>NC_000011.10:86593700-87978202 GCF_000001405.40 Homo sapiens | reverse complement strand
ACACCTATATATTTATATATGATGTATATATAAATATATACACCTATATATTTATATATAATGTATATATAAATATATACACCTATATTTTTATATATGATGTATATATAAATATATACACCTATATATTTATATATGATGTATATATGATAAAAATAGATGTATTATGTATGTGTAAGTATATATTTATATAATATTAAAATAATAGTTTATAAGATATGTATTTATATAATATATCTTATTTATATATTATATTAATATATTATATAAAGGTGTCACTACATATTTATGTATATAATTATATGTAAATCTATGACTACATCTTTATATATATTTGTAAGTATATTACTATCCATTAATATACATGATTATATAGGAACATATATTTAATATATAACTCTATAATATATATAACTATGATATAATATATAACTATAATATAATATATATATATTATAGAATATATAACATATGTCATATAATATATAAATATATAATATATCCCTATATATTATATGACATATATTACATAATATATAGTTATATACTGTATAATTTATATAATTATATAATATACAATTACATAATTATATAATTGTATAGTACATAATTATTATAAAATTATGTTACATAAGTATATTATATAATTATATTATATAATAATGATATAATTATATTATCTATATAATTACATAATCATATAAAATTATATTATATATAATTATATATGTAATATATAATTATATTATGTAATATAATTATATATAATTGTTTTATAATATAATTATATTTTATAATATAATTATATATATAATTATATTTTATAATATAATTTTATAATATACTTATATAATATATAATTTTATAATATACTTGTATAATATAATTATATTTTATAATATACTTGTATAATATAATTATATTTTATAATATACTTGTATAATATAATTATATTTTATAATTTACTTGTATAATATAATTATATTTTATAATTTACTTGTATAATATAATTATATTTTATAATATACTTGTATAATATAATTTTATAATATACTTGTATAATATAATTTTATAATATACTTGTATAATATAATTATATTTTATAATATACTTGTATAATATAATTATATTTTATAATATACTTGTATAATGTAATTATATTTTATAATATACTTGTATAATGTAATTATATTTTATAATATACTTGTATAATGTAATTATATTTTATAATATACTTGTATAATGTAATTATATTTTATAATATACTTGTATAATGTAATTATAATATATAATACATTATATAACATATAATATATAATACATTATATAACATATAATATATAATACATTATATAACACAATATATATTTATATTATACATTGTATAATATATAATATATTATAAGTATATATTATATAATATATAAATATATATTATGTGAAATATATATAAATATATAAATATATATTATATAAAATATATAGAAATATAAATATGTAAAAATATATTGTAAATATATAAATATATATCATATAAAATTATATATATTTATATATCATATAAAATCATATATATTTATATATCATGTAAAATATGTATTTATAGACAGTATATAAAATATATATATTTATTGTATAGTTATATAAGTATATATAAAATATAAATGTAAAAAATATATATAAAATATAAATATATTACAAATATATAAATATATAAAAATATATAACTATATGTAAAATATATATATTTATAAATATAAAAAATATAAATGCATAATATATAAATATATATAAATATATAAATATGTGTATATATAAATATTTGTATTTGTATATATTTTTTATATTTATATTTTATATATATACCTACATATAAAAAACTCTGGTATATGTGTATATATATGTGTGTATGTATATATATATATACACACACCTTCTCTTACATGTATAACATATATGAAGGTGTATATATATATAGGTATATACATAAAAATATACATAGAGTATATATAAATATACCTATATATACCTATATACATAAAGGTATATATATGTATATATACACACACACACATATATATATTTACACGCACACATATATGTACATATACCAGACTTTTTTGAGGGGGAAATTTTTTGTTAATTCTATTTCTTTCACAGCAATAGCGTTATTTGGAGTCTTATGTTTTGTGTTGACTTTAGTATGTGTATTTTTCAAACAATTGATTAATTTTATTTAAGAGATTGATTGTTCTTGTAACATTTGTTTTAATCTTTTAAATGCCATTTTAATCTCTAGTGAGATACCCTATGTTATTCATGACATTGCTAATTTGTGTTGTTTCTCTTTTTTTCTTTGGTCAGTCTTGATATGGGTGTATCAATTTATTATTCTTTTGAGGAGCTATTGGCTTTTTTGTTATACCTCTTACTACATTTTTAGTGGCTGCTCTAAGAATTATAACATACTTCCTTAATTTATTACAGCATATTTAGAATTAAAGATTTATAGAAAATGAAGGAATCTCTCAATAATTTCATTTAATCCATGTTTTTGTCATGTATTTTACTTCTGCATATGTTATTAACTTCACAATAAAATGTTACCAAGCAGTCAGTTGTCTATTAAAGATTGTTAGGAGAAGAAAAAACATACATAGTCTTGCATAATTACCCGTATATTTACCATGTTAGTCATCTCCATTTCGTGTTGTAGTTCTGATTTTTTATCTGGTATTATTTTCATTCTATCTGAAGAGTTTTCCTTATTTCTCGTAGTACAAGTTTGCTGGCAAAGAATTATTTCAGCTTCGTTACCTGAAAATGTCTTTAATTTTGTCTCATCTTTGAAAACCATTTTGGCTGAATGTAGAATTCTGGATTGTAGTGGGCTGAGTCGTATCCGCCTAAAATTCATGTGACCTGGAACCTCAGAATGTGACTTTCTTCGGGAGTAGTTTCTTCGCAGATGCACCTAATTGGGGATCTGCAGATAAAATCATCTTGGATTTAAGATGAGCCCCAAATCCTATGACTGACTTCCTTATCAGAAGAGGAGGGGATGCAGAGAAATACACAGAGAACACCATGGGAAGATGGAGGCAGACATGGGAGTGAGGTGTCTATAAGCTAAGGAATGCCAAGGATTGCTGGCAATCACCTGGAGCTAGGAGAGAGGCATAGAACGGCTTTTCCATTATTCCCTCCAAAAGGAAGCAACCCTGCCAACACCTTGGTTTGAGATTTCTGCTTCCAGAACTGTGGCCATCTGTTGTGTTAAGCCACCCAGTTTGTGGTAGTTTGTTACGGTAGGCCTAGGAAATGAATTCGTTGCTCTAAAGAGTTTTGTTTGTTTGTTTGTTTTATCTCTGAGTGCTTTTAAATGGTTACACCTTTTTTTTTCTGATCATCATTTTTTCTGATTTGAGACAGCTGTAATTTATATAATAATCCCTCTGTATATAAAGTATCATTTCCCTTTGGCTGCTTTTCAGCAGGCTTGGTTTTCAGCAGATTAAAAAAAAATCCTACTATGATTTTTTGCATTTATATTTTTAGGTATTTTCTGAGCTTCTTGGGTGTGTAGGCTTACAATTTTTGCTATATTTGAGGGAAAATTCAGAAATTATTTCTCCAAATTTTTTTCTCCTGAATTATTCTCTATCTTATTTTTCCTGAGGTTTTATTGTAATATATTACACTATTTTAACACCTCACAAGTCACTGAGGTTTTTGTTTTCTAAAAAGTCTTATTTTGCCTCTTCTTGAGATTGGATACTTCCCATTCATGATCCTTTATTTTTCAATATCAAATCTGCTGTTAAGCCCAACCTATGATTTTTTTTTTCTTTCAGGGTTATGGTTTTCAATTCTTTCAAAGTTGTAGTTTTCATTTCCATTTGGTTCTTTTGTTATTATAGCTTCTATTTTTTCTGTGGAGCTTTGCCATATGTTCTCTCATTGTAGCTTCCATAAGTACTTGAGAACATACTTACATCAGCTTGTTTCATTTTCTGCAAATTCTAATAACTGGATCATTTTGATATCTGTGTCTTCTGACTTCTTTTGCTTGATTATGGGTCTCATTTGCCTCCTTCTTTGACTATCTCACAAATTTTTATTTTATTTTGGACAATTGTTGATGATACATGGTAGGGGTATTGAGTTATGTTTTTAAAAAGTGCTTGTTTTTTCTTTCAGAATACAGGTAAAGAATGATGGATTTTATTGATCATGTCAGGCTTGGGTTTATTCTTTGTTTGGATGATCTATTTTAATTTTAGACATAGGGAAAATCCCTCAAAATAGGGCATGGGGTGACTCTTAATGTGGAGCCTTCCTGAGATCTCAAATGAATGAGCAAGTTGTTCACCAAGACTTCTTCACTCTAACCTGGATTGGTCCTCCAGTATATTCTGGCATTGAATGACCTATGGCATTTTCATTTAGGTCTCTGCCCTGCATCAGCTTCTCTCTTTTGGGATTCACAGGGTCTCATTTTTCACGTGTGTAGCCAGTCTTTGATGAGGTCTCGTTGGGTAAAGAGGCTTCTGAGTACCCTCCACACTGCAGCTTTGTCCTGTCTAGTAACCTACACCAAAATTTCAGCCATTTCAGAAGCTCTCTTCACTAACTGATTCTTTGGTTAGCAAGACTGCCATACTCTGCCTGGTCTCCAGCACCGTAGACAGGGGTGTACCCTCAGACCTAGAACATTGGCACATGTGCTCTCTCTCTGTGCTTCTCTCATTTCAAAGCTCACAATACTGAGCTGCCTATGGTCCGATTCTTGAAGACAACTGCTTCATGTGTTGTGTCCACTTCAGAGTTATTTGCATCAGGTGGGCAAGTCTTATGCAGCTATTCTTTCATGGCAAGAATCTAGAGAACTAAAATTCTTATTTTTTTCTCTGATAATTATTATAGTAGTCTTTTATTTAATGGACAAAATATGTTCTCTTACTTCTGTGGAGGTATAAATGATCATTTGCTTGTTTATTTAGCTCCTCCCTACATTTTCTTTCTTTCCTTGTGTATTAGTCCATTCTCACACTGCTATAAAGAAATACCTGAGACTGGGTAATTTATAAAGAAAAGAAGTTTAATTGGATCATGGTTCCGTGGGCTGTGCAGGAAGCATGGCTGGGGAGGCCTCAGGAAACTTACAATCATGGTGGAAGGGAAATATAGGCAGGTCTTACATGGGCAGAGCAGAAGGAAGAGAGGAAAGGGGGAGGTGCTACACACTTTTAAACAACCAGATCTCATAAGAATTCATTCATTATCATAAGAACAGCAAGGGGGAAACCTGCCCCCATGATCCAATCACTGCTTACCAGGCCCATCCTCCAACACTGGGGACTACAATTTGACATGAGGTTTGAGTGGGGACACAAGTCCAAACCATATTACGTTGGTATTTCCTTTTGACTTTTTTTAAAAAATATATTTATTTTGGTTTCTGACTTAAGAGGTTACCTCAAATATATAGGTAAAAAATATTCAAAAAGCTGTCTGGAAACTTCGTTGCAAAGACAGAAGTTGTTCAGTGATATAATTCACCATAAAGTGATTGACTAGGGGAATTAGCTGCTTATTGATGAACTTCCAGAGGTCAGTAGGTGTGGGTCTATTGTACTTCAGAGAGGATTCCTTTAAATCTGTTAATGTGGAAAAAAAACAAGAACTGCTATCTAATTGGAGCAAGCATATGTTTTCTATCTCTGTTCATTCAGTATAGTCTCTATCGTACCAAATACCAGGGCTTATAAGCGTGGGTGTCAGTGCTCTGTAAAGTGAGTGAGTATATTCTGATTATCCCCACTGTTTGACTGAAAGATTTCACTTGTTTCTTCCCATGTTCAATACTGTGTTTCACTTCTGCAATCAGCTATAACTGACAGTTACTCTTGTGTTCAAATTGTTTAGATAACAGACTATTTTTGGCAAAGGTAGAGGAGGTGTAATCACCTTGCTATGTGGGCTAAGGAAGGCGTCCTGAAGTGTGGGGCACCTTATAAATATTTTCAATCATTTATTTTTGGCGCCATACTATTTTCAAGCCTTAAGACATAACTGGCTCTTCCTATTTCCATGGCACTCTGTAATGCAGAGAGGTGAATCGTCTTTCTTACTGAATTTTCTCTGAAGGAAAGTTTCCATCTTCTGTGTACAGCTACATCAACAACTGTTAATGTGTCTACACTCCATCTACCAGAATAGTGGAGTCAGTTCAGGTGGATTGTTGCCTCCTTTTTAAATAGCTTTAAAAAAAAAAAAACGCTTTTACACATATTTTAGTGAGATTTCAAGAGGGCATAGCAATGAACATGTGCATTCTGTCTACTACATTCAGCAAAAACAACATTATTGTTTTAGAGTAGAGTGAAAGTAAGACTGTGAGGCATAGACAGAGAAGGATGTAATCAAAGGTGGTTCTTTAAAATTTTTATTTAAGCTTATTCTTCCAACAATATCTTGTTCCCACACTCACTCCTCCATATATTAGAACCTGGTTATGCCTCTGTCTAGCATCAGCATCTCTTGCCTTTCACTCTGTATCTATAGAACTTTAGTGAAAATAAGCTGTTAGCGTCCAATGGCCTTAAACAAACACATTGTATCCCTGTTACCAGGTCATAAAGGCAAGAGTGGGAGTGGCAAGGAGAGAAAAAGTGAACAGGTGTGACGGGAAGGGAGGTCATTTTCCCTGTACATTCTGAGCTGCACATTAGTCCAGGCTCCCTCCAATTTGCAGACATATTAGTGGCAGCCTTGCCATTTCCAAACATTAAAACACAATTTGCAGGGCTCTCTCTTGTCTTTCCTGACTTTATTTCAACAAGATAAACCCATCTGGAAACACCCTTGAAGCAATGTTCTTCCTGCCTCATTACAGCTACATCAACACTTCAGCATTCTGGGACTGCTCTGCTTGCCTCCCCCTTCTCTGCCAGAGCGTCTCATAGCCAATTAAATCCACTGTAACTCAGCTCTGAGGCCTAGTCTTTGCTCCCTTATTGCTTTTCAATAGCTTGAAATCTACTCAGCTGAAAAACCAAACTGATAATCAGGCAGGAATCATCACTGGAGTGAGAAATTATTGAAGAACCGTGCAACGCTGAAGACTGCCCCATTGGAATGTGGCCCTAGATGTAAAATGAGCCTTTTTAGTACCCATCTAAGAGCAGTCATGACTTCCTATCCTCAGGTGCTCTCTTTGTTTTTTAAATCCCAGAGCTCTAGAGTGACATTTAGCTGCTGCGCAGGGACTCCTTTTGTCCCTTGCCATCTCACACCAGAATTGTGTAAATGTTTGTCTCAGCATCCAAGAGGAAAAGGAGTAACAAAAGCCCCAAATGTAAGGCTCAGTGATAACATCTGAAGTCAGCTGTCAGCTTGCAGCTCCCTAACTCTTCACCCGTCAGCTCTGCTTCCTCTGCAAGTCCCAGCTTAATTATATTTTCATATTTATACAATGCCCCAACTATCACTCCTTCACCCTAGCGCCCTTCTCCAACTACCTGGAGAATGTCAGAAGTGAAATGGATATTGTAGATCATCAGTTTAAGTCTTTCATTTTAAAGAATTAGAGAAAACACAAGCAATGACTTTTCTAGGATAACATAGAAAGTCTATGCTCTGGCTAAGGTAGGAATGTGCACCCCATGCCTAGGGCGGGAACTTGGGGGAGGTATGTGAGGCACTCGGGCACAAAACGTAAGAGAGAACAAATAAACCCAGAAATTAAGATAACTAATATTTTAATGCAATATTTTTTAAAAAGCAAAATTAGTGCAAAACACTCCTTGAAGAACAAAATATCATAATATGAAATAAAGGCAGAGTCTAACAGGGCTAAGATTGGGGGGAGGTGAGTGAGGCAGGCCTGCATAAGCACAGGGCTGGACCCTGATTTTACTTAAAATTTTGATATTTTGTTCTTTATGGATTTATTTTGCATTTTAATTTTTAAAATACCACATTAAAGTATTATTTTCTAGATTACTGACATTGTGTCCCCTTCAATTTTGCTCCCAAGTTGAGTGCTTACTTGCTTTACATTAGCCCCAGCTCTGTTTCTGATTCTCAAACTAGTTCTACTTCTGAGCCCATTTTGCCTGACTTTTCCATGTCAATCTTCTCACTTTGAATCTCTTGATTCTGCCGTCATTGGTCTCACAACTTTTACTCTTCCTACTGAACCTGACTTACTTGTTTATTTGGACCTTGGTTATACAGGTTTCTATATGGCTTGGCTACCTGCTTACTGAACCCTACCTCTCCTCAAATATGGGGCTGTTTCTGCTTCTCTGGTTACTGCTGTATATATAGGAGCTTAAAATCTCCAGAATCCACTGTTGTGTCACCACAGAAAGAAAAACAAAATTGCCAATTCTAAAAGCTGTTACCTTTTTGCTAGGCCATGCTAACTAATGGAATGGGGTAAAGAACCAGAAAACCAAACACAGAAAGTAAGATATGTGTTAGAAATGCATCTGTTCTGTACTAAAATTCTAGTTTATTTTAGATAAATATAATTTCCCGACACAGACCAAATGAGGTCTATTTCCAGGCTCCTTGATCTTCACGTTGCATTATTTTGACTTGCCTCTTTGGATGTTCCAAAATTTTGATAATTGAATAATAGTAGTTAAATTATAAATTAAGGAGGTTTTGAAATCATTTTTGCTCAATGCCCTAGACTTCATTCTTCACGTCTAACATTCCCTTAGGTAATACAGCTATTATACCATGGAGCGTTTGAAGAATACATTTTTTAAATAGTCAACCTACTGCCACCTTCATCGTGATAATTTATGTTGTTAACAAATATTTACTTTAGGAATTCAGGTTATGTTTGGATATGGAAGTTTTCATTCACATACTCTATTGGGGGGGGATATGTGTGGTTATCTGGAGGATTGGCCAACTGTGCCAAAGGATGATGATGGTTGTGTAAGATGAGGATCTTCTACTGGAATTGAGTAATATCGAGTTGGAAAAGGCCCTTACATCATAATTTTTTATTGTTAATGTAATTTGAAGGTAATGTAACTTTTTATCTTCTTCCTTGTCCCCCAAGACTCATGTCAAAGACCATAGGAAAAAGATCAAGAGTGAGTCAAAGAGCCTGATTAACACATACCCTTAGATATTGATTAATCAGAGCCTAAAGACAAAGTACACAGGATATACTGCATAGTGATGACGTCTAATCTTTTAGTGTAACGAGCACCCAAATAATGTGCATTGTACCCATTAATTAATTTCCCATTCCTCACCTGCCCCCCATCCTCCTACTGTTCTGAATCTCCAGTGTCTTACTATTCCACACTCTATGTCCAGGTGTACACATTATTTAGCTTAGGGGGCCCATATTTTTTGGTTAAATTACTATGCCATTTTCTTAAGCAATTCTGCTCAAAATATCAACTCTTTGTTACAAGTCTGCAATAAAATAAGAAACTTGTGTTAGTATGTAAGTCAATAACATAACTGAGCACACTGCTTTGTCCAGATGGTTATTTTTCTTAGCTAGACTTTCTCAGTGAAGAAAGCAGTATTTTGAACTCCACTGTCGTGCAAGCTCCTTATCTCCTTGTGTACTACAACATTGAGTAATATTGATAGAATTATTGTCTGTATCTGTACACTTGAAGCTGACTCACCACCACTATTTCTGTGTTCCATTCTATGGAAAGATGTTTATGGCATACAACTTCCTTCTAAGAGCCCCAGAAGTGTCCATATTACTTCTGATCACTTCTCTTTGACCACAATTTAGTCACACTGCAACACCTAGACGCAAGGGAAGCTGGGAAATGTAGTCTCTAGCTAGGTGCTATGTGCCCAGCCACACCTTGAGTCCTAATACTAAAAGGAATAAAGAAAAATGGATATGGAGGACAATTAACGGCCTCTGAGACACCAGATTTTACTCCCTTACTGTTGTGCCATGAAATGGCTGAAACCAGTAAGGTCCTGGAAACCAAATTTATAACATAAGTAAAATGAAAATGTGCAATAGAAAAAAATGTCTCTTTTGGGGAAATTAAGAAGGTACAATAAATAACATCTCTCTGTATTTTTCTAAAGTTATAAACCATTTGAAAATAAGCCAAATAATACAAACAAGAGGTCATATATCAACTTTATTACTGAAAAAGAATATATTGGAGAATGTGGCTTTATTTGTGGCAAATGTACTTTCAGCAAATAACCTCAGAATAAGAAGACATATCCATCCAGTGAGAGGCATGGCTGGACTGTTAGTGTCCCATACACACCCAACACCTCCCGCATGCCATCCCCAACCCTCCTACCCACCGCAGGGCATTTCCTATTATGCCTATTGAAAGACTGGGCAGACTTCAGCACATGATCTCTGAAGACAACATTATTTTCGAAAGAGAAAAGAAGAAACTGAGATGAGCTCACTCATTTTATTCCTTCTTAGCTTTCCAGTGAAATCAGTCACTTCTTCTTTGGAGAGGACTGCTTGATAGGCAGGAATGTCAGTAATGTTACATTAACAATGCCCTCCACCTGGAAGGAAACACTGGAAGTGGAGAAGAGGCATTCCTCACCCCTCACATTGCCCAGCTTTTTGTTCTCTTAATGTATTGCATTGGGCTTAACCATTAGGCTTATGACCAATCTGTGGGATCACTATCTCCTTCATGTAAGCAGATCCACCATCTCTAAGGATAGTCTTGTTTTTTTACTTTCATGAAGATATTTTAAAATTATTAACCACTATTTTAAAAAAATATATTATCCTAGACCCACCAGTGGGCAGTACAGCTATTGACCCCAGAAGGCTCTGAAGTTGGTCCAAACCACACATTAACTGATTTCATTTCAAGGCAATTATTTTCCACTCAAATTTATTCAGCTGTTTTGCTCAGCATAGTCAATTCATGGGTTATTTAAAGAGATAAAGTAACAATATTACAATAATTTAATAATAAAATGCCAAGCTAGAAGTGCTGCAAATTTAGATACAAATGCTTCTCAAAATAGGGTGACAAATAAAGGTGGAAATATAAATCTCTTTGTAGGTTGAAGTCCAATGACATTAAAGTTCAAAGGAATTAAATTTGAAAATCAAATTATTTGACTGCCTTCATTATTTCCTCTCCAAGTTAATATTCAGCTTAATCTCAGCCAGAGGGATTATCCATGCCTGGCTGGAGTTAGGATTCCTTCAGTAGCTGAAGCCAGGCAGGCTTCCACAGGAATGATTGTGAGTCCTTTGGGAACTTAGAAGCTTTATTTGTTCAATGCGAAGCTCTTATAAGCCTCTCTTTTGAGAAATCCAAAGAGGTAACAGAACATGCATGATCATCACAGCACTGGCTCACACCCAATAAATTTTGAAAATGATCCAATTCCCAGACCCTAGAGAAACTATCTCAGATAAAATTATGTACTTAATGTTGCCAAGAATTACAGCAGGGACTTGATGGAGTCTATATAAAGGAGGAAAAATGGAGAAAAGGTTTTTTGTTTTGGGCTAGAGACAATGCCAGTCATCTGGTACCTTGTCCAAAAATCTATGACCTGTGCTTTGTAAACTCAAAAATGAGGTTAATTTTAGCATTATTGATTTACTATATGGGGTGGGAGGAAATCACTGAGACAAACTGTCTCCTCTCTTGCATGTTGCATTTAAGGCATTGCTGCCTTCTTGGAAATTTAGAAATATATATTTATATCCCCTGTCATAATGGAGATGCATTTTCCCTACCATCTGAGTACCTTGGAAAACCTCTTTATTGCCATTTCTCTTTTCCCTTGGAGCCCAGTGTTTCCATCTCCTAGTGCTGAAATGAGTATGGGCTGTGTCTAGTGATATAGCACCAATACTCCTCTACATGTAAATATAATAGTTTCAGACTTGATCCAATGTTCTTGTGGCACAAAATTGCTTAGGCTTAAAAGCCCTCCCCCTATGAAGGGGAGGGGTTCTTCTTTATATGAAATTAACCTATCCTGATCCACATTTTCTCAGGCTACTATCGTCTGGTTGAGGTTCCTCCAGCCCATATCTTTGGTAATTGTGGCTGGTGCCTTTGTGGATGTCTGAGTGCCCCTATCCTCTGTCTTTGCTGAACCTGAGACCTAAAACTTTTTCTTGAGGTCCTTTGCCTGTACCTTTCCTGGGCTTGATGTCTATCCATTTCAAGAGTTACTGAGGCCCACAACACACACCTTTGCTGGGCACTTGCTTTTCCTTAAAATAAGCAGATACATAACATTGTTTTCTTAAGGCAGAGCATGTTTAGTTCCCTCTATAAAAGCATAAACCACTTGCTTGAGGTCAAAGCTGCCTTAAACTGTCTTAACCCATAATGCACAAATTCCCACTTCCATTTACCTTAGGCCTAACTCCCTCTGTCCTGGTTAAAACAGTTAAAAGTTAAAATAATACCTATAAAAACTGGCTTCATTGTTTCCTGCAGGCTACTGAAGTCTTTGCCTTGGGCATATCAAAATGCTCAGGTAGTTCGCATGTGTTTTGCCCCAAACCACATTTCACCATCTATGTCCCAACTGTCCTGATCAATGTAGTATATTATAATACTTCTTGGTAAAAACTTTCTTTCACCCCTCCATACCCCACAGGAATAGAGCCTGACCCTATAAACCCTAAAGAGTGAAGGAGTTGAGCGGAGTGTGTGAGCAGTTTTCTCTTGAGGGAAAAGTAAATGAACATGAACTGGGAACATGTACATGATTCCTCTCTCAAATTCAGTCGTCATCGAAGAGCGATAGCATGAACAAAGGCCAAGGGTTTCAGGAGTGTTCCCTTTTTATGAAAGGCAATCTCCAGAGTGGAGAATTATCATTCTCCTCTAAAAACAGTCTGCCCTTCCCAAGCACAGTAATCATTTTTTTTTTTTTTATTGAGACACATTAACAGATGATGTTTACCTGAGATCTTGAAATTGACTAATAGTTGTGGCATAGTTGCAATAGGCTGTAGGTTATGCACACTGCTGATTCTCTGGTACAGTGGTTCTCAACTGAGGGTGATTGTGCCTCCTTCTAGGGGACATTGGATGTGTCTGGAGACATTTTTGGTTACAACCTGAGGCCCATGCTAGCAGGTAGAGGGCAAAGATGCTGCTAAACATCCTATAATGCACAAAACAATCCCATATAACAAAGAATTATCTGGCTGAATATGTTAACAGTGCTAACTAAGGCAGAGAAACTCTGCCGTAGATATAACTTTAGTTGTTTGTTTCCAAGTCAAGGAAACATATTGGGATGCAAGTGAGCGAGAAAGCTGTTAATATATAGATAACATTGAAACTCTCCTGAAAATTTTTTTAGTGAAATAAGTAATTTATAAATTACGGTGGTCTGTTGTGCTACAACATATGTTTTTGTAATCTGAATTAAATTAGTCCATGTGTGATTGTAAATAGAGGAATAATGCCAGGAAAATGTGGAAGCAATTTTTTTTAATTTTTTTTTCCTAGCCCATTAGTGTTTTATACCACCAAGTGGCCACAGCGGGACCCAGAAGGAGGAAGCAGGTAATACCATATGCAAGATGTATTTCTCATTGATTAATTGGTTGTTAAATAGGCTCAATTCTCTTCTCCCATCGTCTATTTATACCTATTTACAATGTCGTTTTGCACTTTGTAGCTCCTATCATGATGAACTGAAGTCTATTTCCACACCCCTTGAATATGAATTGGCTCTGTGACTTGTTCTGGCCAGTCAACAGGGGCAGAATTAATGGCCTACCAGTTTCAAGCCTAGGCCTCAAGAGACCTTCCACAATTCCATTTGTTCCATTGAAACTGTATGACCATTACATGAATAAGTCCAGACTAACCTGCTAAAGATTTAAAAATTCCTTCAAGCAGAGAATATCACACTGGAGTTCCTTCTTGGTTAGCCAGGCTACTGCTGACCTGCTGACTGATCACGAATGCAACGGTCCTTGCATCTTGCTGAGATCGGTCAAGGCTGGCCCAGGTCAGTAAAACCAGTCAGCTGACCTATAGACACACTAATAAATGGTGGTGTTTTAAGTTACTACATTTGGGGAGGTTTGATATGCAGCAATAGATAACTGATATACAAGCCATAATTTCTTCTTGGCTTATTTTTGCCACATGCTCCATTTTTGGAGGACTTACTGCACAGTTACCTTTGATTTTTGTGTGTTTTTCCCTTATCTCCAAACTTAGTAGAATCTACCATTGCTTAAACTTTATTCCATCAGATCACCTTTAGTGAGCGGTGGCTCACGCTTGTAATCCCAGCACTTTGGGAGGCCGATGTGCGTGGATCACAAGGTCAGGAGTTCGAGACCAGCCTGGCCAACATGGTGAAACCCTGTGTCTACTAAAAATACAAAAAATTAGCCAGGCGTGGTGACAGGTGCCTATAATCCCAGCTACTTGGGAGGCTGAGGCAGGAGAATCACTTGAACCCGGGAGGCAGAAGTTGCAGGGAGCCGAGACCATACCACTGCACTCCAGCCTGGGCAACAGAGCAAGAATCCGTCTCAAAAAAAAAAAAAGAAAAAAAGAAATATACAGCCATATTTAGCTATCTCTACGTATTAGGAATTTAACATGATGTTTTAACTCTGCTTGTATTTTGATAACATATTTCATTATTATTTTTGTTAGTGCGGTGGTTAAAATGTTGCATAGACTTTTGAGTGTTCTGTCCCACTCCTAGGTTTTCTATAGTCCTATTATTTTAATTTGTGATTTTATAGGATTTAAGGTATCTTAGAACTGTATGTATATGTTGCATTATAGGCAACAGAAATGCCCACATTTTTTGAGAATCATATTATTTATGCCTTACTCACAACTGATTCTTAATCACTTGTGTACCAAGACATAAGGTTAGGAATTTTGCTCAGGCCACTCTGGGGGATCAAAGAAGCACCTAAACAGAGGGCTCTGTGGATATGTTTATTTCTGTTTTGGGTGTGTGTCAACATGTGAGTGTTTGTATGTATGTGTGTATTATATGTGTGAGTTGGTAGAAAATTCAGAGAATTAATATACTGTTACAGTTTTTATAACACTAATATGTTCCCAGGATGTTTAATGCAACTTATATCAAATTATTATAAATAGTTAAAATAATAAACACTGTGATTCATAAATAGCTCTGCATTTTATCAAGGACTTTCATATCAATAGTCTCATCTTTAGTCCTCATGGAACCCCTGAGATACAGGTAATATTTTTTAATTTTTAAAAATTTGATTGTAAATCAACAAATAATTGTACACATTTTGGGGGCACAAAGTGATGTTATGATATATGTATATAATGTAGAATGTTTAAATCAAGCTAGTTAATACGTCCATCACTTGAAATACTTATTTTTTTATGGTGAAAACATCTAAAATTTACTCTTAGCAATTTTGAAATATACATTACAATAGTCAGCACGCTGTGCAATAAATCTCAAAACATTTATTTCCTCCGTCTGAAAAAATTTTCAGGGACGTCTCAGTGCTATCCATATATTAACTGCATTCCCATTCACTTGTATTTCAACATGTTTGCATGACTTGGATTACTATATATTAGTTGAAAACTTAAGGCATTTCTTTTCTAAGAGAGAAACTGAGGATATATCAATTTATAGCAAACTTCCATCTTCATATCCTTTGACCAGCATATCCTTCTTCCCCCCTGCCCCCTGCCCCCGCCAAGCCTCTGGTAACCACCACTCCACTCCTTGCCTGAGGTCAGGTTCACTTCAGTTTTTTTAGATTCCATTTCATATAAGTGAGATCATGTGGTATTTGTCCTTTTGTGCCTGGCTAATTTTACTTAGCGTAATGTCCTGCAGGTTCATTCATGCAGTCACATATGACAAAGTTTCCCTCTTTGAAATCCATTGTACAGATGAGGAAAAGGAAAGTGGACTCGGTTTAGTGCTCCAGGTAGTACATGTCAAATCGGGGATTTTTTTAAAAGATGCTTTTTTTCCTACTCCTTCACACCAAGATGCCTTCTTTCGGAAAAGGGCAAGACTGGAAATCTTAAGGCATTCCTTTTCTGAGAGAGGAAGGGAGGATAAATCAATTTATAGAGAACTTCCATCCTTACTTTATAATGTAGTGCTAGTAACAAACATAAAATTGGTAATTAGGTAGCTTTTTGTTATAGATAAGGAAATAAGACACAGGTAGCAGTCCTAAGATCAAACCATGACCAATATGAAAGCTTTCTGAATGGGGAGTTGGTTCTTTCTCACTAAAGTCTTGATCCTCTTTTATCCTCAGTGTCTCATTTTGCACATATTTTAGTAAACCTCAAGTCTTCTTGGAAAAAAATCAAGGCATAAATATGACATAAATAATGCAGCCCTACTATTTAGACAGCCCATGACACATTTTCTCTTAGAGCTAAAGACAATTCCCAAGAGTGTAGTATTTGGTCTGTGGCTACCCAACAGTGCTTCTTCAGCTCATGGCGTGATGTCCCTGCTACTGCTGGCATCCAGGCTTGGTTTCTAGGACTTTAGTTCCTGGGTACAGAACCATTCCTCTTTTCAGGATGTACCAGAGTCAGCTTTTATGTAAAAAGGAGGGATTGACTTTTGGGGAGAAAATCAAATCTAGTTGGAGTTGTCTTTGATTTTTAGATTTGGGTCTCAGATGGGTTTATTGAGATCCTGATGTTGGGGGATGAATACTGTCAGCACACTGGGTTGTTCCAACATGCAGAATGCCATGGCTGGCCACTTGCACGGCTGTGATACTCTGTAGAAAATACTCTGGCACCTCCACATGTCCCCCAGCCAGCTCAGGACACTGATGTCAATCACTTCATTACAGCATTATATGGATCACACAATCTCTCCTTAAACTTGTTATTTTTAAGCATTCATTGGGGTCATGATGTTCTGAGGTTAGTCCTTAGGCACTTTCAAATTATTAGGCAAGACAAATTATTACTGAATGTCCTCAGCTTTTACTCTGGCTGGGATCAAAGTGTTCTCCACAACTGCTTCAGCCCAGCACTCTAGCTGAAAGGAGGTCCAACGCCACAAGTGCCATTAGGTTTTGGAGCAGGCAGAAGGGGGCCAGAAAGACTTGAAAATTTTATTTTATTCTAATAGGCACAGCATGAAAAGAGACATTGAAATGGAATAATTAAAAATGCTAGGTTTAAAGCTGCCTTTTACTTCCCTTCAATATGCTGTGAATTCTCTGTTCAGGAATGATTTGTCTTCATTCCCTTCCTTCTTAACATGAGTAATTTCTCCTATTTACTGAGTCCATCCTCCACGTGACATCTTTAGTTTTTACAATGTGTCTGTAAGGCATTACTATGCTACAAATGGGCAAAACAGGCTTAGGGATGTCTGGGTAGATTTTGGCTGGTCTAGCTCAATAGGAGGTTAGATTTTAGCACATCTAGGGAAAGGAGTTAGTGAATATCTTTTAGGCACTCCTTTATGAACAGTGTTTACTTTATAAAAATATCAAAGAGCTATTATTCTGAAGTTATGTAACCGAAATGCAGGTTAGTCGCTCACCTTGTACAGAGTACAAGTAACAAGGATGGCGTCTGATATAAAGAAAGTAACCTCAGTTTCCTCATATATGAAAAGCATTGTTTAAATTACCTCATAGAGTGTGAGGATCAAATCTGATAATGAAAACAGTGCATGACACACAATAATTGCTGGCTCTTATCATCATTGTTATCAGCATTTTCCTGATTCAGTTCTTGCTCCCTTTGCTTCAGTCATGCCCAGGGCTTCTGTCCTTTGAACGTTAAAGTCTTATTTCTCTCTTTTTTTCTTTTTTTTGTTGTCTTCCATCTCTGTTTAAGGAGTTACTGTCAGTGATACTCAAACTGTGGTCACTAGACAGGTAATCTCAGCATCATATGGGGGCGTGTTAGAACTGCCAATTCTTAGGTTTGGCCCAAGACCTCCTTGATCAGAGTCTCTAGGGAAGGGGCTCAGGAATCTGCATTGTAATAAGCTTTCCAGGTGGTTCTGATGCTTGCTAAACTTTGAGAAGCACTTTTCTAAGTCAATTACACTGTTTGTTTGATTTAAAAGCCCTGAAAATGGAGACAAGATTTGGGTTCATATCCCAGCTTTGACACTCATAGGCTACATAAACTTTGGCAAATTGACTCTAGATTTTCCTTTGTAATGTGTACAGTGTTCTCTGGAGTTTCATTACTTAGGTTATAGGCTAAGCTACATGAATGAAGAAACCCAAAAAACAGTGATTTGAATACATTTATTTCTCTCTGCATAATAGTTCAGAGGTATGAAGGTAGCCCAGAGTAAGTTTGTGGCTCTTTTCTACAAGGTCATCTAAGGACTCAGGATTCTTCTGACGTGATACCCTGCCCCTCCTGAGACATTGTTTTGTTCATATAGTTGACTTGGGCTCATCGATGCTATGTCAAGCTTCTTGCCTGAGGGAAAATAGAAAGGGAGAGAAAGGAAAACAAGTAATTTTATTTTAAAGAAGTGATGCAAAAGTTGCTCATATTACTTTTGCTCATATTCCCTTGGTGAGAACCTGGATATTTGGCTATAACTGGTGGGAGGCTGGAGAATGCGTCTATGAGCTGGCTGGCCAGCTACCTTATACAAATTCAGGAGCTGTTGGTATTCTGATGCTAGTAAAATAGATACTTATAGAAACACATAGCACAATGCTCAGCACAGAGGAATTATTCCACAAATGCTAACGTGAGATGGAATAGTGTGGTCTTGAAGAGTCAGATAGATATGAGTATGAATATGCGTTCTTGTACCTACTTAGTATTTGACTTTGAGAAGATTATTTCTTCTTTGAGATTCAATGTCCTTATTTTCTAAAGTACAAATTACATAAGGTAATAGTCTTAGCTTACTGTGTAGGTTTTAGAATGATGGAGGGTTTAGGCTACCTCCAATTCTAGATCAGAATGCATTTTGATTCCCTTAATCACAATGAGGCAGGAGATATCCTAAATGCGTCGGAATGTTTCACATGTCATTAATTCCTTATCAAACACAACTGCAAGCAACACTGCAATTACTGTGCAGCTATGGGCCCATAGCCTGAAGGTAGGGATCTTAATCCTA
Source organism: Homo sapiens (assembly GCF_000001405.40). Taxonomy (NCBI): domain Eukaryota; kingdom Metazoa; phylum Chordata; class Mammalia; order Primates; family Hominidae; genus Homo; species Homo sapiens. Next base: position 87,959,095 of record NC_000011.10, on the reverse strand, counting down.
GGGCCCATTTGATGATTGGTGGGGTGTACATGGCAGAAATTGTGCCAACAGCCTAAAGCACAGCTTTCAGTTCCGCAGAAGGAGGAGGTGTTTCCATCATTTCATTATATTCTCTAGGGCAGAAATTGGAGGCCTGTGGTGAAATATGATTACAATTCTCTATTGTCTTATTTGGGGTATAAACAAATTCCTCTCTAATCAATTTACAGAAACAAACATAAAAAGCAAATAAGCAGCCTTCTTAGAAAGGGATTATTATACAGGATTTGCATATGTCACTTACTCTGGTGGAGCAGAAATGCAGCCATGTATTTACAAACAAGGCAAACGTATGCCCTGTTCAAGAATAGTGCTTATTATTGGAGCTAGTCCTATTTGTCTTGACATCAAAAATTCCTTTTGATACTTTTCAGTTTTCTCTTTTAGAAAAAGACAATGATTCCTGAAATCTCCAAATTAATAAAGTCAAGGACATCTTTAGGTTTCTTGCTGTCTACTTCCTTCCCTCACAAAAGACACTAGAAGCTGGAAATGGAGACCAGAGTGTTCTAGGTGTATCATAACATTGCTAAGAGCCTCGCTTCCTGGGGTTCATTTTCTCTAATTACTAAGAACAACACTAGCAGTGGAAAGAATAAGATAGGTATGAAGAAAGGAGGTTGGAGACTTTCTTAGCTTGGATCTCCTTAAGAGCAGAGCCCAAGACAGAGGCTTGCATGCAGGGGTAGATGCTTCTTAACTTGGGTTACCTCTAGATAAACCCATCATATGTTGAAAATATGTAGCTAAGAAATGCATCTTATACACCTAACCTACAGAACATTGTAGCTTAGCCGAGCCTACTTATATGTGCTCACAGCATTTACATTGGCCTACAGCCGGGCAAAATCATCTAACAACATAGAACCCCATAGAGTGCTGGTTGTTTGCCCTTGTAATTGCTTGGCTGACTGGGGGCAGTGGCTGCCAGTGACAAAGAGTAGAGTACAGTATATTGCTAGCCTGGGAAGAGATCAAAATTCAAAATTTGAAGTACAGTTTTTACAGAATGCATATGGCTTTCAAACCATCATAAAGTCAAAAATCGTAAGTCGAATCATTGTAAGTCTGGGACCAGCTGTGCTTTATTTGGAAAGTGATATTTGGAAAGTGATTCTAGGGAAGAGAAATGAGCATATCAGGGATCAGAACACGATATCCCAAAATATGGTGTCATGGCATGCTGAGTATTTCGTTAGGAAGGAGATTGGTAGGCCTTAGAAGAAAGGTCACTCTGACCTTCTCATGCTCTCCCTTCTTCCTTTCCCCACGCTCCCCCAAGATGTGTCAAGAATTTTTCTCCCCACCTCAGATTATAGAAGTTAGAACTCCTCTCCCTCAAAGTGAACCATAAAACCTAGAAACGTCACTCTCTGGCCTACCTTCCCTGAAAGCAGGTCATGAGGGTCTTGTTCTAGAGTTCCTGCCCCATATGCTGAGAGAGGAATGCCACATAGAGAGCCCAAGAATAATCTGAACAAGTAGGCCTTGCTTGGTCTCCTCGCAGTTGATTACTATTAGATTCTACTTTCTTTGTCCAATCATGCTTCTTCACAACTTTTCACTTTTTTCATCAGACTTAGAATAAAAGCACACAGTTTTCCCTGGGTATGGGGGTCACATAAAACCCTGGTTAAATAAACTTATGGGTTTTTTTTTCTGTTAATCTGTCTTTTGTTACAGGACTGTCATCCGTGACCCTTATGACGGATGAGAAAAAGTTATTACCTTATTGCCCCTATGGGGGGTGAGGGGAGAGAAGCAGGAAGTAGAGAAAGGCAATCCAAATATGTATGATCCCATTGTCTACTGTGACAGGCAAAGAAGCTTGATTCAGAGAGAACTTTTAAGGAAACTTGTGACATGAATCTTGGAACTGACCACCTAAGGGACAAAGGGGGAATCAATTTGTGGGAGTGAAAAAGTAAATATTTTTCCTCACCCACTGTAAGTTATTACTTACAGTGCTATAACAATAGACAGATTCATAAGAGAAAAGCACAGCCAATTGATTTAACAATGTTTTATGTGACATGAGAGCGTTCGGAAATGAGGACTCAAGGACCCCCCCCCAAAAAACTGCATTTTTATACTTAGGTTCAATGAGGAATGGACAGTCCTGTAGAAATGTCAGTGTACAAAAAACAGGGTGAAACTTCATGATAATAAACTGAAGGTGGGGGGAGGGAACCCAGAAAGGCCCTGAAAGGTTCAAATTCTTCTTGGCTTCTCTGTGTATCATTCCTTCTCTCCAGGTTTGGTGCAGTACTCCTCTGGAATGCGGGTCTTATGACTTACTTTCAGTTAAGGTAGATTAAAAAAAATGTTTTATAACTATGCTTTATACAGAAAAGTGGGGGTGGTCAGAGTGACCTTCTAGCTCCTGTAGCTTTTTCAATTGCTGAGTGCCATGTTTTCACATATCATGTTCTGAGCTCCCACAAATTATTAATTAGTTCCCAGACCCCAGTGGACAAGGTTGGACACGTAGGGGTTAATTATCCTGCCGTTTGGTTTCTACAGACATCTCCTACTATGGCATCTGAGAGACCATGGGGCAGGAGTGGGAGGCCATGGTGCAGGTGATAGAAGCCTGTGCTAAGCAAATCTCTGCAGCAGAGAATAGTGAAGAGGCGAGGACCCAAGAATTTAAGCTTGCATGTGAGTGGTCTCCAATGCAGATGACTAAAGGATATTTTTGTTCTTCTCACAACTTTTTGATTCTAGTGTTATGCTCTGTGTAATTTTATAATAAGAACAATAGCTACAATTTATTTGCTATTTGCTGGATGTAGTTTGAGGGACTTGTGCAACATGTTCTCATTTTATTCTTCATAATAGTCCTTTATCATGACTTTGTATCGTTGATATTTACTTACAAGTAAATATTTTCAGATAAGTTAAATAATTTACTTACTTACAGTTACAAGGTATATGCATGTATGTATGTATGTTTGTTTTTAAAAATTATTTTATTAGCTCAGAAAATATATGAACCATACTGTAGAACGGAGACTTTTAAACATTTTTGGTTTAGCACTTAGTTTTTTATGTCTGCTAATGTACTGAAGCAAGAGTTTTATAAAATTGCATTTTCTCTTTTGACATGTCTTGTTAAGAGAAAATACAATATTTTCTATTCTGTCCTACTTGTGTGTGTGTGTGTGTGTGTGTGTGTGTGTGCATACTGTTTGCTACCCATTATATTGATTTTATCACTCACTAATGAGTTATGAGGCATGACCCCACAGTGTGAAAACGGTGACCTAGAAAACCAATATTTTATAGAAAATATTCACTTTCGGATGACAGGGGTCATCTGAAGCCTCATGAATGCCTAGCTCAATGGATGATTGACAGATGATAGAAAGATTGATTGATAGATAGATGATTGATAGATATAAGAGCTAAATGTTGTGCTTATTTTATTCATTTAAGTTTGGCTTATAGTTAGCTACGGGCTTTATACAATAGCTTTAGGCTTCGTTAAACAAAAGAGTCTATAGGATAAGTCATATTGTCTACTGATACTTTAAATAATTTTAACTTTTATTTTAGATTCAGGAAGTACATGTGCAGGTTCGTTATGTGGGTATATTACACGATACTAGGTTTGGAATACGGATGATCATGTCACCCTAGTAGTGAGCATGGTACCTAACAGTTTTTCAATGCTTACCCCTCCCGCTTCCAGCAGCCTCCAGTGTCCATTGTTGACTTATTTTATTTTGTAATGGGAACTGAAATTTTGATAAATATTCTCACTTGAGACTAGAGAGGAAATATATTTCCTTTATAATTTGGATTTGCTGGATTAAAGAATAAGAGAAGAGCAAGAAGAGGAAAAAATAAATGAAAGCATGTGGAAGAGTGCACCAATGTGGAAGAGTGTGTGCCAATGTGGCTTTCATGGACTTCTTGTGGGAGTCAGATGGGGCACCCATGGGCCAGTGAACACTACTGCATGCACAGCTGCTTTGCAGCTCCCACTATGCTCCTGCTCTTTTCTTCTGCTGTGCTCCTTTTGCAGTCTGTTCAACAACAATCTTTTCACCAAATTTACTCCAACCCGCTACTTAGTATATATGATGCAATATTACTAATTATCAGAAATTCTTTCCTCTGCTTATTTTGAATATTGCCTTTACAGGTTCTGGAGGTGGAGCTGACACTTGTTTCTTCTTTCATAAACACGGGATAATGCTTTTCATCCCAGATGAAAGGGTGAGTCTTTAATGAGATAATGTGTATAGCACAGTAGGTGCCCATCACATTTTAGCTAAAAGTGTCCTTGCTTTCTGCAGTGCACCAAATCCACTTCCTCCTGCCACTGTGGTTGAAGCCTGCTCCCGGGCTCGCCTATACCTTATCTGGTCCTGCCTTCCTGAGCAGCTGATCCTCTTGATGGTGTGTGGTCACTTCCTGAAAGCTAGTGGTGGCTTTGTGAGTGCTCACAGAAAACTGAGGAAAAATTGTTCAGATAAGGCACAGAAATTTCTCAACAAGGCTGTTCCTTCTCTAGCGTGCATTTATGCAGGTCTTTCAGTAGGTATTGAGACTTGAATATGTAGAAAATCTTTCTTTTTCTATCTTTCTGTGACAACACAGCACACAAATTCCCTGAAGACCAATTAGTCACCTTTATTCAGAAATTTAGGCTGAAAAAGTAGTCTTTATCTGGAACATTTCCAAACTCAAGGGAGAGACAGAGAGGAGATGGGGAATTATGTGATGAGTCTCAAAGTTCTGGCTGTTGTTCCCACCATGATGCCATTGGTAGGAGTTCACATGCTCACCCCTGAGTTCAGCAGGGTGGATGCATCGTCCTCTCACAAGAAGGACAATCAAAGGAAGGGGATCCAGAATATTTAGCAATCATCAATGCTACTGATCAACCACCAGACACAAGACTACATTTTAACTCAAAATCATTGGATGTTCTTATGTATCTCAGCTTGTGTGCACATTTACATGAACATGGCCACCCTCATCTAGGATCAACAGCATTCCACAGCACACTTTAGGGGGTCCCACCTCTGTGTCTTTGCTCATATCATTTCCTCCTGCTGGAATGTCTTTCCTCCATGTTCAAATTTTGTAGATTTACATCAAAACAGGAATAGGAAATTCAAAAATAAATAAATACAAATAGCTAACGAAATTGTTCAACCTGACAAATAGTAAATGGAAAAAAAAAAAAACACTAAAACACAGATTCCATCTTGGGCCTAAAAAAGGCAAGCATTTAAAGAGAAACATACAGTATTGTTCAGGGGGAAGCAATACAGATATTTTCATTTACAGTAGTTTCCCCTTATCTTCAGGTAATATGTTGCAAGACTCTCACTGGATGCCTGAAACCGCAGATAGTACTGAACCCTATGTAGACCATGATAGTATGTTTTTTCCTATGCATACATACCTTTGATAAAATTCAATTTATAAATTAGACACAATAACAGATTAACAATAAATAATAATAATGTAAACAATTATATTTTAAAGGACAGACAAAGAGAGCCCACATTCACATAAATTTTATTATAGCACAGTTATATTTTTGTGGTGTACTCACCTATTTTCAGACCACAGTTAAATATAAGTAGCTAAAACCTTAGAAAGTGAAACTGCCAGTAAGGGGGGACTACTGTACTATTGCTAAGAGTTGCTATCCAGGCACTTGTTTTATGACTAAAAAGCTGGAAAGAATTGAAGTATCTCCCATCACTCTCTAGCACCTATTCCTTATACATTCATCACTACTTGATATACATGTGTGCATGCCTACAACCCCCTTTACACACACACGAACTCTTTCTTTGCTTGTTATTGTTCTTCCCAGAGAATGTAAGCTCCACAAGGACAATGACTTTATCTAGCTTGTATATTATTATACCTCCAGTCCTAGAATGTCTAACACATAGGTGGTCACATAGTAAATATTTATTAGATGAATATATGAAATGATCATCAGGAGTCTGTGTAAATAAATAATGACATATTTACATAATGATCAACTTTATAGAATTTTTAAAAAGTTATTAAAATTTTAATTTTAATGTTTTAAATGTTTTATGTTTAAATGTTTTAAAATTAAAAACATTTAAAACATGAAAAATACTTATTGTCTATAATAAAGACACAAACACAGTGGTTATCTCAGACTGATGAGCTTATGATTGATTGATAGTTTTCCTTTTTATATACATCTGCATTTTCTAAATACTTATCAATAAGCATGTGCTATTGTTATAATCAGACAAACATGTAAAAGACAAAAAGTCCTGGAAGTCCAGCTCAAATGCAACCTCTTCTATTAAATATTTCCTGAACTCTCCAATCCCTGGTGATCTTGGCCTCTACAATCCTCAGGACATAGTGACCATGTCCGAAACCATGCATAGTACTGAACCCTATACTGATTACAATACTGTGATGTTGGATTTGTGGGTATAACCCATTTGTGTCATTTAGCTGTGTTCCTCTTGGACCAACAGCTTTAGCTCCCATTGCCCTGCCCAATGCAGGGTGAAGGAATATGGTATTCTGAAAAAGGTGGAGCAATAGGAAGTTAAACAGGGAGGAAGTTAAGAGGAGAATGTGGATATACCAATACATCAACAGAAAATAAGAAACAAGATCCTGTTCAGTTCCTAAAAATGACTCCAAAAAGGTATTTTTCACTTGAAAACAGTGTAACCTTTAGCTTCGAGAGAATGTCCTAAAATTTACTGCTGGCTGCATTTGAGGTCATTGAGGCCCACCTTTAAATGAGTTCCATAAATTCCCAGGATGAAGCTCAAGACTTTGAGAGATACAAAAGAGGCCTGTGGAAAGGTAACACAGGGAAAGAAATAAGAGATGAGAGTGTTCCCTACCCCCCAGCTCCTCTGGCCACCCTCCCGATGGATCCCTGTGGTGCCAGGCAGGAATGACCTGCTTGGGGATGCAGCGAGCTCCCAGGACCTTACCCACTGCTTCCTCTACCCACGTATTTCACTCAGCTCCCCAAATTGACTCAGCTCCAGGCCAGTAGGGGAGGAGCCAAGGATGGCCGAATAGGAACAGCTCCTGTCTACAGCTCCCAGCGTGAGCAACACAGAAGACAGGTGATTTCTGCATTTCCAACTGAGCTTTGAAGAGAGTAGTGGTTCTCCCAGCATGCAGCTTGAGATCTGAGAACGGGCAGACTGCCTCCTCAAGTGGGTCCCTGACACCCGAGTAGCCTAACTGGGAGGCACCCCCCCAGTAGGGGCAGACTGACACCTCACACAGCCAGGTACTCCTCTGAGACAAAACTTCCAGAGGAACAATCAGGGAGCAGCATTTGCGGTTCACCAATATCCGCTGTTCTGCAGCCTCCGCTGCTGATACCCAGGCAAACAGGGTCTGGAGTGGACCTCTAGCAAACTCCAACAGACCTGCAGCTGGGGGTCCTGTCTGTTAGAAGGAAAACTAACAAACAGAAAGGACATCCACACCAAAACCCCATCTGTACATGACCATCATCAAAGACAAAAGGTGGATAAAACCACAAAGATGGGAAAAAAAAAACAGAGCAGAAAAACCAGAAACTCTAAAAAGCAGAGCGCCTCTCCTCCTCCAAAGGAACGCAGCTCCTCACCAGCAACAGAACAAAGCTGGATGGAGAATGACTTTGACGAGTTGAGACAAGAAGGCTTCAGATGATCAAACTACTCCGAGCTACAGGAGGAAATTCGAACCAATGGCAAAGAAGTTAAAAGCTTTGAAAAAAAAAATTAGAAGAATGGATAACAACTAGAATAACCAATGCAGAGGAGAAGTCCTTAAAGGACCTGATGGAGCTGAAAACCAAGGCACGAGAGCTATGTGACGAATGCAGAAGCCTCAGGAGCCGATGCGATCAACTGGAAGAAAGGGTATCAGTGATGGAAGATGAAATGAATGAAATGAAGCAAGAAGAGAAGTTTAGAGATAAAAGAATAGAAAGAAATAAACAAAGCCTCCAAGAAATACTGGACTATATGAAAAGACCAACTCTATGTCTGATTGGTGTACCTGAAAGTGACAGGGAGAATGGAACCAAGTTGGAAAACACTCTGCAGGATATTATCCAGGAGAACTTCCCCAATCTAGCAAGGCAGGCCAACATTCAGATTCAGGAAATACAGAGAATGCCACAAAGACACTCCCTGAGAAGAGCAACTCCAAGACACATAATTGTCTGATTCACCAAGGTTGAAATGAAGGAAAAAATGTCAAGGGCAGCCAGAGAGAAAGGTCGGGTTACCCACAAAGGGAAGGCCATCAGACTAACAGCTGATCTCTCTGCAGAAACTCTACAAGCCAGAAGAGAGTGGGGGCCAATATTCAAGATTCTTAAAGAAAAGAATTTTCAACCCAGAATTTCATATCCAGCCAAACTAAGCTTCATAACTGAAGGAGAAATAAAATCCTTTACAGACAAGCAAATGCTGAGAGATTTTGTCACTACCAGGCCTGCCTTAAAAGAGCTCCTGAAGGAAGCACTAAACATGGAAAGGAACGACTGGTACCAGCCACTGCAAAAACATGCCAAATTGTAAAGACCATTGAGGCTAGGAAGAAACTGCATTAATTAATGCACAAAATAACCAGCTAACATCATAATGACAGGATCAAATTCACACATAACAATATTAACCTTAAATGTAAATGGGCTAAATGCTCCAATTAAAAGACACAGACTGGCAAATTGGATAGAGTAAAGACCCATCAGTGTGCTGTATTCAGGAAACCCATCTCACGTGCAGAGACACACATAGGCTCAAAATAAAGGGATGGAGGAAGATTTATCAAGCAAATGGAAAATAAAAAAAGGCAGGGGTTGCAATCCTAGTCTCTGATAAAACAGACTTTAAACCAACAAAGACCAAAAGAGATGAAGGCCATTACATAATGGTAAAGGGATCAATTCAACAAGAAGAGGTAACTATCCTAAATATATATGCACCCAATACAGGAACACCCAGATTCATAAAGCAAGTACTGAGTGACCTACAAAGAAACTTAGACTCCCACACATTAATAATGGGAGACTTTAACACCCCACTGTCAACATTAGACAGATCAATGAGACAGAAAGTTAACAAGGATATCCAGGAATTGAACTCAGTTCTGCACCAAGCAGACCTAATAGACATCTACAGAACTCTCCACCCCAAATCAACAGAATATACATTCTTCTCAGCACCACACCACACCTACTCCAAAACTGACCACATAGTTGGAAGTAAAGCACTCCTTAGCAAATGTAAAAGAACAAAAATTATAACAAACTGTCTCTCAGATCACAGTGCAATCAAACTAGAACTCAGGATTAAGAAACTCACTCAAAACCGCCCAACTACATGGAAACTGAACAACCTGCTCCTGAATGATTAGTGGGTACATAATGAAATGAAGGCAGAAATAAAGATGTTCTTTGAAACCAATGAGAACAAAGATACAACATACCACAATCTCTGGGACACATTCAAAGCAGTGTGTAGAGGGATATTTATAGCACTAAATGCCCACAAGAGAAAGCAGGAAAGATCTAAAATTGACACCCTAACATCACATTTAAAAGAACTAGAAAAGCAAGAGCAAACACATTCAAAAACTAGCAGAAGGCAAGAAATAACTAAGATCAGAGCAGAACTGAAGGAAATAGAGACACAAAAAACCCTTCAAAAAATTAATGAATCCAGGATCTGGTTTTTTGAAAGGATCAACAAAACTGATAGACTGCTAGCAAAACTAACAAAGAAGAAAAGAGAGAAGAATCAAATAGATGCAATAAAATATGATAAAGGGGCTATCACCACCTATCCCACAGAAATACAAACTACCGTCAGAGAATACTATAAACACCTCTATGCAAATAAACTAGAAAATCTAGAAGAAATGGATAAATTCTTCGACACATACACCCTCCCAAGACTAAACCAGGAAGAAGTTGAATCTCTTAATAGACCAATAACAGGCTCTGAAAGTGAGGTAATAATCAATAGCTTACCAACCAAAAAAAGTCCAGGACCAGATGGATTCACAGCCGAATTCTACCAGAGGTACAAGGAGGAGCTGGTACCATTCCTTCTGAGACTATTCCAATCAATAGAAAAAGAGGGAATCCTCCCTAACTCATTTTATGAGGCCAGCATCATCCTGATACCAAAGCCGGGCAGAGACACAACAAAAAAAGAATTTTAGACCAATATCCTTGATGAACATTGATGCAAAAATCCTCAATAAAATACTGGCAAACCGAATCCAGCAGCACATCAAAAAGCTTATCCACCATGATCAAGTGGGCTTCATCCCTGGGATGCAAGGCTGGTTCAATATACGCAAATCAATAAATCCAGCATATAAACAGAACCAAAGACAAAAACCACATGATTATCTCAATAGATGCAGAAAAGTCCTTTCACAAAATTCAAGAACCCTTCATGCTAAAAACTCTCAATAAATTAGATATTGATGGGACGTATCTCAAAATAATAAGAGCTATCTATGACAAACCCACAGCCAATATCATACTGAATGGGCAAAAACTGGAAGCATTCCCTTTGAAAACTGGCACAAGACAGGGATGCCCTCTCTCACCACTCCTATTCAACATAGTGTTGGAAGTTCTGGCCAGGGCAATCAGGCAGGAGAAGGAAATAAAGGGTATTCAGTTAGGAAAAGAGGAAGTCAAATTGTCCCTGTTTGCAGATGACATGGTTGTATATCTAGAAAACCCCATTGTCTCAGCCCAAAATTTCCTTAAGCTGACAAGCAACTTCAGCAAAGTCTCAGGATACAAAATCAATGTGCAAAAATCACAAGGATTCTTATACACCAATAACAGACAAACAGAGAGCCAAATCATGAATGAACTCCCATTCACAATTGCTTCAAAGAGAATAAAATACCTAGGAATCCAACTTACAAGGGACGTGAAGGACCTCTTCAAGGAGAACTACAAACCACTGCTCAATGAAATAAAAGAGGATACAAACAAATGGAAGAACATTCCATGCTCATGGGTACAAAGAATCAATATCATGAAAATGGCCATACTGCCCAAGGTAATTTATAGATTCACTGCCATCCCCATCAAGCTACCAATGACTTTCTTCACAGAATTGGAAAACAACTACTTTAGAGTTCATATGGAACCAAAAAAGAGACTGCATTGCCAAGTCAATCCTAAGCCAAAAGAACAAAAGCTGGGAGGCATCACGCTACCTGACTTCAGACTATGCTACAAAGCTACAGTAACCAAACCAAAACAGCATGGTACTGGTACCAAAACAGAGATATAGACCAATGGAACAGAACAGAGCCCTCAAATAATACCACACATCTACAACCATCTGATCTTTGACAAACGTGACAAAAACATGAAATGGGGAAAGGATTCCCTATTTAATAAATGGTGCTGGGAAAACTGGCTAGCCATATGTAGAAAGCTGAAACTGGATGCCTTCCTTACACTTTATACAAAAATTAATTCAAGATGGATTAAAGACTTAAATGTTAGACCTGAAACCATAAAAACCCTAGAAGAAACCCTAGGCAATACCATTCAGGACATAGGCATGGGGAAGGACTTCATGTCTAAAACACCAAAAGCAATGGCAACCAAAGCCAAAATTGACAAATGGGATCTAATTAAACTAAAGAGCTTCTGCACAGCAAAAGAAACTACCATCAGAGTGAACAGGCAGCCTACAGAATGGGAGAAAATTTTTGCAACCTACTCATCTGACAAAGAGCTAATATCCAGAATCTACAATGAACTCAAACAAATTTACAAGAAAAAAAACAACCCCATCAAAAAGTGGGTGAAGGATATGAACAGACACTTCTCAAAAGAAGACATTTATGCAGCCAAAAAACACATGAAAAAATACTCATCATCACTGGTCATCAGAGAAATGCAAATCAAAACCACAATGAGATACCATCTCACACCAGTTAGAATGGCCATCATTAAAAAGTCAGGAAACAACAGGTGCTGGAGAGGATGTGGAGAAATAGGAACACTTTTACACTGTTGGTGGGACTGTAAACTAGTTCAACCATTGTGGAAGTCAGTGTGGCGATTCCTCAGGGATCTAGAACTAGAAATACCATTTGACCCAGCCATCCCATTACTGGGTATATACCCAAAGGATTGTAAATCATGCTGCTATAAAGACACATGCACACATATGTTTATAGCGGCACTATTCACAATAGCAAAGACTTGGAACCAACCTAAATGTCCAACAATGATAGCCTGGATTAAGAAAATGTGGCACATATACACCATGGAATACTATGCAGCCACAGAAAATGATGAGTTCATGTCCTTTGTAGGGACATGGATGAAACTGGAAACCATCATTCTCAGCAAACTATTGCAAGGACAAAAAACCAAACACCACATGTTCTCACTTATACCTGGGAATTGAACAATGAGAACACATGGACACAGGAAGGGGAACATCACACACCGGGGACTGTTGTGGGGTGGGGCGAGGGGGGAGGGATAGCATTAGGAGATACGCCTAATGCTAAATGAGGAGTTAATGGGTGCAGCACACCAACATGGCACATGTATATATATGTAACAAACCTGCACGTTGTGCACATGTACCCTAAAACTTAAAGTATAATTTAAAAAAATCGGAATTAGAGGCTCTCATAGAGCCTCTAATGGTTTTCAAATCAAAGACTGAATTCCAAATGTTCTCATACATCAAGGAAGACCTAAAGCTAGCCCATGTGGCTTAGAGGTGACAGCGTATCATCAAAGAGCTAAATAACTGACCAGTATTCTAAAGGGACTAAAACATTCTTTCCCAGTCTCAGCCTTCAAGTGGCAGGTCACTGCTGAAAACTTGAAGGTAGAGAGATTAACCCTTTAAGATATTTGGTAAGTTCTGTAACCATAGTTTGTATATATTCCCCTACTATTGAACTGAGATTGCTAATAAAATCAGAGAAATCAAGGTTTAAATTCTAGCTTTGGCATGTGTGAACTTGGGCAAGTTATTTACTTTCTCTGGGCCTCAGCTTCTGCATCTCTGAAAAGGGCCATCACAGTGCATTATCTCACTTACAATGAAGGGTAATTGTGAAAATTAGAAATAATAAATCTGAAGAGCCTGTCATAGTGCCTGCCACATCAAAGATTTCCAATAAAAGCTAACTTAATATCTTTACTCAGTTATATTCATTATGTCAGGAAAGATGCCAGACGCCAAGTGTAGCAGGGCAGCTTTTACATTTACGAGCACAAAATTTGGTTTAGGTTCATGGATATTTTCATAACCTTAGGTGAATGACTGTTTCTTTCTGCCACCATTATTTCATCTGAAATATGATCAGCTTATGCTGGTTGATTTCCAAGGCATTTTAAGCTCTGACATCCTATTTTTATGATACTATGAATGAATTAATTGGCATGGGCTTTAGTAGGAACCTCTCTTTTTCTTTTCCTTCACTCTTCTACATCCTTACTGCTCCTTCCTTAATCAACCACAGCACTGAATTCATTCCTATTCTCTTTTACTCTGTTTTCTACCCTTCCAACCCACTGACAACCCCGTTGTCAAAAGGAATTTTTGGAAGCTCCAATTTGTTAAATTGCTCCATTTCAGTAAAATCTGAATTGCTTTAAGTCTCAATCCCTTTTTCCCATTTGCAGACTAAACCCTTTATTTATTAGAGTGAGATTTAAAGTTCTGTAGTCAGCCTCTGTCCACATTTGTAAATGTACTTCTTTAGACTAATATTTTAATGCCTACGAGTTTAAGCCAAAATAAAAGTAATGCTAATTGCAAAATTGTAGAAAATTCAGGTCATAATCAGATACAATACAAAATCAGAAAGTTAAAAACCATTCTTAATTCTACTCTCGAAAGAAAACCAGCAACGTGGTGTGTATTATTCTAGTTTTATATCCATTCATACTTGTGGTCAGATGAAAAATTTAAAATTTACCCATGTGTCTTTTCAAGATACCTTGTAACTCTCTTACATTTGTCTAGCTAGTTCAGAGGCATCCATTGCTCCAAAAGAAGAGAGTCATTAAAGCAGAATGCAAACAGAAAACAAAGGTTTAAATAATTAAGCATATGAACTAACATTATTTAGAAGTGAGTGATTTGTCAGATTTTCTACCTCTCTGTTCTGCTCCAATGCCCTTCCTTCAAAAACAAACAAACAAAAACACCCCCAAACCCTACTAGAAGTCCTGAGGCATAGGGGATGATAGGGTGCTCAAATGGGTTTGGCTGCGTAAGTGTGAGAAGTCCCATATGTCACAAGTTAAAGTAGAAACTGGGGACCCAGAAAGACTCTAAATATCCACCACCCTCCATTTCATGGAAGGTATAGAGTAGAAAAGACTGTTTAAGATATCCAGATAGAAGCATTTCTAGAATCTCTCAGAGGTTCCTAAGGCCCAAGAGTGGTCTGGAGGTGACCACACATTTGCTGTGAACTAGAGATGGGAGCAGAAGCAGCTGAGAGAAGAGTAGGCACAGAGAACCTTCTGGGAGGAAGAGGATTCAGCACAGAGCTGTAGGGACCAAAAATGGAAGACTACAGGGGAACAGGGTGTTTCACAGATGCCAACATGGACAAGAGACAATGACCACAGACCAAGTGCCTCTCCTCACTATGGGTTGGCATTGTGTAAATCTCACAGAATTTGCACCTAACCCAAATACAAACGTGCTTCATTTTATTGTGGTTTGCCTTATTGGGCTTTGCAGATAATGCTTTTTGTTTTTTTGTTTGTTTGCAATTGAAGGTTTGTAGCAACCCTGCATCAAGCAGGACTAGCATACCACTTTTCTAATAGGATGTGCTCACTTTGTTAGCATTTTTAGCAATAAAGTACTTTTTAATTAATATATCTATGTTTCTTTTTAGAATAATGCTATTGCATACTTAATAGACCATAGTATAAACATAACTTGCATATGCACTGGGACACCAAAGAATTCATGTAACTTATTGTGACATTTGCTTTATTATTGTGTTCTGAAACCTAACCTGCAATATTTTCAAGGTATGTCTGTATATGAGGGAAAAACTTTTTGAATTGAATGAAATTTCATTTCTACCAATTGGCCAAACAGGAAATCAAAACAGAAAATGGGTTTATAAATGGAAAAGTAAGTTACATTTTTGCATACTCAACTTTGTGAACTGAGATTCACAGAATTGTAGAACTATAGTTCTTTTCCTTAGACTTACTGGTCTCTAAAATGATCATGCCTTTAATGTAGGACACATTCAGTTGCCTCTGTCTGAAAAACTGCCACATCCTTCATTTCTCCAATTAAAAATATCTGCTCCATCTTTAAGACCTCTCTAAATAAAATCATTTACCCTTTCACAGGCCTCTCCCAAATCCCCTAAGTATGGTGAATCCTCTTACACTACACAAACTCCCAATAAAGCAGTTATTTTCATAACCATTATTATTACGTGTATTTCACTAAACCAAGATGGGCGAGAAAATGAGACCTTATTTTCTATCAATCATTTGTTTCTCATAGCTTTGCACAAAACCACGGCATCTTGCAGACCTCTATGTATCTTTGTTGAATAAATGAATAGAAGGGTGGTAACCTGAGGATGATACCAGAGGGGAAGAACCAGAGAGGCAATGATGGGTAGAAAGATGTAGAGTGCAAGTCATCTTGTTTTTTAAAAAGTAACCTAGCCATGTATCATCAACCCACAAATCCAGTTATAATAACAATAAAAATAATTTAAATTATCTATTTGTCTTTGCTTCACTCAATGGTCTACAGTGAACAAATCTTCTCCCAAAGAAGAGCCAGTATCTGGACTTTCCATTTCCCTAATTAAATTTAGAGACATCTCCAAAATAGGAAAAATGCTGAATTCTGACAATTGTAGGTTATCTCTTATTCTGTTCCCATGGGGTATTGTAAATTTCCCTTATCCTGATTTCTTGAACCTATTTGACTTTTTCACTTCATTCATTTTTACGACTTTCTTTTGGCTTATGCGAGAATTACCCATTCCAATTTTCTGGATTTTAGAGCCCCGCTATTGGACTAGTTCCCAGGTTCCCTGCATTAAAGGAATAAAACAAAGATGCAGCCAACTCAGCAAGTCATGGTCCTCTCATTTACAAAATTACAGAGTTAGAGCTCAATGGATATAAATTCTTTTCTATGAAAAGCGAGAATGATTATGACAGAATCATCTGGAGGACATACTTCACACACAGACTTGTGGACATTCCTCTAAGTGAGAATTGTGGGTGTGCCCAGGGTTCGTCCTGTTATCTTCAGCAGTCATCGGACAATTTAGACTTTCAGCCAGGTCTGAAATCCACTCACTCCTGTAGGTACTCCCTAGTGTTCCTTCTAGTCTATTATAAATGATAATACAATTGAGAATTTCAGCTCCACATACCAGCAGGGAAGTTTATTTTGAGACAGTGCCCCTCAAGTCAAGTCTTAATCTTTACATTTCCACTGTGGGAATAACTCTTGATGTTGAGAATGGCTGAACTAAGGTGAGCATGAGAGCAGGCAACCTAAGCATAAACTTAGGTTTATACAGCGAGTTGCTAATTCTTAAAGCCTTTTATTTTTATTATATGATTTGATCCTCTTTATTACCCTAGAATTCATCAGGGAGGAGGTTATTGTTTCAGGTTTACAATGAAAAATTTTGAGACTCAAAATGGCCGTGTCTTTTCTCCTTCACAGTTTGGTGAGTAAACCAGCAACATCAGCTGGGAAATTTTTAGAAATGCAGAATTTCAGGTTCATGCTAGTCCTACTGGACAAAATCTGGAATTTAACAAGATCCCTGGGTGATTTTCTTTTACATTTGAGAAGCATTCAATAATGTGATTTTCCAAAACTCCTGCATCAGGCACAGCTCATGGTGAGCAAAACCATCAGAAAATGAAGAGATCATTTATAAGGAGAAATATGGTTGCAGCCAGTAAATCAACAGTCAGGTTGGGCACCATTTTCTTGTGAGAAAGTTACAGGCCACAGGCAAGAAGTCAGGGCTGTCAGCAGCCTCATCACCAAATACCCAGACAAGGAGCAAGAGAGAGGGGCAGGGGTAATGAGGCACTCCCTTCAGGGATGATCCTGAGAGGAGAGCTTCTTTCTGCTGACAGGTAAGGGAGTCTCTGTGTCTTTCAGGTCTGACCTTGAGTTTTATTCCTACAGAGAAACAGAAGGGAAGAAGAGAAGGGGAAAACTGGAAATGTGACATCACCCAACCTGTAATTAATCATGTTCTTTAGTTGGTCTTGATAAGCCTCAGTAATTTTTTAAAAAGAGAACACTTGAAATCTTCCCTGTTAATCTCATACCTTTTCCTGATAGCTGTAACTTATTGAAAATACTTGATTTCAGAAGTGTCCATGCCTTTCTTCATTCCTTTATTCCACAAGTACTTGCTGAGTATTTTCTGGATGCTCAGTGCTTGGGAAATGAAAATGAAGGACATAGATTCTGTCATTCTGGTGCAATGAGGAAGAGAATCAAGTAGAGGGGTAATTTTAGTAAAATCATACCATCTTATTTCATGTTACCTCAGGAGGGGATGTGCCTTTTGATTTTTTGAGAAACTCAACTCAACATTTCCTGAATGGGGAGAAAAGAAAATGTTCCAACTAGCTCCAGCCAGATAAAATCCAGACAGACTGCGATGAGTGTAAGTTGCACACCTATCCATGTGGTTAGAGGATGAGAAACTCTGGGACAGTTTGGGCTACCAGGCCATTTCTGTATTTGAAGCGAGAAAATAGAAGTTACATATATATATATATATATATATATATATATATCTCATATATTTATAAAAATATATATCCTATATATATAAAATACATACGATAAAGAGTGTTGGTAGGTGCTATATCCAGCAAATAATTAGCGTCTAATATACCTTCACATCTAAACTTCAGGTTCTTTTAAGAGCAAGAATCTGTCTTTAGTTCTAGGTTCACCATGACAGCTATCACAGTGACAGGTACATGCAAAACAGGTACTAAAGAAATATCTGCTGATCAAACCAAAGGAGTGTTCAGCAAATTTTCATTTACCAAGTAAGTATGTATAACCCTTCTGGGCTGGGCGTGGTGGCTTATGCCTGTAATCTCAGCACTTTGGGAGGCCGAGGAGGGAGAATCACTTGAGGTCAGGAGTTTGAGACAAGCCTGGCAATATGGTGAAATCTCGCCTCTACTAAAAATACAAAAATTAGCCAGACGTAGTGGTGTGCACCTGTAATCCCAGCTACTCGCAGGATAATCAGTTGATCCCAGGAGGCAGAGGTTTCAGTGAGCCAAGATTTCACCACTACACTCTAGTCTGGGCAACAGAGTGAGACTCCATCTCTTTCTCTTTCTTTCTTTCTCTCTCTCTCTGTCATATATATACACACACACATATATATAGATATAGATATATGTACATATATCTATTTCTGTGTGTGTGTGTATAAAACCCTTTTGACAAGCAGGAACTCTTTTGCTTTTAGCATCAAACACAGGCAGACACATATCAATTTCCATATCCTATTAACTCTCTTGCTTTCCTGTTCTATGGAGTTGTCTAGCAATATTCTGTACAAGGCCTATTTCCAATGATCATTTTAGTAACAGATATTGAGGGAAATTAGCACTTGTATTATTTCACTCATTATCTCACTGTGTCTGGGCAAAGAGAGATGAGTGTCTTTCTCATTCTTCATATAAGGTAAACTAGGCAGCAGATTAGACTAAGACCATGTCACAATTTATGCTGGCTAATTTGTGAACAGAGCCTCAATCTGACATTAACTCCAACCAACTATGCTGCTTTTCTCCCTCTCTCTCTCTTTTTTTTTTTTTTGTATTATCTGGGTAAATGTCCAATCTTTCTTTCCTGTTACATTTTTTTCTTATTAGTATGACTAGAGATTTATCAATATTATTTATCTTCTCAAATCACTGGATTTTTTGTTTGATCTTTTCTACTGTTTTTCTGGTTTTTCAATTTATTTTATTCCCTTTTGCTCTTCTCTTTAATATTTCTTTTTTGGATTTAATTTGCTCTTCTTTTTCTAGTTTATTAAGGTGAAACTATAGATTATTGATTTGACAACTTTGATTTTTTGAGATAAGGTCTGGCTATGTCACTCAGGCTGAGGTGTAGCTGGGGTATAGTGGCACGCTCGTAGCTCACTGTAGCCTCTGCCTCCCAGGCTCAAGTGATCCTCCCACCTCAGCCTCCTGAGTAGCTGGGAATACAGGCGTGAGCCACCATGCCTAACTAATTTTGATATTTCTTTTCTTTTTTTCTTTTCTTTTTCTTTCTCTTGTTGGTACAGAGGGGGTCTCACCATGTTGCCCAGGCTGCTCTCGCACTCCTGGGCTCAAGCTATCTTAGCTCCTCGGCCTCCCAAAGTTCTGAGATTACAGGCGTGAGTCACCATGCCTGGCCAACTGTGCTGCTCTTTAAGATCATTTTAATTCTGTTTTAAGATTTGAGAAGGACAAAGTATGCCACTAAACAACTGTAGTCATTTAAGTTGAAAAATATCAAACAGTCTTTATGTTGCCTTAGTTTGTTTCAACTTCTTTATTTCTATATTGATGTCAAGGAGTGTGTGTGTGTGTGTGTGTGTGTGTGTGTGTGTATGTATGTGTGTGTTACCCCAATGAAGTAATTGCTGCAGATCCCTGAAGGTCACATACTTTTGGATTATTTTGTATGTGAATGTGTGTGTGTATGTATCAATGGATTTTATCTACCCATAACTCTGGATTCACAGCACTCATAATTGAAGAGACACCAATGAGAACCATACTCATCCTATAGCCAACATTCTAAATATCTAATTAAAAACTAGCAACTTAATGGGAGCTCTAATGGGGGAGTTCCTGAAAGAAATACATTTTAAGCTAGGTTTGATTGGGAACTGAGTGACAAATACACATTTGATCACAAAAAGCAATGCCAAATACTCTAAAATGGATAGTATTCGTTATCTGGCAGGTACTAAAAATAAACTCATTTAGTAAAGTGCAACGTTAAAAAAACAATGAAGGACTTCTGTTTCTGGGAGCATGGTGTAGAAGTACATTTCCCTATTCATCCCACTAAGTACAATTGAAACCTTATATTTTATATAAAATAAATATAGTAATACTCTGAAAGGTAGAGAAAAGAAGGCAGACCGGCTAGGGACCTCAGGACCCAAGGAGCTACAAAGTGGTGAATTATAGGGTTTACTTTTCGCCTTACGTATACTTGCCTTGGAGTTGAAGAACCCATCAATCTGGAAATGCGCATGGTCACAAACAATTTTAAAACCCCAACAAAATTTTGTGGTTTTTTTTTTTTCTGGCAAACAAAAAACAACAACAACAACAACAACAAAATCAAAAAAAAAAAAACGGAAAAGAGCAACAGAGAAGAAAGAAAGAAAAAAAAACCTTTCAAACAATAACCCCTCTACTGCAACCTAATGGCACTGAAAAGAACCGTGTCCTCTCCCCTACGCATAGCAGTTAACGCAAGTGGGAAACTGGACTTCTCCCTTTGTGAGGCTGTAAAGAAGCACCACAACAACCCTGCTGGGGTAGTGCCAGAGAGGGCTAAGGAAGCTAAGACGTTCATCCCACCAGCCAGTGGTGAGTCTTCCACTTCCCCTTATGGTGTCAGTGTATACCATATGGGGAGGCTGAGCTTCCAACCTCACACCAAGATGGTGTCAAAGACAACCTAGTAGAAAGTCAAGATTTTAACCCCTGCCCAGCAGTAATGAGTCCACCCCCACCATAGTGTCAGGAAAGATCCCATGAAAAGCTGGAATTCCCATCCCCAAAAAGCAATAACAGGGAGTCCCCATCTCAGGTGTTAAAGAGGCCAAATGGGGAATCTGAACTTTTACCTTCACTTACAGGTAACAAGATGACAGAGAAAGCGAGCTAAAACGGAAGGTTTAAATAAGTCCCAGAATCTCAGTATATAATGTGAAAACATCCAGTTTTCAATTCAAGTCACTTATTATATGTAAAGCCAGAAAGATCTGAAAGTGAATAAAAAAGATATTCAACAGATACAAACACCAAAATTCCAGAAATGTTAGAATTACCTGACAAGATTGTAAAGCATACATGATAAAAAAAAAAAAAAAAAAAAACACTTCAATGAGCAATTACAAACATACCTGAAACAAATGAAGAAAATAGAAAGCGCCGGCCAAGCAATAGAAACTGCCAGTGAAGTAATAGAAGATATTATGAAGAACCAAATGGAGATTTTACATCTAAACCTAAAATAAGTAAAACACTCAGTAGACGGGCTTAACAGCAGAATTTTTCCAAATGGATCAATTCTTTGAAAACATAAACTACCACCACTCGCCTAATACAAAATAGATTATTGCAATAGTCATAACTATTCATGAAATTGGATTTATAATTTTAAAACTCCCTCTAAAATATCTCCAGGACCAGATGGTTGCACTAGATAATTCTAGAAGAATTAAAGCCAATTTGACACAATGTCTTCCAGAAAATAGAAGAGGATGAAATACTTCTCAGTACATTTTATGAAACTGATAATGCTCCAATATAAAAACCAACCAGACAGTACAAAACAATCTACAAACCAATATCCTCATAATATACTTAACAAAATACTAGCAAATAGAATTATGATATATATATATATATATATATATATATATATATATATATGATGACCAAGTAAAAGTTATTTGAGGAATGCAAGGCTGGTTCTGTACTCTAAATCAATTAATGCAATTACCATATTAATAAGCTAAAGAAGAGCAGTTACCTGATCACATCAATGAAAGCAGAAAAGGCATTTGACCTAACTCAATACTCATTCAGATAATAATGTCAGAAAAGTAGTTGGTTAAGAAAGAACATCTACAACAAAGCTTATATCTATAATTATACTTCATGATTAAAGACTGAATATTTTTCCCCTAAAAGCAAGAATAAGGCAAGGATATCCATTCTAACCACTCTTATTCAACATGTTGCTAAAAGTTCTCGCCATTGTAGTAAGGCAAGGAAAGAAATGAAAATGCATACAAATCTAAAAGGAAGAAATAAATGCAAATGGCATGGTTGTATACATAGAAATTACCAAGCAATTTACAAAAACAAAACACAAAACCTCCTAGAAATAATAACCAAGTTTAGGAAGGTTGCATAATACAAAATAAACATACAACAATCAATTATAATCCCATACAGTATATACTTCAGTTCTCCCCAAATTGATAATCAGGTTTAATGTAATTTCTACCACAATCCCACCAAGATTTTTTGTGGTTATAGACAAAACTATTCTAAAATTTATATTGGAAGGCTAATGAGCTAGAATATCTCAAACTATTTTAACAAAGAAGAATAAAGTGGAAGGAATCCATCTACCCAAATTTCAAAACTTGCTTTTTAGGTACAATCATTAAGACTGTGTGTGTGGTACTGATGGTGTGGTATGGATGGAGTGTGTCAGGGCTGGAGGGGTAGGCACATAAATCAATGGAACAGAAGAACCCAGAAGTATTTCCATACAAATGTACCCAACTGATATTTTGACAAAGGTGCAAAAGCAATTTAATGGAGGAAAGATTACTTTTTCAATAAATGATGTTGGAACAATTGGACATCCAATAAATAATAAATAAATAAAAATAAAGCTTGGCCTGTCTCACACCTTCTACATTAATTCAAAATGGAACTTGGGCTTACATATAAAATATGTAACTATCAAGCTTTTAGAATAAAAACATAAGAAAAAATCTTGTAAGTCTAACTAGGCAAAGAGTTTATAGACTTGACACCAAAAGCACGATCCATAAAAGAAAAAAATTGATAATTTGGACTTCATGAATATTTTTAAAATTTGTTCTACAAAAGAACCTACTGAGAAGATGAAAAGAGAAACTACAGAGGAAAATATATTTGCAACCTACAAAGAACTAGTGTTTATAATAAAGAATTCTCAAAACTCAACAGCAAATAAAACAAATAGCAAACAATTCAATTAGAACATGGGCACAAGACATAAAGAGACATTTCACCAAGATACAGATAGCAAATAAGCACATGAACGATATAAAACATCATTAGCTATTAAAGTGTAAATTAAAACCACTCTGAGTGAATAAAAATCAATTCTAAGTGGAGTGCATAATGTTTCATTCTATTTACATATCATTCTTCAAATGACAAAATTATAAAATGAAGAACAGGTTCATGGATGCAGGGAGTAGGGGTGGGGAGTGGGTGTGACTATAAAAGGACAAGAGAGATCCTTATGGTAATGGAAATGTTCTAAATCTTGGCTATATCCATGTCAACATCTTGATTGTATTGTACTATAAGTTTTCAAGAGGTTACCACTGGGGAAAACAGTAAGGCTACACTGGACCTATCTGCATTATTTCTTACAACTTCATGTGAATCTATAATTAATTCAAAATAAAATAATAATAAAAATAATAATTAACTGTAACTGGTTCTTATTCCAAAAAAGGAACAAAATTAATCTCAGGACAGAATAACAAACTCTACAGAAATCTGTGTGAAAAAGAAGTCTTCTGAAGGGCATGGTCTGAAATGAGAAAGGATGGGGGTGAAGAGGGTTGAATTATAGAAAATAATAATTTTGAATCATTAGGGGAATCCCAGGAGAGAAACAGTAAAGGGATCAGGAAATGAAGAAAAGGGGGAAGATGTGTGGAAGTTCAAAATCAAAGGATCAGGAGCATATTGGAAGAGCCCCCTCAAAATAAGGCCAAAGAGGATTTTCACATGGATGAAATGACTGAGGAGACGTTTTTTAAAAGGATATCTAATATTTAACTTTCAGTAACTTGTCATATAGCAACCCTTAATTTCTCCAAATCTTCTAGAACAGCTTTTTGGTTTGTGTCCCCTTGAAGGAGACTGGAAGACAAGAAGAAGGGAGGAGAGACCCGCCCTTCCCGAAGTGCTTGCAGTTTCTACCAGCATTAGCCTGGCAAGGGCTCTACACCGTGGCCACAGGACACTGTTTCCAGGCTCCACACAGTCTCTTCCTCAAGCTTCTACATTCCAATATCTCCAAACTCTTCTCTTTGTTATCCCATCTCATCGCTGCCCCATCTCTTCCCATTGTAGCTGTTTGCTGCAACTGCTACCTCAGTGTTACCTTAACATTCCTTTTTCATCTTTTCTATTCCCTAATGTATTTTAAACCAAACCTTTGTATTTTTTTCTGTTAAATACCTCAGATGGTTTCTTTTTTCCTGATCAGACTTTAATATTATACTCATATAAATAATATTCATGAGTGCAAGATTTTTATAAGCACAGATGGAGACAAGTGGTAGGCTTGGAAGATGTACAGACTGAAAGCTTCACTTCCTTTGAGACTGACCACAGGCAGAACTAGGAAAGTAATTTAGCATTGCACGAGAGTACTGCCTCAAATCAATAGCCTTTTATGTTAACATGACATTTATGTTTTCCCAAATAATAAATTCAACTGGGTCAACTTTTTGCCACTAGGTATAAAATAACACTTTTGGGTGGATTTTCTGCCAGGCTACCTATGAGGTTAGCATATAATTCATTTATTTGTCTTTTAATCCAATCTGTTATGATGACATGGCAGAAATAATTTTACTAGAAAATGTATAATTATCATACCAAAGGGGGATCGAAAGTTAGAAAGAATCAAGTTGAAACTTCAATTGTGTCTTAAATGGTGCTTCTGTAGGTAATAAATAGGCCCCTATTTCATGGATTTACCTTTTAGTCATTGCAGTGTCTGTTTCAAGCACACAGGCATGTTATTTGTAATTGAGATACACATCCAGATTTCAGTTTAACTTGGAAGACCTCTATAAAAAGGCTGATTATACTGAAGTGCTTCACTGAGTGGTCCAGGACAATCACGGATTAATTCAGGGAGATGCTGGAAGGTTATTGGCTGTGTAAGAAAGGACTTGAAAGGAACACCCTACCCAGACATGGTAGAAACCCCAGACTAAGAAAGGACCACCCTACCCAGACGTGGTAGAAACCCCTGCACAAACTTCTCTTCATGATGCCTTTCTGCCATGTTCCAGGTTTTTCTCTGCCTTCTGGTGGCAGCAAACTCCGTCCTCAAGAACTCTTAAGTTGTTGCTTCTCAACTTCTCAACAAGGCAGAGAAGCTTGGGTAGAGAAAGGTGTTTCAGCTAATATTTCCTAAATTGGAAAATGCCAATGTAGGTAGGACTTCCCGTCTTGCCATTGGTGGATCTGCTTATGCTAAAGGGAATTTTTTTTTTTTTTTGGCTCCATGCAAACTGAAAAATCTAGGCTTCTTTTTAAGTATGAATTGATTCCCAGCTCAAAAAATGTTATCCACCTCTTGGCTGTTTCCTCAGAGCTACTTCAGTTCTCAATTCTGCCCAGAGACACCAAGGAAGCTTCACATTTACAGAATCTCATTCCTGTCTAGCAGTTGAGAGTTTGTTTTTCTGAAAGCTTAAGTCTTCAGGTTGTGCCTTCTCTGGCAGACCTACTTTGAGACATGTGCCCATTTTTAAACTGCACTGAGTCAAACAGGATAGAATGAGGTAACTAAGCTGGACCAGAACACATGTTCTACTCATGTATTCTGTGAGTGAAATCAACTTTACCTGAAAAATATGAGATGGGAGTGGGCAAGGAACGGCTCAGAGGAAAATGAGGATACCAGTGCTACAAAAAGGAATGGATCTGGGGAAACAACAACAACAAAAAGCCCACTATATGTTATTTCTGTTATAAAGCCATGTTGTAGCATCTCTACCTGAGTACTAATTTCTTTTCATATCTCTGATTTGGCTTCTCTGCTTTCAAAACACCTAGCAGTTGCCTGGCTAATCTGGAACTTGAGTCAGTTTATTTCTTGCTGTATTCACTGAGGATTCATCTTTGTTCTAAGATGAACCTCCATACGTGATATTGTGGGTGGTGCATAACAGATGGTGCTGTTGTCTTTTTAAGGTCATTGATAGGGCTCTTCAGAAAATATAACTTAGCAGACTGTGGATTCTGTGTTCTCATAACTGCAACCAAGATGACTTGACTCTAAATTAAGAAAATAAAATTTCAATAATATGACCTGTCCCTAGGTCCCTTTGCTGCTGATTCTAGAATTAGGAATGCCCAATTTAGAAGATCTGAGTAACCAGTACAGTTTGAAGCCTGGGACACAGCTGCCATTAAGGTATGAGTAGATGAGTCAGGTGGTTTTTGCCTACACACTGGACAACTAGCTGCAGCTGTACTTACACAAAAGGATGGGGAGAAGAGGATGCTTGTAGATGGGATCTAAATGCTTATCTAACACAGCAGAGAGCAAGCTTTGAGAAATTGTTTTGTTGGGTTTTTCATGGGAGGCTGATTACACTAGGATCTAAGTGAGATGTATCTTATTTTTCTGGGCAAAAATCCATTAGAAGAACTAAAGGAAGTTCAGAAGAGATTTGGTGAGATGATAGAAGGAAACTGTTGTGACAGCTTGGTTATGCTTATAGAGAACTAAGCATGCAGAGTCACCATGCTACCCAGACATGTTAGAAACCCCTGCACAAACTTCTCTTCATGATGCCTTTCTGCCATGTTCCAGGTTTTTCTCTCCCTTCTGGTGGCACAAAACTCTGTCCTCAACAACTCTTAAGTTGTTGCTTCTCAGCCTGAATCTCTCTCTCTTTTTTTAAAAATTTTACTTTAAGTTCTGGGATACATGTGCAGAACGTGCAGGTTTGTTACATAGGTATACATGTGCCATGGTGGTTTGCTGTACCTATCAACCTCTCATGTAGGTTTCAAGCCCAGCATGCATTAGGTATTTGTCCTAATGTTCTCCCTCCCCTTGCCCCCCTTGAATCTCTTATTTAGCTAATCTCCCTGGCTATAGCTGGTAGGCTTGGGGTGGACATGGTGTTCAAACCTAGGGACCTGGAACTGGGACATGGAGAGAGCAAACAATTTCATCCTCAGAAGCAGCACCAAAATCCTGGATCATGATGATCCAGGAGCCTGCCATTCTCCCTCACCACCCCACCCCACCCCTCCTGTGCATTGTCCAAATATCCTCCTTTCTCCTTTACTCCCTGGCCCCTTCTGCTTACAGTAAATGGAGGTGCTGCTTCGTTAGTCAGAGAACACACATTCATCTCATTTTGTTCTTGTCCACACTTAAACACACAGATTGTAGGCAAGAATTATAGAGGCATTTGGTGTACCAGCTAAGGAAAAGTTTACAGATGTCAAAAGTTCTTAATACACTTGTTAATTTAACACATATATTCTCTCTGAATCATCAAAGCTAACAGAAGGAACTGATATTATGGGTAATCCAAATATAATTTGCTTGGTTTTGAAAATTGTTCTGTTCTGACATTTGAATGCCAGTGTGCCTGGTGTTCAGGGAATTCACAACATGGAAGCAGCCATATGGTACCTGGTGGCCAGTGGCCTCTGAAAGAACAAGTGATTTCTCAGTCCTACTCCTGGTAATTGCCTCCCTGCTCTGGATCCCTCCCAAGCAAAAGTAGACACATTTCCCAACCTAGTGCAAAGCATCAGCCTGAGTGGAGCTGTCTACACCTTCTCATCTTATATGGAATTCTTTCTTCTCGTACTTGCAATAAGGATGACAGTAGGTATGATGAAAGGGCCTCAAACAAAAATAGACAACCCAAACCAACTTGCATCTATCTTCCTTCCTTCCATAATAGCTTATCTTTTAGTATTATTTCTGCCTTTAAAGATTATCTTGAGTTTATTATCCAAAATGGAAGAACATTCCATGCTCATGGGTAGGAAGAATCAATATCGTGAAAATGGCCATACTGCCCAAGGTAATTTATAGATTCAATGCCATCCCCATCAAGCTAACAATGACTTTCTTCACAGAATTGGAAACAACTACTTTAAAGTTCTATGGGACCAAAAAAGAACCCGCATTGCCAAGTCAATCCTAAGCCAAAAGAACAAAGCTGGAGGCATCACGCTACCTGACTTCAAACTATGCTACAAGGCTACAGTAACCAAAACAGCATGGTACTGGTACCAAAACAGAGATATAGACCAATGGAACAGAACAGAGCCCTCAGAAATAATGCCACATATCTACAACCATCTGACTTTGACAAACCTGACAAAAACAAGAAATGGGGAAAGGATTCCCTATTTAATAAATGGTGCTGGGAAAACTGGCTAGCCATATATAGAAAGCTGAAACTGGATCCCTTCCTTATACCTTGTACAAAAATTAATTCAAGATGGATTAAAGACTTAAACATTGGACCTCAAACCATTAAAACCCTAGAAGAAAACCTAGGCAATACCATTCAGGACATAGGCATGGTCAAATGCTTCATGTCTAAATCACCAAAAGCAATGGCAACAAAAGCCAAAATTGACAAATGGGATCTAATTAAACTAAAGAGTTTCTGCACAGCAAAAGAAAGTACCATCAGAGTGAACAGGCAACCTAGAGAATGGGAGAAAATTTTTGCAATCTACTCATCTGACAAAGGGCTAATATCCAGAATCTACAATGAACTCAAACAAATTTACAAGAAAAAAACAAACAACCCCATCAACCAGTGGGCGAAGGATATGAACAGACACTTCTCAAAAGAAGACATTTATGCAACCAAAAGACACATGAAAAAATACTCATCATCACTGGCCAACAGAGAAATGCAAATCAAAACCACAATGAGATACCATCTCACACCAGTTAGAATGGCGATCATTAAAAAGTCGGGAAACAACAGATGCTGGAGAGGATGTGGAGAAATAGGAACACTTTTACACTGTTGGTGGGACTGTAAACTAGTTCAACCATTGTGGAAGTCAGTGTGGCGATTCCTCAGGGATCTAGAACTAGAAATACCATTTGACCCAGCCATCCCATTACTGGGTATATACCCAAAGGATTATAAATCATGCTGCTATAAAGACACGTGCACACGTATGTTTATTGCGGCACTATTCACAATAGCAAAGACTTGGAACCTAGCCAAATGTCCAACAATGATAGACTGGATTAAGAAAATGTGGCATATATACACCATGGAATACTATGCAGCCATAAAAAATGATGAGTTCATGTCCTTTGTAGGGACATGGATGAAGCTGGAAACCATCATTCTCAGCAAACTATCGCAAGGACAAAAAATCAAACACCGCATGTTCTCACTCATAGGTGGGAATTGAACAATGAGAACACATGGACACAGGAAGGGGAACGTCACACACCGGGGCCTGTTGTGGGGTGGGGGGAGGGGGGAAGGATAGCATTAGGAGATATACCTAATGTTAAATGACGACTTAATGGGTGCAGCACACCAACATGGCACATGTATACATATGTAACTAACCTGCACGTTGTATACATGTACCCTAAAACTTAAAGTATACCTTAAAAAAAAAAACCAAAAAAAAGAATCAAAATTAATGTAGCTAAAATAAACTGTAGCTAAAATAATTTTCCAAATGATTATTTGAAATACAACCCTAAAATTCAACTCCCATTCAGACTGACTTAAATAATTAGGGTATATCCACACCAGGAAATAGGGTGAAACCTTTAATAAGAATGAAATTTAATTTCTATGGGAATATTGGGCTGGAAAAAAAAAAGGAATGAGATAAACATATGTACATGAAAAGATGCCCATGCTAAACTGTTAAAAGGAAAGAGGGGGTTACAATAAGTATAGCACTCTGTTTTTACTAACTAGTTAACTGAATACAACAGATTAATATGAATGAGAAAAAGATCAGGAAGGAAGCCTACCAAATTGTTAACAGTATTTACCTCTACAGGATAGACTTGAATGAATAGGGATGAAGAGCTTTTACTTTTTTTCTTGTTTTTTTTGAGACAGAGTCTCGCTTTGTTGCCCAGGCTGGAGGGCAGTGTTGTGATCTTGGCTCACTGCCACCTCTACTTCCTGAATTCAAGAGATTCTCATGCTTCAATCTCTTGAGTAGCTGAAATTACAGGTATACACGACCACACACAGCTATTTTTTGTATTTTTAGTAGAGATAGGGTTTCACCATGTTGGTCAGGCTGGTCTTGAACTCCTGATCTCAAATGATCCGCCTGCGTTGGCCTCCCAAAGTGTTGGGATTACAGGTGTGAGCCACTGCACCTGGCCTACTTTTTTCTTATATAATTCAAAAAATAGTAGAGTAATGAGTGATTTAGTGTTACTTATTCTTTTTATTTTCATATTAAGAAACTGAGTGTTTATACAATTCTTTGTGGTTCTATTTGAAAATAGGACCATTTGCTTTTTGAAAGCAAATTCATCTAAAATTCATCCTTCTCATTTTTATGTTTCTATTAACTATTGTGTTGACAGTGTTTTAACAAACAGTGGAATTTTTTTATATCGTTATGTATTTTTACCCTTTGATCTACTTTTGTTCACTTAAAAAAAACCTCGGCAGTTTGTCTCAACATTTTACTTAAAATTTTAATTATTTACATTTAAATGCATTTTAAGATATCTTTAATAGTTATGAAAATCATACACAATAAGGATGACTCAATATCATCTTGTTATAAGAGGTATATATCATGGGGAGACTGAATTAAAAGAACTTTCCATTTTTTCATTTATTTTAAGAACACATGATCAGATGTGGAGACTCTCCCCAGGGTTTTCATTTTATATAACTCATCTTAGAATAAACTGATAAATTAGTTTTATTAAAATACAAGAAGTAATTTGTTATTAAAAGTACAACATGAAAGAGGGAAAATACTACTAATAGTTAAAAGTTATTGAACACTTACCATTTGATAAGTACATGTACTGACTCATTTAGCCCAACTGGAAAACCATGATAGTTTCTCTCTCTTCCTTCTTTCTTTCTTTCTTTTCTTGTCTTTTCTGTTTTCTTATTTTTTTCAGGGTCTTGCTCTGTTGCATAGGCTGGAATGCAGTGATACAATCATAGCTCACTGCAGCCTCAACCTCCTGGGCTCAAGCAATCCTCCCACCTCAGCCTCCCGAGTACCTGAAACTAAAGGTTTGCACAACCACACCTAGCTATTTCTTTTTTCAAATTGTTTATGTTGTGTAGAGACAGGTCTCACTATGTTGCCCAGGCCGGTCTGGAACTCCTGGGCTCAAATGATCCTCCTGCCTCAGCCTCCTAAAGTGCTGGGATTATAGGCATGAGCCATCTTGCTCCGCCAATAGCCTTTGTTAGTATCCCTATGTTGCAGATCAGAAAACAAGCAGAGAAAAGTTAAGTAACTTGCCTAAGGCTGACAACAAGTGAGAGGCAGAAAGGGATTTGAAGACAATTTTAAATCTAGTATTCTTCCTTAATTTCTAGTATACTAGTTATACTAGTATACTAGGTTATACTAGAAATTAAGAAAGAGAGAGGGTGATTTCCCCAGGGATAGGAGGAAGGCTTCTTAGATTGGATGGTATGAGTACTATGTCATGTATACAGTATGGTTAAGAGACGAGTATGTGGATTGGCAATTTAACAAAGGAGAAGGTTCTGTTTAGAGAACTCTGTTCAGGAGGTAAGTCAACTGAAGGTAACTCACCTCCAAGTGAAAAGCAGTATACAATATTATGGGTACTCCTGAAAAGAAAGAAACTCATTTATAATCCAACTGCCTTAAAACAAAAATGATTCTAAATTTTTCTTTTATTTATCAAGCCTATATTGAGCACCAGCTCTGTTAATGCTCCCTTCTGAATACTGGGGTGTAGGAATATATTTAATATAATCCCTACCTGCAGGTAGCTCACAGCCAGGTATGGATCATTGAAAACACTGCAAGTCTATTTATACTGACAAGTAGATTCACATCCCAAATTGTATTTTTAGTGGGACGCCTCTTTCTGAGCAGTCACCACCTGCAGTTATTCTTTATAAGCCTCCTGCGATAAATGAGTATGAAGAATAGCAGTTGAAACAGTACAACCAAAATCTTTACTTTATCATACAGATGCAAGTCCACATGTCATCATGTTCCTTGTCTCCTCTCTTCTGAGTTGACTCTCTGAACTGTTGGATCCATCTCCTCCACTGTTTCTACCACTGTTGCTATTCTAGAATGCATCAAAACAAACTAGCCTAGCCAGGGTTTCCTGGGAAATTGGGTGACGTTGTGCAAAGGAAGCCTGGTGGAAGACAGAGCTGCAGCTCAGTGCTGCGGTCATCTTCAGCATTGATGAATGAGTCATCCTTCACAGATTAGCCGGTCAGGTCCTGTGAGGAAAGTCTGCTCTTGCTCATCCTTGAGTAATAAAGCTCAACTCCTTAGCAGCACCAGCCCCAGACTGTCACCTGCCAGCTTAGTTTGCCTCTCTTCCTCTTCATTTAGAATTATCTACAATGACATAGCAACTCTCTTGGGGACTCAAGCTTCCATATATTACCATTCTCAATAGGTAAATTCTTTGGGACTGAGAATGCAAACAAACAAACAAACAAACAAACAAAAAAACCACCATTTGACTTATTTAGAATTAGAGTAAGGAAATTCCTGAGTGATTCAGTGTTCTCATTTTACAGATGAGGCACAGAAAGGTGAGCTCACTTTCCGGAAGTCGATGGCTGAGTGAAGTGATCTAGCTTCAGGGTCAGAACTTTACTACTACATTTTAATTGACAATAGTTTGGTAATTTTTATTATTTTTTTAATTTTAGGGAAGGTAATAACTTTTCTGAAATTCAGTCAGGAACATAGGTTTGAAGCTTTTGAAGCAGAGATGTGAAAGAGAAACTAGGCCAAAAAGGACCTGAGGGTAAAATCATAAGGTTGACAATCATGACAGTCAAAGAGGGTAGTGGCGATTCTTTCATTGGTCGGACCTCTCTGCTCATTATCCATGAATGATGAACTAACTCCGTGCTAACACTCAAGCATAGGCCATTAACAGAGTGGCTGTCTCTCGGTGCAGCACAAAGGGTAAATGAGTAGGATTTGAATTGGTAGAGGTAGAGGGGCATTCTGACATGAACCATCCTCTCCTGCTTCACTAAGACATTGCTGTTCCCTCCGTAAAGACTTCCTGATCGTAGCGTGGCAGGTATCAATGTTAGAAGAAGCCTTAGATGAGTTCGTGTCAAAATCAATGTGGAAAACCCTTCCAGATCACTCCAGATAGACAAAGGCTTTATAGTTTGCTTAAATGCCACTTATAAGAAGCACATTACCTCAACAGACAGCCCATCCTATAATTGGATAACTTCATAGAAAGAAAGTACTACCTTTATTTTTGCAGTCATCTGCCTTCTATAACATTTGCCCACTGGTCCCCTCAAGGAAGTGTGAGATCACCTCTTGGGACTTGTAAAATGATCAGCTCAACCTTTGATTTCCCTCACCCTATAACCAGCCAAGATGATTTCCATTTGAAATAATCAGTTCTTCCCTGAATACCTTCATTAAACATACCTTTATTATATACTTACTCTATGTGCAAACCATGCCAAAAGCTAGGAATATTGAGCAGATAAACAACTGTCCTTGTTAGTTTATGGTACAGATCCTTAGAAAAACAATTATAGTGTAAAATGATCGTCGATGTGCCTAACCCTAACCCTAACCCTAACACAGATGCTTAGCACAATGCCTGGTACATGGTAGCTACTTGGTAAATATTCGTAGAAAAATAAATTCCTTAAGTTAGCATTAATTGGGCAGGTGATAAGAGAAACTTTTTAGAAGAATTGGCGTTTGAATTAAGTCTTTGAAAACTAAGTATTTATGACTTACACCAAGTAAGAGGTTCTAAGCTGAACTCCATTTTAACTTTTCAGTATACTCAGATCTAGGAAATAGTGAAGTCAGGTTTGGTGGATGCTCAAGGCAGGAACTATAACCCTTGTTCTGGTTTTCTAGTATTGCCAGTGAGAGAGAAGAGCTTCTACTAGCCACAGGCCTTCTTTACTCTCCCTGGTTCAAGACATCACCATCCCTACCACTGAGCACACCAACCTCCCTCGTTTACCTAGTGTGCACATGCTATCCTGGAAGAGGAAAAGGAGAAAAGAAATGCAAATATAAAAGCAGGCTTCAGGAGCCACAAGATATGTCCATTTGTTTGCACATGCGCACTCACACACATACACACAACACACATTTGTATACACAATGAGAGGCAATGAGATGCAGTGGAAAAACTGGATCTTTGGAATAAGGTAGGCATTGGTTTGAGCCTTGCCTCCACCACTTCCTACCTGTATGACCCAAGGTGAACCCTTCGTCTTCTCAAGCCTCAGTTTTCTCACTTGTAAAAGGGAAAAAAAGAGTTACCATCCCACAGATCTGTTATAAGAGTTATCTCAAAGTGTGTATGCAACATGCCACCTTTCCTGCAAAGTAGAGAAAGGCTTACTTTCACCTTTCAAAATCTGTTGCCTGGTGAAGTAGAGTGAGGGTCTCCTCCATCATAATAAGGTCGTCTCCCACCAAGGTGCTAGAAGGCCCTTTCTCCATCAAAAATTTACTCAACAGAAAAAAGGTCACCAGTTAATATTTCAGTTTATGACCTCCAAGGACTATTTTGCAAACCATCTCACACTTCCTCATGTTGCATCAGCTGAGATATTTTCTGAGATTTTGTTCTCTGAGTTCAAGGCTATGTCTTGTTTGTCTTTGTATCACTTTAAGTATCCTGTGCTTGTAAAGTGTTTTTGCACTGCAGGTGAAGGTCAGTGTGACCTGGGAAAGGGGCACAGCCTTACTTACCGACTTCCAAGGCATGTATGTGCATTTTGAGTTCAAATACAGATTCCATTACTTGCCAAATTGGGGAAGCAAGTTAACCTCCCAGACTTTCCTTCTCTCATCAGTCACATAAGGAAAATAGTGTCCTTCTTACAGGTGTGTTAGGGGATTTGCAGAAATACTTTAGCAAAGAACTTAGAACAATGCCAAGTGTCTTATTTAAAATGTTGTGTGTGTGTGTGTGTGTCTGTATTTACTTCAGCTTTTTGTTGTTTCTCTGAGATGAAAGAGGGCTTAGAAATGTGTTTTTTTTTTTTTCAATTTTCTCTTTGATCTTCAGTCACTCTCTGACCTTGGAGAGGTGGACATAATGAGGAAAGCCATCAACTAGTATTTTTGAAATGTTAACTATTCTCTCTGGGTCGATGATTCCTCAACTACAAAACTGTGATGCAAATGCTACCTTCACAGTGTTCCCATAAGAATTAAATGAGCCAGCATCTGTGCAGTGCCTTGCTCAGAGCAGGTGCTTAATTAATGGTAGTGATGATTAGTAATGCTATCATTAAATGCATCCAAAGCACCGACTTCTTCTTTCCTAAAACAACCTCAGAATTATTTGTTTACATGAGGAATAATATCACCATCTTTTAAAAAATGTATCTGCATTAGATTGTCAAAAAGCTGCCACACACACACACATGCACACACACACACACACACACACACACAGAATTAATTGACTCTTACATTGGAGCAAGATACAAATACCTTCTATTCTCTAGTACTAATTATGTTTGTTTGTGTGTCCCTACTAATGAATCAAGTTTATGCTTAAGGACAAAATAAATAAATAAATTATTTCCAATTTAAGACTAAGAATCTAAGAATATTTAAAAAGTATCCTGCTGTTTTTTGAATAAATTCTCTAAAAAGTAGGAAAAAAAGGGCAATCCCTTTAATGAATGCGTCTTCTCTAGCATTTCCACTTAGCTATTGCATTTGGAAATGAAACCGTCTCTTTCCGGTTTCATTTTCAAAGGTGGTAATATTAATACTAATACTAACAAAGTAGCAAATATAACTACTTCAACCACCCCAACGCAGGACCACCATGTTTAAACTTCATGTAACATTAATCACTTTGAAAAATATACTTACCTTATTTGGAGGAGAACAGAACAGCTACCATGATTAAATCAGTTGTTGTTATATACAGGTCAAAGTCAAAATTAATCAACTAATTACATAACAGTCATAGTTATTCCTCCCTTTCCTTGTTCCCCTATTCTTTTATTTTCTCCTTCCTTCCTTCCTTACTTTTTCCTTCTCTCTCTCCTTCTGATTCCCTTTTCTTTTTTCCTCCCTCCCTTCCTCCCTTCCCCCTTCCATCTCCCATCCATTTTT
This sequence comes from Homo sapiens, assembly GCF_000001405.40. Taxonomy (NCBI): domain Eukaryota; kingdom Metazoa; phylum Chordata; class Mammalia; order Primates; family Hominidae; genus Homo; species Homo sapiens. Next base: position 87,922,872 of record NC_000011.10, on the reverse strand, counting down.
CTTCCTTTATTCCTCCTCTCTGTTTCCGCTGTCTTTTCCTCCCCTCCCTCCCTTTTCCCTTACTCTTGCTTCCATCTTTCCTCCTTTCTTATTTATTTTATTCCTTTAAAATATGTACTGAGTGTCAACATGTTCCAGTCACTGTATAAAGTTGTTGGCATAAAAAAATAAATAACTACCACATTTCCATGTACCACAAACCTCATACTGAAAATTTGCTCAGTGTTTTGCAGTGTAAAAATAATTTGGCTCCTTTATTTTAAGAGGGAAAATCTCCATAAGATGACTCAATTATATATATTTTTTTCAGGTGAGAAAAATGAGGCTTGGAAAATTTGAATGACTTGTCAAATATGAATATGACAGGTAATTAAGCATTGCCCTGTCTTAAAAGGGTGAAAAGAAATAAGTAGGAAAATTCTGTATTTAAAAATATTCCCACAGAGGAAAAACAAAAACTAGATCTCCATGATTGAAACAAAAACAGTGCTTTCTACTTAGGAGTTACTCTGCTCCAGTAGCTTGTATTTTTTAATTAATAAATGTGAAATAAAGATGGTCCAGAAATAATAGAATTCTCCTCGTTAGAGGGTGTGCATTGTGGGGGTGGATGACAGATTTACCAGTATAGTCTTTCCCTTTTGAGGCTGCACAATCTGTCTCCCTAATGCAATATAATTACCATCCAAAGTGACACACTGCATGAAGCATCTTGGGATGGAAGTGGAGTTTATTGTGTTCTGGAAATATTTACAGTCATATAAGTTAGACGCTGTCATGAAACCAGTCTAAAACACTATTTAAAATTCTCACTTGGTATATGTTTAAAACATTCTCTTCAGAACAAAGGGTACAGGTGCTTTTGAGAATACTTATTACTTATCTGTCTACCTGCCTACCATTTTTCTCCTTCCTTGTGGTTGGCAGAATCCTGATTTTGCTCAAGTACAGTCCTATGCTCATGTGTTTCATTGCTTAGAAGACTAGATCATCTCTTTAATCATTTTTATCCAATGTGCTGCTTCAAAATGGGACTTACAGTTTTGTTGAAATAAACTAGCTGCTATCTGAGAAAAAAAAAGGCTCTACCAACCAATATTTTTACTCAGTTATTCATTTAAAACTTTTCCTGAGTGCTTACTATGTGCCAGGCACATACTAGGACCTGGGGATGCAAGGATGAATAATACCAATCTCTAAGCTCAAGAAGCTTACAGCTGGTAAAAGAGAAAAGAGTCAAAAGGTACCTGAAGTACAGAGAGAGTAATGTTGTCATATCTAAATGTGTATATATATAATATATATTATATATAATATTTTATATATAGAGAGAGATTTACAATGAAATTATTTCTCAATAAACCCATAAGCTGAAAATATCATGTCAAAAATGCATTTAATATGCCTAACTTACTAAACATCATAGCTTAGCCGAGCCTACCTTGAACATGCTCAGAACACTCATATAAGCCTACGGTTGGGCGAAATCATCTGGTAACACAGTACACTGTAGTGTATTGGCTGTTTACCCTTATCCCATGGCTGAACGACTGGGAGCTATGGCTTATTGCCACTCCCCAGGAACACAGGAGAGTATCACTAGCCCAGGAAATGATCGAAATTCAAAGTATCGTTTCTACTTAATATGGATTGCTTTCACACCATCATAAAGTTTACACATTTTAAAGTCAAACCATCATAAGTCAGAAACTGTCTGTAGTTATACATAGCAGTCCTCATGAATACATTAATGCCATTATCACAGGAATGGGTTCCCTATTGTCAGAGTGGGTTTACCCCCTCTTGTTCATTCTGTCTTTTCACCATGTGATGCCTTCTGTCCTGTTATGATGCATCAAGAAGGCCCTTGCCAGATGCCAGCCCCTTGGTCTTGGACTTTACAGCCACCAGAACTGCGAGCCAGTAAATCTCTAATTATAGATTACCCAATATGTGGTGTTCTGCTATATTTATATAATATGTACTAAAACAATGATAAAGGAATCAATTCATCAAGGAAATGCAACAACTGCAAATACATGTTCACCCAACATGGAAGTACCAAAATATAAAAAGCAATGATTAATAGATCTGAAGGGAGAAATAGACTACAATACAATAATATGCAGTAATTCAATACCCCATGTTCAGTAATGGACAGATCATCCAGAGAGAAAATCTGTAGGAAAATGTTAAACTTAAACTGTACTTTAGACCAAATGGACCTAATAGACATACACAAATACTGCATTCAACACCTGCAAAATACACATTCTATTCAACTGCACACAAACGATTCTCCAGAATAGATCATATATTAAACCACAAAATAAGCCCTAACAAATTGAAGAAGATTGAAATCATATCAAGTATCTTTCCTGACCACAATGGTCTAAAATTAGAATTCAATAATAGGAAAAATATCAGAAAAAGTCACAAATATGTGAAAATTGAACAATGTGTTCCTAAACAACCAATTGGTCAATGAATAAATCAAAAGAGAATTTTTTTTAATCTTGAGCAGAAAATGGAAACACAACATTTAAAACTTATGGGATGCATAAAAATAACAGTCCTAAGAGAGAAGATTATAATAATAAATTCCTACATCAAAAAAGAAGAAAGATCCCAAATAAGCTAACATTAAACCTTAGAGAAACAGAAAAAGAAGAATAAACTGAGCTGAAAATTAGCAGAAGGAAGAAAATAATAAAGATCAGAGCAGAAATAAATAAAATACAGATTATAAAAACAATAGAAAAGATCAACAAAACTAAGGATTGTTTCCTTGAAAAGACAAGCAAAATTGACAAACCCACAGCTAGACTATGGGAGAAGTCTCAAATAAAGGGAGAAGACTCAAATAAATAAAAAGAGAAATGAAAGAAATGACATAACAACCCATGCCACAGAAATACATTTGTCAGACTTACTTAGGGTAGGTGAATTTTATTAAAGTATCATAAGAGACTACTAAAACAATTATATGCCAACAAATTTAAGTTAAATGAAATGAATAAATTCCTAGACATATAAAATCCACCATGACTGAATCATGAAGAAACAGAAAATCTGAACAGACCAATAATGGTTAAGAGCATAGTAAATCAATAATAAAAATTCTCCCATCACAGAAAAATCTCAGGACCAGATGGCTTCAATGCTGAATTCTACCAAATATTTAAGTAACTAATACCAGTCTTTCTCAAACTTTTCTGAAAAACAGAAGAGGAAAGAACGCTTCCCAACTCATTTTAGAAAGCTGGCATTACTCTAATACCAAAGCCAGACAAGGACACCACAAGGAAAAAAAAAATTACAGGCCAACATCCCTGATAAATGATGGATTAAAAATTCTTAACAAAATAATAGCAAACCAAATTCAACAGCTTATTAAAAGGATAATTCACTATGAGCAAGTGGGGTTAATTCCTGGAATTCAAGAACAGTTTAATATAGGCAAATCAATAAATTCCATATATCACATTAATAAAATAAAAAAAAACTATGATAATCTCAACAGATGAAGAAAAGAAATTCAATAAAATTTAACATGCTTTCATGATAAAAACTCACAACAAATTAAGTAGAACTGTTCCACAACACAATAAAGGCCATATAAAAAATTAATAGCTAAACTCATACTCAACAGATGCATAGACCAATAAAATTTAATAGAGAGCTGAGAAATAAATCCACACATTTACAGCTACTTCATTTTTGACAATGATGTCAAGAAAATGCACTGGAGGAAAGGCAGTCTATTTAATAAATGGTGTTGGAAAACTGGATATCTACACACAGAAGAATGACATTAGACCCTTATCCCTCACCACTTATAAAAATCAAAATTGATTAAAGACCTAAACTGTAAATACAGTATAAGAAAACATATGGGGAAAGCTTCATGTCATGTTTTTGGGCAATGATGTTTTTTTTTTTTACTGTGACCCAGAAAGCACAAGCAACAAAAGCAAACACAGACAAATGGGATCACACCAAACTCAAAAGCTCTTGCACAGGAAAAGAAACAATTACTAGAGTAAGGAGACAACCTATGGAATGGAAGTAAATATTTGCAAAACATACATCTGATAAAGACTTAATATTCTAAACATATTTGAAACTTAACTCATAAAAAGAAAACAATAACTTGATTTAAAAATGGGAAAAATACCGCAATAGACATTTCTTAAAAGGTGTAGAAACAGCCAACAAGTATATGGAAAAAAATGATCACCAGTAGTCATCAGGGAAATACATATGAAAACCACAGTGAAATTCATCTAATACCTGTAAAATGGCTTTGGTCTTATGTGACAAATGATAAGAAGTATTGGCAAAGATATGGAGAAAAGAGAATCCTTGTACACTGTTGGTGGGAATGTAAATTAATACATCATTATGGGAAACAGTTTGGAAGTTCCTCAAAAATTAGAACTACTATATGATCCAGTAATTTCACTACTGGTTATAAATCCAAATAATTTGAAATCAGTATGTAGAAGAGAGATCTGTATTCCCACGTTCATCGCAGCATTATTCATAATAGCCATGATATGAAATAAATCTAAGTGTTCATCAGTGAATGAATGGATAAAGAATATGTGGCATATATACATGATGAAGTACTATTCAGCTATACAAAGAAGGAAATTCTGTCATTGTGACAACATGAATGAACCCGGAGGATGTGTTAAGTGAGGTAAGCCAAGCATAAAAAGAAAAGTACCACATGATCTCACTTATATACGGAGTGTAAAAAAGTTGAACTGATAGTAAAATGGTGGCATCCTGAGGCTGGGGGGCGGGGGGCATGAGGAGTGGGCAGGTGTTTGTCAGAGGACACAAAACTTCAGTTGGCCCTCTATATGGGTCTTCCCTCTGACTAGAACTTAAAGTCTCTGTGTCAGTATGGTGTAATTTCTATTGTTTTTGCCCCTTACCAATCTCCCCCTTTCTTTTATTAAAAAAAATTTTAACCAGAAAATAAGGATAGTTAAATCCTGAGATAGGGATTAAGTCATGGTTTAAATGAGGAACAATCAATGCATCAGATTCTGTCCTCTTCTCTGCACACAGTGAATTTATAGTTAAGGATCCCTTTGCTATGAGGGTAGAAAACCTCACTGACTGCACCAATGAGGAAGAAGAGTGCATGGACTCACAGGGAGCCTCACAGCAGCCACATGGCAAGCTCCAGGTGGAGGTGCCATTAAGGCATGTTCTCTCCTTGTTGGTGCCGATAACAATAGGGAACAATGCAGCATGCATTTTAAGACCTGGCCTGGAATAAATATGTTTTGTCTTTCCCTCCCTGAAAAAAAAAAAAAAAAAAAAAAACACTTCAGTGAGACAAGTGAAATAAGTTCAATAGATCTACTGTATGACATGGTGGTGATATAGTCAATAATAATGTATCACCATAATTTATTCTATATACATTTTGAACATAAGTTGAGCTTTCTCAAACCAGAAGCAAGAATTAGTCATTCTTGACACATTTTCCTGTTCTCCACCTCCTCCCAGTTTTTCAGTGTGCTAGAACCAGATATCTGCCTTATACCACCATTTCCTGATGACCATCTCTCTACGAGTCATATAGACTCATCCTTGACTCACCTTGGTGACCCCCACAATACCCCACGCACGGTGCAGGTATGCCACAGTGACCACCTCTAAGTCTCAGCATCCCTCCATGGAACTTGTGCCTACTTTCTCTGAACCCACCAATTAGACTTCCCCATAAGAAACCTGCTTGGGCAATGCCCCAGCCCAGTAAAGGTTTTGGCCCTCATGTCCCTTGCTCTCTCTCTCCCCTGCTTCCCTGCCACTGGTTAAATATGCATATGTCCTGGATGACTCTCCACTTCCCATTGATCCTGTGAGGTATGCTAACCCCTTCTCTCTGGGATTTGTAAGTAATCCACTAAAAAAATCATAAGCATGTGAGATAATACATATGTTAAATAGCTTCATTTAGTCAGTCCACTATGTATACAAAACATCATGCTGCATACAATAAATATGGAGATTTTTATCATCAGTTCAAAAAAGTTAGAAGTCAATAGACTGGATTTTGAAAACAACAACAAAATAAGCAAAATTCAACTATACATTGCCTACAAGAAACCCAATTTAAATATAAAGACAAAAACAGATTTAAAGTAAGAAGGAGAGAAAGACATAATAATTGTCTCAGTCTGTTCTGTATTGCTATAACAGAATACTTGAGACTGGGTAACTTATAAAGAAAAGAGGTCTATTTAGATCACAATTCTGCAGGCTGGGAAGTATGAGAAGCACATTGTTGGTATCTAGTGAGGTCCATGTGCTGGGTCAAGCCATGGCAGAGGAGGTCAAAGAGGAAGTGGACACATGTGAAGAAGCAAAATTAAGGGGCACCCTCACTTTATAACAAAACATGCTCAGTGGAACTAATCCATTTCTGTAAGAACTAATCAATCTCCCAGAGCAAGAATTCAGTCATTACCACAAGAACTGTACCCAGACATTTATGAAGTATCTGCCCCCATGATTCAAATACCTCCCACTAGGCCCCACCTCTCAACACCTTCACATTGGGGATCAAATTTCAACCTGAGTCTGATGGCGAAAAACCATACATAAACCAGTGCATTCCACTCCTGGCCCCTCAATACTGATGTCCATCTCTCATATAAAATACAGTCATTCCCTCCCAATAGTCTCCCAAAGTCCTAATTTGTGTTAGCACCAAAACAAAAGCCAAAATCAGTCCCATCTGAGACAGGTCAAGCTCCTTCCAGTTTTGAGTGTAAAATAAAAGTTATTTACTTCCAAGACACAATTGTGAGACAGACATTTGGTAAATATTCCCATTCCAAAAGGGAAAAGTCATCCAAAAGAAACTAACAACAGGCCCCAAGCAAATAAAAAACCTGATGGAGCAGACATTAAATCTTAAAGATCATAAATAATCTTTGACTCCACGTCCCACATCCTTGGTGCACTGGTGTGAGGGGTGGACTCCCAAGGCCTCAAGCAGTCAGTCCCACCTCATGGCTTTGTTACCAGAAAGCAGTCTTGATTCAGACCCCAAGACAAGGTTCTTGGATCTCACACAAGAAAGAATTCAAGGGGAGTCCATAGAGTAAAGTGAAAGCAAGTTTATTAAGAGAGTAAAGCAATTAAAAAATGGCTATTCCATAAGCATGCCGCTGGTTGTCCATTTTCATGGTTCCTTCTTGATTACATACTAAACAAGGGGTGGATTATTTGTGAGTTTTCCAGGAAAGGGGTGGGCAATTCCCAGAACTGAGGATCCCTCCCCTTTTTAGACCATATAGGGTAACTTCCTGACATTGCCATGACATCTGTAAACTGTCATGGCACTGGTGGGAGTGTCTTTTAGCATGCTAATGGATTACAATTTACATGAATTATAATTATACATGTAATGAGCAGTGAGAATGACCAGAGGTCAGTTTTGTCGCCATCTTGGTTTTGGTGGGCTTTAGCCAGCTTCTTTACTGCAACCTGTTTTATCAGCAAAGTCTGTATCTCATGCCATCCTCCTATCTCATTGTGTGACTGAAAATGCCTTAACTTCCAAGGAATGTAACCCAGTAGGTCTCAGCCTTATTTTACCCTATTTAAGATGGAGTCACTCTGGTTCAAATGCCTCTGACAGCTTTGCTAGGCACAGCTCACATGCCTGCTGTCATAGATTGGAATCAAATGCCTATAACTTTTCCATTTGGGGTTACATACTGCCACTGGCTCTACCATTCTGGGGTCTGGTAGTGGCCTACACCTATGGATCCACTAGGTATTGTCCTAGTGGGGATTCTCTGTAGTGGCTCTGCCCCTCAGGCAGGTTTTGGCCTAGTATCCCAAGTTTTCTGATACAACCTCTGAAATCTAGGTGGAGGCTGCCAAGCCTCTGTGGCTTTTGCATTCTGGGCACCTGCAGCCCTAACACCTTGTAGAAGCTGCCAAAGCTTACCACCTGACTGCTCCAAAGTGGAAGCCTGGGTCACACTTGGGGCCACTGGAGACATGGCTGCTTCAGCCAGAGCAGCTAGGATGCAAGAAGCAGTGTCCTGAAACAATGCAGGGCAGCAGTCCCTCAGGCCTGTCCTCTAAAACTATTTTATCAGGACCTGGATGGGAGGGGCAGCCTGGAAAATCTTTGAAATGGTGTCAGGGCCTTTTTCTCAGTGTTTTCACTATTACGTAACAAGCAGTCACTTGACTGCACCCTTGGATTCCTCTTCTGAAAACACTTTTTCATTCTCTACCCCATAGGTAGGCTAAACATTTCTCCAATTTTTATGCTCTGCTTCCCTTTTAATTATAAATTCTACCTCTAGGTCATTTCTTTGCTCCCATAACTGAGCATGAGCAGTGAAAAGTAACCATACCACTTCTTGGAGACTTTGCTATTGGAAATTTCTTCCACCAGATATCCTAGTCCATCACTCTTAAGTTCAGTCCTCCACAGGGCCCTACAGCGTGAACACAAGGCAGCCAAAAATTTTGCTACAATGTAACAAGGGTGACCTTTGCTTCAGTTTTCAAATAAATACTCTCCATTTCTACCTAAGACTTTATCAAAATGGCCTTTACTGTCTATGTTTCTATCAATGTTTTGGTCACAGCCATTTAATCTCTAAAAAGCTTCAAATTTTCCCTCTTTTTTTTGTGTTCTTCCGAGTCCTCATCACAATCACCCTTAATGATCTGTTCATGGAAACAGAGCCTTTTTCAAGCCTAATCCTCCAAACTCTTTCAACCTTTGCTCATTACCCAATTTGAAATCCACTTCCACACTTTAAGGTATTTTTACAGCAACACTCCATTCCTGGTACCAGTTTTCTACCTTACTCTGTTTTCTGTTTCTTATAACAGAATATCCAAAACTAGGTTATCTCTAAAGAAAAAAAAAATATTTCTTACAGTTATGGAGGCTGAGAGTTCCAAGAATGAGGTCCTCTTGCCGGCGGAACTCTCTGTAGAGTCCTGAGGTAGCACAGAGTGTCACACAGAAGGGGCTGAGCATGCTACATCACAACATGGTGGGGAAAGTCAAGGGGAAGTAGATATATGCGAAGAGGCAAAACCTGAGGGGGCATCCAGGCTTTATAACAACCTGCTCTCAAAGCGTCAGTCCCACAAGAATGAATTCAGTCTTGCAAGAGACTACCGTGAGAACAGCAACAAACCATTCACAAGAGATTCACCCTCATGACTCACATATCTCCCACTAGGGCCCACCTCCCAATACCACCACATTAGGGATCAAATTTCAATGTGACTTTTGGTGGAGACAAGTCATATTCAAACTCCAGCGCCAGGCTATCAAAGAAAGCTAGAATGACTATATTCATATTACACAACTCATGGAAAGAAACATTACCAAAGATATAGAGGGTCATTTTTTAATGTTCAGGGGTTACTTAATCAAATGGCATTACAAAATTCAAAATATTTCTACACCTAATAACAGAACTTCAAAATACCAGAAAGAAAACCCTTGACAAAACTTCAAGGGGTAATAAGCAAATTCACAATTAAAATGAAAGATTTTAACATTCCTCCATGATAACTGATAGAAAAAGTAGACAGAAAATCTGTATCTTCAATAAAGACACAGAAGACTTGAAAAAACATAAACCAACTTGAACGGCTACTACTTGACATTTATAGAACACTCCACCCAACCATAGTAGAAAATGCATTAGTTTCAAGTACACATGAAACATTTACCAAGTTAGACTGTATTCTGGCCAAAAAGGAAGTTTTAATAAATTCAGTAATAGAAAGATAGCTGGAAAATCCCCAAATATTTGGAAACTAAATATCACACTTGTAAAGAAACTATAAGGAAAAGAAGAAAGCTAAAGTGGGATGTCAAAACATTGTGAACTGGACGAAAATGAAAACACTGCATATCAACATTTAAGAGATGTGCCTACATGTATCCCAGAACTTAAAGTAAAATAAAATAAAATAAAATAAAGAGATGTGCCTAAAGTAGCAGATAAAGAAAAATACTATAGTGCTGAATATGTTTAGTATAAAAGAAAAAACTTCTACCTGAAGGAACTAAAAAAAAAAAAAAAGAAAGAAAGAAAATTAAACCCAAAGTAAGTAGAAAAAAGGAAATAATGAATATCAAAGTGGATATCAATTAAATAGAAAACAAAGCAATAGAGAAAATCATCAAAACCAAAAGCTGGTTCTTTAAAGAGATCAATGAGTCTGACAAACATCTAGCAGGAAGGATTAGGGTAAAAAAGAGAGAAAGCAAAAAACAACATAAATTACCAATATCAAGAATAAAATAAGTGACAACTACAGATTCTACAAATATTAAAAGAGTAATAAGTGAATATTATGAATAACTTTATGCAATACATTGGACACTTAGATGAAATGGACTAGTCCTTTGAGACACAAACTATAAAAAGCTCATGCAAAAAGAAATAGGTGACCTGAATAGCCCTATATCAATTAAAGGAATTTAGTTTGTTAAAAATCTTCACACAAGGAAAACTCCAGTCTGAAATGTCTTCACTGGGGAATTCTACTAAACAAAGAGAAAAAATAATGCAACTTCTAAACAAACTATTTCAGAAAATCAAAAAGGAGCAAATGCCTCCCAATTTATTCTATGAGACCAGTATTACGCTGACACTAAAACCAGACTAATATATTAAATAAAATGAAAATTACAGACCACTATCCCTTATGAAAATAAATGCAAAACTTCTTAACATTTTAGAAAATTGAATCAAATGATATATAATATGGTTAATTCATCATGACCAAGTTTATCCCAGAAATGTGAGGTGGGTTTTAATATTTGAAAATCAATCCATTTAATTCATTACAATAAGAGACTAAAACAGAAAAAAAGATCATCTCAATAAATATAAAAAAATTTTGCCAAAATCCATATCCATTCCCAATAAAGCTTCTCAGCATACTAGACATAGAAGAGAATTTCTTCCAATTGATAAATGGCATCTGTAAACAACTTTCCCCTAACATTACAGTTATTAATGAAACTGAATGCTGTATCTTTAATATAAGAAACACAGCAAGCATGCATATTCTCATCACTTACACTAACTACTATAATTATGATACTAGCCAGTACCACAAATCAAGAAAAAGAAATAAATGACATCCATATTAGAAAGAAAGATGTAAAGATATCTATTACCAGATAGTATGATCCTTTACATTGAAAATCCTATGGAATCTTCAGAAAATTCTATAATTTATGTATAAAAATCAATCATGTTTCTATATACTAGCAAAGAACAACTGGAAGTTGAAATTAAATAAAGAATCAGAACCATCAAAAATATAAAATATGTATAAATCTGGCAAAAGATGTACAAGTCTTATAAAATAAAGACAATAAAAACCTTGTGAAGCAAACTTACAAAGACCTAATATATGATGCTATGTATCATGATCAAGGACTCGGAGACTCAAAAAGGTTAAGATGTTATTTCTCTCTAAATTGATCTATAGATTCAATTCCTTCAAAATCTCCATAGGCTTTTTATAGAGCTTGACAAGTTGAATCGAAAATTAATATGGAAATTCAAAGGGCCTAGAAGAGTCAAAACAACTTTGTGAAGAAGAAACACATTTGAATATTGACTTTAATTCACCAACCAACTTTTAAGACTATAGTGTAGTTACTATAGTCAAGTCTCTATGGTACTGTCATCAAGATAAACAACCTTCAGTGGAATAGAATACAAATTTATACATAATCTACACATATATGGTCAGTTGACTTTAGACAAAGACACAAGTGCAAGCAGATGAGAAAAGATAGTCTTTTCAACAATACTGAAACAGATATCCACATGCAAAAAAATAAAAAAACAAAATATTGAACTTGAACCCATACCACGTAAAAGTGAACTTTGAGGCTGCGCACTGTGGCTCATACCTGTAATCCCAGCACTTTGGGAGGATGAGGTGGGCTGGATCACAAGGTCAGGAGATCGAGACCATCCTGGCCAACATGGTGAAACCCCGTCTCTACTAAAAATACATTAGCTGGGTGTGGTGGTGCATGCCTGTAATCCCAGCTACTCGGGAGACTGAGGCAGGAGAATCACTTGAACCAGGGAGTCGAAGATTGCAGTAAGCCGAGATAGTGCCACTGCACTCCAAGCTGGCGACAGAAAGAGACTCCATCTCAAAAAAAAAAAAAAAAAAAAAAAAAAGAAAATGAACTTTGAAGTGGATCATAGATCTATATGTAAGACCTAACACCACATAACTTCTAGACGTAAACATAGGACAAAATGTTTGTAACTTTGGGTTAGACAAATATTATTTGGATATTTTATCAAAAGCAGAATTCATAAAAGAATGAATTAAAAAATTTGACTTTATCAAAAGAAGAAATGAATGATCTTCAAAAGTCGCTGCTAAAAGAATGAAAAAAAAGGCAGACTAGGAAAACTATTTTCAAGTCATATATCTGATAAAGACTATCAAGAATATATAAAGAAATCTTAACATTCAACCAAAAGAAAACATGCAACCCCAATGAAAAACATGGGCAAAAGATTTGATAATACATTCCACCAAAAAAGACACATAGGTGGATTCATCATATGAAAACTTGCTCAACATAATTAGTTAGTAGAAAAATTAACATTGAAACTATAGTAAGATACCATGCTCAACATAATTAGTTAGTAGAAAAATTAACATTGAAACTATAGTAAGATACCACTACACATCTATTAGAATGTCTAAAATTCAACAGAAATAACCATATTAAGTGTTGGCAAGGGTGCTGAGTAAATGAAACTTTTATATATTACTGGCAGAAACATAAAAGGGTCTAACCACGCTGAAAAACACTTTGGCAGTTTCTTAGAAAGCTTAATGTGTACCTACCGTATAAATTAGCTATTCCACTCCGTGTTATTTAAGATAAATTAATGCATATGTTTATATAAAGATTTGTAAATGAATGTTCATAGAAACTTTATTTTCAGTAGCCCAAAACTAAAAACAACTCAAATGTCTATCAACAGTGTAATGAATAAGCCAATTTACTTAGCAACAAAAAGTAAGGAACAATTGGTAACACCCAACAATAAGGATGCATCTTAAAATAAGTGTGATGAATAAAAGAAACCAGAAGAATAAAAAGAGCATATACTGTATGAATGCTGGGTAAAGTAGGGGTAGGGAGGCACAAAAGAGAAGGACTACAAGGGGCATGGAGAAACATTTGAGTTTGATAGATATGTTTATTATATTGATTTTGATTCTGATTTTATGGATGTACACATTTGTGGAAACATATAAAATTATACACTTTAACTATATATAGTATGTCAATTATACCTTAACAAGATTGTTTAAAAGGAGAGAGAAAGAGAGACAGAGAGAGAGAGAAAGAATATTCTGGGGCTCCACCTAAACTCAGTTGAGAAAGAATGCAATGAATTTGCGTCACAGATGAGGAATGCCCTTCTTAACTCCTGCAAAATATGAGAAGTAAGAAAGGTGCTGTGGCACATAGGAAGGGCATATAACCACGCTTTAGCAAGTCAAGATATTATCCTAGAGATATTGTACTTACATTGACTAGTAAATGCTAATACAAGTAGCTAAATGAAAAGAGAAAAAAAGTTCAAGAAATTTTCCCAATAGGGATCTTGCCTAAGGAAAGACCCAGAGGTAAAGAAGAAAATGATTCATTTCAGGAATTTGAGATACTATAAATGATTCTTAAGAGGCATATAATGGTAGAGGCAAGAGGATATATGTGAGTACACAGATCCATGATAATATTATCATGACCCTGAGGAACTGGAATACACTGAAGCATCCTCTGCTTCAATAATATTAAATTGTTTCCATTACAGTTTCAGTTGTGACTATTTTTGATGCATTCCATTTTGTTCCAAGATAGAAATCAATATGAGGAAAAATTTTTAATAAAACAAGCATTTTGAAATGCTCCAATATTCCTAACATTCAGGATAAGAAAAAGCTCACCACCTTAAGATTATGTTGTGACCGAATACAGGAAACAGGAAGGTAAGAAACTCATTATCTGCCCACATATAGTCAATTTCAAAACTTCCCAAACATTCCTGTTCAGCTGTAAATAATATAGGTTTATGGTTTAGAATTTTAAAATTGCATAAACTGCAAATTTACCTTTGATTCTTAAAAAAAATGACTCAACCTGCAAATTGATGTGTGACAGGCACAGTGCTAGACACTGAAGTCACAAACATAAGAACAATGAAGTTCTACCACTTGGGAAAAATTAGACTGTGATTAATTCAGAGTAAGTAAGCAGACCTCCATAGTTTCCACAAAATTCAGTGTGTTCTGTTGAACATCAATTTAATGGAATTAGAATTCTGCTTGAAGCCTTAAATTTCCATAGAGATACCAATTTATTCACCAAAGGAGTGTTCACCCACATTAAGAGAAAGTGAAATGTGGTCTGAGATTGAATTTGGCATCCTGATAACATTATCTTAAGTACAAACCCCTTCTGTGAGGTCAAGATTAGAAAGATTAGTGGGAAAGAACAATTTTTCTTACAAGAGCAAGCTCTAGGCTTGTAGGTCTGCTTCATAACAGGGCTTTGATCTTTCCCATTTTGCTAATCTGTAAATCCAATCACACTTGCAGTTGAGCACACAGATTTCATTCTCTCTTATGAGCTAGGCATCCCTCCGAACTGCTATATGGCCAGACCAAAACTCTCTGAGAGAATTATGTTAAGTCTTATGACCGAGACTAATCATTACAAAATGCATTTTAGTCTTAAAAGGAGAGAAGAAAAAATATTATCAGTATTATAAATATTGAGATCAGTTTTGATTGATCATTAGAATCAGTAAATCAGACATCATTTTCTAATAGTATATTTATACTATATATAAAATGTATGTGTGCTTATATATATTAGAATTGCTACCAAAAAATAAGTATAGCAAATTTATCCCTCTCTGTAAAATTTGTAAAGGCTCCCAGGATTATAGCAAAAGAGAAATATCACATGTAAAGTGAAAAATGAAAACATATTATTGGATTGAATTTCCAATGAGTTACTAAGGAAATAATATTATTCAACAAATGACTAGCAATTTATTTTTAAAAAAACCAGATTATTCAGTTCTAATTTTAAAAATCTATTGCATGTGACTAAAATATTTAAATACTAGAAATTTTGAAAGAAATGTCAAAAATATCCATGGTTTAATTTTTATATATTGGAATAGGAAAGAAAGAACAGAAAAAGTAAAAACTATGATGGAAATAATTAAAAATATTGTTTATATAAAACTTTTAAAACTAAAAACAACAAACTGAACAAAAATAAATTAAACCTCAATGTGAAAAAAATATATTTTTTTTGTAATATGGGTCAAAGAACTAATCTCTTGATTCTACTTTAAACATCTTGCAAAAAAGACAAACCAATTTAAAAGAAATAGGAAAGGGGCAAATATTTAGAATAGATATTTAGATAGAAATACAAATAGCTCATAACCAAATAAAAATGTTCCATCTATTTCCACAGCAAAAGCAATGCAAAATAAAATATTAAATTTCTGTGTTTCACGTATCAAATCACAAAATTTTTGTTTGACAATATACAGTATTAGAAACTGTGCTAAGAAATCAGTGTTGTTTGTGGGAACACCAATTGAGAAACTCTTTGGAAGAAAATGCAGCTATATTGACCAAAATGTCATACCATACATAACTATTTAATCTAACAATCTTTGTTGTAGAAACTTACCTAGTCATGTTCACACATACACAAACATATATGTACAAAGATGATTCTTACAGCCTTATTAATAAAAGCAAAAACCTGAAAATATCTTAATACTGTCAATAAATAAATGTTATTATAATATGTCAATAAACATAACAAATTTTGTTACATTTATACCAATGAATATGATGCAGTTATTAAAGGATGAATTGTATTAGTAGGTGTAAAAAGGAACAAAACTGAAGATATATCAATGGGTGAATAAAAGCAAGCTAGAGAAAATTGTGTATAAAATACTCCCATTTCCATAAACATGAAGAAGCTACAGAAACTGAGGTTTGTACAGCCATGGCAAAATTTTGGAAGAGTACATATGAAAATTGATCATGTTACCTCTCAGAAGTAAGATTCTAGTTCTGAGGTGATAGGCAGATAATTCTTATTGTGTAATCTCTTGTACTACTTGGATTTTAAAATTACATTTATACCCTGTTTTTATAATGAAAATACTTTCTAAGCATCACTGTAATAAAGATTTTAGCTTTTAACTTCAGAATAATAATATTTGGTAGGGTGCTTAATATGTGTCAAACACTGTGTTATGTGTCTTCAAAGCACTCTTCTAAACCTCACAACAATTATAAAGAGTATTTCTATCTCCATTTTAAAGATGACAGCAAAACTCAGAAACATTAAATAACTTGTAAAAATTCACATAACTAATGAGTGCTACATTTACTCCATCCAAAAGTTTCACTAATCAAATGGTTATAAGTTTGGGTTCTTAAGGACCAATGCCAGCACTTAGCACATTGGTGAAAATGGGAATAATTGACTGTCTTCTTGAAGCTTTATTTGTTCATTTGATTTTTAATGCTCATGGGTGGGAGAGGACTCCTGATTCTCACATGTTACAGTAGCTGGTAATAATCTAGCCATTCTGTTATAAATAACTATAAAACTAAACAAATATGTATATGAAAAGTATGTGAAAAGAAAAATATATTTTCAGAACACAACCATGATCCCCAAGATAAGGATAACAAATGTGGTGAGCCTCATGATTGCCCAGCTTTCAGCTCTGAGGCACCCATAGCACTTGGAGCTGAAGACCAAGAGGCACACAGGTATCTGAGCTGAAGAGACAGAAATCAAAGTTTGGACATAATGTTTTGGACATAATGTAAGGGACTGGAATTTGCAGTCAGAGTACTACAGAATCTAATTTGCAGTCAGAGTACAAGAGAATCAATAACTGTGAAGAAAAGGAGCTCTAGATTGCTTCCTACATAAGACTCCTATTTAGTCTTTGGCTGATTATTAAAGTATGCACACACAGGATGATACTTGAAAATGCTGGGCAAAGGATACCTACCAAGTTGCTGAGAACTCAGTGAAGATTCCAAAGCTTGTATATCCATTGGAAAAATCTGAGTTCCAACCAGCCAGAATAGAGAGACCTTGTTGAAACTTCAGATAATTAAATGACACTTCAGAAATCTCACATCTCAGGAATAAGGCTACTCTAGTCCAAATGTAATGACTCTTATAAACAATTCTTAATATAAAAAAGCTGAAGTACAAGTAAATTAAGTCTGCAAGTATCAAATCCAATCTTCTTTAAATAAGAGGAAAATACACCATTTATAAGGTTTAGGATTAAATAAAACATGAGTAGACACGCAAAGACACAGGAATATATGCCCTATAAGTATGAGAAAAGTCAATCAAAATAAAGAGATGCAGAAATGATGGAAAGAGCTAACCAGGACACAAAATAGCTATTATAAATATGGTCAAGGACTTAAAAGGACTAAATGAACATAAGGAGGGAAAAGATACAAGATTTCAATAGAAAAATACAAATTATGAGAAAGAAAATTTTTATATTGAAAATATAATATCTAAAATAACAAATTCATCAGTTGGCTTTTCAGTATATTATAAACTACAGAAAAGCATCAGTAACTTTGAATACGGGGAAATAGAAGCTACTCAAACTGAAATAGGAGGAAAAAAATGAAGAGACTCTCAATAAACTGTGAAACGATATCAACTAGTAAAATATACCTAAAATTGGAGTCCCAGAAGAGGCCAAAAGAGACTTAGGGATGGGAGAGGGATGGTGGAAAAATATGTAAAGAAATAATGGTAAAAAGTTTTCAAACTCATGGAAAATATAATCGTATAAACCCAAGAAGTTTAATAAGCTCTGAGTAGTAAAAACGCAAAGAAAATCACACCAATATACATCATAATCAAAATGTTACAACCTTATCAAAACTACAGTGAGACACCATTTCACACTAGTCAGAATGGCTGTTATTAAAAAGTCAAAAAAACAACAGATGCTGGCATGTTGCAGACAAAAGGGAACACTTATACACTGTTGGAGGGAATGTAAATTAGTTCAGCCACTGTGGAAAGCAGTTTGGAGAATTCTCAAAGAATTTAAAACAGAACTATCATTTGACCCAGGAATCTCATTACTGGATATTAAAAAAAATCATTTTACCAAAGAGATACATGCACTCATATATTCATTATAATACTATTCATAGTGGCAAAGGCATGGAAACAACCAAGGCACCCATCAGTGGTGTATTGGATAAGGAAAACGCGGTAAAAATACACAATAGAATACTATGCAGCCATTAAAAAATAACAAAATCATGTCCTTTGCAGCAACATGGATGCAGCTGGAGGCCATTATCCTAAGCATATTAATGCTGGAATAGAAAACCAAATACCACATGCTCTCACTTTAAGTGGCTGCTAAACATTGGGTACTCATAGACATAAAGATGCCAATAACAGAAACTGGGAACTACTGAGGGGGAGAGGATAGCAGTGGTTGAAAACTACCTGTTGGGTACTATGCTTAGTGACTGGGTGATGAGACCAATTATACCCCAAACATCAGCATCATACAGTATACCCAATAACAAACTGGCATGTGTACCTCCTGAATATAAAACCAAAGTTGAAATTTAAAACTGTAAACCAATAACTTTAAAAAGCATTTTAACAAGAAAAAGGATATAATAAAAATAAAACCACAATTCCATAAAATAAATAGAAAACAAATAATACATAGAATTCACAAAACCAAGAGATAATTTTTTGAAAATATTAGTGAAATAATAAACTCCCAGACAAATAAAGAAAAAGAAAATGAAATACCAATATCAGGAATAATACAAAGTACTTCCTTCTATATGCTACTGACAATAAAAGGAAAATAATAAAATTAATACACAACTTAATATGAATAAACTTAATAAGGGAAATGGAAAAAAGCTCTTTCATTCAACCCAAATGGAATAGAAAAATTAAAGAGCTTTTATCTACTAAAGAAATGATTTCATAGTTATGAATAAACGTCCCACCAAGAAACGTATAGGCCCAGATGGATTCACTGGAGAATGCTAACAAACAATTAAGAAAGAAATAAAATAAGCTTACACAAAATATTTCAGAAAATGCAAGATGAAGAAATATTTTCTATCTCATTTTATGAGGCTGCATTGCCTAATGCCAAAACCAAACAAAACATTTACAATACAAACACACAAGAGACCAATATCCTTCAAGAGTGAAGGTTCAGAAGTTCTTTACAAAACATGAATAAGTCAAACGCAAAGATACATAGAAAGATAATATCTTATGAAGAAATCAGGTTTTCCCCAATATTGAAAGTTTGATTCTTACTAAAAAAATCCATCAATATAATTCAACTTATCAAGTGAATAAAATAATTATATAACCATTTCAAAAAGGGAAAAGAAGAAAAAAATTTGTATTTATTTATAAAAATATGCCTAGAACAATAGGAGTAGAAAGTAGACTCATAAACTAATAAAAGGCATCTACCAAAAACACAGAGCTAACATCATTTCTTAATGTTGAAAGACTGAATGCTTTTCTTTTAAGCCTGGGAACAAAGCAAGAATGTCTATTCTCACCACGTTCATTAAACATCATATTAGACATTCTAGTTAATGTAATTAGGCAAAAAAAGAAATAAATAATGGGAATACATCAATTTAATGATAGGAAAGGATGAGTAAAAATTTCTATTCACGGACAGCATCATTATGTATGTAGAACAGTCTAAGCAATCTGCAAAAAATTTCCATCAAAATTATTAAATAAATTTAGAAAGACTAAAAGATACAAGCATTATATATATATGCATATATATGCACATACATATATATGATCAATTTAAAATATATAAAATATACATATAAATCTATCTAAATATATATTGTCAGTGAGCTGTTATAAAATTTTTAAAATATCATTTGAAAGCATCACAATATGCAAAACGCTTAGACATAAATTTAGCAAAACGCATAGATACAAGTACACTGAAAACAATAACATATTGCTGAGAGAATTTAAAGAGAACCTAAATAAATAGTAAGATACGCTGCATTCATAATTTAGAATTATTCAACACAGGTATTGTTGATAAGTGACTTCTACTCAAACTCATGTTTAGATTCCAAACAATACTAATCAAAACCCCAACAGACTTTTCTTGTAGAAATGAATAAGCTTTATGTGTTTGTGTGGTAATGCAAATAACCTGGAATGACCAAAACAGTACTGACAAAATAAGAACAAAAAATCAATATATCAAAAAAGAGTCCAGAAATAGACCCCCCACATACAGTTGATCTATTTCTACTTTGGCACCAAAACAATTCAATGGGAGAGAGTTGAGTCTTTTCGACAATTGCGGATACAATAATTAGATATCTATATGAAAAGTATTTGTAAAAGGATAATTTCTAGAAAATATAGCAGTGCCTTACTTAATATACTAAAAGTTTGGTGGCCTTATTATAGAAATTTCCTTTTCTCTGGAATATTGGCTATATCCTTTTAAAACACTGGCATTTGGGTTTCACTCCACCACTTACTAGCCGTATGAGCTCTTTTTCAACCCTTCATTTCTTTCTCTGTAAGATGGACTTATTAATACTCATCCTTTTCTTCTCCCAAAAGTAAGACAATATCAAACAGGATAATCAAAGTATTCACATATCTTCTCCTGCAGTCCAATCTTTACACTTTCTGTCATGCTTTTGTTTTGCCTTCTCCTTCCTTAGCATAAAAGTTATCAGCGTGTCTTGAGTTAAAAAAAAAAAAAAAAGTCAGCCAAACACAGTAATAAATTCAATGTAGCAAATAATTTTAGATGCTACATAGGCCATACCAAAGTCTATAACATTAAGGCAGTTTTGATTGGACCATGAGTTGAATGAAGGACTTTCCTGATGGACTATGATTATTAATGCTCTCAAAGCCCTTTTTATAATGGAATGACACTTTTAAGATTTGTAGTGTAAGCACAGCTCCGGTGATTGCATTATTCTGGAATAATGTACTGCTTAAGTTGAACCGGTGTGGGATTTGCTCCTGGCTTAGAATCCTTGACCTTCTATGCCCTGTTTATCAACCTCATTGCAAGGCAGCATATACTACTGTTCAGTTAGGGTTGAGAATGAATGCTTTAGCAGCCTTAGGAAATATGCTTCCATGTGCCTTCAGGCTGATGTTTATAGAGCTATTGGTGATAAAACTTGAATGACGTTAGTGAAAGGAGGATAAAATTCTTTAGAAAAAATATTACACTTACTTTATGGAATGTTGAGTTCCAAGTTCTCCAAAACAATTCTGGAAAAGAAAATGAGAGTCCTGTGATTTTTTATGGAGTCAGTGAATAAAATAGGTTTGGCATGTAGTTTAATTCAGTCCATTATTGTTATCATATTATACGCCTGCCCTATGTAAGGATAAGGGAAACACAGATACAGAAGATAAAAGCCTTGCTCTGGAACTAGTCTGCAGGGATTTTTCAACCCTCAATGCCTATTTATCACTTGGGAAGCCTTTAATAAATGTTTATAAAGGAGGCATACACCAGGACAACTAGTATCTATAATTTTAACATCACTTCCATTGATTCCAATGTGCAGCCAGAGAAAGCAGAACTGGGTCCCTCCCAAAAATGTGATGATTTAGCTGATGCTGGATGTAAAGAAAAATTCTGCATAAAGTTTGAGGAGTTAAAAATGGAATGAGAGTTCCAGAGAGCATAGCTGAAAGACTTTGGATTGGAATAAACATATATATTAAAAAACAAGAGTAAAACATGCATGAGAAAAGATGATGAATGGGTGAGAAAAGGAAACACTAGGTGCCTTTTTTTCCACCCTTTCTTCCTTGCTTCCTTCCTTTCCTTCCTTCATTTCTTTCCTTTTTTGCTTTATTTCTTATCTTTTTGTATTCTTTTTCTCTCTCTTCCTCCCTCCCTCCATCTTCCTTCTTCCCTCCCTCCCTCTTCCTTCTTCCCTACCTCTCTTCCTTTTTCCTTCCTTCCTTCCTTCCTTCCTTCCTTCCTTCCTTCCTTCCTACCTTTCTTTCTGTGACAGAGGGTCTGAGGACATAAGGAGAGATGAACATTAGATTAATATTGGGAACATTGAGTTCCAGTTGGTGTGTCAGTTGGGAGGTAAACTTGGGAACAAGTGTCTAGCTGGTGAATATAAGTATTTAAAGAAGAAACAGTGCTATCTTCAGACATTTGCTTGCCAAATACTTTGTTAATTTGTTGCATCTGCTTTTTGCACAGATTTATGGACTTCATGCATTAGGATCTCACCAAACAATAAATGTTCTTACAATTCACTTCCCTATCCACCTGAGAGGTATTGGAAAGCCTGTGGAGTTTCACCTCATCTCTGTTGATTTCTATACTATGGGAGTGTTTGTTAGCTGATACTCTCAATTTAGTTTTTCTCTCAGATCTTGGCTCAGTTTTCTTATCTTCAGTTAGGCCATCTCTGATCTTCCTGATAAGATAAATTATTCTATTATGTAGTGTCAATCTCCTGTAAACCCCTCCTTCATATTTTACTCACTTGTGTATTTCAATTTTTTAAAGAGTTTCTTATAGTTACATATCTTTCTGCATAGGATGTAAGCTCCTTGGTGTAAGGACCACTTGAGTTTTTCATCATATCTCCAGCATGCCCGTCAGTGTCTCGTTCAGAGATAAGTCAGTAAATATTTGTTGAATGAATGAATGATGGAATGACTATGGGGAAAAAAAAAACGGAAGGAGTAGAGAGAGACAAGCTGGCTACCTGTTGCAGAGGTAAAGCAAATAAGATTTTCCAAGGGTAAGACAGTTTTGCTTTGGCACTGTTTTCAAATAATCACTGTTTCTATAAGAAGAAAGCCTGAACAAACCATCCAGGTAATTCCATGACTTCTGGCAGTTGTATCTTATTTACACTTAAAGAACTGTTTATTTTTTTAGCCCATAAATGGTTAGGATGGAGAGATTATATGCTCTGATGTCCCAAGAAAGTTGCCATTCCTGAGCTTATAGGGGAATCTAAGTTCCCTGGACAATTTAATCATATTTCTATCTTTAGGACATTGGGGTAGAGAGGAATAATGGTGCCCCTTCCCTGATTCTTTTTGTCTAGAAACTTTCTTCCCAACTGTGGGACCTATTTAGTAATTAAGGTAAAAGGAGCTTTTCTTGATATAACAATGGCCAAAAAATGTGCTTAGCACTGTATAGCTTACATTTAAAAAGTACAGCTTCTCTCTCCTTTCATTGTTCCAAAACCATTCAAATAGCCATTATAAAGAAATAAAAACAGCTTAGAGGAGTTAAGTTTTTGCCAAAATCACTTAGCTAATAAATGACATTTTTTAGACTAGTACCAGACAGTGCCGTTGCCCCTGTGCCTTTCATCTGCATTTGAAAGCCATTTCCTTCCAGTTCATTAGAAACTGAGCACTAGCTCATAGCATCTTACAGGCAGAAAGAACCTTGGGAGCCACACCTTCCGTCTTTGCACCCGGTGCAGTAAACCTCTGGACTGCATTCTTCATAAGTAGATACACAGCTTTACTTGAATATCCACAGTAATGGACATTTTATTGTTTCCTTAGGCAGCCCATTCCACTATTGAGGGCTCTAATTATTATCTGTCTCCATAGGAAGTCTACTATTAGCGATTGTGCACCAGTAACAAAAGTCCTGCCTAAGTGTTGTTGACAATGGCACTACTCCTGAGAGTATTTGCATTAAGAAACAGGCTGTCAGAAGACAAAATACCTTAACAAGAAGCAGTGAAGCTCTAAAAGTGTGATAACAGGCATCTTGGTCCTTCCTACATGGGGGAATCCTAGTTTGTCTTATGGACACATTTTTGGCACCTGTTCCTGCCATGTTGTCTTAGTTACACTCTTGCTGTGGTGGATTACAGTAACTGGAAGTATGATAAGGGCCCTTTAAAAACCTGAAAGCACAGTTGGGAACCAGTGAGAAACTGATGTTCTTCCCCATTCCCATCTCAATTAAATTTTTTAATAAGCATTGAGATTCTGACAATGTTCATTTTTGGAACCCTAGAAATAATGCACAATGTTGTATTCATTAATGTAGTCCTTCAACACATATTTATTAGGCACCTAGTATGTGCCAGGTGTTAGGCTCAGCACTGAGAATACAATGATGAACAAAACCAGACATGCTCCTGCTGTTGTGGAATCCACAGTCTAGGAGGGGAGCAGATACTAATTTTAAAAAGCAAAAGCAAATGTGAAATTGCACCTGAGATTTACACTCTCTGAGTGATTTCATATACATTGAGAAGATTCATGGAAAGTGGCTCTGAGGAGATGATTGGTTTGGGATCTGAGGAAGGCTACAGCATACTAGGGAAAAAGTAGAGTGCAGAGGTTGAGGGAAAGGTTTTACCCACGCTCTGTGGTTGGTGAGGACATGTTACATTTGGGGAATGATAGAAGAGTAATGCCTTTGAAGAACAGAGACTGGAGATCATGCTGCCTAATAATGACTTTCCCTGGTGAAGGTCAGGTATTCATTTTATCATGTTGCAATTTTTACTGTCCCTATGATGTGCTGAGTAGGCAACTTTTGGAGGTTATTAGTTTATTCACCTGAAGAGTTGGGATATTTCTCTTTTTATTTTTGGGAAATATAGCATAGATCCATTAAATAAGGTAAAGACTTCCAATCTTGAGATGAAAAATAGATATTTATAGAGCCCATCCTTACAGATTCTTACAGATTCATGATAGCTGCCTATAATTATATGATGACAAGGATTCTGAGTCATGTCTTTGCTTAAGCCCATCTGCTCCTTCTCCTGTGGTTAGTCTTTAGCTCAATTCGAGTGTTCTGGTCATTCCACTTGCCTGTCTTTGTCTCAGAAAGTAAGAAAAGCTATTTTATCCTGGAGCTGAAAAGTACATTGAGCATTAAAAGTGGAAGAGGAAACTATTCATCTCATTTATCCTGTAATGGTGGTTTTGCCTTTAAATGGATTCTAAAGCCATTCTTTCTTTCTCAGTTCTTAAACACAATTTCGTATGGGCTGGTGTTTTTTAAATCCAAGCAAAATTTAGGCAAATATGTGTATCTGCTCTAGAAATTTTGGGGAAAATCCTTCCATTTACAAATATTTCTGCTGCTTTTCAGTTTTATTAAAAAAGAACAACAACAAATCTACGAAAGAAATTTAAAAATACCCCTCTTAACACTGTTCAATATTAACTTCAAGACCTTTAGGTTTTTAAGATCTGGGAAATAGGGTATTTCCCAAGAATGTCATTTCACATACTGCATGCTACCCAAGATAAAATATTTAGAAGCTAGGGATTGCTGGAGGTATAAAAATACCAGTGTTTGCAAAACCTACAATAGTTAAATATTTACAATTTTTCAAATAGGAATGTTAATAAAAGTATCAGCAGGTAGGACTTTGGCACCAACTCTGTAAACATACTGGCTGATTCATGATTTTAGGAATATAGGAGAGGTTACCAGGAAGGATGCAGATTTTCATTTATGGTTCACATTGGTTTGGGGGGGGTTAAATCTGAAGAATTATTTTAAACTCATGTTTACATGTTCTTATTCTATTCACTTTAAAAGTACCTAACTTCCCAATTAATGAGAAAAAAATGTAGACTTCTAAGCTATAGAGTTTCTCAGATGTCTACACTTAAAAGGCAAAAAGATCAGTAAGATTGGCTTTAGTGAAAAATGTATAAGGAATCTTTCTACAAACAAGTAAACTATTAATGAAACACTCCAGTGCCTGAAGAAATTAGAATAGGATAAAACTAATCTGAATGCAGAGTGGAAGAAGATACTAGCTCTTTTGAGTGCCTAATATGTGCTGGGCTCCTTTCTACACACTTCACACATATGAGGCCCTGTAATATTCACAACGAAACTTATCATAGGTAAGACCAGCCAGGATTACAAAGGAGGAAATTGAGGGTCAATACGATTAGTAACTTGCACAACAAGCACATTCGGGACCTGAACCCATGTCTGACTCAGAGATGCCTCCTCTGTTTTCCTCTGCCTGGAAATGTTGGTCTAAAAGACAACCAATTCTCTGTTTTTTTATTTTTCTTTTTTCTGTTCCCTAGCCCAACAACTACAGGAGATGGTTACTTTGGAAAATTTTCAGCAGTCATGTTTTGAAATTAATGGAGAGTTGGAGTTTCTGACTTTCTCTCATAAATCTCAGCAGAGAGCAATGTATTTGTTGTGATGTGTCTGCACCCAAATTCGAAACAGTTTTCTTTCTCCTAGATGTGTTGCCCTAGATTCCAGCAAGCATGGTCCCTCCAGATTTCAAATTGGATGGTTCACCTCCCTATAATGTACCACTTTTGGTACAGACATCTTGTTGTCTAGAATGTGGGAGATTCTTACCACAGATGGCTGGGGAAGGGTTGAATGGCCCCTTGGCATGGTCTCCTTCTAAATGTATGAGTGGAAATGGAAGGTCGGGGGCTTGCAATTTGGCTATGGTCAGACAGCTGCTGAACAACTGAAGAATTTTAATTCAGCTCTGTCTGACTTCTGTCTATCATTCCCTTTTACGTTACTAATGAGTAGAGTTCACTCTTATACATTGCTGTATCTTCATCAGTACCTGGTACAGTTTTGATTACATGATATCTATCCAAATAAATAACATTTTAAAGAGCATCTCAATTATTAACTGATTCAGAATAATACGCAGGCTTAAATAATTTAGAAGAAATAGGGGAAGAAAATGACATGTACAAAGGCACAAGTATATGTGAAGAAATAGTTTCAGGAAATGTTCCTTTTGAAGACTTGGTTTTTATCCTCCTCTATAGCACTCATCACAATCAGCTTTGCATTTAGAATAATATGTCTATCTTCTCAGCTACATTAACTCTGTCAATGAGACATAGCCTATGTCTCATTTTTTGTGGCTCAGTGGCCAGCACAAAGTGGGTTTTCAAATTTTGCTTACTTATTGGCATGGAATTATAAACATATCCCAAAGCAGAGATAGTGCAGCTTCTCCTCCCCTTAAATCAGCCGGTGCAGTGGAAGTAGTATAATCTTTGGAGCCAAAGAGACTCTCCATTGTCTAGCTTAATTAACTATAAATTTGCCTTAGTTGCTCATCTGTAAAATGAGGCTAATAATACTTAGTTGGGAGGATAAGAGAACTAAATTAAAATGCTTAGTTAAGTTGCCCATCCCATGCTTGAAATGAAACAAATTTCAGGACTCTGCTATTCTTTCTTCTCTTGCTCTCCAAAGCAAAGGCTTAAGGAGCCTGGCTGTTAGTGAGCCAAATCGCCCTCCCTCAGTACCCGACACAAGGATCTCAATCCTCTATTCCTACAACTCTTGTTCATTTTTCCAATTTATGTACTGTATTTGACACCAAGAGAAAAGCTATTTTTAAGTGTTTATTTTCCCCATCATCTGTGCTGTGTTTGACTCACATAATGATATGGGCAAGAATGTTTAATGGCATTCAACTTAGCAAACACCCTCATCAGCCAGACAAGCTGCTTTCTTTCCAGAGGCCCCGCTAGAGCAATTCACCCTCATTTCACACCTGGGGGTGCTTTTCTGCTTCCTTTTAAACAAATTCAAGCTGATCTTCAAGTAAGCATTTCAGTTGAACTCCATCAACCCTACAAAATGGGACCAGAGGGTACTGGAACAACAGCACATTTCTTTTACAGAAATTGAAATGACTTAATACTTTGATAGCTTGTAGCTGTTCCAGGAGTCTCAGCTGTAATCAGAGCTACTTAATCCTTTCTTCTTCCCAGTGAAAATAAATTCAATATATCTGTAGTTCTAGTTCCCCCACAATACTATACATTTTGCCTATATTATCACCTCATGTCATAGAGATATTATGGTATGTTAGTTTCATATATATATATGATATATAATGTGTACATATATATGATATATAATGTATACATATATTTTTTATATATATATAATGTGTACATATTATTTCATACGTAATGCACTCAGCATATGTCCCACACACCAGTAGGCATACTTGACGTTATTTCAATTCTATTGTCTCAAATTTAGGAATGAATATCATCACTATCAGCTAAGACTATAAAATGCCAAATGTGTTTTCTTTAATAACACAGAGGATTACATATGTTCAGATGATTTTAATACAACTATCTCAAAATGATCTCTCTAAAAGGAAGCACATTTAGTGTCACATTTTTGCCATTAGTCCAAAGTATGTCGGAACTGCTCCCAGGGAATCTGTGGCATGTGATATATTATTAACATGATTATCCTCATCAATCATCATTATCCTTAAAAAGGCTACTATAGTAAATATATATTGTTTCTGGCTGTCTAACAAAACTCTTTTACACTGGGGAATAGCATATCCTTTCTCTGTAGAATTATTTATTCCTCCCTCATACCTTGCCTCTCAATTACTGATTGGCCCTCTTATTTAGTTCTGGGGCTGTCCTATTATCAAAATTCTACCTCCTAAAGAAAACAATCCCATTTACGATAGCATCAAACAGGATAAAATACTTAGGAATGAATCTAACTAAAGAAATGAAAGATTTACACATTGACAACTATGAAATGTTGCTGAAAGAAATCAAATAAGATAGAAATAAATGGTAAAACATTCCATGTTTATGGATTGGAAGACTCAATGTTGTTAAAATGTCCCTACTACCCAAAGTTATCTGCAGGTTCAATGCAGTCGCTATCAAGATCCCAATGGCATTTTATTTTCACAAATAGCAAAAAAATCCTAAGATTCATATGGAATCTCAAGGGACCACTGGATAGCCAAAACAACCCTGAATAAAAAGAACAAGTTGCAGACTTCACACTTCTTGATTTCATATACTACCCCAAAGTTTTTCTAAGCAAATAAACTGGTCACGAAAGGACAAATACTGTATGATTCCACTCAGGCAAAGTAGCTAAAGTAGCCAAAATCATAGAGAAAATAAGTAGGAAGTTGGTGGCTAGAGGTGGTGAGATCACGAGAGGAAGAGGATTGGAAAAATTAGTTTTTAGTGGATATATAGCTTGAGTTTTATAAGATGAAAAAGTTTTAGAGCTCTATTGCACAACAATGCAAATATACTTAACACTACTGAACCATATGCTTAAAAATAGTTAAAATGGTAAATTTAATGTTTTGCTTTTTTACTACAATTTTTTAAAAAGGAAAAATAAAGAAAACAAAGCATCTTCCTTCCTCCTGACCATAGTTGATTGGTCCAGCAGTGGGCTCTTGACCTAAGCTCAGCCAGTCAAATAGCTATGTAAAAAAAAAATATATATATATATATATATGTAAAATATATAGGTATATATATGTGTGTGTGTGTAAAATATATATATGTATGTGTGTGTATATATATACACACACACACACACAAAATCTGGAAAAAAAGGACACAAGTCATCTTTGATAACTAAAACTCTGAGTTACAAAGTTTGGAAGCTGCCAGTGTGATATTTCCTGCCTTATGAGAGAACTGGTCTTTGGTGAGAGAAAAGTACCAATGAAAGACGAAGAGAAAGTATCCCAGCATCTAAGTGTTAGCTGTAACTAAGCCCCTAATATTACCATCAACATCGTGGAAACAACAATTTATACATGGAGTATCTGTGGAGCAACATACTAAATGTTTTATATTTATTGTCTTATGTTGTAAGTTTACAAATCTTATACCAGGGTCTCTAACATCTGTAAAGCATATAGTCTACCAGGATGATCAAGTACACAAACAGACAATTTCAACAATATGAAAAAGGTAATATGATAATTTTAATAATGAATAAAGTCTAACAATTCCAATAATTGAATACTTTGAATGTAAGCTGTATAATACTGATCAAAAATGAGAAATATTGGGCTAATCCCAGTGAAGAGAATACACAAGACTTTCTTGAAAGAAACAGTACCTGAGCGGAATCTTAAAGACTGGGTAGAATTGAGCTAACCAAAGAAATGGGGATATATCATGCCAGTAGACAAAGTAAGAAGTCAAAAATCAATTCCTCAGGTGTTTAAGATGAGTAGAAATTGCAGTGGGGAGTGACAGTAGTAGGAGCTGAAGTAGAAAAGGGCTAGTCAGCTAGAGCTTGATTGGCTATGCTCTGCCTACATCCTGCTAGTAACCGCAATCCCTGAAAAGCTTTGAGCAGGAGAATGACATGTTGGATTTGCATTTTAACTAGATTACACTAGCATCATTGTGGAGGATGAATCTGAAGGAAATGGAAAGGAAATCCAGTTATACAGCTATTACAACCACCCAGGAGAAAGATGGACAGCCCTGTAAATAACACAGTGATAGTGGAGATTGAAAGGATCTATATTTTTCAGGCAAAATTTTTTAGGACTCAGTAATTAGTTAGATGTGTTTGGGGAGTAAATACCAAGGAAATAGAAAAGTAACGTTCAAGATGTTGCCAAGTTTTAGCAAAGATTCTGCTACCTCCTTGGTGAGTGAGCTTGGACCAGAACTTGAGTCTTTTTATTTCCAGGCTGTCAGACTGCACATGGGCTAATAGGGCTGTCAGACTGCACATGGCAGTTTGAGCATCTCTTCCATGCCCATTTCTACTGCTTTTCCTTCACTCACACATTCCTCATCAAAGAGACATTGAACAGGTATTGTGCTAGGTACCAGGGATAAAAGATATATAAATTATGCCTCTTATCATTAAAAGGCTCAAGTAAGGTAAACAGGCAGTCAAACAATTACTATATCACATGATGCAGGGTTTCATTCAGTTGTGTACACAGGGCTGTGGGAGGAGAAAAAACAAAAGAGAAACTAAATGCATTATTGTCTTATAAAGGCCATGGAAATGAAAGGATATTTGATCACCTACATTCAAAGCTCCTGGAGGGCAAGACCTGTATTCTTTCTGTTTACTCCTGATTCCTAGTGGCCTATCTATAGTGTTCTACAACACATTTCAAATTCTTGATACACATAACATATTCAAAATACATATTCCAAATCTTGGTGTAATTCATTTGAACTACTGGGCAGCCTATTCACTGGGATGAGAAGAATTTTGTAGCCAGAAAAATGTTTCGAACTCATAGTTTAAATATATTTCTAATGAAAAAGGTCATTCTGATGCCCAGAAACTCGGTTCTTTAGATGATCCTTAAATCTCACCTACTTTCTGCCAGTAAATGGAGGAAAGAGCAAAACCCATTTCAGCCTGCCCACCACTGGAAACACAATCCAATCACAAAATCTGACTGATCAATGAACGAGTGGTAAGCAATCTCATTAAGTGGTAGTCATTCTTCCTCTGTGTGTAATGATAAATATGACATACACAAAACATTAGATTCAGGGTCAGGGATTATATCTATATTTTTTTCCTTGATACTAAAGCAGAAGATTGTAAAGTTCCTTTTTTGTCACATTCTTTAGGGTGTCTGTTCGATGTCTGGTGTTTTAGCAATGATGACAAGCAAGAAAATGGAGGAACAAATGAAAAGCAGACTTGCTAAGGTCAACCCAAATGAAGACTTGTCTTTACTAATACTCTTCGCATTCCTGTGTAATTATTTTTCTTTAAGGATAGTAAAAGTTGAGGGGTTTTGCTCTTTCTCATGGAATGTATTGTGAACCAACCTAATCTAGATGAGAGAGGGTGGGTCAGAGCTGGTTTCATGAGAGTGTGACCTATGCAGGTACACATGGCCTTATACTTAGAAGGGTCTTACTCTTGGTTTAATGCTCTGCTGTTGCTATCTTGACATTCTTACGAATATTTTTTTTAACAAGGGTTCCCATGTTTTCAGTTTGCACTAGGCTAGTCCTCCTGAAATGGATACACTAGTGCAATATCTAGCACATAATGACTACTCAGTAAGTGAATGAATTCATAAATGAATCAAATTTTTCTTGAAAAATAAGTTAGAGATTTCCAAGTTGAAGTGGGAAAGAATTAGTACAAGAGAAACTTATGCAAAAACACAGAGGATGAAGAGAACCTCTATGATTCAGGGAGTGGCAGGAAGTTTCGATTATGGCTAGAGACCGGCCTGTTTGAAGTCAGTTATGGGAGAGATGAAATTGGGAAAAAAAATACAACAGTTGATAAAAATTTTGAAAGCTTTAGATGCCATTCTAAACAGCTTAGGCTTTATTCCATAGCATAAAGAAATCCATAGAAGTCCATGAAACATGAAAGTAACAAGGATCGGATATGAATTTTAGATGGTCACTCTGGCAGGTGAGGGATGAACCAAGGGCTTGGTATGGGTCATGGGATACTTAAGCAGCAGAAGAACATAGGAGGAGCTGGCTGCTGGGAGGAGGGAAGACATGTCTCTTCTGGAAGGAAACAGAGGTTGAAAGTAATAGCAAAGTGAATGTGTTTGAACTTTAAAATACTTTTAATCTTAGGCAACATACTTAATCTCCCCAGACATACTTCTTTATACATATTATAAATAGTCTGGATCACATGATCACTGAATTGTTTTCCCGCCTTAAAATTTGTGAGATTTTATAGTTTTTCAGATTTTATTAGTTTTATAAAAATACACAGAGGTAACTCTATAACTTCACTAGATTGGTGCTCCTAGAAAGCAGATACTTTTTCTTCTTCACCTCTTTATATCTAATTACTGGAGTAGTGTCCTGTACATAGAAGGTTTTTCACAAATATTAAATAAATAATACATACAATATTCTATCATTTATAATGTATATAATTTTTATACTGTTAATATCATCAACGAACATTTAGTGTGTCTCTAATATAATGAAGTTCTATTAGATACAGAGAATACAGAGGAGAGGTACGGTATCTGCCCTTAAGGACACATTCTAGTTGCAAAAATAACAACAACAAAAAAAAACCACACAGAAACACACACACATCTACATGTTATATAGAACAGTAAGTGTCATGTATAAGGAAAGTGTGATGTAAGAGAAAGAATATGGGCTTTGAAGTCAGAAAAACTCTGGATTCAAACCTGACACTTCTATTTAGCTACTCTGTCAGTTTGGGAAGCTAACTTGGCTTCTGTGTGCTTCTTTTACAAAATTGGAGAAAATGCCTTTGTTGTAGAGATGTTAAGAGGATTATAATACATAATATACGTAAACAACCTCACATATAGTAGCTACTCAAAAATTATAACTATCATTATTATTACTGATCATAATTATTATCATTATTATTGATAACTATAATAATTATTACTGCATACACACAGGAAAAAGTAGTCCAGCCAACAAGTTAGGAAAGGCTTTTTCAATGAGGTGATCTTGAGCAGATTCTTGAAAGATGAGAAGAAATAAACTAGGCCCCATCCTGGGCACAGGGAAGAACAGCACATGTGGTTTGGATTTGGGAGGTCATGTGTGCTCATTGCAAGCATTCTTGTTTGGCCCCAGCAAACTCTGCTGTAGAATCAGTCAGAGGGAGGTGGAGAAGGGTGGGAAGTAAGGGGCCCTCTGCTCCCACCTTCTTTCCTTTGTCTGTACTTCCTGGGCAGGCACATCAGCAGTTTCCTGGCCTAATAATCAAGGAGTTCTTCCATTTGGAGAAAAACATAAGGTCATACTTTTTTCACACTCATATTTTCAAACTTTAAAAACTATTGCTGATAAGAGGAAAACAAAGTTATTAGTGAGTGTTCTGTTCTGTGTGTTTTTCCCTTTAGAGTCACATGAGCACTAATTAGGGAAAAATCTTTTCCTTGAAGCAGTATTAAATGTTTTGTCTAAGCATCACAATGAACCACTTGCAGACAGCACCAATTGCTAGTGGTGTCTCCTTGGAAGTAGCCTATGCCTCCATTGTCCCTTTGGAGTTCAACAGTGCAGTACTTCATTTCACCTTTTAGACAACCAATCCATTGGGCTACGTGTGTGAGAAATTGGCTCTAATATATTACAAGAAAGATAAAATAATCCTTGATGTAAACCACAGCTTATTGCTCCTCATCCCCTAAGAGCAGCGCTAAACCTGGTTTCTTGCATGTTTCCAGCAGTGTGGAAGGAGCAGGCAGGGAGGTCCCTTCTAATCCCCTTGTTCTTGAACGTTTACCAGAAGAGCAGCTGAAGAAGAAGGAAAGGTACAGATTAGTACATAAATGATGCTTGTACATGTATAATCTGATTTCCAGCATTCTTTCAAGGCACGGATTATCTTTATCCTAGAATGAGAGAACTGAGGCTCAGAGGAAAGTATGAATGTTCCAGATCTTACAGATAAAGAGTGATAGAACTAGGATTTAGACCCATGTTTGTCTAACTCAAAAGCTGGTGCTCTTTTCATTATCACATGCTTTCACTTTTTCTGGCTGTTCACAACTATACTGCATTGCATCAATTCCAAGACACATTTTTTTCCACATTGTGAGCATATCTGAAATGGAAATACATAGTATTTTACAACTGCTATTAGCCAAGACAGAATTGTAACTACTAGTCATTGCCTCTGTGTGCATAAACTTGGGTGTTATTCTTGAAGTCATGATTTGATAACTGCAGTCACTCGATGTCTTTGTCAGCAAACCACTTAGGAAACATTTGAAGAGGATTATGTGTCCTAGTAGTCTTCTGAAAAATCTTCCTTTGGTACATAGTAAGATCAAGAAAGCACCACCACTAAAATATACAGAACAAGAGTCTGGGGCTTGGAAAAAAAAATCTTCAGGAAAAGAGTAGAACACTTTTCAGAAATGCTGCATCACTAATGCCCTTGATGGTACAGGGGAGAATGTTGTATAAAAAATGCACCAACTAGAAGATTCTTATAGCAAAGCTTACTCAGAATAGTCAAACTGGTTTTTCTTATATTGTTATTACATTTTGCTGTATTAATTCTGTTTACATTTTATTTTTATGTAAGATTGATAGGTGATTTTAAAAATCCAAGTTTAAAATGTCCCACATAATCCTGGGATTATTCATGAATTTGCCTTTTTCCTTTAGCTAGATGTATGTTTCAAAGAGCAAGGTCTGGCCATGACATGAATAACATCATGTTTTTGAGATCCTATCATCTTCCAAATTTTATGTTATGACATATATCTTTTATTTCAAACAACAATTTTGTCAAGTAGCTATTACTTTTCTCATCTTATAGATAAGGAAATGAGGCTTAAAGACATTAAATAATTTGCCCTAATTCATACTACTAGAAAGAGAGGGTTTTAACCCAGGGTGCTCAGACTTTACCATCTTGGTGTGGAATATCATATTGTATTGCTTTTCAAATATTTTCTGCACTTCACACCAGAGATCCAGCACTCTGCGGAGCATATGCTAAGTATTAGTCAGTTTCTGGAAAATTAAGTAACAAATTCCTGTTTTGGCCACTGAAGGAAGAAGAGGGCAAGGATGCTCAGGGCAGCAGTAAGTTGCTAAAGACGTCTAGCCTTTTCTTGCTACAGCACAGTGAGGTCAGGCAGACTTTGGAGTAAAACATAACTGAGTTTTAGTTTCAAATAAACCACTCACTGCAATAATTGGAAAAGTTACTTAGCCTCTCAGAGACTCATTTTCATGTAAGAGGATGATAGTCTCAAGCCTGCTCGGCTTTTGGTTGCCTTAAAGGAAATAATGAAGGTGATTTTGTCACACTTAGCACACCACCTAGCACAAAGGCCCCCATGGGAAGAGAGTTGTTTTCCCATTTCATGGGGTTTGGGGCCGAATATATCAGTCTCATTTTACTCTCGGGCTTTTACTTCATTAAAGTTATGCTGGCTGATGAAAATGGTTTTCTGTTTGAGTGACAGATATAACCTTTCATTGATGCAATATATATCCATTGAACATAGATAGTGATGTATCAGAAGATGGGCTGGCATCAGTGTAAAAGAAAAAAAAAAAAAAAACAAGTGCTTCAGCATCAGGACATCTTCATGAAACCCGGCTCGATCAAGTGGTATCAACTTGGATAATCAGCTCATCTTTCTTTCTCAACCTTACTTTGTTTATTGAAAGTGAATAATAGTATCTCTTTTCCAGGGCAGCTGTGATGATTAGAGGAGATAATTTAAATAAAAGTGTTTGTACTAAGATGGAGTTAATGTAATAGCAATTTCCCCTGACCTTGATAGCCACGGGTAGAATCAGGATACTTGATTAGTTGCAAATTAACCAACCAACTGCTAGTGTGCTGGTAAATCCTTAACCACAGGTTTTCTGGGGGAAAACAATCCCGTTTGCAGCACTTGATGATTTCCATGGTGTAAATTCTTCCAAGAAATTCAAGCCCAACCCTGGTAGCTATTTTTCTTACTCTAACAACGTGCAGGCTCACCAGGGGAGAGACTGGAATCATCTGGAAAGTTAGATCTCTCTCTCTCCTGCACATGTGCATGCACACACACACACACACACTCACAACATAGTCCGTTTTTTCCCCCTGAATACTGTTGGGGTGATCAAACCCAACACCAGGTCATGGGGACGACAAAGTCCGGCGGAGTCAAAGGAATGAGAAAAAGTTTGAGAGAAAGTGGGACCAGCCAGAGGGCCACCGCGAGTGTGGAGGCTGTAAAGGCCCTTAGATCTGGGAGCCCACGCTATTTATTGGTGATCGAACAAAGAAACAGGTGGTGAGGATGTGGGAGTTGAAACGGTGTATCAAGTGAATGAGAAACATATGGCTACTTGAGATAATGGGAGTGCTAGAAGCAAGGAGCCAGCAAGTCTAGCAGACATGCAAGCCCTGCCTCAGCTTCTCTCCCAACACTCAGCATTTCTCCCAACAGAATACCAGAAAAGAAAGAAAAGAACTATGAGACAATACTTCAATAGATGTTTATAAATTTTAGTGTAATTTTTGCCCCCATCCCTATTTATTCTTTGATTGATATAAGTAATTGCAAATTGCTGGTACCTCATTTTTTAAAAAATTCCCATGCTAGAGGCCAAGGCCACAAGGCAACTGGTCCCCAGTTTTACCTTTTAGGTAACACTGCTTTAAGAAGAAACAAAAATGAGGTTCATTACCCCAAACTCATTTCCTGATGATTAGAGGGATAATCATGACATCTGCTCACATCAGCCAATATCAAGGTGAGGTACAGAAGTATTTTGAAGAGTAACTTCAGTACAGCAGAACTTATAGCCCTGAATTTTACACAGGAATGGGCAGGGTTCCAGTGTCAGGCATTGCATGTGTTTACCCGCAGTACACTGCCAGTCTTGTCTCTCATTTCGTGCCTAGGCTACATGGTTCATTTGTCAGATAGGATAACTCCAAAGCAGAGAGAGCAGAAGCAGGAATATTCAGGGTGGTAAGTGTAGCAACAGAGCAACTAAGGATCACACCTGACACACCCAGTACATCTGAATCCAAAGCAGAGAGAGCAGAAGCAGGAATATTCAGGGTGGTAAGTGTAGCAACAGAGCAACTAAGGATCACACCTGACACACCCAGTACAACTGAATCCAAAGCAGAGAGAGCAGAAGCAGGAATATTCAGGGTGGTAAGTGTAGCAACAGAGCAACTAAGGATCACACCTGACACACCCAGTACATCTGAAGTATCAAGTATCATTTTGATTACGTAGCAGGTTGAATGTCTTCTCTTAAATTAGTAGTTCCCAATTCTGATTACATGTTGAAATCATCATGAAGAAATTTTGAAAACACACTTGCCTGCAGATGATTTGATTGTTCTGACATGGGACCTGTGGGTCTCTATTTTTTGAAGTTTTTCAGATGTATCTAATGTAAAGGTAGGTTTGGGAACCACTGACTTACAGCAAACCCACAGTTAAATGTTCTACCTGATCCAGGGCCATAATGATCAGATAATCAACATTGGAATCATCTGGGGATTTTGCCGAACTGTAGATTCTTGATACAGTAGGTCAGAGGTAGGAAAATCTGCATTCCGAATGACATCCAGGTAATGTCATGATAAAATGGAAGTGCAGGGCCTTAGTTGTGGGAATTAAAAGAGGAGTCCCTCAACTGATTTTGATATCCCTTTTTTGCCCATCTAGTCATAGAGACTAAAGTAGGAGTATCAGGGACATTGTCTTTGGCTTCCATTTATTTTAGTGCTCAGTTTCCTACAGTAATAACTCACAACCTCCCAAATTATCTCTCTGTTGTTAACCTGTGAACACAGTGTTTTCCTGCTTACTAAGGAAGTAATGTACCAGTCCCATCCCATTGCTATGTGAAGGCCCAGAGCATTCTTTCTTCAGGACAGGGCACATCTTTCTCTGCTACAAACCATCTTGTCATTTTCATGGTGCTGCTCCAGGTGAGGCATTTCCCCATCTCCCAGGCTGAGGCCAGGCCATTTGACTAACAGTTGATCTTTCCTTTGTTAATTTGCCCCACTTCAAGGAAATAACTATTATCTTCCTCCCCAAGGAATCCTGCCTTCCTTTACTTCAGGGAGCATTTCTTTTCTTCATTCTGACACATATCCCCACTCTTACGAGCAGAAGCAACCACAAATAATGTCATCAGATGTTAATTCTAGGGGTTTTGTCCCATTAGTTATTACCATTTTATTTATAGGTGACCTACAGGTATCTAATCTAAAGATAAGGATAGATGATGGTTTATAGAGACCATTTATGTCAGAAATTCAAGGTCATCATCTTTAGCTCAATCATCTAAGAGAGTAAAGCATTCCTTTTTCAAGTGTGGCCTTCATGCCTAATAATAAGAGTAGCATATGAGTTTTCTATTTCTGCCATAACCGATCACCACACACTCAGTGGCTTAAAACAACATAAAATTATTATCCTACAGCTTGGAATATTAGAAGTCTAAAATGAGTTTCACTGGTCTGAAATTAAGGTGTCAGTTCTTTAAAATGAAGAGTTCTTTTCTGGAAGATCTAAGAAAGAAACAGTTCTCTTGACTTTCTCAGCGTCTGTAAGCCATCTACATTTCTTAGGTCATGACACCTTCTAATAGCTTCAAAGCCAGCAACAATGCATCTCTCTGACCTGTCTTCCACTGGCACACCTCTCTTCATAACCTGGAAAGGGTCTCTGTTGTTAAGAATACAAGTGATTAAGTTGGGCACACCTAGAAAATCCAGGCAACTATTTCCCATCTCAAGGTCCTTAACTTGAATCACTTCTGCAAAGTTCCCTTTGCCATGTAAGGCAACATATTCACAGGTCCCATCTTTTGCAGATGATTTGTGTATTATCCAAATACACAACGGGCTGCCATTTATAATCCTTTTCATGCATTACTTCATTTTCTCAACAACATCATTATGTAGAGATTCTTATCTGCATTTTGCAGATAAAGAAACTGTGGCTCAGCAAAATGAATTTGGTAAGGTGACCTAGCTAGGAAATTTCAAACGTGAGGTTTGAACTGAAGTCCTATAATTCTCAAGCCTATGTCCATATTCACCTCCTTCTGCTATTTCCCTTATCAAGGATTCTGTGAGCCAATTCCTTGGTTTAACAGAAAATTTCCAAGGCAACAGTTGGCTTGCTGTAGTGGTGATGGATGGAGGTTTATTTGGAGAAATATCGAGTGATCTAGAGTTGATGATGCAAATCAAATTTGCTCTGCGTGGCATGTGCTGTCAACAGTGACCTCCTGCAGTAACCAGAGAAAAATCTACAAAGAGTATTTCTATACTTTAGCTAGGCTGATTCCACCAAGCCTTGTCGACCACAATCACAAGTAACATACAGGACTAAAAAAATGTAAAAATAAATCAGTGAAAATTCAATGAATCCTCTGGAACATAGCTGTGTTGGAACTCAGAGCTGTCTTTTAGAGCAATAAAAATGGGGAAAACATGGTACATTCTATTTTAATCTCAGCCAAACTTATTTTTTTTCTTGGGGAGAGAGGAGAAAGCTCACAAAGACCATGCCTCATAAGCCATTTCCTGAAAAATAACTGAAATTCTCCTTAAGAAAATAGGTTACCTCAGTTTCCATGGGAATGGTTTCTAATGCCAAAATTTTACTGCCGACAACAAAAAGTGACAATGACAGAGAGACCAAAATGAGTGTAGCTATAGAGACTGCTTGTTTCATTATCACACCCTATTCTAATTGTTTCTTTACATGTCAGACATCACTCCCTATTATATTTTGAGGACAGGAACTAACTTATTCAGTTTGTATCCACATTATTTAACACAGTGTCTAGCAGGAAGCAAATGATTCATAAAAATTGGTAGATAAAATTGAATATTACATTACCTACTAGAGTGGTTCTCAAACAATCTGCAGATTGATAGTCCTAGAATCATCTGAGGAGAAATGAAAATATAGGTTCTCTATATCATAGAGATTGTCAAGTATAAGAACTGATGGGGCGCAGATATTTGCATTTCTTTAAAGCCCTTTAGGGGCTTCTGATATACACCAAAGTTTAGAACCACTACCTAGCCTTATATACAAATTTACAGGCAATATGCTAGATTCACATTTGCCAAAAGCCAACCTTGAATTAACACCCCTCTATGCAAAAGCATAGAAAGAACTTATTTTGCTAATGATGGGCCTATTAATGTGGCCAAATCTGGGCCAGAGGCAATCAAGGATATAAGAATGAGGAGTTTTATCCCCATAAAATGTAAAATTCTATTAGAAAACCAAGGATATTTTTAAGATTCAGGTTGGTCTGGGATAGTTTGGGGGACCGGTAAGGAGCTAAGGCAGCTTCTGACAATAACTGTGCTAAAGGGGGGAGATTAGAGTGGCATTAATTTGCATCAAGGACAATGTATAACTGTGGCAGGAAAGGAAGAATGGCACTGGTTACTACTGAATACAGGACTCTCTGCCAGACACCAACCAGCCCTTTGCTCATTGAGCATCAGTGGTCTTGGCATGGACACTGAGGCATGGCCAGCAACATGGTTCACAGGTTTTTCTGTTGTGCTTTTAGCAGGATAAAGAATATGGCTCTAACTTTTGGTTTTGAAGGTATAAGAATGTGACTATAAAGCCACAGCAGAAAGTGAGGGAAACCTGAGGAAAAAAAAATACTTAGTGGCTAAAAAGAACTAAATTATGAAGCTCATATTAGACAAACCCATAATAATCTTAAGTAGCTGGAACTAGAGAAAGATCATATTGTCATTACAGTCCTATGCTTACTCACAGACTAGTGTAGTGTGGCAAATAATACATTAGTTTTATAATAATGAAACACTGAGAATAACAAATGAATGTAGAGAAAATAACAGATCACTATGTGACATGATGCAGTCTCCACATTTATGAGTTCATACCCAGAAGATATGGGTAAAAATTAAAATCATGTGAACCTAATAAAAAATAAAAGTAGAAAGAAAAGAGAAGACAAAGGAAGAGTCAGAACTGCTTTATTAACAACTGGATAGGCATTCAATACCCTAGTGCCTAATCTAGAATCTTTCTTTTAAGTTAATAACCCACGGATAAAACATGAATCAACAAATATCCTGGGCTCTGAACATGAGGGCAGCAGGGGCAGTGTATTATCCAAACAACCTACGTTATTCCATTCTCTTTAGTATCTTCTATGTGCCAGGTGCTGTTAGGCACTGGAGATGCTATTACAACAAAGCAAAGCAGTCTGGGCATGATGTCTCATGACTTAATCCCAGCAATTTGAGAGTCCAAGGTGGGAGGATTGCTTGAGCCCAGGAGCTCAAGGCTACAGTGGGTTATGATCACGCCACTTCACTTCAGCCTGGGTGACAGAGCAAGATCCTGTTGCTAAAACAAAACAAAGTACCTTCTTTATTTTTCACCATAGCACTCAGCACTAGTTGATACTTAATTACAAATTTATTTTTAAAGTTCTGTAATATTTATTCCACATATGAACATAGTTCATGAAGTAAAGGGCTTGTCCTTGTCACCACTCTATGCCCAATGCCCTTTATAGGCCCCACTCATTAACTATTTGTGGAATAAATGAATAAATGAATTAATAATTGACTGAGTGAATAATATTGGCCATTAAATGATTAAACAGAAAAGTAGTTTCTTTTGAACTATTATCTTGGAAGGTATACTTTTTCAAGTGTATAATGTAGAAAAAGCAATGTTGTGGGACCCTATATATTCTTTCTGCTCTCACTGAAAATACAAAGTGACTCTTCTCCCCAAAACTGAATATAAACTGCCTCAACTGGAAACAGTGTATTAGTCAGTGTATTCTAGGCTGAATGTGGCAAAAAAACAAACCCCACAATTTCAGTAACATAGCACAATGTGATTTCTTTTTCATATTACTGTCCTTTGAGTGGCTCTTCTATAAGCTGTAACTTGGAGATCTAGGCTGTTACCATACTGTGGCTCTACCATCTTGAACTTTTTGTTTTCAAGGCTTTAAAATTGGGATAGAAGAGCAGGAAAGATATCTGGAGCATGTTGTGGCCAGGACTCGAAGGGATATACATTATTTCCACCCATATTCCATTTGCAGTCTCACTGAGTTGTAAGAGGGCTACAAAACATAGTCATTTTGTATGCCAAGAAAGAAAATGAAGCGGTTTGGTGAACACATGGCATTGTCTCAATGTTACACTTTCAACATTAGGTTTAAAATAAAAATACTATTTCTAGTAATAGTCAACAAGTATAGAAAATACGGATAGGAAGCAAAATAATCTATGGAAATCCCTCAATAAATATCTAAGAATCAGATATTCATTCATTCATTCATTTTATATCTGAACTTATTACTATGTACCACTATTCTCAGTCTCTTAGAGCTTACAGTCTAGACAGGAGGACAAATGAACCATTAAATGAAGATGAGTGCTTTGATAAAGTACAGCATATTATAGGAGATCTATAATAATATTTGAAATATAATTACTAATATTTTGAGCATTAGGTACTTTATAGATATTATTGCATTTATTTCTTTACAATGTGAGGAGATACCATTACTATTGTTGTTTATGGTTAAAACAGCCACTCGCTCAAGGTCTCACAATAATTAATGCACTTTAAGTACCTGAATAAGCAATGATTAACGTTGTTCATGAAAGTTACTAAAACAAGAACTGGTAGTTTTACCCCAGATGAGATAATGTAGAATGAAAAGAATGTAAAATCTCCA
The DNA here is from genome assembly GCF_000001405.40 of Homo sapiens. NCBI lineage: Eukaryota > Metazoa > Chordata > Mammalia > Primates > Hominidae > Homo > Homo sapiens. The sequence goes on along the minus strand of NC_000011.10, from coordinate 87,879,641 downwards.
GAAGAAAGCCCACATGAGATGAGCATAGAGGTTGCTCCACGAGCACACAGAGGTTCTCACTAGATTCCTAGGGAAGAAAAACCAGAGGTGACAGCAGAACCACTCCACAACCCTAGTCCACTGCATAAGCTCTTAGAGTAAAGCTCCGAGTTCCCATTCCAGAGGGTGGGTCTTGCCTTTTTAAATATTTTTGTTGTTGTTGTCTTTTCATAGTCCCAACTGAAAAAAAAAAGTCTTCTCACTTACTGGAATACTCTCCCCACCCCCATGCCCCACATGTTGAAAAGTAGGCGGTCCCTTCCAAATTTGTCCCTTATGCCTGGTGCTAAGATGAATCATGTTCTCGCAATGTGGTTACATATTCATATAAACACATAAGAAAATATTTATGAGTGTATACAGTCCGTATCCATGAAAATGAAAATTTTTATGCTCAACTTAAGCCATTTATTGTTTTGGTAATTGATGTAGGAATTGGTAAACAATGAAATTTATATTTATGATATGCCTAATATAAAAGTAATTATATTTCCACAATGAAAAAGCAAAGCAAACGACCAGAGTGTTGCCTACCTTTAATATGATTTACTCCTCTCCTCAACATTTCTGTCAGAATTCAAATTCCTAGGCAATACATATTTTCCACTGAGGCAAAAAAAAAAAAAAAAAATCAGTAATTGCTCTGAAAATTAGAGAAGCCAGCTAGGATAGAGTACTTAACTTGGATATTTTCCACTGTGATAACATGGAAATAACAGAATGCATAAGAATGGTATAATGAGGTAGGATAAAAATTCCATCCTTGAGCCAAAGTCACATTTTTCTCTCCACAGGATGAATTAAAGAGGTGGATTGAGCAAGAAATTCACCTGGTGAGCACATTGCTTTTGCAGATGTAAGTGGCACACAGCTGGCTTTAAAAGCTATGATTTGCTTACCCATATGTGGTATTACATGAAATAAAGAGAAGCTGAAACTAGGGAGGGGAAATGCAATTTTTAGCACAGCCTCACTGTCAGCAATGGAAATTGCTTTTTTAAAACTGGGAGTAGCTTTGATAAAAACATCCTCCGACATTCTCAACATTGCCTTGGGATGAATTCTTCCAGAAACCATAGAACACTCCCTCTTTATTTTGCAGTTTTATAGCATTTTATTGTCTACTTTCATTTAATGTTGTGAAGCTCTTGCACTGCCCTCTGCTGTTTTCTGAGCTGCATAACCAGGGTGTTCACAAGTAAAATACTGAGTTCATTTAATTCTCTCTCGATAGATAGATGATAGATAGACAGATGATAGATAGATAGATGATAGATTGATAGATGATAGATAGATGATAGGTAGATAGATAGATAGATAGATAGATAGATAGATAGATAGATAGATAGATGATAGGTGTGTGTGTATATATATGTGTGTATATATATATATATATATGTTTAGCACATATTAGGCATCCAAGATAAAAGAGCAGTTTTTTAAAAAAGCAGTAAATGGTCAAAGCATAGATTTTACAGTTAGGCAAAATGAGTTCTGATCCTAGCCCCACCAACATTTTCAGTTGTAAGACTGTAGATAATTTAAATTCTCTCTGGCTCAAGGCTCAGTTTCCCTACATACAAAATAGGAATATTAATACTTATTTGCTTCATGTTACAAGGATAAGTCAGGCACGCTTAGTGCCTAAAACAGAGAAGACACCATGGTATGAAGCTATTATAATATAAATTAGTCATGCACTCTACAAGAAGATAAGGCAAGTGGGGAATCTGGCAATTATGTAACACAAGGAGGGATTGATTTGATGGCTATTGTAGAAAACCAGATAGTAAAGTAGGCTTAAATGAGAATTTCAGCCATGAAAATGATACTGCTTTAGTAACCAAGTGGAGACCATTCAATTAAGGGGACAGAGACTGGAAAAAGAAACAATAGCTAGGAGGGCTAGTGTTATACCTGGGGATGAAATGTAAGGTGGGCGTAACTATGGAGGCACCATTACTAAGAGGAAGGTAGACACAGTCAACAGTCATGGTGGAGGTTGAATATGAATAATTTTGTAATAGATTGGATACAGGACACAAAGGAAAGAAAATTGGATTCTGGATATGTTGGAAGGATGATAGAGGGCATATTCCATGGATGAACAGGAGTCAGAATTAGCAAACAAAGGAGATAGCATGGGTGTGGGGGGAGGGAGGAAATTCATAGTTACTTGGCATCAACTAATAGAAATAATTTTCCTTTATTCCTCACAATAATTCTGCAATGTATACTTTATTATTCCCATATTTGAGATGAGAAAATTGGGTCCCAGAAAAGTAAGTATCTTGTTAATGACACTTAATGACACCCATCAGAACATAAAGAAGCTAGGATTCAAACAATTTTATGTACTTTCCAAATTCTAGGCCCTTTCCACTATGGCTTTACAGAATCAGTGCAAAAGAAGCAGTGTATAAAGAGGTCCTGGTTCCATGGAGGAGGTCCTCAGCACGTATGGTACTTCCATGCATGATATTGTTTTCTTTAGGTATAAAAAGATGACACCTATCTGTCCTGTTTATACTCTTTATACACAAGACCACTCATGAATATTCTCATGATATTTACTGTTGATGAGTATTTCACTTTTGTTGATGGTGAAAATGCACACTGATTTCACAGTTGATTTAAGATTTCTTCTAATGCCCATTTGCTGTTTTGGGATTCTCTACTGAAACTATATTATGTGTTTAATTTCCTGAGAGATACTATAAGAACACTTCAGCTGAATGGCAAAGGAGAAAATTGTGCCCGGTATCACTGCTCATCTGCTACCAGGTGAGCAGGTCTAAATAGCATTGAAGAACACCGTTTCCTTCTCTCTTTCACCAAAGTCTTGTTTGAAGAGTAGTCTCATACAGGCCTCACTAGAATTTCATAATCCAGAGTGACTTCTAAGAAAAAATTTTCAAACTTAAAGACAATGGAAAGTCAAAGATGTGCATGAGCCCTAAAGAAACCACCTATCAAGAAGAGACATAGACTCAAACTAGGCTCCCACCAACTCCAAAGTCCTAGAAGCTTTCTAAAGTCTCCTGTCTTCATAATCCCTTCATTCTAACATTTTTATTAGGTGAGAATTAATATTTGTTACTCTTTCAAAGCTGTGTTAGTTTGGATTTGCTGAGGAGAAGCCAAGACAGAACTAGATATACAAAAATTTATTGGGGGAGAAAGAAAGAGGAGATAGAGAGAGCTTTTGGACCACGACACTTGTCCAACATCTGTGAAAGAAGAGAAGGAAAAAGGACTATGGTAGAAAAATTGCTGGTAAGGAGTCATCATCATGCCCAGATACCCACTAGAGAAGGTTTCTATCTCTAGATTAGACCCACTTTGTTCAGTCATTGGCATGAATGTCGTAGTTGATCAGAAGGGCATCAGCTAAGATCATCACTCAATTCTGCTACCTGCAGCTAGAGATCTTAGCAGCATGTTTTCACGACAGTTTCGAATTCTATCCCCAGAGATCTATATTGAAATATTAGAGGAAATTATAGAGTAATAATTAAACGTAGAGTTTGGAGACAAACTTCCTAAGTTCAATTCTTAACTTCATCACTTGGCTGGATAAAGACAAAGATTCCTGATATCACTATTCAACAGTGTATTGAAGACCTTGGCAAAAGCAATATAGAAAATAAATGTAAAGAATGGGGAGGAAAAAGTAAAATCTGTTATAATTCACAAATAACAGGATTGTAGATATAGAACATCTAAAAGAATCCACAAATTATTAGAACTAATCTGTAAATTTTAGCAAGGTTGTTGAATAGAAGGTCAATATGCAAAAAATCAACTGTACTGTACTACTATAGCCAACAACAAAAATTTTAAAAATAAAATGTTATTGAGCTAATGCTTAAGGTAATATCAAAAACATTACATTTCTAGAGAAAAAATCTAACTAAGGAAATTAAAACTTAAAACTGCAATGAAAATTATTAAATTACTAGAAAAATTTAAGAAAATATAATGAAAAATGCTATATTCATCAACTATAATACTCAGTACTACAAAGATATAAATTATCCCCAATTGACCTATAGATTTCACTAAGTCTGAATCAAAACTCCAGTAGCAATTTTGGGTGAATTGATACCCTAAATCTAAAATGTGTATGGACATACCCCAGATAAATAATCAACATCTACAGTCTCTTTATTTATGACATTAAAGTGCAATGGAGAAAATATTTTTTTCAATAAATGGTGTTTGGTTGATTGGATATCAATATTTTATTTTATTTTTCTCACCTTTACTTATAATTAATTTTATTTTTAATTGATAAATCATAATTGCATACATTTGTGGACTGCAATATAATGTTTTATATATTGTATATATGTATATAATGTGGAATGATTGAATCAAGCTAATTAACCAATCCACCACTTAACTTACCTATCATTTTTTATTCTAAGACATTTAAAATTTACTCTCTGAATTATTTTAAAATATACATTATTATTGACTAGAGTCACCCTACAGTGCACAAGATCTAAAAGATTATTCCTCCTGTCTATCTGAAACTTTGTAATCTTTGATCAACAACAGATCCATATCTTGGTTATTGTGAATAATGCTGAAATAAGTATGGCAGTATAAGTATCCCTTCAACATATTGATTTCAACTCCTTTGAATATATACCCAGAAGTGGGATGACTGGACCATATGGTAGTTCTATTTTTAATTTTTTGAGGAACCCCCATACCATTTCCCACAATGGTTGTATTAATTTACATTCCCACCAGCAACCTGCAAGGGTTCCCCCTTTTCTCCTCATCTTCACTAATGCTTATCTTTTATCTTTTTGATAAAAGGTATTTTTAACAGATGTAAGGTGATATCTCTTTGTGGATTTAATTTGCATTTCCCTAACGATTATGGATGCTGAGCATTTTTTAATTTATTTTATTTTATTTTATTATTTTATATATATATTTTATTATACTTTAAGTTCTAGGGTACATGTGCACAACGTGCAGGTTTGTTACATATGTATACATATGCCATGTTGGTGTGCTGCACCCATTAACTCATCATTTACATTAGGTATACCTCCTAATGCTATCCCTCCCCTCTCCCCCGACCCCACAACAGGCCCCGGTGTGTGATGTTCCCCTTCCTGTAAGCCATTTCTATGTCTTTAAAAGGTATCTGTTCAGGTCCTTTGCCCATTTTTTAATTGAGTTATTTGTTTTCTTGATACTGAATTGTTTCGGTGCTTTATATATTTGGGGTATTATCAGATGTATGGCTTGCAAATATTTTCTCCCATTCTGTGATTTTCTCTTCACTTTATTGTTTCCTTTGTTGTTGATATCAGTATTTTAATAAGTGAAACAATGGTACTTCACACAATATGAACAATGTGCAATAACTGATTCTAGATAGGTCATAGATCATAATGCAAATGGTGAAAAAATAGAAGTAAACATAAAAAAATTTCTCTATGAACAAGGAGTAGGGAAAGATTCATTTAACAGGACCAAGAAGCATTCACATAAAGAATATTGTCGAATTGGACTTAATTATATTTGTAACTTCTGTTCATCAAAAAGTAACACAAAGAAAATAAAAAGGGAAACCACAGATTGAGATATCTGTCATATGTAGACCTGACAAAGAACTATTATGCAGAGTATATATATATATATATATATATATATACACACACACACACATATATATATATATATACACACACATATATATACACACACACACACACCCCTATACACTGGCAAATCAATAAGAAAGAAAAGTAAACATATTCAATTTTAAACCAAATTTATAACAGAGAGTTAAGAAAGAAATATAATACAAATTGAGTCAACTGATCTTTGACAAAGAAGCAAAAACAATTCAATGGAAAAAGGATATTTTTTTCCATAAATGGTGCCAGGACAACTGGATGTCCACATGCAAAACAAAATCTAGACACAGACTTTATTCCCATTGCAGAAAATTAATTCAAAATGGATTATAGTCTTAAATGTAAATGCAAAGTTATGAAACTCCCAGAACATAACATAGGAGAAAATCTAGATGACTTTGGGTTGGGTTTGGTGATTACTTTTTAGATACAACACCAGTGGCATAATCCATGAATGAAATAATTGATAAGTTGAACCTCATCACTAAATAATAACAACTTCTGCTCTGCAAAAAATACTGTCAAGAGAATGAGAAAACAAGCCAGAGACTGAAAGAAAATATTTGCAAAAGACATATTTGATGAGGGACTGTTATCCAAAATATGCAAAGAAGCCTTAAGTTTTAACCCAATAATAAGAAAACAAATATTAAAACTGGGTAAAATATCTGAATAGATACCTTATCAAAGAAGATATACAGATAACAAGTAAGCATATGAAAAGATGCTCAACATCATATATTACTAAGGGATTGCAAATTGACACAACCATGAGATATTATTACGTACCTGTTAGACTGTCAAAAATTGAAAACATTGACACCAGGTGCTAATGAGAATGTGGAGGAACAGGAACTCTCATTTTTTGTGGGAATACAAAGTTGCACAACTATGATGGAAGACAATCTGGAGGTTCTTACAAAACTAATCATATTTTTACTATGCGATTCAGTAATTGTGTTCAAATTATTTGTGGAAATGAGTTGAAAACTTACATCCATACACAAGTCACACATAAATGTTTATAGCAGCCTCATTCATAATTGCCAAAACTTGGAAGTAAACAATACGTCCTTTAGAGGGTGAATGGATAAATAATCTGGGACACATTCATGCAACAGAATATTATCTAGCATTAAAAGTTCTGAGCTATCAAACCACAAAGAGTTGTGAAACAACCTTAAATGCATATTACTAAATGAAAGAAGCAAATCTGAAAAGGCTAAATACTATTAAGTAAAATGAAATAAAAGATTCCAACCATATGATATCCTAGAAAAGGTAAAACTATGGAGACAGTAATCAGTGATTTCCAGGGTTAGAGGGCAGGGAGGAATGAATAGGTATAGCACAGGGGATTTTTAGGGCAGTGAAACTTTTCTGATACCATAATAGTGGATATATATCACTACACATTTGTCAAAACCCATAGAACGTAAATTAAGAGTGAACGCTAATGTAAACTTTGGACTTTAATTTATAATGACATGTCAGTGTTGGTATCAGTTGTAACAAATGTACTACCCAGGTGCAGGATGTTGATGGTGGGGGAGGCTGTGCGTATGTGAGACGAGAAAGCATATGGGAACTATTCATACTTTCCACTCAATTGTTGTGTACCTAAAATTGCTCTAAAAATATAGTCTATAGGAAAAAATCCAATTTAAAAATGGACAAAAAGCTGAATAGTCTCTTCATGGGAAACGGAAAAGGGTATTTCAATGGCCAATATGCATATGATAATGTATTCAATGGCTTACTACTAAATGCACACCAGAATGGCAAAAATGAATGACAAACAAGTGTCAGTGAAGACAGCAGGTAAATAGAACTCTCAGATACTGTTGGTAGAAATGTAAATTCATACAACCAATTTGGTAAAGTATTAACCACTATATTATAAAGCTGAGCCTATGACTCTGGAGTTCTGTTCTTTGATGTATATATATCCAACAAAAATATGTACATATATTCACTAAAATACAGGTAGCATTATTTGTAATAGTCAACGGTGGAAACAATAATCAGTATCAGTAATAGAATGGTTAATATGGGGTATGTTCATTCAGTGGAATGTAATGAAAATAGGTAAACCATTGCTACGCAGAAGTCATGGAAAAAATTCACAGAATGTTAGGCAACAAAAATGCAGCATATATTATATGCTTCTACTTATATAAATTTCAAAAACAGTCAACCCTAATTCATGGTGTTAGCAGTTAGAATATTTGTTAGCCACAGGGAAAATGTAGTAGCTAGGAGAGAGAATAAAGCATTTTTCCAGGATATTGATAATGTTCCATTATATTTTGTGGAAAATCATTTATCTACATACTTATGACACACTACTTTTCTATATTTATATTTTTATAAAATTATACTTTAAAATATGCAAGCTTTTTATGGACTAATTTATGCTTTTAACTGGAAAGCACTAAAAAGAATTTTAAACATAGGTATATGACTGTGTGCATGTGTATTTGTATTTGTGTGTACACCACAAACTTCTGGGTCAAGTTCAAAATCTTATCACGTAACATATATTTGAGAATTTGTTTTGTAGCTGTAGTCTTTTTCACATGAAGCCTCACTTCTTACCTTAGTTGAGTCAGTCTAGCTCTGATTCCTGCTTTAAGGGAACTGGTGGCAGACGGTAGGGAGGGGTTGTTGGGAATGGATCACAGTCTGTTGCTCTGGAATCTAGGCATTTCACAGCTTGTCCTGGAGGCAATCAGAATATACAATGACATGCTTTGACAAACAGACTAACAACAAACTTGAATCATGTTTAGACCCTCAGGTGAAATCAACTAAACATAAAAATAATTTTCTCAAATTTGTTTGCTTTAATTTTTACATATTACATATTAAACCCAGTGTTTGCATCCAGATTAAAGTTTGAAACAAATGGAATAGTTTGTACATAAAATATGGCTATAAAAATATTTTAACATTTTGCATGACATACTAAAACACAACATAATGCTATGTGTGATATAAAAAATTCAATTGCATAAGATGCAGGATTAAATATTGCACTGCAAATGAAAAAATATGGTTTTCATTTGGTCTGAACATAATGCACAAATGTACAATGATAGTTATTCCATACACAAACACCAGACTAAGTCCCATATGATGATAAGGTTGTCACTTTCAACCCCCTCTTTCCTCTTCCAATCCCAGAATATAAGTCTATTTCTATTAAAAATTCGCTTGGGCAGAGGACAGAAGCAATTGTGTTCTATCCTTGCTTGAGTTATCACTTTCCTGCTCCAATTTATGTGGGCATCTTCTTAATGTCACACATTAGTTGATAATACAAATAGGAGCTATTTTAGCTTAGAAACACCGAACTAAAAACAAGAATAAAGAAACAAATTTAGTATGGCCAGAAAAGCCAAAGGCCACAGTAAGGAAAAGTCACGGACCCCTGATGAGAAATGTGTGTAGACTCTGAAATGATTTTTTTTTTATTTGACAAAAAGAATTTCTTAAAATTTGAATTAAGAATGAAAATGGACATGAATATCTGCATCACAAACATAAGACCTATATTAGTTTTGTTTAAGTCTGTTCCAGTGATTCTGAGCCATTTTCACGATGAGTCACAGTGGATGATATCCGTGTGTCTGACATTGTGGGCATATACAGATATTTTCACAGAACTGTGAAAGCTTTTGAAAGGAAGTACAGTAAACAGCCCCACAAAAATATTTTCTCTTTAATGAGGTGCTCATAAAAAAGATTTGTTGTGAGCATGTGAATAATAAAATCAGTCCCAACTAAGTATTTACTTTAAAAGGCTAGATAATATTATGACTAAACTAAATAGTATTAATTTTAAAAACATCTTATATGTTTCCAGACTTCTATTCTACAGGTAATATTAAGATGAACAATATTACATAATTTAAGCATAAGTATGAATATAATTTATTTTATTGTAAGAGTTATAATGGGTTTTATAAATTAGACACATTATAATGAATTTTAGAATTTTCTGACTTTTAACATATCTATAGAACTTTTGTAAGTGTTAGCTTAGTTGAGTTGCTTTGATTGGCAACAGGCATACCCTTTTGTGAATGTGGTAATAAAATAATACTGCTCATCTCCTTCATTTGTATATACTGAAGAGATGGCTCTGCAGGAATGCAGCTGATCATTTGGGCTGTGTTGTGTAGATGGGATGTCTCCAACTGAAGAAAACATAAGGGAATACAAACAAACAATTACAATGTTATTATTGGGATACTCTTGAAAGAACCCTAAAGTTATTTTTTTCAGTTCAAAACTTCACAAATACTTGAATATAGTAAAAACGAGGACTACAGACCTAAAATATACTTTTTCAACAATAGCACTCCACCTGCTGCTGTGATTTATCCAATAACTATAAAATTATTGCATTTTCCAAAATGATTTGATACTTGTGTTAATGCAGACCTGTTTACAGGATACAGATGCACTATAGTAGAGTAAGCAGAGCAGTAATTTGGGGTGAGTGAGCCGGGTTCTTATTCAGGCTCTCAAGGAATACTGACCAAGAAACTATGAGTGCTCATTTAATTTCTCTGAATCTCAGTTTTCTAATATTTAAGTTTAGGATAATAATACTCACCACATGAGTGTTAGGAAGATTAAATGAGATAGATGTTAAACGCTTATCCCAGTGCCTGGAGTATAATAAGTCATCTGAAAAGTAGTAGCTGACCTTGTGATTTGGTTGATGAGAGAGCAGATGATCATTCAGCAGACAGCAGTAAAGGACAGTTTGCCACAAAAATATAAGTGATGATGATAGTGACATTTAAAATGGTTTGTTTTATGGTTTTGCTCCCTAGATTCTGATACCAGAATAAGATAACAGGATAAGGCAGTAGAAAAAGTGAATCAAGAGCAAGTTCTCAGCTAGAAAGTCACGGCAGTCTGTTTTTTGTGGGAATCTCTGGAGCACAAACAGTTCCAGTCTTGGTTTCACCTTTGGGCCAGGGAGTGGCCTTTGTTACCATCTAGGCAGTTAGACATTGGTGACAGCATACAGACCTGAAGAAGGTAGGAATGAAACAGGCCTTCCTGTCTTGTGGGAGGTAATTCTCCTGAGAAGGAGGCAACACTCAAAGCAGCTGGGATGGTACACCAGCCAGAAGAGAGGATGGGGGCAGGGTACCAACAATTATGTCCCCAACAACTAGCATCCTTCCTCAGTTGGATCTATTCAGTAGCAGGGAAATCCTGTGCTAGGAGTATATGGCCTAGTTGTGTGTCTATCCTCCAAATTAAATTATCCCTTTTTTGTTTATTCTCATTCTCTCTCTCTCTCTCTCTCTCTCTCTCTCTCTCTCTCTCTCTCTCCCTCACTCCTTATCATTTTAGCCCTGATCTGGATCACCTTTCATTTTCATTTCTGTTGCCACATTCTTTGTCACATAATGTCTTAGTCCATTTGTGTTGCTGTAAAAGAATACTTGAAGCTGGGTAATTCATAAAGAAAAGAAGTTTATTGGCTCATGGTTTTTCAGGCTTGACAAGAAGCATAGCACTAACATCTGCTTCTGTTGAGGGCTTCAGGCTGCTTCCACTCATGCTGGAAGGTGAACAGGAGCTGACGTGCACAGATCACATGGTGAGAGAGGAAGCAAGAGAAAGAGGAAAGAGGTGCCAGGCTCATTTTAACAACAGCTCTTGTGGGAACCAATAGAATGAGAACTCACTCACTACCTCAAAGATGGAATCAAGTCATTCATGAAGGATTTGCCCCCATGACCCAAACACCTCCCATTAGGCTTCAACTCCAGCACTGGGGATCAAACTCCAACATGAGATTTTCAGGGACACTCATATCCAAGCTATAGAACATAATGTTCCACATTTCAAGATATTCTATGTGATACTGATCATTTCCATGTATCAATCTTGACATATCAACTGTGAAGGGTTTCAGCATCTTTGTTCATAACTCTTAAGTATTCTGTTTCATAAAGTGTGAGACAATACATAGTGTCACTCAGATTAGGGCCAGGTGACTTGGGTTTGGATCTTATCTCTGCCGTTTACTAGCTCACTGAGTTGAGGTAAGTGATTTAACTCTCTGGATCTTAGTTTCTTCATCTGTGGTATAAACGTAAAAATTTCACTTACCTGTTAAGAGTCCATGGTAATTCAATTAATTGATACATTTAAAACACACAGAATAGTATCTGATACAGGGTAAGCACTAGTTAAATATTAAGTGTTCATAGTCATAAAATGCAGAGGCTGTCTTTCTCAATTTCAGACTTTCAATTATGGTTCTAGTTCTCTGGTTATTACCAAATCTCCCAATTGTTATTTATTACCCACATCTGTGCAATTTTGAGATAATCATAAAGTCCAATTCTTGAATGTCAGGAAGCTCCACCAATGTCTTCTACTTACAATTTCCAGAAAAGCCTATGAATAGTTGTTGTGACTATCCTAAAGTAGATTTGGTTTTTAGCTAAAGGTTAAATGACTTTTAGATTAAGTTTTGCCTAGAAGACTCTCCCATTACAATGGATTCTTTCCTTCTTTATGGCATTTTAATTTTTCTGTCTTGTATCTAATGTCCCCCAAGATCTAAACACTGAGATTAAAACTGCCTCGTGGAGACAAAATGTTAGTCTTTAAAGATGAAATAACAATTTGGATCACTGTTTGGCTACTATGGTGCCCACTGAACTCTAAAATTTACCCTGAGAGGTATTATCCCAATTAGCTACAGAGCTAAAATATCTTCTGGTCTGCTGCCAAGCATGTGGTAGTGGGCCTGGATTTCTGTTCATCTGGACAACCAGCATTCAGAAAGCTGAGCTGGATGCAAACCAGAGAAGAGCAAGAACAGGTTGGCTCCACCCAGTTATGTCTGTATTCAACCATCATCATAACTGATTTCAAATACCTTCCAAGGCAATGGCCACAGATTTACTTCTGCCTCCCAAATATTTTGCATGTTTCTCATTTATCCAACTCTACCCTAGAACTCTATAGGGAAAGGTGTTTGGTAAAACATAGCCTCCAACTTGACCAAGTCTCCACAGCAAAATCCAGCCCATGCCAGAAGCTTTCCTGACTCTCTATGTTCAGTTGAATGCTCCTTGCTGTGACCCTCTTCCATTCTGGGCATGTCGAAGTCATTCTGTGAGCACAAATCAGCTCTTCATATTTTGGCTTGGGGATCAGAGGAGCTTCCATAACTAACTACCTATTATCCCAATTAGTTTAAGTTCCACCACCTTGCCCACTATATGGCACACGGTAGGAGTTCAATATACATTTACTGAAATGGAATGAACAGAGACAAGAAAAAATGAAAAGCAGGTTTGGTAAAAGGTAGTTCTGTCGATAAGTATACATCACAGAGGCAGAGCCAAGACTCCAGAAAGCAGCTAAAATCAATAATAGAATTCAGCTCATTTCAGTTATGATAGAAAGGTAAAAATAGAGTCAAAGTAGGATTGACTTATTTGTGCCTGATAAACATGTTTATAAAGAGAAGTGAATGAAGAATAAAGCAATGCCATGGAAAGCAATGGTACCGGAAGAGTCTCTATTGGAAAGATATTGCCCATGGAGTAGTATTAGTGCTTGCCAGAGAACTTGCCACAAATTAATGTACATATAGAGGCCCAGAAATCTTGATATTTGTTTGCTGCTTATCTCTGTCCTCAAAATTCTAGCAAGCACATCAGTAACTCTAAGCCATTTATTCTCTATCTGTCTTCCCACCCTGATCCCCTATGCCCCACACTCTCCCTGCTCTGGTTATCCTTGTCCTTCCTACTTTTCTCCTTTTCAGTTACTTTAACTCCTCATTCTAGAGGAAGATCAATCTGGTTTGGAATACTGACTCCATTGTTCATTCATACTTTCTGAGACTCCGAATTCTCTTCTATAAAATTGATAATATTTTCTATTGCAAAGGCTAACAAATAATTTATTGTGAATATTTATTCAGTGTATCTGTAACTGCCTCTCTGTTTCCTTCTTTCCAAGACTAAAAAGATAAAGATTAGGGGCCATCTGCTGTTGCACCAACATAGTCCCTGAGATATAACCTGACACATGCAATATTCTCCTGAGAGAAATTCTAGTGACTACAAATCCCCTTCCTCTTTCTGTCATATATTTACCCTGACTGGTTTTCCAAGTCTGCGGACTCTCACAATTTCTCAATCTCTCTCTTCTTTTCTTCCTTCCTTCTCTTTTCCTTCTTTTCTTCTCTACCTTCTCTTTTCTTCATGTCCTCCTTTCTTGATCATGTATTAGCTTCCCATTGCTGATCTAACAAATCACCACAAAGTTAGTGGCTTCAGGCAACATATTTCATCTCACGGTTTTGAAGTCAGAAGTCCAAAATCAGTTTCACTGGGCTAAAATTAAGCGTCTGGGTTCCTATGGGAGACTCTAGGGAGGGAGACACCCTTACTTCACCTTTTCAAACTTCTAGGTACGCATGAGCCAGAATTCTTTGATTGTGACCACTTCCTCCATCTTCAAAGCCAGGAGTATAGCATCTTCTCTCCTCTATGACCTTTGTTTATTTCCTTTTATTTTTTCCTTCTGATTTTTCTGCTTCCCTTTTATAAAGACCCTTGTGATTACCTGGAGACCACCTGGATAATCCAGCATAATTTGACACTTCAAGATCCTTACTTTAATCATATTTACAAAATCCTTTCATTAAGTAGCACATTCACAGGTTCCAGGCATGAGTATATGGACATCTTCGGGGGATGTTATTCAGTCCATTATACCCCATTTCTTCAAGTTCATCTTCCCTTTTCCCCCATTTCCTCCATCCTTCCCTGTTCTTGGTCTTCCTTTCTGGTGACCCTCTTACAGGAACACATCAGTCTCTCCTCATATTACGTGCAGTAAAAATAAGTGACTCTCATTTTGTCAAACAAATCGCAAAGCGTAGATGACAAGAGAATGGTCCTGTTTACTCAATCAAATTATAAGGTAGAAAATCTAACCTTTCAAATACAGAAGCTGGATAGATGTTCTGCTAAGTTATCTCTGGAAGTTTGTTTAGGTGATGAGCAACCTCACTGAGAACTGCTCGTCTGCGATATTAAGTTAAACTCTATTTTTCTCTTACCACCATCTAACAATATTTTATACTTTGTCTAACTCGTTTCTTTCAATATTTGAAAGTCTTCCATTATTCTTTCACCCATGTAGTGTTGAGGGAAGAATATAAATTAGAATTCCAAATAACTGGTATCATATTCTAGTCTGACACTCACTAGCTATGTGGCTTTGGGAAAATTATTTTATTTTTTTGAGCCTCAGTCCCCTCACCTAATTAAAGGATAAAATATTACATTTGCTGTCAAAAAAGTAAGATAATTCATATTATACCTGAAAACCATGATATTCCAAGAAAACATGAAACAAGAATATTATGTTTGAGGCTTTCTGACAAGATAGTTGCAAAGGCTAAATTAAATGATGTATGTAAATTATGAGGTAAAATACTGCTACTACTACTGCTAATAATATTAGTAATAATGTACATGTATTGAGTAGGCCCAGTAGAGGGAGAATTGTATCAACATTATATGATATAATATATAACATATTAATATAAATAATTATAATATAGTACAGCATAGTATAGTATAGTTTATTAATTATATGAGCATTGTGATTTCACCAGCCTTGAGAGTGGAATAATGAGGGGACTGACACAACTAAGAAAGAAGTTTTGGTAATGTTTTCTCGTAGGGTGTCATTTCCAAAATGTCCACATATCTACCTATGAGGGACTTTTGTAGAAGCCCTGGTTAAGAATAATTAGCTTCATCTTTGGAGCAAGAGTTACTCTCTCAAAGCCCACATGTATTGTGGCATGTGGGAAAGATAAAGGGTAGATTTTTACCGTGATCACGACCACCACACCCAGCAAAGCTCTACTAGGTTCATCTGCTCAGCCTTGGTAGTAGAGGGGGTGGTAACCGCTTTGCACTGAATAGGAAGATACATATTAGCCCATGGGGCAGCACTCATTTATAGGAAAAAGCACTGTATTATTTAATTTAAAGGGTTTTCACATTATGCTTAGACATTTTTAGTAAATTCTACAAGGATTTTAGGCGAGTGAAGTCAGTGAGGCTAGGTTGCATAGTAAACTATGCTCATCTAAAGATTTAAGAGCTATACACTTTATTACGAGTGTCTTTAATATAGATAGAAAGATGGTTTAAAAATACGGGATCAAGCAGAAAGTGATTCTATCAAGCAATGAATGATAAACTTTGAGGAGGCCTAAAAGTCTAGCTTTAGGTCTCCAGGTTTTTATTTAGAGCACTGTCTTATTTACACTATCATGCGCCAAACAGAGTCCTGCCTTCTGTTTCTGTTTTCATGTATTTCTGCAAATTCTGTCCTAGGTCTGAAACTGGGACTTTTCACCACCCAGTGGTTGTAACCTCCCTCTCCAGCCCACTACCCACTTCATGCTTGCTGGTGAAGTGTGAGACACAATACTCTGTGGTTGTCTTATGAAAAGAGTACAGAAGGAAGAAAGAAAACTAACAGCTATTGTCATTTGCCATAAGTTGGGTACTTTTGGGGTACTTGACACTTTCAGTATGTTATTATCTTTAATCCTTCTCTCCCCCTTATAAAAGCAAGATTATTTTCTATTTTAAAGATGAGGAAATAAGAATCAGAGAAATAATTTACCTAAAGTCACAAAGCTTTTATTTTGCAGAACTGATATTTGAATTCAGATCTTTTTAACATTGGAAGACCATTCTAGTCCCGCTCATCTACTATTCATTCTTTTCTCACTTCTTCCTATTCATTCATCCACCCATCAACATTAAACATTTTCTATACACCAGGCTATGTTCAAGACACTAGAGAAGTATATTAAATAACATTCAGCCTGTGTCCTAGAGAAGCTCAGTGATTAGTGCAGATGGACTGCATATAAATGAATTACTAAATTAGAGTGACTGCTATTTAAAAATATGTGCTTTACAGGTAATGGTTTATTCATTAATCAAGTTAAAGGCTTTATTTATTTATTTTAATGTAAACTTTATTTATCAACATTAGTTCCTTCAAGTTCAAGACACTTTTGTAAGTGATAATACCGGCCATTTAGTCTATCTTTTTTAAAAAAATTGTAAACATTTACTTAGTATATTGGGTCAAGGTTTATATGTGATATACTGAATCCTTGCACATTTATTTAAAGATCAGCATTATTAATCTTATTTTTTAGTTTTTATTTAACTTTTGTTTAAGTTCAGGGGTACAAGTGCAGGTTTGTTACATAGGTAAACTTGTGTTGTGGGGGTTTGTTGTACAGATTATTTCATCACCCAGATATTAAGCCCAGTACCTATTAGTTGTTTTTCCTGATCCTCTCCCTCCTCCCACCCTCTACCCTCTGATAGGCCCCAGTGTGTGTTGTTCCTTTCTATGTGTCCATGTGTTCTCATAATTTAGCTTCCACTTGTAAGTGAGAACATTCCATATCTGGTTTGCTGTGCTGTGTTAATTTGCTAAGGATAACGGCCTCCACCCCCATCCATGCCCCAGCAAAGGACATGATCTCCTTCCTTTTTATGACTGCATAGTATTCCATGGTGTATACGTACCACATTTTCTTTATCCAGTCTATTGTTCATGGGCATTTAGGTTGATTCTATGTCTTTGCTATTGTGAATAGGGCTGCAATGAACATATCCGTGCATGTGTCTGTATATAGACAATTGATATTCCTTTCTGAACATACCCAGTAATGGTATTGCTGGGTCAAATGGTATTTGTCTTTAGGTCTTTGAGGAATTGCCACACTGTCTTCCACAATAGTTTAACTGATTTACATTCCCATCAACAGTGTGTAAGCATTCCTTTTTCTCCACAACCTTGCCAGCCACTGTTATTTTTTGACTTTTTAGTAGTAGCCATCCTGACTGGTGTGAGATGGTATCTCACTGTGGTTTTGATTTGCATTTCTCTAATGATTAGTGATGTTGAGCTTGTTTTCATATGATGAGGGTCCTGGGAATATAACCATATAAATGCAGTCTGTTGTACGTTATTAACTGAGGAAAAATTGATGCTTTTTTAAGACTAGGAAACACAAAATAAGTTAAAAGGAGCCAAATCAGGAATGTAAGTTGGGTGTCTAATGATTTCCCATTGAAATTTTTGCAAAATGTCCCATGTTTGATGAAAGGAATAAGCAGCAGCATTGTTGCGGTGGAGGACTCGCTATGAGGGTGTCCTGGGTCCTTTTCTGCTAAAATTTTGGCTTTCTCAAAACACTCTTATAATAATCAGATAGTATCACTTTTTGGCCCTCTAGAAAGTCAACAAGCAAAATGCCCTGAGCATCTCAAAAAACTGTTGCCCTGACCTTTGCTCTTGACTGGCTTTTGTTTGCTTTGACTAGCCCACTTTCACCTGTTGGTAGCCATTGCTTTGATTGTGATTTGTCTTCAGGATTGTGCTGGTAAAGCTTTGTTTCATCCCTGATTATAAGTCTTTGAAAAAAATGCTTCTGTATCTTGATTTTTCACATGTTTAAAACTTCCACTGAAAGCTCTGCTTTTGTCTGCAGCTGATCTGAGTGAAACCATTTTGGCACCCATTGTTCAACTTTAATTTTTCAGTCGGAACTGTGTAACCTGAACCAACTGAGATGTGTATGGTGTTGGCTATTGTTTGTGCTGTTAAGCATCCATCTTCTTCAATTAGGGCATGAATAAGATGGCCTTTTTCCATGCAAATTAACGTGGACAGTCTGCAGCTGTGGGCTTTATTTTCAATATTGTCTTGTCCCTTCTTACAACAAGTTATCCATTTGTAAACTGCTGATTTCTTTGGGACGTTGTTCTCCTAAAGATTTTATAAAGCGTGAATAATTTCACCTTTCTTCCAGCAAAGTTTCACCATAAATTTGATTTTTGTTCTAGCTTTAATTTTAGCAGAATTTATGTTGCTGAGATGGGGGCTTCTTTTGAACTGATATCTCGGCCTTATAAAACATATATGACATATAAAGTGGAATCCTTACTTTAAATTATAACATACAGCTCCTTTCTCCAAAAATCTCCAACTCATTATGGAAACAGCTCTGACTTGTAAAATAAAAATAAAAAAAAATTAGCTTTCACATTTGACCCTGAAAATAAAAAGTCCAGATGTTACTTATTTTATTATCTCTATCAAAACAATTTGAAGTTTTTTTCATTTGTATTATTTCCCTAGCATTATTTTAAATCAGCTTAGTGAAACAATCGGTCACTCAGCAGATAACTCCATATTCTTTCTATTTACAAAGGTTTCAATTCATTTTAATATTTATGTATGAATTTTATTTATATACTTCCTTATAAAATTAGATACAATAAAAACGTATTCGCAATGAAAGTAAATATCTCACTTTATCTTATCCTTTCAATTGTCCACTCTCTTCTCTAAAAGTCATTAGTGTTGAAGTTTGATATCAATTATTCTGTAAACTTTGTATACATTGCATATAAATGTAACTTTACAAGTTATAATTTAATTTTTACAGAAATAGGGCCATTCTGTTTATGTTATTTGGCAATATTATCATTTCACTTAATTCTGTAAGTTAAGAGATTTTTTTCCTAAGCCAATACAATTAGATTTCACTGGGTTAAACTAAAGTCATGTTGCTTTATTGATGCATATTTAGTATTGCTCTTATTTATAGTTACTATAATTATATGATGAACATCCTTATGATTCCTTTCTCTAGTATAGTGAGCACTTTAAGACACTGGCCCATCAAGCATCTATTTTTTAGTAATGGAATCTAAATCACCTTTGTTAGAATCTCCTCCATCGCCCTGCTAAGTAATTCAGGGAAGATCCTACCCAGTTAGGGAGGAGCATGAGCTTTAGGCTGATGCCACTTTAAGTATTCTATACCACAGACACATAGTTTGGTTTGCAGATGGGCACATGACACATCTGGCCCATAAGCACCATGGCTTTCTCTTAATTTGGAAGAAAGAGAAACAATATTTTCTGCTGACTGTAAGCTTGTTACAATACAATGTTGAAAGCACTAAAATCTTTCTGCCACTACCATGAATGAACCTGTCTGGGAATGGAGCCAAAATAGTGGAAGCAGAGCCAAGAAGCAGAAAAAGAAGTAAGCCCTGTTGACCTATTGTTAATCCCTGAAACAAGATGTTTCTGATGCCAACAAGAACTAGCTCTGGACTTTACAATGATGCGAGCCAGTAAATTTCCTTTTGCTGCCTAAGCCACTTTGTTAGCTTTTCTCTCAATCACAACCAAAAGATATCTTACTAATGCTGATAGGAATATAATTGCCAGGCCATTTAAAGGTATGTGCGATTAAAATTATTATATATATTGGCAAATTGCGCTTCCATCAATGCTACCAATTTAAACAATCACAAACCTCCAACCATCAAGGTGTCTTAACTGTGCATACATTTCTCCTATTTTTCTATTAGGTCATTTATGATTTTTCTGATTATCTTCATATATCCTATAAATTTTCCCTTCATTATATTAGAGTGCATACATTTTTTTACAAACCACCCTTTTTCTTGAAACATTATTTATAACTAGTCATACCAAGGTTTTAAGTCAAATTTTAAATTGTTAAAATCTAGGGACATCTGCTAATTATTTCTTTGTAATTGACAGATTAATTTTTTGTCTTCTCAATGGCGTATAAACATTCTTAAATTTTTATTTTTCCTATTTTTAAAATTTTATTTTACTATTTTCTTTTAAAACATTTAGAATTTATTCAAGTGTATATTGTGAGGTATTGTGATGAATAGTTAATTGTGCTAAAGCTATTTATTAAAGAGTCTATTCTTTTCCAGTAATTCAAAAGGCTATTTTTATTATTTGTTATGTTCTTCTTTATATTTTTATTTATTCTAAGTCTGTTGCTTGGCTTTATTCTGTTTTGCTTATTTTTTTTTTTTACTTTTTATTTTTGTTTTTTGGACTCAGGTGGACACAATTTTATTAATCATATTTCTTGTTTATGGTATACTGTCACCATTGGTTTATGAATGAATTGTCATTTTTTTTCACAGTTTAATAAATACCTGCAAATCCGTCACTGCAAACTAAAGTTAGGACCTTGACAATGACCTACATATAACAACATCCCTTCTTCCTATGCCATTGTTACCAGTCCATCATTTCCTGTTTTCTTTATAAATACTATATATCCCTTGTAAATTCTATGCGTCTTCCCAAAATTAAATATTTTATATTTCATTTGTTAACCTTAATACAATGGCATTTGAGATTTCCTTAAGGTTTTTAGGGTCTTGAATAAATTTTTTGTGTGGAGCACCTGTCTGTAAATAATTTGAGTTATCCCAAATAAGGATGCTAGAACCGTAATGGCTTTCTAATTTAATGTGATCCCATGAATGAAATATCTTTCTGGTCTTCAGGAACAATCTGCTTGACAGGCTACCCTCCTGGAACCACTGGGTTCTTGGAAGAACACACAGGCATGAGTCCAGAGTTCCTTGGAGCATTTGGTTAACTCTACCACAGAGTAGAGGATTAAAGAGAGCCCCAAAGAAAAGAAATGACAACGTGAGTCCAAAGGTTCTGGTCTGGGATCAGAGAGCTCCACCCGGCATTGTAGGCCAATGCTGATTCCAGGCATACTGGTACCAAAAGAGAGATATAGACCAATGGAACAGAACAGGACCCTCAGAAATAATATGACACACCTACAACCATCTGATCTTTGACAAACCTGACAAAAACAAGAAATGGGGAAAGGATTCCCTGTTTAATAAATGGTGCTGGGAAAACTGGCTAGCCATATGTAGAAAGCTGAAACTGGATCCCTTCCTTACACCGTATACAAAAAATAATTCAAGGTGGATTAAAGACTTAAATGTTAAACCTAAAACCATAAAAACCCTAGAAGAAAACCTAGGCAATAGCATTCAGGACATAGGCATGGACAAGGACTTCATGTCTAAAACACCAAAAGCAGTGGCAACAAAAGCCAAAATTGACAAATGGGATCTAATTAAACTAAAGAGCTTCTGCACAGCAAAAGAAACCACCATCAGAGTGAACAGGCAACCTACAGAATGGGAGAAAATTTTTGCAATCTACTCATCTGAAAAAGGCTAATATCCAGAATCTACAAAGAACTCAAACAAACTTACAAGAAAAAAACAAACAACCCCATCAAAAAGTAGGTGAAGGATATGAACAGACACTTCTCAAAAGAAGACATTTATGCAGCCAAAAGACACATGAAAAAATTCTCATCATCACTGGCCATCAGAGAAATGCAAATCAAAACCACAATGAGATACCATCTCACACCAGTTAGAATGGTGACCATTAAAAAGTCAGGAAACAACAGGTGCTAGAGAGGATGTGGAGAAATAGGAACACTTTTACACTGTTGGTGGGACTGTAAACTAGTTCAATGATTGTGGAAGACAGTGTGGCGATTCCTCAGGGATCTAGAACTAGAAATACCATTTGACCCAGCCATCCCATTACTGGGTATATATCCAAAGGATTATAAATCATGCTGCTATAAAGACACATGCACACAAATGTTCACTGCGGCACTATTCACAATAGCAAAGACTTGGAACCAACCCAAATGTCCATCAGTGATAGACTGGATTAAGAAAATGTGGCATATATGCATCACAGAATACTATGCAGCCATAAAAAATGATGAGTTCCTGTCCTTTGTAGGGACATGGATGAAGCTGGAAACCATCATTCTCAGCAAACTATCACAAGGACAAAAAACCAAACACCACATGTTCTCACTCATAGGTGGGAATTGAACAATGAGAACACTTGGACACGGGAAGGGGAACATTACACAATGGGGCCTGTCGTGGGGTGGGGGGAGCGGGGAGGGATAGCATTAGGAGATATACCTAATGTAAATGATGAGTTAATGGGTGCAGCACACCAACATGGCACATGTATACATATGTAACAAACCTGCACATTGTGCACATGTACTCTAGAACTTAAAGTATAATTTTTAAAAAAAAGAAAATTTTAAAGAAGTCACCTGCCTCAATCAAGTACAGATAAGCCTTGATGATCTAGGTTTCATGACATACTTTATTTCATTTACAAGTACTGGTTCACATTCTGCGCATGTATCCCAGAACTTAAAGTAAAATTAAAATTAAAAAGAAGAAGAAGGAGGAGGAGAAGAAGAAGAAGCAGTGGTTCTCAAGCTACGCTCTAGTGGGACCAAGGCACCTTGATGATAAATTTGAATTATTTCTGCTATTCTCAGGTTTGATGGGAAATGATAAGAAATTTTTTTTAATAATACATTTATCTAAAACTGTTGGTGTTTGTTATGTTCACATACTAAAATCTATATAAAATATTGTATTGAGATAAGTAGGGTTGGTTGCTGCAATAAGGAACAGATTTTTGTGGCTTACGTTAATAAATATTTATCTTTTTCTCATGTCACAATCCAATGTGCGTTAGCTGGGATTGTGCTCCACACAGTTACTCAGAGACTCAGAATCTTTCCATCTTGTGTTGCCTCCATCTTTAAAAAAAGATTCCTATAGGACAGAGAGTTTGTAAGAGTGTATGAAGAGAGTATATGAGAATCACTCAAATGGTTTTATGTGCCAGTCATGGAAGTGGACCACACTGCTTCCACTCAATTACATTGGTCAGAATGCAGTTCATTGCTCCAAATTTATCTGTAAAGATCAGGACGTATAACCCTCCCATATGTCCAGGAGGAAAATGATATAAATTTGGAGAATTTGTAGCACCGTCTCTACCACAGATGATCCCTTACCACAACATGTACCTTTAATTGTTTTAAGTTTGAAATTAGTAAATTGTGGTGTGTTCCAAAATTATTGTGACTTTTAAGAAATCCATTAGTTTAAAAAAGTTTAAGGAACACCGAACTAAATGTTGGAAAGTTCTGTGAGTGTTGTACCCCCAAGATTACATGTTGCCGTATAGGGAGCATAAAAAGATACACAAACAAATACAAAGAGAGAGCTTTTTAAAAAATACCAAGGCTATCCTAATCAACTGAGAGAACTGTCAGAATTATTTATGTTTATTTAAAGGATTAATATAAAAATGATACAAAAATATTTTACAATTGGAAGGCATAGGATATTTTTATGTAGGAAAAGACTAAATTCTAACCCTTTCATTCTGATTTGTATGCCATAGATTAGGTGTTTATTCTATAAGACAGCTTTACGTAATTTCTTTTATCTTATCATCCTTAAAAATAATTATGAAACATTATTTGCAAAGTATATTTTAGATTTTATACTTCACTGTATTTTTTCTATTCTCCAACCTAACTTTAATAATAGAATGATCAACTTGAAACAATGATTTAGATTAAATAAAACTTCCAATATAATGACCAAAAAATGTCTTTTATTCCCCTGCAACTGTCCATAATTCTTACATCGCCACTGTTCTGAGTTGATATACAACCTCAGTAAGCCAATAGAGGTCCACAGGGGTCTGGTTGAAATGGAAGAGCAAGAGATTATTGAAGAAAAGGAGATCACCATGGAAACTATGTTTTTTCCTGGGTATGATATCTGAAGACTCTATGGAAGCATTTATATACACTGAACAAATCATGAAAAGTTTGAAAAGCATTGACTTTAATTCTTAAGAAATCTGACTGCTCAGAGAAATGCAGGAAAATAAATTTCCTTAGCTTACTAATAAACAAATTTTCTTAGAAAAAAATGAGGGAAACTTTCATCACAACTTCAATAGGCTCATGTATTAAGGAATCATAAATAGGCCAGGCGCGGTGGCTCATGCCTGTAATCCCAGCACTTTGGGAGGCCGAGGCACGTGGATCACGACGTCAGGAGATCGAGACCATCCTGGCTAACACAGTGAAACCCGATCTCTACTAAAAAATACAAAAAATTAGCCAGGCATGGTGGTGGGCACCTGTAGTCCCAGCTACTCGGGAGGCTGAGGCAGGAGAATGGCATGAACCTGGGAGGCAGAGCTTGCAATGAGCCAAGATCACACCACTGCACTCCAGCCTGGGCCACAGAGCCAGACTCCATCTCAAAAAAGAAAAAGGAATCATAAATATTTCCCCAAATGCATGAAATGTCTTCGGAATAAAATTTACCCTATAGCTTTCTGCACTGTCTGGTTTTTACATAATTAAGAAATGTTTTCTTAAAGATGTTTTATTTTAAACATTTTTATTAATTCTGGTGTTTTTCATGGTAGAAAAATGTATTTTTATGAACAGAGCTCCAATTCTAAATTTTGGTTTCTAGGAGGAAAACATTTCATTTATCATGTCTTTACTTGTGGTTAAAAGGAAACATAAATGACTTCCTACTAGATATTTAGTTCTCTCAAAATCCACATTCTAAATCTTTATGTGTTAAGAGTGGATCATTTTCCTATTCACTACCAAATGTTAAGTTTGTTCTAAGGAAAAGAGAATGTAAGAGAACATGAGAAGAGAAATAAAAAGATCTATACACTTTTGGAGAGTCTCATAGTCTTCATTCTTTGTGTGCACAATTAACAAAATAGGCTCAAATATTAATAGAATACCACATTTCTAGTTAAATTGTATAGAATATTAGCTAATTTATCTGATATCACATCACTAGAAATTCTTCATTTACCAGCTTTGGCAGGCAGAATGGTGGTCTAAAGATGTCCATGCCCTACTCATAGAACCTATGAATATATCACCTTATATGGCAAAAAAACCAAAACAAAACAAAAACCTTTGCAGGTGTGATTGATTAAGGTTGAGGACTTGGAGATAGGATATTTAGCCTAGATCATCCAGGTGGGCCCAATCTAACAAATAAACCTTTAGATAGATGCAATAGAAGAACGAGACCTGTCATTGCTGGCTATGAAGATAGAGGAGAGGGACATGAATCCCAGATGGCCTCTAGAAACTGGAAAGACCCTCAGCTGATGGTCAGTAGCTGAATAATCAGAATTAAATCTTCCTTTAGCCCCTCCAGAAAAACATATAGCCTTGCCAACACCTTGATTATGAGCTGGTGAAACATGTCAGATTTCTGGCCTACAAAACTGTAAGAGAAAGTTGTGTAATTTAAAACTATTAAGTTTATGGTGATTTGTCATAGTGGCAACAGAAAATGAATACATCAGAATTTCTATCAAATTCAAGACTTTTCTGAACTGAAGATTAGAATTTTGGTTTTCTCTTTAGCCCAATCTTCCACTACTGCCATATCACAAACATCTGCTCCAGTTAAGCTTTCACTTCCCAGAACATAGTATTTTTTTCCACTGCTTCTACCTTGTATTTGTCAGCTTGGGCTGTCCCATAACAAAGTACCATAGACTGTGTAGCCTAAACAATAGACATTTCTCACAGTTCTAGGGACTGGGAACCTCAAGACCAAGGCGCCAGCACATTTAGTTCCTTTTGAAGACCTTCCTCCTGGCTTTCAGATAGCCACCTTCTCACTGTGTTCTCCCATGGTGGAGAAACAGAGAGCTCTTACCTCTTCCTATTCTCATAAAAATACTAATCTTAACATGGAGGCCTCACCCTCATGAACTCATCTAAACCTAATTGCCTCCCAAAGGCTCCACCTCTACATACCATAATATTAGGAGTTAGGGCTGAAATTTGGAGGATACAAACATTCTGTCTATAACTCACTCATTGGCCCATGTTCTTTCTGCCTTGAATGAAATGCCACGTGCTTTGTAGGGACTTCATAAACCTTTCCAGACGTCGCTGACCATATCCTCTCTTTTAACCCAAATAGACATTCTACTCCATCTGTGATATCACAACTATAACACATAATTTATAATAGGATTCAGACTTTAAAATTTTCCCTAGCAATTATCACATATATTTTTGTTAGGAGGCATCCCATTTTGTAGTGAAATATGTCTTGCTTAGTCATATGCAAGATAGATGTTAAGCCACCAGGATCTGGGTTTCAGCTAGTGTCAAGATTTTAGACAAAAGAAAAGGCTTATTTTCATAATGTAGGAAACAATTCTGAGACACCCATGGGAATTTGAAAAGAGGTGAGAAAAGATGAGGGCAGGAGAAGGAGAGGGAAGCAAAGCAAGATTGTGTTCTGTGTTGTTGTATACTAGTTCTCTTAGCCCTCAGTGGTTACTGTCTCGATATGTAAACCATCGTATTTCTAGCGTCATTCAGTTTTAATCCTGTGATGAAGATATAAATGATACTTAATGCAGAGATGAGAAAATAACATTTTATTGTTATGTTGAAACTTACTATTAAAACTTGAATCTGTTGCCTAGCATTTGAACCGTGGTGTGCCATTAATTTCTCAATTCGGGGCCTTTTACTAGATCAGTATCGAGAAAGATACATTATGGCCAGAAACAAACACCATTTTCTTAAGAATATTTTGCTCACAATATTTTCAAACAGAATGTCTTTGCAGCAAGAAATGTGACTTTGATAATGTTTTCAACAGTCAGTTGTGAAGCGGGAAGAACAATGAAATGACTAGAAGGTTGATGGGGTTCAGGACTTACGTACTACTTACTACTCCAAAATCTTGACAGCTTGGCATTTGGAGAAGCAGCCGAAGCAGAAAGATCCTTTTCACCTTTCCTCTGACCTTCTCCCATAGAGTAGGTCATACAACCTCAGAATAATTTTCTGACCTTTCCCTGAAGTAGGTCATAAAACCTTCATGTGACAGGTGCTCTCTCTATACCCAGAGGAAAGGAATATCCTTGTCTCTAAAGACACACGGACACAGAGAAGAAGCTGAACAAAAAGACCCTACTAAGTTCTCTCCAGTTTATTACCATTCCATTGTACATTTTTATCCAATTATAATTCTCCATGACTGTGCACTTTTTCATCAAACTTAGCATAAAAAATATAGTTTAACTGTTTCTTTAGGTCTTCATTTCCTTATGAAGTTTCCTGTCTCATCTAAGACTTATTAAATAAATTTGTATGTTTTTCTCCTGTTAATCTGTTTTTGTTAGTTTGATTTTCAGACCCAGCTAGAGACCCTAAAAGTGTCTAGGAAAACCTCTTCTCCCCTACAAGGGTACTTCAGTGAATTTCAGAGCTCAGCCAACCACTTCCAGGTAGCAGAGTTCCCAGAAAGACCCAGGCTCTCTGCAAAGCTACACATGGCAGGGTTTAATCTTAGGATCAAAGAGATACAACAACTTCAACCTCATATGAGTTTTTAAAATTCAGTAAGTGGAAACTACCCTCCCTCCCCAGCTATATACTATCTGTTTTTCTTACCTTTTCTTTTAATGCCGTTAGGTTCAACTTGTGTGCATACAGGGGTAATAGCTGGGGAAAAAGTAGAATTAGCATGTTTCCCAGATGATTCAGACCAAACAAACAGCAATGAAAACAGTTTATCTTTCAACATTCCCACTCGTTTAGGCATGAAATGCCATTCTAAATACTGCCTTTAAGTAGTCTAAAGGCTCTGAAAATGGTGGGGAAAAAATAACTTGTGACTCATTTTTATTTTAAGTGGTATGACTTCTATGATGTGGAAATCAGTTCAATCCATTTTTATTAACTGCCATGTCACATGCTGAAGATACTGAAGTGAACCAGACACAGCTTCTGTTTTTAAGGGGTCTACAAGTTAGTTGGGGAAGGGGTCAGGGAAGAAAGGCTATCAAATAAATGTCCTTTGGGGTAACAAATGCTAAAGTCAGGCTCAGTAAGAGGTGTCTAATTATTATACTCATTTGAAGGAGGTGTAGGTAACTCCTGTAAAAGACTGTCTATACTTTTTTTCAAAGGGAAGGCCAAGGGACAGCATTCTGTGTGAATGCCTCTCTCCCTGAGGGGAACGGGGGACCGCCCCCAGGCTTGAAGCTAATTGGCATAACCATGAAATGCAGGCTGTCATAGCTGAATCAGTCTTTGTGTGTATGTTGGAATTTTACAATACTGATAAATTGCCACACTGGTCAATGAAAAGGACATGCACTTTGATTTTCCATTCAATGGGATCTGCTAAGTAAGTGAGTTAAAGAAAGGTGTAGCACTAAGCTAAAATTCCTCAGATTAAATATAAAGAACTTCTAACACTTTGATGGGTCTCAGACTGAGGCATTCTTTGTATGTATACTGGTGTGTGTGTATGTGTGTGTGTGTGTGTGTGTGTGTGTGTGTGGCAGTGTTGTGGGATTGGATCCCCCCAAAAGCTAATTCTTCAATCAGTCTTGGGTGTATATACTTGGGAAGAAAAGACGAAGAAGGTATAGATATTGTGCCGAAAATATATTGAGTAGCAACATAAAGACTAAAAAACTGAATAAAACCATGAGCCAACACAAGAGAGTAGTTCCCAAAAGGGTTTTGTGTACCCATCACCACCTCTCAAAACATAAGAGTGCATGCGCGTGCACACACACACACACGCTCTCTGCTTTACAAGGAAAATGATTTTGATTATTTGTGGAGGTGGGAAGTATTACAAAAAGCAACACTGTCAGTTATAGGGGAATGAGGGAGTGAAAGATTAGTTTTCAAATTGTAACCTCTAAGGTTATGAAGTGTACATATGTGTGTATGTTAAAAGGAGAAGAAGAGAGAAGAACGACCTTTTTCATTTCTAGAAAAAAATGATGTTCCTGGGGAAGAGGCTGCAGAAGAACTGATATTATTTTGTTGAATCAATGTTTTGGTACTTTAGTAATGGTTATTTTATGAAGACTTGGTACCTCTACAGACAAAACAACTAAACTGATAGGTTGAGTGAGTCTTTGTGCTAACTTTTCAAGATTTTAATGTAGAGTGTGTATGTATGTGGACACGTGTGAGAGAGTATGTGTACTTATAGTGAAGTGCCCCATAAGGTATAACTTTTATTATTATTATTATTAGGCTAACAGAACAGCCATTTAAAAGCTGCTTGCTAATTTTGTTGCTGATTAAAATATGATCAAGCCTCCTTGAACCAGAATACAACTAGTTTGAGCTCATCATAATGATCCCTCAATTATAAAAGTCAAAGAAAATACCTATATATTGTTCAAGAAGGCAAGAAACAAGATCATTGTTTTGCTCTGTGGGAGCCCAAGGTTAAATTTTGTTTGCAAGTCAAGTTCTATGACACTTACCTATTACTTGACTCATTAATTTTATTCAGGGAAGTTTCTGGATGAAAAGATGGCAAAACAATGATTATTTCCCTTTGAAGATTAAAGTTATTAAACACTATGTCCAGCTGGCAGAAAAGGACAACACCCAAAGATATTCACAGGAAGGAGGGGTGAGATATCTAGGCTCAACATCAAAACCTGTATTATTTTAGGGAGGTACAGAGGGTGTGACTGATGCTGAAACTGTCTCTCTGATGCTGCCACACTGACACTATTGGCATGACCTGAGGGAACAGTTCTGTCTGTGTGACAAGATACCCACCAAAAGCTCTAATCTCTTTTTATACAGAGTACTTGTGAATGGAGCAGTCAGCGCTGAGCAAACAGATCTCAGCTGCCAATTCTATATATGGCGACCACATAACTCATAGCCCAGATGAAGAGCAGTTTAAAAGTAGAAGGATGAGGGAAGGTGACTATTAATAATGAAACCAGAAAAAGAGGCATAAACTAGCATTGTCCTGGGCAAACTTGGGTACAAACCCCAAGAAACTTGGGTCAGATGAGTGGGGTATTGTGCCCTTACTGCTATAGCACTTCCTGTGGTGCAAAGTTTTGTACCAATGTACCAACTTCTGATTTCAGAAACAACGCTCTATGGTGGCGAAAGTCATGTTTATCAGGGCCCTTTGGTTTGCTGGGAGGAATCCATAGTACTGTTTCAACTGAAGTAAGTCCTGTGAGAATCTGGAACTTATTACTAAGCCTGGGGAGGGAAAAATATGTGTCTTGTAACAAGCAGGCTATGGACAAAAGGCCATTTTTATTAGCATAAAATGGGACCTAAACACTAAAAATGTGGCCACATTGGGGTTGGCATTAATATGTGACTATGTGAATAAAGAATTAATAATTACATGTTATAATGCAATAAATTAATAACTAATTTTCTCCCTCATGTATGTACTGATTTTCCGGTAGTTAATTTGTTAATTAAGTCTCAGCTTTTTAAAATTTTCAGGTGTGGACCTGATGGGCTGGTGCTTTTGGAAAGCTTTACTGTTTATCTGACAGCTCAGAGAGATAAGGAACTTCAAAGCTGTATGAACACAAAATGTTATTATGTATTGGGCATTACTAGAATACAGAAGAAAGACATCTTTAAATTTGGTGTTTACTGGGTCTTTTTACTGGCTGGATTTTGTTGTGGAATATACAGGCATGTGAACATATTTTGTTACTTCCAATGAGAGCGAAATAGAATAAGTTAAAAATAAAATCATAAATTATCAAACAGATTATTTTGAGACATCACTTAATTAGGCTTAAGCTTAATTTGCTCAAAGAAAGACAGAATGTCAACTTCCAGTATTTTAGGAGGAGGAACAATATGCTTTCATTCTTACTATAAATCATTAGACCTGGAAGGTGGGGGAAAGGGTTAAAGACAGACTGCAAGCCAGCATGAAAGGATATGCTTAATGTCCAAAGCTGTGAGTTACTAAGAAACTTCTGGCAGAGGAAACTGGATGCTGGCTGTCCTTTGGAACATCCTCTACCTGTTTCTCTGAAGAGCTTGCTAATAGATGATGATTTATTTCCCTGTATGGTAAAAGAATTTTCTGAAAGCTGCAAATCAGGGATGAGGTAGGAAGGTAATGGAGCAAAGTTAGATTAGAACTAGAGGTAGGTGTAAATGAGAATTAATTGGCTACCCTTTTAAAAAATGTAGAAATAATATGGCACAACTAGGGAATGGTTTAATAGAATAAAACTCTACTAGTAGACTTTCATTGTATACCTTGATGTTTGGAAAGTTATTTAATTGGTAATTGTTGGCCTGTAGTTAAGAATTTCAAGGTTTGTATTCTCTTAGCTCT
Source organism: Homo sapiens (assembly GCF_000001405.40). NCBI lineage: Eukaryota > Metazoa > Chordata > Mammalia > Primates > Hominidae > Homo > Homo sapiens. The sequence continues at coordinate 87,847,903 of NC_000011.10, read as the reverse complement.
TTTATTCTGCCCCATATTATATTCCTTACAGGAAGGTCTATAGACATGTTTGGCCCAGGACACTGACATTATTTATTGAGGGTCGGTGAAAGGACATGTCCCGTCTTTCTGTCCTTTGATTCTTCCTTTCTCCCGCTTGATTTGTGGCTGCTGACGTTAAATTGATCGTCATAACAAGAAAGAAGAATGTCTTTGGTCATGAAACCAAAGCATCCTGTGCATGAGTCTTGTTCTGCTGCAGTCTCCTGTGTACCTTCCCACCATCTCACCCCTACTCACTCCACACAGGGAGCATGCAGTGATGTCCCCAAGGGAAGCATATTCATAGAAGTCAATGCCAACCCCACAGTGAAACCCAAGGCCTAGAGGAGTTATTTTGTTTTGTTTTGAAAGAGAGGGAGAATTTTGGTAACAGATTCAGTTTATTTAATTTACATAAGACTATTCAGCTTTTTCTTTCATTTTGTATAAATTTTTATAAGTTATGTCTTAAGAAATCTGTTTCATGTAAAGGATCAAATTTGTTAGTCCAAAGTTGTTTATAATATTCTTTGTTCTTTTAATGTATAGAGTCTATTGTAACAAATCCTACACATTAAGCATTCATTACTGATACTGTTGATTTGTATTCTCTTTTACTCATGATATTCTAGCCATAGGTTTGCCAATTTTCATTTTTTTAAAAAACAGATTTTTACTTACTTTCTTCTACCATCTGTTCTTTTCAATATCAATGATTTCTGGGTTTTCTTTATAAAATCTTTCTTCTACTTACTTTGTTATTCTTTTTCTAGTTTCTTAGGATAGGCCTTAAATTATGAACTTTAGATCTTTCTTTTTTCCTGATATATGCATTTGAAGTTATGTTTTCTACTTACCTGTGCTTTAGCTACTCAGAAAAATTTTGATATATTGTATTTTAATTATTCGTTTAAAATATTCTATAGATTTTCTTGTAATTGGGCGTTGACCCATGAATTATTTATGTGTACAATTTTTATTTAAATGAAGTTTAACTCTATAGTTACTGCTATTTGGTTCTAATGTAATTCCCCTGATGAGAGAATGCACTTTGTCTTACTCAGATTTTAAAAAATTAACTGCATTGTTTTGTACTCCAGATTGTAGTCTCAGTGTATGTATTTCATGTACTTGAGACCAATATATATTCTTCAGTCATTAGATAGACTGCTCTACAAATATAATTAAAGCAGTTCATTATAATTATTGAGATCTTCTTTGTCTTTACTGACTTTTTGTCTCATTGGTCTATCAATTACTGAGAGTTGTTGAAATCTCCTATGACAAAAAAATTGTATTTCTTTAATTCTGTACATTTTTTATTTATGTACTGCATAGCAAAGCTTTTCCTAATGAATTATTTCTATTGTTATTATAAAATGCATTCTTTGTAATCTTACTTTTCTTAAAGCTTATTTTCTGTGATATTAGCATAGCCACTAATAGCCTTCTTATGCTTACTATTTGTCTTTCATATCGATTCTCCCCATTCATTTACTTTAAACTTATTTGTGTCTTTATATATTAAGTTTAGCTCTTGTAGCAGCATATAGTTAAGTCTTGTTTTTATCCACTTTGTTCATTTCTGTCTGTAAATTGGAGTAACGAAACCAATAACGTTTTATGTAATTATTGGTATAGTTGGATCTAGACCTACCATTCTCTTGTTTTCTGTTTCTCTTCTTTGGTTTTTGTTTGCATATCCTCCCCTTCCTGATTTTCCTTTGAATACTTTTAGTATTCCATTTTGATTTATTATCTGGCTTTTTAGGGCTTTGTGTTTTGATTTGATTTAAGTGGTTCTTTAGGGGTTACAATATATACACCTAACTTTTCACAGTCTACTTAGAATTTCTTTTATCGTTCCTATAGTAAATATCTGTTAGTGACACATGCTCTCAGTTTTATATCATGTCAAAATTTCTTTATCTCACCTTCAATACTGAAGGATATTTGCATTGGATATAGAATTACGGTTTGCAAGAATTTTTTGACTTTCGGTACTTTAAAGATGTAGTCTTTGGCTTTGGCAGTTTCTGATGAGAAATCAACAGTCTAATTGTTTTCTTCCCATAAGTAATATGTCATTTTCTCTAAATGCTTTCAAGACCTTTTTTTATGTTTGAATTGAGCAGTTTGTCTGTGTCTAGTGTTGCTGTCTTTGAGTTTATTATTTTTAGGATTCACCAAGCATTCTGAATTTATAAATGTAAGACTTTTATGAAAGCTTGAAAGCATTCAGCCATATACGTTGAATTTTTTTCCTACAGCAATCTCTCCCACCCCACCCCTTTTTTGGAGCTTCAGATACACATGTATTCAATCTTTGATATCATCCCCTACGTACCAGAGGCTGGTCATTTTTTATATCTCTCCTGTTATTTTCACTATCATATCCATTTTGCTTTTGAGTCTATCCAGTGCATTCTTTGTTTTGGATGTTGCATTTTCAGTTCTAAAATTGTAATTTAGTTCTTTATTGTTTTTATTTCTTGTTGAGTTTTTCTTATCTTCTAATTCACCTCACATGTGTGAGGCTTTTGTTTTTGATGTTTTATTTTTTACAATTTATAAAGGAGCTAATTAAATATAGCTTCCTTAAAGTTTTTGAAAGACCTATTCCATCTGTGTCATCCTAGTGTTACTATCTTTTGCTTTTATTTTCTTTGAGTTGGGCTACATTTGCCTGGTTCTTTGTATGTCAAGTAATTTTGGGTTGTATCTTAAACTTTGTTATCTATTACAATCTGCAGGATGTTGTTACTTTTGTATTAGCAAGAAATCAACAAATTCTATTTTACTTTCTGTGGATGATGGTTCAAATTTCAGTTCAGTTCTCTAAATTATTGTTATTCTTGATAATGACTATTATAAATATGCATGATTTGGAAATTATGTTGAGATATATACAGGTAATTCAGATCTGATTTTAGTTTTCTAAACCTTTGCTATGCTAGTTTGAATGTGCCCACACATGTGTGTCTCAGAGGTTAGGCTCAATCTTGTGCTAGTGATTCAAATCTCAGTTCAGTCTTGTAGGCCTGTACAATGTTGGTTTGGGTCTGTCCCATGCATATTTGCTCGGGGTTTATGTTAAGGCTTGCCTATTAACTTCAAGTTTTCCCATATGTACAAGTCAGATTGATTAGGGTGAAAGTGAACTATTACTTCGGACTTGGTTATAAATTAGTCATTATAGATGCAGAGTTGTAGCAGGCTCATTGACAAGAGTGGCCAAAGAAAGTTAATAAGGCCTACTTTGAGAAAAGTAAGAAACCTGAGATAAATTAGACAGGGAATAGAACATAGTGGTTAGTAGTATAGACTTTGGAATCAGACCAAACCAGAAGCAAGTTTTAGACCTCCTACTATCTAGCTCAGTACCTTCAGGGAAATTAATCTATCTGTGCCTCAATTTACTCAACTGCAGCAGGAAAAATGATTCCTCTGTCATAAAGTTCTTGTAATAATTCTATGTAATGGCGCCAACTGCTTAGCATAAGGCCTGGCATATACTGAGATTTCAATATATACGAAGAAGATACTTAAGGCATGCCTGAAACAACTTGAAATAATGGCATTCTCGTGGGTTAAACAAAAACCTTGAGTTCTAAATGAATTACTATCCTTGTATGTTTCAGTTTTCACACAAGCAGATTTTAAAAAGAGTAATCTCTATTTATTTCATAGGATTATTTTGGGGATCCAATACAATAACCCATGGGAAAAGGTTTGGTTTTTTTAAACTACAGAGCATAATGCAAAACGCAAAGGAGTAGCTGTAGCTTTGAATCTGATGAGACGTTATATGAAGGTCATGAGCAGAAAATAGAAAATATAGTTAATTAAAGCATCCAAGGTAGATTAAAACTAAGAGATGAGGAAATATGTTATCAAAAGTCTACATGAATTGAAAACATGATAGTATCTCCAGGATTGTCTAGTTTTTTAAGTTAAAAGGCAGTGAGTGCAATGAAGGAGTCACTTATAACAAATTGAACATTTCACGAGAGAAAAGACAGAGAATTTACATTACCCAGAACCCTATAATAGATTTTCTTTTTCAGTCATATAAATCTTTGACTTAGAACCCTTGCTTAGAACTATACTTCATTTTCATATCATGTTTTGCAGTTACTAAAATATTTTCTCATTTAATCCTCACAACAGCCTTGCAAAGTAGTACAGAGGTTACTTTACTTGTACAAGCAAATTTAGGCTTCAAGTGTTTAAGTAACACATACAAAATTATCTCATAAGTAAGCTATGGAGCTGAGATTTCAAATCGGGTCTTTTGATTCCAAGAATAGTGCTTCCTTTTTCTTAGCATGAAGTATTGATGTACATATTAGTCAATTAGAAGCACTTAAGGTGCAACCCCCTGGCCTTGGTGAGGTAGCAGAGACAGTGAATGTTCAACTTCTGAGTAATTTATAGGTAACTCTGCAGCAACACTAACACATGGTTCCTGATTATCTGGGCAGATATGTAAAACTTCTTAGTACTTAACCTGCACATCATAACCTCCAACAAGAAAAACTGAAGAAAAAAGGAACCAAAGTAATTCTGTCAGAAGATTAGCCAGTAAAAGTCTATATAAGGATAAAAGTGGCAGGCTGTGGCTGTTTGGAACATATGTAGACTAGGCTTCTACTGAAAGACGCTCATCTCACCTCTGACCAGCATGGTATTCAGAGAGGTAGACATAAGCGGATGCAAACAAAACGTGTGCATCAACACATGGTTTGTGCGCCCACCTCTCAGTGCTTCTCAACAGGGCCCAAAGAACTGTCTAAAGAATGAGTCTGGGAGCTGAGAAAATAAAATATGTCTAGACCCTGTGGGAGGGATTGAATTAATATAGCCCCTCACTAGAGTCCCCATTCTGCTTATTTCAGCCAACGCTTTCCCCTACAGCTTGTTTCCATGGCTGCAAAGCCCAACCTGGCCAATTCTGCACTTCTCATTGAGACAAATTTCACATCTTTTATAAAAAATGTTTTTTGTTTCTCAAACATTTTTTATAAAAAGGGATTTGTGTGTGTGTGTGTGTGTGTGTGTGTGTGCGCGCGCGTGTGTGTGTGTGTGCATGCGCATGCATGTGTGTATGTGTGCGCATGGGGTGGGGATTTATTTTGGCTAGTGAGGTGCACTTGTGTATTCTGAGGTAGTCTTTCCAGGAAAGTCAGGTTAAAATAGAGATAATACGCAAACATCAAGTAGAAAATAACAAACAAGTTAATTTTTGTTAAGCGGTGATTAAAGAGCACATTTATTTGTGTAGTTCACAGATCATTAGAGATTCCGGATAAGCACAATTTTAAAAGTATTTATGGCACAAATTAATTTCCCAGATACTAATTAATAGTTGTTGAGATGCTCAAGTACAACGAAGGCCCCTCTCCGACTGCGCAAGAGGCACCTTCAGGCTTTTGATGATATCAAATGAGGTAGGCCTTGGAGCCATTTGCAGAACTTTACTTGGACTCCAGAATTTCAACTTGTCTCCTGAAACCCCCCTCCCAAACTCAGCACATACATTTTAAAATCTTATTTTTTCTTCTTTATCCTTTTGTCTCTCAGTGACACAGCTTAATGATGCTCCATTGTCTCTTCCCTAGGGAAATTCTTGACCTTCACTAGTGTTGTGGCCTTCCATGTCATCTTCTCCCTTCACATTATTTATTCTGGTCTAGTAAGCTGCTAAAATTTCCTTTTCTTTTTCTAAGCAGCCTCTCTGACATGTTCTTCTTTATTCATCCATAACACTTCTCAAATTCTACTTTGATGGCAAAAATGTCAGGTTATACAAAGATAATTGCATTTTCAGTCTCGGAATCTTACACCCTTCCCTTTCTGTGACAAAGTGTTTTGAAGAAAAATAGAAGAAAAAATAGCAAGAAGAAGAGGAAAATAAAAGAAAGGAAGAAAAAGATAACACTCAGCCAAGTGAATCTCAGAGAATATAAAACTACTCCAAAATGTTCATATTCTCCAAATGTCCCTTAACAGAAAACAGGAGTAAACTACAGGTGGAGTGACTATACACCCCATGTTGCCCAGATATTCTGGTTTATACTTCTTGTCTTTATATCCAATCAGTTAGCACCCCTTTTTATCCTCCAAAGTATCTAGATGTGTTCACCTATAAACAATGAGTTTTTTCACGTCCAGATCAGGTTGTACATTCTGAGAAACAGGCACAGATATCTGAAACTCAAGACTGTTTCTGGTGTGTGGGTGGACTGGTCTTCAGACAAACATCCAAACTCAGAAAAATTCATTAAGAAAATGTGTAATAAACAGAGAATACACACTCTTCTGCTGGAAGGGATACCAGCAGATAAGTGGTAGGCAAATAAAATTGAGACAAAAATCTGAACCTTTCAGAAATTATAGTGATTAAGTATGAAATATAATCACTTGAGCACAATAGTAAAGATAGCTGATTGTATTAGTCCATTCTCATGCTAAGTCATGGTAGAAGGGGAAGCAAACATGTCCTTCTTCACATGTCAGCAGGAAGATGAAGTGTCAAGCAAAGGGGAAAAAGTCTCTCATGAAACCATCAGATCTCGTGAAAGCTCCCTCACTATCATAAGAACAGCATGTGGGTAACCGCCTCATGATTAAATTACTTCTCACTGGGTCCCTCTCATGACACATGAGAATTATGGGAACTACAATTCAAGGTGAGATTTGGGTGGGGACACAGCCAAACCATAGCACTGATACTTTTAAAATATATGTACCAGGCACTATTCTAAATACTTAATATTAACTCATTTAGTCCTCACAGGAACAACAAAAAGATAATCAACTGTTTTGTTACTATTTCACAGGCAATGAACATGAGGCTCAGAGTGACTAAGGGGCCAGGAATGATGGAATTTGGATTTGACCTAGACAGGCTGGTTTCAAGAGTTGTCATGCTTAATACCTGTAACGAGAACTTTAATCACTATGCTCTACAGCTGTTCCTTGGTGAGCAGGCAAAAGATGTTATTAATATGGGTTAAAAAAATAATAAAGTGTAATAAAATGAAAATGTATACAAAGAGTAGTGCTTTAATTTGAACCACCCTATATAGAGGTGTGTCTATAAAGCTAAAAGTCAGATTTCTATATGTCTTACAAATTAGAAACATCCATATTCATCAGTAATTTTACATTACTTTTTATGGTAATGTCATTTCAACACATTTCTGTCTTTGGGAACTCTTACAAAGTTCAGTAGTATGAGACAGAAACTCTTAAAATAGACTTATATCACTGGGTTAAAGTATAACAAATACTACCTTGGTTTAGCATTAGAATAAAATGTTGCAAAAAAACTTTCCTACTAGGATGCTGAGCTATTGATTCCATGTGTGTAGGACCTGTGTTACCCTGGATGAAAAGGTAGTCCGACATTCCACTGGACTTTGTAGAGAGGTCATTTTCTTGAATGATCACTTAGCGAAATCCAATCGCCAACTTTCAGAGAACCAGAGGCCAAATTAGTTACCACTTGGCCACCTTAGTTTTATACTATTTGCTTACTCTGAAATCCAAGACCCATCATGACTTCCCATGTTTCTTAATTTCATGAAGCAAATAGGGGATTTATTTCTCTTCTCTAGCTCAAATGCCAAAAAACTTCAGTAAGCCATCTGGCAGTGACATTAATTTTCATTTGTAACTTCAACACCTTCCCAACTCTTCCTTTCATTTGTTATCACTTCTCTTCCCTCTCTTCTTTTTCTATGTCTCCTTTCTCTCTCCTTTCCACCAAATAGTAGCCACAAATAGAGCCTTCTTTGTGTAAGAGAATTTGCATTATTTTCCTGTTGCCTAAGGCCCAGTTTCACTAATGACATTACATGGGCTCACTGGTTTACATAATGAGATCTAGTCTTGTTCTTTTGTTTTCATCCTCTGTACTTTTGAGGCCAGTAGCACATACATTGCCACAATCAACCTGAGAGAAACCTACTGATATGCAGGACAAAGATTTCTCTTTACTGGCCAAATGAAGGTTAATTCTTATTATACTCAGAGTTTGGTCCAGTTTATGGTATCCAAATTGTCAGTAAGTTAATATGAATGGATGGTGCTGGAGAAATTTTCTCTAAATTTCTTAGCATCCAAGTCAGATAAATCTCTATCTTCTACTTCATTGCTTTTCCAATACACCATATTAAGAGAGTTTCTTCAGCTATTTCTCAAGTACATAAAAATACTTCTACTTCTGCTGATAAGATTGACAGTTAAAAATGTAATATAGATGGTTTTTTCTTTGATGTGTTACAAAGTAACTTAAATCGTGTAATTTTGCTCACTCTACCCAAGTTGGTCTTGGTACACTGTAATTAAAGAAGCACAGCTTGATTGATTTGTTGATCCTATGTCACTGAAAAAGAACAACTGAAAAGTCAGGTGACCTATAATTAGAAAGCAGCCAAATATAGCCTATGTATACTCCTGTGCATTTGATAAACACAGGTCAAAGCCCAGACACATGTAGACCACTATCTGTCTGAGTCTTGACTTTCTGCAACATCTCTGGTCATTTACTTTAATTAACAAAGTATTATTGTATGTTTTCAACTTCAAAGCAATGTATTACATAGTTGGAGATACCCATAAAGTATAAAAGATGGTCCCTGATCAAAGAACACAAGACTAAAATCTATTAACACATTTATAAGCAACAGGTAGAGACAATAAAAGCACTAGGAGTTTACTTTCTAACAGCAAAATGTATAAAAACCATTAAATAAAGGATCTTTCGCTAGGCTCCTGACTAGGATAAAATTACTCCAGTCTAACATTTCTCTTGTGTCCGATGGATAGTAGCACACTTTACTAAAGTAACATAGCATAGTCATTAGGAACATGGGCTTTGCGGGATACAGCCTGGATTAGATTCTCAGCCATGCCTCTTACTGGCTGAGGAAGTTTGAACAAGTTACCTGTGAAATGGAGAATACATTCAAATTCACCAGGGTTGTTATGAGCATTAAGTAAGATGATGACAGTAATGAGTTTTACACAGTGTCAGCACATAGTAAGCATTCAGTAAATGTTAGATATTTTTAAAGTTAACAGAGGATGAGCTGGCAAAACTATTTCAGGATGTCATATGTTGTTTCCACAGTGTAGGATTTGAATTAAAACATAGAAATATGAAGTGACGAATGCCCACCATGGGGTTCAGATACACCCACATCACTGGCGTTTTATTTATCCCAGAAAAGATTTGTGCAAGCTGAATGCTTCTCCTTGATAAAGGCAACAAGACCACCCAGCTTTCTCCAGAGAGCTCAATTACTGTTAGGTATAATTCCCTCTCCAAAAGAGACAGATCTCACAAAACCACCTCAATACCAACTGGAGAAAGACTGAACTCATTAGTTAAGAATGATTTCTGTTAAAAAGTAGCTGCTAATTCCTGAGGCTGGTTGTTGCATAAAAATGAATGTAAGTAGACCAGGCACAGTGACTCACGCCTATAATCCCAGCACTTTGGGAGGCCAAGGTGGGCGGATCATGAGGTCAGGAGATCGAGACCATCCTGGCTAACACGGTGAAACTCCGTCTCTACTAAAAATACAAAAAATTAGCTGGGCGTGGTGGCAGGCGCCTGTAGTCCCAGCTACTCGGGAGGTTGAGGCAGGAGAATGGCATGAACCCAGGAGTCAGAGCTTGCAGTGAGCCGAGATCATGCCACTGCACTCCAACCTGGGAGACAGAGCGAGACTCCATCTCAAAAAAAAAAAAATAAAAATAAAAATAAAAAAAGAATGTAAGCCTTTCTTCCTGTATTATTGGGAAGTGCTGCACACGTATCACAAGGTATTAAGCAACATTCACACATGAAAGAGTAACCAAGTATTTATTAAAAACTTATTAAGAGTTAAACTCTGATTGCTTAAGAGCAGGTAATTTTCAGAAAGATCAATTCACAAGAAGACAAGAAACTAATAATTTGGAATCTTATATGTCAACAAAATCTTCAAATATTATTATATATATGTTTAATATTTCATTTTGTCATCACTGCCTTTCCCTTAGGTGAATGGCTACCCATCCTGGTAAGATGGAAAATGCAAAGACTTTAGTCAAGAATTAGCTGCAAAGGAACACTATCTGTGTGACTTGGAGCAAAAGTCCCTTAGTTTGCTTGATCCTTAGTTACATAGATCAGTTACATAGATAGCCTATGTATAAAATAAGCAAAATGATGCTTGACTCATTTGATATTTGTGAAGACTGAGTGATAATAATTGACTAGCACCAAACTGATTCTCAGTAAACATTAGTTTAATTTTGCCCAGTAGTTAAGCCATTGTTTATGACACTTATACCATACCACTGCTGTATCTCTCTAATCTTTTGCTTAATACTTATGGCTTATGAAGGTCTAGAAGCTTAGAAAAACATTCGAGAGCTCTAGATGTTGCCTACCAGAGTAGATTACAGATCAAACTTGATGCCTCTTCTGGAAGAACTGATAATAGAAGAAACTCATTCATTTAAAAAAATGCATTAGGTATCCACATTGTTCTTTACATAAGGAATACAGATGTACCCTCATGGAGCTCACACACAAGCACCCAACACTTTAAACAACATATATGTGCTAACATGGGGAAAATGTAGGGAGCTATGTAAGTATATAGGAAGCATTCCAAACTCAGTTTTGAGTTCAGGAGTGGTATAATAAGGAAATCTTAAAGAGAATGGCGTTACAAAATAGTAATAACTACCATTTATTGAGTGCTCACAGTGGTCACTTGGCTATTATAAGCATTTTATAAAACTTAACTCTGTTATTCTGCACAATGGCTCACTGAAGAGGATTACTTGATATCTCCATTTTACAGATGAGAAAGCTGAAGCATAAGACTAAGTAATTTGCATAGTGTGATTCACCTAGTAAGTGAGGCACTGAGATCTGACATCTAAATAAAAACCTTTCATTAAAATGGGGGTTCTAGGAAGAAAGAGTGGGTGACAACTTCCAGACAGTGGGAATTTAAAGTACAAAATCCTGGAGACAATGAGTACAAAAAGAAATTTAATGTTGGTGTTATGGCCAGAGCAGAGCGTAGGACTGGGGGAAAGAGAAGAGGTAAGATCACAGAAGGAGGCAAAGACTAGAGAGATAGTCAAGAACTGAGTAAACTATGCCACAAAATCCCTGTGCTTTATCCTGAAGGCCATGGAAAACCAGTGAAGGATTTAAATGCTCTCCAGAACCAACCTGCACATAGAAGACTCTAGCTAGAGTATGCAGAAGAGATTGGAGGAATGATCCCTGGAATCAAGGAAAACAATTGAGATTTTGTGGTGGTAACTTTGGGGAGAGATGATGGTATGCTGAGCTCAGATAGTAGCAAAGGGCATGAGAAAAATGGATGGGGTAGACTACTGCTTTAGGTATTTGAGTCAACAGCACACCATGATTAATTGAACGGGGAAGGTGAATCAGAAATTATTAAAAAAAAATACTCAGGTTTCTGGACTGAGAAATCAGGTAGATAGAACTTTTATTTGCCAGAAAAAGGAATGCCAGAGAAAGGACAGATTAAAGAGAAATATATTTAGTCATCTAACTGCACAGTTGTTTTTACAAAACCCAAAGTTAGTTTTCAGTGGAGTGTTTCAGAGGTGAAATTGTCTGAAGGGCTCAAGTCTTTCATAAAGACTTTAGCATGACAACTCTTTACCATAACTAGTACAATTATCAGTTTTATAGTCAGTTTTCTAGTATGAAGAATCTGCTCATTAGCATTCCTTACATAGGGGAAATTGCATTATTCTAGAAAGCTTCCCCCACATTATTATGGCTGTATATTATGTAGATATTTTGAGACTTGTTGAAGAAAAAGTATAGGTTAAAAGCTGTATTTGGTGTCCTGGACCTGATTCTAATGCTGAGAAGAAAAGATGTCCTGGATGTCAATGGGTAAAATTGAAGAATCAGGCAAAGCAAGGGATTACTATGTGAATCTCCTTCATATTTGTATTAGTTTGCTGGGAGCTGTCATAATGAATACCATAGACTGGGTGGCTTAAACAGCAGAAATTTATTTTCCCACAGTTGTAGAAAATGGAAGTCTAAGATAAAGGTGTTGGCAGAGGTTTTGGTTCCTTCTGAGGCTGTGAGGGAAGGACCAGCTCCAGGTCTGTTTCTTCAGCTTGTAGATGGACATCTCCCTCTGTCTTCACATGGTATTCCCTCTGTATATGACTATGACAAAATTTTATTTCTTATAAGGGTAGCAGTCATACTGAATTAAGACCAACCCTAACAACTTTAACTTAATTACTTCTTTAAAGACCCTATGTCTAAAACAGGTCACATTATGACGTACTAGGGGTTAGAACTTCAGTGGGGGGAAGCGAGGACACACAATTTGGCCCATAACAGAATATCTGCTAAAATGCCCTAAGCCGGGGCTTAATATGGAGAAAAAAGAAATAGAGACAGTAGGGAGTTTATTCCAAACACTTCAGAGATGATTGCTACAACATCCGAGATCCAGACTGGCAGTGACCACAAGTATAGCCAGCATCTGGTGCCTTTGGTGGTGACAGTACCCACCACACAGCCTAGTTCCAGTTGGTGGCAGAGGTGTACTCATCCAATAGTTCTGGCTGGTTCCTGCCCCTTGGCTTCCCTTGGTTTCTGCTCATTTACTTAGTGTAGTTCCCCAGCTTTTCTAGGATTCTGTAAGTCACCCAATACATTCGTTTCTCCAATTCTATTAGTCAGATTTGGTTTCTCATGTTTCTAAACCTGACAACTAAAGAAAACACCTAGGGATGCTTCTACATGATTGAATTAAGACTTTTTACTACCTCCTATGGCACAGGAGAAAGAGAACAAACTGCATAATGGGCAGATCTAGGTTGAAGCCTTGGCTCCTCCATTTTCCAGACACATTGACAAGTTTCTGGAACTTGCTGAGCATCAGTTTCCTCATAAATTTGAAATCATAATACAAAACATTTATTGGGCATTTATCAAATTCCAGGCACTGCTCTAGTATTATGCCATTTGTGTCTCATAGCAACCCTTCACCACAACTAGTTCTACTGTCAAGTTTATAGATTAAGCAATGATGCTGCATGTCAATGACTCCTAAATGCATGTTCTAAACTCAGGACCTGTCAATGAGCTCTAAACTGATATTATCTGACTACCAGGTTTACATATTTCAAACAATATATTTAACAAAGAACTTTTGAGCTCTAAATCCTTCCCTCAACTGAATTTCGCCCCAAATTCTGTTGACTAAATAATGACATCCAAGTTTCTCAATCCTAAACCCTTTATTATTAGCACTCCCCATTTCTTCATCTCTGCCACTTCCAGTCATAACTAAGCCCTGATTACTTAATCTCTGTATTAGTTTTCTATGGCTAATACAGCAAATCAAAACAAACGCTGTAGCTTAAAACAATACCCAATTATTACCTCCCAGTTTTGAAGGTCAGAAGTCCGGATACAACACGACTCTGCTAGTTCTCAGCTTAGAGTCTCATAAGACTAAAATGAAGGTGTTGGCAGGGATGTGTTTTCTTCTGGAGGCTTTGGGGATGAATCCTTTTCTAAGTTCATTTAAAGTGCTGGCTGAGTTCAGTTCCTTGTGGTTGTAGGACTGAAGTCACAGTTTCCTTGTTAGCTTTGGTGGCTGGTCTTTGCTCCTGACCACAGCATTCCTTCTTCATATGCTTTCCAAATGGACCACGACTTTCCATATGCTTTCCATACGGTCCAAATGGACCATATGCTTTCCAACAACCACAACTCCAATCTCCCTCAAGCCTTGAATCTCTCTGATTTCCTTTTCCCTTGCATCTCTTAGCTTCCAGCTGGACACAGTTCTCTGCTTTTTAAGGGCCTATGTAATTAGACTGGACTTGCCTGGATAATTAATTATACTTTTCCTTAAAGCCAGCTGAGTAATAACCTTAATTGCAACTGCAAAATTCATTTTGTCATGCTTTGTGACATATTCACAGGTTTTGGGATTGGAGCATGGACTTCTTTGGGAGGACATTATTCTATCAACCACAATAAGAAAACACATGCATACCTCATTAGAGATAATAGCAATGTTACTTATTAGTTAGAAGGGTAGACTATGAAGCTGGATTCCTTGGGTTCTTCTACCTGTTAGCTATCATTTAGGACAAGTTATTTAACAACTCTGTACTTCAGTTTCTTCACCTGTAAAATGAAGGTGATAACAGTACTTACAAGATTTTTGAGAAAATTAAATAAGTTACTATATTTCAAGTTTTTAGAACAATGCCTGGTATAAAGTAAGTGCTGTGTTTAATTATCTGTTATCATTACAAATCGACATTATGAAGGGGGAGACTCTGTTATGTGAAACACATGGGGACCAGTTTCTAATGAGATGTCAACAGAAAGATTTTTAAGATCAGAACTCATGGAAAAAGGAAGGAGAAAGCTAAAACCAGGTTGTTGGGAGGAGGTAGGATAGTGGAGGAAGCACCATGGACATAGAATTCTAGATGGGAAAAGACTCAGGAGTGAGAAAATACCGTTCTATACAAGAAACTACAAGTAGGTTATTGTTACTTCAGCCTGATGAAGTGAAGGTAGAGTGAAACAAAAAAAGGCTAAAGAAGAAAAAAGATGTCAGTGCCACAGGTCTGTGTGGTCAGAATGAGGAACTTGGCTGTCAGAACAATGGAAGTTGTAGAGAGATAGGAACTGAGCAACACATTTTAGAGGATCACTCTGGCTGCCCTGTGAGAAGGGATTAGAAAGGAGCAAGAACAAAAGCAGATAAACTGTTTAGAAGTCCACGGGAACAGTCTAAATGGAAGACTAATTGGGTCTATGGTAACAGTCCGTGTGAAAGACTGGTTTGGGGCTGTGGAAATAAAGAGAACTAAGCATAATTGTGATATGTTTTGGAAGTTTTGCTAAGCTGAATAATGTCCTCCGTCCCCCCACCCCCCACTGTGAGATGTTCTAATCTCTGGAACTTGTGATACGTTACGTTACATGGTAAAAGGGACTTAGTAGTTGGAATTAAGGTTAGGGACTTTAAAATACAAAGCCTGAGTGATCCACCTGAGTGATCTAGGTGGATCCAATCTAGTCAGGAGTTCTTAAAAGGAGAGTACACTCTCCACATGGAAGTAAAAGAGGATGTCAGAGAGCTGGGGAACAAAGAGAAGTCAGAGATTCCAAGTGTGAGAAGGATTTGGCACGCCGTGCTGCCTCTGAGATATAGGGGCCTGGGTGCTTGGACTGGAGAGAGTTCTGCGAGAGTTAAGGGAGGCCCCCAGTGGACAGCGAATAAGAAAACAGGGGCTTCAGTCCCACAACTACAAGGAACTAGATTCTGCCAATAATCTCAATGAGCTCAGAAGCCAAGTCTTCCCAAAGCCGTCCAATAAGAGCCCAGGTAACAGATACCTTGATTTCTGTCTTGTGAAACCAGGAGCACAGAAACCAGTTGAGCCGGTCCGGACTTCAGAACTACACAACTGTGAGAAATAAACTAGTGGGATTTTTTTAAGTGACTGATTGATTGTTTTAAGCCACTAAATTGGTGATAACTTTTAATGCAGCAATAGAAAACTAATATATTTACATATTAATATCAGTCTTCCTCATAGAGTGTAAGCTTCATAAGCACAAGGACAGTGTCTGTTTATTTCACCATTCTTTTCCTAGACTTAGTCCAATGCTGGCATTTGATAGATGCTCAACAAGTATTTTACTGCAAAAATGAGGCAGTGAACATTTAAATAGCTTACCTAATATCACACAATTAGTAAGTGTTGGAACCAGGCCTTCAGCTCATGTCAGATGTCATATATAACATTTCTTTTGAACATTAACACAGCATATTTAATGTCTTTGGCACATAGTAGACATTTAATAGCTATTACATCCTCCAGGTCCCCTTAATTACCCTGAACCTAGCTCAAACTCCTTTTTGCACTTCTGGCTAATAGTAATGTCCTAATGAGCCTCACTGAATCTAAGCATTCTCTACTGCAATCCATTTTCTGCCACATTAATATTCTACAAACACATACATTAAGATTATGTCTTTGAAAGCATAGGGCCAACTGTAAAGCTTGTTTATTATTTATTGTTATTGTCACCATTATTACCATCACTCACATTAAATCTAGACTGCTGAGCCAAGCTTCCAAGGTACCAGTCTCAGGGCTTCCCTGTCCTCTCTGACTTATTTCTCACCTTTCTCAGCATGTACTCATTGTGTAAGCCAAATGGTCTCCTATCTGATGGAGATACATCCACAACTCACTGTTACCTTTGGGCTTTGCTCATGCTTTTTTGGGCTTTCCTATCTAAACAATGCCATGCCCCAACTTGAAAGTCCACCTTTTTCACAAAGCCTTTCTTAGCGACACTACATCTCATTGATCTCATCTGAATTCCTGCAGCACTGAGGCCCTGATCCATGCTCTTTGGCACTTATTTAGTCTATTCCACAACCCTAAAATGCATGCCTCTGAAGTGACAGACATGGGGCTAAGCATAAACTATGGCTTTTGTCTAATACTATTTTGTATGGCTTTTGATGGGGTTTTGGGGTACGGTGTGTGCATCTTGTCTCTCTCCAGCTATGTAGTAAACCCCTCAAAAAGCCATCTAAAAAATTAAGCAGTTAAGCTCTGGCGTCTGATGTGCTGGATTCAAATCCTGTCATTTATCAGCAATTTGACCTTGGGCAATTTCCTTAATTTCTCTAAAACGTAATTTCCAGCTAGGCACGGTAGCTCACACCTGTAGTCCCAGCACTTTGGGAGGTCAAGGCTGGTGGATCACTTGAGACCAGGAGTTTGAGACCAGCCTGGGTAACATGGCAAAGGCCCATCTCTATCAAAAATATGTACATACAAAAATTAGCCAGGCAGATTGGCACATGCCTATAGTCCCAGCTACTTGGGAGGCTGAGGTGGGAAGATCACTTGAGCCATGGAGATGGAGGTTGCAGTGAGCCGAGACCACACCACTGCACCCCAGCCTGGGCAACAGAGAGAGACCCTGTCTCAAAATTTCATAGATAAGGAAATTAAATTTTATTTAATTTATTAAAATTTAATTTCCTTATCTATAAAATGATGGGTAATATCTAATATATTTGATATTAGAGCATATCATTATAATCTATCAATCCTATATTAAATTTTATGCTACATCATATTACAATATAATAAATAGTGTACAATGTATAATATATAATGGTGGGTTATAATAGTTTACTTCATTGGGTTGTTGTGGGAAATAAAATAAGGTAATTCATGTAAGGCTTTAAAAATGCTCTCTAGCATACAAGGACTCAATAAACATTATCCATTATTAGGCTTCGAGCAGTTTTTTTTTTTTTGAGACAGTGCCTTGGTCTGTCACCCAGGCTGCAGTGCAGTGGCACAATCATGGCTCACTACAGCCTCAACCTCTGGAGTTCAAACTATTCTTCCACCTCAGCCTCCCAAGTAGCTGGGACCACAGGTACACGGCACCATGTCCAGCTAATTTTTAATTTTTTGTAGAGATGGGGGGTTACACTATGTTGCCCAGACTGGTCTCAAACTCCTGAGCTCAAGAGATCCTCCTGCCTCAGCCTCCTAAGTTCTGGGATTATAGGCATGAGTCACTTCACCTGGCCGATTGTTAGTTTTTATTTCTACCACCATCCTGCACCTTCCACAATGTCTAATATAATTCTGGGCACAGAGTAAGTATTTAATAAGTATTCTTGTCTGAATATTATTGAAAAATAATAATATATTAGATGGCTAATCTGGTAGAGGAAAATCAGAAAATTGATTCAAAGGAGTACTGACTGAACTGACTATTCAATTGACAGAAATCAGGAAATAATTTGGGAAGCAAAGACACCCACAAATTATTCCATTGTATATAGATCAAACATCATAAGAAACAAGAAATTCGCAATCATTAGGTAATTTTGCTTCATGAAGATATTTGATTGTTAAATTAATATGTGCTATTAGTAAAGTTGAAATTTCAGAAGTAGGGAGAGATAATATCACCTCTGTCCTTATACCTCACTATCCACACTGCTGAGAGTTACCTCCTATGCACAGTTTCTTGCCTGATCTTCCCTAAATTTATTTGTTTTTTAAAATAATTTAAACTTGTATTTTATTTTAGATTCAGAGGCGATACAGTTAAGCCTGTGTCTCCACCCAAATCTCATACTGAATTGTAATCCCTAGGTGTTGAGGTGATTGGATCCTGGGAGCATTTTCCCCCATGCTGTTCTCGTGATAGTGAGTGAGTTCTCACAAGATCCGATGGTTTTATGAGGCAGTTCTCCCTGCTCTTGGTCACTCTCTCTCCCCTGCCACCATGTAAGACTTGCCTCTTCCCCTTCTGCCATGATTGTAAGGTTCCTGAGCCCTCTCCAGCCATGGGGAACTGTGAATCAATTAAACCTCTTTTCTTTATAAATTACCCAGTCTCAGGTAATTTATAGCTAGAAATGTCTTTCTAGCAGTGAGAAAATGAACTGATACAACAGGGTACATGTGCAGGTTTGTTTCATGGGTATATTGCTTAATGCTAAGGTTTGGAGTACGATTAATCCCATCACCCAGGTGGTGATCATACTACCCAATAGTTAATGATCTTCCCTAAATTTTCTATGTGTGTAGTTACTTGCCTTTCTAATCCTCCATTTCCTCATCTTAAGAAATACCAACTCCTTTGCAGGAGTGTTCTAAAATGTATAAAGCATACAATAATTTTATCCTAGGTTAATCTGAAAACATCAGAATTTTGTAGTCATGGAAGCAAAAGAGAGGATATTTGTCAGAGTACTTTCAAGGTGAATCAGAGATTAATTCCCTTCGAGTTTTTAAGTCCCAAATGTATCTTTCACTAAAGATTGTTATAGAGTTTGCCTTTTCCTAAATCTATTTAAATGACTGCAATATTCAAACAGGAAGTTGTGGATAAATTAGCTTTTAAAAATGTTTAAGAAAAAATAATATGTGCATTTATAATCATTCATCACAGAGTCAGCTCACCAAATTTAAAGCACATTGTTTGGCAATCAGAAAAGCTGATGAACAAATTGAAAAAAAGTAATTACAGAAAAAGTCAGTGAATAAGCAATTACTGAAGAATAAATTACCCAAAAAAGGTAGATTAGAAAGTACAGCATGGAGACCATACCTTTGTGCACAGGATGAGCCTCTGCAGTGTCACTGTCCAGCACTTGCCCTCTGAGCAAGAAGAACCTAGTTACCTTCCCTAGCATCCTTACTCACTGGCTATATGCAACAGGCAGAAAACACCTCTTCTCACCACTGCTTTCCTATCATAATTGCATGTGTTTCATGGCAGGAGGAAAGGATGCAAACCCATTGTCTGCAGTACAGATTAGAGATACTCATACCTTTTAAACATTCTTAACTGCCAAATGTAGTAGAATGGGGATTTAAAAATGAGTATCAAACTTAAAATATCTTGATGGAAATAGATCATCTATCTAGTAAACATGACAAAGTTCTTAATGTTGAAGGAACAAGGCATTCTTGATAGTCTAAGCAAGAAGGTGAAAATTTTTGAAATTTTAAACATAACGCAATAGTTTTAAAAATTATTTGAGGATTTGGTATCAAATCAACAAATATTTCTGTTTTCATAACATTGAAGTCAATGGTTTTTAAATATTTTTAATAAATGTTTTATTTTGGAATAATTTTATTCACAAAAATGTTGCAAAGATAGAGCACAGAGTTTCCATATACCTTTCACCCACTTTCAGCTAACACTAATATTACCATATACATTTGTCAAAACTAAGAAACCAACACTGGTAAATTACTATTAGTTAAACTCCTGGCTGTATTTGAATTTCACCAGTTTTCCACTAATGTTCTTTTTGTGTTCTAAGATCCAATCCAGAATACTACACTGCATTTAGAAGCTGTCAGTTTTTAATCTTATCTTTTTCCCTCTAGAAATCTAACTACAACAGACAACTTCCTTCGCTATTTCGTAAGGTACAGTTTAGAGCAGCTTCTATAGGTTGCCAGAATCTCTGTTTGAGAAGAGATAAATTCAGTGTGCTGATGAGTTTTGTCTGAAGTTCTCCATGTAATTCTGGTCTCCAGGTGAACTGATTATTTTAGCATTGGGAAAACAGGCTAACCGTGTCAAGAAATATTCTGAGACAGGTCAGTTTATATTATAGTAATATGGATTTGGAGATTTTTTTATTTCTATGGCTCTCACTCATTAATATTCTTCCTAAATCAACACTATCAGTGAAAATTAATATATTTTCAGTCTAGGTTCAGTAAAAGAAAAGCCATGATTGCATTTTTGTTGTTACTATGGTTATGCATTATGATATTTCCTTAGGGGGAAATAACATTTTAAACAAATCTGATCAATCATGTTATTCTCAATCAGATTCTTATTGTTCATAGAGTACTACTTTAAAACTTTCCAATAAAGAGCTCCTAATGAGAGAGAATCAAACCTAGACCCTTGAGATCCACAAGATTGTCATAAAAGCCAGCCAAAAGAAAAAAAAATAATAAAAATAAAAATAAAAACTTTGAAGTCTTCAGCTTCAACTTAAAAATTCATAAGTTTTCCATTCTACTCCATGATATATTTATATTTGTTATCATATAGAATTAATGTTTTAAATTACTTACTAACCAGTTAAGACTGATGACTCCTTTCACATTGATGTTCATCACTGGTATGGATGTCCCTGTTTGACGACCAGAGGCTTGTTGATAGAAGTCCATGTTAGGCAAGGTACTCCTTATTGTTACCTCAATTAAACTTTTCAGCCAAATCCCTGTCCACAAATACCATGATATCCACACAGGAAAAAGAAATGTCAGGCTCAAACCAGGCCTGAAGTCCTCACTCTTCTATTCTATATATAATTTATTCTGTCAACAGTGTCCTCCCCTCTTCCTTCACTTACCCAGCTACTGAGTATGGTGAAGAGGTTAATGACCCAGGCCTTGGAGTCAGGGAGGCTGGTTATCTGGGTGTGTTCTAGACCAACACCCACAGCACTTTTTACCTGGTGGTTGTGGTATTTAAAGTTCTAGCACTGTCATTTATTAGCCAAATGAACTTGAACAAAATTCTTGCCAAGCCGTAGTTTCCTACTCTGTATAATTGAGATTTATAATGGAAATTTAAGAGTTATTAGGAGAACTAAATAATATGATGTATGTAAAGCAGTTAGCAAATTGACTGACTCAGAAAGAGCTCAATCATTTTATTATTATATGTTAAGACCCAGTTAAATGTCACTTCCTGTCTTTTCCAAGGAGAGTTAGTATTTTTCTTCTTTGGATTTCTTTGCATTTTTATTTTTTAAAAAAATATATAAAAAGCAATGTCACAGTAAAATCACCATATGCTTTTAAGTAATAAAAGATTATAAAATAGCAAGTGCAGCATGTGTGTGCATTAACTACATTAATGATGAAATATTTTCTTTTGGCACCTTTATTTTTCAAATTTTTTACAATAAATATGCATAATCTTATAATCTAAAATAAAGAAAGCAATGTAATATTGTTCTGACCATCCACATTAAATTCATTTTATCAAACAAAGATATGTACATAGTCCTATTTCCTGTTACTCCTACCACTGAATCCTCATCCCTAGGGGATATCATTTTCAAAACTTTTCATTGATTCTCGTATTATATACCTTTATATTTCTAAATAACATGACTATGTTATCACTCACTTTTACCATTTTAAACATCTATTGTCTTTCTACTATGGAGGATAGAGACTTCATTCTTGCACTACTACCCAATTTCCCAATATTTTTCTTCATCTTCCCAAAACAGTTATATTATACAATTTTTAATTAAACCACCATTTATTTTTTATTATTGTAACAATGTAAATATAATTTATAGCTAAACTATGTAGTTTAGTATGACTATTTTGTACACATTTAGTCCTCTGAAGTTAACTGTTTAATGATTTGTTTAAAAATGATGTCCCTATTACTGCTTTTTCTCAAAATCTCCCATGAAAGAGTCAATCACCTCTTGACAGCATATACAATCAATAATCTCTCCACTTTTTCTCTACATCCTTCCAAACTCCTTGTCCTCCAGCCTTACCCAGGACTGCTTCCCTCTTTAGGCCTTTGTTATAGACTGAGTTGTGTTCACCAAAAATTCATATGTTGAAGCCCTAACCCCAGATTCTTCAATATATGACATTATTTTGAGATAGCATCTTTCCAGAGGTAGTTAAATTAAAATGAGGCCATAAGGGTGGCCCTAGTCCAACTGCACTGGTTTCCTTCCAAGAGAAGGAGATAACCACATACAAGCAGACACCAGGGCTATGTGTGCTTAAAGGGACAGCCAAGTGAAGAGACAAGAAGAGGGACTTCGAGGAAGCCAACCCTGCTGGCACCTTAAGGACTTCCCACCTCCAATACTGTGAGAAAAGATATTTCTGTTGTTTAAGTTACCCAGTGTGTGTTATTTTGTTATGGCAGCCCTAGCAAACTAACACAGCATCCCTAATAGTCAATGAGGACTCTTTTTTCTGAACTCCTTCCTTTCTTAATTTGTTCCTTCATTTTCACTAATATTCTGATTGTTTTATAACAGGTGCACAGGAGATAATGCATGTCTGATAATTCCTTTATTTTACTATATAATTTAACTGAATGACTAGATGTAGGATTCTTGATGGAAATAATTGGTCTTCCAGAAGGCTCCATTGCCTTCTAGCTTCCAGAGTTGTTGGTGTTGGGAAGTTCGATGCTATTCTTGATTCATTCTCTCTCTCTCTCTCACACACACACACATACACACACACACACTCACTCTCTCTCTCTCTCTTTCAAAAGTGTTCTTCATTCCAGGTGTTCTGAAATTTCACAATGATGTATGTGCCTTACTGGTGGTCCTTCATCTTTTGCAGTGTTAGGTACTTGATAGGCTCTTTTAATCTGGAAATACATGTTCTTGATTACTGGGAAAGTTTAACTTTCTTTTTTCACAGTCCTCACCTCTAGTGTCTCTAGGCTTCTGCATAGAAATCTCCTGCATTTTGGACCTCCTGGAATGATCCTCCAATTTACTTCTATTTTTTCCACCTGTTTTCCATCTATTTGTTAATTCTTTCTTGGACATTTATTCAGCTTTCTCTTTCAATTCTTCTATGTAATTATTTTATTTGCTTCATTTTAAATTTCCAGAAGCTCTCTCTTAATCTCTTAGTGTCTTTTTGGATACTGATATGATTTTTTAGTGGATTCGATAGCTTCCTTCTGTCTCCGAACTGTCAATTACAGTTTTTTATTTTAAGCTTTCTTGTTCTTCTAACTTTGTATGTTTCCTCCAAGTACATTTTATGTTCATTTTTCTGACTTTTATTTTAGTACCTGTAATTATACACATGTATAGGGTTTCTTGATCATTGATTTAGATTTAGAAGGAGGCCTTATATAATTGATTTGCACCTTGGGGTATGTGATATGTGGGGTAATAAGGCAGAGACCCAAATGTTTTCTGGAAAGCCTCCAAATATTAGCATCTGTAGATATTTTCTAGTGGGCCAATTTCTCTTACTGTTCAGAGGGAAGGCAGTTGATAGTCTCACTGCTCAACATGTAGACTTTTCTCTTAATCCTAGTGCAGTGATTCATCTTCACCTATGCAGTTATAAACATCCCTCCCACCATGCTGGGGAAGGGATGGCAATCTGTCTGCACAGAGATGGGGAGGAGGATTTTGGAGGCAAATTGCTCTTTTTACATGCTTTTAACTAATCCTCATCTTTCAACAAAAACTTCAATATTTTTTCCAAAATAAAACAAAAACTAAAGCCTTTAATTTCATGAGCTGTTTAAATATAGCAATGTGAAATTGAATGTGTCTTGTTGGCATATCTTCACAGACATTGTGTACTAGCTTTCTATGATATTATATAATATGTACTTATCTGAGTCTAGCCTCTTTCACTCTGTATATTCTTCTTAAAAATCATCTGTGTTCCTTTTTATTGCTGAATAGTATTCCATTGTATGAACATATCATATTTTATTTGTCGGTTCATCTATTGATGAGCATTTGGGTGGTTTTCAGTGTTTAATTTGGCTACTATGAATAAAATTGCTACGACCATTTGCGTTCCATTTGTTGAAAAAAAACTTTACTTTCCAAATTGAATGACATTAGCAACTTTGTCAAAAATCAATTGACATGTGGATATATTTCTGAACTTTCTATTCTGTTCCATTGATCCATATTTCTATTCTTATGTTAGATAATGCCACACTATCTCAATTACTGAAGCTTTCTACTAATCCTTGAAATAGATTAGTGTAAAAGGAAATTTTTTCTTTTAAAAATGTGTTTTAGCAGTTCTACATCCATTGAATTTTCATATATATTTTAGAAACAACTCAACTTTTACCAAAAAAAAAAAATGCTGGGATTTTAACTGGGCTTATATTTAATCTATAGCTGAATTTGGGGAGAATTATTATTTTAACAATATTCAGTTTTTTAATCTACGAACCTGGTATATCCCTCCATTTAATTAGATTTTTCAAAAATTTAATTGACCAATGTTTTCTGGTTTTCAGTATACAAGTATCACATATTTTGTAAATCTTTCACATGAGTTTAAGGCAGCTATTTACAGTTTTTATGTATGTCTGCTAATCAAGTTTCTTAATTACATGACTCAAATCTATCTATTAACTCTTTTGTCTATAATGATTGGAGATTTGTCTGTTTTTCTTTGTAGGTTCGTCAAGTTTTGGATTATATACTTTGAGGCTGTGATGTCATTTAACAAGACTTTAATATTTTTCATCTCCCTGTTATAATTAACTTTTTATCATTATAAAGTAATTCCCTAATTTTGGTAATGCTTTTTGTATTAATGTCTATTTTACCTGATTCTACTATAATTGCATTAGTTTCCTTTCTGGTTTGTCATTTTTCATTCTTTCTATTTCCTTATGTTTTAGATGTGTCCTGTTAAAAAATCATGTGGGTAGGCAACCTCCAATGATCTCTGCCTCCTGATTTACTTCTCTTATGTAATATCCTTCCCTTGTATATAGACTGGACTTAAACTGACTCACTTCTAATGAACTAAATATGAAGGAAGTGATTAGGTTATAAAAAGACTGTGGCTTGTGCTTTAAGTGTTCTCTCTTACTCTCTTTTGGATTGCTTGCCCTGGGGAAAGCCAGCTGTCTATGGTAAGATAGCACTGTGAGAGTTTCACTTGAGTAAGCTGGAAAATCTTCTGAGGCTAGTAAGTCCTTCTGAGGTCCTTCAAAAAGGATTCATTCACAGTTGAGCATTGAGATGACTATACCTGTCAACACATGGTTTGAAGTCTTGTGAGAGACCCTGACCAAGAACCATCTGCAAAGACATTCCCAGATTCTTGGCCCACAGAAACTGTAAAGTAAAAATGTATGTTGCTTTTAGACACTACGTTTTTGGGCAGTTTTTATGTAGCAATCATTATCTAATACATGCTTGTACTTGGATTGTTTTAATCCACTCTGACAATTTTTTGCTTTGAACTGTAATATTTTGTTAAATTATAGAGAATAACAATTTTTTATGTATTTTGGATTTATTTCTACTATTGTATTTTGTGCTTTCTACTTATCTCACCTGGATGACATTTTTTTTTTCTTACACTTTTTGGTTTCTCTTGAATTGTTCTGGTATTTTTTTCTTATTTTAGTCCCTGTTTTAATTTGGAAGTAATGTGTTTTATTTCAACTTTGTGTTTGAAATGGTTACTGCAGTAATTAGAAGAGGCATACTTCTCAAAGTTTAAAATTAATCAGTTTTTTTCACCTGCTAAGAAATACAAAAGCCATAAAACACCTTAATTCCATTCACAATTTCTCCAGCTTATATAATATTATTATAATGTATTTCACCTTTATTTTTGAATCCCCAATACTGTATTATCCTTTTTTTTTTTTTTTAAGACGGAGTGTCGCTCTTTCGCCCAGGGTGGAGTGAAGTGGCGGGATCTCGGCTCACTGCAATCTCTGCCCACCGGGTGCAAGCGATTCTCCTGCCTTAGTCTCCCAAGTAGCTGAGATTACAGGTACCCACCACCATGCCCAGATAATTTTTTGTATTTTGAGTAGAGATGGGGTTTTGTCATGTTGGCCAGGCTGGTCTCAAACTCCTGACCTCAGGTGATCTACCCGCCTCGGCCTCCCAAAGTGCTAGGATTACAGGCCTGAGCCACTGTGCCCAGCCTTCATTATACTTTATAAGCAGTGCTTGTTTAGACTTAGTCACAAATTTACTACTTTGCTTTGGCTTCTTGCAGTTACATTTGAGAAGAATTTTCTTCTGCCTTAAAAATATCCTTAAGAATTTTTTTATAGAGAGTCATTGCTGGTAAACTTAAGTTTTGTTCGTCTGAAAATTCCTTTGTTCCACTCTTGTTTTTCAGACATACTTCTAATGAGTGTAGAATTCTAGGCCAACAGTTATTTTCTCTCAATACATTGAACATATTATTCTAGCATCTGTGGTTGCTTCTGCAAAATCAACTCTTCTTGTATTACTACTTTCGAAGTAGTCTATCATTTCTGCCTGCCTGCTTTTAAAATGTGCTTTGTTCTTTATTTCCCTTGGTTTAAATATAATGTGCCCGGCTTTTTAAAAGTCCTACTTGTGATTTATTGGACTTAAAAAAAATGTGGATTGGACTTTTATTTCTGCTGGAAAATTCTCAGCCTAAACTCATTCCAATATTGCTTCTGTTCCTCCCTTTTCTCCTCTTGGAACCCTGATGATATGTATGTTGGATTGTCTTACTCCAACATCCATGTATCCTTGCTTCCCTTTTAAATATTCCATCTCATTGCTTCATACTAGTTTCAGATAATTTCTTTAGAACCATATTCTACTTTACTAAATTTTTATTCTTCTCTCTCTAATATGCTACAAAGCTACCTGTGCTATTTAAACTATTCCCAGTATGGTCACTGATTCTATTCCTTATTCACTATACATGTTTTTAAACTTTTTTTCTTTAAGCATATTAGAGAGTTATTTTATAATTTGGATCTGATTATTTTATTATGTGATGATTTTATAAAATTTTGTTTGCTGTTCTTTAATGCTGGTTCTTATTCACAGTACCTCATTTCCTAGTGAATTTAGTTCATTTTCATAAGCTTATTTTCCTTAGAGTTTCATGCATGAAAATCATTTGAGACCTGGGAAAAGGTGAAGACTGCCGAGTTTGATTTGCCTTTGATTTGCCAAATGTTGCCAATTCTTGACCACTCTGATTTAAATATGTGGCTTTGTTTCTTTTGAACCAGATGGTGAGATTATAGATTGAAAATCTGGGCAAGTACTATGTTAGGTTTCTCAATTTTCACACTGTCATTTTTCATTTGGAGCTCATTTTATTGTTATTAAAAGACAATTGTTTCTTCAGGACACTAAGAAAGATTTTATTGGTTTGTTTTGGCTCATCCTTATATTGAAGAGGTCCTTACACTCCCGAGGACCTAGTTTTGCCAGAGAAATCTACTTGGTTTCCTGCCTTTGGCAGACATCAGGCTTGGTTTCCTGTCTCTTTCACTCCATCAGTCCATGAAAACCGAAATGCAAGCTTACATGGTTTGGCAATTGTCCTTAGAGTGAACGCCAGCTGCAGAGCACTAAGAATAGCAATTAGTTCTTTGAGTTTCCATTCTTTATCAGTGCCTGATCTGAGAACTGCTTACTTCCCTGAGAGCTTATTAATAATGTAAACTTATTTTTAATATCTTATCCAGAATTTTTTAGGATATTTCAGCAGGAGGGTTGATCCATAAAATTGGCCTCCTGTATAACCAACCAATAGGAGCAGTCCTGCTGCTGCCCATAACACAGTATCTATCAATGTTGAATATATTTGCTTGTGTTTCTTTCTTCCTTAATAGGCTTAGAGCTTCTCGAAGATAGAGACTGTTTTTCATTTCAGTGCCTGGATTCTAATATGGATGGATATATATATATATACACACACACATATATACATATATATATATACACATATATATACATACACGTATATATATATATACACATATATATACATACACGTATATATATATATACACACACACACATATATATATATACACATATATATATATATATCCAAGAGATCCTAACTTGTAATTCAATTAACTGAGAGACAAAAGTTCAGGTACTTTTGAGAGTCTGTGTTCCTTTTTTGTGGCATAATCTACAGGGGAAATTAATTTTTAATGTAATTATTAAATCCAGTATATTACCTTATTGAAATTCTTGAGAAATACAAAGCAGTTGCCCTTTCAGCAAATGAACAAAAAACAATAAAAAAAAATCCTGTTATGTAACTTTGACTCCTCATTTTCTCGTTTTTCAGTGGCCTGTTGCTATGGAAATCTCTCCACACTATCTGCAGATATGAATCACACACTTGGTAGCACTACATCTGCAGTGCTGCAGTGAACCATATGGAGAATTTACTGCAGCCAAAGGAGTCAAGTAAAAACTCTCTCCACAGATGGATTCAGCACTTCAAAGGTTGAGGCAACTGTTCAATAGGTTACACTGCCTATTTCTCAGCAATACCAAAATTCAAAAAGGCATTTGTCCTAAAAGACTAGATACACAGGTCCTGAGCTGTCACTTGAAGTGGGTAGGCAAAGGGGCTGCTGTAAATAGAACTCCAACAGAAATCCGCAAACCTGAATTGGCAAACACAGTCTACCTATCAGAGTCGTCTGGTCTTCATTTGAATCCAGTTCATCACCAGTGTTATAGAATGCTACTAGTTTATAAATTTATAATTTTTTCCTTTAGCTCTTGAAAAATATGAAGGCTTGTTTCATAAGAATTATTTAACTTGTGAAAATTGAATGGATGAATGGTAAATCACAAATTGAGAAGTTAATTCTTGATGGGTCTGGAGTTACAGTTGATATGAGCAGATAATGGTTCCAATTTGTAGACCACCCATATATGCTATACCTTTATCTAAGTGTTTATATACATTATTTGATTTTATTTTTTAACATTCCTACAAAAATAAGTGTTATTAGCCCCATTTGACTGATCAAGAAAATAAATTTTTTTAAAAAAACTAGTAAGTCTGTCACTTATAGTTTGTAAGTGTTGTGAAATTTGGGTTTCATTCAAGTCTATCTGACCCTAATGCTTATTTTATTGCCACAATTAAAAATTTCTATTTGAGAGGTGTATGCATAGATCATGTGTCAAGCCTATGCTCTGGAGTCAGAGTGCCTGTATCCAAATTTTAGCTCTGTCTTTGATTATCCATGTAACTTCAGGGTACTTACTTAACCACTCTTCTGTTCAGTTTTCTCACCTCTAAAATGGAGGTAATAAAAATACTTACCTGGGAGGATTCTTGAGAAAATTAAATGACCTATTGCACAGGACCAGGAATAAGTGCCAAGTAAATCTCAATAGTGTTATTATCATCGTGTTCATTCATTTGTTTTAAAATATGGCATACTAGTTTGAGGAATATAAAAATTATGAATTGTTTTCCCTTTCTTTTAGGGCAGCATGTTTACTAGGGCAGTAGTTCCCAAACTAGTAGCAGCATCACCAGCTAGGAATTTTTTAGAAAAGCAAATTATCAAGCCTTATCCCAGATCTACTAAGAAAGAAACTCTGGAAATGGAGCTCCCGGCTATCTGTATTTTAACAAGACCTTCAGGTGATTCTGACAAATGCAAAGCTTGAGAAATAGTATGGGACAAAAGATTTTGTATCTTTCCTAGTTTTACACAAGGCCAGCTGTGCCCAAGGGATGCTTTTAGAACCAATCCTGGGGTGCTATGATTTTTCTAGTATCACTTCTCACACTTCGAATGGATGTTGCAATCACTTTGTTCCTTTGAGCCCATCTAATCACTAAGATTCTTGATTAATAGTTCATCTTTTTGCCTCGACTGCATTTGAGATGATCAATTACTTCATAATAATTTCCTCTTGTGTGGAATGACATGAAACACTGTGATTATCACAGCCATTAGAAGATACTACTGGAATTTTTCAGAGTTGATGCAGACAGAATATTTAAAGTGTCCCTAAAAGCAGACTAGTCTCTATTTTGCATAAAAATAATAACAATTAATGAAGTTTTTCCAATTGAGGAATATGTGAACCAACTTTTAAAGGCTTTATTTATCCTAAGTTTTACAATGTTTATTAAGGTTCATAAATAGAAAATGACATACTACCAAGCTTTCAGATAAGGCAGCTTCAATCCAGGAAGCAAGCTCATAAGAATGTATGTTAAACTATTTCAAGACAAAAAAATTAAGTTAGTATCGATTTATCAATATTTTAAACAAATGATGCTGCTTAAATGACTTAAATGAGTTTTAACCTAAGTCTTTCTTTAATCTATAAAACTACAGGATTGTTTCAATTGATCTCTTAAGATTCTTCTAACTGTAAGAAAAAAATATGGTACAATGAATACATTGAAAATTATCATTTACATTGAGTAATAAAATGTTTAAATCCTTCAGGAGTCTTTCTGGAGTGGAACCAGCTCTGACTAGGTAAAAGTTTAAAAGTTTTCAGCAAGGTCTTGTGGGAACACTACCGATTTGTATACCTTATAGCAGTTCCAGGAAGCTCTGACATTTAGCAGTTATGTAGAAGCTCCTGATTTGAACAGTTGGAAAATCCTAATTAGGTTGAAGGTGTTAGCTTATCTACCTAAATATCTTCATGTGATTTAAGGTCTATTAATATTGCCTACCTCATAAAATTAATCTAAGGATGACATAAGCTTATGAATGATAATAAACCTAATAATTGATTCATATAGAATGAGCTCCACAAAATGCTGTTATTGTTCTAGCACAGTGGTCTTCAAACTTTGTATGTATTAGAATCATCTGGAAGGGGTACCTGGTAAAAATATAGATTCTTAGCTTCCATCCCAGAAATAAAGTGGGTCACCCATATCTGCATTTTTACAAGCTCCCAGGATATTTAAAATACAGCATATTTTATGTATTATTAAGGGTTCTTCAGAAAAATAAAGTCTATAGGATACAGGATCTCCCTCTCTCTCTCTTTCTCTCTCTATACACACACACGTATGTATATATCTAGACCGAATTATTTCACAGTGGCAAAAGGAGAATGATATATATAGAGAGAGTTTTTTACCACCTCGCATTAGTAGCATATAACAATGAGGAGAGAGAGAGATCCTATAGATCATATATATTACCACCTGATCATATTCAATTATTCACCAAATTAACACCAGCTCTATTAATAATCCTAATAATAAAGCCCCTCAAATGTCAACACTTGATCCTCATGTTTCAGGATATTCCTTAATAGCCATTGCCACAGTATAGCCAATCAACCATTATACCTCCCAAATAAATTAAAAAGACTATTAGCCCCACAAAAGCCCCACCAAAATTTAACACAATACCACAACCCACAGCACCACAGTTAACACTAGACCCCCACAAATAGAAGGTTTTGAAGAAAAACCTACAAACCTTATAACGAAAAGAATACTTAATAAAAATAAAGGATATGCCATTATTGCTACATGGACTATAACCATGACTAATGGTATGAAAAACCATCATTGTACTTCAAGAACACTAATGACCAAAATATGCAAAACGCATCCGCTAATAAAAATGATCAACTACTCATTTATTGATCTTCCCACACCATCTAACATCTCTACATGATGAAGCTTTGGCTCACTTCTTGGTGCCTGCTTAATTCTCCAAATCATTACAGGACTATTCCTGGCCATACACTATATATCAGATACCTCAACTGCCTTCTCTTCAGTCACTCATATTAGCCGAGATGTAAACTATGACTGAATAGTCCGCTATTTTCATGCTAACGGTGCTTCAATATTCTTCATCTGCCTCTTCCTACACATTTGGCCAAGGCTTATACTACAGGTCATTTATATTCCTAGAAACCTGAAACACTGGCATTATCCTCCTACTCACAACTATAGGAACCACATTCATAGGCTACATGCTCCCATGAGGCCAAATATTATCCTGAGGTGCTACAGTAATTACAAACCTACTATCACCCATCCCATATATTGGAACTGACCTTGTACAATGAATCTGAGGTGGATTCTCAGTTGATAAAGTCACCGTTACATGATTTTTACGCCTTCCATTTCATTTTACCCTTCATCATCACAGCTCTAGCAACTATTCAGCTTTTATTCTTACATGAAACATGATCTAACAATCCTTCACGGATCTCGGACAAAATCACTTTCCACCCCATTATACAATCCAAAGATATTCTAGGCTTAATTTTTCTCCTCCTCCTCTTAATAATTTTAGTACTATTTTCGCCTGATCTCCTGAATGACCGAGATAATTACAGTTTAGCCAGCCCCCTCAATACCCCACCCCACATTAAGCCAGAGTGATACTTTTTGTTTGCATACGCAATCTTACAATCCATCCCTAACAAACTAGGAGGTATACTAGCCCTTTGATCTCCCATTCTCATCTTAACAGTTATCTCTGTACTCTACATGTCTCAACAACAAAGCATAATATTCTATCCATGAAGTCAGTGCCTTTTCTGGATCTTAGTGGCTGACCTGTCACACTCACATGAATTGGAGGATAGCCTGTCAAATAACCTTTTGTTACTATTTGACAGACAGCATCCATTATGAACTTCTCTACCATCCTCACCCTATACCACTCACTGCCCTAATTGAAAATAAGCTACTTAAGGCCAGGCACGGTGGCTCACGCCTGTAATCCCAGCACTTTCAGAGGCCGAGGCGGGCGGATCACGAGGTCAGGAGATCCAGAACATCCTGGCTAATATGGTGAAACCCTGTCTCTACTAAAAATACAAAAAATTAGCCGGGCGCTGTGGTGGGTGCCTGTAGTCCCAGCTACTCGGGAGGCTGAGGCAGGAGAATGGCGTGAACCCCGGAGGCAGAGCTTGCGGTGAGCCGAGATAGTGCCACTGCAGTCAGGCTTCAGTGAAAGAGCGAGACTCTGTCTCAAAAAAAAAAAGAAAAAGAAAAAGAAAATAAGCTACTTAAATGAAACTGCCCTTGTAGTATAATTCAATGCTCTGGTCTTGTAAACCAGAAATGAAGAATTCCTCCCCAGGACAACTCAGGGAAAAAGCATTCCTGCTTCACCATCAACACCCAAAGCTGAAATTCTATTTAAACTATTCCCTGTACTTTCTTCAGCACACACTTTACCATGTCAGTATTAACCAACTAGCACTTATACATTAGTGCTTTTATGTACTTCATGCATTACTGCTAGTTGTACTGTAATTGCTTAATTGTACATAGTATATTTACATATAAAAGTGCATTAAAAGCTTAATCCACATGCATATAAGCACGTACTGAAAATCTCTTGATCAGCTATAATACATTCATGATGAACATCCATATAACAAACCTAGCTAACATGGACATTGACTCATACTAAAAATCCCTAGTATTACATAGTACATAAAATCATTCGTCGGACATAGCACATTATAGACAAGTTAATCCTCATCAACATGGATATCCCCTACCAAGCTTTAGTCTCTTAACCTACCATTCTCTGTGAAATCATCATCCCACTCGGGAGTACTACCCTCCTTGCTCTGGGCCCATAACACTTGGGGGTGTTGTCAATTATTCAAAGCAAGACCCTGAAAATGTCTAGATGGGTCTGCACAACCCCATAAACAAATAGGTTTGCTCCTGGCCTTTCTATTGACTCTTAGTAAGATTACACATGCAAGCATCCCTGCCCAGTGGAAATGCCCTCTAGATCACCTGAATCAAAAGGAGCAAGTACCAAGCATGCACAAATGCAGCTCAAAACACTTTGTTCAACCACACCCCCACGGGAAACAGCAGTGATAAATCTTTAGCAATAAACGAAAGTTTAACTAAGCTATACTAATATTTAGCATTGGTTAATTTTGTGCCAGCCACCACCGTCATACGATTAACCCAAGCTAACAGAACTTGGCATAAAGAGTGTTTAAGATCTACCCTCAATAAAGCTAAACTCTGTCTAAGTTGTAAAAAAACTCCAGCTGAAATAAAATATGGTACGAAAGTTGCTTTAATACCCTGAAGAGACAATAGGTAAGACCCAAACTGGGGTTAGATACCCCACTATGCTTAGTCCTAAACTCTAATAAATTAACAAAATCATTCACCAGAATACTATAAGCAACAGCATAAAACATCTGACAGAGATGTGTGTGTGTGTGTGTGTGTGTGTGTGTGTGTGTGATGTGTATGATGTATATGTGTGCATGCCTTTATTTTCTGAGTCACAGAAGATGAACTAGGGCTTTTTATCTGCTTATTTTTCTCTACTTTCCCTGTCTTGGTTATCTACCTCCTGAAAGGAGAGAAAGTAATCTTAACCTTGAACATGCCCAATTGATTTCGCCCTGGAACAGTTCTTTATCAACACACTGTATTATCTTAACGCCTGGGTACAATATGAAAAGAGCTGGGGAATCTTCTTCCTCCTTACCGCCTTCCAAAATTCATCACTTGAAATAAATCCTGTGAGGTTTCTCAAATGGTTATTTCTGTGGTTCTTATCAGACTGAAGGATATAAAATACCATCTGCATTCTCTTAGAATTAGGGTCCCTCCCAGAGACGCATTTCATTTTATTCCCTCTGTCTCCTCATTGCTATATACTACTAATGTGAAGTGGTAAAAAATCCTGTTTGGCTGTGGGTCATAAGAATCACTGGATCTTTCTTGATAAAAACAGGCATTTCTTGCTGTAAAATAACACTATTCATTCTCGGAGAATTTCTTTGGAATGTTGCCTTTCAATTTGTTTCTCATTCATTAAAAAAGGTGGAATCAGTGTTATAGTTCCCATCTTCAACAGGCCAATTTAGAATTTATGATAGGCTATATTTCTCTAATTTGTAAGGGATTAATTCACTGCTGACCTAAATTCCTTCACAGTGGCAAAAGGAGAATTGTTTCCAAGCAACCAGAAATTACTGACGTGAGGATTCAATCTTTCGGCGTTTTACACAAAAGCCAAGAAGTCTATTCTGCTGATCAGTTGAATAGAAGATACATGATGAGCAGTGTGGGACCTCTGCAAGACCAGTAAATCTGCTTAAGAGTCAAGCATACAGCCTGCGCCTGCAGTCAGGACCGTGCTTGTCTCCATTGGGAAACCATCACACAGGGCCCCATTTACTAAGAAATCCCAAAAGACTCTTCATAATATTCAGATTGAATATCAACAATATGTATACAAACCCTATTTCTCCAACCAAAACATACGACTACATGTCTCCTTCAGCCTTAGAAACTGAATGTGTTGACTTTTTTTCCTAGCCTCAAATTTTGTATATTTATAGAGCCAATAAGATGAAAGTGGACTCAGCCCAGTGTCCAACATGGCTTCAGAAGTGATTTAATCATCAGTAACAGAAGAGTAAAGTTGGCCTAAGGGCAATCAGAGCATCCCCAAGAATGACAAGGAAGGTTTTGTATTTAGCAAAACAAAAAGAGGCTTGAAAAAAAGAATGACACTAATCAGGTCATATCTATTCATTTTACAAATTATGAAATGAAGTTATTTGCCCAAGGTCAATGGTGGTAAAGTTGAGATACTAATTCCTAAATGTTGAGTTTTTCTCTGCTTCATAGTTAACAGCATCTTAACCTATTTGAAATTCTCTAGAAACCTCCAGGCTCATAGTATGACCTCTGGCAAAGCTTTTTGGAGCCAGATTGATCTGAATTTCCACAAGGATACAAAATGTATTCATTATGTAAGTGAAATAAACAACAGAAATTCAGATGGCTCACTAAAATTACTACCTGAAAAAGCTACTATTTGAAATTGTACACATTTCATTTTCTCCCCAATTTCAATCACTTTTCAACCATAAAAGATCACCAGGAAATTTCTTACATTTTTATAACTCTTATGTACTTAATATATAAAATATGAGTAATATGTATTTAAGGGAAGTTTTTAGAATTTTTCAAATAATAAATATAATCCCTGGTGACTTTTTCTTTCCCCTGGAATTTAAAAAGCAACACAATAAAAGGTTTAAGACAACCACAATGAGGGAACAATTATGAAGAGAAAAGAGGAAAAATAAATGTTCACCGTACAACTGAGAGCAGCAGCCCCTGAAAGATTCTACAGCAAAGAAAGTGGGTAAAGGAGTAAATATTCCAAATAGAGGGCCCTGCAAGCAAAAGAGGTACAGACCATAACGTGGTTCTTAAAAATAGGGATGGAAATCAGGCCTGAAGAGGTAAGAAGAGGCCAATTGTGTAGGTATTTTATATTCATGAATTTGTTACAGGTAGTTAGATAGGCATGAGCGTGGTTCCCCAATTATGACACTGCCTTTCTAACAATGATAATTCGGCAGCTGGCACCAGGGCACCTGGGAGAGACACTCTCTTGATGATCCACAGCTACTGACATTTTAGTGTTAACTGAATGCAGAGGCCAGGGAGAAGAAAATTCCTGGGCATGTGCTCTAAGAGGAAAAATGGTGAAGTGTGACTTCCAGGGACACTCCACTAGAAAAAGCCTCAGATGGGCATGTGTACAATTTCGTAGACACGCTGCGTGTGCTCAGTTCCCAGGGGTAAGGAGGGCACTGCACATGCAGGAAACCCAGCCTAAGGGAGAATCTTGGGAAAGAGGAGAGCCTACAAAGTCTTAGGATCAGAGTTAAACGCCCTCTTTTTGACATTCAGGTGCCCACTTGTGTCTCTTCAGGCAACTTTTCCTTTCTTTCCTGTTCTAAAGCCTTTTTAAAATAAACTTCCACTCCTGGTCTGAAACTCGCCTCAATCTCTTCTGCCTTATGCCCCTCAGCTGAATTCTTTCTTCTGAGGACGCAAGAATTGAAGTTGCTGCAGACATGTACGGATACACTGCTGTATCCACCGGTAAAAAGGTTTTTTTTTTTTTCCTTCTATTCATTGTGCTGTTGAAAATTTCAA
This sequence comes from Homo sapiens, assembly GCF_000001405.40. Taxonomy (NCBI): domain Eukaryota; kingdom Metazoa; phylum Chordata; class Mammalia; order Primates; family Hominidae; genus Homo; species Homo sapiens. The sequence goes on along the minus strand of NC_000011.10, from coordinate 87,810,772 downwards.
GCAAGTAGGTGTATGACCCTATTTACATTTCAGAAAGAAAGATTTATGAGTAGACTCTATTTGCTATCTACATGTATGCTAATAGAACTTTGCCCCTACCACAGTGGAAAGAATGTAACCATTGGCTCATAGAATTATTAACAACAAAGTCACACCGTTAGGACCAGTTTTCCTCCACTTTTTGATTACTGGCTAACTTAAAATATATGGTACATATTCTTCCTTATTTTTTTACTGCATGATACCATGTATATGACATGTTGAATAACACAAAATAATAGGGATTATTGGTACATACAACATAGATGAATCTCGAAATAATTATCCTTAATGAAAGATGCCAAAGACAAGTTCACACTGTATGATTCCATTTTATAAAAGCTCTAGAGCTAGACATGGTGGTGCATGCCTATAGTCCCCGCTACTCAGGAAGCTGAGGTGAGAAGATCACTTATGCCCAGGAGTTCAAGTCAAGCCTGGGCAACATAGTAAGACCCCATCTCAAAAGAAAAATAATAAAAATCTAGATAATTGAAGCAAGTTTATAGTGATAGAAAGAGTGACAGTAGGTGTCTGGGGATATTTTCAACAAAAAATAGGAAAATAGAAGTAAAAAAAGAAAAAGTAAAGTCTACTTTCCCCTTATATCTCCTATCTCCTCTGTGTCTGTATGATAATAGACAATCCAATTTTTTTCAGAAATTTTGAAGTATTATTGGAAAAATGTTTCCCTTAGTTATTTTACATGTTTGAGAACTGACAGATAATGAAATTCATAGAATTTAAGAGTAGCTTATTCAGACAGCAATTTCAATTAATATCTGCTTTTTATTACTTTTAAATTCAAAAGAGATATAATATTTTGAAACTGGATAAATCTAATGTCAATCTTTTCTAGGTTATAAAGAATAGGAAAGAACTTGAAAAAAGAAACTATCAACATTATAATTGAAGTTATTTTATTTTCTGGATTTAATGGCCTCCAAATTGTTAAGCAAAAAACAAATTGAGGATAAAATGACAGAAAAATAAAACTAGCTTTGTGAATAAACCATTTATCTTCCCAAAACTTATTTTTTTTTCAGAGCTTTCAACTGTAGGTAATTTCTGCTTCCTCTGATTATTCTTTTAAAAATAGAACTACTGTCTTTGAGATTCAGGAAATGGAAAGATTGCCCAGGTTGAATAAGATTTTCTGTCTTTTCCCATGTGAATGTATGTCTTGATTTAGTATCAAAAGTCCTGATTCATATCAATTTTTCCTCAGGCTACACAAAGTGGTGATAAGCAGAAGTCAGAGACCGTGACTTGGCCTTGTGTTGCTGGAAGCGCAAGTTGGCAGAGCCACAGGTTGCAGCCCTGGCAAGATCAAGCAAAAGTTTCCTGTCTATCACATTTGAAAGTCTTTTTTCACATCTAGGACTGGGCATGTAGATTCTTTTGTAGTCTGGACAAATCAGTAGTTGTGCCATCTTTTGTTAGGATTTCTTGGCAAATCTTTTGTATCCTTTCTTTCAAAACTTCTATATCCTTATATTTTAGATGTGGCTCTTGTGAACAACATATAGCTGAATTTTGTCATTGTTTTATCCAAGCTGGCAATGTTTTTCTTTAAATTAGATCACTTTCTTCATTTACGTTAAATGAAATTACTTATATATGTGGATTTAAACCTAGGATCTTATTATGTGCTTTCTGTTTGTCATGCCAACTCTATGTTCCTTTTTCTCTCTCATATTTCCTTCTATTAAACTGACTTTTGGCAATTCCAATTCTTTCCCCTCTACCAATTTAGAGGCTATGTGCTCTATTTCTAATATTTTCATGGTTACTTTTTAACATGCATGTTTAATTTATGAAAATCGAATATTAATTGATACCTTTATTTTTACCCATGAAAATGCAAAGGAATTAGAATACTTTATCATCCCTCCTGATATATGTATTTTTGTATTTTATTTTTTATCTTTTTAACTTTATAGACAAAATTGTATGTATTTATCAAGTAAAACATGATGTTTGAAATATACAGTTTACTGAAATATACATTACATTGTATTATGGCTAAAGTAAGCTAATTAACATATGCTTTATTTCATGCAATGAAAACACTTAAAATCTACTCTCTTAGACACCGTGTTCTACCTCAGATCTCTTGAAATTATTCCTCCTAGCAAACTCAAATTTTGTAATCTTTGAGTAACATCTTCCCAACTCCCTTAATGACCATCACGTCCACTCCTGGTGACCATCATTCTTCTTCCTTCTTCTATGAGATCAACATTTTTACATGTCACATATGAGTGAGATCATGAGGTATTTGTCTTCCTAAGCCTAACATAATATCCTTGAGGTTCATCCATTTTGTCACAAATAACAGGATATTTTCTTTTTTATGGTGGAATAGTATTTCATTGTATATATACATCACATTTTCTTTATCCTTTCATCTGTTAGTGGACACTTAGGTTGATTTCATATCATGGCTATTGTGAAAAACACTGCACTAAACATGGGAGCTTAGATATCTCTTCAATATTCTAGCTTCATTTCCTTTGGATATATACCCAATAGTGAGATTCCTCGATCATATGGTAGTTCTATATTTACTTATTTTTAGGAATCTTCATACTTTTTCTGTAATAACTGTACTACTTTATATTCCTACCAATAATGTGCAAGTGTGAAAATACCAAATTAAGGTTTGTCCATGAAAGGATGAGAGACTGGGGAGGTATATGTACACTCTGTAGCTGAGACTCTGCAACACACAGTTCCTCTCTGTCAACTGGCTCTGCCAATAGGACATGCCAGAGGGAGATAGATAGATAGGAAAAACAGACTTGTTTCTTCCTGTTATTTTTCTTCCTGTTCCTACTGGTGTAATCATAGCAGTGACTTTGTTCTTGACCCTAGTGAGAGCAGCTGTTTGGTCCACATTGCAGCTTTTCTATACTATCAGAACTACTCTCCTCAGAGATAACAGCACCAGCCATACATTACTCCTTCCCAAAGGTCTTCGTCACACCTTTGTGATTCCTCTTTTTCAAGTCTCTAAGATTTAATAATTCCATTCTCATTCATTTTTCCCTCAGGACTAGGACTGGTAGATATTTATGTCCTACCACCTACCATTATGATATTCATGTCCCTTTTGCTTTTTGTGTTCTGTCTACCTAGTTAACAAAAACAATTTTTATATTAAATTTTATGTGTTAAAATAGTCAGCATGGTTTATGTCTTGAATGGTCCCTGACTGAAACAGAACTACTTTTACCCTTGAGATATTTATAGATCCAGTGAAGACAGCGTAGCTGTGCTATGCTTTTTCCAGCCATAAAGAACAAAGCCATAGGCCTGTCAAACTTTCGAACTCTGGTAAAATAATCCACTTTAATCTGGGACTTAGGGATGTCCTGTAAGTAAGTTACTCCTTGTATTAGGTCATCTGTGTCATGTGGAAAACTTTAAATCTCAAACTTTGTTTGTATTAGCATTTTGGAGTTTTGAAGAAAATATTTTCTATGCATCAGCAGTCCCCAACCTTTTCGGCACCAGAGACTGGTTTCATGGAAGACAATTTTTCCACAGATTTTTGTGGGGGATGGTCTTGGGATGAAATTGTTCCACCTGAGATCATCAGGCATTAGATTCTCAAACGGACTATGCAGTCTAGATCTCTTGCATACACAGCTCACAATAGAGTTCGCGCTCCTATGAGAATCTAATACCCCACTGATCTGACAGGAGGTGGAGCTCAGGCAGTGGTGCTCACTCACTTGCCACTCACCTCCTGGTGTGCAGCCTGGTTCCTAACAGGCTATAGTCTTGTACCAGTCCAGATCCAGAATTTCATTTGTCTCAAATATCTAGCCAGCCATCAGGGAAAATGGAATACCTGACTAAATGCCTTGTAAGATTTCAGGACTAAAAACATTTCATTGTTAGCAGTACATTCTTCACTCACTTGTTTTCTCTTTAAATCTTTGATAAGCTCAGTGCAACATTGATTAATAAACAATAAAATACTTGTCTTGATTTAAATATTTTACCTTACTCTGCCACTGTCATAAATATTTTTTTCAGTTATATCTGGTAGTATTTTAAAATATTTCAAAAAGGAAAACAAATAAAAAAATTAAGAATACAAATGAAACAGGATATAAATGCTTAGGAATTTTTTTCCCTAATTTCTGGCATTGATATAATAGCATGCTTCTATACTCTGAATGTTTGTAGGCCCCCAAAATTCATATGTTGAACCAGATATTCCCAATGTAACAGTATTAGAGAATGGAGCCTTTGAGAGATGATTAGGTCACAGGAACTCTGCCCTCATTAATAAGAGTAATGCCCTTATAAAAGAGACCTCAGGGAGCTCTTTCATCGTATGAGGATGTGGTAAGAAGGTGCCACCTATGAAGCAAAAACAGACCCTCACCAGACACTGAATCTGCTGGTGCCCTGATCTTGGATTGCTTAGCCTCTAGAACTGTAAGAGATTAAATTTCTCCCATTTACAAGCCATGAAGTTTATGGCATTTTTTAGAGCAGCCTGAATGGACTAAGCTGCATATCATGAAGTCTCTATCTTTTAAGAGAAGATCCTTTCTGTCAAAAAAACATATTCATAACTCTCTACAAATTTATCAGTTATCACACTTTAATTTTCTGTTTACTTGCTCTGATGGCTAATTTTATGTATCAACCTGACTAGGCTACAGTAGCCAGTTTTTGGTCAAACTTCAGTCTAGATGTTACTGTGAGGGTTATTTTTTTAGATCTGAATAACATTTAAATTAGTAGACTTTGAGTGAAGTAAATTATCTCCAATAACGTGGGGAGGCCCACTAAACCAGTTGAAGGCTTTAAGAGAAAAAGACTGAGGTCCCTAAGAAAGAAGAAATTCTACCTCTAGGCTGCCTTTTGACCTGAACTGCAGCATCAACTCTTTCCTGGTCTCTATCCTGGGTTTCCAACCTGCATGTGTATATCTGTATATATATACACACATATATGTATGTGTATATATGTATGTGTGTGTATATATGTGTGTGTATACACATATATGTATGTGTATATGTATATACACACATGCATGTATATATACACATACATAAATGTGTATATGTGTGTGTGTGTGTGTGTGCGTGTGTGTGTGTGTGTGTAGTGTTTTCTCTGTGGAACCCTGACTAAAATGCTTGCCAATCACTCCCTCCCTCTATCCTATGGTTCTTTTGTGAGCAGAGATTATATCTTCTCCAGTGTCTGCTACAATTCTGACATCTAGAGAGAGCTCAATAATATTTGTCAAGCAAATTAACAAAGGATAGCTATTAAGATGCCTGAGCATTTAGCCATCAGGAAAAAAAATGACATAGATAATATCTTCTAACATGAAAATGATAAAGAGAATAAAAATATAATATGTGTGTGTGTACCTGTGAATATGTGTATATGCATAGGTGTTTGTGTGTGTGTATAAACATAGATGTCCATAGATAGTTGCACATATGGATGGAAGTAAGAACAAAAGAAAAGGATATTATTAAATAAAAAGGAAGATTTTTAAAATGTTACCAAGCAGGCTCTTTCACACTCCAGATACACCAATGCTTCTTTGTACTACCCTTTTAACACCATTTAGGCAGAAAGTGAAAAGTAGCTTTTCAGTGCCCTCTGAGGGAGGGCATATATTGCTTAGAACACAGAGTCAAAATGTTGGCATTAAGTTCCAAAACAGGCTTTTAAAATTCATTGAAGAAGCAACAACCTTGAAAGCAGAGGTTTTCACAAGGCTGAGATATTGAGAGACAAACGACTTTTTTTGAATTCAAATTCAAAGGCGGAAAGTTTAAGCTAAAAATGATAACACTGAGAAAAATCATGACAATTGTAACAGTTTTGTTTACATGGAATGAAGAAATAAAATCATTTCATCATTAGAGGAGTATTTTTATCATGTAAACAGAAAATGGAGCAATATAGTAAGTGACTTATGGATTATATAGAAATAATTCATGGCCTTCAACTTTGAAGTATACAGCAGATATCCCAGCAGAAGGAGATGATGGAATTCCCAGATAAGTTTTGGAGGGCACCATAAGAAAGGTATTTCTTGCCTTACTTCCGAGACTGAAAACCCTGTAGAGAAGCTAACTGTCTGGTGAGGTTATGCACAATAAGATTAAAAAAAAAAATCTGAGTGGAATACCTAGGCAGATGGGCCTAAGACCATCAGCAAAATTTAAGTCCTCACAGGGTTGTATAAAATCTTCCTGTCCTATGTCCCAGGGAGAAGCACAAAGGCTGAAGAGGCAGAATGTGGGCTGTTGACCAGTGATCATGGTGAAAACAAGATACCTCAGCAGGTGTCAGTGTATGCAGGCAAATGCCCTAAGACTAGTGCTGAAGACACCCACAGAGAACAGAGGACAATGATGGGCCAGATACCTTGATCTAGTTAATGCTAGGACAATGCATACACCCACTGCCTCTACCCAACTCAGCATTTAGATTACTCATTGGAGAGAGGTAGAAAGTAAAGAAAGTAAAAACAAAGGGGAAACCCCTCAATTAGACTATTTTCCTAAAGAAGACAAATAAATGTCTGCAAATGACTCAATTTACCTGGATGTAAATATACCAAGAAATTTGCTATTTACCAAAAGGAAGAGTTAAACCTAGTTGGTTCAGTTACAAAACAATAAAATCACGGTTTTGGTCACCCAAGTTGCATCAGAGTGAAAAATTCAGACCTGGCATATGCATATGTGGAAGTACACACATTCACTCAGTCACAGTGTGCAAAGTAACTATCAGATCAAAGAGAAAGAGAAAGTATGGCTCTCAAGGGCAGGGCATGGGCCACAGAAAGTTATTCTCAGGCCTTGGGGCCTAACGGAATTTGCTTTGCTGAGTTTTGAACTTGCTTGGGACAAATGACCCTTTATTCCTTCCATCTTCTCCTTTTCACGATGTCAGTGTCTATCCTATGCCTGCCCTACCACTGTATCTTGGAAGCAGATACTTGTTTTGTAGTTTCACAGGTCTGTGAATGAAGAGCAATTTTGCCTCATAATGGACCATATCCTGAGTTTCACTCATTTCTGATTCTAATAATTGAGATAATTAAATTGAAACTTTTTGAGCTGATATTTACAGAAAATTTGAAACTTACCATTAATACTAGAATGGATCCATACTTTGGATGACATAGGACTGGGGTGAATATAACTTGCATGTGGGATGAATGAGAATCTGGGGGACAGATGGTAAACTGCAGTGTGTCAAATAGTGTCCCACAAAATCTTATGCCCATCTAGAACTTCAGAATGTGACTTTATTTGGAAATAAAGTCTTTATGGATGTGACAAGTTAAGAGGGGGTCATACTGGGATAGGATGGCCCTAAATCCAATGTGATTGGTGCCCCTATAAAAAGGAGGAGAGGCAGAAACACTGACACACATACTCAGAGGGAAGATGGATGTGTGAAGGCAAAGGCAAAAATTGGAAAGATGCAGCTGAAAGCAAAGGAAAGCCAGGGATTGCTGGCAACCACCAGCAGCTAGGAAGAAGCAGGGAAGGATTCTTCCCTAGAGCCTTCAACTTTGCTGACACCTTGATTTCAAGGTTAGAATGTAATATAATAAATGTCTGTTGTTTTAAGACACCAAATTTTTTATTTACCATGCAGCCTTAGGAAACTGATACAACTACTAAATGTATACAGGTTTTTGTATGAACACAGTTTTTGCTATTCTGGGGTATATACTTAATTCTGGAATTATTGTTATATTTTATGTGTATATTTAACTTTAAGAAAAACGGTACTATTTTTCCAAGAGATGATACACTTTTACATCACCAATACCAGCTTTGTGTGTGAGTCTCAATTTCTCCTCTTCATTTCCAACACTTCTTATTTTAGTCATTTTAATTTTAGCCATTTAAATGGATATGTACTGATATTCCATTGCGATTTTAATTTGCATCTCTGTGATTACTAATGATATTGAGCATCTTTTATGTCTTATTTTATATTTGTATATCTTCATTGGTGAAGTGTTTAATGAAATATTTTCATTTCTTTAAAATTAGGTTGTCTTCTTAATACAGATTTTTAAGTATTTCTTTTTAAATTTAATGTATTTTATCTTTCCTGTTTTCTTCTATTTTTCAGGTTTTTTATTGTTGTTGTTTTCCGTTTTTGGCTCAGGGAGTACATGTAGAGGATTACTACATGGGTAAATTGGGTGTTGCTAAGTTTTGGTGTACGAATGATCCTGTCAAGCAGTGAGCATAGTGCCCAGGACATAGTTTTTCAAACTTTGTCCTCCTCCATCTCTCTTCCCTCTAGTAATCCCCAGTATATATTGTTCCCATATTTATGACCATATGTACTCAATGTTTAGCTCCCACTAACAAATTAGAATATGCAGTATTTGGTTTTCTGTTTCTGTGTTGATTTACTTAGGATAATGGCTTCCAGCTGCATCCATGTTGCTGCAAAGAACAGGATTTATTTCTTTTTTATGGCTGCATAGTATTCCATGGTGTATCTGTGCCACATTTTCTTTTTCCAGTTCACTGTTGATGGGCATTTAGGTTAAATCCATGTCTTTGCTATTATGAATACATCTGTAATGAACACATGACTGCATGTGACTTTTTACCAGAAAGATTTATTTTCCTTTGAGCATATACCCAGTAATGGGATAGCTGGATCAAATGATAGTTCTGTTTTATATTCTTTGAGAAATCTCAAAACTATTTTCCACAGCGACTAAATTAATTTACATTCCCACCAACAGTGTGTAAGCATTTACTTTTCTCCACAGTCCCATTAACATCTGTTAGTTTTTACTTTTTCAATACTAGCCATTCTGACTGGTATGAGATGGTATCCCATTGTGGTTTTGATTTATGTTTTGCTGACGATTAGTGATTAGGAAAATTGTTTCTATATTTTTTGGCTGCATGTATGTCTTCTTTTGAGAAGTGTCTGTTCTTGTTTTATGTCCATTTTTTAATGGGGTTGTTTTTTACATGTTGATTTAAGATCCTTATGGATTCTGGATATTAGACCTTTGTCAGATGCATAGTTTAAGAATATGTTCTCCAGAGTGGCTGGCAAGATGGCCAAATAGGAACAACTCCAGTCTACAGCTCCCAGCGAGATCAACACAGAAAGTGGGTAATTTCTGCATTTCCAGCTGAGGTACCCAGCTCATCTCATTGGGAATGGTTAGAGGGCGCAGCACATGGAAAGGAAACTGAAGCAGGGTGGGGCGTCACCTGACCTGGGAAGTGTAAGGGGTCGGGGAACTCCCTCCCCTATGCAGGGGAAGTTGTGAGGGACTGTGCCATAACAAACAGTGCATTCTGGCCCAGATACTACACTTTTCCTGTGGTCTTCACAACCTGCACACCAGTAGATACCCTCGGATGCCTACACCAACAGGGCCCTGGGTTTCAAGCACAAAACTGGGAGGCCACTTTGGCAGACACTGAGCTAGCTGCAGGATATTTTCTTTTCATATCCCAGTGGCACCTTGAATGCCAGCAAGCCAGAACCATTCACTCCCCTGGAAAGTGGGCTGAAGCCAGGGAGCCAAGTGGTCTAGCTCAGCAGATCCCATTCGCATGGAACCCAGCCAGCTAAGATCCACCGGCTTGAAATTCTCACTGCCAGAACAGCAGTCTGAAGCTGACCTGGGATGCTCGAGCTTGGTGGGGGGAGGGCCATGCACCATTACTGAAGCTTGAGTAGGTGGTTTTCCCCTCACAGTATAAACAAAGCCACTGGGAAGTTCGAACTTGGTGGGGCCTACCACAGCTTGGCAAAGCCGCTGTAGCCAGACTGCCTCTCTACCTTCCTCCCCTCTAGGCAGAGCATCTCTTAAAGAAAGACAGCAGCCTCGGTCAGGGGCTTATGGATAAAAATCCTATCTCCCTGAGACAGAGCACCTGGGGGAAGGGGTGGCTGTGGGCACAGCTTCAGCCGACTTAAACATTCCTGCCTGCCAGCTCTGAAGACAGCAATGGATCCCCCAGAACAGCGCTCGAGCTCTGCTAAGGGACAGACTGCCTCTTCAAGTGGGTCCCTGAGACCCATGCTTCCTGACTTGGAGACATCTCCCAGCAGGATCGACAGAAACCTCATAAAGGAGAGCTCCACCTGGCATCTGGTGGGTGCCCCTCTGGGACAAAGCTTCCAGAGGAAGGAACAGGCGGCAATTTTCGCTGTTCTGCTGCCTCCACTGGTGATACCCAGGCAGACAGGGTCTGGAGTGAACCTCCAGCAAACTCCAGCAGACCTGCAGCAGAGGGGACTGACTGTTAGAAAGAAAACTAACAAGCAGAAAAGAATAGCATCAACATCAATAAAAAGGGACGTCCACAAAAAAACCCCATCCGAAGTCACCAACATCAAAGACCAAAGGTAGATGAATCCACAAAGATGAGAAAAAACCAACCCAAAAAGGCTGAAAATTCCAAAAACCAGATGACTCTTCTCCTCCAAAGGATCATAACTCCTCTCCAGCAAGGGAACAAAACTGGACAGAGAATGAGTTTGATGAATTGACAGAAGTAGGCTTCAGAAGGTGGGTAATAACAAACTCCTCCAAGCTAACGGAGCATGTTTTAATCTAATGCAAGGCAGCTAAGAGCCTTGAAAAAAGGTTACAGGGATTGCTAACTGCAATAATCAGTTTAGAGAAGAACACAAATGACCTGATGGAGCTGAAAAGCAGAGCACGAGAAATTCGTGAAGCATTCACAAGTATCAATAGCTGAATCAATCAAGTGGAAGAAAGATATCAGAGACTGAAGATCAACTTAATGAAATAAAGCATGAAGACAAGATTAGAGAAAACAATGAAAAGGAGTGAACAAAGCCTCCAAGAAATATGGCACTATGTGAAAAGACCAAACCTACATATGATTGGTGTACCTGAAAGTGCTGGGGAGAATGGAACCAAGTTGGAAAACACTCTTCAGGATATAATCCAGGAGAACTTCCCCAACCTAGCAAGACAGGCCAACATTCAAATTCAGGAAATACAGAGAACACCTCAAAGATAATCCTCAAGAAGAGCAACCCCAAGACACATAATCATCAGATTCACCAAGGCTGAAATGAAGGAAAAAATCTTAAGGGCAACCAAAGAGAAAGGTCAGGTTTCCCACAAAGGGAAGCCCATCAGACTAACAGTGGATCTCCCTGCAGAAACCCTACAAGCCAGAAGAGAGTGGGGGCCAATATTCAACATTCTTAAAGGAAAGAATTTTCAAACCAGAATTTCATATCCAGCCAAACTAAGCTTCATAAGCGAAGGAGAAATAAAATCCTTTACAGACAAACAAATGCTGAGAGATTTTGTCACCACCAGGCCCGCCTTACAAGAGCTCCTGAAGGAAGCACTAAACATGGAAAGAGAAAACTGGTACCAGCCACTGCAAAAACGTATCAAATTGTAAAGATCATTGACGCTATGAAGAAACTGAATCAACTAATGGGTAAAATAACCAGCTAGCATCATAATGACAGGATCAAATTCACACATAACAATATTAACCTTAAATGTAAATGGGCTAAATGCCCCCAATTAAAAGACACAGACTGGCAAATTGGATAAAGAGTCAAGACCCATTACTGTGCTGTATTCAGGAGACCCATCTCATGTGCAAAGACACACATAGACTCAAAAATAAAGGGATGGAGAAATATTTACCAAGAAAATGGGAAGCAAAAAAAAGCAAGGGTTGCAATCCTAGTCTCTGATAAAACAGACTTTAAACCAACAAAGATCAAAAGAGACAAAGAAGGGCATTACCTAACGGTAAAGGAATCAATGCAACAAGAACTAACTATCCTAAATATATATGCACCCAATACAGGAGCACCCAGATTCATAAAGGAAGTTCTTAGAGTCCAACAAAGAGACTTAGACTCCCACACAATAATAGTGGGAGACTTTAACACCCCACTCTCAATATTGGACAGATCAATGAGACAGAAAATTAACAAGGATATTCAGGACTTGAACTCAGCTCTGGACCAAGTGAACTTAATAGACATCTACAGAACTCTCCACCTCAAATCAACTGAATATACATTCTTCTCAGCACTACAGTGCACTTATTCTAAAATTGACCACATAATTGGAAGTAAAAGACTCCTCAGCAAATGCAAAAAAAAACAAATTACAACAAACTGTCTCTCAGACCACAGTGCAATCAAATTAGAACTCAGGATTAAGAAACTTTCTCGAAGCTGCACAACTACATGGAAACGGAACCACCTACTTCTGAATGACTACTGGGTAAATAAAGAAATTAGGGCAGAAATAAGTAAGTTCTTTGAAACCAATGAAAACAAAGATACAATATAGCAGCATCTCTGGGACACAGCTAAAGAAGTCTTTAGAGGGAAATTTATGGCACTAAATGACCACAGGATAAAGTGGGAAAGATCTAAAATCTACACCCTAACATCACAATTAAAAGAACTAGAGAAGGAAGAGCAAACGAATTCAAAAGCCAGCAGAAAATAAGAAAAAACTGAAATCAGAGAAGAACCAAAGGAAATAGAGACACGTAAAACCTTTCAAAACATCAATGAATCCAGAAGGTGTTTTTTAGAAAAGATTAACAAAACAGACCACTAGCCAGACTAATAAAGAAAAGAGAGCAGAATCAAATAGACACAATAAAAATGATAAAGGCAATATCACCACTGATCCCACAGAAATACAAATTACCATAAGAGAATACTGTAAACACCACTACACAAATAAACTGGAAAATCTAGAAGAAATGGATAAATTCCTGGACACATACACCCTCCCAAGACTAAGCCAGGAAGAAATCAAATCCCTGAGAACACCAATAACAGGTTCTGAAATTGAGACAGTAATTAATAGCCTCCTGAGCAAAAAATACCCAGGACCAGATAGATTCACAGCTGAATTCTATCAGAGGTACAAAGAGGAGCTGGTACCTGCATCTATTGAGATAATCATGTGGTTTTTGTCTTTGGTTCTGTTTATATGCTGGATTATGTTTACTGATTTGCTTATGTTGAACAAGCCTTGCATCCCACGGATGAAGCCCACTTGATCTTGGTGGATACACTTTTTGATGTGCTGCTGGGTTCGGTTTGCCAGTATTTTATTGAGGATTTTTGCATTGGTGTTCATGAGGGATACTGGTCTAAAATTCTCTTTATTTGTTGTGTCTCTGCCAGGCTTTGGTATCAGGATGATGCTGGCCTCATAAAATGAGTTAGGAAGATTTCCCTCTTTTTCTATTGATTGGAATAGTTTCAGAAGAATGGTACCAGCTCCTCCTTGTAGCTCTGGTAGAATTCGGCTGTGAATCCGTCTGGTCCTGGACTTTTTTTGGTTGGTAGGCTATTGATTATTGCCTCAATTTCAAAGCCTGTTATTGGTCTATTCAGGGATTCAACTTTTTTCTGGTTTAGTCTTGGGAGGGAGTATGTGTCCAGGAATTTATCCATTTCTTCTAGATTTTCCAGTTTGTTTGTGTAGAGGTGTTTATAGTATTCTCTGATGGTAGTTTGTATTTCTGTGAGACCGGTGGTGATATCCCCTTCATCATTTTTTATTCCATGTATTTGATTCTTCTCTCTTTTGTTCTTTATTAGTCTTGCTAGCAGTTTATCAATTTTGTTGATCTTTTTAAAAAACCAGCTCCTGGATTCATTGATTTTTTGAAGGGTTTTTTGTGTCTCTATCTCCTTCAATTCTGCTCTGATCTTAGTTACTTCTTGCTTTCTGCTACCTTTTGAATGTGTTTGCTCTTGCTTCTCTAGTTCTTTCAATTGTGATGTAAGGGTGTCAATTTTAGATCTCTTTTGCTTTCTCTTGTGGGCATTTACTGCTATAAATTTCCCTCTACGCAATGCTCTAAATGTGTCCCAGAGATTCTGGTATATGGTGTCTTTGTTCTCGTTTGTTTCAAAGAACATCTTTATTTCTGCCTTCTTTTAATTATGTACCAAGTAGTCATTCAGGAGAGGGTTGCAGAAAAGGCCTTTGACAATATTCAACAGCCCTTCATGCTAAAAAACTCTCAATAAATTCGGCATTGATGGGACGTATCTCAAAATAATAAGAGCTATTTATGACAGACCCACAACCAATATAATACTGAATGCGCAAAAACTAGAAGCATTCCCTTTGAAAACTGGCACAAGACAGGGATGCCCTCTCTCACCACTCCTATTCAACATAGTGTTGGAAGTTCTGGCCAGGGCAATCAGGCAGGAAAAAGAAATAGAGGGTATTCAATTAAGAAAAGAGGAAGTCAAATTGTCTCTGTTTGCAGATGACATGATTGTATATTTACAAAAACCCATCTTCTCAGCCCCAAATCTCCTTAAGCTGATAAGCAACTTCAGCAAAGTCTCAGGATACAAAATCAATGTGCAAAAATCACAAGCATTCTTATACACCAATAACAGACAAACAGAGAGCCAAATCATGAGTGAACTCCCATTCACAATTGCTTCAAAGAGAATAAAATACTTAGGAATCCAACTTACAAGGGATGTGAAGGACCTCTTCAAGGAGAACTACAAACCACTGCTCAATGAAATAAAAGAGGATACAAACAAATGGAAGAACATTACATGCTCATGGACAGGAAGAATCAATATCATGAAAATGGCCATACTGCCCAAGGTAATTTATAGATTTAACGCCATCCTCATCAAGCTACCAATGACTTTCTGCACAGAATTGGAAAAAATACTTTAAAGTTCATATGGAACCAAAAAAGAGCCCGCATTGCCAAGACAATCCTAAGCAAAAAGAACAAAGCTGCAAACATGACGCTACCTGACTTTGAACTATACTACAAGGCTACAGTAACCAAAACAGCATGGTACTGCTACCAAAACAGAGATATAGACCAATAGAACAGAACAGAGCCCTCAGAAAAAGTACCACACATCTACAACCATCTGATCTTTGACAAACCTGAGAAAAACAAGCAATAGGGAAATGATTCCCTATTTAATAAATGGTACTGGGAAAACTGGCTAGCCATATATAGAAAGCTGAAACTGGATCCCTTCCTTACATCTTATACAAAAATTAATTCAAGATGGATTAAAGACTTAAATGTTAGACCTAAAACCATAAAAACCCTAGAAGAAAACCTAGGCAATACCATTCAGGACATAGGCATGGGCAAGGATGTCATGTCTAAAACACCAAAAGCAATGGCAACAAAAGCCAAAATTGACAAATTTGATCTAATTAAACTAAAGAGCTTCTGCACAGCAAAAGAAACTACTATCAGAGTGAACAGGCAACCTACAGAATGGGAGAAAATTTTTGCAATCTACTCATGTGACAAAGGGCTAATATCCAGAATCTACAAAGAACACAAATTTACAAGAAAAAAACAAACAATCCCATCAAAAAGTGGGCAATGGATATGAACAGACACTTCTCAAAAGACATTTATGCAGCCAAAAGACACATGAAAAAATGCTCATCATCACTGGCCATCAGAGAAATGCAAATCAAAACCACAGTGAGATACCATCTCACACCAGTTAGAATGGCGATCATTAAAAAGTCAGGAAACAACAGGTGCTGGAGAGGATGTGGAGAAATAGGAACACTTTTACACTGTTGGTGGGACTGTAAACTGGTTCAACCATTGTGAAGGACAGTGTGGTGATTCTCAAGGATCTGGACCTAGAAATACTATTTGACCCAGCCATCACATTAGTGGGTATATACCCAAAGGATTATAAATCATGCTGCTGTAAAGACACATGCGCACTTATGTTTATTGTGGCACTATTCACAACAGCAAAGACTTGGAACCAACCCAAATGTCCAACAATGATAGACTGGATTAAGAAAATGTGGTACATATACACCATGGAATACTATGCAGCCATAAAAAAGAATGAGTTCATGTCCTTTGTAGGGACATGGATGAAGCTGGAAACCATCATTCTCATCAAACTATTGCAGGGACAGAAAACCAAACACTGCATGTTTTCACTCATAGGTGGGAGTTGAACAATGAGAAGACTTGTACACAGGAGGGGGAACATCACACACTGGGGCAGATGTGGGGTGGTAGCAGAGGGGAGGGATAGCATCGGGAGATATACCTAATGTAAATGAGGAGTTAATGGGTGCAGCACACCAACATGGCACACGTATACATATGTAACAAACCTGCACGTTGTGCACATGTACCCTAGAACTTAAAGTATAATTTAAAAGAAACAAAGAATAAAAGAGAAAAAACAAAACCAAAACCAAAGAGGAGCTAGTATCGTTCCTTCTGAAACTATTCCAAACAACAGAAAAAGAGGGACTCCTCCGTAACTCTGTTTATGAGACCAGCATCATCCTGATATTAAAAACCTGGCATAGAAAACAAAAGAAGAAAATGTCAGGCCAATATCCCTGTTGAACATCAATGTGAAAATCCTCAATAAAATACTGGCAAACTGAATCCAGCAGCACATAAAAAAGCTTATCCACCATGATCAAATCTGCTTCATCCCTGGGATGCAAGGCTGGTTCAACATATGAAAACCAATAAATGTAATCCATCAAATAAACAGAACCAAAGACAGAAACCACATGATTATCTCAACAGATGCAGAAAAGGCCTTCAATAAAATTTAAAACCATTCATGTTAAAAAATCTCAATAAAATAGGTATTGATGGAATGTATCTCAAAATAATAAGAGCTATTTATGACAAACCCACAGCCAATATCATACAGAATGGTCAAAAGCTGGATGCACTTCCTTTGAAAACTGGCACAAGACAAGGATGTCCTCTCTCACCACTCCTACTCAACACAGTATTGGAAATTCTGGTCAGGGCAACCTGGCAAGAGAGAGAAATATAAAGGTTATTCAAATAGGAAGAGAGGAAGTCAAATTGTCTCTGGTTGCAGATGACATGATTGTATATTTAGAAAACCTCATCGTCTCTTCCCAAAATCTCCTTAAGCTGTTAAGCAACTTCAGCAAAGTCTCAGGATACAGTCAATGTGCAAAAATCACAAGCATTCCTATACACCAATAATAGACTAACAAAGAGCCAAATCGTAAGTGAACTCCCATTCACAATTGCTACAAAGAGAATAAAATATCTTGAAAGACAACTTACAAGGGACATAAAGAAACTTTTCAAGGATAACTGCAAACCACTGCTCAAGGAAACAAGAGAGGACACAAACAAATGGAAAAACATTCCATGCCCATGAATAGAAAGAATCAATATGGTGAAAATGGTCATACTGCCCAAAGTAATTTACAGATTCAATGCTATTCCCATCAAGCTACCATTGACTTTCTTCACAGAATTAGAAAAAACTACTTTAAATTTCATATGAAACCAAAGAAGAGCCCATGCAGCCAAGACAATTCTAAGCAAAAAGAACAAAGCTGGAGGCACCAAGCTATCTGTCTTCAAACTATAGTACAAGGCTACAGTGACCAAAACAGCATGGTACTGGTACCAAAACACATGTATAGACCAATGGAACAGAACAGAGATCTCATAAATAACACTACACATCTACAACCATCAGATCTTTACAAACCTGACAAAAACAAGCAATGGAGAAAGGATTCCCTATTCAATAAATGGTGTTGGGAAAACTGGCTAGCCATGGGCAGGAAACTGAAACTGAACCCCTTCCTTACACCTTATACAAAAAATAACTCAAGATGGATTAAAGACTTAAATGTAAGACCTAAAACAATAAAACCCCAAGAAGAAAACCTAGGCAATACCATTCAGGACATAGGCATGGGCAAGGACTTCATGACTAAAACACCAAAAACAATGGTCACAAAAGCCACAATTGACAAATGGGATCTAATTAAACTAAAGATCTTCTGCACAGCAAAAGAAACTATCATCAGAGTGAACAGGCGACCTACAGAATGGGAGAAAATTTTTGCAATCTATCCATCTGACAAAGGGCTAATATCCAGAATCTATGAAGAACTTAAACAAATTTACAAGAAAAAAACAACTAAAAAATGGGTGAAGGATATGAGCAGACACTTCTCAAAAGAAGACATTTATAAGGCCAACAAACATATTTAAAAAAAGCTCATCATCACTGCTCATTAGAGAAATGCAAATCAAAACCACAGTGAGATACCATCTCACACCAGTTAGAATGGCGATCATTAAAAAGTCAGGAAACAACAGATACTGGAGAGAATGTGGAGAAATAGGAACACTTTTACACCGTCGGTGGGAGTGTAAATTAGTTCAACTATTGTGGAAGACAGTGTAGTGATTCCTCAAGGATCTAGAACCAGAAATACCATTTGTCCCATCAATCCCATTACTGGGTATATACCCAAAGGATTATAAATCATTCTACTGTAAAGACACATGCACACGTATGTTTATTGCAGCACTATTCACAATAGCCAAGACTTGGAACCAAACCAAATGCCCATCAATGATAGACTGGATAAAGAAAATGTGGCACATATACACCATGGAATTATATGCAGCCATAAAAAAGGATGAGTTCATGTCCTTTGCAGAGACATGGATGAAGGTGGAAACCATCATTCTCAGCAAACTAACACAGGAACAGAAAACCAAACACCGCACGTTCTCACTCATAAATGGGAGTTGAACAATGAGAACACATGGACACAGGGAGGGGAACATCACACACCAGGGGCCTGTCAAGAGATGGGGGGCTAGAAGAGGGAGAGCAATAGGAGAAATACCTAATGTAGATGATGGGTGGATGGGTGCAGCAAAAAACCATGGCATGTGTATACCTATGTAATAAACCTGCATATTCTACCCATGTATCCCAGACCTTAAAGTATAATTTTTTTGAAAAAGAGAATATTTTCTCCCATTCTGTGGATTATATATTTACTTTGTTGATAGTTTCTTTTGCTGTGGAGAAGCTCTTTAGCTTAATTAGGTCTGACTTGTCAATTTTTGTTTCATTACAGTTAATTTTGGGGACATAGTTATAACGTCTTTACCAAGATCAATGTCCAGAATTGTGATTCCCAGGTTTTCTGCTAGGACTTTTAGTTTTACATCTTACATTTAATTCCTTAAGCCATCTTGAGTTAATTTGTGTACATGGTGAAAGGTAGGAGTCCAATTTCCTTCTTCTATATATGGCTAGCATATGGTTAGCCAAGTATCCCAGCACCATTTATTAAATAAGGAGTCCTTTCCACATTGCTTGTCAACTTTGTTGAGGATCAGCACCTCAACTTTGTTGAAGATCCCAGCACCATTTATTAAATAAGGAATCCTTTCTGCATTGCTTGTCAACTTTGTTGAGTATGTAGGTGTGTGGTTCTATTTCTGAGTTTTCTATCCTTTTCGATTGGGCTGTGTGTCTGTTTTTGTACCCGTAGTGTGCTCTTTTGGTTACTATAGCCTTGCAGTATAGTTTAAGTTAGATAGTGTGATGCCTCTGACTTTTTTCTTTTTGCTTAGATTTGGTTTGGCTATTGGGCTCCTTTTTATTTCCCTATGAATTTTAGAATACATTATTTTAATTCTGTAAAAAATGACATTTACAGTTTAATAGAAATAGCATTGAATCTGTAGACTGCTTTGGGTAGTATGGTCATTTTAGTGATATTGCTGCTTCAGATTCATGAACGTGGGAAGTTTTTCCATTTCTTTGTATCAGGCATTTGATTTTTTTTTCAACAGAATGTTGTAATTCTCCTTGTAGAGATCGTTGATGGCCCTAGTTAGATGTATTCCTAAGTACAACTACATTCATCAACTATATTCATCTTAATTTTTGTTTAATATTCTTATGCTGTTATTTGTTCATACATACTCTTTTTGGCAGGGTGACAGATTCTGGGTTGTTGTTGTTTTTTTCCCTCAATTGAGTTTATGTGCTTGTGTCAAGTTTCATTTGTCGTATTTCCAGCGAACATTTTATCAGTCTCCTCTGTTTTATTTTTGTCTAAGATTTTTGAAGAATTCTTTTATTGTTAACTAATGAGCTTAATTTCACTTCTTCCTTGAAGATATCTTTCACTATTTGTCATAAAGTTCTTTTCCCTCCATATCAGATAAATATTCACTCATATTCCTTCTATTTGTATGGTTTTATGTTTTTTCATTTGGCTTGTTTTGGTTTGGGGATGTTTTTGACATTCAACTCTTTGTTTCATCTGAAATGGACTTTGTTCTATAGAATGCATATCTAAAATTGTTTGCCTAGTGTGCAACCATTATAACCCTGCTTAAATTATCACAAATAATATTGGTAATTATTATATATATTCATAATCCATTTTGGAACTACATTTTCTGCCCCACTGATCTACCTGTTGACTATTGTTTACTATTTTAGTTCAATTATTGAGATGTTACAGGAAACATTTATATCTGGTAAAGCAATAGCTCCTCTCCTCACTTTTTGAAATAGTTTAGTACTTTTCATTTATTCATTTTTCCAGGAGTTTTAGAATTGCTTTGACAATCTCACCCAAAATTCTTTAAATGTTGATTAACTTACATCAAAATTGCAAATTAATTTTGAAAAACTGCTGTTTTAAGTAGTTTAAAAAAGATTTTTCCTCCATCTAGTTAAATCTTATTTTTGGCCTTCTTTAAACTTTGTAGAAGAAAGCTTATTTTTGGTACTATTTGGTTTTGCTATAGTCAATCAAATATTTTCTTTTGTATTTCTGAATTACTTATTTCTGGAATATGAGAAAAAATTTGGTTTTCTGTTTTTATACTGTATCCATAGATCTTGTTAAAGTCTGTTTTTTTCTTATTTATGTTTCAGTTGATTCTATTGAGTATTCTTTATTTACCTTTCTGATTTAGACCTTTTTAAATTTCTCTCAGCAGTATTTTATAATATGAAGCATATACATTTTGCATTTCTTTTTAAAAAATTATTCCCAGTATTTTATTTCTTTTGATGTTATTTTAAGTGGAGTCACTGCCTTGATTCCATTTTTGAATTATTTGTTGCTCTGTTAATTATCTGTTACTCTGCAATCTTGCTAAACTTATTAATTCTAGAATTTTTTGGGTGTGGATTGCTTAGATTTTCTTTTGTTTTCCTTTCTTTTTTTAGAGTCAGAGTCTCACTTTGTTGCCCAGGCTGGAGTGCAGTAGTGTCATCTCGGCTCACTGCAACCTCTGCCTCCAAGGTTCAAGCAATTCTCCTGTCTCAGCCTCCTGAGTAGCTGGGACTACAGGCACGTCCCACCATGCCCCGCTAATTTCTTTTGTATTTTAGTAGAGACAGGGTCTCACCGTGTTGCCCAGGCTGGTCTGGAATTCCTGAGCTCAGGCAATCCACCAGCCTCAGCCACCCAAAGTGCTAGGATTACAGGCGTGAGCTACCATGCCGAGCCTCTTAGATTTTTTGTATTACTGTCTATTATCACCCTGTTGTGCTATCATATACTATTTTTCTAATTCCTTAAAGTATAAATTCACATTATTGTTTTAAGACATTTCTTCTTTTTCTAATACAGCTATTAAAGCTATCAATTTTCCTCTAACCACTGTTTTAACAAATACTATATTCTTTGATATGTGGGGTTTTTTTATTTGCTTTTCTTTGTTTTAAAATATTTTCTAATTTCCCCTGTGGTTTTTTCTTTGACACATGGATTATTTATACATGTAATAATTAATTTAAAATATTTAGAGATTTCTCAATTGTTTACTTTTTAAGTCTAAATTATTGTTTTTCAAGTCTTCTACACTCTTGCTGATTTTATATCTAGTTATTTTATCAATTATTCAGAGTAGCATATTAACCTTAGCAATAATTTGTGTTGAATTATTTGTTTCTCCTTTCGGTTATGCCTGTTTTTCTTCAGCATTTTGGGGATTCATTGTTAGATATATTTGTCCAGTCCTTTTTTATTTTCGGTCTGGTTTTGTTCGTCTTCTTTACAGGATAGTTCTTGCCCTTAATTATTAGAGTTTTCTAAGACTCATTACAAGACCCTCTTCTTTCACCCTATACTCCCCCCATAAGCAATCTATTTAATACCCAAGACTTCAATCACCATGTTGTTATAATTTCCAAACTTATATCTTCAGCACAGTTCTTTCCTCTGATCTTGAGGATCAAATATTCATCCCACACAATATTTTCAAAGCTAAGTTAATGATCTGCCTTTCAAAACATGGTCTTCTTGTACAGCTCCCTCCTTGGGTGAATGACATAGCCTTATTATGCAAGTTACAGTCCTATTGACCTAATTACTTTAATGCCTCACAATTTTGCTTCCCTCCTCTTCATTCTCACCACCAGTCTCATTAGTATCATCTATCACTGGTTTGCTAGAATAACCTACTGACTGATCTATCCAAATCTGCTCTTACCTGGCTCACCGAAAACTGCAGCCAAATCAGTCTTATTGAAACAAAAAACTGCTCAAGTCACTCCCTATCCCTCTTAAAAATCTTCAGTAACTGACCATTGCCCTAAGATAAAAGTAAAACTCATTTACATGGCCTGCAAGGCCTGGCACAGTGTAACCACTACTATCTGTAGCATTCTCTCAAACTTGATACCCTTATACACTGTACTTGAGCCACATTTTCTTTCTTTCAGCCTTCCTGTTTGCAATCCTAAATTTTGCAATAGGTTATCTTTAATGGGCTCCTTTTTGGCCTTAGCTACTCTTCCTTCTTCATCTGGGTAAGTCTTATTCTCTCCTCTACATATCAAATCTTTTGTCCTTTTCCTTGTAATACTCTGACTCACTGATGAGGTCAAATTTTGATTTCAAACACTTATATCACCATGTATATCTCTTTCACAGTATTCCTGCAGTTGGAGATTTATACTTCCTGGTGATGATTTAATCAATGTCCATCTACACCACTGAACTGCTAGATCCAAGAAGATAGCAATTGGATCTAGCATAACCTAGCATAACACCAGATACATAAATAATATTCAATAAATGTTTGCGGAATTTGCATGAGAGATTTGTATTTCTTAATGCCAAC
This sequence comes from Homo sapiens, assembly GCF_000001405.40. Lineage (NCBI taxonomy): Eukaryota > Metazoa > Chordata > Mammalia > Primates > Hominidae > Homo > Homo sapiens. The sequence goes on along the minus strand of NC_000011.10, from coordinate 87,787,733 downwards.
TAGATATAATCTCAAGTTGGAAATTTCTGACATTATAGAAAAATTAAATCATGTATACATCTATTTAATAAATATTTCTCAGTTATAGAGCATGTATAATCTGACATCTCTGTGTTGTTTTAAGTATTTCAAGGTGCCAGGTATTTACAATCGCAACCTAGAAATATTATTTAACTTAAATCAGTCTACCTCCATTCTCACAGCCACCTTCACTTAACCTTTTTAATAACATTTTCTTATACCCCTGTAATGTCTTTAAAGCCCACACATTTCTTAATTGCGTCTCACAACACCTGTATGTACTTAAGTGACTCTCTTGACTCTCAATGTTATTTTTATTCACTATACTGTTGTATTAATACATCCACCATAAGAGTTCAAAGAAGATAGTATGGGAAAATATAAAAATAATTGGAGATGGAGGAAAAAGATGTAGGTTTATGTATGGATGGCACTTGATGGCTTCGTGAGCGGAAGAGAGATACCAATTTTTAATATTAGCTCTTATAACTAAAGTGCAGACAATCTTCCTAGCAGTTTTTTGGAAAAGATGAAATGTGACCGTATGTATCAAAGTTTATTGTTAATTCTAATTTACTATGTAAATGCCAATTATTATTGTAGTCACATAGAGAAAGGTGAAGAAACACTTAGAATAAAATGATTTGCTCAAGGCCAGAAACTCACTTAATTTCCCAAGACCAATACTCAACAACTCTAGCTGGCTTAAGGTGTGATGGAGTTCAGATCATGCCACCCCAAAGTATAAAACCCTGGCAGTGAGAAAACAGCAGAAGCAGGATGCTCGCTCTCACTTTCCCCTTGCCCTTCTTCCCTGAAGCAAGTCACAAAACCTAGGAAGAATTTTCTGGCATTCTTCTGAAGTAGGTCGTAGTTTCCTCAGTTGAGAGTTACTATTCCTATACCTGGGGAAAATAATCCAAAGACCCAGAGATGCCAAGAAGAATCTGCACAAACAGGCATTACTTAGTTGACCCCTTCCTCCCAATTTATCACCATTACATAATACTCCTTTTTTCCAATCATACTTCCCCACAGCTATCCATTCTTTATCAAACCTAAGCAGAAAAATATACAAGTGTACCTGTTTATTCATTTCTGAAGCCTCCCATTACATAAAACTTATATAAAATAAATGTGCATGCTTTTCTCTTAGTAATCTGTCTTTTGCTGTAGTTGCTTCAGTCATGAATCTAGCAACGGGTAAGGAAAAGAAATCTTTCCTCCCTGCAGGTGATTCTGATTTTTCAGCTGGAAAGAACATTTGTGTGTATATCATCTCCAGCATGAGCTATTATATTTGTCAAACAAACCCTAGATCATTATGTTTCCCCTTCCCAATGTTCTCTTTAAAATAGATATTGAAAAGAAAAAATATAGTATTACAATAAAGACTTAATACAAGGGGGGCTCACCTATACCCATTGTTAGTGTGAAAAATGTGAGTAAAATACATTACTCCTGGTGGGTAGGCAAATAAGAACAGAAAGTGTTCATTATCAGTAACTCTCCAAAACATTTTTAGGCTGAAGACAAGAGATATAAAAACATTTAGATAAAATCATTGTAAGATTTAATTTCAGACTATCTGATCCAGAAAGCAGTCAGTTTCTCAGTTTGGTAAGCTGTGAGATGCAGGAATTTAGAAACAGAAATATGCCAAAGATCAGAAATTGGGTGAATTCAGGAAGCTTTGTTACATTGGTGGTTTGTATTAGCTAGAATTCTTGCACAGTTCTAACTCACAGTGGATCCAATGAGCCCAAGGTTCTACCCTTTAGTTATTAACCCAGTCCCTCAATTAATAGTTAGTAGAAGGGCTCACATAATTATCTCTTTGATCTACTTACCTGTGGAACAAAAATTATTATTGTAAGAAGGGTCACGTGAAAACCTCTGAAACTGTTCACCTGTCACCAACTAAGATAGGAAGTTAGAAACAATACTTTATTCAAGAAGAAATAGCAGAGATTACCAACATCATCAAAGACTTGAAGAGGTGGCCGTCTCTATTTAGTTGACTTGTATGACCCCTGAAACTCAGGGGTCATACAGTGATGATGGAGGGCTACTATAAACTTAAACAAGTAGCAGGCCAGTCTCAACTGCTGACGAGATGTGGTCTGTGTACTAACACAGAGTAACACAGCCTCTGGCACTTGACGCGCACCTATTTATATGGCAAATGTGCTCATCTTGAATCTCCATCAGCAGGAAGGAGACTCATTTAGCTTCTGTCACCAGGAAATGAGAAACATACCAGAGCAGAGGCCAATGTTAAATCTTATTATGGAACAGTTTCTTTATATATATATAATATATATACACATACTTTAAGTTCTAGGGTACATGCGCACAACGTGCAGGTTTGTTACATAGGCATACACATGCCATGTTGGTTTGCAGCACCCATCAACTAGTCATTCACATTACGTATTTCTCCTAATGCTATCCCTCCGCCAGCCCCCCACCCCCTGACAGGCCTCGGTGTGTGATATTCCCCACCCTGTGTCCATGTGTTCTCATTGTTCAACTCCCACCTATGAGTGAGAACATGTGGTGTTCGGTTTTCTGTCCTTGTAATAGTTTGCTTAGAATGATGATTTCCAGCTTCATCCATGGCCCTGCAAAGAACATGAACTCATCCTTTTTCATGGCTGCATAGTATTCCGTGGTGTATATGTGCCATATTTCTTTAAGCCAGTCTATCATCGATGGATATTTGGGTTGGTTCCAAGTCTTCGCTATTGTGAATAGTGCCACAATAAACATACGTGTGCATGTGTCTTTATAGCAGCATGATTTATAATCCTTTGGGTATATACCCAGTAATGGGATTGCTGGGTCAGATAGTATTTCTAGTTCTAGATCCTTGAGGAATCACTACACTGTCTTCCACAATAGTTGAACTAATTTACACTCCTACCAATAGTGTAAAAGTGTTCCTATTTCTCCACATCCCCTCCAGCATCTTTTGTTTCCTGACTTTTTAATGATCACCATTCTAACTGGCGCAACATGGTATCTCATTGTGGTTTTGATTTGCATTTCCCTGATGACCAGTGATGGTGAACATTTTTTCATATGTTTGTTGGCCTTATAAATGTCTTCTTTTGAGAAGTGTCTGTTCATATCCTTTGCCTACTTTTTGATGGGGTGGTTTTTTCTTGTAAATTTCTTTAAGTTCTTTGTAGACTCTGGATATTAGCCCTTTGTCAGATAGATAGATTGCAAAGATTTTCTCCATTATGTAGGTTGCCTGTTCACTCTGATAGTTTTGTTTACTGTGAAGAAGCTCTTTAGTTTAATTAGATCCCATTTGTCAATTTTGGTTTTTGTTGCCATTGCTTTTGGTATTTTAGTCATGAAGTTTTTGCCCATGCCTATGTCCTGAATGATATTGCCTAGGTTTTCTTCTAGGGGTTTTATGGTGTTACATCTTACATTTAAATCTTTAATCCATTTTGAGTTAATTGTTGTATACAGTGTAAGGAAGGGATCCAGTTTCAGCTTTCTACATATGGCTAGCCAGTTTTGCCAACACCATTTACTAAACAGGGAATCCTTTCCCCATTGCTTGTTTTTGTCAGGTTTGTCAAAGATCACATGGTTGTAGATGTGTGGTGTTATTTCTGAGGCCTCTGTTCTATTCCATTGGCCTATATCTCTGTTTTGGTACCAGTACCATGCTGTTTTGGTTACTGTAGCCTTGTAGTATAGTTTGAAGTCAGGTAGCATAATGCCTCCAGCTTTGTTCTTTTGGCTCATGACTGTCTTGGCTAGGTGGGCTCTTTTTTCGTTCCATATGAACTTTAAAGTAGTTTTTCCAATTTTGTGAAGAAAGTCATTGGTAGCCTTATGGGGATAGCATTGGATCTATAAATTATCTTGGCCAGTATGGCCATTTTCACGATATTGAGTCTTCCTATCCATGAGCATGGAATGTTCTTCTATTTGTTTGTGTCCTCTTTTATTTCGTTGAGCAGTGGTTTGTAGTTCTCCTTGAAGAGGTCCTTCACATCCCTTGTAAGTTGGATTCCTAGGTATTTTATTCTCTTTGAAGCAATTGCGAATGGGAGTTCACTCATGATTTGGCTCTCTGTTTGTCTGTTATTGGTGTATAAGAATGCTTGTGATTTTTGCACATTGATTTTGTATCCTGAGACTTTACTGAAGTTGCCTATCAGCTTAAGGAGATTTTGGGCTGAGATGATGGGGTTTTCTAAATATACAACCATGTCATCTGCAAACAGGGACAATTTGACTTCCTCTTTTACTAATTGAATACCCTTTATTCTTTCTCTTGCCTGATTGCCCTAGCCAGAACTTCCAACACTATGTTGAATAGGAGTGGTGAGAGAGGGCATCCTTGTCTTGTGCCAGTTTTCAAAGAGAATGCTTCCAGATTTTGGCCATTCAGTGTGATATTGGCTGTGGGTTTGTCACAAATAGCTCTTATTATTTTGAGATACGTCCCATCAATACCTAGTTTATTGAGAGTTTTTAGCATGAAGCGCTTTTGAATTTTGTCAAAGGCCTTTTCTGCATCTATTGAGATAATCATGTGGTTTTTGTCTTTGGTTCCGTTTATGTGATGGATTACATTTATTGATTTGCATATGTTGAACCAGCCTTGCATCCCAGGGATGAAGCCGACTTGATTGTGGAGGATAAGCTCTTTTATGTGCTGCTGGAATCAGTTTGCCAGTATTTTATTGAGGATTTTTGCATTGATGTTCATCAGGGATATTGGTCTAAAATTCTCTTTTTTTGTTGTGTCTCTACCAGGCTTTGGTATCAGGATGATGCAAGCGTCATAAAATGAGTTAGGGAGGACTCCCTCTTTTTCTATTGATTGGAATAGTTTCAGAAGGATGGTACCAGCTCCTCTTTATGCCTCTTGTAGAATTCAGCTCTGAATCCATCTGGTCCTGGACTTTTTTTTTGTTGGTAGGCTAATAATTATTGCTTCAATTTCAGAACCTGTTATTAGTCTATTCAGAGATTCAACTTCTTCCTGGTTTAGTCTTGGGAGGGTGTATGTGTCCTGAAATTTATCCTTTTCTTCTAGATTTTCTAGTTTATTTGTGTAGAGGTGTTTATAGTAATAGTATTCTCTGATGGTAGTTTGTATTTCTGTGGGATTGGTGGTGATCCCCTTAATAATTTTGTATTGTATCTATTTGATTCTTCTCTCTTTTCTTCTTTATTAATCTGGCTAGCAGTCTATTTTGTTGATATTTTCAAAAAACCAGCTCCCGGATTCATTGATTTTTTGAAGGGTTTTTTTTTGTGTCTCTATCTCCTTCAGTTCTGCTCTGTTCTTAGTTATTTCTTGCCTTCTGCTAGCTTTTGAATTTTTTTTCTCTTGCTTCTCTAGTTATTTTAATTATGATGTTAGGGTGTCAATTTCAGATCTTTCCTGCTTTCTCCTGTGGGCATTTAGTGCTATAAATTTCCCTCTACACACTGCTTTAAATGTGGCCCAGAGATTCTGGTATGTTGTGTCTTTGTGCTCATTGATTTCAAAGAACATCTTTATTTCTTCCTTCATTTTGTTATTTACCCAGTAGTCATTCAGGAGCAGGTTGTTCAGTTTCCATGTAGTTGTGTGGTTTTGAGAAAGTTCTTAATCCTGAGTTCTAATTTGATTGCACTGTGGTTTGAGACACAGTTTATTGTGATTTCTCTTCTTTTACATTTTCTGAGGAGTGTTTTACTTCCAATTATGTGGTTAATTTTAGAACAAGTGCAATGTGGTGCTGAGAAGAATGTATATTCTATTGATCTGGGGTGGAGAGTTCTGCAGATGTCTGTTAGGTCTGTTTGGTCCAGAGCTGAGTTCAAGTCCAAAAAGTTCAAGTCCAACAACTTCAAGAAGTTGTTAACCTTCTGTCTCACTGATCTAATATTGACAGTGGGGTGTTAAAGTCTCCCATTATTATTGTGTGGGAGTCTAAGTCTCTTTTTACGTCTCCAAGGACTTACTTTATGAATCTGGGTGCTCCTGTGTTGTGCATGTATATTTAGAATAGTTAGTTCTTCTTGGTGAATTGATTCCTTTACCATTATGTAGTGGCCTTCTTTGTCTCTTTTGATCTTTGTTGGTTTAAAGTCTGTTTTATCAGAGACTAGATTGCAACCCCTGCTTTTTTTTTGCTTTCCATTTGCTTGGTAAATCTTCCTCCATTTCTTTATTTTGAGCCTATGTGCGTCTTTGCACATGAGTGGGTCTCCTGAATACAACAGCACATCGATAGGTCTTGACTCTTTATCCAATTTGCCAGTCTATAACTTTTAATTGGGGCATTTGGCCCATTTACTTTTAAGGTTAATATTATTAGTGTTTGAATTTGATCCTGCCATTATGATGTTAGCTGGTTATTTTGCCCGTTAATTGATGCAGTTTCTTCATAGCATTGACAGTCTTTACCATTTGGCATGTTTTTGCAGTGGCTGGTACCGGTTGTCCCTTTCCATGTTTAGTGCTTCCTTCAGGAGCTCTTCTAAGGCAGGTCTGGTGGTGACAAAGTATCTCAGCATTTACTTGTCTGTAAAGGATTTCATTTCTCCTTCACTTATGGAACAGTTTCTTGAAGAGACCAGCCAGTCAAGTGGAAGATTAAGTACATCAAACTTTTTCAACTTTAATTTAACTTTACCTGAATTGAGACCTGGTAAGTGATTTAATCTTACCAACATGGAAACCTCTGGCTATGTATTATCTTTTCTTGCCCACAGTACCTCTGCCAGAATGACTATCTGAGGGTTTTATATATCATCGTAGTAAGCAAAGGATGTGAAACAATTGGTGTCTGACCATAGCATCTGCTCCTTTTATCATGTAGACTAAACCCATAAGTAGATAGTCTGTTAATTCCCAGTTAATGTGTCATCTCAGGATTGGAGATTGTACTTTAGGATACAGTGCATACAGTAAACCTATAACCATGATGCTATGTCTCTAATGGCTAGGATACATGGTTCCAGGAATCAAGGAGTGAAAGTGGCATTGGCTTTGGTCACCATCATTTCAAGTGATCCACTTGCCAAAATTTGCTATTTCCCAAATATTAGGTCTGCTAGATTAGAGGCACTGTTCCCAATAACTAAATGATTCTACTAGAGAGACAGTAATGGCTTCTCTGAACTTGAAGCTATGACTACAATGTGGTCACTTTGGTCTCTTAATATCCAAGAACTCGCAGGCAAATAAAATTACTCATGTTAGGGATAACCAAGGCTGATTACCACGATGAACTGGAGCTGCTGCCACAAAATAAAATGGAGCAGGAATGACAATGGAGAGTCCAGGGGGTTTACTGAGGTGCTTATTTATCTTCTGTGCCTAGTGATCAATGGGAAGTTGTTGCAAACAAATCCTGACAAAGGCAAAGCAATTAAGGACTCAGATCACTTGGGAATATAAAACTGGGTCACCCCACCAGACAATTATGCAGACTAACTAAAGTGCTAACCAAAGAGGAGCAATTTTTAGAATGATGATTAAGAGGGAAATGGTGAATACTAGTTAGAGCCATGTGAGCTGTTGCAGCCATTGGGAATATAGGTGATTTACCTAATCCATTCATCACCTAAAAGGGACCTCTATAATAGATGGAACTTAAATGAGGAAACAAGTGGATCAGAGTGGTACAAGGGGTGACATATAACAAAAATTTCTTCAGATGCACTTCTTATTCCATCCACAGTTGCTTAACCAGTTTGGCATAGGTTCCAAGCAGCTTCATGCAGTTATAAATAGACAAGTCAGGCTAATACTGCTCATCTCTTGCCTCACCCCATAGTTTCTTGTTTGAAATCGGGAAGTAGGTCACTTGTGAGAGTCACTTGATACCCACACATGTACAAATTAGAAATATAAAATAGCTACAGCCACAGAGTAAATAGTTTACCAATGGGGAATGGAAACCAATAGACAAAGGTTTTCTCCTCTGTCACCCTAACATATTATACACTTCTCAGATGATCTTTTGGGATCAAGCAACAAGTCAATAACACATTTTGTACTGGTTCTTTCTCCTGTACTGAGCTCCCCATTGCTCAAGGCTGTTACTGGAATCACACTCCCACATAAAGTAGTTCCATAAAAGCCTTTGTTTCAGGCTCTGATTTCTAGGGAACCCAAGTTAAGTGCACTGTAGTCTGCAGCCCAGATGCTAAATAACTCAGTAACTTACCTGGAGTCTCACAGATAGTGATGGTCTGAGCCATCATCTTAATCTTATCTTCTGACTCAAAACCCTGTACTCTCTACACTGGATTTCTTCTCAGTGAAGTTGGTAAATTCATTGCCTATTAATGCAGGAAGAGCTTGGACACTGTCTGTCCTAGTGACCTTGACTTTTTGTTTGTCGTATCTCTTTCTTTTTTTTTTCCTAGTAAAATCAGAGGCAGAAACATAAAAAGATAACAGATTGTTCTACAAAAACAATAATGTGGAAGGGGAATGCTATCTACTCTAGGAAGCCCTTTATTCCCCAGTAACCCTGAAGAAGCTCTACATAGACCTTCAGTATCACAGTGGTAGAGTTCGAATAAAGACGATGCATTCCTGCCCTGATTTTTAAATATGAGACACTGAGGCCTGGAGAGATTAAGTTATTTAACCAATTTTGCAAGCTCATTAGTGGCAAATATTTAAGTTTTTACTAGATTATCCAAAGAATGGAGTAATTATGTTTCTGGTAAGTTTAAATACAGGTCTATGGAGGAGTCTGAAAATTTTTTACGAAACCTCATGAGAGTCCTTCCAATACTGTATTTCTATAATTCTAAGTAATCATCACATCCAATGAATTAATTATGCCACATGATATTTTCCCAGTGTGATACAGATGGCTTCATCATATAATTCTAGGCTGTAGTTAGAAATGATTCACTGGCATTTTAAAGGCACTGTTGCAACTGTTCCCCAGAAGAAAGTCGAAAAGGATGCTTAAAACTGCTGTGTATTGAAAACATATCAATTATCTAATGACAAGCCCCTTTGCAGCACATGAAAGGGTCCACATGGAATGGAATTGTGGCAAGCTGTGTCAGTGACTTCAGAGACTGAGCTGTGATAGATATGCCTATGCTTCAGGGTCTAGGAGCATGCCTTATGCTAGCCTTGCTCCAGGGTCTAGGAGCATGCCAGTGTGACTCAGAGCTGAACAAAAGAACCCACTGTTGAAAGGTCCTGGAAGCTCTGAATCAGAAGGACAGCTAGAAAGCATGAGGCACAATACAATCTCCCCATTAAAAATCTAATGCCTGAATCCCTTCCGCAGCCTTCCCGACACATTGACACCTAGGCCCTCTCTGAACTCACCTCCTAGCTGAATTAAATACTGAATCTGGTGTGTCCCAATTAAAGTGAACCTCCCTTGATTGCTGAACATTACTTTTGGGTATAGCATTACCTTTGATATTTTATCCATTCAACAAATACGTATTGAAAACAACATATGTTGGTCTCAGACAGTGGGAATATAAAGATGACTAGATGCTTATATATATCTTGCCTCATTCCTTACAGTATTTGAGCCTTATGGAACTAAATAACATAACTCTCTCCTTCAAAAAACTCTCAGTATGGAGTAGAGAACCAAATGTAAATGAATGGTTACTATAAATATTATGATAGAGATACATAGAGAGAGAACCTATTCAGCTGGGTGATTTAGAAAGGCTCCCTGGAGATGAAATCCATGAGTTGAGTACAGGAGGATTTATAGGTATTCCCTAGAAAGGGGGAAACAGCCTTCCAGGCAGAGCAACATGTGTAAGATGGGGAATGCAGGATACAGTCAAGAAATGACAACCAAACCAGGAAGACTGGCTGCTAATGGTTTGAATGTGTCCTCCAAACTTCATCTGTTGGAAACTTGCCAGTGTTACCAGTATTAAGTATTACAGTGTACAATATTACAATGTAAGGCCTTTAAGAGGTAATTAGATCATATGGGCTCCACCCTCATGAATGGATTAGTGCTATTATTGTAGTTGTATTAGTCCATTCTCACACTGCTACAAAGAAATACATGAGACTGGGTAATTTATAAAGAAAAGAGGTTTAATTGCTGCACAGTTCCACAAATTGCACAGAAAGCATGATTCTGGCCATCTGCTCAGTTTCTGGGGAGGCCTCAGGAAACATAATATCATGGTGGAAGGCAAAGAGTGAGAGAATCACTTCACGTGGCCAGAGCAGGAGGAAGGGAGGGATGGGGGATATCCACACTTTTAAACAACCAGATCTCATAAGAACTCTATCACAAGAGCGGCACTAGGGGGATGGTGTTAAACCATGAGAAACCACCCCCATGATCCAAGTACCACCCACCAGGCCCCACTTCCAACACTGGGGATTACAACTGAACATGAGATTTGGGCAGGGGCACAGATCCAACCCATATCAGTAGAAGGGGATTCATTATTGTGGGAGTAGATTCCTAATAAAAAGGATGAAATCATCCCATTTATCTCTCTGTCTCATGTGCTTGCTTCCATATTCCATCTTCCATCTTCCACCATGAGATGACCCTCAACAGATGCCAGTGCTATGTTCTTGGACTTTCCTGCTCCCAGAACTGTCAGGAATACATTTCTTTTCTTTATAAATTACCTAGTCTGTGGTATTCTGTTATAGTATTATAAAATGGACTAAGACACTGATGTAAAGTGCCCACTAGGGAGGTATGGTTGATAAATCTGGCCAGAAAGAAAAGGCCAAGTCATAGAATGTTTTACAAGAAGCTTAAACTTTATAATCTATGGAGGTTGACAGAAGCAGTTTAAGTAGGGTAGTGAGATTTTGAGATTAATCACTGAACAGTTAGGCAGATTAATTATTGTAGCATTTTTGTAAACTGGATCATAATCTTCTGGTATACAAAAACAAGTTCTGCTGGTTAGTAGAATACGTGGCACCTTTCCCTACTATACCACTAAAGAGAATGCTGTGAGAACTATTTATCCCCATTAAGTTTTCCATCTACATCAGAGTAAATTTTCTATTATTTCAGACAGGAAGCAAATGTGAGTTAACAAGCAATTATAGTAGCAGCACTTTTCACAGATGGTTATATCCTTTCCAACTTCACTGAATCTATTTCTTACCTAGTGTCTCTGTCTGTCTTCCATACACTCTGGCTACACGTTTCTCAACCCAATAGTCTGTCCCTTTTCTTTTGTGCATTTACCTGATCTTTTCTTTCTCTCTCTCTCATTCATACTCCCTAGTAGAAGTTTTAGAACCAAGCCCAGTTCTAAGGCGCTAGAACTCTTTACAACTCAAGTTCTTGAAAAAAAATGAGTTGGTTGGTTTAGATCACTGTTTCAAAACATGGATCTCTACACTTAATAGTACTATTCTAAAATATATTTTAAAACTGCTTCTTGAGAAAATGGAGAAAAAAAGACAATACACTGAGGGAATTGTTGCATTGTTTTTTTTTCATTGTATTAGGTTTGCATTTGGATATTAAGAAAAATGAATTAATAATTCTTGGTTCTTGACACATTTCTGTCATTGGTCTATGAATAACCGTTATTTCTTTGTTACTTTGAAACAACAGACTGTAATCAACACAGGTATATCGCCTACCTAACACAAAAACTAGAACATTGACTGTAATTTAAATCTATGTATGCAGTTCCCATTCATCTCATTATCATACTTCTGTCACTTGAGATATCTCTTATTTTAAATTTTGTGTTATTCTCAACTTTTAAAAGATTATACACACATACACATATATATACGCAGATATTTCTGTATGTTCCTAAAAAGTATATTCTTAAGTTTTAACCTGATATAGAACATATTTTGCTCGAGGTAATCTTTTGGACATTTTTACCATTCAGTCTTTTACTAAGATTTATATTTTTGCATGCAGCTGTCATTCACTTTCCTAACTGCTATATATTATTTCAATATTTAAACATGGCAAGCACAAGCATTTATTTATCCCCCTTCCTATAGATGGCCATTTGGACGGTTTCCTGGTTACTTCTGATATGAACGGGGCTGCTGTGGACACTTTTGTACATGTATTCTGAGGTACATTGACAAAAGTCATTCTCAAATAAAAATCTAGAGGTAGGATTGCTGGATGGTAGGGTATGCAAGTTTTCCATGTAGATAAATAAATTTAAAGGATTCCATTTTTGGATTATGGGAGAGTAATAAATGTCCTTTTTAATTAAATAATACTCATTATAAATGGTGGTTACTGATTTCTTTTAAATACCCAATTTTTGGTAAAATTAAAATATTCAAAACTTTTAAGGAAATTTTGCACTCTATGAAATTCTAAAGTCTGGGGACTCAAGGCTACAGCATATATGAGAAAGGCTAAATTTCATCCACACATGTGAAGGAGTTATAGTAATAGTGCTTATCTCAGTGGGCTGTCACGAGGGTTAATGAGATAAAGAATCATAAACACTAGCATATAGTAATTGTTCCATAAGCCACAGGCCCTGGCTGCCTTGGTTTCAGATAACAATTTCTAAGTGTCTGGGTTTGAGCAGCCAGCTTTTTTGTGCTCACTGCAGTGTTCAGACTTTCTGAAGTGGGATAAGCCTGACCAGATGCCAGTGCCATGCTCTTGGAGCCTGAGAGCAGCTTTCAAGGTGGTATTCACTCCTTCTATTTATCTGTTCTAGCAAACATCTGCAGTGCTCAGGAATAAAGTTAAGCCTTGTTTGCAGTGATGCCCTTTGTTTGTAGATAATTGTTTATTTCTTTTGACAATATGGAGGAAGCATGGCCGCAGCACAGGGTATCTTGGAATTCAGTTACCTCTGACTCTATGTCTTTGGTCTGCCTCACAGTTTCCTTTCCTTACATTACAAACACACTGCTAGTCATATGGGGAACAGCCAGATCTGAGGGACACACTACATCAAAAGGGAAAGGAGAATAAACTACCAGTCTGTTATAAGAAAAACAACCTTTTCTCCAGTTTCAAGACCAAGAGCCATCTCCCCCAGGGACCTCCGTGGTGGTTTTTGTTGGCTGGGCACTGGTATCTGATGGACATTGAGGTGAGTTTAGCTTCATATAAGAAATAAGTTTGGATAATAGAGATCATAAACCATCAGACTTCTTTCCCACTCACAGATCAAATCCATCAATCACATGTCCAGTTTTTATTTAAATAATTCAACAAAATACTATTTCATAAACCTCAGCAGTTCTTGCTATTTGTCTGTATACAAAGGGAGGATTTTTACAGCTTAAAAGGGACAGTAAGTCCTTGAATAATGTTATTTTATTCAACCTAGTTTTGTTATAACCTTGAAGAGGAAAAAAACCAATTCCCAGCCAGGGCCACTGTCTGTGTGGAGTTTGCACATTCTCCTCATGTCTGTGTGGGTTTTCGTCGGGTTCTCCAGCTTTCTCTCACATCTCAAAAATGTGCACGTTAGGTGAATTGGTGTGTCTAAATGGTCCCCATTTGAGTGAGGGTGGGTGTGTGTGAGTACACCCTGCGATGGACTAAGGTGTCCTGTCTAGTTCCACCTTCTGCCTTGTCCTGCTGGGATAGGCTCTGGATACCAGAGGCAATATACTGGAATAAGCATGTTGAAAAATGAATGAATAAATACAAATGATTGCCAAATAAAAATTCTTAAAGTATAAGAGTATCATACAAATGCACAACAATAAACAACGTGGTACAAAAGCCCTCAGGGAGCCCACGGTATTTCTAATTGCTTGTGTTTCAATTGCATGGTGATAGGAGGTGCTTCTGATAATTTTTGCTTTGCAAACGTTTATTCCTTGATTTAATCCACCACTGCTACAACTGCCATCACTCACTGATTCCCCCAAAAATAGGTAAATAATTATTCTACTTGTTTTTATTAATCTTTTTAAAATGTATGTATAGGACACATTTGTTACAATGTTTCATATTAGAAGGGTTTTGGTTCTTTATTTAGAAGTTTGGTGATGTTTTTGTGACTAAAAGTATGCCATAGGAGCTTAACTCTTGTTTACATCAATTAACCTATTGGTTTTGTAATATATTGCTTTGTTTAAAATGACAGTTTCCAAGAACCTATTGATAACATTAAGTGAGGATTTACTGTAGTTGGTTTTTTGCCAAAGAGACTCAAGTCTGCGATACTGGAGTCTTTGTACCAGGAAAGGGTACAGATACAGTTGGTAGAAATGTCTCAAAGACAAACTTGCTTACTTTAAAACATAATATATTATTTGCACTTACTATGTGCCTAGCACTGTGTTGGTTACTGAGGATACAAACATGAATCAGCTGACTAAGGCATCCTTTCTTCTCATGAAGTTCTGGCTCGTGGGGAAGGTAAGCAACTTAATGAACAATACTGTGGTACGATACCGGTGGTAACCTCTACGAAAACACCATGGGTAGGTGCTGGGATTGCACAACACATCTCCTCTGGATTGTACAGAGGAGAGAAGCTAACTCATTGAGGATAGTTAGTGACCAAAAATATGGATAAAATGCTGTGTAGGTGGGGTCTTGAAGCACAGTTGGGATATTTCTAGGTGGAGAAGGAATCCCTGAAAGAGGAAGAAACCACTGGAACAAAACCATGCAAGAGATAAAATGTAGAGCATATTCCAAGATCAAGGCCTTCTTCACAGGTCCCAGGACTCTGTGCCATTTTTTTGCTCATTTCCTCCTGCTATGCCCCACAAGAGTGCATATTAAAAATATCAGATGATGCATAGGAAGTACACAGTGTATGGCACATAGACACTGGTCAGTAAATGTGATTTCCATTATAATGAGGCTGCTGATGCATGCCCTTGGTGATGATGATGATGATAGCTTATTGAACACTTTCTAGGTGGTAAGTATTATAAGAGGGTTAAGTGTATCATCTCATTTGATCTTCACCATAAACCTATGAGGCTTAAATTCTTGTAATTATTATTATACCCATTTACAAATTAAGAAACTGAATCACAAAGAGATTAAAGAACTACTCCAAGATCACATTTTTTTAAATGATTGAAGACCAAGATTTGGTCCTGGGTGTATCTGGTTCAAAACTTGACCTTAACCTCTACTACTATGATATTAACAATAACAATCACCATTTATTGAGCTTAAAGTAAGTAGTATTTAGACAACAACATGATGAATTACTATTATATCCATTTTATTGATAGGAAAATTGAGCTTCAGGGAAATTAAATGACTCATCCAAAGGTACACAGTGGTGTAGTTAGAAACTAACTCAAATCTGCAGATTCCAAAGCCAATGCTTTTCCCTTTGCTCCATAGAGAGCCTCCCCTGTTGAATCCATAGTAGGTTGACCAGGGTCAAAGAACAAATCTCAGAATCCTGCAATATGCTTCATGCTTGAATATTTGAAACATTCTGATTAATGCACCCAGTTTCTGCCTGTATTCCAAACCAGTATTTGGAAATCATATCTCATGCTGTGGCATCACTAGACCCAGCTGTCCCTCCTGCTACCCTGTAAGGGCATCTGGAAACTGGCTGTATTTAGGACAAGCATCTCAGACCAAGGCTTTGGGACTCTAAATAATGTTCTTGTCTGTGCCATTTATTTCTCCCCCTTTCCATCATGCATTTCACTTCTCTAGGGCAATCATTAGATAACATTCACTCACTTTCTTAAGAGCCCATCTCCTACTGCTGACTAAATCCCAAATATTGAGCATCAGATTCAGGATGAAAAAGCTCAGCCCTGCAAGCAGTCTCCTGAAGGCTGGGCTGTCAAGTGTTTCAATTTAATTGGGAAGGAAAGAGAAGACTATACAGAATTGAGGACTTCCATTTTTTATTTTTCAGAGAACTTGGGGATCTTTTCAAGTCTGTAATAGAGTATGACTCAAGTCTATGAGGAAGTGAGTTTAAGCCACTAGGTACTTAAATCAGAGAGCCCCCAGATTCTACTTTGTAAGCATAAATAATATCAGAATTAATGTGCACTTCCTTCAGCTCTGCTCTATGAAGATAGTATTGACCCTATGGCCTCATTTTAGTGCAACCTAATGTCTTATAATTATTCTGCCTTTCATTGTGATGTGCATTTATGTTCACATACACACATTCAAAGGTAAGGCTGGAGTTAAACATGTGTCTCATTATCTTGTGAGCAACATAAGGGGAAGGACAATGTTTTCTAACCTTTGATCATGACATTGCCACAAAATTGAGCCTCAGAAACGTTCAAGGAATATTTACTAAATTAACATAACCAAGATGTAAAGTAATTCTCTTTCCCACAGAAAAAAAAAGACACATGTCAAAATAGATGTTTTAAAATTTTCGTTAGGCTTGTGATATAGAAAAATACTACAAATCTAACATTTCCTGATGTTACTGCCTCAATATTTACTAAACATTCCCTAAACATTGTGCACTGCTATGAGTCAAACATGTTGCAGACTGACTAAGACAGAGTATCTGCCCTTAAAGATTGGCAGTTATTTAAGGGAGACAGCCCATTAACACATCAGTCTTATAAAGCAAGGTAGATACTGCAATTAGAGGTGTGTGACTCTCAGTTGGAGAGTTGGAAAGTACTTCAAAGAGACTGGAGAGTGGAAGAAGAAGAACACTCCAGGCAAAAGAAATAGAGGTAAAGAGAGGCAACATGTTCTAAGAATGGCAAATATCAAGTATGTCCTAGGCAGAGATCATGGAGGAAGTAGAGAAGGCTGGGGCCATAAAGATTTTGAATATCATTAAAAGAGTGGCTTCTTGCAGTCAGTGATTATCAACTTTTTTTTTTTTTTAAAACTGCAATCTCACATTTGCATCTTCCTCCCATAGGCACACCCAAGATAATGCAAATTCCTAATGACATGGCATTTCAGCCCCTTCCTTTACAGTCAAGAAAGCATGGTGTGAGGGCCAGGCATGGTGGCTAACACCTGTAATCCCAGCACTTTCAGAGGCCAAGCTGGGCAGATCACTTGAGGTGAGAAGTTCAAGACCAGCCTGGCTAACATGTTGAAACCCCATCTCTACTAAAAATACAAAAATTAGCTGTCGTGGTGCACGCCTGTAGTCCCAGCTACTCGGGAGGCTGAGACAGGAGAGTCCCTTGAACCTGGGAGGCAGAGGTTGCAATGAGCTGAGATCATGCCACTGCACTCCAGCCTAGGAGACAGAGCAAAACTCTGTCTCAGAAAGAAAAAAAAAAAGCATGGTGTAATGACATTGGGTGGGTGAGTGTGGTCTTATTTTAGACATATTCTTGAATCAGCCATAGTAAGAAAAAATAAGTATTCTCAAGCTTCCATACTTCAATGTTTTTTTTATAATGATCTGTGACAACTCTTACAGCCTCCACTCCCCAAACTGTTATGTCTCAATATCATGATTGAACTGTTCTGGGGAATTTATCATTGTGATAACCCTTACAGCTTCCCCTCCCCAAACTGTTACATCTCAACATCATGATTGAACTCTGATTCTGGGGAGTTTATAGTATCTCTAACAGTGGAGTCATATAGTCAGTTATATATTTTAGGACCTTAGTAAAAGCCAGCAATTACCATCTCATTCCCATGTCAGAGAACTTCTGAAACATTGGAAATGTAAGGTCATTCATACTATGAATTCTTGTTCCATTCCTAAGCACTTGGAAGCTTTCTTTCAGAACTTCCTATTTGGAGGAGGTTTGGATTTTGCAGACCACCCCTTGGCCAGATTGTCTTTGGAGAGATGTTTGCTACAGAATACATCCTGTTTTGTTGTTGTTGTTTCCAACTGATCTCCCCACCTTGGTAAAAAGTCACCAGCTTAGCAATTAGAAACTGCTGTGCTCACTCGTTTTTAGCTGAAGTTCCATACTGAGAAAATTGTTTTACTTGGCTTGAGTTCTATTCTTGAGTGATGCTCAAGTTAAGAAGCAGGTGTGCCTGGTAGTATTTAACGCCTTCAGTGAATAAAGTGCTGCAAATGAGATAGCCCATGTAAAGCGAGCTTCAGTGAATGCAAAAACATTAATTTTTATTTTTTCTTCCTCACTTTCAAAGGGGCCATGACTTAAACTTTTATAATCTCTTTCCTTTATGTTTGCAATAGCTTCCTAACTGGTTTCTCTGACCTAACTCAAATGCTTTTCCAGTCAACTTTTTTAGTGCCGCAGAAGTGATTCCACAACAAACACAATCCTGTCACTCCCTTTCTTAACACGTGTATTAGTCTGTTTTCACACCGCTGATAAAGACGTATCAGAGACTGGGCAGTTTACGAAAGGAAGAAGTTTAATTGGACTTACAGTTCCACATGGCGGGGGAAGCCTCACAATCATGGCAGAAGGCAAAGAAGAACAAGTCACATCTTATGTGGAGGGCAGCAGGCAGAGAAAGGAGCGTTTGTGCAGGGAAACCCTCCTTTTTATAACCATCAGATCTCGTGAGACTTACTTACTATTGCCAGAATAGCATGGGAAAGACCTGCCCCCGTGATTCAGTTACCTCTCACTGGGTCCCTTCTACAACACGTGGGAATTCCAGATGAGATTTGGGTGACAGCAAAGCCAAACCATATTAATGCCTTTCATGGACAATCCTGTTTTTGAGAGATTAAAATTTGAAATTCATCAATCAGAACCAAGAAGGCTTTCAAGTCTCATCACCTGTTACACTCATCCACACACTCTAATTTTCTACTAACCTGAACTACTATTTAGTGTTTCTTCATTAAATTGAACTCCATCTCTCTCTGCCATGCATTTGCATAGGTTATTCTCTGAAATATGTTGCTCCCGAAATGTTCTTTTTCCCCTACTCACATTACTGTGGAACTTAAATTGAGGCTTTAAGATGCAATTCGATCATTTCTTTCCCTTTGAAACCTTCTCAAGAATTTCTTGGAAAGATTCATTGTTCATACATTCTTTCCATCAATACCTATTAAGTAACCTCTATATGTCAGGTATTGTTCTCACTGCCAGGAATACAGATGAACTAGACAAAGTTCCTACCCTCATTTATTTTACATTCTAGTGTAGGTCAATATAACAAAAATAATAAATATGTAATATATAATTCAAAGTAGTGAAGAGTGTATTACGAATAATAAATCAGGATATATAAAACTATTTTTGGTTGGGAAGTGAACTTTTGATATCTTTTTCAACTACAAACAGCATATTCTACTTTGGGAAATGACTTGTTTCACATGTCTTGTCTTCATTATAGCTCCTTGAGGTGATAAATGCTATTACCTTTGTCATCTTTAATCTTCTTCAAAACACTCAATAATTCTGTCCTGAATGAATGAATATGCACATATCTGAATAGCTGAATAAATGAATTTTTCTATGCAGTTTTATTTTCAATCCATTAGAAAGGAAGTCTTTTGCACAATAATAAGTGAAATACTCTCAAGGTAACAAACTAACACCTTAACAATACTGGGAATCTGGTCGAAAACTAAGTCACCTTCAGCACATGGATTAGAATCATAAACTGCTCCTTAGAACCAGGCATCTGAGTCATTTAATGCTTAGGTACCTTGAAAGAGAGAAACTCCCTTAGCCAATTTTTCTGTGTTCTATAATCTCACAAATGAAGATGTCTCTCCAATTCCTAAAATAAACAACAAAAACAACAACAAAACTACTAGCTTTATAAATTACTTTTCAAAGTGGGATTTGACAATAAAACAATTTTCTGGGTAATTGGCTGAAGTTTGGAAATCTTTATATTGTAAAGAGACATTTAAAATGGCATAATTACGTGGCCAAAGCATATATGAAAAGTCATTCTTATGGCAGATGGGTAATGCTTGGCTCTAGGTTGCCCATTAACTCACGCTGAAAGATGACTGATCAGATCTTTTACTCATCTATTTCTCAGTTTCTGCATCTGCAGAATGAGCTTCTGTAAGTCTGCAATGTATCTGAGAGTGCCCGTGTTATTCTGCTCTCTTTCTATCTCTACACAAACCAAATGAAACTTCCAGTCCTCACCAGTGGCTTGTTCCGAAACAAGAAATCAGAATAAGGGTACAACATAAAACAAAGTGTCCATAGGGATTGTTAATTCTTTATTTGTGTCTTGTTTGGTTTTTAACTGACAAAGCACAGGACATGACCCTTTTTTTTTGGTTGGGTTGGGGGCAACAGACATCCAGTAATCAACTTTGGTTAATTTATGGCAAAAAGTAATTTATTGGAAAACTGTGGGTTCACTCACAGAATTAAGGAAAAAAATTGAATAACAAGGCTCAGAGAGGATCAGACCTAGGAAACTCTGGGATTTAGACAGCAGAAACTAATGAAGAATCTCCTCAGGGCTTTGCTCAGAGATGAATAAATTATATCAATGACCAGATACTATGACATGCTTCTCAGAATACAGAATCTAAAGACAGAGCACTTGATTAGTCTAGCTTGGGTCACTCTTGTTTCAGGAAAACTGGGATAGGAATGATGCACTTTACAGAATTGCTATGAATGTATCTAATGGGAAAAATGCAATTTTCCAATGGAAAGAAACAGATGATTTTAGTAGAAAAAATGAGAATAGATGTTCAATAAGCAGAATGCTTGCCTCAAGCAAAAACTCGGGAGATCAAAAAAAACAGGCTTGACAAAATAGAAAGAGCAAAGATTTTTGTGTTAAATGCCTGGGGTTCAAAAAAGATTTTGGCATTAAATGACTTGGCCCCCTACTTAGTAGCTATTGTATGGAGAGTATTTTTATTTACTCAGAGAGTTGCTCTTAGAATAAATGAAGTAATTTATACAAATTCATGTCTAGCTCAAAGTGAGTACTTAATAAATTGAAGCTATTATTCATATTATCACCAAAGAATAAATGTGTTCAAGGTATTTGGGGACAAGAATGCAAACATATAATGACATGTTACTGTTAAGGCTTTGAATGTCCCTGAGAAGACACAGCTGAGAGACAATCAGAAGGCAGCCCCAGGATCTGTGCATGTTTCCAGATATCTGACTGCAAAAGTCACTATCTGAAATTAATCTTAGAAGTGCCTACTGCTTTGTCCTCATTGCAGATCTAGCCTCTTCTTTTTATTAACTTTGGCTTAAAGAGACAATGTTTAAATAATGGAACATGAGGAGAAAATTGTGATGTTTGATTAAACTATGAACTATATGTCATCCATTCTCACTGTATTCATTTGATATTTGCCAAATCAGTCTATCATAACCAATAATATTTTTATATATGCAAAGTATACTAAGGTTTGTGATGGGCTGGAGCAGTCTGTACTGGTGCAGGCAATCAGTATATTGCCTGTACACAATTTTAAAAATATTAAAACCAACTAAAGATGATCTGCTTTTTATTATCACTAGATACTGGCAATTCTAAACAATGTCAGTGATAAAATAGTCTTTGTGAAAATAAGTAATTTGAAATTTAAGCTGTTGAAATTTTAAGATATTTTCAGCCTTAAGGCAATGTGATTATGGAACCTGAGTCGTGCAATCAGGCAGCTATAACCTGGCAGCCATAATCTTTGTTCTCTGATTATAGATTAGCCTTTTCCTTACCTACATTGCTTTGTAAAATGTTGTAAGGGTCCCAGTGAAGACCCCCTTCTCTCTTAACTGTTTTTTGATCTTCATTATAAATTAACTTCCCTCTTTCTTCTCTCACACAAGACTTCATGATTATCATGTCTAAGACAAAATACTAACTACAATCCTTTAAACTGTGTAGGAAAAAAAAAGAAGCTGTACGGAAAAGAAAACAAACTATAACTAACTAAATTGTTGTAACTCATAAAGCAGCCTTGTATAGAAAATGTTATAATCCCACAAAATTTCACTGTTTTCTGCCTATATAAGCAAAGCCTTAACTTTTAAGTTCAAAGCACTGACACCGTTCCTTTCAAATCTGCGTTACCCAAACAACTCTTCTCAGCTTTGTGTTTGATTAAACTCTTTTAAACTGGATTCTGATCTTTTTGATTATTTTAGGTTGACATACTAATCAAACAGTAGAAAGCTCCCTCTCCTTTTCTCCTTACTTATTTATCTTATAAGTGTGTCTTTCTCAACTTTTCTGTTTGATTATTAACTTTTAGAGGACCAATTCCATATCTTGTTTAAATTTGCAGCTTTCATGGAGACTGGCATTAACCTTATGATTAAGTGAGAGGAGTGGGTCTAGGGTCTTCCCATATAATTTGCCTGGTTCCAGTTACTCTCCTTAATTAAGATTTCTAATTCATAACTTAGAATCAATTAAATTTAACATGGGGTTCCTCATCTGAAAAATGGCATAATACTTACTTGTGATACTGAAAACTGTGATGCAAATTAGCAATAAAATAGATAAAATCCCAGGTTCAATGCATTCCACCTAAGCTTTCAAAAATGTGACTTATTTTTATATCATTAGAGTCATTATTAAGTCAACAGATATAAAATAAAAGTCTACCATATATCAAGAGACAAAAATGAATGAGACATAACTCTTGCCCTACAGCACCTCACCAACAAACATATACACTATGAGGAGGTCTAATGTCCTGGGAAAAGAGCTAATAAAAAATACAGTGCAGGACACGAAGTGGCAA
Organism: Homo sapiens; assembly: GCF_000001405.40. Lineage (NCBI taxonomy): Eukaryota > Metazoa > Chordata > Mammalia > Primates > Hominidae > Homo > Homo sapiens. Next base: position 87,765,161 of record NC_000011.10, on the reverse strand, counting down.
CCTTCAATTCCACAGGGAAGGAGGCCATTCAGAAAAGGTTTCTAAAAAATGGTAACAGATGAAATACAGGGGTATATGCTACGTGGAGACATCACTGGATGGAAGAATCATGTCAATTACTGAGAAGCCAGAAGATTAATATCACAGGAGAATGCTTCCATAAAGAAAAAAGCAAGACACAAAACAGTAAACAGAATTTTAATATGACAGAACATACACATAAATACTGGAAGGAATTCTTCAAATTGTTAAAACTAGTCATCTCTAGGTGCTGGAAATACAGTTGTTGTTGTTTTTTTTCCTCTATATGTGCCAAAAGGCATGACTATAAAATCAGAAACAAAATGCTCCTGGGCAACCTAGCAAAACCTTCTCTTTATAAAAATTAGCTGGGTGTGGTGGCACACGCTTTTAGCTACTTGGGAGGCTGAGGTGGGATGATCACCTGAGCCTAGGGAGGTCAAGGCTGCAGTGAGCTGTGATGAGGTCACTGCACTCCAGCCTGGGTGACAGAGCAAGGCCCTGTCTCAACAACAACAACAACAAAAAAAAAAAAAGGAAAGGAATGCTGTTTTTTAAAAGGAAGGTGGACAAATAGCATTGAAAATCTAATCAGAGAGGGTGGTTCCAAGACGGCCAAATTGGAACAGCTCCAGTCTACAGCTCCCAGCATAAATGACACAGAAGACCAGAAGACGGGTGATTTCTGCATTTCCAACTGAGGTACCACATTCATCTCACTGGGGCTTGTCAGACAGTGGGGGCAGGACAGTGGGTGCAGTCCACCAGCGTGAGCCAAAGCAGGGCGAGGCATCGCCTCACCCGGGAAGTGCAAGGGGTCAGGGAATTCCCTTTCCTAGCCAAGGGAAGCAGTGACGGACAGCACCTGGAAAACTGGGTCACTCCCACCGTAATACTGAGCTTTTCCAAGGGTCTTAGCAAACAGCACAACAGGAGATTATCTCCCACGCCTGGTTCAGAAGATCCCACACCCATGGAGCCTCACTTATAGCTAGCAAAGCAGTCTGAGATCCATCTACAAGGCGGCAGCAAGGCTGGGGGAGGGGCACCCACCATTGCTGAGGCTTGAGTAGGTAAACAAAGCAGCCAGGAAGCTCGAACTGGGTGGAGCCCACTACAGCTCAAGGAGGCCTGCCTGCCTCTGTAGACTCCACCTCTGGAGGCAGGGTATAGTCAAACAAAAGACAGCAGAAACCTCAGCAGACTTAAATGTCCCTGTCTGACAGCTTTGAAGTGAGTAGTGGTTATCCCAGCACGGAGTTTGAGATCTGAGAATAGACAGACTGCCCCCACAAGTGGGTCCCTGACCCCCGAGTAGCCTAACTGGGAGGCACCTTCCAGTAGGGGAAGACTGATACCTCACATGGCCGGGTACCCCTCTGAGACAAAGCTTCCAGAGGAACGATCAGACAGCAACATTCCCTGTTCAGCAGTATTTGCTGTTCTGCAGCCTCCACTGCTGATACCCAGGCAAACAGGGTCTGGAGTGGACCTTCAGCACACTCCAACACACCTGCAGCTGAGGGTCCTGACTGTTAGAAGGAAAACTAACAAACAGACAGGACATCCACACCAAAACCTCATCTGTACCTCACCATCATCAAAGACCAAAGGTAGATAAAACCACAAAGATGGGGAAAAAACAGAGCAGAAAAACTGGAAACTCTAAAAATCAGAGCACCTCTCCCCCTCCAAAGGAATGCAGCTCCTCGCGAGCAACGGAACAAAGCCGGATGGAGAATGACTTTGATTAGTTGAGAGAAGAAGGCTTCAGATGATCAAACTTCTCTGAGCTAAAGGAGGAAGTTTGAACCCATCGCAAAGAAGCTAAAAACCTTGAAAAAAGATTAGATGAATGGCTAACTAGAATAACCAATGCAGAGAAGTCCTTAAAGGACCTGATGGAGCTGAAAACCATGGTACGAGAACTATGTGATGAATCGACAAGCTTCAGTAGCTGATTCGATCAACTGGAAGAAAGAGTATCAGTGATTGAAGATCAAATGAATGAAATGAAGTGAGAAGAGAAGTTTAGAGAAAAAAGAATTAAAAGAAACAAACAAAGCCTCCAACAAATATGGGACTATGTGAAAAGACCAAATCTACGTCTGATTGGTGTACCTGAAAGTGATGGGGAGAACAGAACAAAGCTGGAAAACACTCTGCAGGATATTATCCAGGAGAACTTCCCTAATCTAGCAAGGCAGGCCAACATTCAAATTCAGGAAATACAGAGAACACCACAAAGATATTCCTTGAGAAGAGCAACTCCAAGACACATAATTGTCAGATTCACCAAAGTTGAAATGAAGGAAAAAACGTTAAGGGCAGCCAGAGAGAAAGGTCGGGTTACCCACAAAGGGAATCCCATCAGACTAACAGCAGATCTCTCGACAGAAACTCTACAAGCCAGAAGACAGTAGGGCCAATATTCAACATTCTTAAAGAAAAGAATTCTCAACCTAGAATTTCATATCCAGCCAAACTAAGCTTCATAAGTGAAAGAGAGATAAAATCCTTTACACACAAGCAAATGCTGAGAGATTCTGTCACCACCAGGCCTGCCCTACAAGAGCTCCTGAAGGAAGCACTAAACATGTAAAGGAACAATCGGTACCAGCTACTGCAAAAACATGCCAAATAGTAAAAACCATCGATGCCAGGAAGAAACTGCATCAACTAACAAGCAAAATCACCAGCTAACATCATAATGACAGGATTAAATTCACATATAACAATATTAAACTTAAATGTAAATGGGCTAAAGGCTCCAATTAAAAGACAGAGACTGGCAAATTGGATAAAGAGTCAAGTCCCATCAGTGTGCTGTATTCAGGAGACCCATCTCACGTGCAGAGACACATATAGGCTCAAAATAAAGGGATGGAGGAAGATCTACCAAGCAAACGGAAGAAAAAAAAAAAAGGCAGGGGTTGCAATCCTAGTCTCTGATAAAACAGGCTTTAAACCAACAAAGATCAAAAGAGACAAAGAAGGCCATTACATAATGGTAAAGGGATCAATTCAACAAGAAGAGCTAACTATCCTAAATATATATGCACCCAATACAGGAGGACCCGGATTCATAAAGCAAGTCCTTAGAGACCTACAAAGAGACTTAGACTCCCACACAGTAATAATGGGAGACTTTAACACACCACAGTCAACATTCGACAGATCAACAAGACAAAAAGTTAACAAGGATATCCAGGAATTGAACTCAGCTCTGCACCAAGTAGAACTAATAGACATCTACAGAACTCTCTACCCCAAATCAACAGAATATACATTCTTCTCAGCACCACATCACACACAGTGGTGACCACATAGTTGGAAGTAAAGCACTCCTCAGCAAATGTAAAAGAACAGAAATTATAACAAACTGTCTCTCAGACCACAGTGCAATCAAACTAGAACTCAGGATTAAGAAACTCACTCAAAACCACTCAACTACATGGAAACTGAACAACCTGCTCCTGAATGACTACTGGGTACATAATGAAATGAAGGCAGAAATAAAGATGCTCTTTGAAACCAACGAGAACAAAGACACAACATACCAGAATTTCTGGGATATATTCAAAGCAGTGCGTAGAGGGAAATTTATAGCACTAAATGCCCATAAGAGAAAGCAGGAAAGACCTAAAATTGACACCTTAACATCACAATTAAAAGAACTAGAGAAGCAAGAGCAGACACACTGAAAAGCCAGCAGAAGGCAAGAAATAACTAAGATCAGAGCAGAACTGAAGGAGATGCAGACACAAAAAACCCTTAAAAAAATCAATGAATCCAGAAGCTGGTTTTTTGAAAAGATCAACAAAATTGATAGACTGCTAGCAAGACTAATAAAGAAGAAAAGAGAGAAGAATCAAATAGACGCAATAAAAAATGATAAAGGGGATATCACCACCAATCCCACAGAAATACAAATTACCATCATAGTATAAACACCTCTACACAAATAAACTGGAAAATCTAGAAGAAATGGATAAATTCTTGGACACATACACCCTCCCAAGACTAAACCAGGAAGAAGTTGAATCTTTGAATAGACCAATAACAAGCTCTGAAATTGAGGCAATAATGAATAGCCTACCAACCAAAAAAAGTCCAGGACCAGATGGATTCACAACCGAATTCTATCAGAGGTACAAGGAGGAGTTGGTACCATTCATTCTGAAACTATTCCAATGAACAGAAAAAGAGGGAATCCTCCCTAACTCATTTCATGAGGCCAGCATCATCCTGATACCAAAGCCTGACAGATACATAACAAAGAAGGAGAATTTTAGACCAATATCCTTGATGAACATTGATGCAAAAATCCTCAATAAAATACTGACAAACTGATTCCAGCAGCACACTGAAAAGCTTATCCACCATGATCAAGTGGGATTCATTCCTGGGATGCAAGGCTGGTTCAACATACACAAATCAATAAACATAATCCAGCATATAAACAGAACCAAAGACAAAAACCACATGATTATCTCAATAGATGCAGAAAAGGCCTTTCACAAAATTCAACAGCCCTTCATGCTAAAAACTCTCAATAAATTAGGTATTGATGGGATATATCTCAAAATAATAAGAGCTATTTATGACAAACCCACAGCCAATATAATACTGAATACGCAAAAACTGGAAGCATTCTCTCTGAAAACTGGCACAAGACAGGGATGCCCTCTCTCACCACTCCTATTCAACATAGTGTTGGAAGTTCTGGTCAGGGCAATCAGGCAGGAGAAGGAAATAAAGGGTATTCAATTAGGAAAAGAGGAAGTCAAATTGTCCCTGTTTGCAGATGACATGATTGTATATTTAGAAAACCCCATCTTCTCAGCCCAAAATTTCCTTAAGCTGATAAGCAACTTCAGCAAAGTCTCAGGATACAAAATCAATGTGCAAAAATCACAAGCATTCTTATACACCAATAACAGACAAACAGAGAGCCAAATCATGAGTGAACCTCCATTCACAATTGCTTCACAGAAAATAAAGTACCTAGGAATCCAAGTTACAAGGGATGTGAAAGACCTCTTCAAGGAGAACTACAAACCACTGCTCAATGAAATAAAAGAGAATACAAACAAATGGAAGAACATTCCATGCTCATGGATAGGATGAATCAATATCGTGAAAATGGCCCTACTGCCCAAGGTAATTTATAGATTCAATGCCATCCCCATCAAGCTACCAAACACTTTCTTCACAGAATTGGAAAAAAACTACTTTAACGTTCAGATGGAACCAAAAAAGAGCCCCCATTGCCAAGACAATCCTAAGCCAAAAGAACAAGCTGGAGGCATCATGCTACCGAACTTCAAACTACACTACAAGGCTGTAATAACCAAAACAGCATGGTACTGGTACCAAAACAGAGATATAGACCAATGGAACAGAACAGAGCCCTCAGAAATAATACCACACATCTACAACCATCTGATCTTTGACAAATCTGACAAAAACAAGAAATGGGGAAAGGATTCCCTATTTAATAAATGGTGCTAGGAAAACTGGCTAGCCATATGTAGGAAGCTGAAACTGGATCCCTTCTTACACCTTATACTAAAATTAATTCAAGATGGATTAAAGACTTAAATGTTAGACCTCAAACCATAGAAGAAAACCTAGGCAATACCATTCAGGACACAGGCATGGGCAAGGACTTCGTGTCTAAAACACCAAAAGCAATGGCAACCAAAGCCAAAATTGACAAATGGGATCTAATTAAACTAAAGAGCTTCTGCACAGCAAAAGAAACTACTACCAAGAGTGAACAGGCAACCTACAGAATGGGAGAAAATTTTTGCAATCTACTCATCTGACAAAGGGCTAATATCCAGAATCTACAAAGAACTCAAACTAATTTACAAGAAAAAAAAACAAACAACCCCATCAAAAAGTGGGCAAAAGATATGAACAGACAGTTCTCAAAAGAAGACATTTATACAGCCAACAGACGCATGAAAAAATGCTCATCATCACTGGCCATCAGAGAAATGCAAATCGAAACCACAGTGAGATACCATCCCACACCAGTTAGAATGGTGACCATTAAAAAGTCAGGAAACAACAGGTGCTGGAGAGGGTGTGGAGAAAAAGGAACACTTTTACACTGTTGGTGGGAATGTAAACTAGTTCAACCATTGTGGAAGACAGTGTGGCGATTCCTCAAGGATCTAGAACTAGAAATACCATTTGACCCAGCAATCCCATTACTGGGTATATACCCAAAGGATTATGAATCATGCTATAAAGACACATGCACATGTATGTTTATTGTGGCACTATTCACAATAGCAAAGACTTGGAACCAACCCAAATGTTCATCAGTGATGGACTGGATTAAGAAAATTTGGCACATATACACCATGGAGTAATATGCAGCCATAAAAATGATAAGTTCATGTCCTTTGTAGGGACATGGATGAAGCTGGAAAGCATCATTCTCAGCAAACTATCGCAAGGACAAAAAACCAAACACTGCATGTTCTCACTCATAGGTCGGAGTTGATCAGTGAAAACACTTGGACACAGGAAGGGGAACATCACACACTGGGGCCTGTCATGGGGTGGGTGGAGGGGGGACGGATAGCATTAGGAGATATACCTAATGTAAATGATGAGTTAATGGGTGCAGCATACCAACATGGTGCATGTATACATATGTAACAAACCTGCACGTTGTGCATATGTACCCTAGAACTTAAAGTATAATAAAAAAAATTTTAAAAAAAGGAAAATCTAATCAGAGAAAGAGCATTATTTTCCAAGTTCAAAATTCTGTTCCCTGGGCTGCAGAAAACTAAAGGCAACATTTGTCAGAAATAAGACTTTACTTATGGGGCCCCAGAGCAAGTGACAGTTTCAGCCAATAAACTTTGAAAAGCCTTCTACTCTTTGTACCTCTCTCTTGCATGAGACGTGACTCATGTGATTTGATTTTGGAAAGAAATGGCACTGCATGTAATTCTTCAAAGGAGAATGAAGGGAAACTGCAGGGAGTTGCGTCTAGCTTGCTGGAACGTTAGAACGTGCTTTAAATATTCAGTGTCATTCTTTCATTTTTGGCCATTAGATAAACAATGAGCCATTGATGTTGAAATAGACCTTTTCATACCCTTGATCCTTCGCTGAATGCAGCTCTACTTTTCTCCTAGTGAAGCCTATTCACTTCCCCAAACTTTTTCATCTATTTATTGCTCCAGAAAGACTAGATTGGCTCAGCAACTCTCCCCACTCACTCAGTTTCTCCCTAGCATTGTGTAAGTACTCTCATCAAAGCTCTTATCCCACTTCCCAGGAATTTTTTATTTGTATATATCCTTGAGTGTACTGCTGTTACTGTAAGGCAGGACCTAGCATTATTCTGTCTTAAATATCCTGTACTACAAAGACTGCAGACTGCCTGCAACATGATAAGTGATGAATAAATGGTTGATCATTGTATATCAAACCCAAGTAACTTTAAAGTTTATCCTACGCTGTTGTGCACCATCCCTTTGCAAATGCCTGTCCTTTGGCTATAACTCTGAGGATTCCTCCTCAGTCTCTTTCATTGGTTCCCTTCTGCCTACTTCTTAAGTGTTGTTCTCCAGAGTTCTGTCCGTACCCTTCTTCTCTTCTTGCTAAATATTTTCCCTGAAAGAGCTCATCTCCTTCCCTTCATTTGCTTCCACACAGAGGATACTGAAAGCCACATTCCTTTTTCCCAGTCCAAACCTCACTGCTGAAATTCAGACCCACCCTGCATGTCCTGGTCATCTTTATCCAGATACCCTACAGTCACTCATCTTCAACATAGCCAATATGGACTCCCTTTTTCCCTGTGTATGTCTCCCACCCCCCAAACAAGTTTTTCTCTTTCTGAGTTCCCTAGCTCAGTAAGCCTTATTCTTCCGACTTATGTTACCTCTTTCTCCTTATTACATCTGTAACCCATTTCTCCCTAATCTGTATTTACAGCACCTCTTCTATTTCCTGCATCTCCATGCCTGTTCTTTCTAACCTCAAGTGCTTATCGGCTCTTATGTGGGCTATGACAGTAGCCTAATAGCTCATCTATTAAATATGATCTACAAACAGTTACTAAATGGATCTTCCTAAAGCACAGATGTCATCATGTGACTCTCCCATTTTATTTCCTTCATTATTTACAGAAAGCCTCCTTCGGTAGAAGTTTGTCTTCTTAGTAAAGCAGACTCTAAGAATTAAGCATATAGGGTGTTCATTAAGGAGTGCCTTTGGAGTCAACCCCAATTGAAGGAAGAAGGAAGCAGGAGTGAGCAGAGGAAGGTGAAGCTATGATATGTGGGCCCTGTATCAGCCTCAGCTTATTTCCTTTCTCTAGTGTTCTAACCTCCAGTCATATTGATCTATGTGCAGTTACTCATCAGCTCAGCTCAAACTTTCCTGCCTTCTCCTTTAGGCCATATTGACTATGCCCTCTTCTATCATCACATCCAAATTGTAACACTTTATTATACTTAATGATTGGCATGCCTATTTCTAGTAAATGTTAAGCTTCTTGAAATCAGGCACTCAGTTTATTCACCATTTATCCTAAGCATACAAATACACATAGTGTATCTGGAACATATGGGCACTTGTATATACATATATACTATGAGGAGGTCTAAAGTCCTGTGGAAAGAGCCAGTAAAAAAATATCCACTCAAAAATGAAATGAAAAAGGTGGATAAGTAAGTGACTAGACAGATACAAGCACTATAACCATGCCTTCCCCTAGCATGTACATTGGGACCTCTGTGACATACTGGATTACTAAGCAGGTCTAGTGCAGCATTTCACAGGACAAGGGCTTTCTCTTCTGGGAGAGAAACCAGGAAGAGACAGTAGGCTTAAACACAGGATGTCCAAACTCAGTCAAGTCACAAAGCTAGGGATAAACAGGAAAATGCAGCAGGCAGAAGAGGATTCAGACTCCAGATAGTTAAGGCAACAGGACTCAGGAACTCTGACCAGGAGAACAAAACAAAAAGGCCAGAATCCGAAGGCATGTTTTGAAGCAGGAGCTTTAACCAGTGAGTCACAGAATGTTAGGAAAATTGTTAGAGGTATTCATGAAATCTTCATTTTTTTAGAGGAGAAATATTAAGGTTCTAGACAATAGGAGTTCAAAACTCAGATGTCCATCCATCCATCTATCCATCTATTTATCCATCCATCATCTACCCATCCATCTATCCATCCATGCAGTTATCCATGAATTAGATATTCATTTGCAGTTCATGAGAACCTACTATGTTTAGATATTCTGCTAGTCACTGGGGATACAAATATGAATGAGACATGTTATTTTCTATAAAGTAGCCTTAATATAAGATTGGTCTGTGCATTGAAGATACCAAAGGTGAAGCTCTCAAACTGGTCTTGTGGGGAAAATTGTCAAGTGTTCTGGTGATAGATGATGGGTGTGAGCCACAAGGATGAAGTCTAATATGAAATAAAAGGTTTTGAGAACCAGAATCTCCCAACTTTTTCTCCACCAAGGTTCAGAAAAGATATCATATGTGTGCAGAGTAGAGAAGATAGGTGTGTCCGGACTGAAGGAGGAAGAGAAAAGAAATCAATTTCTGCTAGTTGATCTCTGTGTTTAGCTTCCACTTCAATTGCCTTTCATGCCAGGAGTTACCAGGAGCCATAAGATGCACAGCACTTAACTCATTCTAGGTTTTCTTTGTTAAATTTATTTAGCCAGTGTCCATTTATCTGCCTTTCTCTAAGAGGAAGGAAGGAAGGAAGGAAGGAAGGAAGGAAGGAAGGAAGGAAGGAAAGAAGGAAGGGAGGAAGGGAAGGAAGGAGGGAGGGAAGGAGGGAGGGAGGGAAGGAAGGAAGGAAGGAAGGAAGGAAGGAAGGAAGGAAGGAAAGAAGGAAGGGAGGAAGGGAAGGAAGGAGGGAGGGAAGGAGGGAGGGAAGGAATGAAGGAAGGAAGGAAGGAAGGAAAGAAGGAAGGGAGGAAGGGAAGGAAGGAGGGAGGGAAGGAGGGAGGGAAGGAAGGAAGGAAGGAAGGAAGGAAAGAAAGAAGGAAGGGAGGAAGGGAAGGAAGGAGGGAGGGAAGGAGGGAGGGAAGGAAGGAAAGAAGGAAGGAAGGAAGGAAATAAATTACCTTAGAAAAAAGTAATGAAAGCCAGCACCTTCTTTTCTGAAGGCTTCTCTTGAACATGGCTTCAAGAGAGCTTTAGTAGCTCAGTGATTACACAAGGCTTTCAGGGATCAGGCATGAAGCCAATACCTCAAGAAATTGTTCCTGTGAGTTACTTTAATGAATCAGGTCAGAGTGACACAACATCTCCCAGATATAACCTTAAGGAATAAATGGAGAAGAGGTGTTGGCAATGCATGTGAACTAATAAAAATTTACCCCATAAAGGGAGAATAATTTTCTAAGCAGCGTCCTGATTCATGACTCTTAAATTCATATCAGCAGTTATCCTAACAATGAAGCTCTCTCACAGAAAAAATGAGCAGGATATAGAACATTTTTTAAAACCTTAATAATTGAAAACTTGAGGAATATAAAATATGCTAAATTGTTTCATCTTTACTAGTCAGATATAAGTTGAAAATTTAAATAATAAAATGTGCCCAAATGAAATCCAAACTGCACTCAACTAGTTTCCCCATAGCAGTACATACCCAAGAATACAGGTAGTTTTCAGCATTTGTTTGTTAACATTTTATTCTCATTTTGAAACAGAAAAACTAATGAAGGATCACTTAAATAGCAACTCCTACCAGTTTCCCTTGGGTTAGTTGGTAGTTAGTACAATTTCATTTCTAGGACTAGGCCCTACATTTATCGTTATCCTTATTCCCCCACTTTGAGCATGACATCACTCTTCTTTCATTTGGGCATTGTCTCTTCTCACAAAAGTTTGCACTAAGTTTTATATATATATATATATATCCATGTTATACAAATATAATATATAATATATAGTATTATATATTAAATATATATTATATAACATGTAACAACTCTAATGGCAGAGTCTGAGTCTTTATGTTTATAATCTGTTTACCCATCTCACTTGTGACCAGGCATTAGTGCATCACTGGGCCCACTTGTGAATGCTCAGTTGACTAGAGTGAAAAGTATGTCACTACAGTCATTATCTGAAATAAACAGTTTCACCAATATTCACTACATTTGACTTGGTTAGGCAAAGGCAGTGGGTTCAAGGAGACCATGAAAAGATTTTAACAAGAATAGAAATAAAATGTCTTTCTAATTCTTTCTCAAACTTAAAATTAAACTAATCAAGAATCTTTACTTATTGACCAAAGTCTAGTTAGTCTCAACAATAAATCAAACAAGGTAAATCAGTTTTCTAGTTCAAATAGTCTCCAAAGAAAGTTTAAGGGAAAGAAAATGAGGAACATAAATGGAAATGACTGGACATTTCACCAGAGATTCCACAACCACTGACATTTTCTAGTATCATATCATTATCCCAGAAAAGATGCTTTCTTAAGTCTAACCGAAACTTCTTTGGGTAGTATAAATGTATTCCTTTTGGACCTTATACCAGATGTCATTGAGAATAATCTTCACCTAGTCATATGTACTACTCTTCCCTTGTTTGTGATATATGGATTTTATTCTTTATCTTTTCTATTTATAGCCATGGCTCTACTAATGAAAAGAATGTGTTCTAATGCACACATCGTTATTAAAAATCTTTTTGAGAGAAGCAGAACAGTTAAACTCATGTGTAAGTAAAATATTACCTGCCCCTCTCCAGACCTTTCAGCCTTCTCAAGTGGCCCTTCAATCTCTCAGGATGGCCTCCAATGTTGGATTACAAAACAGGCCCTCTCCAACTACCAGATCAAGACGTACCTTCCTCCTAACACCTAAACTTCTTCCAAAATTTGCTGAATTCTAGTGGCAGGATTTTAGCTAAAATATTGCATATATCCCAGGATTCATCTGCATAGCCTTTTTGATGCTATATGTCTCTACACTCACACTTCTGGAAGAGACAATATAAAGAAAACCTACTTTCTTCATCACAGGTACAAATCTGCCCAGTATCTTGACTAGGCCAATTTTCAGCCTCCAAAGATCTTAATTTCACTGTCACTGGAGCTAAGAGGTACAGTTACAGAACAGCAGAGCTGAAAACTTATTCTAGGTGACAGACAATCTGAGATGGGCTGCTATGGTCAAAAAGGAGCTGTGTGACAGAAGGAACTCCTTTGCATCTACACAAATAAGATGTTGCCCTTGACTCATACAGAAAGTACAAATGGCACATGTCATGTGTGATTACCACTTTCTATGAAAATCCATCTACATTGTGAAGTAGGTAATGTAATGGTTATCCACCATGTTTTGCAGATGGGAAAATGGAGGTTATTTCCTGCAAGAAAGAAAGAAGGAAAAGGCTAGCACGGTGGCTCATGTTTGTAATCCCAATGATTTGGGAGGCCAAGGCAGGAGGATAGCATGAGCCCAGAAGTTCAAGAGCAGCCTGCCAGCCTATGCAACATATCAAGACCCTGTCTCACAAAAAAAGAACAACAACAACAACTTAGGGAGATGGAGAAATTAGGGCAAAAGGAGAGAATAATACACAAACTGGCACCTTTGTTGAAAGAGTAAGCTATGGTGTCCAAGAAGATATTCTATATACTTTGATTATCTTTGAGATAAGGATCTTAGGCTTCTTGAGGTTAATGGAGCAATGCTATAATCTAAAGGCAACCCTATTCTAAAGACAATCTTACAGGTAACTGGGACAAAGCCCTGTGTGGCCCCTGGGGGGTGTATCCGTTCGTGAGTATGCCAGTATCCTCCTCCTCACCCGCTGCTGCAGAGACCAATGATTGACAAGATCTGAATACTTTCATTTTTTTTGTTGTCCAGAGTAGCTTTACCAAAAGTTTGTTGTTCTCCAAAGATCTGTTAATGGCAGCATGCTAGGAACTCCATTTCTTTAATCTTTCTTAAATTACTAAATTTTTTGTCTTTATTATATTTTTTAGTAATAATACTCTAAGCCATTGAAAGCAAGACTAGCTTCTGCTTGTGATGGCTGAAGCCAGAAGGGCTCCATAATTATTCTTTTAAATACATTTTAGGTTGTGCTCCTACCTTTAATTCACTTATCACTATGTCTCTACCCAAATCTTAAGGCTATAAAACAAATACTTTGTAAACTCTTTCCAGAAAGAAGTTCAAGCAGAAATGATGTCAGGGCACGAAGAAAATTAGTTCTTTAGAATGGGTAAAAAGGAAAGGAATGAAAGGCTGTGAAGATAAATCTTTGCTTTCAGAGTAGAAGACCACAAAAGCAGCCAGAAATTGAATATTTTTAAAATGTGACAAATGGCTTTATGCTTTTCATATTAGCTATTAACTGCTGAGAGTCATTAGGCATAGTATGCAAAAGGCAATAATTGAATGTTCGAATATCCTGCAGTGCCACAATGGAATTCCTATTTCTAGCATCCACTGTAATTATGAATCATCCTCAGTATATGGGACTTATAGAAGAAATGTTGCCCTCAAATCAAGCTTGCATTGTTCAAGCTATTTTTACCCTTATTTTAACCAATGGAGGTAGACATTCCAATTTACTGAGCATAGAAAAGGTATTGCTTTAGCCACTGTTTGGTATTTTGAAGTACAGGAAGTCTTCTCGAAGGGGTTCAAGGAAATGGGAAAGACAAAAGACTCCAAGTTCCCCAAAGCTCACATTTTCCTAGCCCTCACCAGGCTTTACAGCCTCACCAGGCTTTACATTGTTTTTTCATTACAGCACATGTTGTCTCCAGATCCTTCATCCTCTGCTGCAGGATGTTCTCTCAAGCCATCTTCCTTCCTCTGCCAGGTCATCCCTTGGACCTTAGAGCTGTCAATCTCTTTAGCAACTCCAGAACATACCCTCAACCAGACAAGTCTTTTCTACCTGCATTTAAATTCAACCTACCCACTTCCATCATTTAAACAATTCCTACAACTCTACTTCTTTCAAGAAAAACCACCTTCCAATGAGTAGCCCAACAGAACTAGTTGTCAAGTCCTGAGTTTTAGCTCAAAAACATCAATTATATATTTGCAAGAGTTGGAGTTTAAGTCAAAAAGTTCTTAGGTTTCAGTTAACAACAAACTTAGAATAGACCTGGGTAAATGGGATGCAATTGCCAAAAAAACTCTTAGTCTTAGGTTGCATTAACAGAAGAAACAATAGTCATTTTATATGTGGCATCAATCAGGTGTCAATTAGCACATAATACCTGGAAGGTGTGTTCACATCTGAAGTGTTGGATAAATAGAGCGTACACAAAGTGGGGGATGAGAAAAATACTTAGTGACTTGGAAAACGTATCAAAAAACAATAAAAGCAGCTAGGGATTTTCAAGACCATTGGCCATTTTCCCACCCAGTTTGTTCTTCTTTCTGACGTCTCATTTCCTCCTCTGACAGTATCACTATAACATACAGTAAGTCTCATTATCTACCATGCCTTGTGATGGGCACTGGAGAAATAAGGGTTATTTATTAGGGCCTGGTCTCTGACCCTAGCCCCTGGGGCTTCCAATCACTCATCCTCAGAATCCAAATACTGTGGATTTAAATAGTAAAAGCTATGTCAAAAATACCTCATGACATTTTGTTTGTGATGGGTGGCACTTAAAGTTAATATTATTAACTTTAGTTAATAATATTATTAGAGTGAATATCCTTGTATAGTGGAAAGAACATGAACTTTCCAACCAGGTATAACTGAGTTAAAATTCTATTCTTAGCATTACTACCTGTGACATTTCTTTAAAGTGGGGTTGCATTACATGATTATTAGAACCACTAAAATAACACCGGTAATGGACATAGCATTAGACCCATCCAATAAGTGATGGAATGGGGATTCAAACCCACACAGCCTGACTTCAGAATCCAGGTGAAGGAGAAAAAACTCCATTGTTAGATTAAAACCAGATTGATGTTACAGCTTTGGTCAATGGTCTCTGCATGCCCAATTTATATACATGGAAATAAGCTGCATTATTTTTCAGCAATCTCTAAGAATATTTACCCAACTCATTCTGTACATCTTTGCCATGTGGAAATAGGGCTCTTTGTACCCTAAGAATAATGTACTGGACCTGGCAGAAATTATCATGATGAAAACATTGTGCCTTACTGAGGGTCTTTTCAGGTGATCTCATTTATTCTTTCCAATCCACTTGCTCAGCGCACATGAAAATGGCTATGCTTCTCCCCAAGGCAACTTCTCAAACAAAGACTGTTGCTCTTTCTGTCACCTGAGCTTCATGGATAATTGGAAAGCCTCTGTAGGTGCTGGAAATTCTACAGCAGCTGTTGATTTGCCCTCACCCACAGTAGGAGGAAATGCCATAATTTGTAAAGAAACAAATCTTCACTAAAGTCCGATCAGATGGATATAGATTGTTGCAACCAACCACGCAATGACAAACATGTTCAGAAACCTTCCTTCAGACATGTGGATCCAAACAATCTCTGAAAATAGAGCTAGGTCCCAGACAGGAAGGCTTAACGCAGCTAAAATGATTGCAACACAGCATCACAGGAGGAAGATAAAATGGAATTTCCAAAGGTTTTCATAAAAATGACATTGAGCTGTTGGAGAAATTACAATAGCTACCATTTGAGGGCTTGTTCAATGCCAAGAGTTAAGCTAGGCATTCTACCTCATTTTTTTATCTATCCATTTATTCATGCATTCATTTGAAAAAAAAATGATGAAGCACCTACGGTGTGCCAGGTGCTCTAGTAGGGGCTTGGAATAAAACAATGATATACATGGTTTCTAACAACATAGAAGCCATAATCTAGTGGAAGAGACAAATTTAAAACATATCTGTCAAAAGCAATTTTTCAAATTAAACTTATAATGTACAAAAAAGAGAGTTACTTGGGGTACTGCTATAATTTTCTCTGGAGAAGATACTTGAACTAAGATGTAAAGTACAAGTGGAGGTTACCAGGAGAAAGCAAAAAGAACAGAAGGAATTGCACATGGGAAGGACATTTAAACAACCCTGAAAGGCAAGTGTTGTTGTGCCATTTTACAGCTAAGAACACTTAGGCTCAGAGAGGTGAGTAGCTTGCTTAAGATCACACATGAGCAAACACTGAATCTCCAGATTTGAATTCAAATCATCTTTTTTCCTAAGGAGTTATCTTCTTTATAGAATATATAAAAGGAGCTCTATCCATCCATCATCAGTATATTACCTTTTTAAAAAAGAGATACTTTTCTGTCTCAGGGATTTTTTTTCTCCACATTTATGGATGATAATAGAAGAAAATACCTTACTTTCAAACATGAGATTTGTATTGCTCAGTACACATAACCAAGAGGGACTAGGTTGTATTTGTATCACTAGGAGAATTTTTCTCCTGTCTTTTTCAGAATTCCTTCTGGAAAACCCTCTCACCAGTAATGATTTAAAGCTAACACAATTTAAATAAAATAAAGCAGATATTCTAGTTGGCAAATGAGTGAGTTCCTGGTATCACAGTGATTGATATACCAATGGAGAGAGTTGTGAACACCTGGAGGCCTCAGGGAGTCATTTTTCTATTATGTTTTGAGACATCTTATTCTAGGAACTTCTCTCTGTGCCAGTTTTTTATGGGTTTGCATGGTGATAAGAATAGTGATAATAACAAAAATCCCAAGGGTAGATAATCATTTAGTGGGAGCCTATGCAGCAGCACTTAAGCATTTTATTTATGTTTAAGACATACATCTGCTGAAATCCAGATGTGTCTCATAATCGATGACAATTTACAATTTTTTGTATTTTTTCTTAACTGAAAATAAAATAATCCATGCTATTTATAATCAATGATTTCTTAGAATCAACAAAATATGCAACATAAATTTTGTTTAGTCTTCACACAAACCTGTGAGGAAATTCTAATATAATTTTTTATCTGACAAACAAAAATTGTATATGTTTTACAACCTGTTGTTCTTAAATATGTATACATTGTGGAAAGGCTAAGTTGAGCAAATTAATTTATGCAGTCCCTCACATAGTAATCATTTATTTGTGTTAGAAACACAATGTACTCTCTTAGAAATTTTCAAGAATACAATACATTTAGGCGGGATGTGGTGGCCACACCTAAATCCCAGCACTTTGGGAGGCGAAGGTGGGCAAATTGTTTGATGTCAAGAGTTCAAGGCCAGCCTGGCCAACAGGGTAAAATCTCATCTCTACGAAAAATACAAAAATTAGCCAAGTGTGGTGGAACATGCCTGTAATTCCAGCTACTCGGGAGACTGAGGCATGAGGCATGAGAATCACTTGAACCCGGGAGGGCAGAGGTTGCAGTGAGCCAAGATCGTGCCACTGCACTCCAGCCTGGCCAACAGAGCAAGAACCTGTCTCAAAAAAAAAATGCAATACATTGTTATTGTTATTAACTATAGTCACTACATTGTACAATATAGCTCTTGAATTAATTCCAGTCCAGTATCTTTATTTTACACATAATGAAACAGTCTTAAAATGTGAAGTAACATGTCTCAAGTTACAGGGCTATTAAATGGAGAATTAAAATTCTGACTCAGGTTTTTGTTCTCTACAGTCTTTGAGACAAAATTGTGTTCCAGACATTTGCTTTGAAATGACTTAGAGGAATAGCCAAATGGTCATAACTGGATTAATGTTATCATTTTCTGTTGCCATGTCACTGCATGTACAAATTTATTATGTGTTTGATTTCTCATTTGTGCAGCATGGGGGATGTTTTGGATTGTATACTAAAAAGAAACTTGGAGTTAGGTTTTAAAATAAAGGATGAATAAAACTCCACTTAAGTTCATATAACACAGCAATTTAGAATAGAAGCTTTGAGTCACACAGCTCAGATTTAAATTTTGTTCTTCAACTTGCTAACTTTACAATCTTGGGCAAATCATGTACCTTTTCTGAATCCCAGTTCATCATATATTATATGGTACATGAAATGTATTTAAACAAACATTTACAGTGTCCCTTCGAATAGGCTAGAAAACTGCAGCCAGAGAGTAAGCAGATGCACAAGTCACTAATTCCCTTAGAATACTGCAGACAGCATGCATGGTATGAGCTACAGCTAAACACACCATGGAGTTAGGCACTGGGAGAAGGTCCCCTCTCCACAGGGTGCTGAGGAAATGGAGCACCTGTTCCACAGCGGCATTCTTCCCATGAGTTCTAGTCTGCCCTAGGTTATGCCTCCATGTTAGTCCAAGCTCCTGACAGCAACTCCTCTAGCAAGCAAATGGCCCAGTGCAGCAAGCATTTCTTGCTGCAAGCTATAACTTGTTGATAGAAGGTTCAGAAGTTGCATGAAAATTTTAAATATCAATACTGAAGTTAAGGCTTGTTTTGAGAATTAGAAAATGTAAGTGTTCAGCAGTTCCTGAAGGATGGTATGATTTCAGTTAAAGTTAGTGATATGACTTAATGATGATAGTAGTGATGATGATGACGATGGTGATTATAATGTTCACTATCATGATTATTGGAATGACTACCGCATCTTAAATTCCATTTAAACACATTGTACATTTACTGTAAGTTAGGCACTGTGCTAGAGTTAGGCACTTTAATAGACTAAATAGATTTCACAAAAACCTTGAAAAGGCTATTGCTATCTCCTCTTTGCAGATGAAAAATGTTGGGTGTCAGAGGCGATACCGTGGTCTTCTAATTCCAGGCATTCCATTACACTATAAACTCTTCTCAAGAGTCCTTCCTATTAAAAAATTGACATAGGCTCATTTTTTCTGAATAAGATTTTATATTTCAAAATGTTATACGCATTTTTAATGTTTATTTACTACCTTAAGCAAGGAATTTATTGAAAAACATGACAATAAGTGAGTAGTCAGAGACAAAATTTTGTTTTTCTTCTTTCAAAACCCAACAAATCCATTAGAATAGCTTCTATGGAAAATTCTGCCAACAGCATATATTGGTGAGGATTTAGAGCAACTGAAACTCTCATAAATTGCTAGTAGGGAAACTAGCAATTTCTTGTGAATATTTATCAATCCTGTGACCCAGTAATTCCACTTCTAGGCATTTACCCAAAAGAAGTAAAAATAAATGTCCAGAAAAAATGTGTGTGTGTGAATATTCATCATCACTTTATTCATAGCAGTCCAAATACAAACAATTCAAACGTTCATAACTAGAAGAATGGACTAAACAAGCTGGGATAAACTTGTATAGTGGAAATCCTAAAACTCATTTTTCTGAGTGAGAGAAGTACAACAGTATATGCTCTGGTTTCATTCCCATAAAGCTCTAGAATAGGCACACCTGTTCTATGGTGATGGTATTCAAAATGGTGGTTGCCTCAGTTTAGGGGATTAACTGAGAGGAGACATAAAGAAATGTTCTGGGGTAATGGAAATGCTCGCTGTTTAAATACAGTGTGGGTTAGATGGGTATTGTCAAATCTCATTAATTATAACAGTTACAATCTGTACATTATACTATATATAAATTACACCGACCGATAAAAAAGAAAACAGAGCAGGGGCTGTAATTAAGTTTTTTGGTCAGACTAGCATTTCACTTTATCTCTTGAGATTGATGATTAGTTTTATGAATAGCCATAAAAAACAATTCTAACATTATTTTTATTGCTAAAGTTCCAGCCCCAGCTGCTTTTACCTCTATGGCAGATACTGGTAATAATTACTCTCCAATATCCAATCATTCCTCTGTTACTGTAACGCTCAAGTTTAGCTGGGCAAATGGACCACCAGCTGAAGACCACACTCCCCAGCCTTTCTTGAAGCTAGATGTGGATATATGATTAAGTTCTGTCTAACTGACAGTAAGTAATGTGTGCAACTTCTAGATTATATCCTTAACAGGCAAGGAGAGTGCTTTGTTCTCTCCTTTTCTCTTCTCTGCGACCAAGATGTACTCCTAGCAGATGTGATGTTCACCCAACTTCAAACATGTGGATTTGACAAGGATGGAGCCTTAAGATAAAGGGAGATTGGGTTCTTACCCTGTCAAGCCACCAACACAGGCACAGACCACCTACCAAACCTTCTAAAGGAGAAAGAAATAAAATTCTCTCATTTACACTACTGTATCTGGGGAGTCTTTTTTGTTATAGTCTTCTAGTCTATATCCTAATTAATACAACCACCATATGCAGCTTCTGTAGGACCTTGCTTTGGGAATCCACTAACATCTGCCTGAGAAGATTACAGAAAAATCTGATGTAGAGGTCATTGTCACACGAAATCCTTAGCACCCACAAAGGAACTTTCAGCCCCAAAATGAGGCAGCAGCTCTGAGAGCTACACAGGGTAGACCACAGCCCCAGGTACCCTGTATGGCTCACAAGCATCCTCATCGACATTACATCCCAGGTGTGGAAAAGTTATAGAGTTGGCAGCTGGACCTTCATAGTGAGCCTCTCAGCCTGCACGTCTCCAGAGGAAGAACTATCAAACCAACTGGACTTCCCTCCTTACTGTTATCTTTCCTGACTCCCCAGAGAGATCATTTTCCTCTCAATCTGACCTGACTCTGAAAGTTTCATTCCATCTCACCAGTTTACATTTTGTTTATTTCAGTTTCCTTTGCTTCTGGTTTTGACACAGTGAGCTTGTTAGAGCTTTCAATGCTTTTTAATCTGCCCTTGCCTTACTCTCTGGATCAATGCTGACTCTCTTGACATGAGTGTGCCAGGAGACTTAATTAACCACTTAGATATTTCCTTACACATTGCAGTTCCCAAAGTACATTCACTTTTTACAGCACATGTTTTTCTTCAAACAAATCTTCAGTTAAGCAGAAAATTTTTGGTATCTCTTATTTACACATGAGATACCTGAAGCACAGTGAAAATAATACATCCAAGATTGCATAAAGAAAGAGATGGTGCAAAACTGGAACTCCTGACTATAAGTCTAATGCTCTGCTCACTAAACTATGATCTAATCCTTGGTGTCCTGTTTAAAAATGCAGGACAATAGACATAAGCAGAGCACTCATCTCTAAGCAAAGGGATAATGAGTGAAGACAAAAGAGGATTTTAAATTCCTGCAAATTAATCTTCCTTCCCTGTTTTGGCAAATGCCATCACCATGAATCCAGCCATCTAAGACAGAAAAACTGTCTTCACCCAAGACATTTCTCTTCAAATTTCCCCACTCAATTATTTGCCAAGTTATCTTCTTTTAACCTCTTTCCAATTTCAAATAAATATGCCTCACCCCTTTATTTTTATTATTTGTGATTAGACCTTTATAATATACAGCCTGATTTAATCAATACCTTTATAACTTTTATCTTCGTCTCTATTTTTTCTCTCCTCCAATCCATTCTGCACATCACTGCCACATGATCTTTCTATAAGACAAATCTGGCCCGGGCATTTTCTGCTTGAGCTACTTTAATTGCTTCCTTTAATTTTCTGAATGAAATTTACATTCTTTATCATTGCATGCAAGGCTTTTCATTTTTGTGCTCCCATACACTTCTGCAGATTTCTTTCTTCTCTTTCCCTGCATTCACCCTTTGTTCTGTCCATAATGAGCTACTTAAAGCTCCTCTAATGCCTCATTCTATTTCCTATGTCTATGCCAAGGTTCAAAAACTCAAATATATTTACAGGTCAAGCAGATAACATAAGCATGTATAACATCCTACGTGTAAGGTAATAGAGATCAGCGCATGAAAAGCACTTAAATTCAAATTTAAAACACTATGCTGAACTCGAACAGACTGCTTTGAAGAACTATTCCAATTGCAAGCAGAGAGATTATAACCCTTGATTGTGCTCCTCCCTATATACTGTTTCATCTATCAGCAGTATCTCTATTCCCTTCTTCTTTGTCTCACTCATTCCAACTAATTCTTCAATACAGTAGTGCCCCCTATCTGCAAGCGATGCATTCCAAGCCCCTCAGTGGATGGCTGAAGCCACAGATAGTACAGAACTCTATGTTCACTATGTTCTTTTCCTATACATACATACCCATGATAAAGTTTAATTTATAAATTAGGCACAGTAAATTAACAACAAGAATAATAAAATAGAACAACTATAACAATATACTGTAATAAAAGTGTGAATGTGGGCTCTCTCTTTCTCTCTCCAAATATATGACTGTACTCACCTATTTTAGACTATGACTGACCACAGGTAACTGAAACAGTGGAAATCAAAACTGCGGATAAGGGGAGCTACCCCACTCAATTTAGTCATTGCTTTCTCTGACCACAGCCCTCCTCATTTTGGATAAGCTCTCTCCTAAAGTGTCCCTTCTTCATTATTCTGCTACCTCTATTACTATGTGAGATCCTAAAGGCAGAGCAGTTGGCTATGTGTTATTTAACCTGAACTTCCAGTGCGTAGCATACAAGTGTGATGCTCAATAAATATTTTAGTGGATGACTATATGAGTAAATCAATTTATGCCTGGATGGGATAAATGACAATAAATGAGTGACCTGAATATATGATTGTGACCTACATATCTATAATATCTATATTGATAAGAATGAATTTTTCCCCTCACTTTCACTTTATTCTCAACAGAGAAAGACTGTTTATTACTGCTCTGAGGTAATGCTTCTCTTTAAGGTCCTCATATTCTACTTTTTATTTTAAGGAGCTGAATATCAGCAGTCTGGCTTTAAACAGAAATGCCCTTTCCTCCTGAAAATCACAATGAAGATTTTGTTTTGCTTTGTTTTGCAGTTAAGTGACTGTCATTGGATAGTGTATAATAGAGAAATGCCACATCAGAATTTCATTTTCAAACAAATACCACATCATAAAGAAGCAATTAAACATTAAGATCATAATCTCTTCATCAACAATCTACATGTGTATAAAATAGTAAATTAGTGGAGATAATGGGATCATAATTGGCTTGGAAATTAAGGTTGGTGAAATAACACCATGAGATGGGCTTCACAAGGAATGAAGGAGACAAATTTTCAGTGTCAATGGTGCAGAGAAAAGAAAGTGCCTGGCAGAAAGAATTCTTATAGGACATGCTGTGCCTTAGAGAGCTCAGTAACAAATTGGGTTGGAGGCAAGAAGAGCTAACCAATCCATTATTTCTAGAAGAAAGGAATGGAGGATTCACTTTCTTCCTTGATGGGCTGGGTGCTTCATAAGTAGTGGATGCTAAATAACTAGGAAACCATAGCTTTATTGAATAGCATGGAAGCAAAAATAGAGAAGCATCCATGAAGTTAGAACTGAGCTCCCAAGGCAGATCTGTGAAGGGAATAAGGGGCATCAAGCTGCTGCCTAGTTAGAATGAGATCATTAGAGGAACGTGATTATAATCAAGCCACTTTTGTGCATGACACCAGGATCCCACATCTGCCTGAGACTGCAAGCTCTGAAGAGATGCTGATTGAAGTTGGAAAAAATGATAAGAGTAAATTGGAGCCAGATAAACAATTTTGCTTTGAATTAAGTGATGAGTGTACCTCAGAATAGAGAGCAGCCTACTGTAGAAACAGGGTCAAGAGGGACTATCAAAAGCTCCTTTGTTCTAGCCCCTTACTTTCCGGAAGAATGACACCTAATCCAACACAGGTGAAAGTTAAGCTATGCCTAACTTACAGCAAAGGAGTTCCACTAAGCCTTCTAGGCAATGGTTTATACAAATATTTACCTGATAGGCAAATAAGAGTGAGTGCCACGCTTTTCCCTCCATTTACTGGGGGAAATTCTGAAGACAGGAAAAGTTGCAAATGTGTGGATTTTCTGCTACCCATCACAATCTGGGGCAGCACACAGGCATCTAGCTGGCCTGACAGACTCTTGGAGGCAGACCATGACCCTTGGTCCTTGGGACTTTTAGGTTGCATGACTATAGAAGCACCAACTCTTAAACGGATATAATCAAGGGCTGGAGTCCAAGTCTTGTAGTTTCAGCAACATGACCTGAAAAGAACTTCGGCCTTTAGCCCCATTTTATGACCTCTGCATTTGTGGTTGGAAAAGACACTTCCCCCTTTGGTGTAATTAGAGAGTTGAGGTTTCACGCCACTCACCAACCCAAAACCTTTTAATGGCCTTCCACTGCCAGTAAGATAAAATCCACAGTGCACCATGGCATTGCATGGCCTTTGTGGATCTGAGCCCTGCCTATATGTTCAAACTGATCCAATCCTGCTCCCTCATCTATGCCCTATACTTGGGCAAACTGTGTGCCCAACCTTTACATATCTCTTTCCCTTTGCATATATAATTCACTTTGCTTGCAATATTCCCACCCAAACATACCTATGATGGTTGTGGGGTGGGGATTCTTACCCACCCTTCAATGCCTGCTCTGATGTATCCTCCTCTTATAACGACATAAATCACCTCAACAGAACTGCTTCCTCCCTTTCTGTGGCCACCATGCTCCTCATAAATTCCTTTATCATGTAACATATGAATTGCCATAAGTAAAGCACTTACAACAGTGCTTTGCAAATAGAGTACATTCAATGAATGTTATATGGTATAATGTTTTGTCATAGAATTTTGCAATTATCAGTCTATTACTGCCTTATCTTCACTTCTAGACTAGGAAAATGCTGTACGGGAAAGGAATGTAAAGTGTTTATCTTTGTACTCCCAGCACTTTCTCACCAGCATTGTCATCAGTTAGAATATAATTTACTCTCCCTTATTTTTATTACCCGGTAAAGAGAGATTATTGCATTATTAATTGTTTTTCAAGGAAGAAGTATTTGGGCTCAAATTCTAACTCTGTCATTTACTACCTGGAAATGTATAATTCTAAACTCCTTAGATCCTCAGCTTCCTCATCTGTAAAACAGGGGAAAATATTTGCATTTTAAGTTTTTTCTTAGGCTTATGTGAGGTCATTTTTATTAAGTATGTGACACATGGCAGGACTGCTATAAATGTACAACTCTGAGCTAGAGTTGAAGATGAAGGTCATCAGGATGCTGGAGGTAGAAGTGTGTTAACAGAAAGAATTTATTAAAAGAGAGAATTTTTTCAAACTTTGGAGTTACAGAAAGAAATGAGTCATACAAACTTTTTCTGACTACCTTGCTCTTTTACTGTGAAATACAAAAGGATGAAATTGTGTGCACTTGGCAAAGATTCTTACCCTTAATGTGAAACTTGAGGAAATCCAAAATGCAATCTTAAGATTTTTAAATCAGATCCAGAAGTAGAGCGTTCATCTCCTTTGGAGAGTGACTCAATGAAAAAAGTACTTGAGCTCAAAGGAAAAGAATTTAGCACATGAAACTTGAAAGAATAATACTTCCCTTTGAAACTGGTGCTGGAGGAATAAGAAAAATTTCAGTTTTGGGGTGAGTCTAGTTCTCTCTCTCTCATATATATATCATATACCTCTCTCACACTCCCTTCTTCCCTCCTCTCTTTTCCTTTTTGAAAAGCAACTATATCTAAATGAATCAGCATTTTAAGCATAAAATACTGAAGACTTTAATTTGCAGTAGAATCATTCAAGGTAAAAATCCTATGTTTTGTTGCCATGCCTTTCTTTTGGATTGAGGACTTACAAAAGAAACTCATTCTATGAAATGAAGACAAAAGAGCAGCCCCTAGTTATTTAGCAGTCACTACTCTGGGGTTTTAATGGCCTCTGTGGTGATTCGTGGTGCAAAGCATGGGCGTGCATTTAATATCTTTCCATCTTCCTGTCAGGTTTTCCTGTGTTCTTAGGCACAGCAGCCTATTTCCTCAGAATGCAGCCTCACATATTCTCCTTTTGCCTTCCAGTTGTTTTTTTGTTTGTTTGTTTCTGAAGGTTAACAGTTCAAAAGTTTACATTACTCTACCAATTAGGACATTTTATTTACTTTGCACTATTTCTACTGACACAAATTTCATCATGAAAAAGAGACAGATGTTATAACTCACACTTACAGAGAATGAAACTGATAATTTTACAAGTCAAGTGACTCTACCCAATACTACATAATACCTATGCTCGACCTAGGATCTCCAAGGGCAAGACTTGGTCCATTATAACAGCAAGTGCTGGCTGGGTGTGGACAGGACCATGGTGCCTAAGTGTCTGGCTCTAAACTCCAGGTCCACCTCACTAAGTGTTTAGGGTTACATCATTGGTGTAATAGCATCATCTCTTGCTTCATATTTTCTGCTCAACTACAAGATGCCCTTTGTAATAAAGTTTATTTCTGGAAGGATGCAAAACTCACAAACTTCTCCCCACCTATGCCACAAACACTACTATTACTACAAGTTTTTCTAATTTGTGCTCTATCCTCGACACTTCTCAATTTTTCGTATGAGTTGAGGAAGGAAAGGAGGGACAACAAAAGAGGAATGGGAAGCCCAATTCTCTGGGTTGAAAACTGATTACAGCTCATGTCTAGTTTATTATTTTCCACCTTTGAAAAGTTGTCAGGAGCTGGAAGTTTTGGCTACAAACTCGCCTCAATCAGTGCTGTGCATTTCCTACAAGAGTAAAGATGTTAAACCCAGAGCCCTTCTGCTCATTTTCTCGCCCAAGGATCTAATTGAATTTGACTCATTTAGTGTCCAAAGCCACATAGGAACAATTTGTTGCTCTTATTTTATTTTATTTATTTATTTTTATTTGTCTTATTTATTTATCAAGACGGAGTTTCTCTTTGTCGCCCAGGCTAGAGTGCAGTGGCGCGATCTCGGCTCCCTGGCTCCCTGCAAGCTCCGCCTCCTGGGTTCACACCATTCTCCTGCCTGAGCCTCCCGACTCCCGAGTAGCTGGGACTACAGGTGCCCGCCAACACGCCCGGCTAAATCTTTTTTTTTTTTTTTTTTTTTTTTTTTGTATTTTTAGTAGAGACAGGGTTTCATCATGTTCGCCAGGATTGTCTCGATCTTCTGACCTTGTGATCCACCCACCTCGGCCTCCCAAAGTGCTGGGATTACCAGCGTGAGCCTCCACGCCTGGCCTGCTCTTATTTTAAATGCAAGTGAGACAAGAAAGAAAAAAAGGAAATAAAGACAAAAAGAGAGGAAAGAGGAAGAGAGGAAGAAAGGAAGGGAGGGAAGGAGGGAAGAGGAGTTCATCTGGTTCAACTTGAGTCATTCTCCACATTAGGGTCAATCATCTTTGGCCAGAGCAGAGGGGAGCTGGTACAAATACAGATATTTAGGTTGACTCTTTTAGCAAGAACTAACAAAATCTATTGGAAAAAAAGACAAGGATTGAGATAACACAAATATAGGTGCCACACAGGTAAAGGAGTAAAACATAAAGCTTCTTGCACAGAATTCCAGGATCTGTCTGGGAATATAGGTCACAGTGAGTCAGCTTGGTGTTTAGCATCTGAGGGCTAAGAAAGAGCCCTTCCTGGACTAAGGAATCTTTGCAGGAGTGGGGATAAGAGTAGAAGAAAGGTAAATGCAAGATAGCCAGACTTGTCTGTTAAACTAAACCTTGTAACTGGACCGAATTCCTATACTTAGGCCATGAACCTTATAACTTAGGCCAGTTATAACCCTGTAATTGGTCTGAATTCCAACACTTAGGCCATGTACCTGTACACTAACATATATTTGGTGCCCTGAGATCCTGAGTTACTACAACACAGAGTCAAACTTACTTGACAATAGTTATTGAGAACTTTGTACTTTTCTAAAACGGGACAGAATAAAAGAAAATGAGGGCCGGGAGATGGGAGATGTTTTGTACATATTTGGGGAGTTGAAGAATTTATGTTGAAAACTGAGGAGGTATCATTTGGGGGATTTTAACTTTTATTTATAACCTAGATGACCCTAGAGTTGACTAAAATAAAGCAAGACTGGTGCTATCAATCCAGCCTAAAATACATTAATGAGTCAACTCATCTCAAAACCCAAGAACCCATTTATTTACACACATTTGACCAAAAATAGCAACAATAATAAAGAAGATCCACCACCTATTTTTCTTCTGTAATATCTAATGTTTGGTCCCCAGCCTGGGCATTCCTATTGTCCACGTGTTTCCCTTTTAGAAACACATGATTGGCAACCACACCTATAACATAGCTTGCTTATTTCTAAAATAAATAGAAAAATATTCATAGAATGGAAGAGCATAAACAAAATAGAATAAGGATAAAGGTGAGATGATAATAAAGAATAATAATTAAATAAGAACTATATTAGTAATGGAATTAAAAGCACTTTATAAAATGCTGTATAATTAAGAATAAAAATACCACTTCCAAAACCTCTAGATAATGTGTATTATTGAACATAATGCAGGAATCATTAAGACAGGGACCATTATACCAGATCTGAAAAATCTCCAAATCAGCTTTTGGGAGTCTGGATTTCCCCAGTTTGGCTGCCCTCATCACCACTGTATCAATGCTAGGACTTTAGCTATCATTCACAACTGTGTGGAACTAGCTTTGAAATTTCTCCATAACACAGTGTTGTAATCAGACACATTCAAATTTGGTATTTCAAAAGTCATTGTCTTCTCATAGAACAAATGGAATCTGATACTGTCTTGAATATTATGACAGATGGGCTCATCATTTCATAGCAGATGGCAAGATGATTAGGCTAAACTCTGAAATCTTAAATACTAGAATATAAACACCTGTCCAACAGCTAAGGACACTGAAAATATCCTTTCATAAATTCTGAATTTGGGGGTGATATTTGTTCAAAACTCATATATTTTTTGCTCCAGGAATTTTGGTTTTCCTTAAAACAAATACATTCCATTGTGAATTGGCTTGGTGTCAGGCTGACCTAAGTTTGAATTTGGCTTTGCTGTTTTCTAATGTATGATGAGATATTTCAACCCAGTTTCCTCATCTGTAAAGGTGGGTTAATAGCACTTGCTTTATGGGACGTAGGGGAAAATTTAGTGAGATAGCACATATAAAATAACTTACAGATATTCACTCCCTACAAACACCTTTCTTTACTGACAAACAGTAAAATGATTCTGTATTTATAGCTGAAGACAATATAGTACGTTTTATTAATACAAATATTATTTTCTATATTCTAAGGTAAAAATTTTAATATACAAACTCTAGGAAATAGAAAACAACATGTGATAGAATAAATGCAGATATAAGTATACCACATGCAAACATATATATGGAAGATATACAAAGTCATCTTTATGCAACTCTAATTACAGATTTTAAAGCATTTCTGCAATGATTATTTTATTTGATCCTCAGTATCATTGAGAAAAGCAGCATTATCTCCATCTAAATACAATTTTAAAGCTGAAACAGAAAATTAATTAATTTGACCAATGCTGCAAAAGACAAAGTCAAACCTGAAAACCTAGTCTTCTGGGTCTAGACCCAGTTCCAAATGAAAGAGATTCCGAAGACTTTCTCATTCAGAGTCTCTGCTGTCTATAAATGCTTTTCTCCAGATTTGTTTTGTTTTGTTTGGTGGACATTATTGGTTATGTTTTCAACATCCACATCCCCTTCTATCCATCAGCAGTACCCAAAGTTTTGCATTGGGGGAATCATTAATCACATATTCTCAGCCATTCTGAGTACTATTGATGCACCTCAGATACAAAGTAGTGTCAGACTGGTCCAAAATAATTCATGTATTTAATCCCCATGACTTGAAGAATAGATTTTAGAAACAGGCACAGGACCCAGTCAGATTCAAAGAAAAGCAAAGTGACTTTTGCTGAGTAATCTGAGAAAGCACAGATTCCTCTTTTTGTTTGTCTTTTTGAAAACTCTCTTCCTCCAGAGGGTGTGGCATACATATGTCAGGACTAGAACTGGAGCAGCCATTCGCAGAGATTGCAAAGTCAGATCCTTGTTGGCACCATTGGCCCTGAATCAGGCTGGTATTGAATTATCACTAAACTATCAGTTACATTTACTAATGAATTCTCTTTATTGTTCAAGCCAATTTGAATTGGATTTTCTTTTCTTGAAACATAAAAAGCTATGTTAAATGTTGTGGCTAAACTTTTGGCAGTAGGAAATAGATACTTTTTGAGATCAACATTTGAAACCCTGGAGAAATATGCCTCTAAAATGCCATTTTGAGTCAATTTTGAAAAGGGTTTGCTTTTCAAAACTTTGCAAACAACCTTCTAATGAATGCACCTGACTATCATTCCATCAACCTATGAAGGATTTAACAAAATTTTGAATCAGGCTATGGAAGGAAAAAACATAAAACTTATGCCTGATCTTGAGGAGCTTATAAACTGGTTAAGTGAGTAGGGCTAGCATATGGGATATAGTGAAAAGTACCAGATTATATGATTATGTTAAGTGATATAGGGGAAATTTGAGGGTCTACACACAAACTAGAAAACCTAGAAGAAATAGATAAATTTCTGGACACATACAACCTCCAAAGACTGAAACAGAAAGACATTGAATCACTGCACGACCAATGCCAAGTTCTGAAATTGAATCAGTAATAAAAAGCCTACCATCCAAAAAAACACACATAAAAAACTGAAAAAACAAAAAACCATAGGATCAGATAATTCACAGCTGAATTCTCCAGATGTACAAAGAAGAGCTGGTACTATTCCTACTGAAACTATTCCAAAAATGTGAAGAGAAGGGACTCCTCCCTAACTCATTCTGTGAGACCAGCATCATCTTGATATCAAAACCTGGCAGAGACACAACAAAAAAGAAAACTTGAGGCCAACATTATTGATGAACATAGATGGAAAAATACTCAGCAAAATACTAGCAAACCAAATTCAGCAGCACATCAAAAAGCTGATCCACCATTATCAAGTAGGCTTCATCACAGGGGTGCAAGATTGGTTCAACACTTGCAAATTAATAGATGTGATCACTTAAATAGAACTAAAAACAAACACCGCATGATTATTTCAATAGATGCAGAAAAGGCTTTCAATTAAATTCAATATCCCTTCATGTTAAAAACCCTCAGTAAACTGGGCATTGGAGGAACATACATCAAAATAAAAAGACCGATCTAGGACAAACCCACACATAATATCATACTGAATGGGCAAAAGCTGAAAGCATTCCCCTTGAAAACCAGAACAAGACAAAGATGCCCTGTCGCACCACTCCTATTCAACATAATACTGGAAGTCCCAGCCAGAGCCATCAGACAAGAGAAAAAAGAGGCATCCAAATAGGAAGAGAGGAAGTAAAACTATCTCTGTTTGCAGATGACATAATTCTATACCTAGAAAACCCCATAGTCTTTGCCCAAAAGCTCCTTCAGCTGATAAACAACTTCAGCAAAGTTTCAGTATAAAAAATCAATGTACAAAAATTAGTAACATTCCTACACACCAACAACATCTAAAAAGAGAGGCAAATCAGGAATGCAATCCCATTCACAATTGCCACAAAAAGAATAAAATATCTAGGAATACAGATAACTAAGAGGTGAAAGATCTCCACAATGAGAATTACAAAACACTGCTCAAGGAAATCAGAGATGACACAAATGAAAAAACATTCATGCTCTTGGATGGGAAGAATTGATAGCAAGTTTCCTCCTATCAAACTACCAATTATATTCTTCACAAAATTAGAAAAAAACTATTTTATAATTTATATGGAACCAAATAGCCAAGGCAATCCTAAGTAAAAAGAACAAAAATGGAGGCTTCATGTTACTCAACTTCAAACTATATTACAAGATTACAGTAACCCAAACAGGATGGTAATGGTACAAAAACAGACACATAGACCAATGGAACAGAATAGAGAGCCCAGAAATAATGATGCACACCTACAACCATCTGATCTTTGACAAAGTCAACAAAAACAATCTGTTCAAGAAATGGTGCTAGGGTAACTCCTTAGCCATATGCAGAAGATTGAAACTGGACCCTTTCCTTACATCATATACAAAATCAACTCAAGATGGATTACAGACTTAAATATAAAACCTAAACTGTAAAAACCCTGGAATAAAACCTAAGAAATGCCATTCTTGACATAGGATCTGGCAAAGATTTCATCATGAAAATGCCAAAAGCAACTGCAACAAAACAAAAACTGACAAATGAGACCTAGTTAAACTAAAGTGATTCTGCACAGCAAAAGAAACTATCAGCAGAGCAAGCAGACAACCTACAGAATTGGAGAAAATAATTTGCAAACTATGCATCTGACAAAGGTTTAATACCCAGCATCTATAAGGAAAACACATTTACAAGAAAAAAAAAACATTAAAAACTGGTCAAAAGACATGAAGGCACTTTTCAAAAGAAGACATACATGTGGTCCGCAAGCATATGAAAAAAAATTCTCAATATAACAGATCATAAGAGAAATGCAAATCAAAACCACAATGAGATACAATCTCACATTAGTCAGAATGCCTATTAAAAAGTCAAAAAACAAAAAAAAACAGATGCTGGCAAGGTTGCAGGAAAAAAGGAACACTTTTACACTGTTGGTGGGAGTGTAAATTTGTTCAGCCATTGTGAAAAGCAGTGTAGCAGTTTTTCGAAGAAATTAAAACAGAACTACTATTGGACCCACCAATTCCATTACTGAGTATATACCCAAAGGAATATAAATCATTCTGCCATAAAGACCCTGTATGCATACGTTCATTGCAGCACTATTCACAATAGCAAAGACATGGAATCAACCTAAATGCCCATCAACAGTAGAATGGATTTTAAAAATGTGGCACATATATGGAATGGCCCACTATGGAATAATACACAGCCATTAAAAAGAGTGAGATCACGTCCTTTGCAGCAACATGGATGAAGCTAGAGACCATTATCCTAAGCAAACTAATCCAGGAACAGAAAACCAAATATCTTATGTTCTCACTTATGAATGGGAGCTAAACAATGAGAACACATGGACACATAGAGGGGAACACCAGACACTGGGGCCTACTTGAGGGTGGAGGGTGGGGGGGGGGGAGAAAATTTTTTAAAAATACCTATTGAGTACTATGCTTATTACCTGGATGACTAAATAATCTGTATACCAAGTTCCCATGACATGCAGTTTACCTATATAACAATCCCTTACATGAACCCCTAAACCTAAAATAAAAGTTAAAAAAAAAAAATTCTTAATGCAAGAGTGAGTTTGGTAGAATTAGGAAAATATTCATAGAATAGTTGAAACAAGGAGAGTTCTAATGTTGCAACCACAGATATTAATAGGTACAGGAATGCTGACAAAATTGTCAGGTAATTTAAAAATAAATAAATAAATTAGTATTTAAGATGTATGGTACTTTCCCCATATCCTTAATATTTTACTACTACCTGTTTCACTAGCCATGTAACACAGGGAAAGAGAGCTAAAAACCTAATGTCTTATTTTCATTCTAATATTTACTGGTTTTTAAAACTTTTAAATTTGAAATAATTATAGATTCTTAGGAAATTGCAGAGATTTTACCAAGAGATTCCATGCATTCTTTATCCAGTTCCCCCAACTGTGTATAGTTCTTTGCCATTTTATCACGTGTGTAGATTTGTGTAATTATCACCTCAATCAAGATACAGACCTACTCTATCACACCACCAAGACTTCCTTCATGCTACTCCCTCCAGCCATCCCTAAATGCTGTCAACTACTAATGTGTTTATCTCTATAATGTTGTCATTTTGAGAAGGGGTTATATAAATGAAACTCATTTCATTCTTTTTTGTGTTCTATTTATTTTTTCCTTTCCTTGCTTTTCTGTGAGTTATTTAGACATCTTTTAAAATTTTATTTTGACTTGTCTATAGTTTTTTGAGTATATCACTTCACATAGCTTTTTTAGCGGTTGCTTTTAAGTATTGTACGTATATAACTTATCAGTCTACTATTTGACATTTTACTAATTCAAGTACAAAAAAAACTTACCTGTCTTTATGCCTTATTACTCTTCCATATTTATAATATTATTTTCTGAAATATTTCTTCTATATACATTGATAATCATATTAAATGGTGTGATAATTTTTGCTTCAACTATCAGGTAGAATTTGAAAAATTCAAGAGAAGGAAAGCTTATTGTATTTACCCATATGTTTTCACTCTTCACATTTTTTCTTCCTTTCTTACGTTCAAAAAGTCCTTCTTCTATAATTTATTTTCTACACACTGAGCTTCTGTTAGCAAGTCTTTTATGGCAAAACTACTTGTGACAGGTTTTCTTAATTTTCCTTCATCTGAGAATCACTCAATTTTTTCTTCATTTCTGAATGATATTTTTGCTAAATATAAAATTCTAGGTTGACAGTTCTTTTCTTTTAGCACTAGAAAATGGTATGTCATTTCCTTCTGGCCTTTACTTTTCTGCTATAGTTTGAATTATTTTTTCCTATAGGTAGTAATTTCTCTCCTGCTGCTCTCAATATTTTTTGTTTTGTTTTTACAGTTTGATTATGATGTACCTTACATGGATTTTGGGGGATTTATCCCATGTGAAACTCATTTAACTTCTTGAATCTTTACATTTGTGTCATTTGCCAAATTTGGGAAAATTTCAGCCCATTACTTCTTCATATACTTTTTTCAGCTCTACACTCTTTCTCCTCTCCTCTATGACTCTGATGATTCAAACATTAAATCTTGTGTTGTAGTCCCACAGTTTCCAGAAATTCTGTATTTTTAAAATCTATTGTCTCTGTTTTACAGATTGGGTAATTTCTATTGTTCTATATTCAAATTCTCTACTATTTTCTTCTGGCCTTTTCATTCTGCTGTTGAGCTTACCTACTGAGTTTTTTATATTAGTTATTCTATTTTTCAGTTCTAAAATTTCTAGTTAGATATCCTTTATATCTTTTATTTCATTCCTAAAACTTTCTATTTTTTCTTTTTCTTTCAACATCACTAAGATAAAATTGACAAATAAAAATGGTATATATTTAAGTTGTACAATGTGATGTTTTGATACATGTATACATTGTGAAATAATTAGCATACTCAAGCTAATTAAAATATCCTCCACCTTGTATAGCTTAGTGATGTGTGTGTGTGTGTGTGTGTGTGTGTGTGTGTGTGTGGTAAGAACATTAAAAATCTAATCTTTCAGAAAATGTAAAGTATCTACTCTTTTATTTGTTTCAAATGTATACATAATCATTCACTGGGGATTTTTTTTTTGTGATGCTGCTTTAAAATCCTTACCAGATAATTCTAATATCTGGGATCAAGGAAGACTCCATATGGCCTTTTATGACCCAGCCTCTGAAATCACATAGTATAATTTCCACTGTACTCTACTGGCTGAAGTTCTGTTGGTTAAGCAGTCATAAGCCCATTCAGATTCAAGGTAAGGGGGCAAAGAGCATATATCACAATGGGGAGTATGCAGATATGTCAAAGAATATGCAGATATGTTATATAACCACCACACATTATTATATTTAATCTTGACAACAACCCTGTGAGATGGGCTAAAGAAGTTTTACAGATATAGAGAGTCATACACAAAGACATTAAGGAACTTGCCTGAAATCACTTAGCTAGTAGATGGCAGAACAAGGATTTGAATCCACTTTCTGAGTGCAAAGCCTATGCACTTACTCATTAAATGCTAAGATAATGATGTGCTGCTTTGCAATTAAAAGGGCTTTTTCATCGGTTCATGTGTTTCACACAGAAATACTGTGAAACAGAAAGTGAAGTTAGCATAATTTCCATTTTATAGATGAACTGGTAGAGCCGGAACTCAAATACAGGTGTTCTAACTTTCATTAAGACTTGTTGCACAGCATTATCCTGCTGTACCTAATGCTAATCTCTAATGATAGCAGTGCCCAGCTCCAGTTAAATAGACACAACTTCATAAAACTGTCTGTTGTGTATAAGCCAAGTCCATACTATTTTTATAATGTAATGCTGCCAAGAAGGGGATATGACCCAATAATTATACAGTGATTTGACATGTGACACAAGCAAGCAAACTCACAGGAAAATGAATCTGATAAGTGTGCAGAGTTATATAGCAAGGTCCAGAGACAAGGGAAGAGGAGGGGGCAGAATTGCCTAACCCAAACTACTGGGTGTACAATGAAGACAGGTTTTGTGTGTGTGCGTTTGGTTGTTATTTTTCCAAAAATTATTTAGGAAGTCAGGGGAGCAGAGAAATACTCTTAAACAGAGAGAATAAAAGTGTAAGCTTAGATGGTGATCCTTCCAATATCACTATCATGGCTGCCTCTTTGCCACTTAAGTTCCTTAGTATCATCCTTGCATTCTATCAAGAAAATCCAAAGGACAAGAAAATGTACATAAAAGGGGTTTACTGAAACCTCAGAGATCTTTCAAAAATAGTAATATCTATCCAGTGTGTCAGGCCCCTTCCTAGCAAGTCTTGTATAGCCCCACATTGCCCAGTGCAACATGACTCAAACTCTAATCCTTCTATACAACTCCTTTAACAAAATCTATTCTCAGTGTACCTACACTATGCCATCTCTTTCCTATTTGTGCTTAATTACATCTCATTCCCAGCTCTCAGATCATTCACTATTTCCTTAGCACACCAGGCACATTTATAAGTCATGACTCTCTTTGCTCATTCTGTACCCTGTGACTACATCTCTTTTGTCTTTCTTTTTTCTCCTTCATAGTTATTTTCAACTATCCTATCCATTTTGATACTTGTTGACTATCCTTTTCTCCTCCTCTGAGAATTTTCCCCAACTCTTTAGGCAGATCTTAATCGATTATTCTCCCATTGAAGCTGGTACATTACTCTGTTTTAGTAGTACACAACCTATTCCCCAAATATTTGTAAACACAAATATTTGGCAGACATGGGATAAAGGATGGAATTATAAAGATAAAAGAAAGTCTCTACCCATGAGTAGCACACCTTCCATTTGGAAGATGAAAAATAGCACGAAAATTTCAATATTATACTGCTAAATGCTAACAAAGCAGCATGCTCGGTGTGCTGTGGTAACACAAAAGATGAGTGTCTAGTAAAACCCAAGATGTATTCTAGAGATAACAACACCCCTTTGCAGAGTTTTGAAGGACGAGTATCATAATTATGTGTTTACCTGATTTTATTCCTCCACTTGAGCTTAATTCTTTTTTGGAGTCCCATTTTTTATCTTTGTAACTTTCAATGGTGCCCAGCCAAGTCTAATAAGGCATCAATAAATGTTTATGTGTTGAATGAATGACCGAACTAATAAACAAATAAATTTCTTATTAGGCACATTGCCTAATGGTTGCTGATAGGTCAAATGGATCAGTGTTTATTTTTTCTGACCAGTTAACTTCACTGACAAGCAAAGATATAATAAATCAAGAAAATAAAAAAGAAGTTATCCAAATTAAAACCATGCTGTACAGCCTAATCTCCCATATATTTGCCTTAGAGGGATATCTATAGACCAACTACAATGTAATGTGTGAGAAGCCTTGGAATAAAGGGAATTTGACATCACACACATAGAATGTTTTAAGGCAGCGTAATTCTATAAAAGAGGACATGACTGGAGAAAGACTTCAAGTTAAAATTCTGCCCTGATATTTGTTTGTACAGGCCTGTACTCTACTCATCAGGTCACTAGGCTGCTTCCATCCAGAGTTAGTAACCTGCACAAATGTGCCTTCAGGCAAGCTTAGTCCCCGTCTTTTATTATATCACCTAGGCACAAGTGGTGGACTGTGGTAAAATAAGATGGCAAATGTCTTGGCTGATTTGAGGCAGATTCTATGCGCAAGTTTCTTCTATTCAAACAGAAAGCCAACAGTTTTTGGACAGAGGCTATTCTCATAGTATTTTGATAATACATTATATATCCCTTATTAGTTTGAGACAAGATTTCAGCTCTTAGTGTATGTTAAATAAGTACAATAGATAACAATTATAGAGTTATGAGAGAAAGAGAAAAAAATGTTAAATATTTGGTCATTTCCAGGAGATCTGCAGACCTATAAAGAGATTTGACCAAGCAAATCTCAGAAGAGCAGCAAATGCCAGAATTTATTTTGGTGCCCAGGGAAAGAAGCTAGAGATAATTTACTCATTTATGGTTTGGGCCTCTCTTACACAACTATTTAGTTTTGGGTCTTAGCCCTAATCACTTATTCCAATGAATCAGCAAAGATCAGTTTTCACTAAAATCCACTGGGGCGGGAATGAGGGTGGAAGGAGTCTTCACCTTGGACATTTAGACAAGAAAACATATGAAATGTCTCTCATGTTTTAGACTCCTTCACAAGTAAAATATTTTTGAATCCTCAAAACCCCTTTGCAGGTATTTTATCTCCATTTACAAACAATAAGCTAAATCTCAGGAAGGTTCACATAGCTGGTAAGAGGCCAAGCCACAGTCAGAACCTGAACTTCCTGTAGTCAAATTCCATGTTCTTTCAACTTTATCATAGCTCCTTCTTCTGAAAAGTTCTGACCTCGAGCGTATCTTCAAGGTTTACTTCAGCCGAGCCAGGATCATAAGAGGATTTAAAAAGCCCTCAAGGCTACAAAACCTTTACTGAGCCCAAGAATTTATTCAGATGAGGGGAAAGGAATGAGGCAACTGACTAGTATTGTTCATTAGCATAATTCCCATTCCCTTAACTTATTACAATAGCCAACATGAAACAGCCACCAAATCCTGCCAAACCCAGTGCAGCTCATTTTCCCTCTACAGGGGCAAGCTTCTTCCCCTATGATTCCATTTCTTTGACACCTTGCACCTGGAGAAGAATGAAAAGTCACCTCTCAGCAGAGGACAAAGAGAAGCAGCTTGATTGGCTAGTGGGGGAAGGAAGGAAATTTGGTGAAGCCCTTTCAAAAGGAACTATCTCCTTCCCCTGGCTCCATTATTTTATCAGCCACATGAAGCCAGACACATAGTGTGATTCCCTCTACATAGGTGTGTGGGCTCCCTTCCCAACCCTTTCAACACCAACATACAGTACTCATCACACTTATCTGTCCAAACACCTTGCATGTGCCTGGAGCTTGTGGCTTCTCTGAAATAACTAATTTTCATTTCTATCAATTCAGTTTGAACAAATGTCATTTTAAAGCAAAAATAAATTTTGAATGTGTCTGACTTCTTCCAAGGCTTTATGAAGTTCTAGGGAAAGAGAATGCACCCACAGAGAAAGAGAAACTTCATTCATTTGTCACTAAATGATTCATATGTTCATAGAAGGAATTCAATTTTTGGCATCACACTGACCTGATTTCTAATTCTAGCTTTTCCACTTAATAGTTGTTGGTCAAGGTATTTTATATCACTATGTAAAATAGAGATATTACTAATAATACATTAATAAGGCCCACTGCATTATGGAAATCAATTGGGAAAATGCACATAAACATTTAACATGGCACTTCTCATACAGTAAGTAACCAGCAACTGCTCACTGTTGGTCTGTGTCACTCTGTCGATGGGTGTTGGTCTGGCATTGAACTGGGCTTTTAAGAGCCAAAGTTGAATAAGACTCCACCTCTGACTTCAGGGTTAATCAATAATTACAAAACAGGATAGGTGTAAAATTATAATACAGGTAGTACTGAGCTAGAGATACAAAGGTGACCCAAGGAAGAAAGCACTCAATTTAGTCTGGGGGTGCCCTCTGTTGAGCTCCTCCCTTATCTTTTTCTTATCCAGTTGCAGCACATTTACTCTGTAGTAAAAGAGCTTATCTGTAGATTCTGGGAAACTGAGCTCCCTGAGGAAAGGAGTTTGTCTTTTCCTATTCTGTCTTTTTCTGATGCTCACGGTCTGGCTTAAAGCCTTCATAATAGGTGCTCAATAAATATTGGACATAGGAATAAGTGGTGGATGTGATATTGTGATGTGTAAAATCTGTTCTTGGTAAAGTGAAGAGATCATTCAGCTTTTAGTTGTATTTATGCAGAAATAAATATGAAGGGCTGCGTCATGGAAGGCCTAGTTAGTAGAATGAGAAATTTAGCCTTTATTGTGAACAGCCACTGAAAACTTTGGAGGACATAAGAAAAAACAAAATAAGTTTTTAAATTTTAGTTTGAATATACTGCTCAAGATATAATGGAAAGACATGGAGAAAATAGACTAGTTGAGACACTTATGCCAGAGATGAGGTGATGGGAGTTTGAGCAAATGCAACAAGAACAGACAGGGAAATTAAGGGACAGTTTTGAAATGCCTCCCTAGAGGGAGATGTGATGGGACTTAGTGATTAACCCACTGAATCTGGTGGAGAGTAAGGGGGAGAGGCCAAGTGTGACTCTGATCATTAAGAGTATCCATGGCAAACACATTGGGTTTTGAGCACCTCTCTCTCGGGAAGAAGATTTCTAAACTAAAATGTTCATTTCAGCATTTTCCACCTGCTTTTGTCCTTCTTTCAGGTAATAAATGGAATTAGAAACTCTGTTGAAATCAATAACAAGGAACTTGTTTTTGACAGAAAACAGGAAAGCAATAAGGTGCAGGATGCTGAGAAACAGGTCACTGTCTGTCATTCCTAGAGGCAACCAACCTTCCATCCTCCTTCCCATCCTTCCACTCACTTTTCTATCCATTCATCTAACCAGCATGCATTTCTTGCATACTTACCTAAGACTAAATACTGTTCTGCTTTCTAAATATTCCATGACAGGCAGTTTGCTGCTCCCTATGAGTCACATGACTACAAGAGCAACTGTACAAAGTACAGAATGATCTTAAATTTTTTTTTATTACATTGATTGGTTCTGTTTCTTCATGGGGACAGCAGTAAATTGTTCTTTTAAATTCAGCTTTGAGACACTATAATTTCAGTTCTAAATGCAGAAATTGAACTGCTTTCAAGGATACGAAAATCATGGCAGTACCCTGGGCTAAAATACAATGACAAGCTAAAATACAAGGAACCATTGCATTGCCCTCTGGGAACTATATATCCATGCTGAGAAAGGCAGGCATGTCTTGTGAGCACTGTACCTAAACACACTCCCTGAGAGTGCTCTTTCTCTCCATGGAGCAGAGATGTTAATGCATCCCCTTTCTACCTGATAGGGTTTGTAAAAGAATCACAAGAGAGAATGTCTGTGAATGTGCCTTTTGAAATATATAAATATAAGAAAGCAATTTTTTTTATCATTGGAGGTTGTCTTTTTAAATTATTTGTTAAGAGTACTCCCTGAGTTTTTCTTATTCTACTACTAAGTTTCACTGGAAAAGACAAACAATGTTAAGCCAAGGAATAGTTAAATTGACAGGTTAATTTTGGTATTTGATAAGCGACTCTAAGCTAAATGTTTAACCTTTCGATTTTCTCATCCTTGAAACAGTGATTATAATACATGGGTTGTGGCCGGGCACAGTGGCTCACGCCTGTAATCCCAACACTTTGGGAGGCCGAGGCGGGTGGATCACTGGAGCCCAGGAGTTCGAGAGTAGCCTGGCCAACATGGTGAAACCTCATCTCTACTAAAAATACAAAAATTAGCTGGGCGTGGTGGCGCACGCCTGTAATCCCAGCTACTATAAAGGCTGAGGCAGGATAATCACTTGAACCTGGGAGGCGGAGGTTGCAGTGAGCCAAGATGGCGCCATTGCACTCCGGCCTGAGCGACAGAGCGAGACTCCGTCCCTTGCCCCCGAAAATAATTATATATATATGCATATGTATATGTACATGTATACGCGTATGTATATGTATATGTGTATGTGTATGTATACGCATATGTATATATGGTTGTAAGTCTTAAGCTTCCTGACCACTCCCCAAATCTATCAGCCTGAAAAATACTTGGCTGTGTTTCAGGTTTCCACACCAAGCTTCACTTGGACCTTGTACTTCCTGGGAGCTCCACCCCTAAGATTCTAACCATTCTTCTTCCTTTCACCTCTCAGTAGACTTCTATCAGACCCCTATGATATACTCATGTTTTTATCTCCCCCTGTAGCTTAGGGGAAGATATTGCAATACTGTCTCATTTGATTGTAACCCTAGCAACTAGCATAGTGCCTACATAAAACAGGTGTTTAATAAATGTTTACATAAATAAATGGATAGCAGACACATACGGCAGTGCTTTGTACACTGTAGGAGAGTTAGCCTTGATAATTAGGAATCTGATTTGTTAAATGTTGCAGCGTGTAAGTGAATTTATGGCAAAAAATGAGTATAATTGTTTTAATTGTGAAAGAAAGAACTTTTATAATATCTGTAACTCAGCTTTTCTCAGCCTATGGTGATTTTTCTCCCTGGGGGGCAAGTTGATTGCCACAACCGGGCGAGGGTGCTACTGCCATCTAGTGGGTATAGGCCAGACCTGCTGCTGCTAAACATCCTTCAAGGCAAGGGACAGCCTCCCGCAATAAAGAATAACTTGGCCCGAAAAGCCAAAGTTGGGAAACCTTACCCTAACTAATTCTCTTGCCTCAATTAGAGAATGTGCTGTCCCTTGGGCTGTGCTGGCGATTTGACATTCTATAAGCCCTTTTGGGATTCATCACCCATGAACTTACAGAAAGAACTGTGTTTCACAGCTACTTTTACAAAAGGAGCCGTGATTTGCCCCCGATAGTACTGACTAGAGAAGAGCAAACAGGGCTGTAAGTCAGTAGTACCTTCAATACTTTTCCATCTCGTGGCAGATACCAGCCTGGTTGGGCTTTGATTAGTGCAGCAAACTCCTCTTTCAAGAAATCTGGAGAAGTTAGACTTTCCTCCCTCTAGGCTAAAGAAAGTTAGCTATCACAGAACTATTTCTTCAAGAACCATGGCAAAATAACCATGGGAACCATCCCAGTTTCCAAGAAAAAAAAAAATACGTATATATAAATGGTACTAGATACTTTGATAGTTTCTCTATTTGTAACTTTTTTCAAGGTGACTTTTGTTTTCCTTTTAAGGATAAAAACCCTACTACGACCCTCCCACCAATGACTTGTCTCACCCAATGCCACATCCCTCCTCACTCCCCATTTTTGCATTACAGCTGCAAAGGCCCTGTCTTGATTCCTTCAACATCCTGCGTTCTGAACAACTGCACTGTCAGGAACATCCACAGGTTGCCTAGTTAATTCCTATTAATCCCTCAGAGCTCACTTTGAATGTCAAATCTTCCTAGAGAAGACCTGCTCTAACCTTACATGAGGTTGGATCCCTAGTTAGACCCTCAACTTGTGCACCAGCCATTCTCCCTAATATTTACCACAGCTGTCATTAAATCAGTTCTCTAATGTAAGCTCTGTAGAGCAGGAACCATTTATATCTTCACAAGCAAGCCTAGCATTTAGTTGAGACAGAATAAAAATGTGTTTAATTAGTAAAAATAACTTTTTAGAAAGAGTATCCTCATTTCAAGTTTAAATGATATTTGGCAAGTATTCCCTGATTCAGAATCCAAACATCTTGCAAAAATAACACACAAAGGCACTGTAAGTGAAGAAAACTCAGACTGAGTAGAGAACTTTTTAACTTGTTTCCTCCTACATCTAGTTAGATATACAAAGAAAGAAAATTATTTTTACAATTAGCAAAAAATATTAACTTTTAATAATATCAAGAAATGTGTGGGAAGCTTTGTGAAAACACTAAAAAAATCCATTGGGAGATATAAGTGAGGATTTTGCAACTAAAAAATTAAATTTTTAAAAAATATTTTAAAACTGTCTCCCTAAATCAATTAATAGATAAGAATAATCCTATTCAAAATCTCAATAATATTTTTAGTACATTAAAATGGTTCAAGTAACCACCTGAACTATTTCACAGTTAAAAATAGCTAAGAGAATATTAAAAACGATGAGATCAGAATTCACCTGCTAAATATTAAAACTTGTACTAATTTTTTCCAATATGCCACTAGAATAGAAATCAAAAGGCAAAACAACAGAATAGAACAGATAATTCAGAAACAGATCCAAGTGTATGTAAAAACTTGTAAAAGATAAAGAAATTATACAAACAAATGATAAGTGGAAGTTTAATTAACAAAAAATTTTTTTTTTACATTTTGGGGAAAAATAAAGTTAACTCACTTCTTACCATAGACCAACATTAATTCTGGTGCATTAAAGAAATAAACTAAATAAATAAGTAGATTATGAAGAAAATAAGAGATTAACAGACACTTTATAGTTTTTCTCGAGATTTGGACTTTCTGAACATAAAAGCTATGGGAGAAATCACAATGGAATAGATTGGTATATTTGCGACATGATGCTAGTTACTTTAACTTATTGAGTGGTTGGTGTGTTGTGCCAGGTATCATTGGTGGTGTGCCAGGCATCATGCTATATGCTTTCTATATGTCTTAATTTGATGAAATCTCATCATCCCCCATAAGCTA
This sequence comes from Homo sapiens, assembly GCF_000001405.40. NCBI lineage: Eukaryota > Metazoa > Chordata > Mammalia > Primates > Hominidae > Homo > Homo sapiens. Next base: position 87,720,892 of record NC_000011.10, on the reverse strand, counting down.
TTAAGATGCTCATCTTATAGAGAAGAAAACTAAGGCAGAAAAAAGTTAAAGTAATTTGATGAAAATCACACATCACAGAGATGTCAGAGCCAAGAGTCAAATGCATCATAGAGGCCAGAGTCTCTGTTCTTCACTACTGTGCTCTTTAATCTGCTATAAAAACACACAAAACATCTGCACATCAAAAATAAAATGGAATAAAAGCCATAAAGTAAAAGGCAAATAACAAATTGAGAAAAATATTTTCAACAAATATCACCACAAATGTATATCCTTTATATTAGCTCCTCCTCTTGTGACCCCACCTTCTTACTTCATTTGTCATTGTATAAAGAATACTTCCTGAGTGTGCGTGTGAATGTGTGTTTGTGTAATCGCTTTATAAATCAACAAAAATACTCAAATGGAAACTAAATGGGCAATAACATGATCAGAAACTTCATTAAAAAATAAATGGACTCAAACAAATATATATACAATCTTACTAGTAACCAAATAATATCTAAATAAATCATCATGTTATTTCCCACCAAATCAGAAAATATTCACTTGTGTATTAGTACAAGTTTTCTGGAAGCAATTAGCCTACATATATCAAGAATATTTTAAAAGTTGGAAATAAAAGACTTTTTCAGATCTATCAATTCTGCTATTGGCTGCCTCTTCTATGGAAATTTTCTGAGAGTTGTATAAGAGTAAATTCATAGAAGTAACATTAATAGAAGTAACATTAAGAGAAGCAAGTTTCTCAGAATAAACTAAACGTACAATCAGGGATAGGTAAGTCAGTCCTGTGATACCCATAGCATAAGTTTCTGAAAAAACACATTTTCATGTAATATTTAATAATGTGGGAAAATGTCCCTGATAGAAAATCAGTTGAAATATAGTAATAGTCATCCTATAGAGGTGAGATAGATATTTTAAGGAGGTCTCATAACAGACAAAATAAGCTTTCAGTTTCTGCCATTCCCAGTCTATACCTAAAACTCTCAAAACAAAATCACTTTGAGTGGCTGATACAGTGTGGGCCGGCTTCCCTTTGTGCCTTTCATTCTCAGCTAATTCATTTGAATCCCACGTTAAGCTTTGGAGAAGTCAAAGGAACGAGACGGAAAATGGAAAGATGAAGCTCTCTGTCCCACCCTAGACCAAGTCTCTCCGATCCTTTCTCTCCATTCTCATTGTTACTGAGAATGCCTCTTGCATTGTGGCCACAAGCCCTTAGTTAATGTCCTCCTCCCTCCTCCCTCTGTTTTAGGTAGATATTTTTTGAAGACTTTTTCTCCTAGTCCTGGATCTCCTTGAAAACAGCTTCCTGAGCATTGCCCTAAATGGAAAGTAAAAGTAAAAGAATGCTTAAAATTTTTACCAGGACCTTGTTGCTAAGCAACCATTTTCTTTGTCTCTAAGTATATGAAATATGACATTGTTTGGAATGTGCTCAATACAAAGGATCAAGGTTGGGGAGCAGGGAGGAGGTAAGGGAGGAGGTGGTAGTAAAGAAACCTTTAGACTGAAAAATGTAAAGATACAATATGAAAGGAGAAAAAAAACAACAAAAGAACCCACCATGGAAGTTTCAACCCACCACCACCACATGGTGCCAAAAACTTCAAAATGGAACATTTCTTATATTGGCACATATTTTTGTGAGAACAAACATATGGTTGTGAGCATATTCTTACCTTCATTGTGATCTGCATATTTCCTCTCTGCAGGAAAATTTAAATGCACTGTTGACATCGTTTTATAGTCACATAAGAAGAAAGCAGGCAAAGAAATGTTATGATTGGACTTATTCATGAGATACCACAGTCTCTAATATATGAAGTTTTTCATATTTACACTACTGGTGAATCTCTAGTTGTATACCTGCCTCTGTGGTCTCATTGTTGGTCCCTAGGATAGCTTATAAATAAAAACAGATGATACTGTCTACTGGCCAGAACAAGCTCACAACTCACTTTCTACTCCATTCTCAAGTGTAAGTATCATTTTTACTTGGTTGAGGGCAAGAACCCTAATTGGGCAGCTTTTACTAAGGAATGAAAAAAACTTTAGCAGAATATAAATAAGCCTAGACAGACGGAGACTTTTTGTTTCTCTTGCCAAGTGGGCAGCTCTGGTGAAAATTTTTTTTCATCATTAGGATCACACACAATCCAAAAATTTGGTATAGTTAGGGAGACTGGGATGGAGAAGTCCATTTAGCTTTCTATGTTTGTCAGACCTGCCCATCTCTAGTCTAGAAAAAGTCTACACTTTGCCTAGCTTACTCATTTAGGGATCAAGAACCTGGTCAGTATTAAAGTTTTGCCTTCTCAGTCAACAGGGCATTTTTCTGTGCATGTGTTTCCCTATAGGACTATGTAGAGAAAGATGGATGGTTGAGGTCAGGATTTGGAGTTCTCTGGCTAACTGCATATTAACTTTGTTATCATCGCCAATATTATCACCTGACAGAGAAACAGACTTGATGGATTTGGGCTTTAGCCCTGACTTCATCACAAATAAACAGTGTCATCTTGGATGCTAACTTATTGTCCCATTGGTGTCTCTTTTTGTTTCATGAAAGTAATCATATCTATAGAAATAGGTATAAATTGAGAGTGTCAGTAATAATTATAAGATAATCAGGTATTTAATACTGAGATTAAGTAATAAAAATTTCCAAGCACCTCAGAAGTCTTCATATGCTCCTATATGCCCTTTCCCCATAGCCTCTGTCTTTTCTTCCTTAAAGGTGTTATCATCATTCTGACTTTTGTTTTAATTAGCCCTCAACTTTTTTGATAATTTTTACTGTAATATAATTTCAAATTTACGCAAAAATTGCAAGAAAAGTACAAGAAAATCTTATGTAACTTTTACCCAGATTTACCATTTATGTACATTTTGATCATTTGCTTTATTATGAATGTGTGTGTGTGTGTGTGTGTGTGTGTGTGTGTGTGTAGTCCTTACTTTCTAGAACAATAAAATGCCCCAAGATCAGCTCATAGTTCCTCTGCCTCAGCTCTGGAGTCATTCGTTTCTCCAAGGAGATTTAGTTCTTTATACCAGAGAATGATATTTAGAAATCAAAATCTGGGCTCAAAATGTGCTCTTTGCTGCTAGTATCTCGTAGCTTTTAGACCCTCTCAATGATTATGTCTAAAAAATATATGTATATTTAAAACACAACCACACAAATGTATGTATGGATAGATAGAGAGGAGAGATAGAGGCGTAGATAGATGATCAATATGATTTATATTCTTTACTTAGATAAAATTTACATTCAATGAAACATAAAATTCTTAGATATAAAACTTCATGAGTTTTGGTAAATGCATGTATCTGCTCATTCCTTGATCAATCAGTAATTCTGTTTCTCTGGAGTGTCATAAATTTTTTCAATTCTAGATTGCTTTGGCTTACTCTAGAATTTTATATAATCTGAAGATAATTTTCCATTGAGTCTTGCAACTCATGAACATAGTGTATCTTGCATTTATTCAGGAGGTCTTCTTAATTTCTCTTAGCAAACTTTAGTAGTTTTAAGTGTACAGGTATTGAGCATATTTTATTGAATTTATACCTAAGTGTTCTCTGCTTATCTTTTGAAGATACTGTAAATATTTTTATTTTTGAAATTTTCTGCTAATATACAAAACTACAATTAATTTTGTATATTGACTTTGTATCTTGCAACCTTGATACACTCACCTATTGTTCTATTAATTTCTTTGTAGTTTCCTTAGCATTTTCTATAGACAGTAATGTTTCCTGCAATAAGAGAGCTGCACATTTTTTTCCCGAACTTAATGACATTTATTAACCTTTCATGCCTCACTGGATTGTCAGAGCCTCCAGTAGAGTGTTAAATTAATGTGTGAGATCAGACAGCCTTGAATGTAATCATTAAATATTACATTTGTTGTAGGTTTTTCCATAAGTAAATTTTGTCAAATTAAGGTAGTTCCCTTCTAGTTCTGGTTTGCTGGGAGTTTTTATGACGATTAAGTGTGGAGACTTGTGACAGTTTTTTTCTCAAAGTGAGATTAGAGAAAGATAAGGGAGGAAAAAAGAAAAGGTAAACTCATTCAGCTTGCAGCCTTCCTTAGCAACTCCATCTCTCAATAATTACTCTCTTATTTGAACTCAGATTTCATTAAATGTCAGTGCTTAATTGCTCTCTATTAGATGTACATGTTGGTTTTGTCTTTACTGTCAACGTAAAACAAAACAAAATCTTGAAGGTGGGAATAGGAAGCTTTACTTCTCTGTATCCCCTACTTCCCCTGGCATTGGGCTACTCTCATAGTGACTGCTTCGTCAGTTTCAGCACTGATTTTTTATTAGTAACAAAATGCCACAATTGTTTATTATTTTAGAGTTCTACATCCAAGATCTCATTTTATTCTCAAAACAACTCAGTGAAAACTTGTTTCGTGTTAAGGCATGTGGGAGTCAGACAGGTATATGGCTTGTCAGTGAACACAGAACTCATTTCAGACAGAGCAAGGAACAGAATTCAGATCCTCTGACACCTCATCCAGATCTATCTCAATGCACCACCCTGCCTGATTTCCTTGGTTCCTCCCAATATCACTACTGAGGTCAGCTCTTGTCCCACTAATGATTATACTGTACTAAGTCTCAAAACTGGGTTAGATCAGGATACAAAGACACTAAGCTGTAAATGATTTAATGTCTGTGTATCTTCCATCACCATGGACCTTGTCCATAAACACACTTGTGATGAAAACTCCTATTAGCCAAGCAGGGTCTTGTCAGACATTCTGCAACATATTAGGTGCTAATTATATATTTGTGGTTGCATGTTGTGCCAAATTCCTGAATCTAATTTGCATGAGGATCCCCTCTGAGATGAATACTCTCTTTCTGGGGAAGGTCGCCCAGCGGTTCACAATGGGCTGCACTTAAGACCAGCGTATTTGTTTTCTAATTCCACTTCTGGAAATACTGCAACCCTGTGGGTCACATGGGACACTCATCTGTACTATGTACACATTAAGCAGATGTCAATTTTAATGGACAATCCTCCCAGAAACTGTCAAAGGGAAACAGAGATCAATGGAGGAGGGCACTTGACTCCATTTACCATTAGACTGAAGCACACTGTCTGCTTAATTTCCCAGTTGTATCTCCTGCCACTTTCTCCCTTGCAATGTATGCTCTGGCAACTTGGAAGTATTTGTCATTCATTACATAGAATACTTCATGTATTCTATGAATTCATACGTTCATGCTGTTTCCTCTATTGATAATGTCAATAATGCCCCTTTCCTCCCAAACCTCCTCTTTCACACACCTCAATAACTGCTTTTCACCTAACATTCTGTCATTTCACAGGTATGTATTAAGTACTTACTACCTGTATGCCAGGCACCATGCTAGGCGCAGAAGATACAGAGGTGAGTACAAAAACGTCCCTGCCCTAAAGGAGCTCACAATGTATTGTGAGGCTGACTGGCAGGGCTTCATGAGGCATACAAAAGCATCATCTATCCTAGCTTCGCAGGGCCACTGAAGGCATCCTGGTGGAGGTTACATAAGCTGAGACTTAGAAAGTTTAGATCTTAGGAACTAGCCAGGCCACAGAGAAGAAATGTGAGAGCCAAGGCTAGAGAGATTGGATTTCCAGCTGCAAGACAGGGATCAGCTGTCTTCCCTTTTAGAAGACTTCCCTGACCCTTCCCCAAGCTGTCAGTTTCCCTCAGAACTTTTACCATTTTTTTGTGCAGAACTCATAATGGCACTTACCACCCTCTGCCATAATCATTGATAGGTTCTTCTTCCTTGAGAAACTAGGAGCTCTTTGAGAGTAAGACCTGAGCTTTATTTAGTATATACCACCAGTACCTAGTGCTGACCCTGGTACCACAGGATGTTTAATAACTATTTGAGGGAACAAACAAACACTTGTGGGGATCTTCTGGAGGAGAGGTACCAGCTTCATAGATAATCCTGCTGCTATGGGCTATAACCCCTTCGGGCAAAATCAGTGAGCCAGGGCATCTGATTGTGTCCAGGCCCTCAGAGGCAGGGTTCCTGTGGTGGCAAGGGTAGGGTGCTCAGGCTTGCTTTCCACAGGGCCATCATCATGACTTTGAGAACCAGACAGACCACTATTCTTGCCAGTTTGAGATGTTGGGGCTCAGAAAACAAAATCTCAAAATGAAAATCTCAGATGCAAAAGTTTATCTCTGACCTTCTTCTGGCCTTCTGTCTCTCAGTCCCATTCTCCCCTAAAGCAGCTATAGAAACCAGAATCCGTCATCCCTAAGGCAGGTCATAGAAACTGGAACTCCTTTTTCCCAAAGCTAGTCATAAAACCTAAAAATATTGCTCTAAGTTTTCTTCTGCCTTTCTGTGTAAAAACTGGCCATAAGGAAATTATCTGACCTACCTTGTTTGACTGCAGGTCATAAAGCCCCCATTCTAGAGAGGGTCCTGCCCCATACCCAGAAAGAAGGAACGCATGCTCAGAAAGGCCAAGAAGAATCTAGACATACAGGCCTTGCTGAGTTTCCCCAATCTGTCTATTAACATTAGACCACACCCTCTTTGCCCAGCCATGCTTCCCACATGGCTGTCCGTGCTTTCTTGAACCTAAGCATAAAAATTTACAATTTCCTCTGTATCTTTTGGTCTTTATTCTGAAGGTTCCCATGCATACACATTAAATAGATTTGTATGCTTTTTCTCCTATTAATCAATCTGCATCATGTCAGTGTTTTCTCAGCAAACCTTTAGGACCTTTGTTCCCACAGAAGGGAAGGTTCTCAAGAGATTTAGACTCTCAGAACTGTGTCTCTTCTACCTAAAAAGCAATTCCTGCTTTTATACCATCAAACAGTTTTAATTCCATTTTAAGAGATGTAATGAAAACCTATTACTATATATCATGAACTCTCAGATGCAAATCAAACCACCATCCTCTTTGACTCTGCTGTCCTTCAACAGTTGAAATGAGAATCATTTTACCTACACAGAGTCAATAACAGACTGTCCAATTCTTACCCCCATTATTGCTGCTGGGGAAATAATTAAAAGTAAAACATCCTGCTAACTCAAAATGATCATCATCACAAAATGGAAAAATGAATGAAGTCTTATTAATAATCAAGCATTAAACCAGACTGCGATGTGGGTCACAGACAGTCCACTGAAGAGATTGCAAAACACAAAGAAATCTCACCAATTATGTTTCTAGACAGATACAATCCATTACATACATGTTAATTGTTTCTAACCATGGAAAAATAAGACTTTAATTTTATGGTGAGCAGTTAGTTCCAGCTTGGAGCTGGCACCTAAGATAAACTCCCTCAGAGGCAGGGAGACAGGGCAGCACCCTCCCTGATGGTCACATTTTAATGCCCACAAGAAAGGCATTCCTGGGAAGCAAAACTGTTAAGATGCTTATTTAGCTTTTAAAAAGATTTACATGCAGCTCAAACAGTCACAGAAAGCATTTATAATTCCAAGTTCTCCAAAGGAATGCTAAAAAAAAAAAAAAAGGTGGCAGGGAGTTCTCTTTTATGTTTGGCACCAGGGAAATTTTTAAATTCAATTTTTATTGATTTATTTAGATGTGTGTAGACCCTTACATTAGACAGTTCTCATTTATTCTGTTCCTGTGCCTGGTCTGTTTCTTACACAACATCTGACTATAATCACCTCTCTCAACTTGTGGTTGTTTCTGTTTATACTTCATTCTGTGGGTTTGTCCTTAAGGAAACCTGTGATTTTTAACTACCTTTCCTCACAGCTCTTAAACTATGATTGTTTAGGTCTCGGATTACCCAGTACTCAGACTGTTCCCACACACGGCGGGTTCCTATGCATCTGTCTTTCTTACTTCCTGTACTGGGCATGCCTTTAAAGCAGTGCTTCTCAAATTTTAAAGTGGACTTGATCACCTGGAGAGCTGATTAAAATGTAAGCTCTAACTCAGTAGGTCACAGTGGATTCCAAATTTTTGCATTTCTGACAAGTTCCCAGGTGATGCCACTGCTGCTGCTCAGTGACCATACTTTGAACAGGAAGGCCTGGGGAATGGCTGCAATTCTTTCTATAGCCTGGGAACATCATTGCTTATCTGCCTCTAGCACAGATGATATTCCTTGTGCAGTTCGTAGCTATCAATTTATTTATTCATTTATTCAGTAATAAATATTTATTGAATGCATACTCTATGACAGGCGTACTTTAGGATATGTCACACTTTCTCTCTTTTTTCCTGCTGTGGCTGGCACTTTTATCCTTTCAAACACAGAACTGCAACTTGGAACGGTTTCCTCCCAAACCACTGCAGCCAATTGATTCCCTGTCCTCCTACAGTTTGTCTGTAAGACTGTGCATCCATTTTCCATGTGAATTTTCCAGGACAGTTTATACTGTAAATGTTTTCTCCCTTTGCCTTTCCATGAAAATTAATCACAAGTAGGAATATATCCTTTGTCAGAGTACATGCCCTGGCTTTTTTATTTGGAAAATATGGTGACAGAGCGTAGAGCCTTAGGCTACAATTCTCTGTCCCTTACAGTGCTCAGCTGTCTTCATTGGTTCCTGGGCTCCATGATTAAGTCTTCTCTGCTTTGCAGTCTGTGGCTCTGATCCTCTATTTGCCAGAAGCAGGGACAGATAATGGCTTCTGAGCACTCATCAGCACTAGCCTTCTCTGATTCTCTGTCTCCCTATGACAGGCTTCAGACTTGGAGTTGCCCTTGGAGGGACAATGATTAAGCTATATCTGCCTGCTGACTGGGCACATCCAAGTGGAGATGACCTTGGTGACCAGTAGACCCCTACAGTAATAAGTGAGTTCACTGGCACTGGCTTCTTCATTCCTTACAGCTGCCACGTGGTCTGATCTTGAAAATTACTATTAAAGGATTTTCTTTTGATCTTCAAAATCACTAAAAATGCTCTCCACTTGACATCAATTAACATCAGTGTGATTACTTTCCAAGGCCCCACAGGATGCCACAGCTTTATAGGAAATGTCAGGGTTGCAGGCAGCCCCTTTCTATGGCTTTGCTTATTTGGATCTACTGATCGTAATGGTGCAATTGTACAGGACTGCCTGCATATTTGGTGTCAGACTAGGGAGTACATGTAATGGCAGACTGATCGCCACCCTGGAACAGCACTGGAAAAACTATAGTTCAGTTTCTCTGATCCTCATTCACAAAGGTATTCATGACTCCCCACTGTGTGCAGGAAACATTCACACTAGACTCGGTCTAGAAATGCTCTCCAAGAGCCAAGTTCTGGAATTGGGGACCTTAAGAGCCTGCTTATTGCTCTTAGCAGATGGTAAAGTCAGCCAGGCCTACACCCTTCCCTTCAGGGTGGCAATTTCTGTCATGTCCTGAGCATGTCCAGAGGGAGTCAGGGACTATAGTCAAAAGCCTTAGAAGTCTACCCGGTGTTCTGTTGTATTGCCACTGAGATGGCACTCAAACAACAAATTGCAACCCTTCCCAATCTTCCCTCCCCTTTCCAAAGGAAGGAGAACCTCACTCTATTGCCACTGCCACTCCAGGCTCGTGGGGAGTACTGTCAGACTACTACTGATATTCCATTAAGGCCCAAGGGCTCTTCAGTCAGCTTGTGAATGCTGCCTGGCCTGGGACATACCCTTCAGGGCAGTAGGCTCCCATTTGGCCCTCCAGCCTGGGATAGCACTGAAGAATCTGAAGTTCATTTTCTGTGATCCTCATTTACAAAGCTATTCATGACTCCCCAGTGTGCACAAGAAACATTTACACTACACTCGGTCCAAAAATGCTGTGCAAGAACCAAGTCCTGGAATTGGGAACCTCAAGAGCCTGCTTGTTGCTCTACCTTTCTGTGCCCAGGCTGGTACCTAAGGTGCAAGACAAATTCCCTTTACTTTTCCCTCCACTTTTCTCAAGCAGAAGTAGTCTCGTCCCATAGCCATCATAACTGGGAATGTGCTGAGTCTCACCCGAAACCAGCAAGTCTGAGAGGCTCACCCAAGGCCCTTAACATAATGCCTGGGTATTGATGCTGGTTTTTCAGGGCCCAAGGGCTCTTCAGTTAGCAGGTGATAAATCCTGCCAGGACTGGATCCTTCCATTCAAGGCAGCAGGTTCCCTTTTGGCCCAGGGTATGTTTAGAAATGTCATCTGGGCACTAGGATCTGCTCAGGTCATGAGAGAACTTGCCACCCTAAAGGAAAAAGCATAGGCCTGGCTGGCTTTGCCATCTGCTAATTGTAGAGCTCCCAGGTTTTGAGCAAACATATGCAGTAGCCAGGGAGTGATTACAGCAGGCCTTTGGTGAGACCCAGAGCTGTGCTGGCTCCAGATCTAATCTAGTGCAGTCCTAGAAGTGGTGGCCACAGGAATTTTTGCATCATTTCACCCCCAGCTTAGGTTGCTTAGAACAGAGAGAGATACTCTATTTGTTTGGAAGAAAGTAAGGGACGAGCACAAGAATCTCTGCCTAGTAATCCAGAGAATGCTTTCGTATCTTGTCTAAGACCATGAAGGTGGTACCTCTGAGAATCTACAAAAAATACAGCATTGCTGGGCTTGGTGACCCTCTTAAAGCAGATACAGCTTAGATCACAACATCAAAATCCTTTCAAATATCTGGAAAGCCTTCCCAAGAAGCATAGACAAAAACAAACCGAGACTGTGAAAACTAAAATGAATACCTAACTCTTCAATGCCCAAATTCTGAAGAACATCTACAAGTATCAAGATAATCCATGAAAACATGACTTCACCAAATGAATTAAATAAGACATCAGGGACCAATCCTGGAGAAACAGAGATATGTGACTTCAAACAGAGAATTCAAACTAGTTGTTTTGAGGAAATTCAAAGAAATTCAGAGAAGAGAGAAGGGGTTCAGAAATTTATGAGATAAATTTAGCAAAGAAATTGAAATAATTAAAAATACTCAAGCAAAAATTCTGAAGTTGAGAAATGCAATTGGCATACTGAAAGATGCATCAGAGTCTCTTAATAGCAGAATTGATTAAGCAGAAGAAAGAATTAGTGAGCATGAAGACAGGCTATTTGAAAACACACAGTCAGAGTAGACAAAAGAAAAGAGAATAAAAAACAACGAAGCATGCTTACAGGATCTAGAAAATAGCCTCAAAATGGCAAATGTAAGAGTTATTGCCTTTAAAGAGAGAGGAGAGAGAGAGACAGAGGTAAAAATATTTATTCAAAGGAATAATAACAAAGGACTTCCCAAACATAGAGAAAGATATAAATATCCAAGTACAGAATGGTTATAGAACACCAATCAGATGTAACCCAAAGAAGAGTACCTCAAGGCATTTAATAATCAAACATCCAAAAGTCAAGGATAAAGAAAGGATCCTAAAAGCAGCAAGAGAAAATAAATAAATAGCATATAATGGAGATCCCAAACATCTGGTAGCAGACCTTTCAGTGAAAACCTTAAAGTACAAGAGAGAGTGGCATGACACATTTAAAGTGCTAAAGGGAAAAAAAAATTTTACCCTAGAATGGTATATCTGGCTAAATCGTCCTTCAAACATGATGGAGAAATAAAGACTTCATTAGACAAACAAAAGCTGAGGGATTTCATCAGCACCAGACCTGTCCTACAAGAAATGCTAAACAGAGTACTTCAATCAGAAAAAAGGACATTAATGAGCAGTAAGAAATCATGTGAAGGTACAAAACTCACTGTTAACAGTAAGTACACAGAAAAACACAAAATATTATAATACTGTGACTTAAGAAGAAAGATGAAATGATGAACCAAACAAAAATAATGACTATAACTTTTCAAGACATAGCCAGTACATTCAGATATAAATAGTAACAACAAATAGTTAAAATATTGAGGAGTGGAAAAGTTAAGAAATAGAGTCTTGTGAAACCCCACCTCTATTAAAATACAAAAAATTAGTGGGGTGTGGTGGCAGGCACCTGTAGTCCCAGCTACTTGGGAGGCTGAGGCAGGAGAATGGCATGAACCCAGGAGGCGGAACTTGAAGTGAGCTGAGATCGCATCACTGCACTTCAGCCTGGGCAACAGGGCAAGACTCCGTCAAAAAAAAAAAAAAAGAAATAGGGTCTTTATTAGTTTATTTTTTTATGCAAACAGTGTTAAGTTGTTATCAGCTTAAAATAATGACTTATAAGATAGTATCTGGAAGCCTCATGGTAACTTCAAACCAAAAAACATACAACAGATACATGAAAAATAAAAAGCAAGAAACTAAATCATATTACCAAAGAATATCACCTTCACTGAAAGGAAGACAAGAAGGAAAGAAAGGAGGAAGAGAAGACCACAAAACAACCAGAAAACAAACAACAATATGGCAGGAGTAAGTCTTCACTTATCAACAATAACACTGAATATAAATGGACTGAACTCTTCATTTAAAAGACATAGAGTGGCTAAAAGGATGAAAAAAACACAAGACCCATTGATCCGTTGCCTACAACAGATCAGTTAGAAACTGAACTCTCCAATCAAAAGACACAGAGTGGCTGCATAGATAAAATTAAAAAAAAAAACGCCCATTGATCTGTGGCTTACAAGAAACACTTCACCTATAAACATACACAGATGGAAAATAAAGGGATGAAAAATAAAGGGATGGAAAAAGATATTCCATGCCAATGGAAACCAAAAAAGAACAAGAGCAGCTACACTTAGACAAAATAGACTTTAAGACAAAAAACCGTAAGAGGTGACAAGGAAAGTCACTATACAATTATAAAGGGGTCAATTCAGCAAGAGGATAAAACAATTTTAAATATGCACCCAACAATGGAGCACTCAGATATATAAAACAAATATTATTAGAGCTAAAGAGAGAGGTAGACTCCAATACAATAACAGCTGGAGACTTCAACATTCCACTTTCAGCATTGGAAAGATCTCCCAGAGAGAAAATCAACAAAGAAACATTGGAATTAATCTGCACTATAAACTAAATGGATCTAATAGATATTTATGGAGAATTTCATCCAAGAGCTGCAGAATACACAGCTTTCTTCTTTGCATATGGATCGTTCTCAAGAATAGACTATGTGTTAGGTCACAAATGAGTCTTAAAACTTGAAAAAATTTCAATAATAACAATAACAAGCATGTCCTCTGACCACAATTGATTAAAACTAGAAATCAATAATAAGAGGAATTTTTGAAGCTATACAAATATTTGGAAATTAAATAATATGCTCCTGAATGACCAATGGGTCAATAAAGAAACTTGAAAAATTGAAGTTGAAGAAAATTGAAAAATTCCTTGAAATAAATAATGGAAACACAACGTACCAAAGCTACCGGATACAGCAAAAGCAGTACTAACAGGAAAGTTTATAGCTATAAATGCCTACATCAAAAAAAAAGAAAAACGTCAAATAAACAACCTAACAATGCATCTTAAAGAACTAGAAAAGCAAGAGCAAACCAAACCCATAATTTGAAGAAGAAAAGAAATAGTAAAGATTGGAGAAGAAATAAATGAAGTTAAAATAAAGAAAACAATACAAAATGTCAGTGAAACAAAGTCAGTTTTTTCAAAAGTTAAACTAAATAGACAAACTTTTAGCCATATTAACTAAGAAAAAGAGAGAGAAAATCCAAATAAATACAATCAGAGATAAAAAAGGAAACATTAAAATTGACACCACAAAAATTCCAATGATCATTAGTGGCTACTGTGAGCAACTATATGCCAATAAATTGGAAAATCTAGAAAAGATGGACAAATTTCTAGATACATACAATGTACCAATATTGAACCATGTTGAAATACAAAATCTGAACAGACTAATAACAAGTAATGAGATTGAAGCCATAAATAAAAACCTTCTACCAGTAAAGAAAAGCCTGAGACCTGATGGCTTCACTGCTGATTATTCTACCAGTTAAAAACTAATACAAATCCTACTCAAACTATTCTAAAAAAAAAAAAAAAAAAAAAAAAAAAAAAAAAAAAAAACTCAAAGAGGAGTGAATACTTCCAAACTCATTCTATGTGGCCAGTAATACCCTGATAACAACACCAAGCAAAAACACATCAAAAAAAGAAAACTATCAGCCAATAACCCTGATGAATATTGATGCAAACATTCTCCATAAAATATTAGCCAACCAAATTCCACAATACATTAAAAAAATCATTCATCATGGCCAAATGGGATTCATCCCTGTGATGCAAGCATGGTTTAACATACAAAACTCAATCAATGGAATACATCATGTCAACAGAATGAAGGACAAAAACCATATGATCATTTCAATTGATGCTGAAAAGTCATTTGATAAAATTCAACATCCTTTCATAATAACAACTCTCAAAAAACTGGGGCTAGAAGGAACATACTTCAACATGATAAAAGCCATATATGACAGACCCACAGCTGCCATCATGCTGAATAGGGAGAAGACCTGAAAGCCTTTCCTTTAAGATGTGGAACAGGACAAGGATGCCCAGTTTCACCACTGTTATTCAACATAGTACTGAAAATCCTAGCTAGAGCAAACTGACAATAGAATGATATGAACAGCATCCAAACTGAAAAGGAAGAAGTTAAATTACCCATTTTTAAAATGATATAATCTTACATTTAGGAAAAACTAAATACTCCACAAATAAATTGTTAGAACTAATAATAAACTCAGTAAAGTTCCAGGATACAAAATCAGCATACAAAAATCATTAGCATTTCTATTAGGTTGTTTCAAAAGTAATTGCTATTTTTGCTGTTAATGGCAAAAACCACAATTATTTTTGAACCAACCTAATATATGCCAGCAGTGAACAATCTGAAACAGAAGTAAAAAAAAAAAAAGTAATCCCATTTACAATAGCCACCAATAAAATTATATATCTAGGAATTAACTGAAGAAGTAAAAAATTTCTACAATAAAAACTATAAATAAATAAACTAAAAATTTCTACAATAAAAACTATAAATAAATAAACTAAAAATTTCTACAATAAAAACACTGGCTGGGCATGGTGGCTCATGCCTGTAATCCCAGCACTTCGGGAAGCTGAGGCAGGTGGATCACTTGAGGTCAGGGGTTCAAGACCAGCCTGGCCAACATGGTAAAATCCTATGTCTACTAAAAATACAAAAACTAGCCAGAGGTGGTGACAAGCACCTGTAATCTTAGCTACTCAGGAGGTTGAGGCAGGAGAATCACTTGAATCCAGGAGGCAGAGGTTACAGTAAGCTGAGATTGCACCACCATACTCCAGCCTGGGTGACAGAGTGAGACTGTCTCAAAAAAAAAAAAAAAAAAAAAAAAAACTATGAAAGAAATTGAAGATGACACCCAAAAATAGATATTTTATGTTTATGGATTGGAATAATTCACATTGTTAAAATGCCCATAGTACCCAAAGCAATCTACAGATTCAATGCAATCCCTATCAAAATACCAATAACATTCCTCACAAAAATAGAAAAACCTATCCTAAAATTTATATGGAACCACAGGAGACCCAGAATAGCCAAAGCTATCCTAAGCAAAAAGAACAAAACTGGAGGAATTGCATTACCTGACTTCAAATTATGCTACAAATCTATAATAACAAAAGCAGCTTGGTCCTGGCATAGAAACAGACACATAGAACAATGGAATAGAATAGAAAATCCAGAAACAAATCCACACACCTACAATGAACTCATTTTTAACAAAGGTACCAAGAACATACAGTGGTAAAAAGAATGAGACTAGACCCCTACCTCTTGCCATATACAAAAATCAAATCAAAATGAATGAAAGACATAAATCTGATTTCAAACTATGAAACTACTACAATAAAACATTGAGGAAACTCTCCAGGATATTGGTTTGGCCAAAGATTTCTTGAGTAATACCCCACAATCACAGGCAACAAAAGCAAAAATGAACAAACGGGATCACCTCAAATTAAACAGCTTCTACACAGAAAAGGAAACAACCAAAAAAGTGAAGAGACAACCCACAGAATAGGATACAATATTTGCTAACTATCCCTCTGACAAGGGATTAACAACTAGAACATATAAGGAGCTCAAATAGCTCTATAGGAAAAAATCTAATCATCTGATCAAAAAATGAACAGAAAATTTCAATAGACATTTCTCAAAAGAAGACATACAAATGGCAAATAGACTTATAAAAATCTGCTCAACATCATTAATAATAAAGAAACACAAACCAAAACTACAATAAAATATAATCTCACCCCAGTTAAAATGGCTTAACAAATGCTGGTGAGAATGTGGAGAAAAGGGGACCCTCATACACTATTGGTGGGAATGCAAGTTAGTACAACTACTATGGAGAACAGTTTGGAGGTTCCTTAAAAAGCTAAAAATAGAGCTACCATATGATCCAGGAGTCCTATTGCTGGGTACACCCCAAAGAAAGGAAATCAGTACATCAAAGAGATATCTGCACTCCCATGTTTATTGTACCCCTGTTCACAATGGCCAAGATTTGGAAGCAAACTATGTGTCCAAAAACAGATAAATGGATAAAGAAAACATGGTACTTACACAGAATAGAGTACCAATCAACCATAAAAAATATTTTAAAAAGAAGACTCAGTCATTTGCAACAACATGGGGGGAAATGGAGGTCAGTATGCTAAGTGAAATAAGCCAGGTGCAGAAAGACAAACATTATGGGTGGAGCCAAGATGGCCGAATATGAACAGCTCCAGTCTACAGCTCCCAGCATGAGCGACACAGAAGATGGGTGATTTCTGCATTTCCAACTGAGGAACTGGGTTCATCTCACAGAGGAGTGTCAGACAGTGGGTGCAGGACAGTGGGTGCAGTGCACCGAGTGTGAGCTGAAGCAGGGCGAGGCACCACCTCACCAAGGAAGCATAAGGGGTCAGGGAATTCCCTTTCCTAGTCAAAGAAAGAGGTGACAGATGCCACCTGGAAAATTGGGTCACTCCCACCCTAATACTGCACTTTTCCAATGGTCTTAGCAAACGGCACACCAGGAGATTATATCCCACACATGGCTCGGAGGGTTCTACACCCACGGAGCCTCGCTCATTGCTAGCACAGCAGTCTGAGATCAAACTGCAAGGGGCAGCGAGGCTGCGAGAGGGGCGCCCGCCATTTCCGAGGCTTCAGTAGGTAAACAAAGCGGTCGGGAAGCTCGAACTGGGTGGAGCCCACTGCAGCTCAAGGAGGCCTGCCTGCCTCTGTAGACTCCACCTCTGGTGGCAGGGCATAGCCAAACAAAAGGCAGCAGAAACCTCTGCAGACTTAAATGACCCTGTCTGACAGCTTTGAAGAGAGTAGTGGTTCTCCCAGCACTCAGCTGGAGATCTGAGAATGGACAGACTGCCTACTCAAGTGGGTCCCTGAGACCTGAGTAGCCTAACTGGGAGGCACTCCCCAGTAGGGGCAGACTGATACCTCACATGGCTGGGTACTCCTCTGAGACAAAACTTCCAGAGGAACGATCAGGCAGCAACATTTGCTGCTCACCAACATCTGCTATTCTGCAGCCTCCGCTGCTGATATCCAGGCACACAGGGTCTGGAGTGGACCTCCAGCAAACTCCAACAGACCTGCAGCTGAGTGTCCTGCCTGTTAGAAGGAAAACTAACAAACAGAAAGGACATTGACACCAAAACCCTGTCTGTACACCACCATCATCAAAGACCAAAGGTAGATAAAACCACAAACTTGGGGAAAAAACAGAGCAGAAAAACTGGAAACTCTAAAAATCACAGCGCCTATCCTCCTCCAAAGGAACGCAGCTCCTCACCAGCAACAGAACAAAGCTGGATGGAGGACGACTTTGACAAGTTAAGAGAAGAAGGCGTCAGAGGATCAAACTACTCTGAGCTAAAGGAGGAAGTTCGAACCCATGGTAAAGAAGGTAAAAACCTTGAAAAAAATTAGATGAATGGCTAAGTAGAATAACCAATGCAGAGAAGTCCTTAAAGGACCTGATGGAGCTGAAAACCACAGCATGAGAACTACGTGACGAATGCACAAGCCTCAGTAGCCGATTTGATCAACTGGAAGAAAGGGTATCAGTGATGGAAGATCAAATGAATGAAATGAAGCAAGAAGAGAAGTTTAGACAAAAAAGAATAAAAAGAAATGAATAAAGTCTCCAAGAAATATGGGACTATGTGAAAAGACCAAATCTACATCTGATTGGTGTACCTGAAAGTGACAGGGAGAGTGGAATCAAGCTGGAAAACACTCTGCAGTTTATTATCCAGGAGAACTTCCCCAGTCTAGCAAGGCAGGCCAACATTCAAATTCAGGAAATACAGAGAACGCCACAAAGATACTCTTTGAGAAGAGCAACTCCAAGACACATAATTGTCAGATTCACCAAAGTTGAAATGAAGGAAAAAATGTTAAGGGCAGCCAGAGAGAAAGGTCGGGTTACCCACAAAGGGAAGCCCATCAGACTAACAGAGGATCTTTTTGCAGAAACTCTACAAGCAAGAAGAGAGTGGGGGCCAATATTCAACATTCCTAAAGAAAAGAATTTTCAACCCAGAATTTCATATCCAGCCAAACTAAGCCTCACAAGCGAAGGAGAAATAAAATACCTTATAGAACAAGCAAATGCTGAGAGATTTTGTCACCACCAGGCCTGCCCTAAAAGAGCTCCTGAAGGAACAACCAGTACCAGCCACTGCAAAAACATGCCAAATAGTAAAGACCATCCATGCTAGGAAGAAACTGCATCAACTAACAAGCAAAATATCCAGCTAACATCATAATGACAGGATCAAATTCACACATAACAATATTAACTTTAAATGTAAATGGACTAAATGCTCCAATTAAAAGACACAGACTGGCAAATTGGATAAAGAGGCAAGACCCATCAGTGTCCTGTATTCAGGAAACCCATCTCATGTGCAGAGACACACATAGGCTCAAAATAAAGGGATGGAGGGAGATCTACCAGGCAAATGGAAAACAAAAAATGGCAGGGGTTGCAATCCTAGTCTCTGATAAAACAGACTTTAAACCAACAGAGATCAAAAGAGACAAAGAAGGCCATTACATAATGGTAAAGGGATCAATTCAACAGGAAGAGCTAACTAGCCTAAATATACATGCACCCAATACAGGAGCACCCAGATTCATAAAGCAAGTCCTTAGAGACCTACAAAGAGACTCAGACTCCCACACAATCATACTGGGAGTCTTTAACTCCCCACTGTCAACATTAGACAGATCAATGAGACAGAAAGTTAACAAGGATATCCAGAAACTGAACTCAGCTCTGCACCAAGCAGACCTAATAGACATCTACAAAACTCTCCACCCCAGATCAACAGAATATACATTCCTTTCAGCACCACACCTATTCCAAAATTGACCACATAGTTGGAAGTAAAGCTCTCCTCAGCAAATGTAAAAAACAGAAATTATAACAAACTGTCTCTCAGACCACAGTGAAATCAAACTAGAACTCAGGATTAAGAAACTCACTCAAAACCGCTCAACCACATGGAAACTGAACAACCTGCTCCTGAATGACTACTGGGTACATAACAAAATGAAGGCAGAAATAAAGATGTTCTTGAAACCAACGAGAACAAAGACACAACATACCAGAATCTCTGAGACACATTCAAAGCAGTGTGCAGAGGTAAATTTATAGCACTAAATGCCCACAACAGAAAGCAGGAGAGATCCAAAATTGACACCCTAACATCACAATTAAAAGAACTAGAAAAGCAAGAGCAAACACATTGAAAAGGTAGCAGAAGGCAAGAAATAACTAAGATCAGAGCAGAACTGAAGGAGACAGAGACACAAAAAACTCTTCAAAAAATCAATGAATCCAGGAGCTGGTTTTTTGAAAAGATCATCAAAATTGTTAGACCACTAGTAAGACTAATACAGAAGAAAAGAGAGAAGAATCAAATAGATGCAATAAAAAATAATAAAGGGGATATCACCACCAATCCCACAGAAATACAAATTACCATCAGAGAATACTATAAACACCTCTATGCAAATAAACTAGAAAATCTAGAAGAAATGGATAAATTCCTGGACACATACACCCTCCCAAGACTAAACCAGGAAGAAGTTGAATCTCTGAATAGACCAATAACAGGCTCTGAAATTGGGACAATAATTAATAGCTTACCAACCAAAAAAAGTCCAGGACCAGATGGATTCACAGCCGAATTCTACCAGAGGTATAAGGAGGAGCTGGTACCATTCCCTCGGAAACTATTCCAATCAATAGAAAAAGAGGGAATCCTTCCTAACTCATTTTATGAGGCTTGCATCATCCTGATACAAAGCCTGGCAGAGACACAACAAAAGAAGAAAATTTTAGACCAATATCCCTGATGAACATCGACGCAAAAATCATCAATAAAATACTGACAAACCAAATCCAGCAGCACATAAAAAGCTTATCCACCATGATCAAGTGGGCTTCATCCCTGGGATGCAAGGCTGGTTCAACATATGCAAATCAATAAACGTAATCCAGCATATAAACAGAATCAATGACAAAAACCACATGATTATCTCAATAGATGCAGAAAAGGCCTTTCACAAAATTCAACAGCCTTTCATGCTAAAAACTCTCAATAAATTAGGTATTGATGGGATGTATCTCAAAATAATAAGAGCTATCTATTGCAATTCCACAGCCAATATAATACTGAATGTGCAAAAACTGGAAGCATTCTCTTGGAAAACTGGCACACGACAGGGATGCCCTCTCTCACCACTCCTATTCAACACAGTGTTGGAAGTTCTGGCCAGGGCAATCAGGCAGGAGAAGGAAATAAAGGGTATTCAATTAGGAAAAGAGGAAGTCAAATTGTCCCTGTTTGCAGATGACATGATTGTATATCTAGAAAACCCCATCATCTCAGCCCAAAATCTCCTTAAGCTGATAAGCAACTTTAGGAAAGTCTCAGGATACAAAATCAATGTGCAAAAATCACAAGCATTCTTATACACCAATAACAGACAAACAGCCAAATAATGAGTGAACTCCCATTCACAATTGTTTCAAAGAGAATAAAATACCTAGGAATCCAACTTACAAGGGATGTGAAGGACCTCTTCAAGGAGAACTACAAACCACTGCTCAATGAAATAAAAGAGGATACAAACAAATGGAAGAACATTCCATGCACATGGATAGAAAGAATCAATATCATGAAAATGGCCATACTGCCCAAGGTAATTTATAGATTCAATGCCATCCCCATCAAGCTACCAATGACTTTCTTCACAGAACTGGAAAAAACTACTTTAAAGTTCACACGGAACCAAAAAAGAGCCTGCATTGCTAAGTCAATCCTAAGCCAAAAGAACAAAGCAGGAGGCATCATGCTACCTGATTTCAAACTATACTACAAGGCTACAGTAACGAAAACAGCATGGTACTGGCACCAAAACAGAGATATACACGAATGGAACAGAACAGAGCCCTCAGAAAAAATACCACACATCTACAGCCATCTGATCTTTGACAAACCTGACAAAAACAAGCAATGGGGAAAGGATTGCATATTTAATAAATGGTGCTGGGAAAACTGGCTAGCCATATGTAGAAAGCTGAAACTGGATCCCTTCTTACACCTTATACTAAAATTAATTCAAGATGGATTAAAGACTTAAACGTTAGGCCTAAAACCATAAAAACCCTAGAAGAAAACCTAGGCAATACCATTCAGGACATAGGCATGGCCAAGGACTTCATGTCTAAAACATCAAAAGCAATGGCAACAAAAGACAAAATTGACAAATGGGAGCTAATTAAACTAAAGAGCTTCTGCACAGCAAAAGAACCTACCATCAGAGTGAACAGGCAACCTACAGAATGGGAGAAAAATTTTGCAATCTACTCATCTGATAAAGGGCTAATATCCAGAATCTACAATGAACTCAAACAAATTTACAAGGAAAAAACAAACAACCCCATCAAAAAGTGGGTGAAGGACATCAACAGACACTTCTCAAAAGAAGACATTTATGCAGCCAAAAAACACGTGAAAAAATGCTCACCATCTCTGGCCATCAGAGAAATGCAAATCAAAACCACAATGAGATACCATCTGACACCAGTTAGAATGGCAATCATTAAAAAGTCAGGAAACAACAGGTGCTGGAGAGGATGTGGAGAAATAGGAACACTTTTACACTGTTGATGGGACTGTAAACTAGTTCAACCATTGTGGAAGTCAGTGTGGCGATTCCTCAGGGATCTAGAACTAGAAATACCATTTGACCCAGCCATCCCATTACTGGGTATATACCCAAAGGACTATAAATCATGCTGCTATAAAGACACATGCACACGTATGTTTATTGCGGCACTATTCACGATAGCAAAGACTTGGAACCAACCCAAATGTCCAACAATGATAGACTGGATTAAGAAAATGTGGCACATATACACCATGGAATACTATGCAGCCATAAAAAATGATGAGTTCATGTCCTTTGTAGGGACATGGATGAAATTGGAAACCATCATTCTCAGTAAACTATCGCAAGAACAAAAAACCAAACACCGCATATTCTCACTCATAGGTGGGAATTGAACAATGAGATCACATGGACACAGGAAGGGGAATATCACACTCTGGGGACTGTGGTGGGGTCGGGGGAGGGGGGAGGGATAGCATTGGGAGATATACCTAATGCTAGATGACACGTTAGTGGGTGCAGCGCACCAGCATGGCACATGTATACATATGTAACTAACCTGCACAATGTGCACATGTACCCTAAAACTTAGAGTATAATAACAAAAAAGAAAACATTAAAAAAAAAAAAATAAAAAAAAATAAAAAAAAACAAAAATCATATGATCATTTTCAATAGATGCAGAATAAGCATTCGATAAAATCCAGCATCGTTTTATGATAAAAACCCTCAACAAACTAGGCACAGAAGGAAAACACATCAAATAATGAAAGCCATATATGGAAGAGGGGGACAAGATGGCCAACTACACACAGCCAAGAAGTGCCACTCCCACTGAGAGAGAACAAAATATCAGGTAAACCAAAATTACTTGAGCGGATCTTCAGAGAGAAAATACTTATTGGATGGTGAGATGATGCAGATTCTAAAAATAGAGAGAGAGGAAGCTGGGAATCCTGCACAGGGTAGCTGAATGGCTCCTGGGGAAGGGGTGAGTGAAGGAACTGAGGCACAGCCTATTCTCACTGCAGACCTCTGAGATCCTACCTACGGGGGACCCCACATGCCCCATGGGCATCTGAGCTGGCAGGGAGATCTTCCCAGAGAATAGGCAGAGACAAGGCTTCAGGCAGCAAAGAGCCCATGGACTTTTGCATGTGGACAGCTTCGGGGAAGTACGATCATTAGCACCCATCCCCCAGAGCTTCCCCCTCACTCTAAGAAGCTCTAGCCCCAACTGACTGCCAGGCCAGGAGACAGTGGGATCAGCATCCCCATGGGACTGAAGCATGTCTGTTCTATAGGCCCTTCTGCCTGTCAGCCCATCCCGGGGCCCCCTCTTGGCCGTCACAGGAGCATTGTGCACAGTGCAGCCTCCATTGCCCAGCCTGAAGGCTTTGCTCCATCTGAGTACTTTCCTGGTGACCTGGGAGCACTTTAGATGCCCCAGCACAGTTGGAGCTCAACCCCAAGCTGCAGGCCAGACCCAGCACCCCAGGGCTATGTTGTACAGCTCAAGGGTGCCAAGCCAAGATCTGCGGCTGACACTTGAGCAGAGGAGGAGCCCTCATTCTCAGAGTACTGAGAGGGGTAAGATAAATGGGTTCATGGCTCATGATGGGAGTGGGCATTTCTCCATCCACAGGGCCAGCCCAGAAAGGATGTACCCTATCTCTCTGCCAGGGCCTCCACCTGAGGGAGCACACAGCCTAAAGCACCTAACAAAATAAATGTGGTGCAGCACGAGTAATCAGTGTGCTCTCCTCCAAGGCCCAGGAGACTGGTGAGAGGGTCAACTCACTCCCACCTCAAATGCAAAGCATGCCTGTGAATGTGAGGAAATACAAGAGTCACGAAGCTAAGAGCCTATCTATTGGCCATTAGTCCTAAGTGCCATGTACTGGAAGGAAGCTCAAACTACACCACCAGAAAATACTCTGCTAATATGCACCCTGTGATAACCAAGGGCAAGAATCCAGTAACGAATAAAAATCCTGTACAGACCCTTGACCCTCTGGAAGCATCTAGAATTGAATACAACTGACTGTACTCAAATTACACCACAATTAAAAGAACACCGGCCCTCCTAGATGAGAAAGACTCAGCACAAGAACCCCAGCTATTCAAAATGCCAGAGTGTTCCCTTACCTTCAAATGCACCCACTAGCTCCCCAGCAAAGATCCTTAATGAGACTGAAATGATTGAAATAACAGCCATAGAAATCAGAATCTGGATGGTAAGAAAGCTCATCAAGATTAGGGAGAAAGTTAAAACCCAATCCAAAAAATCTAGCAAAATGATCTGAAGCCAAACACAAAATAGCCATTTTAAGAAAGAACCCAGCTGAACTTCTGGAACTGAAAACTTCATTACAAGAACTATATAATGCAACTGGAAGTATATCAGATAAAAAACAGCCTTTAAAACAACAATCAGAAGGGACAAAGAAGAACATGACATAATGATAAAGGGCTCCATTCACAAGAAGGCTTGGCTATCCTAAATAAAAATGTGCAAGCAATGTGGCACCCAATTCATAAAACAAGTCCTCTTCACCTATGAAAACATTTAGCCAGCCAAACAATAATAGTGGAAGACTTTAACACCTCCTGACAGCATTTGACATGTCATCAAAGAAGAAAACTAACAAAGAGATTCTGGAATTAAACACAACACTTGACCAATCGGACCTAATAGACATCTACAGAATACTACACCCAACAACCACAGAGTATACATTCTTCTCACCTGCACATGGAACATTGTCTAAGAATGACCATATGCTCAGTCATAAAGCAAGGCTCAATAAATTCTAAAAAGTTCAAATCATACCAAGCACACTCTCAGACCACAGCATATTAAATATAAAAGTCAACATCAAAAAGTTTTCTCAAAACTACACAAATACATGAAAATTAAACAATTTGCTGCTGAGTGAACAATAAAATTTAAGCAGAAATTATTTTAAATTGAAATTAATGAAAATAAGGATACAATTTACAAAATATTGGGGATACATCTAAAGCAGTGTTAAGAGGAAAGTTTTGTAATGCTAAATGCCTCATCAAGAAGTTAGGAAGATCTAAAATTAACAAGCTAATGTTGCACCTATACAATCTAGAGAAAAAAAAAGAACAAATAAACCCTAAAGCTAGCAGAAGAAAATAATTAACTAAAATTAGATAAATAACTAAATAAAACTGAGACACAAAAATACATACAAAAGATCAATAAAACCAAAAATTTTGTTTTTCAAAATAATAAGTAAAATTGATAGACCATTAGCTAGATTAACACAGAAAAAAAAGAGAATATCCAAATAAGTACAATCAGAAATTACAAAAATGATATAACAGACTGCACAACAATACAAAATATCATCAGAGGCCATTATGAACAACTGTATGCACACAAGTTAGAAAATCTAGAGGAAATGGATAAATTCCTGGAAACATTTGACCTCCCAATATTGGAACAGGAAGAAAGTGAAAACTTGAACAGACCAATTATAAGTTAAAAACTGAAGCAGTAATAAATTAAAAAAAAAAACTAGAAAACAAAAAAAGCTCTGAACCAGATGGAATCACAGCCAAATTCTACAAGATCTATACAGAAGTACTGGTACTAATTCTACTGAAACTATTCCAAAATATTGAGGAGGAGGGCCTCCTCCCTAACAGCTTCTATGAAGCCAGAATCAGATTGATAACAAAATCTAGCAAAGACACAATAAAAAAAAGAAACTTTAGTCCAATATCCCTGATGAACATAGAGGCAAACATCCTCAACAAAATACTAGCAAACTGAATCCAGCAGCACATAGAAAAGTTAATTCACCTCAATCAAATTGGTTTCATTCCTGGGATCCAAGCCTGGTTCAACACATGCAAGTCAATAAATGTGATTCACCACAAGAACAGAACTAAAAGCAAAACTATATGATCATCTCAATGCAGAAAAAGCCTTTGATAAAAATACAACATCCCTTTATGATAAAAAGCCTCAACAGACTAAGCACCAAGGGAATACACCCCAAAACAATGAAAGCCATCTATGAAGAACCCACAGCTGACATCATACTGAATAGGCAAAAGCTGGAACCATTCCCCTTGAGAACTGGAACAATACAAAGATGGCAACTCTCACCACTCTTATTCAACATAGCACTGGAAGTCCTACCCAGAGCAATCAAGCAAGAGAAATAAATAAAAGACATGCACATAACAAAAGAAAAACAAACTTTCTGTCTTTGCTGACAATATGATTCTATACTTAGAAAATCCTAAAGACTCTTCCAAAAAGCTCCTAGAACTTATTAACAACTTTAGTAAAGTTTCAGTATACAAAATCAATGTACGAAAATCAGTAGCATTTCTATACACCAATAATGTTCAAGCCGAAAGTCAAATTAAGAACACAATCCCATTTAAAATAGACACACCAAAAAATGAAATATGTAGGACTACATCTAACCAAGTAAGTGAAAGATCACTATAAAGAGAACTACAAAAAATTGCTGTAAAAATCAGAAATGACACAAATAAATGGAAAAATATTCCATGCTCATGTATTGGAAGAATCAGTATTATTAAAATAAGCATACTGTGCAAAGCAACTTACAGATTCAATGTTATTCCTATCAAGCTACCAGTGTCATTCTTCACAGAATTAGAAAAAACTATTCTAAAATTCATATGGAACCAAAAATGAGCCTTAATAGCCAGAGCAACCCTAAGCAAAAAGAACAAAGTCAAAGCCATCACACTATCCAACTTCAAACTATACTATAAGGCTACAGTAACCAAAACAGCATGGTACTGGTACAAAACAGGCCCATATACCAACAGAACAGCACAGAGAACCAAGAAATAAAGCTGCACACCTATAACCATCTGATCTTTGACAGGTTATCTGATCTTTGACAGATATTTTTGTCAAGCATCTGATTCTTGACAAAAACAAGCATGAGGAAAGGACTCCCTATTCAATAAATGGTACTGGGATAACTGGCTAGCTGTATGTAGAAGAATGAAACTAGATCCATAAGTTTCACCATACACAAAATTAATTCAAGATGGATTAAAGATTTAGCCTAATACCTGAAACCATAAAAATTCCAGAAGAAACCCTAGGAAAAACTACTCTAGACATTGGCCTAGGAATAAATTTACGACTAAGACCCCAAAACCAAGTGTAACAAAAACAAGTAAATGGGACCTAATTTAAAAAAAAGAAACCTTTTGCATAGCAAAACAATAATCAATGAATAGACAATCTACAGAATGGAAAAAAAATACTTGCAAACCATGCCTCTGACAAAGGACTAGTGTTCAGAATCTACAAGGAACTCAAACAAATGAGCAAGAAAAACAAATCCCATTAAAAAGTGGACAAATGACATGAACAGACATTTCTTAAAAGAAGATACACAAATGACCAAAAAACATATGAAAAATGCTCATCATCACTAATCATCAGGGAAATGCAAATTAAAACCACAGTGAGATACCACCTTACCTCAGCCAGAATGGTCATTAATTAAAAGTCAGGAAACAAATAGATACTGGCACAGATATGGTCAAAAGGGAACACTTACACACTACTGGAGGGCATGTAAACTAGTGCAATCTCATGGAAAACAATATGGAAATTTCTCAAAGAATTAAAAATAGATTCATCATTTGATTCAGAAACACACTACTGGGTATCTATCCAAAGGAAAAAAGTTATTATATCAAAAAGATACCTGCATGTGCATGTTTATCACAGCACAATTCACAATTGCAAAGATATGAAATCAACCTAAGAGCCCAACAACCAATGAGTGGATAAAGAAAATGTGATATGTATACATGGCATTTCGTTTTGAGGATTAGATTGTAAATATAATAGTAAATATAATGTATCTGTATACATTTTTATAGTATTTTATTTTCATTACAATCTAAGTATTTTTAAATTTAATAATCATTATTTAATCAACATATTATTTAGCAACATGTATTTGAAAAGTCTATTTTATTGAGGGTAGTTAGCTTTTAATTATTGATTTCTAACTTAAACATACTGCAATCATAAAACATGGTTTATAAGATATTGATGTCTGGTTTTCATTAAGTTTTACTTTATGCCCTAGCACACAGTCAATATTTATCAATGAACCATGTGTAATTGGAAATAATATTTCTTTCTTTAGAGTACAAAGTTAGTAAATGTTCATTAGAACAAACTATTGACTATGTTACTCAAAATGTATATAACCTTAACCTTATCATTTTTTGTTTGCTTTTTTTACTGAGAGGCATTATTCTATAGTAGTTTACAGTATAGACTTGCTGCATTCCAAGCCTGGTTCTACCATATGCAAGCTGAGACCTTGAGCAATCTTTTTAGCCCTTATATACTTCAGTTTCCTTATCTGCAAAGTGAAGCAAATAATAATATATTGTATAAAGTTGTTATTTATTTTAAAGTAGTTGATACTTATAAGGGGCAATTATAATAAAATCTATCTATAAAGTTGTTATGACAGTTAAATATGTTGATGCATATTAAGCTACTAAAACCGTGTATACCTTATAGTAAAATCTCAATAAATGTTACCTGTTTTTAAAAATTGAGTAAAATCTACAAATGTTATAGTGTATTTACTAAATTTAACTCTTTTTAATTAGCTACACATAACATCGGAATGTTTTTATCTTCCCAGTGATGTGTTCCTTATGCACAGGATAAGGGATATATTATCACTCCTTATCCTGAATATTCTCTTTTTGCTGTAAACACTACTTTGTGTCATATTTATATAGTTGTATCAGCTTTCTTTGGGATAGTATTTGCCTAGTATAATTTTCTATCCTTTAAAATTTTTTTCTGTGTCATTATAATTACATGAATCTCTTATAATCTGCATGTAGCAGTATTTTAATTTCAATTTGATAATTTATGTATTTTTTAATCTTTAGTTTTAGTTTTAGGGTACATGTGCAGGATGTGCAGGTTTGTTACATAGGTAGATGTGTGCCATAGTGGTTTGCTGTACCTATCAACCTATCACCTAGGTATTAAGCCCAGCATGCATTAGCTATTTTTCCTGATACTCTCCCTCCCCACACCCCACCCCAAACAGGCCCCAGTGTGTGTTTTTCGCCTCCCTGTGTCCATGTGATCTCATTGTTCAGCTCTCACTCATAAGTGAGAACATGCAGTGTTTGATTTTCTGTTCTTGCATTAGTTTTCTGAAGATAATGGCTTCCAGCTTCATCCATGTCCCTGCAAAGGACATTATCTCATTCCTTTTCATGGCTGCATAGTATTCTATGGTGTATATGTACCACATACTACATTTTCTTTATCCAGTCTACCACTGATGGACATTTGGGTTGATTCTGTGTCCTTGCAGTTGTGAATTATGCTACAATGAACATACACATGCATGTATCTTTGTAATAGAACGATTTATATTCCTTTGGGTATATACCAGTAATGGGATTGCTGGGTCAAATGCTATTTCTGGTTCTAGATCTTTGAGGAATCGCCATACCATCTTCCACAACGGTTAAACTAATTTACATTCTCACCAACAGTGTAAAAGCACTCCTGTTTCTCTGCAATCTCACTATCATCTGTTGTTTCTTGGCTTTTTAATAATGGCCATTCTGGCTGGCATGAGATGGTATCTCATTGTGGTTTTGATTTGCATTTCTCTAACGATCAGTGATGTTGAGCTTTTTTTCATATGTTTTTTGGCCACATGAATGTCTTCTTTTGAGAAGTGTCTGTTCATGTCCTTTGCCCACTTTTTAATGGGGTTGTTTTTTTTTCTTGTAAATTTGTGTTCCTTGTATATTCCGGATATTAGAACTTTGTCAGATGGATAAATTGCAAAGATATTTCTCCTACTCTGTAGGTTGCCTGTTCACTCTAATGTTAGTTTCTTTTGCTGTGCAGAAGCTCTTTAATTAGATCCTGTTTGTCAATTTTTACCTTTTTCACAATTGCTTTTAGTGATTTCATCATGAAATCTTTGTGTGTACCTAAATTTTCTTCTAGGGTTTTTATAGTTTTTGGTTTTACATTTAAGTCTTTAATCCATCTTGAGTTAATTTTTGTGTAAGGTGTGAGGAAGGGGTGCAGTTTCAATTTTCAGCAAATGAATAGCAAGTTCTCCCAGCACCATTTATTAAATCCTGGTCAGACATGGTTGTTCACACCTGTAATTCCAGCACTTTGGGAGGCCAAGGTGGGCAGATCACCTGAAGTCAGGAGTTTGAGACCAGCTTGGTCAACATGGTGAAACCTTTTCTCTACTAAAAATACAAAAAATAGCCAGGGATGGTGGCAGACACCAGTAATCCCAGCTACTTGGGAGACTCAGGCAGCAGAATTGCTTCAACCTGGGAGGCAAAAGTTGCAGTGAGCCAGGATCGAGCCACTGCATTCCAGCCTGGGCAACAGAGCAAGACTATCTCACAAAAATTAAATTAAATTAAATTAAATTAAATTAAATTAAATTAAATTAAATTTAAATTTAAATTTAAATTAAATGAATTCTTTCCCCCATTGCTTTTTTTGGTCAGGTTTGTCAAAGATCAGATGGTTGTAGATGTGCGATCTTACTTCTGAGTTCTCTATTCTGTTCCATTGGTCTGTGTGTCTGCTTTTGTACCAGTCCCATACTGTTTTGGTTATTGTAGCCTTACAGTATAGTTTGAATACTGGTAGGGTGATACCTCCAACTTTGTTCTTTTTGCTGAGGATTGTCTTGGCTATACAGGCTCTTTTTTGGTTCCGTATGAATTTTAAAATTGTTTTTTTCTAATTCTGTGATGAATGTCAATGGTAGTTTAATGGGAATAGCATTGAATCTATAAATTACTTTGGGCAGCATGGCCATTTTCATGGATATTGATTCTTCTTATCCATTAGCATAGAATAGTTTTCATTTGTTTGTGTCCTTCCTCCCTGGCTCCCTTAAGAAGAGTTTTGTAGTTCTCCTTGAAGAGGTCCCTCACATCCCTGTTACCCCAGCTGTTAACTCTTTTTATTCTCTTTGCAGCAACTGTGAATGGGAATTCATTCATGATTTGGTTCTCTGCTTGCCTGCTGTTAGTGTATAGGAGTGCTTTTGACTTCTGCACATTGATTTTGTATCATGAGACTTTGCTGAAGTTGTTTATCAGCTTAAGAAGCTTTTGGGCTGAGATGCTGGGGCTTTCTAGATATAGAATCATATCATCTGCGAAAAAAGACATTTGACTTCCTCCCTTCCTATTTGAATACCTTTAATTTCTTCCTCTTGCCTGATTGTCCTGTCCAGAACTTCCAATACTATGTTGAATAGGAGTGGTGAGAGAGGGCATTCTTGTCTTATGCCAGTTTTCAAGGGGATTGCTTCTAGCTTTTGCCCATTCAGTATGATATTGGCTGTGGGTTTGTCATAGATGTCTCTTATTATTTTGAGGTATGTTCCTTCAATACCTAATTTGTTGGGAGTTTTTAACATGAAGTGATGTTGAATTTTATCAAAGACCTTTTCTGCATCTATTGAGATAATCATGTGGTTTTTGTCTTTGGTTCTGTTTAGGTGATGAATTACGTTTATTGATTTACGTATGCTGAACCAGCTTTGCATCCCAGGAATGAAGCCAACTTGATAGTGGTGGATAAGCTTTTTGATGTGCAGCTGGATTTGGTTTGCCAGTGAGAATTTTTGCATTGATGTTCATCAGGAATATTGGCCTCAAGTTTTCTTTTTTGTTGTTGTTGTATCTCTGCCTGGTTTTGGTATCAAGATGATACTGTCCTCATAGTTAGGGAGGAGTCCCTCCTTTTCAATTGTTTGAAATAGTTTCAGAAGAAATGGTATCAGCTTCTCTTTGTATTTCTGGTAGAATTCAGTTGTAAATCCATCTGGTCCTGGGCTTTTTTTGGCTGGTAGGCTATTTATTACTGCCTCCATTTCAGAAGCTGTCATTGGTCTATTCGGGGATTTAACTTCTTCCTGGTTCAGTCTTGGGGGGATGTATGTGTCCAGGATGGATTCATTTCTTCTAGATTTTCTAGTTTATTTTTGCATAGACCTGTTTAAAGTATTCTCTGATGGTTGTTTGTAATTCTGGGCAGTCAGTGGTGATATCCCCTTGACCATTTTTGCCTATTTTTCTCTCTTTTCTTATTAGTCTAGCTAGCAGTCCATCTTTTTTATTAATTTTTTCAAAAAACCAGCTCTTGGATTGCTATTTGAAAGGTTTTTTGTGTCTCTATCTCCTTCAGTTCTGCTCTGATCTTGGTTATTTCTTGTCTTCTGTAGCTTTGGGGTTTGCTTGCTCTTGGTTCTCTAGTTCTTTTAGTTGTCATGCTGGGATGTCAATTTGAGATCTTGCGAGCTTTTTAATTTGGGCATTTTAGTGCTGTCAAATTTGCTCTTAACACCACTTTAGCTGCATCCCAGAGTTTCTGGTACCCTGCCTGTTTTCACTGGTTTCAAGGAACTTCTTATTTCTCTCTTAATTTCATGATTTACCCAGGGTCACTTTCATCAATTTCTATGTATTTGTGTAATTTTGAGTGAGTTTCTTACTCTTGAGTTCTAATTTGATTGTGCTGTGGTCTGAGAAACTGTTATGATTTCAGTTCTTTTGCATTTGCTGAGGGCTGATTTACTTCCAATTATGTAATCAGTTTTAGCGTAAGTGCCATGTGGCACTGAGAAGAATGTATATTCTGTTGTTTGGGGGTGGAAAGATCTGTAGGTATCTGTTGGATCAGCTTGGTCCAGAGCTGAGTTCAAGTCCTGTATATCTTTGTTAATTTTCTGTCTCAATGATCTAATATTGACAGTGGGGTGTTAAAATCTCTCACTATTATTGTGTGGGAGTATAAGCCTCTTTTTAGGTCATTAAGAACTTGTTTTATGAATCTGGGTGCTCCTGTATTGGATGCATATATATTTAGGATAGTTAGCTCTTCTTGTTGAATAGACCCTTTTACCAATATGTAATGCCTTTCTTTGTCTTTTTTTATCTTTGTTGATTTAAAGTCCACCAACACAAGCTCGGTCAAGAAGACCCTGACCTGGTGGCACTAGAGGAATTAAAGACACACACACAGAAATATTTAGGTGTGGAGTGGGAAATCAGGGGTCTCACAGCCTTCAGAGCTGAGAGCCTCGAACAGAGATTTACCCACATATTTGTTGACAGCAAACCAATGATAAGCATTGTTTCTATAGATTACAGATTAACTAAAAGTATAACTAAAAGTATTCCTTACGGGAAACAAAAGGATGGGCCGAAATAAAGAGATGGGTTTGACTAGTTATCCGCAGCAGGAGCATGTCCTTAAGGCACAGATCGCTCATGCTTTTGTTTGTGGTTTAAGAATGCCTTTAAGCAGTCTTCCTCCCTGGGTGGGTCAGGTGTTCCTTGCCCTCATTCTGGCAAACCCACAACCTTCCAGTGTGGGCGTCATGGCCATCATGAACATGTCACCGTGCTGCAGAGATTTTGTTTATGGCCAGTTTGGGGGCCAGTTTACGGCCAGATTTTGGGGGCCTATTCCCAATAAAAGTCTATCTTGTCAGAAACTAGGATTACAACCCCTACTTTTTTCTGTTTTAAATTTGCTTGGTAAAATTTCCTTCATCCTTTTATTTTGATCTTATGTGTGTCCTTGCATGTGAGATAGGTCTCTTGAATACAGTACACCAATGGATTTTGACTCTTTATCTAGCTTGCCACTCTGTGTCTTTTACTTGGGGCATTTAGCCCATTTACGTTTAAGGTTAATATTGTTATGTGTGAATTTGATCCTGACATCGTGATGCTAGTTGGTTATTTTGCAGACTTGTTTATGAATTTGCTTCATAGTGTCACTGATCTGTATATTTCAGTGTGTTTTTTGTAGTGGCTGGTAACAGTTTTTTCTTTTCCACATTTAGTGCTTCCTTCAGGAGCTCTTGCAAGGCCTGGAGATTACAAATTCCCTTAGCATTTGCTTATCTGAAAAAGATTTTATTTCTTCTTCACTTATGAAGCTTAGTTTGGCCAGATATGAAATTCTAGGTTAAAAATTCTTTTAAGAATGTTGAAAATTGGCCCCCAATCTCTTCTGGCTTGTAGGGATTCTGCTGAAAGGTCTGCATGTCTTTTAATTGGTATTTTAAGTATGATTAATCATAGTATTATCATTGTGTACTTGGATTTAATTCTAGGTTTTTATTTTGTGCCTTTTTACTTATTATTTCTTATTCATCTGTTTTATTGATCACATGTATTTTATTCCTCTTTTGTCCTCTCATTGTTTGAAAGTTAGATAATCTATTTTTCTGTTTAACATGTATTCTCAACTTTAAAAAAATCAAATTCACTTCCCCTAAATTTAAGATTCTTAGAATGCTTTACCACAATCACCCTCCACCTTACAGCTTATTGTTATCCAGTAGTTTAATGTTTTATAACTTACTTATTCTAAACTTTATTCATTATTAATATTGTTTAAACAGTTAATGCTTATTTTATAAATTTCCATGTTTGTCAATATTTTTGCTTCACAATTTTTCATTTTGGGTTTAATTTTCTCCTTCCTGAAAGAGGAAAAGTATGCATTTTTGTAAATTTATCACATGAAGTAAACTCTGTAGAATCATTTCCAGTGAGTATCTATTAGTGGTAAACTAATTCAGTTTGTGTTTATCTGAAAATGTGTTTATTTTGACCTTGCACTTAAAGTGTAGAGTTTTAGGCTGATGGTTATTTATCTCAGCACATAGAAAATCTTTTGCAGTCTTAATTTCTAACACTGCTGTTGAAAAAGCTGGCTGACAAACAAACTTTAATTCTTTCTTAGGTAATCAATCTTTCTCGGATTGCATTTAGGATTTGTCAGTATTTGTCAGTTTGACAATATACATCAAGGTGAGGATATCTTTCTCTGACTTTTGCTTGGAAATTTTTCTTATATTTTCTGAGAATTCACCTATTTTATAAATTCTGGACAAAGTCTTTACCATGATTTAAAATATTTCTTCTTTCCCATTCTCACTTTATTCTATTTCTGAAATCCCTATTAAACAAATATTGAGCCTTCTTATTCTATCCTTGATGTCATGTATCTTCTTTCATTTTCCATTTCTTTCTCCCTGATAGACATGTTCTGAGAAATTTGCTGAGATCAGTTTTTTAAATTCCAATTCTCTGAGTTTAATATGCATTTTAGCCCACTCAATGGGTTCATTTACTATATTTAATGTCATTTATTTATGCAATCTCTTAACAATATGTATTTTACTAGAACCTATGTAAGCACTGTACTTTATTTGATAAAGTTGTTTCCCATAGCTAACAATTCTGATATCACCATATATTGAAAGATTAAAGATGGTGGATAGTGGGAGCCAGGTTTCTTATTGTTGAAGATGGAAATTACTTACAAACAAAAGGAGGTGGCTAGAATGATCTATATGGTAATGGACTAGAGTTGTAGACATTAGTATAAACTCATGCTTAGGATAATATAAATATAGATGTTACATATGTAAATATCTATATTAATATTTATATACATGGGTAAGTGTGGATACATATATTTCTTTTCTCTGTCAGCTGAAAGAACAAGAAGCAATAATAACCATGTAGCAATGAGCACACCTAGTGCCAAGATCTTGGTTTCTAATGCCATTTGTAATAGAAAGAACCATGGCCCCTTGGAGAAATGAGTGATTTTAGAACTAGAGCAGAAAATGTACAAGATAAGCCTGGAGCATCTTGCAATGCCAAAAAGTAAAAATATGCTAAGAAAAATTAAAACAAATAAAACTACATGATGAGGGCACGAGAAAGAGACACAGAAGCCAGCTGAAAAAGCTTTTGATTGCCTAAGCTAGAACAATTTCAGCAACAAAATTAATAAAGCAGTACTGGTTAGTAATCTATCGTATAAATTAAATATCCATGTATTGTTGCTGATATGAATAAATGATTAAATAAATAAATGGAGAACAGGCATATTTTTCCATGCAGATGAACTCAACATGTTTTTATAGATACTCTGTCCTAAGGGAAGTGGAATATACCTTCCCACTCCTTAATGCAGTCTGTGCATACAGGTGTGCTTCAGGGAGTACAGTATGAAAAGGGTAAAAAAAAAAAAAAGGTTGTACAAATCTGACAAACATTACTTCAGCCCAGTGATTAATGTCAATATTAATACTGATAAGTGATGTTGACGATAATATGTGCCCCTGGTATGATGTGATGAAAATGTACTTTACCTCTGTAGTGTTCTCCCCAAAAACATGAGCCCAATCTAATCATGAGACAAACATCTGACAAATCCTAGGGACATTCTATAAAATACCTGACCGGTATATCTAAAAACCTGTCAAGGTCATCAAAAACAAGGAAAGCCTGAGAAACTGTCACAGCCAAGAGGAGGTTAAGGAGATATGACAACCAAATGTAATGTGGTATCTTGGGTGAGATCCTCGAACACAAAAAGACATTAGGTAAAAACTAAGAAAATCTGAACAAAGTATCAACTTTACTTAATAATGCTAATAGTAATAATATAGACAGATTGGTTCATTAATTATAGCAAATTGTTAATAATAGAAGAAACTGAGTGTGGGTTTAGATAAACTCTCTGTACTATAGTTACAATTTTTTTGTAAATCTAATATTGTTTTTAAATAAAAACACTATTTATAAAATACATATTTTATAGCTTCCATTGCATTGTGTCATTATCTAAAGGGTTTAGGAATCTAATACTGCCATTTGTATGTGTATGTTTGCCTATTAATTCTTGTTCATAGTAGATTGTTTTGGGGGGAGCTTTACATTTTTTATTATGAGTTTATTTTCACTAAGACTTTATATCAGGGTCTTTTTTACAGCCTGTGTTGAAATAGTGTCACTCCAGAATGGTTTTTACATTGCTTCTTCTAGGTAGCTCGGAGAAATCACTCACCATTTTTGTGTCAGTCTCTCAGATCATTCCAAATCTGTAAAAGATTAAGGGTCATTATTGTGAATTCAGAGGAAGGTTTCTTTCTCACCAGAGACTTAGGTGAGAGAAGTCACACTTCTACTCCAGCATTGAGCCATGCTGAATCCTTCATGCTACACTCTGCTGTGTGGGGGCTGAATGATATGTACAGAGGAGTGGGCTCCCTAAGGGTATGAGACCAGCTTCCCTGTTGGGAGATTTTTTTGATCCATCTTTTTACTTAAGGTGTAATAGCTCTGACGGCCTGAGATGTGTGTGGCTAGGGAAAGGACTCAGTTCCAATGCTCTGCCTCACAGTACCTCATCTTGTCTCCAAGCCCTCCAGTTACCAAGACTGATACCTGTTTCACTCAATCCCCAGTCAGTCATATCTTGGACTCCTAAGTTCACATGTTAAACCTCTATGAACTTCCCTCTTCATTTTTGGCCCCTCACAACTTACTCTGTTTATTAATTCAACTATGTAGTTAAAAGGAAGTATCTTACATTTAAGTCAGAATCACTTGGTAGTTGAACCCAGAGATTTAGAATTACCTAGTCTGAAACATGGATGTGTGTCTTGCTCAAGCCACATAGCCAGTAACTGGCTGAGTCAGGACTCTAAAGGGGTTTCCTTACTTTCTGCTGTATGAATTATTTCTCCACATCCAAGTCAAAGATGAAATATGTACAATAGTGGTCCAAAAGCTCTTCAAAATTTCATTACAAAACACCTGACACGCATCCATCAGTCAAAACTTTTGGTAAAGCTTTTCATTCAGCTCATACTTTTCCATCTTGTTCACAAGAATATGGTAAATAGTATAGTGGGTTCAACAAGGTCCCCCCCAAAAAATTCATTTCGACCCAAAACCTCTGAATGTGACCTTATTTGGAAATAGGGTCTTTGCAGATGTAATTATGTTAAAATAAAGTCATACTGAATTAGGATCGGCACAAAATCCAATGACTGGTGTCCTTATAAGAAGATGACACAGCAATAAAAGGAGACTTTACAGATGGTCTCCGACTCAAAATGGTTCAACTTAACAAGTTTTCAAGTTTACAGGGATGGAAAAGCAATACACATTCAGTAGAAATTGTACTTTGTGTACCCATACAACCACTCTGTTTTTCACTTTCAGAATGGTATTCAACAAATTACATGAAACATTCAATACTTTACTATAATACATGTTTTTGATAGATTATTTTGCCCAACTGTAGGCCACCATAAGTACTCTGAGCACATTTAAGGTAGGCAAGACTAAGCTATGATATTCAGTAGGTTAAATGTATAAAATGCATTCTAACTGACAATATTTTCCATTTGTAATGAGATTATTTTAAAGTAATTTCATTTTAAGTCAAAGATTATCTGTATATAAAGATGGAAGCAAAGACTGGAATTATTCTGCCATGATCAAGGAATACCAGGAGGCACCAGGAGCGGGAAGAGGTAAGGAAGTATTCTTTCTTAGAGCCATCAGAGTGAGTGTGGTCCTGCCAACACCTTGATTTCAGACTTCTAGCCTCTAGAACGTTGGAAAGAGTTGTTGTTTTAAGCCACTAAGTTTCTGGAAATTTGTTATAACAATCATAGGAAACTAATACAAATGGATTTGCTAAATGCCTCACTAAATCAAGGTGCAGTTTCTTAGTAATTCTCCTGAAGGCTCTTCGGAACACATCTGATCCCCATGTTTTAGAGCCTTTCTCATTCTCTTTCATTTCTTGCCAGTTACTGACCATTGCTCTTTACCTCTGTAAGTCCTTTTATTGTACTAGGATACAATTTATCAGTCTGTCTCAAGGAAGGGCATTACCATTCTTGAGACCATATATCTGGGTGTCATCCTTGTCACCTTTTTCTCCCTCACTTCAGAAACTTCATCAAAAGCAAGTCCTGCTTTACTTTCCTATCTCTTATTTCTGTAGCCCCAATGTCATTCCCTATCCAGGCCACATCACTTCTGCAAGAGAGTTCTACCTCCTAGTATTCCAGTTTTTCTGTATTCATCCTTTCATTTACCCATCCATCCATCCATCCATCCAACAAAAATGTATTAAGTATCTGCTGTGAGAAGAGCATTCTGCAAGGTGCTCTCGATGCAAAAATGAATTAGAAAGAGACTAGGTCTCCGACCTGATAAGAGTTTATAACATAGTGTGGGGACAAACATTAATCAAATAATCTCACAGACTAATGTGGAATTGTCTTAGTAACAAGAACTCTGAAGAAGAGTCATGAGTGTTGCAAGTGGGACTCTTTGAAGAGGGTCTTTCTTCTCCCTCCTTAGATTAGAAGTCAAAGAAAATATCTGTGACTATTAATAGGAATGTTAAAAATAGACAGTTGAATTTGCATAAGTTATCTATAGTTACAATAGTGCCAATGTGTTCTTATATTTACATTATATTCTATAATAAGCATAGCTTTACAATTATAAAAAATGCAATAAATGAGATATTTGTAATAACCTTGGATACACTACTTTACCTCATTTGGGATGCACTGAGAACTGTGGCTTACCTGTCATCCCAGTTGCAACACTACATTTTAATTTCCTGTTTATATGTCAGTCTAAGAGCCTCTAGAAAACAGAAGTATGCCCTATTAACTTCTATGTTTCAAACACCAAACCCCACCAAGCCATTGGTAGATTCTAAATAAATGTTTTTGAATATATAGATGGATGGATGAAAATTAACAGTGAGACTATTGGACTTCTTTTTAAATAGCTGCTTATGGCAGGCAAATGTCCAGATGACAGAGGAAAAAAAATGGAAATAATTTGGACTTCTATCAGAGATGTGCTTTCAAGTATAGGGTGCATTTAAATCTTCAGCATTGTTTAATTTCATTCATGGATGAGCAAGACAACTAGGAATTTCAGCCCTCAATACTTCCACTGCAAAGTATACCTGGTTATCCATTTATCCAAATGAGTATTTAGTGTGAAACCCTCTATGTGACTTCCAAACAATGTCATCATTTTCTGAACAATGACAAGTCGATGAGCCAAATTAAGTGCCTTTTCTCATCATACACTAATTAGAATTCTTCCTAGTAGGTAAAGTTCCTTAATATAACTTTAAAACAGTACTCTACAATTCAAGGTCAAGTTTGCACTGAATAAATTAGCTTAATTCAAGTGTCACATTGATTAGGGATATTGAGCGGATGTACATATGCTTCTAGTGCTTGGAGTGCCCACGGAATCACTGAGTAATCTTTGGACATTGGCATTAAAAAACCTTTTCAGAGGAAGAACAATGTGGCTTGCCTTTGTTTGAGTTACAGATTAAACTTCTCATCAATAGAAATCCAAAGAATGTCTTTTTTTTCCATAACCATCAATGATTTTTTGAAGCATGAAGAATAAAGTACTTCTTACTGAAAACATGGTAAATAAGAAGAAAGTTCAGATATTCTAGAGAGTGGGGAATTACTTAGCATTGAAAGGGACTCTAAAATATTGCAGGCCTATAAATTGGTTGCACAGACCTCAATTTTAATCTGAAATGCAGTGGATATTCCCCCTTAGACATTATATTGTTTGGATAATTCTCTTATTTTTTAGTAGTTTGTACTTAACATGGAGTGCTCAACTCCTTTAGATGATAAGAAAATATATGTAAGTCTCGCATGCCAGTAATTCTTAACTTCGTTTAAGACTATTAAGTTAATTTGTAATTTTAAGGACATCTAATCATTGGAGAAAGCAAAGTCAGAAAATAAATGAGGGTACATTTGGCTTTGTCCTTTACTGAGGTTGGGAAATGTTGCCTCTGCCTCCATAACTAGGTCTATTACTCCCTTCAAACTTGCATCTGCAAAAGGTAATAATCTTTCACTCTCAGCAAAAATAAAGTAGGCCAGCCTTCCCTTTGGGCATATGAGCTCTGCCACTTATAGTCAGTTGCCTTCATGATGGATAGAAGTGTCTTCTTGTGTGCCATCTCCACCCCATTGTTAGTGTCATATGGAAGCATGGCTTTTTAGAAGTGGCATGACTTATTGTTTATGTCTATTGTAGAAAAAGTATGTGTCAAACATTTGCATAACTGCCAACATCTATAAACATTTATAACTTTGTGAGTTCGTCCATTTAGCTTCATTGTTCAGGTTTTTAGTTTACTTTCTTGAAGTTGCCAGCCAAGTCACCAGGGAAAGGCCCAGAAAATTACAAGCACATTAACTCTTTGCCAGCTCTCTACAAAGCAGATACCATGTCCTAAAGTCAAGATTGGTTCCAGAAACTCAAAGCCAAAGAAAGAAGTTTCTAGTGTTTACGATTCAGGGTGGGTAAGTGTTATGGACTTGTGAGAAAAATTAAGCTCCTCTAACGTAAAATCAGCCTAAGTTATTTTATTAAACTAAGAATGGGCTTGCCTAGACCAAAGAGTCTAATGATCAATGTTTTAAATAATTTCAAGATTTATTTGCTCCATGCCAAAAGGTACTCTTAGAGTAGAAGAAAGGGGGATTCACGTAAAGATATGTTCCAAAATTATCTAGGATGGCTTGGTTTCTCATTTCATGCAGACAGTTTGCTCAGGCAGATTTAAGCACAGAAACAGAGCATCCACAAAGCAGAGAACACATAGCTTGGTAAAACTTTCAAGTGATGGTGGGATAAGGACTGGATTGAGATATTTAAATAAATTTAGCCTCTAGAATCTTTAATTCTCTCCCAAATATGAGCCCTCGCAGTATCAGTTGAGCTGCCCTGAACCTTACTTGACCTGAAAAGCAGTCAAGACAAGAACATTATGTCCTAAAGTAATTTAAAATAACCTCCAAATACAGTTCCACAAGATAACAGGGGGCTGAGGGGAGAAAAGTTATCTGTGCAAGTTTGTCCAAATGTTTTGAAATTGACTATAGAAATATAATTATATTTCTCGATTTATGTTTTACATACATGGGAATGAGAAAGCAAAATGCAAATCATGCATGGTGTTCAGTCCAGGATCTTTCCCTGATTCCCCTAGGGAGACCCCCACATGCACTGGCACACAGTCTCAGATTCCATTCCTTTGTGGGTTCTTGAGACTACAGAGCCCATATCCTTGAGCTGTCTAATCTTATGTCACAGGGTTCCCGGTAGGAGTCTTCAAAGTAGGATCTACCTTGCCCCTGGGCTGCATCAAGCTACCTACCAGTGCTGAGTTCTACGTACATACCTACATGGCTTAGTCTGCAAAACACTCAAAACAAAATAACCATCTTTCTAGGTACTGAGCCAGGATTGAAAACAGTATCCATTTCCTAAGAATAAGTGAAGAATGAATTCTCACTTAATATCTCAAATCGGGAAAACTTAAACATTCTGACATTGTCACAGACTCAAATTTGCTAGGGAGGTTAAATATAAGAAAGAAAATTCAGCATCCTGATGAGCAGGCACCACTAAAACAAATTCATTACGTTTTATGCATTCAAGAAATGCATGAAACCTGAAGAACCACAGCATACACAATGCAATATTTGCTCACTGAACTCTTTTATGGCATTCACAGAAGGGGGAAAAAGTAATAAAAAGAAAAGATCCTTCAAAATATTTTTATCTTGAAGAACCACTGCTAAAATTTTGGTCAATAATTATATATTTTAACTGAATTTATTGACATTTAAATCAAGATTTGTAGTATATCTCTGTTTTCTAAAAGAAGTCCCACTACAAATTCAGTTTGGTTCAACCCATATACTTGTGAGAATAGCTAGTACGTATAAGCACTAAATCAGAACTTCAGGGTATACAGAGGTGCTTGGAATCTACTTGGGGAAAGAAAATAAGGACACATTAAAAATTAGGAAACATTTATTGAGAACCTACTCTGTGTCTTACATGGTTCTAGTTTCTTGCTCAGTGCTCTGATCCAAAGTGTATTGTTTTGTTTTGTATTTTTTAATCAAGAGAGGTACAAAAAGCCAAGTAGAAAGTTGTTGGCATTCTGAACAGTAATATTAATAAATAACAATGGGGAACACTTACTGAGAACTCTCCATAGTCTAACACTGTTATAAGCACTTTACACGTAATAACTAATTTAATGCTCACAATAACTCTATGAGGCAGGTACCATTATTACTCCTATCCTGCAGATGAGGAAAGTGAGGAAAAGAGAGGTTAGGTAACTTGCTCTACCCCTACTCACATCTACTATTCAACATGTGAATTGATCTCTCCTTCCCTCCAGAAATCCCAACAAAGGCCTGTGGTAGGGCATAAACCTAAAAACAAGACACATAGGACCCCTTCCTACCTTTACTCAGCTAGGCACATAAGTATCCCAGACCAAGAAGGGGAACAGGTCTTAGGGTCCAGAGAAACTGGACCACAGTGACTCGACTTGCAGGCATAAGCAAGAAGCAATGGACTGAAACAGAGGATTAAATGAGAGTCTACACATTGCCCCCTCCAATGTCCTCATCCCAGGTGTTTGAAACCAGACTATATCATCTAAGCAAGAGAGTGCAGAAACTGTGCAATCCCAAGGAAAAGATCTCTAGAGAGTTATATTTGGGGACCTCCAACTGAGCTGGCTGCCTTGCTATCCAAC
The DNA here is from genome assembly GCF_000001405.40 of Homo sapiens. Lineage (NCBI taxonomy): Eukaryota > Metazoa > Chordata > Mammalia > Primates > Hominidae > Homo > Homo sapiens. The sequence goes on along the minus strand of NC_000011.10, from coordinate 87,677,152 downwards.
CATTGCATTTGTGAAGCCTACTGGTTAACAAGTCTTCCATCAGAGAACTGTTAGCCTTTGAACACCTCACACTAAAATAGAAACATTAACACTGATACCAGCAGTCATTAAAATGAAAATTAAATGGAAAAAAGAAAAATATAGTGAAATCATAGGAAAAGAAAATAATATGGGAAGAATGGAAAAAATTGCTTTCCTCAGAGATATAAGACACTACATCTTTTACCTCAAGTAAAAGATACCACAATTGTCAGAGAACAAAAGACACCTCATGGAACTAAAATGATAATAATAATATTAGAAATAACAATTCAACAAAAGCATTGGAAGATTAAAATTGAGACAATCTCCTGGAAGAAACAAGTAAAGGTAGTATACAATAGAAAAAAGTAAAAGTAATATACAATAGAAAAAAATATATATATAAAATAATTTATAAAAAACTAAATATATAAAAAATTAAAAGTAATTTACAATAGAAATAAAAAGAAAATCAGAGCATTTATCCAGGCTGTCCAATATCCAAACAACAGGAGTTCCAGAAAGTAAGGCAAGAAAAATGAAGAAAAAAAACTTATCAAAAAAAATTAATACAAGAAAGTTTTCCTTGTCTACAACAGAAGGAGTTCCAAAGCACCCAACACATAAAGGAAAAGTGTTCCCATTAACTCACATCACTAAGAAAGTTCAGAGCTCCAAGGCTAAGGAACAGATCCTAAAAACTTTCAGAAGAGAAAAACAATTCATACTGATACAAATCAGAAATCAAAATTGCAACAGATATTTCAGCAATAAACATGGAAACTTTAATATTATTGAGCTATGAGTTCAAAAACTCAAAGGGAAATGATTTCCCACTAGAATTCTCTATCCAGCCAACCTATCAATCAAATGACTAAGATCTCAGCAATTTTACTTCCAAAGTGTCTTTTCTCAGGAAGCTATTAAAGATTTGTTCTACCAAATCAGGAGTATAATTATAGAGGAAGGAAGGCAGAGAATCCAGGAAACAAAAGTTCTAATACAAACTTTTGGCAGAGGAAGGCCCCCGTAAGAGAAGTACAAACCAGACTTAAAGAGGCAGTAAGTTGTATGGGAGCAGGAAGATATAGATTTGCAGGAGGGGCTCTCCAGGGAAATAAAGAAACTGATTATTTTGTCTGTCAGAGCATTTAAAAAAAAAATTCTGAACAGGCATTCTATAAACCTGAGAAAATTACCAATAGGTATATAGAAAATCAGTAAATGAAAACGTAATGCAATGAGTAACTACAGGGAAAATAAAAAATAGGGAAATAAAAAGATAGTATTCCACAAGAAATAGTACTGGACTCAGCCATAAAACATATTTATATGGTCATAATAAAGCAAACACAATATTTATTTAATCCCAAATTGCGAGATCTATTTTAAAAGGATGGGGAGAGCAGACATGGGGTGGGAGGCTGCTCTTGGAGGCTAAAGTTAGGATGACAATAGGCAATGTCTAAACTTATTAAAAAAAAAAAAAAGTAGTAAAAGCATGTTATCTAAAAATATGGACACAAATACCAAAATAATTTCAGCACAGTTGCCTCTAGGGAATAGAAACAAAGATGTGTGAAACTGAGAAACAAAAGACCACTTATTTTTAATAATCATTTGATATTATTTACTTTCTAACTTTGTATGCAAATTACTTAAGCTATACATAAACGTATAGAAAATCCATATATCAAATTCACATACCTGCAGTAGACTTTTTTAAAGAATAGTTTTTTTGGTATTCCTTCCTGATCTCATTCCTACTGTCCCTGGAGAAGTTGCTCTGTTTCCCGAGGCGGGCGGATCATGAGGTCAGGAGATAGAGACCATCCTGGCTAACACGGTGAAACCCCGTCTCTACTAAAAATGCAAAAAATTAGCTGGGCGTGGTGGCGGGCGCCTGTAGTCCCAGCTACTCGGGAGGCTGAGGCAGGAGAATGGCGTGAACTCGGGAGGCGGAGCTTGCAGTGAGCCGAGATCGCACCACTGCCCTCCAGCCTGGGCGACAGAGCAAGATTCCGTCTCAAAAGAAAAAAAAGTAAAATAAAGAAGTTGCTGTGTTTCAAGCACTTGCATGCTTTTAGACCCTGACTTTCTAGGTTTACCTCTATAAACAATGTTGCCCTGTTTCCACACTTTCAAACTTTATAGAAATAGCCTCATATTGTATATGTCATTTTGCATTTGCTTTTTTAATTGCACATTGTGTTCCTGAAATTTAATTAATCATGCTGATGAGTAACTTTTGTTCATTAACTGTTGCATATATTCCACTGAAAAAGGATAATGCAATTTACATATTCGTCTCCTTGTTGATGGGCATTGTAATTGTTTCCAGCTTTTCAGTATTACCATCAATACAACAAACATTTTTGTACATGTCCTCTTGAAAAGGTGGGGTGGAATTACACAGCACAAGACCTGAATAGTTTACACTTTACTAGATATGACCAGATGAGTATTTCAGTGATTTCACCAACTCACGCCTTCTCCAAGAAGTGAATGAGTTCCAGTTATTCCAATCCTCACCAAAACTCCAAGCTATACTTCAGAGAGCTGCAATTTTTCAGGAGCAAAGACCCACGTTGGTCTCATTATGACAATCACTTCTGCTGAGGATGTTGCATCTTTATTCAGGCACAAGTAACCCAAATGGCAATAACGATGCTCCTTCTGTGTAAATTTCTCCACCTTTGCTCACACCTGTCTTCCTAGACTGCCCCACTTTGTCTGCCACATACTTGAAGACCAAACTCCATGTTCATATCCTCTCCAAAGGCAGCCCTGACCACCTCTCACAGAAATATTGTTTCCTTCCTTAGGACTCTATTCCCATTCCGTAATTATTGTTTGCTTTCTAGGATTAATGAGACCACTTTTCTTAAGTACAGATCCTGTCACTTGAATTTACTCTAAGCAAGCCTCATGTTGTCAAGACTGATAGTAAGAAGCCTTTGCATTTACACAGGGCTTTGCAGATTTACAGACTTTTTTCATAATCAATATCACAGTTGCTTTTAGCCCTTTTTGAGTATGAGGGCTCTTTTCAAACATAAATAAAAACCTCTGCACAGCAAAAAAAAAAAAAAAAAAAAAAAAACTATCATCATTTTCTGCCACTCTGTAGGTAACCTACAGAGCAGGAGAAAATTTTCACAATCTATCCATCTGACAAAGGTCTGATATCCAGAATCTACAAAGAACTTAAACAAATTTACAAGAAAAAAAAAAAACGACCCCATTAAAAACTGAGCTAAGGACATAAACAGACACTTCTCAAAAGAAGACATTCATGCGGCCAACAAACATATGAAAAAAAAGCTCAACATTAATGATCATCAGAGAAATGCAAACCAAAGCCACAATGAGATACCATCTCATGCCAGTCAAAATTGCAATTATTAAAAAGTCAAGAAGCAACAGATGCTGGCAAGGTTGCAGAGAAATAAGAACACTTTTACACTGTTAGTGGGAATGTAAATTAGTTCAACCATTGTGGAAGACCGTGTGATGATTCCTCAAAGATCTAGAACCAGAAATAACATTTGACCCAGCAATCCAATTACTGGGTATATACATGCCCAAAGGAATATAAATCATCTATTACAAAGATACATGCACACGTAAGCTCATAGCAGCACTATTCACAATAGCAAAGACATGGAATCCACCCAGATGCCCATTAATGATAGACTGAATAAAGAAAATGTGTTACAGATACACCATGGACTACTATGCAGCCATAAAAAGGAAAGAGATCACATCCTTTGCAGGGACATAAATGAAGCTGGAAGCCATTATCCTTAGCAAACTAATACAGGAATAGAAAACCAAACACCACATGTTCTCACTTATAAGTGGGAGCTGAACAATGAGAACACATGGACACAGGGAGGGGAACACACACTGGGGCCTGTCAGAGGTTGTGATGGAGGGAGGGAGAGCATTAGGAAAAATAGCAAATGTATGTTGGGCTTAATACCTAGATGATGGATTGATAGGTGCAGCAAACCACCATGGCACACGTTTACCTATGTAACCAACCTGCACATCCTGCACATGTACCCCAGGACTTAAAATAAAAATTTAAAAAGATTTTTAAAAATAAAAACTGTTGAGTTTTCCTCGTGATAGAAATACATTATATATTAATTTAGCAGATACATAATAATGTAAAACTGTGATGATTTTAATACCACTTTTACATGGATTTTATTTTATTAATTTCAAAAGTATCTACATACTTTTGAAAACAGATTGGGTGTTTCATCACCTATATATTTAGTGGCCTATCTAAGAACAATGCCAGATTCAAAACATAAGTATTATATCTGGAAAAAGCCAAAATATGTTGTAAACAATTTAAATATTATATGAAATTTCCATAAGTGGAGTCAAAGAAGTCATTGATAACACTCAGCAAGCCTTTCTTAAAATTCCCCTCAGTTTTTTCCACACCGAAGAAAACATGTCCTGCTTGTGTCCTCATATCCTGCTGTGGTCTTAACTCTACATATAATCTTGTGTAAACTCCCCTGCACTTGCTCCAAACTCAGCTTGAGGTGCTCTTTCTGTTTCTCTCTTTGTCCCTGGATCACTGTCACTGTCTCTGTCTGTCTCCCTTCCTCCACCCATTCTCTGAATTGCCCCCTTCCAGACTATAGCTCTACCCACTTTTCTGACCAGCACCACAGAGGCCCAGGGTTAGCAACTGCCTGAAATAAAAGAATTCTTACCTGAAAAGGCTGGGGTAGGGGAAAGCTGCAGGCATATATTTTGAATTCATTCTGTAATGTGTGGCTACTGTTTTTTTTTTTTTCGGTCTGTGAAAATGTTAAGGATTTGTATCACTCTTCAGCACCTCAAGGGTCCACAGCCTTTAGGAGAAACCACTGCCTCATCTTATGCCTCTTTCAAACCTCTGCAGGACCCAGCTTAATAATTTATACTGTGTGTTTTGTGACAGTACAGGACAGCAACACCTTCTAAATTCAAACTGATTGTGAAGCATATCCACTACCAATAAATCAGTGTTCCCCCCTTGACTAATTTATGGATTCACTTGGCTAGGAAAAGGTCAGGGACAGTACTGGAGTGGATACAAGCTGACTCAACCACCAAAAAAAAGGAAAAAAATGAGAGCATTTCATTGTTTGTTTACCCCACAAATTGGAGTTTTCATATAGATATTATTTTTACAGTAATATCCACTGACCCACATCTGACACTCAGCACAATTTATGTGAAAATACTGAAAGCATCAGCAGAATCAAGTTAAAAAGTTGAGAAGTGATGCAGCAGGAACAAAGATGGAGGAGAAAAGTGTGTGTATAATATATTGAGAACCCAGGCACCTCATTTCTTTAGCCAAAATAGGAAAATGATGTCTGTATCAATATAAAACTTAAGTTTGTAGCATTCTAAGTAGGTAAGGTGCAAATTTTCTAGGCTTTCTCTTCTATTGGAAAATGTCCTTTTGGCTTCCTAGAATATTCCTGATGGAGAAGTACAACTGCAAGATTAAAAATAAATATTAAACACTTTGGGAGGCCGAGGCGGGCGGATCACGAGGTCAGGAGATAGAGACCATCCTGGCTAACACGGTGAAACCCCGTCTCTACTAAAAATACCGAAAATTAGCCGGGCGCGGTGGCGGGCGCCTGTAGTCTCAGCTACTCGGGAGGTTGAGGCAGGAGAATGGTGCAAACCCAGGAGGCAGAGCTTGCAGTGAGCCGAGATCGCGCCACTGCACTCCAGCCTGAGCGACAGAGCGAGACTCTGTCTCAAAATAAATAAATAAATAAATAAATAAATAAATAAATATTAAACACATACAGATGCACCACATGTTACTATGCACATAAATTTGGAGCAGGAGAATCGGTATATTAAGAAACAACAGGAAATCAGATGACAGGACTTTTTGCTTAAAGGCCAGGCTATTCCATTAACAGTCTATGTGGATGTAGCAATTATTTTTATCTTTAGCTTTCTAAGATAGTTTTGGATAGTGATCTATAAATTTCCTTACAACTCTGAAATTCAGAATTCTGAAAGTTTCCCTATTGGATTAGTCTCACCCATTTGTCCTTAACTCTAAAAAAAATACACACAATGGAAAGAACATTAAGAAGGGGTTTACAGCCCAGCTCTCCCCATGGGTATGTGACTTTGGGCAAATTATTATCTTCTTATTTTCTTCTGGTTGTTATTATCATTACTATTATTAATCCCTCAATATGTAATAATATGTTTCTTACAGTGCTGCTGAGAGGGCTAGGTAAGATAAGCATATAAATATATATTCTAAATGATAAAACATTCTGCAAGTATTAGTTGCTAATATTTGCATGGTCCTGTTGACAAGGCTTGTTCTTCTATAGGGAGTGAGGTAATAGGAGACTGAAATTTTCTAGGATAAAAGCTATGATATCCTTTGAACTACATCTTCCCATTTCCTGTCCACTCATTTCCTCACCCCTGGTAACCACCGATTTATCTGCTCTCTCTGTTTAGATGAACAAGTCTAGAGATTTAATGTACAACATGAGGAAGAGGGCTAATAAATATCACATCATATTAGGAACTTTTGTTAAATAAGTAGATTTTAGCTGTTCTCGCCACAACAAAAAGTAACTATGTGAGATGATGGATAAGTTAATTTGCTTCTCTATAGTAACCATTTGACTATATGTATCCTGTAACATCATGTTGGTAAATCTCAAATATACACACAAAAAATATTTTTAAAAGAAAGAAAAAGGCTAGAGTTTAATTGCTTTTCTCCAAAATAGTCATTTGCACAGGCACAGCAGCCAAAATCGTGGAATAGTCTTATGATTAATTTATTCTATTTTTAAAATATGAAAGAATTCCTATAACTAGAGATAGGAAAAAATCACCAGCAATATCTTCTCAAGTAATTAAAGACCTATTCTTGCATTTTTTAATTTAATGAGCTGTAGAACAGGGTTATACCAAAGCAGGAGAGACAGTTCCGCAAATTCAAATGCGCTATTTGGTGATGTCTACAATGCAAACCTTGTATTTCTATACCACTCATTCACCCAAGTTTGGAATTTTTTTAAAAAGGTCATTTCTTGGATGTTTACTTTCCCTTTATCATCAGAAACTTTGGATTTTTTTTTTTTTTTTTTTGCTCCAAACTTCTAAATGATTTTACTGAACCTCATTGTCTGCTAATCAAGAGTTATCAGGAGATATTTTCTCTGGAGGGAAATAAATTAAAAATTAACTCTGACTGCTGTCTTCTACATGGAAGATTATGCAAATGCTCATCTGTTCCTTTGAATTCTTGAACATCCTGTGGGACCAGAACCTCTTAAATATTCCTACTAATGTTTAAAGTAAGTGTGCACTTACCTGTAGTTCAGGAAGAAGCTAGCAAACAGTATTTACAATATCAGAATGATCAGTAACTGTATTTCCAAACAGCAAATCTCATGGTGGAAATATGGTTCTCTTGGGCCTTGCAAGTGTCAGCATCACCTCACTGAGCCTTCCTCTCCACTGCCCCAAGCAAGCCAGTGATATGGAAAAATCCCATCCAGGGAAAGCTTGCAGACTGAGAAAATAACTTACCCAAACTCTCTTTCCTCGTGTTTTTTTTTTCTCCTTTTCCAAACTAACTTAATATTTTGACTAAATGAAATGTTCCTGAAATAAGATATTAATTTGATTGTTTTGTTAATAGATAAATAAGCAGGAAAACCTATTTATTCAAGCTCCTGGCTGAAAGAAAACCTTCTGGAAGAGGATAGGCTAATTTCCTGGCTGCAAATGGCATTTGAATCAATAATGACTGTTTTGGAAGAACCTACTTCATCTTAGGGTATTTGTAGTCTAAGGAATAAGAGCACCAGTGGTGGGTAAGGAAATGCTCAAAGATGTTTTTGTAGAGGAAAGAAGCACAGCTCAAAAGGTCTTAGCTCCAAAGAAAGGCAGAGGAGGCACCATGTGTGCCAGGAACTTTACTTGGGTATAATGTTCCATCTTATGATCACACAAACAAGCAGATTCATTCAAGCTTTCACAAGTTCTTTAAATCCCATTTATAAGGAGCCCTGAAAAATAAGCAATAAATAAGTCCCCTGTCCTAACAGTATGGCAAGACAGGCAAGTTAACAGCTATAGGCACAATGAGCTTAAAATGAAGTGTAAAGTATTATAAAAGAAAGCATTCAGTGGAAACCCATACAAAGAAGGGAAATTGTCTGGGCAAAGATGGAAAACATGTGAGGGGCACAACAATTATTATCCTCCTTTGACAGATGATACAAGTGAAGCCCCGACATATTAATTATTATTCTAATGGTGAGGGAAGAGTTGGGATTCAGATCCAGATCTTCATCCTCGGAAGTCCAAGCACTCAGGGATTCCCAGCTGAGATTCAGAGTCCTGTTTATCTGTTTAGTCCTGTATAGTTGGAAGAAGGAAACTTCCTGGGAGAAACTGTCCTCGGATTACTCTCCTAAGTTGGAGGAGAGATATGATAAGGAAAGAGATTTTGTCATCTTTATTTCAGCAAATTGAGCAAATATTGCTTTTCAATATATTTTCTAGAAATAGTTCTAAAAGGGATTGTGTGTGACTGACTGGGATACTTGTAGTAAGAGCTCTGTGAGAGCACTAAAATTTTGAACTTCTGGCAAGGTAGAAAGGTCACATGTTTGAGCTAGCACCCAATTCTGGAATATGTCTAAGGGACCTACTCTTTAACCTAGCAAAACTGGCCTCAAAAGGATCCCAAATGCCTATTATAAGGCAAATGTTAAATAAAGTTCTTGCCAATCTTACAACTCAGACAAGTTTCTTCAAAGACATGAGAGCCATCTCTTTGAAATATAATCATCAAGAAAAATGCCCTATGTCTCAGTTTTTCTGGAAGAAGATAGACCTAACTTCAGTTGTCAACTGACTCCTAATCGCACAACCTACCTGCAGTTATAAACATAGGAGAAAATTAGCAAATTTATCTTGAAAACATAAATGGAATGGTTGTACCCATTTGGCTGTATAAAACAGTGAGATTTCTTTCTGCCTCTGTAATCTCTTCAGCAGATTGCCTCTGGTGTGCATCACTTTTTGTGCTAATGCTTATTCAATAATAAAACTTTTATTTATCTTCTACTTTTGTGAAAAGGTTTTCTGTGTTGGGTTCAGATTGTGTTTTTAATATTTCTTCAATACTTCCCACCATTTTCCTGCTGACAAAAACAGGAGAATTGAAGAGTGAATTTTTGACAACTGTTTAGAATCCAGATGGAAGGTTGAGCTTTCTCTGGTTTTGAGGAAGGAAAGAATGAATTGTTCTCATGTAATCACATGGCAGGCAAGCTTTTGCAGCATATTTAGCCAAAGTCTACAGAACACAGGGTCAAGAACAGCCTAAGCCCTTTGTCAATCTCCTTCAGGGACAATTTAATGAAAAATAGCATTTGAATTAAAAAGATGAAGGTTTCCCCAGTTTATTACCCTTGTGTAACCAGGACAATTGCAGAAGGAATAAATGAAGACAGGCTCCCCAAATCTACCAAGAGAAATGAGAAGAAACATTTTGGAAAGACTCCTCACAACATGTTCCCATCTTTGCTGTTTGTGTTGTTTTCCTTTCAGTTCTTAATAGTTCTACTATTCAATGAGGCAGGCCTATGTCTTTCTATGGGGTCAGCAGAATTACGAGGAGCAGGGGAGACTCTGTAGCCAGGGATGCCGGGACAGGGGGGCCCAAATGATGGGGGGAAGCTAGAAAGAGAACAAAGAGAAGGCTGAATGCCTAAGGCCTGTGAAAAAGGAAATGAGAGCCAGGCTTTTGTGATCCATGGGCAATGGCCGTTCACAGTGTGCCCCCTGAGACTACAATCTGAAGTAGTACAGGCTACTGTACTACTGAAGCCTGAAGGACTACAATCCCCCCAGGTATTCTATCTTGGGTGAAATGCCTGATATTCTACCATCAGGCATCTGTGGCTTTAGTTTTTGGTTTGATCCTTGCTCAATCGATGAACAACTATTCACTGAGCATTTGCTATCTGCCTGGCACTGTACGGGAATCTGCGGTAGCATTCAAAAAGTACTCAGGCACACTTTGTTTAGCAAGTAAAATACATAAAGGCAAATGTCCTAAAAGGGGAAACACTGCACTGCTGCGGGCATTGAACCCTCCAATGGCTTTTCACGCACTTTATCACATTCAAATTACTCTCTGCCTCTCTAACTTCATCCCTTTGTGCTTCCTCTCTCTGTAACACATTGTCTTTTTTTCTATTCCTCAAACACAAAACTCACTTCTGCCTCGGAGTCCTTATACACTTTCTGTTTCTAGAACACTGGGTTCCTGGATCCTTGTATTCAGGTGTTTGCTCAAATGTTCCCTCTTCAGAGAGGCCTTTCCTGACCATTCTGTCTGAGGTGGTCATTTCATCTCTCAATGCTACAACATCCTGCAGTCATGCTCAGCATGGCCTTTACTCCTACTTAAAAATGTTTAGCATGCAATTTAATTTGGTTTTTTTTATTAGTTTATTTTCTATCTCACTCTCCTGGGGGATACATTTCAAGTAGGCAGAGAAACCTGTTTATCACATTCACTGCTGTTTCCTACATGGTGGGTGAGAACAGTGCCCAATACCCAGCACAGAGCAGGCCCTTGATGGTTGTTGATTTAATTAATAAATAAATGGCATGTGCCCAAAGGACCTCAGAGTATCTTTGAGTTACAGGGGAATGTACAAAAAGCACAAGGGCACTGGCATTTGTAAGAAATGAAAAAGAGGGAAGGGAAAGGGATTTAAAAAAAAAACAAAAACTTATCTCACAATTTTGCCTGGGGCTGCAACTGCTACTAGTGAAAATATGTTTCAGTCAGCCGCTTCCTCCAGCTTCCCTGGGAGCTCTGTACTTCCCATGTGTCCCTGGCCATCCCTTTGCACTGGAGTCATCTTCCTATATGTTTGTGGTTGCTCCTACAACAGTGCCTGGGTCTGAGTTGACTTTCCCCTTTCATCTTCCTCCAGCATCCATCCTATGGCCTGGAGAGAAGCTGGCACCATCTCATAAATGTGTACTGAATGAACTGTCATGAGGTATATCCTAAAACTACCCTTGAAAAATAAATGCTTGCAAAAATGAAAATAATACATAAATATTTGATACAATGTTGTCTTTTGCCATTTATCTTTCCCATAGAAGTATGAGAGGGAAGAAAAAGAAGTCATTCTACTGAGTTGAAGCCATGAGCAAGTAGGGTTGGGTGATTTAAGGCTTCATGGCAAGCTCCCTGATATGATTTGGATCTGTGTCCCCCCAAATTTCATGTCAAATTATAATCCCCAGTGTTGAAGATGGGGCCTGGTGGGAGGTGACCGGATCACGGGAGCGGATTCTCATGAATGGCTTAGCACCATCCCCTCGGTGCTCTTCCTGTGATGGTGAGTGAGTTCTTGTAAGAACTGGTCATGTAAACTTGTGTAGTACTTCCTCCCTCCTGCTCTCTCTCTCTTGCTCCTCCTCCTGCCATGTAAGACACTTGCTCCCCCTTTGCCTTCTGCCGTGATTGGAAGCCTCCTGAAGCCTCCCCAGAAGCAGAAGCAACTATGCTTCCTTTAGATACTGCAGTATCATGAGCCAGTTAAACCTTTTTTCTTTATTAATTATCCAGTCTCAGGTATTTTTTACAGCAATGAAAGAACAAACTAATACACCCCCTTTAGGCAAAGACCTCACCACACCGACTTCTCATCAGTGTCCCAGACTAAATGCTTGAGGAACAGGTGCTGCTTTTGAGGACTACAGTCCATCTGTTCCAAGGAATTCTTCCAAATTTCCACTAGGAGTGTTCACTGTGACTCAGTTTCCTCTTGAAAATACAATAAGGGTAACGACATCAATTTTTGTTTTTTTGTTTTTGAGATGGAGTCTTGCCCTGTTGCCCAGACTGGAATGCAGTGGTGCGATTTTGGCTCAATGCAGCCTCCGCTTCCCAGGGTCAAGCAATTCTCCTGCCTCAGCCTCCTGAGTAGCTGGGATTACAGGTGCACACCACCATGCCTGGCTAATTTTTGTATTTTTAGTAGAGACAGGGTTTCATCATGTTGATCAGTCTGGTCTCGAACTCCCGACCTCATGATCTGCCTGCTTCCACCTCCCAAAGTGCTGGGATTACAGGCATGAGCCATGGCGCTGGGCCAACATCAAATATTTTTACAGCCTTTTACAATTCACCAAGCACTTTACCATCCATGGTCTCACCATTATCTTATCACAGGCTGTCTGTTACTTGAATAGGAGAGCCTCCATTTGGATTCCAGATTACAGAGGGCAAGCAGAGATGAATTACAACTTCTGGAAGGAGAATAAAGAGTGCAAGGAGCAAACACGGCCTAGCATGGCTTCTCATGAAAGAACAAGAGGAATACATCTGTACCCTCTGACATCTGTAAGCTCCTTGAGGGTAGATGTCATGCAGCACTACTATTAATGATGGCTACTATTTAGCAAGTACAGTCATGTCAGTTAACAACCAGGATACGTTCCAAGAGATGCATCATTAGGTGACTTCCTCATTGTGTGAACATCATACACTGTACTTACACAAATGTAGATGGTATAGCCTACTACACAGCCAGGCTACATGGGATAGTCTACTGCTCCTAGACTACAAGCATGTTACTTAATTGAATATTGTACGCAATTGTAACACAATGGTAAGTATTTGTGTATCTAAACATAGAAAACATTCAGTAAAAGCACGGCATTATAATCTTACGGGACCACCATTGTATATGTGGTCCATTTTTGACTAAAACATCATTATGCGGTGCATGACTGTATCTGCTATGTATCAGGCCCTAAGAAAGGCAGAAAAAACACACATTATTGGTCTAGATTTACTGTTGGTGGGGAATGTTGGATAATAAAAGGCTTTCCTCCAACAAAACCTTAGACCAAAGCCCATAATATGTAAACCAAAGGAATGGAGTGTCTCTGTTGAGCTATAGGTGTTGGCTGGGCCATGTTGGCTCCTCTCTGCCTTCAACTGTCACTCCTGTGGCCATGGAGACAACTTTGGGAAATACCCAGAGCACAGTTGGAAAAACAGTGCCCTATTAAGAAGGCCTTGGCTGGGCCAGGCACCGCAGGAGAAAACTGAATGAAAGGAGGTGGGAAGGCAACAGAGGAGTTGTTTTCTCATGTGGCACTGTGGCTGAGGGGCCCGGCTTCTCTGATGAGGGGTTTAGCTGATGTATTCTCCTGTGCTATGATAAAGCCTCCTCACCTTGCCTGAGAACCCCTGTGACTTTGAGAAATGTCCTCACAGCAACATAAACCTCTAGTCTCCAATCAAGTTTCCTGTCTGGACACTAGGTGCTGGAAGGGCGATTGTCCTGGACACTTTTCCCATTTCTTTCCACTTAAATCTCATGTGAAAGTAGAAAAGGAGTTATAATTCTGTCTGATGCCCACTTCTCAGCATCCACAGAGCCTTGCAAAATGCATCCCTGCCAGTTGAGAGCTCTGCCTGCAGACATCAGGGAACCTTGAGAAGTCTGACCTCCTTGAAGCGTTTCTCTCCCTCTTGCTGGGCCCTGACAGATAGTGATTTAGCAAAGACAGGGATGGCTTGGGGAACTCACCTTCCCCTGACTTCTGCAGCCACCTCTCAACAGTGCTTGGCAAAGGCTTGGGAGCTTGTCATCTTTCATACTCACCTTTTGTATTCTGGACAGCCTCACTGGGTATTTTCCTATCTTTTCTGTGTGCTAATGGAGCCCTTATCTGTTAGAGATCCCTTCCTCTTTCTGCTCTCTGTCCAACACAACCCCTTAGAATAATAACAGGAACAAAAATGAACAAACAAATCGAAGCTTTGCATTTGAACATCTTACTATCATAAAAAAGCACATTGGCTTTGGAATTGAACAAAGACAAAAATTTAACCACTGCAATTTTCTTAGCTATAAAATTGGGTGAGCAATAGATGCTGTAGTGTAAAAGTGTGATTACTAATTAGATGATATGCAAAGTGCTCAGTGCTGGGCCTGGGCCACAGTTAGTGCTCAATAAATATTAATGAATGAGTAAATAACCTGATATGTAAATAAATACCAAGATAAATAGATAAATGAATGGATAAATGAACAATATAGCATAGGACCTGAGGTGAGTTACCACTCCCTTTTCCCCTGTGCAGTTAATAATTATTACTAACATTTATACTTTAAGCAACTCACCTGTAATCACACAGAAACTCAAATCTCACCTGAACTCAAAACGTATGTTTCTAACCACTAACCCAGAGGAGCGGTCAAGGGGAGTGGGTAAGAGCACGAACAGTGGAGGCAGCCCACATTGGACTGAACCACAGTAGTGCCACATAATAGCTGTGCAACCTTGTGCACATTACCTAAATGTTCTGCCCATTTGTTTCCTCATCTGTATAACAGAGAAAGTAATAGTACCTGACTCATGGAGATTGTGAGAAAGGTAAATGATATAGTGCAGAAAAGAGCTTAATCCACTGCCTGAAGCATGGCAAGGTATTCCCTAAAGCTGTGGGTGACAGATAAATCTGCTGTTGCTACTATTGCCAGCACACCAGGGACTGCTGCCAGACATCCCTGGGCACACTCCAGAAGGAATGTGTTCCTCCTGCCCTTGTTCAGCCTTTCTTCTTTTCCCCTAGCCTGGACCCCTGAAGTCCCAGGTTGCCTAAAAACCTGTATGGGTTAAGTTATGACAAGCTGTTCTGCTCACCTCAAGCACAGCTGCTGCAAAGTCAGACTAAGATGCAAGGCTGCCTAAAGAGCAAGCATGCACTTGGGGTCAGCCAAACTTACCTCTGGAGACCCCATTTCACTGACTGTAGATAACTCTTAAATTTACTTTTGGAATGGTAGATTTGTTTTGTTTTTGTTTTTTGGTTTGAAATATAGTCCTTGCATGGTGAACATGCAGAAAGCTTCTAGAGCCAATATATAAGCAGAAGAATAAAAATAGAAAAGAAGTTTGAGTGTGTGATGCTGGACTAGAGGGTTGTGAAAGCAGTGACATTCCATATGTCCCAGGCCAAGTGTGAGGTCAGCTCTCAGACAATCATCTATAGACACAGAAGTTCCTAAAGAGGGGAGACCACCTTCACTGCCTGGCTAGAGGCCTGCTGAGATACAGGATTTGTGGGCTCAGCCTGGGGCTGCCATCAAAGCAGACAGGATCACAGTGAGGAAGGTCACTGGAGCACAACAAAGCCCCATCACCTGGGATATATGGGAACATAGAGATGGTACCTACTTGTGACCTGGAGAATCTTAAGCATAGGAAGATGGTGGGGGTGGTCCTGGATGTCAGGAAGAAAATAGAGAAGGCAGCAGTGAGGTAGCCTTGGCTCCTGTCCTGCCTTATAACCAGGAGGCATGTGTTTCTTACAGACCAGACTGGTGCTATAAAGGGAAGTAGAATTTAGACTATCTTACATGTAATCTATACACTTAAGAAGGCCTTTTAGATGAAGAAACTCTGTTAGAAAGAGGCTACATTTTTTACGGCAGGGGGTCAAAAACTAAGGAGAGTCTCAAAACGTCAGCCAAGGAACCCATCACCCATGCCAGAGAACTGTTTATGTGGAGATACTGCAAGTTCTTTCTAGCAGCCCACGCTGGTTCTCCAAGTGAAAGCCAGCAATGTATGTCTGCCACTCAGACAGCATCAACAGCCAGACTGCAGTAGCACCAGTTAAACGACATATTCTTTGTGTTTTAAATCTCATCCCCTCCCCTACCCAGAACAAGAAAGAGCCAGAAAAGGATGAGAAGGATGGAAAGGACAATTTTTTTAAATGTTCTTTCCCCACTACTCACCTCTGAGCAGTGGTATGCTGCTGGCTCTCCTGGTGGAAAACACCCTGGTTTGTAGTGGTTGCCAATTTCCATGGTGCAAATACTCCCACCATGGCTGATTTAATCCACCAACCTGACAACACTGAACTTGGAATTGCAAAGAGATGCTAACAGTTGGCTCTTGCTGAGACTTTGATCCATCTCCAACACACTGCTACAGCTGAGCCACAGATCAGGCCTGAGCTGGAGTGGGAAAGGGAAGGGGGTAGAACGACAGGGGAAGATCTGAACTGGGTATGAGACTGAAATTTTTATTTAGACTAGGCAAGATCTCTTTACAACAGAATGAGGCTTAATAACCAAAGTGAGCCTACTCTTGAAGTTGAATGTGATCAAGAAACTTCATAACCTCTAACGATGGTATCAAGAACTTTGAGAGAAAGATGAGCCAGAGTATACTAAAGACAGCAGTGAAACATAAAACCATTCTCTGCTTGAATCTCATCAAGCTTGGACTGTTTAACATTCATGTTATATTTCAATCCCACAGGCCCCCTCAGGAGCTCCTCATCTATTACATTCCAGAGAAGCAATGAATCTTTTGTGGATCTTTTTATCTTTCTTTCATGCTAACCATCCTCCTTCAGAGAAATAAGGCTGAACTTTCATAATGAGAGTTCATTACACTTATTTCACAGAAAATTAAGAAATTTGAACAGTGTGAGTGCCATCAAGTGACAAAGCAGAAACCCGGGCTAGTGGGAGAAGGGATAGACCAGGGAAGGCATGTGTCCTGGTGTCTTGCTGTCTTCCCCAGCTCCTGAATCATCCTTGTGCTGTGTATGGCCATTACATTGTGAACCCTCTGGAGAAACTGAGCTAGGTCCTCAGGAGTCCACCTGCAATGGAAATTTCTCTTGCTAGATGTAAGCTATGAGAAGGAGAGATTGCTTTGGGAAGGGAAGTAGTTGGAGCAAGATGGCTCTCAACAAGGTGCCTAGAAGACGATGACCCATCATATAGGCAAGTATACTTTAGATATCCCTCACATACCCAAGTCCCAGCCTGGCCCAAGACACCATCGTCGTCGTCTAGAGAAGCAGTAATCTTCTAACTGGTCTCCCTAATTCTATCCTTGTTTTGTAACATATATTATTCACACAGTAGCCAGAATTACTCATTAAAACCCAAGTAAAATCTTATCTGCTGAAAAACAAAACAAAGACTCCTCCAAAGTCCTTCCAATGACCTCATCTCCTACCACTCTTTCTTCTATTCACTCTTCCCCAGCCACACTTATCACTTTGGTATTCTTCAAACCACCAAACATATTCCCACCTCATGGTTTTTGTACTTGTCGTTCTCTCTGCCTGGTATTCTTCCCATTAGAGGCCATACCACATACTCCATCATTTACTTAAGACCTCTTCTCAAAAGACATGTGAAGCAAAGGCATCCCGACCACCTTGTATAAAAAGCTACTTGCACCATCCCAGCACTTCCTGTTCTCCTCATTCTGGCTTATTTTCTGCAAGCACTAACACCACATACATAGTACATATTAGCATGTTTGCTCACTGTTGTCCTTTGATTTGCAATGGAGTTTAAGCTTCAAAAGAACAAGGACTTTGTCTGATTTGTTGTATCCTTAGTATAACAAATGAGCTGATGCCTGTAACAGCAGCACAACAGATATCTAATACATTAATAAATGTTCTCCTAAATAATATGCATTGACAACTGAGCAAAATGTGGGGAAAGGATCCTCCAAACCTAAAGAGCAAGAGGCATTCCATGAATCATCCCTTTCCTTCCTCACCATGAGATAGATGGGAGAGACAGAAAGTTCACCCGCTTTAGCATTCTGTTTTTATAGAAAGGCCACAGATCCCTAAAGAGAAGAAAATAAACACATGTCGGGAGGAATATTAAATTCCACCAGAGCTGTGTTTACCCTCACTAAACCACATTTACCACCTTTTCATCTCCCTCTGTCCATGTCTATCTCTTCCTTACCCCCTTAATTCTTTCATTCCATCTACATTATTTATAACTTTAGAAGTAGTAGTCTCAATTGACTGGTGTAAAAATGATTATATTTCATATTTCATCCCTGAAGCAAGTAAAGAATTCTCTAGCAGGCTTGAAACTTTCTGCTTAACTAGTAAGATGTTTTAGCTGACACTAGCATGATTTTTTTTTATTGAGGTATAAATTACATATAGTAAAATATACTGATCTGAAATATATGCATAGAAGGTTTTGATAGAAATATACATTTGTGTGACATACACACCCATCAAGACAGAACATTTTCATTACCTCAGAATGATCCCTTGTAAGCAAATCACTAAACTTTTCCAGAAGCAAGCACTGATCTTGTTTCTATCAACATTTATTGTTTTTGTCTACTCAGGAATTTTACACTAATGTACAATTTTTGCATATTTTCCCTGGCTCTTCATGATCAGGATACTTTGAGATTCACTCATCATTTAATTTATCAAAACTTACTTTATTCTATTGCTGAGTAGTATTTCATTGTAAGATTACGCCATGGAGGAACCAAGATGGCCAAACAGGAACAGCTCCGGTCTACAGCTCCCAGCTTGAGGGACGCAGAAGACGGGTGATTTCTGCATTTCCATCTGAGGTACCAGGTTCATCTCACTAGGGAGTGCCAGAGAATGGGCACAGGTCAGTGGGTGTAGCGCACGGTGTGCGTGAGCCGAAGCAGGGCGAGGCATTGCCTCACCTGGGAAGCACAAGGGGTCAGGGAGTTCCCTTTCCTAGTCAAAGAAAGGGGTGACAGATGGCACCTGGAAAATCGGGTCACTCCCACCCTAATACTGCGCTTTTCTGACGGCCTTAAAAAACGGCGCACCACGAGATTATATCCCGCACCTGGCTTAGAGGGTCCTATGCCCACAGAGTCTTGCTGATTGCTAGCACAGCAGTCTGAGATCAAACTTTAAAGTGACAGCGAGGCTGCAGGAGGGGCGCCCGCCATTGCCCAGGCTTGCTTAGGTAAACAAAGCAGCTGGGAAGCTCCAACTGTGTGGAGCCCACCACAGCTCAAGTAGGCCTGCCTGCCTCTGTAGGCTCCACCTCTGGGGGCAGGGCACAGACAAACAAAAAGACAGGAGTAACCTCTGCAAACATAAATGTCCCTGTCTGACAGCTTTGAAGACAGTAGTGGTTCTCCCAGCACGCAGCTGGAGATGTGAGAACGGGCAGACTGCCTCCTCAAGTGGGTCCCTGACCCCTGACCCCTGAGCAGCCTAACTGGGAGGCACCCCCCAGTAGGGGCAGACGGACACCTCACACGGCCCGGTACTCCTCTGAGGCAAAACTTCCAGAGGAACGATCAGACAGCAGCATTCACGGTTCATGAAAAACCACTCTTCTGCAGACACCGCTGCTGATACCCAGGCAAACAGGGTCTGGAGTGGACCTCTAGCAAACTCCAACAGACCTGCAGCTGAGGGTCCTGTCTGTTAGAAGGAAAACTAACAAACAGAAAGGACATACACACCAAAAACCCATCTGTACATCACCATCATCAAAGACCAAAAGTAGATAAAACCACAAAAATGGGGGAAAAAACAGAGCAGAAAAACTGGAAACTCTAAAAAGGAGAGCACCACTCCTCCTCCAAAGGAACGCAGTTCCTCACCAGCAATGGAACAAACCTGGACGGAGAATGACTTTGACAAGCTGAGAGAAGAAGGCTTCAGATGATCAAACTACGAGCTACAGGAGGAAATTCAAACCAAAGGCAAAGAAGCTAAAAACTTTGAAAAAAATTTAGACTAACGTATAACTAGAATAACCAATACAGAGAAGTGCTTAAAGGAGATGATGGAGCTGAAAGCCAAGGCTCGAGAACTACGTGAAGAATACAGAAGCCTCAGGAGCACATGCAATCAACTGGAAGAAAGGGTATCAGTGATGGAAGATGAAATGAAAGAAATGAAGCAAGAATGGAAGTTTAGAGAAAAAAGAATAAAAAGAAATAAACAAAGCCTCCAAGAAATATGGGACTATGTGAAAAGACCAAATCTACATCTGATTGGTGTACCTGAAAGTGACGGGGAGTATGGAACCAAGTTGGAAAACACGCTGCAGGATATTATCCAGGAGAACTTCCCCAATCTAGCTAGGCAGGCCAATGTTCAGATTCAGGAAATACAGAGAACGCCACAAAGATACTCCCCAAGAAGAGCAACTCCAAGACACATAATTGTCAGATTCACCAAAGTTGAAATGAAGGAAAAAATGTTAAGGGCAGCCAGAGAGGAAGGTCGGGTTACCCACAAAGGGAAGCCCATCAGACTAACAGCGGATCTCTTGGCAGAAACTCTACAAGCCAGAAGAGAGTGGGGGCCAATATTCAAGATACTTAAAGAAAAGAATTTTCAACCCAGAATTTCATATCCAGCCAAACTAAGCTTCATAAGTGAAGGAAAAATAAAATACTTTACAGACAAGCAAATGCTGAGAGATTTTGTCACCACCAGGCCTGCCCTAAAAGAGCTCCTGAAGGAAGCACTAAACATGAAAAGGAACAACCAGTACCAGCCACTGCAAAATCATGCCAAAATGTAAAGACCATCGAGACTAGGAAGAAACTGCATCAACTAACGAGCAAAATAACCAGCTAATGTCATAATGACAGGATCAAATTCACACCTGACAATATTAACTTTAAATGTAAATGTACTAAATGCTCCAATTAAAAGACACAGACTGGCAAATTGGATAAAGAGTCAAGACCCATCAGTGTGCTGTATTCAGGAAACCCATCTCACCTGCAGAGACACACATAGGCTCAAAATAAAAGGATGGAGGAAGATCTACCAAGCAAATGGAAAACAAAAAAAGGCAGGGGTTGCAATCCTAGTCTCTGATAAAACAGACTTTAAACCAACAAAGATCAAAAGAGACAAAGAAGGTCATTACATAATGGTAAAGGGATCAATTCAACAAGAAAAGCTAACTGCCCTAAACATATATGCACCCAATACAGGAGCACCCAGATTCATAAAGCAAGTCCTGAGTGACCTACAAAGAGACTTGGACTCCCACACAATAATAATGGGAGACATTAACACCCCACTGTCAACATTAGACAGATCAATAAGACAGAAAGCTAACAAGGATATCCAGGAATAGAACTCAGCTCTGCACCAAGTGGACCTAATAGACATCTACAGAACTCTCCACCCCAAATCAACAGAATATACATTTTTTTCAACACCACACCACACCTATTCCAAAATCGACCACATACTTGGAAGTAAAGCTCTCCTCAGTAAGTGTAAAAGAACAGAAATTATAACAAACTATCTCTCAGACCACAGTGCAATCAAACTAGAACTCAGGATTAAGAAACTCACTCAAAACCGCTCAACTACATGGAAACTGAACAACCTGCTCCTGAATGACTACTGGGTACATAATGAAATGAAGGCAGAAATAAAGATGTTCTCTGAAACCAACGAGAACAAAGACACAACATACCAGAATCTCTGGGACACATTCAAAGCACCACGCAGAGGGAAATTTATAGCACTAAATGCCCACAAGAGAAAGCAGGAAAGATCCAAAATTGATGCCCTAACATCACAATTAAAAGAACTAGAAAAGCAAGAGCAAACACATTCAAAAGCTAGCACAAGGCAAGAAATAACTAAAATCAGAGCAGAACTGAAGGAAATAGAGACACAAAAACCCTTCAAAAAATTAATGAATCCAGAAGCTGGTTTTTTGAAAGGATCAACAAAATTGATAGACCGCTAGCAAGACTAATAAAGAAAAAAAGAGAGAAGAATCAAATAGACGCAATAAAAAATGATAAAGGGGATATCACCACCGATCCCACAGAAATACAAACTACCATCAGAGATTACTACAAACACCTCTACACAAATAAACTGGAAAATCTAGAAGAAATGGATAAATTCCTTGACACATACACCCTCCCAAGACTAAACCAGGAAGAAGTTGAATCTCTGAATCGACCAATAACAGGAGCTGAAATTGTGGCAATAATCAATAGCTTACCAACCAAAAAGAGTCCAGTACCAGATGGATTCACAGCCGAATTCTACCAGAGATACAAGGAGGAACTGGTACCATTCCTTCTGAAACTATTCCAATCAATAGAAAAAGAGGGAATCCTCCCTAACTCATTTTATGAGGCCAGCATCATTATGATACCAAAGCCAGGCAGAGACACAACCAAAAAAGAGAATTTTAGACCAATATCCTTGATGAACATTGACGCAAAAATCCTCAATAAAATACTGGCAAACCAAATCCAGCAGCACATCAAAAAGCTTATCCACCATGATCAATTGGGCTTCATCCCTGGGATGCAAGTCTGGTTCAATATACGAAAATCAATAAATGTAATTCAGCATATAAACAGAACCAAAGACAAAAACCACATGATTATCTCAATAGATGCAGAAAAGGCCTTTGACAAAATTCAACAACGCTTCATGCTAAAAACTCTCAATAAATTAGGTATTGATGGGACGTATCTCAAAACAATAAAAGCTATCTATGACAAACCCACAGCCAATATCATACTGCATGGGCAAAAACTGGAAGCATTCCCTTTGAAAACTGGCACAAGACAGGGATGCACTCTCTCACCACTCCTATTCAACATAGTGTTGGAAGTTCTGGCCAGGGCAATTAGGCAGGAGAAGGAAATAAAGGGTATTCAATTAGGAAAAAAAGGAAGTCAAATTGTCCCTGTTTGCAGATGACATGACTGTATATCTAGAAAACCCCATAGTCTCAGCCCCAAATCTCCTTAGGCTGATAAGCAACTTCAGCAAAGTCTCAGGATACAAAATCAATGTACAAAAATCACAAGCATTCTTATACACCAATAACAGACAAACAGAGAGCCAAATCATGAGTGAACTCCCATTCACAATTGCTTCAAAGAGAATAAAATACCTAGGAATCCAACTTACAAGGGATGTGAAGGACCTCTTCAAGGAGAACTACAAACCACTGCTCAACAAAATAAAAGAGGATACAAACAAAAGGAAGAACATTCCATGCTCATGGGTAGGAAAAATTAATATCGTAAAAATGACCATACTGCCCAAGGTAATTTATAGTTTCAATGCCATCCCCATCAAGCTACCAATGACTTTCTTCACAGAATTGGAAAAAACTACTTTAAAGTTCGTATGGAACCAAAAAAGAGCCCGCATCGCCAAGTCAATCCTAAGGCAAAAGAACAAAGCTGGAGGCATCATGCTACCTGATTTCAAACTATACTACAAGGCTACAGTAACCAAAACAGCATGGTACTGGTACCAAAACAGAAATATAGATCAATGGAACAGAACAGAGCCCTCAGAAATAATACCACATATCTACAACTATCTGATCTTTGACAAACCTGAGAAAAACAAGCAATGGGGAAAGCATTCTCTATTTAATAAATGGTCCTGGGAAAACTGGCTAGCCATATGTAAAAAGCTGAAACTGGATCCCTTCCTCACACCTTATACAAAAATTAATTCAAGATGGATTAAAGACTTAAACGTTAGACCTAAAACCATAAAAACCCTAGAAGAAAACCTAGGCATTACCATTCAGGACATAGGCATGGGCAAGGACTTCATGTCTAAAACACCAAAAGCAGTGGCAACAGAAGACAAAATTGACAAATGGGATCTAATTAAACTAAAGAGCTACTGCACAGCAAAAGAAACTACCATCAGAGTGAACAGGCAACCTATAAAATGAGAGAAAATTTTCACGACCTACTCATCTGACAAAGGGTTAATATCCAGAATGTACAATGAACTCAAACAAATTTACAAGAAAAAAACAAACAACCCCATCAAAAAGTGGGTGAAGGATATGAACAGACACTTCTCAAAAGAAGACATTTATGCAGCCAAAAAACACATGAAAAAATGCTCACTATCACTGGCCATCAGAGAAATGCAAATGAAAACCACAATGAGATATTTTCTCACCCCAGTTAGAATGGCAATCATTAAAAAGTCAGGAAACAACAGGTGCTGGAGAGGATGTGGAGAAATAGAACACTTTTACACTGTTGGTGGGACTGTAAACTAGTTCAACCATTGTGGAAGTCAGTGTGGCGATTCCTCGGGGATCTAGAACTAGAAATACCATTTGACCCAGCCATCCCATTACTGGGTATATACCCAAAGGACTATAAATCATGCTGCTATAAAGACACATGCACACGTATATTTATTGCGGCACTATTCACGATAGCAAAGACTTGGAACCAACCCAAATGTCCAACAATGATAGACTGGATTAAGAAAATGTGGCACATATACACCATGGAATACTATGCAGCCATAAAAAATGATGAGTTCATGTCCTTTATAGGGACAGGGATGAAATTGGAAATCATCATTCTCAGTAAACTATCACAAGAATAAAAAACCAAACACCGCATATTCTCACTCATAGGTGGGAATTGAACAATGAGAACACATGGACACAGGAAGGGGAACATCACACTCTGGGGACTGTTGTGGAGTGGCAGGAGTGGGGAGGGATAGCATTGGGAGATATACCTAATGCTAGACGACGAGTTAGTGGGTGCAGCGCACCAGCATGGCACATGTATACATATGTAACTAACCTGCACATTGAGCACATGTACCCTAAAACTTAAAGTATAATAAAAAATAAAAAATAAAAAAATTTAAAAAAGAAAAAGAAAAACAAACATAACAAAAAGAATATGTCATAATTTGCTTCTCCATTCACTTATTGATGAACATTTAGATACTTTTCAGGTTTCAGCTATTATGAATAAAGCTATTTTTAACACATATATGCAAATATTTTGTGTGTATGTAAGTCTTTTGTCTTTTGTGTGGGGAGAGGGGGGCTTATGTGCTTTTATTTTTCTTGGGTAAACACCTAGGAGTGGAATTGCAGAGTGATAGAGTATGTCTAGGTCTAATTTTATAAGAATTTGCCTAACTTTTCCAAAGTAACTGAATTATTTTACCCTCCTGATATGGTTTGGCTGTGTCCCCACACAAATCTCATCTTCAATTCCCACATGTTGTGGAAAGGACCCAGTGGGAGGTAACTGTATCATGTGAGCACGTCTTTCCCATGCTGTTCTGGTGACACTGAATAAGTCTCACAAGATCTGATGGTTATAAAAAGGTGAGTTTCCCTGCACAAATGCTCCTCCGTTTGCCTGCCACCAACCATGTAAGACATGACTTGTTCCTCCTTGCCTTCTTCCGTGATTGTGAGGCTTCCTCAGCCATGTGGAACTGTTAGTCCAACCAAACCTCTTTCTTTTGTAAATTGCCCAGTCTCGGGTAGGTCTTCATCAACAGCATGAAAATGAATACAGTAAATTGGTAGCAGTACAGTGGGGCACTGCTGAAAAGATACCCAAAAATGTGGAAGTGACTTTGGAACTGGGTAACAGTAGAGGTTTTGGGGGGCTCAGAAGAAGACAGGAAAATGTGGTAAAGTTTGTAATTTCCTAGAGACTTGTTGAATGGCTTTGACAAAAATACTGATAATGATATCGACAATGAAATCCAGGCTGAGGTGTTCTCAGATGAAGACAAATAACCTGTTGGGAAATTGAGTAAAAGTTACTCTTGTTATGTTTTAGCAAAAAGACTGGTGGCATTTTGCCCCTGCCCTAGAGATTTGTGGAACTTCAAACTTGAGAGAGATGATTTAGGGTATCTGGCAGAAGAAATTTCTAAGCAGCAAAGCATTCAAGAGATGTTCTGGGTGCTGTTAAAGGCATTCAGTTTTATAAGGGAAGCACAGCATAAAAGTTCAGAAAATTTTCAGCCTGACAATGCAATAGAAAAGAGAAACACATTTTCTGAGGAGAAATTCAAGCTGGCTGTAGAAATTTGCATAAGTAATGAGGAGCCAAATGTTAATCCCCAAGACAATGGGGAAAATATCTTCAAGGCATGTCAGAGGTCTTCACAGCAGCTCCTCCCATCACAGGCCCAGAGTTCTAGGAGGAAAAAGTGGTTTCTTGGGCCAGGCCCAGGGTTCCAGTCCTGTGTGCAGCCTAGGGACTTGGTGCCTTGTATCCCAGCTGCTCCAGCCATAGCTAAAAGGGGCCAATGTACAGCTCGGGCCATGGCTTTGGAGGGTGCGAGCCTCAAGCCTTCACAGTTTCCATGTGGTGTTGAGCCTGCAGATGCACAGAAGTCAAGAATTGAGGTTTGGGAACCTCCACCTAAATTTCAGACTATGTAGGGAAATGCCTGGATGTCCAGAGAGAAGTTTGCTGCAGGGGTGGGGCTCTCATGGAGAACTTCTGCTCGGGCAGTGCAGAAGGGAATTGTGGGGTCAGAGTCCCCATACAGAGTCCCTACTGGGACACTGCCTAGGGGAGCTATGAGAAGAGGGCTGCTGTCCTCCAGGCCCCAAAATGGTAGATCCACTGACAGCATGCACCATGTGCCTGGAAAAGCCACAGACAATGCCAGCCCATGAAATCAGCTGGGAGGGAGGCTGTACCCTCCAAAGCCACAGGGTCAGAGCTGCCCAAGACCATGGGAACCCACCTCTTGCATCAGCATGACCTGGATGTGAGACATGGAGTCAAAGAAGATCACTTTGGAGCTTTAAGCTTTGACTGCCCTGCAAGATTTCACACTCACATGGGTCCTGTAGCCCCTTTGTTTTGGCCAATATCTCCCATTTGGAATGGCTGTATTTACCCAATGCCTGTACCCCCATTGTACCTATGAAGTAACTGAACCAGCTTTTGGTTTTACAGGCTCATAGGTGGAAGGGACTTGCCTCATCTCGAATGGGACTTTGGATTGTGGACTTCTGAGTTATTCTGAAATGAGTTAAGACTTTGAGGGACTGTTGGGAAGGCATGATTGATTTTGAAATATAAGGACATGAGATTTGGGAGGGGCTAGGGGCAGAATGATATGGTTTGGCTGTGTCCACATCCAAATCTCATCTTGAATTCCCATGTTTTGTGGAAGGGACCCAGTGGGAGCTAATTGAATCATGGGGGCAGGTCTTCCCCATGCTGTTCTCGTAATAGTGAATAAGTCTCATGAGATCAGATGGTTATAAAAAGGGGAGTTTCCCTGCACAAGTGCCTGCCACCATCCACATAATACATGACTTGCTCCTCCTTGCCTTCTGCTATGATTTTGAGGCTTCCCCAGCCATGTGGAACTGTAAGTGCAATTAAACTTCTTTCTTTTGTAAAGTGCCCAGTCTCAGGTATGTCTTTACCAACAGCATGAAAATAGACTAATACACTTCCAAATAGCAATGTATGAAAGTTCTGGTTGCTCTATATCACCATTAACATCTGGTGCTATCATCCCTTGTAATTTTAGCCATTATAGTAGATGTTTACTGGTTTCTCATTATATTTTCTCTTTGCATATCTCAGATGACAATTAATGTCAAACACATTTTCATGAGTGTATTTGCCATTTAAAAATATTCCTATGTGAAATATTTAAGTTTTTCATCCAGTTTTCTTGACTTTAATTTTTAAATTATTATTTTTATAGGAATCTTTGTACATTCTGGAGATAAATCATTTTTCAATAGTATGAACTACGAATATACTCCACCTGCCTGAAACTTGTGTTTTTGTTTACCTACTCATGCTGTTTAAGAATAGAAGTTTTAATTTTGATAAAGTAAAATTTGCTAAAATTATTTACTTTTTTATGTTTCTTGAGTACTAGACAAGAAATGTCTGCTGATTCCTAGGTAATAATAACATTTTTCTATGTTTTCTTCTAGACATTTCATAATTTTAATATTTACATTGAAGTCCATAATTAATTTTATATAAATTATTATGTGCTATACAAAGTAAAAGATAAGATTTATTTTATCTATATAAATATCCAGTTATTTCAGCACCATTTGTTAAAAAGACTACCTCTACCCCCATTGAATTACCTTGGTAACTTTGTCAAAAATTATATAACCACATAAGTGTGAATCATATATTTCTAAACTCTGATTACTGTAACTCTATGATTAGTCTTAAAGTCAATAAACTTAAGTTACCCAACTTTGTTCTTCTTTTTCAAAATTGTTTTGTCTATTCTGGATTATTTGCATTGCCTATAAATTTCAAAATAAAATCAGCAATCTCTACCAAAACAGCCACATGAGCTTTTGATTGTGATCACAGTGAATCTATACATCAGTTTAGGAAGAATTACCAAATTAACAATGCAGTACTAAGTCTCCCAATCCTAGTATAGCACATTGTTCCACATTTTTAGGTCTTTCTTAATTTTTAAGCAGTGTTCTATAGTTTTAAATGTAGAGTTACTACATATCGTTTACTAAATTTTTCATATTTTTATTACACATTGTATTATTTTTATTTAATTTCATATTCAAATTATTGATAGTTTATAAAACAATTGATTTTGTCTATTTATTTTGCATACTGTGACTTTGCTAAATTTCTTTATTAGTTCTAGTGCACATTTTTTAAACTCTTAGAATTTTTAATACACACAAGCATGTTGCCCAAATTTTTGTTTGCCTTTTTCCTACATATGCCTTTTATTTATTTTCTGTGACTTATTGCACTGGCTACTACCTTTAGTAAAATACTGAATTGTCATGATAAGAGTAAACATCTTATGCTCACTTCAGCAGCACATATATTAAAACTGGAATAATAAAGAGGAGATTATCAGATTAGCATGGATCCTGCATGAGAATGACACGCAAATTTGTAAAACTTTCCATATTTTTACATAAATGTGAAATTCCACAAAAAGATAGATACCATAATGAAGAACCAAACAGAAATCCTGCAGTTAAAGAATTCAATGAATAAAATAAAAAATGCAATCAAGACCATCGAAAGCAGACTTGATAAAGCAGAAGAAAGAATCTCTGAACTTGAAGATATGTCATTTAAAATTATCCAGTTAGAAAAAAAAATAAAAATAAAAAAGAGTAAAGAAAACCTACAAGAATTATGGTACACCATTAAGTAAAAAACATTCATATAATAGTAATGCCAGAAGGAAAAGAGATAGGCAAAGGCATAGAAGATCTATTTACTGCAATAATAGCTGAAAACTTTCCAGTTCTGAGAAGAAATATGGATATCCAGATCCAGGAAGCTGAAAAGCCCCAAGTAGATTCAACCCAAAAAGATCCTCCCTGAGGCACATTATAGTCAAACTGTCAAAACTCAAAGGCAAAGAGAATTTAAAAAAAAAAAAAAACATCAAGAGAAAGGTATTAAGTCAATATAAAGGAATCCTCGTTAGACTAACAATAGATTTCTCAGTAGAAACCTTACAGGCAAGAAGAGAATGGGATGATATATTAAAAATACTAAAAGAAAACAATTGCAAGCCAAGAATACCATACCTAGAAAAGCTATCCTCCAAAAATGAGGAAGAAATAAACTCTTTCTCAGGCAAGCAAAAACTGAGGAAAATTGTCACCACTAGACTGGCAGTATAAAAAAATGCTTAAGAAAGTTCTGCATCTGGAACCAAAAAGATGATAATCACTATCACAATAACACACAAAAGTATAAAACTCACTGGTAGAGCAGATACACAAATGATAAAGAGGAAAGAATCAAAGTTTGTCACTACAGAAAACCGGCAAACCAAAAAGATAAATGAGATTAAAAAAATAAACGAGAAGATAGAAACAACAAGAAAACAATTAACAAAATAACAAGAGTACATCCTCACCCTCAATAAACAGTATAAACAGATTACATTCCTCAATAAAAGATACAGACTGGCTGAATACATTTTTTAAATAATCCAACTGTATGCTGCCTACAGGAAACTCACTTCACCTTTAAAGACATATAGACTGAAAGTGAAGGGATAGGAAAAGATATTCCACACAAATGGAAATCAAAAGCCAGCAAGAGTGGCTATACTTATATCAGATAAAACAGATTTTAAGTCAATAACTATAAAAGAGACAAAAAATGGTTATTATATAAAAATAAATGGATCAATTCAGCAAGATAATATAACAATTATAAACATATATTCAACATCAAAGCACCCAGATATGTAAAGCAAATATTATTAGATCTAAAGAGAGGGCTAGACTCCAATACAGTAATAGTTAGGGACCTAAACACCACTTTCTCAGCATTGAACAGATACCTTACACAGAAAATCAACACAGAAATATTAGATTTAAACTGCACTTTAGACAAAATAAATCTAACAGACATTTACAGAACATTTTATCCAACAGCTGCAGAATATACATTTCTCTCTTCAGCACATGGAATATTCTCCAGGATACACCATGTGTTAGGTCACAAAACAAATCTCAAGAAATTTAAAATAATTGAAATTATATCAAGTATCTTTTCTGACCATAATGGAATAAAACTAGAAATCAGTAACAAATGAACTTTGGAATCTGTACAAATACATGGAAATTAAACATCAGCCTCCTGAACAATTAGTTGGTCAATGAAGAAATTAAGAAGAAAATTTTAATTTTCTTGAAATAATGACAATAGACTGACTGCAGTGGCTCAAGCCTGTAATCCCAGCACCTTGGGAGGCTAAGATGAGCAGATTGCTTAAGCCCAGGAGTTTGAGACCAGCCTGGGCAACATGGCAAACCCCTGTTACAAAAAAATACAAAATGTAGCTGGGCATGGTGGCACACACCTGTAGTCCTAGCTACTAGGGAGGCTGAGCTAGGAGGATCACTTGATCCCAGGAAGTTGAGGCTACAGTGAGCCATGATTGTGCCACTACACTCCAGCCTGGATGACAAAGTGAGAACCTGTATCAAAGAAGAAAGAAGAAGGAGGAAAGGAGAGGAGAACAGAGGGGAGGGGAGGGGAGGGGAAGGGGAAGTGAAGGGGGAAAAACGTGAAGGGGGACGTGAAGGGAAGGGAAGGAGGAAGGGAAGCGAAGTGTAGGGAAGGGAAGGGGGAAGGGAAGTGAAGGGTAGGGAAGGGAAGGAGGAAGGGAAGCGGAGGGGAGGAGGGGGAGGGGAGGGGAGGGAAGGGAAGGTGGAAGTGAATGGGGAAGGGAAAGGAAGGAAAGGGGGAAGGGAAAGGAAGGGAAGGGGGAAGGGAAGGGAAGGGGGAAGGGAAGGGAAGGGGGAAGGGGGAAAGGGAAGGGGGAAGGGAAAGGAAGGGAAGGGAAGGGGAGGGGAAGGAAGGGGGAAGGGAAGGGGAAAGGGAAGGGAAGGGGAGGAAGGGGGAAGGGAGAAGGGAAAGGAAGGAAGGGGGAAGGGAAGGGGGAAGGGGAAGGGAAGGGGAAAGGGAAGCAAAGGGGGAAGGGAAGAGAAGGGGGAAGGGAAAGCAAGAGAAGGGGGAAGGGAAGGGAGAAGGGAAGGGGGAAAGGAAGGGAGAAGGGAAGGGGGAAGTGAAGGGGGAAGGGAGAAAATAGAAACACAACATACCAAAACCCGTAGGATACAGCAAAAGTGGTATCAAGGGGAAAGTTTATAGCAACAAATGCCTATATCAAAAAAGTAAAAAGATTTACATAACAAACCTAATAATTCCTCTCAAAAAGCAAGAAAAACAAGAACAAGCCTAAACCAAAATTAGTAGTAGGAAAGAAATAATAAAGATCAGAGTAGAAATAAAGAAAAGTGAGACATAAAAAAAATACAAAATAACAACAAAGTGAAAAGGTGGTTTTATGAAAAGGTAAACCAACTTGACAAACGCTTAGCCAGACTAACCAAGAAAAAAAGAGAATGTATCCAAATCAATAAAATTATAAATAAACAAGAGACCTTACAACTAATACCACAGATATACAACGGATCATTAGAGAGTACTATGGACAACAATAACAGATAGGAAAGCCTAGTAAAAATGGACAAATTCCTGGTCACATACAATCTACCAAAATTAAACCAAGAAGTAATAGAACATCTTAACAAAACAATTATGAGTAATGAGATTGAATCAGTAATAAGAAGTCTCCCAGCCAGGTGCAGTTTCTCACATATGTAATCCCAGCACTTTGGGAGGCCAGAGCAGGAGAATCGCTTTAGCCCAGGAGATTGAGGTTAAAGTGAACGATGATCACACCACTGAACTCCAGCCTAGACAACAGAATGAGACCCTGTCTTAAAAAGAAAAGAAAAAGAACAAAAAAAGAAAAGAAATAAAGCCTTCCATCAAAGAAAAGTGTGGAACGTGATGAGTTCACTACTGAATTCTACTAAACACTTAAAGGAAAATGAGTACCAATTCTTCACAAACTCTTCCAGAATGTAGAAAAGGAGGGAATTATTCT
Organism: Homo sapiens; assembly: GCF_000001405.40. Taxonomy (NCBI): domain Eukaryota; kingdom Metazoa; phylum Chordata; class Mammalia; order Primates; family Hominidae; genus Homo; species Homo sapiens. Next base: position 87,644,973 of record NC_000011.10, on the reverse strand, counting down.
AACTCATTCTAAAAGGCCCATGTTACCCTGATACCAAAACCAGAAAAGAAAAGAAAACAAAACAAAACAAAAAAAACTATAGGCCAATATCCCAGATGAACATAGATCTAAAAATTCTCAGCAAAATACTAGCAAACTGAATCTATCAGCAAATTAAAGAGATTATTCACCATGATCAAGTGGGATTTAAGCCAAGGATACAAGAATTTGGTATATGCAAATCAATAAATGTAATGTATCATATCAACAAAACAAAGAATAAAAACCATATGATCATCTCAATAGATGCAGAAAAGGCATGTGATGAAATTTCACATGCACTCATAATTTTAAAAATCTTCAAAAAACTAAGTATAGAAGGAGTGTACATCAACACAATAAAGGCCATATGTGACAAACCTACAGCTAACATTATACTGAACAGAAAACGGTTGTTTTCTAAGAAATGGAATGAAATAAGAATGCCCACTCTCACCACACGTATTCAACATAGAACATAATATGGTAAGTCCTAGCTAGGGCAATAAAGCAAAAGGATAAAATAAATGACATCCAAATGGGAAAGGAATAAGTTAAATTGTTCTGTTACCAGACATGATCTTATATATACCCTGAAAGCCCCACCAAAAAACTCTTAGAACTGATAAACAAATTCAGTAACATTGCAAAATACAAAATTAACATGCTAAAATCAGTAGCATTTCTATACACCAACAATGACTAGGTGAAAAGGAAATCAAGAAAGCAATCCCATTTACAACAGCTACAGAAAAAATACCTAGAAATAAATTTAACCAAGGAAGTGAAACATCTCTACAAGGAAAACTATAAAACATTGATGAAAGAAACTGAAGAGGTCACCAAAAAATGAAAAGACATCCCACATTCATAAATTAAAGAACTGATATTGGGAAAATGATTATACTACCCAAAGCAATCTACAGATCCAATGCAATCCCTAACAGAATACCAATGACATTCTTCAAAGAAATAGAAAAACAATTCTAAATTTATATAGAACCACAGAAGACCCAAATAGCCAAAGCAACCCTGAGCAAAAGGACAAAGCTAGAGGCATTATACTACCTGACCCTAAAATATACATCCTCACCCTCTAACTAAAACAGCATAATACTGGTACAAAAACAGACACATAGACTAATAGAACAGAATAGAGAACCCAGAAATAAATCTATGTATTTACAGCAAACTGATTTTTGACCAAAAAAAAAAAAAATTCAGTGGGGAAAGAACAGTCTCTTCAATAAATAGTTCTGGTAAAACTGGATATCCATATACAAAATAATGAAACTAGGTCCCTATCTTTCACAATATCTAAAAATCAAATAAAAACATACCACCTGAAACTATGAAACTACTGAAAAGTAAATGGAGAAATAGTACAGGATATTGATCTGGGCAAAGATTTTTGAGGTAAAACTTCAAAAGCACAGGCAACAACAACAAAAAAATAGACAAATGAGATAATATCAAGCCAAAAATCTTCTATACAACAAAAGAGACAATCAACAGAGTGAAAAGATATCCTACAGAATGGGAGAAAATATTTGTAAACTAACCATCTGACAAGGAGTTAATAACCAGAATATATAAGGAATTCAAACTCAATGGCAAATAATAATAATCTGAATTTAAAATGAGCAAGTATCTGAATAGACATTTCTCAGAAGAAGACATACAGATTGTCAACAGTCATATGAAAAAAATGTTCAACATCACTAATCATCAAAGAAACACAAATGAAAGGCACAATGAAATATCTCACCTCAGTTAAATGCTACCATTAAAAAGACAAATAACAGATGCTAGTGAATATGCAAAGAAAGGGGAACACTAGTACACTGCTAGTAGGAATGTAAATTAGTACAGCTACTATGAAAAACAGTATGGAGAGTCTTCTAAAAACTAAAAGTGGGTCCACCATATGATCTACCAATCCCCCTGCTTGGTACATATCCAAAAGAAAGAAAACCAATATATCAAAGAGATATTTGCATGCCCACGTTTTTTATAGTATAGCACTTTTGCCAAGATATGGAATCAACGTAAGCATCCATCAAGAGATAAATGAATAAAGAAAATTTGGTAGATATGCACAATGGAATACTATTCAATCACAAAATAAAGAATGAAATCCTGTCATTTGCAGCAACATGGATGGAACTGGAGGTCATTACATTAAGTGAAATAAGTCAGGCACAGAAAGACAAATATCACATGTTCTTGCTCACATGAGGAATATAAAAAACTTGGTCTCATGCAGGTAGAGATTAGAATGATAGCTACGAGGGGCTGAGAAAGAGGAGTGGAAATGAAGATTGGTTAATGGGTACAAGCATACAGTTAATTAGAAGGAGTAAGTTCTAGTGTTCGACAGCACAGTAGGGTGACTATAGTTAACCATAATCTAGTGTATATTTCAAAATAGCTAGATCAGAATATTTGAAATGTTCCCAACATGAGATGATAAATGTTTGAGATGATGGATATCCTAATTATCCTGATTTAAACATTATGCATTATATGCATGTATCAAAATATGTATAATTGTATATCAATAAAAATAGTAAACATCCTTACATTTTCAAAGTTTTATATATTTCATCATTAAATATTATATTAGCTGTAGGTTTTACATACATAACTTTTATCTAGTTAAGGAAGCTTCCTTTAGTTTCTAGTTTGCTAGTTTTATCATTACTGGATGCTGAATATTTTAAATAATTGATTAATATTAAAGATTGGTGTTAATTTTTCTAATACATTTGATAGAGTTTACTAGTGAATCTATATTACCCTAGCATTATCTTGGTGGGAAGTTTATTAACTATAAATCAACTTATTTAATGATATGTAAGGCAAGTTTTAAATTTCTTTTCATGCCAGTTATGGAATTTGTATCTTTCAGGGATTCATCAATTTTATCCAAGTTATCCAATTATTGGCCTACAGTTGTTCATTCTATTTATGCTAGTACCTTACTATCTACTCATTGCCTGTATAGAATTTCTAGTGATGCCAACACTTTCATTTAGATGCACTAAATTACCAAATTTGTTTGTTTTCTCATTTTTTCATGATTCAGCTAGCTGGAAACTTGTCAATTTTGTTGATCTTTTTAATGGCTCAACTTTTGCTTTTGTTGATATTTTCTACAGTTCATTCATTTTCTTCTTCATTAATCTCTACTCTTATCTTTGCCATTTTCCTCCTTCACACATTTTGGATTAGTTTGCTCTTTAATACTTTTTTTTCATCCTTTGGTAGTATTCAGACTATTTCACTCAATTTTCAATTTCCATATATGTCTCTGTGGACAGTCCTACAATTCACACACTTTGTCTATGGGATCCTTTAATATATTTATAATAGTTATTTTAAAGTTATGTTTACTCTTTTAAATGTCTGTGTTATATCTGAGTCTCTTTATATTAACTTTTTTCTCCTAATCTTGGGACACATTTCCTTATTCTTCATATAGATAGTAATTTGTTGTTTGCAGGACATTGATACTGCAATGCTAAGAATCTGCACTTTGTTTGTTTGTCTTCCTGTAAAGTGTTGAATTTTGTTTTAGAAAGTAGTTATTTCACTGCCTGATCAGTTTTGTCCTGGAAAGTCTTGTTTTTAGGCTTTGTTAGGGCAGATATATAGTAGTTCTTGTTTAAAGTCTATTTGTAAGGTGTACCTTCTGTAGCGTCACAGCTGAATACCTGGCAGGAACCCTACCAGCCCTGTTTGATCTACAGAACCTTCATTTGGCTGTTAGCCTCCCTAGTACTAGTTCTCTGTCAGACCTCACAGTCTTATGCTGAGCAGGAGAAAGACCAGATAGAAGATCATTATAGGCCAAACACACAGATATCATTGCTTCCCAGGCACAAAGTTTCCTCATCAAATTATATAAGGGTTATAGGAGAGTGCACACCAACATATATTTTCTTGTGTTTTAATTTTCTTGACTCAACTGGAGTATATAATGTTTGAGGGCAGAGGCCTTCTCTAACAAACACGAAGTCCTTGTTCAACACAACACCTCCTGCTAGGCTCAGAATAAGTTTGCCTTGCCACAATGTGTTGGCTTGGGCAGTAATGTGACAGAGGGATGAAAGTAATATGTTCTATGGATTTGAGTATCCGTACATCTTGACAGGTGCCAAAAATGAAACACACCAAAATCTTTGGCCCCATTTCCCAAAAGAATACAGAATTCAAGAGAATTATTTAATATATTAAGCAAAAAAGATTAGGCTACTGAAAATAGTATTATAACCTGCTTTATAGTCCACCATGGTGGAAAGGACATGGGTTTTCTCTTTTTTTTTTTTTTTTTAATGCTTGCATTCATAGGCTTTATTTTTTCTATTAAAAATATTGTATTTAATTTTGGTTCTCCACTGATTAGCTGAATGGGCTTTAAAAATTTATTTGCCCTCTCTGAAACTTAGTTTCTTCACCTGTGAAACAGAGGCAGTAATTAATAGGATTTTTGTTAGGCTTAGAATGGCAAATGTAAAATATCTAGTTTTGTGAACCACAATAAGGGCTCTAAGGCCATGGGTTCGTTCCCTTTTCCACATCAGTGAGTAAAAGTGGCTATGAGGAGGGAAGAGTTTATGTGTCTAATAAAATCAGGAGGCTTGGATTCTCTGGAAAAGTCTGCTTCTCTCTGAGTCTCAGGATTTTTTGTTCTATGTCTCATGAGAGATTGACCAAGAGATCACTCAGATTTCTTCAGGTCCAACAGACATTCTATAGGTCTGTGAATACTAACTAGGTCTGCCTATAGCCTCACCGACTCAGCCCTCCCAGCTAATACTATTCCCATGACAACTAACAAAAAGGCAATAGAAAGAAGTTAGGGAAACAAGAGATCAAAGAAAAATAATGAGGCAGGCTTCAAAGCATAAAGAGAAAAAGGAGGAGAAAGGGGAATGCAAAACAACTGAAAGCTAGTGGTAAAGAGAACACTAGGCTGAGAGCTATGATGTTGTCAGCACAGTCAGCTGACAGCCCTGCCCATCAGAATTCATAGAGATGATACAGGGAGAAGAAACCTGCAGAGGGCTGAGGGCTGCTTTTAGAGGGCATAGATATTACAAGGTAGAAGCTGCCTGAAGCATCATAGCTTAATTTCTGAACTTCCAAATCACCAACTGAGCTTAGCTTAGAAATGGCAATTCATAAGGCTCTTTAAATTTTAACTTTCTTTGAAGAAAAAGATATCCTAATTTTTTACTGCTTTCATTCCTAAAACACTTAACTCATATTTCCAATGGGAAAGAGTCAGTGAAAGAAGAGAGTGGGTTATATAAGTTGTAGAGAAAAAGAATGATCATAAATAAGAAATCCTGTGTCCCTAGAATGGGTCAGATGCTGTTAGTTGCTTTTCCAAAATATTCAACTTCGATTGTCCTTCACAATTCAGAGACACAAGCCAGCTGGAGTAACACATGAAAGGGAAAGGATATTGAGTGTATTTGAGGACAACATGTTGAATTTAAGTTCATGTGTATCTTTAAAGTAGGGCTAACGGACAAGAAACGTTTTATAAAACTTTGCTACAAAAACTTGGTTCAAAGATCAAAGGCATCACGATCACTAGGAATCTTATTAGAAATTCAGAATCTCAGGTGCCTTTCCAGACCTACTGAATCAAAATTCCAAGGTTTTATTTGAACCCTAAAATTTGAGAAACCCTGTATTAGAAAATGAAAAGAGACTGCTAATAATTCTTTCTGCAATTATACTAAGTAATTTATTTCAACACTCTGTTTTTATGTTTTAATAGTAATGAAAAGTCCTACTAAAGTTGTCATTTTCTATGTTGGGTAACTGCAGGGTAGGAGGAAGATGACTTGGCTAGGTCTTTACTTTGTCACCACTATTATGACATGAGAAAAATAACTTATGTTTTCTAAATTTTAGTTTCTGCTTCTGCAAAATGAGGCCAATTCATGTAATTAGTAGTGTCACAGTGTTAACAGGGAACATAAAATAAAGAGTATGAATCATGCTATACCTCTTCCCAAAAAAACTTCAATGACTCCTCATAGCCTACAAGTTAATATCTAGTGTCTTTAAACAGCATTCAAAGCTCTTCACTCTTTAACGCCAGGCATGATGCCTCACACCTGTAATCCCAGCACTTTGGGAGGCCAATGCAGGAGAATTGCTTGGGCATCATAAGGAGACCCTGCATCTACAAAAAAAAAAAAAAGTTAGGTGTGGTAGGGCACACCTGTAGTCCCAACTACTTGGGAGGCTGAGGTGAGAGGATCACTTGAATCCAAGAGGTTGAAGCTGCTGTGAGCCATCATCACGCCACTGCACTCCAACCTGGGTGACAGAGCAAGACTCTGTCTCAAAACAAACAAAGAGCAACAACAACAAAGCTCTTCACTCTAGCCCTATCCTACTCCTCCATCTTCATTACGCATTATATTTGCCCATGAATCCTGTACTTCTGCCTTTCCCTGAAACATAACATTCACTTTCATTTTCTATCCACACATCTATCCTGTTTCTTCTGCCAGGAATAGGCTCTTTTCTTTCTGTAATTACCAAAATTCTACTCATCCAAGAAAACTCAGTTCAGAAGCATCTGCTTCACAAAACTGTTACCAGTAACACTAATTGTACATCATTTAACATTTCTCTGCACTGATACAGTGATTTACACTTTTCTCTACAACACTATTTCATTCTTCTTTGAGTTGTTGCTAGTTGAGTATATATCTGAAATTGCCTTTGAAATGTAAAGTACTCAAGGAAAGGGATTACTTGTTATTTATCATTACAGTTCCCTCAACAACTAGCACAGTACTTTTCACACCATATATAGTAAATTTTTGAGGAAATTAAAGAAAGATGAAAAAAGAAAGCTTCTCAAGATATACATCTAGAGATAATTTGTTCTGAAAATTATCTGACAACATTCTAATGTGGCAGGAATAAAATTGCCAATAAAATACGTGCCAATCTTAACAATACAAAGATAGGAGACAGAGATGGTATACATAACTCTATAGAGAGAAATGTATTTAATGTGTGGTTCCATCAGTATATATGCAATGCTTACTGTGGGGTCCCTGACCTCCAAGTTCTACCTCCATGCTCTCCTTTAGTTTGGGCCATTGAAGAGATGAGGTTTCAATCAATTCCCTTTAGAATAAAATTATCTTCATAGCTGCTCATTTGAGGTTAGCTGAGGGCTGATTTCTTAGTAAAGCATGGACAACCTTATAAAGGGCATGAGGGCTAGTATTAAAGAATTCAGTAAGAGAGATTGTTACAGAGAAGACACTGAGCAGAAATTCAGTAGATTTAGACGTAAGTTCTAATTCTGGCACTGTGTAACTCTGGGCAAGTTACTTAACCTTAGAGCATAATTTTTCTATCTCTCAAAATGATTACTATGATTAAGTAGACAACTATTGCTTTTTTGTAATTTGCAAATTGTAAAAAAATAAAGTATACATATGGAAGGTATCACTGGTAAATTCAGCTAACAGGACAAGTTCAGACTTTAACTACTGGTTTATCAGACTGTAAAGTAATGGGCATGAGAAGCCAATGACTTTAATTTAGACCCATCCCTCCCTTTGTGTTATGCAGAAAAGTGAAATTGACAACAAAGTGAAAGGTTATCTATTATTTTTTCTGCCCTGACCCCAGATAAAGTCCCTATCTTATCCATACAGAGCCAGCAGACACATAGACTCCTTTCTCCACACCTCATCTAGTTATTGAAGGGCGAGCTCACTGTCAGAGTCCAAAACAATTAAAAATGGCATAAGGACAGAAAAACAGAAACAGAGATGGCTTTAAGATAAAGTTTAAACTGTCTTCTCCCCAACCGCAGCCAAAAAACTAATTTGACTTTAAAGATGGTTCCATGAGGAGGGAGGAGGCAAGATGACTTTATTCCACTTCTGTAACTTTACCTCCAAACACACAACTTCTAGCACAAAAGTACAGTGGTAAATAATATGGGTTTGGAAGCCTGACTTGAATTTGATTCTACGTTCTGTTAGGAGCTATAAAGGAGCTGAGATTTTTACTCTACTTGCAAGCTAGTAAGTTCGCTTGCCAGTTTTATGGATGCTGGCATAATCTATAAGACAAAGTATCAGAGACCAAGTAGAGATTTTTACAGCTATAGCAGTAGACAGAACATCTTTTGTCAGTTTTCCAAGTGACAATGCTCAAGGGCTGAGGTCTCTTGACACCTGTACATACAGTGGGTTGTGTTACAGGAGAGGAAATCTGAGCTTGGGGAACCCAAATCTTTTACATAGTAAGCATGCCTGCTCTATGCTCCAAAGGAAGACTCTATCTTCTTTTATTATCCTAAACATTAAGTATTCTTGCCTTTGCTCCAGAGGTAAATACTGTCTCTGTCTTCCAAAGCTGTTCACTATACAAACATCCTTGACAAGATCATCCAGAACAAAGGCAGCCATGCCTCTGCTGACTACATGAACAGAAACATAAGCTCCATGGAGAACTGTCTTCCAACAGGTTTTTGTTCACTTTTTAGCTATAATTAAAAATCAAATTTTACTTCCCTCTCAGCATAAAGTTGGAGGTTTTTCTTCCCCATATAATGAATGTAGAAGTAGCACTTATAAGGATAAAATGCAATAATTCATATTAAGTCCTTAGCACACTGTCTAGTACATCAATGATAGCTAGTTTAATGCAGCAGAATGACGATGGAAGTGTGCATGGAAATGTCTTTAAATCTGCCCCTAACCAACAGTCCATTCTGGTTCATTAACAAGCACAGAGGCAGCTTGATGTGATTCCCAGGCTAAGGAAATATAAGAGATGGCACAATGTAGAAGATAGAGTCTTCCTAGCTCTATAATTTACTGCATTTCTGACAATGGACACTTAACTTTACTAAACCTCATATTCTTCATCTAGAAACTGTCTTAACTGATCAGGTTGCTGTAGCACTTACATGGAACACTTGTGTGATAGGTAGTGTTTGGCACACAGTGATGGGTGTTCAGCAAATAGTGGTGGGCTATCATTAAGTACTGGTAACTACCTAAGTCACCTGATTCAATGTAACACTTAAAGTTGTTTTAAAGCATTTTAACGTCTACCACAACCCCTTCAGAACCCCTGACCACCCATCCAAAAAGAACTACTGAACATCATTTATGCATGAGGGGATACAGACCATTCCAGATGCTCAAAACTCCACAGGGGCTGTAGATCTTTTTAGATGCTCAGAACGCCATTATTGGAACATTAATGGGGAAAATGTCCTCTTGAAAGTCTCATCTTAATATTATGTAACGCGGCCTCTTAATATCTAAGAATCTTAGAATCCTAAACTTTGAGCAGAAATGATAGGTGTATACGAATCTCAGCTCCTTGAGAAATATACTTCTCTTCCATAGTACTGAGTTTCATAACCTTAGCAGTCTGAGATATGACTGAGAAACACTAGGAGAATCAATCTCCTTCTCTACCCACTCACAGACTACTTGAGAGTTTCTGCCATCACTTCCTCCCACCCTATCCACCTAATTCCCTATACACATCTTATTTCCTTCTCTTTCCCTTCTCTCTTTTCTTATTTAATCAATATTTGATCTTAAACATTGACGATGTTCATTAAATTGGTATTTCTGCATATACCATGTATGAAGCATGCAGCTGAAGATACTCAAACACAGTAGGTAACTATAGGAAGTACCAAAAATTTTAAGGAAATGACTCAGGTTCATGAAAAGCATCTGTCTACTTGAGATTACACAGACATTCATATGTGAAATCTAAAAAGAAAGAAACAAGCAAAATTATGCACACAGATTCATACACATGAAGCTAAGTGCCCATTTTTCTTCGTCACTACTTCGAATTCATCACCGCAAATTCATTGCTGCTCCAAATCCAAGTCACTAATATTAGCACGTGGAATGAGTATTAAGAGACATCACTATGCAATGTGTAATTTGGGCTGAATAGCAAGCATATTATATACTGATGAACTTCCTAATGTCTCTACTTAGAGTTACAGGAATGAGGGCAAGGGGCAAGCACCAACTATGCCATTGTCAGCGCTCAGGCAGGAATGGGACAGCAACCAGAGAATAGCAAATACTTCTGCTATCCCCAACCATAAGCCTCAGGTTGAATGTGCCAAAGGAAATCTGTCTTCTAAAGCCCTTGAAGCCACAAGCTGTATTGAGAGTAATAGTTTGGTAACCTGCTCTTGGCCAGATGGTGTTTGTTGAACGAATAAATGAATGTGCAGCCTCTATTTCCAGTGAGATTTTGCTACCTCCCTTCATTCTCAACACTATCAGAGCCTGGGCAAAAAGCCAACCAATAAGATTCAAATTGTTCTGTTTCCAATTATGCCTTTGTGTTATAAACCACGGACTCATCTATAAACCATGTGGTACAGACAGCCCAATTTAAATCCTGAAACATTGGGAGAAACTGCTACTGCTCAGGAGACTCACAATATGAAATGAGACTCACAGGCATTGTTAACCATAACATGTCAAGAAAAAGGCAAGGTTTCCCTCAGGCAGCAGGCTCGACAGCTCCTTTTCTCTCCAGAGATTTCTTCTTTTGTTTTCAGGCTTTGACTATGTCCCAGCAGAGAGAGATGTCTAGGAAATCCTCACTAAGAATGTAAGCTCTAAAATTCAAAAAAGGAAGGCAGATGCTCTAGGAGAAAGAAAAAAGACTGTATTTTAAATAGAGAACACAGGTTGGAGATTTTCCGTATTACATCTTGAGTAATATACTCTGTTATCATCCAGTGAACATGTAAGTATATATCAACAGGACTATCTCCTTCAAGTTTAGGACAATTTGTCATTTATACCCTTACTTAATAAACATGTACAGATCTTTCACCCAGAGCCTACCCATTTACTTTCCATACACTGTCTCGTTTAATCTTCAAAACACCCCTGAGAGATATATAGCATTACTGCCACTACAGATATATTATGGTTCAGATCAGGAACACAGGGCTAAGAGAATAACTGAGCTCAAAACTGACAAATTGCAGAGTCGGACTTTTGACCTGGACCTGCCTAATTTTAAAGCTCATAGTTCCTTGTGTGGAAACAGTAGTGATGACTCCACCACCTCAATGCAACCCTACTATACATCTCTGAAAACAAAGAAAATTGAAAGATAATCCTGAGAAACCCTTGTATATATATTCAATAGACCGATGAGATGAGTCTCAAAGGAGATTGAAGAGACAGAGAGGTTTAAAAAAAAGAGTCCAAGAGTATAGGCTGTGACAGAAACAAATAGTATTGTTTACAATTTTTTATTGCTAACCGATAGTTACACCTTTAATGTCTTTTGAGACTACTTCCAAAATCCTACTAATAAAGTTGTGAGGACATGCTTATTTTGTCTCTGTAAAACCAGAATTGAAATGAATATTTCTCTAAAGTTTCATCCTACTTTGACTATATCATGTCATTGTTTAAGTGACACCAATATGCTGAAAATTCAATATTTTTAACCTCTAACCCAGACCTCTCTTCTGAACTCCAGATGTGTATGATCAACTACACATGTCTCTTCTTGAGGTCTAATAACTATAGCATACCTAAGGTTTCCAAAACGGAGTTCTGGATATTATCCCCTAAACAAGCTGCACCCATTTCTTTCCTCATCTTAGAAAACAGCAATTAATTCCAGCCCTCTAGTTGTACAAACTTTACAATCATTATCAATGTCTCTTCTCCTACCCCATACCCCATCCGTCAGAAATTCTTTTTGGCTTTCTGTTCAAAATATATCTCAAAACTAATGGCTTCTCACCATCACCATTGCTACCACCTGGTCCAAGTCCATGTCATACAATGCTTGGATCTCTGCAAAAGTCCCTATGAGTTGCCCTGTTTTTGCCCATGCCCGTATTAGTCTAATCTCCACACAGCTGTCAGAGTTATCCTATCTCAGCCTTCTGCAGTGGTCTATTTAACTGGAAGTAGGAGTCAAAATCATTCCAATGGTCTACGAGTCCACACATGATCTGTTCCCTATCTCCATTACTTTTCTGATGTCATTTCATTCTGCTCTCACCCCAGCTTGCTCAGCTCCAGTTTTCACATATTTTATTCCTTCTGCCTCAAATGCATTTTCTACAGATGCCCAAAAGGCTCACTCCCTCACCTCCTGTAAATTTTACTCCAATAAAGCTTTCAATGAGGTTTTCCTCAGCCACCAAATCTATAACTGCAGTGTCCAGACATTCCCAATTTCACCTTTCATGTTTTACTTTTACTGTTACACTTAAAATATAAACATGCTAAATATTTTACTGATTTTTCTTTTGTATTCAATGTCATCTCATTCCAATTTAGGTTTCAATTTAAGACAGAGTGTTTATCTGTTATTTTCACTGGTATATCCCCAGAAGCTAAAAAGTACCTGGTAAACAGTAGTTGCTCAATAAATATTTGCTTAATAAATCATCAAAGAGTGAAACATATTGTTGGTTTAAGGTAGGTAATTTTTGTCTATTGCTGATAGCTTTCTTATATCCTCTGTTTTCTAAAACTTTTAGATGTTAAATTTTATCAGTGCCATCTCTTCATTTATTGAAATTATCACCTACTTTGTTCTATCAAATATTAATACGAAGAATTTACTTATAAGTGATCTGCAATTAAATCATCTTGTATTTTTGAGATAATGCTACTGACAGATTATTTGCTAAACATGCATTCAAATTCAACCTGTTAGTTTTTATAAAGTTCTTTCAAAAAAGTTTTTCTCTTTTTTGCATGTGCTATGTTTGTGAGACTTGTGAATAACCATATGCTACCTTTATAAAATGATTTGGATATTTTCTCATATTTTTCTAAGCTTTTAAACAGTTTATCTAATAAAAGTATATTGCAAAAGAGTATTTTTTTCAAAGTTTTAAGCTGAATAAACCTTTTTGGATGTAATTTTTTGATAACTTTTATTCATTTAGATCTTGGTTAATGATCTACTTGAGTTTTCTACTTGTTTTTGAGTCAAGACAATACAGTTTTCTCAGGTAAAATTCATCCATTTCACCGATGCTTTCCAATTTATTGTCATGAAGTTACATAGAGTGTTTTTTTTCTAAAATTTGAACCCTTCTGTCTTTTTCATTAAAAACTTCTCCATTTGGGTTTTCGCTTTTGCTTTTCAGGCTTTGAAAAGTTGAAATTTAAGTATTTTAAAAATACTTCATAGGCTCAATTCTGTTCTCTTATGCAATTCCTTAATTTTTGCTTGTGTCTTTCTTTCATATTTCTTTAAGAAACAGACAAACAGAGAGCCAAATTATGAGTGAACTCCCATTCACAATTGCTTCAAAAAGAATAAAATACTTAGGAATCCAACTTACAAGGGACGTGAAGGACCTCTTCAAGGAGAACTACAAACCACTGCTCAATGAAATAAAAGAGGATACAAACAAATGGAAGAACATTCCATGCTCATGGGTAGGAAGAATCAATATCGTGAAAATGGCCATAATGCCCAAGGTAATTTATAGATTCAATGCCATCCCCATCAAGCTACCAATGACTTTCTTCACAGAATTGGAAAAAACTACTTTAAAGTTCATACGGAACCAAAAAAGAGCCCACATTGCCAAGTCAATCCTAAGCCAAAAGAACAAAGCTGGAGGCATCACGCTACCTGACTTCAAACTATACTACAAGGCTACAGTAACCAAAACAGCATGGTACTGGTACCAAAACAGAGATATAGATCAATGGAACAGAACAGAGTCCTCAGAAATAACGCCGCATATCTACAGCTATCTGATCTTAAACAAACCTGAGAAAAACAAGCAATGGGGAAAGGATTCCCTACTTAATAAATGGTGCTGGGAAAACTGGCTAGCCATATGTAGAAAGCTGAAACTGGATCCCTTCCTTACACCTTATACAAAAATTAATTCAAGATGGATTAAAGACTTAAACGTTAGACCTAAAACCATAACAACCCTAGAAGAAAACCTAGGCATTACCATTCAGGACATAGGCATGGGCAAGGACTTCATGTCTAAAACACCAAAAGCAATGGCAACAAAAGCCAAAATTGACAAATGGGATCTAATTAAACTAAAGAGCTTCTGCACAGCAAAAGAAACTACCGTCAGAGTGAACAGGCAACCTACAACATGGGAGAAAAATTTTGCAACCTACTCATCTGACAAAGGGCTAATATCAAGAATCTACAATGAACTCAAACAAATTTACAAGAAAAAAACAAACAACCCCATCAAAAAGTGGGCAAAGTATATGAACAGACACTTCTCAAAAGAAGACATTTATGCAGCCAAAAAACACATGAAAAAATGCTCACCATCACTGGCCATCAGAGAAATGCAAATCAAAACCACAATGAGATACCATCTCACACCAGTTAGAATGGCAGTCATTAAAAAGTCAGGAAACAACAGATGCTGGAGAGGATGTGGAGAAATAGGAACACTTTTACACTGTTGGTGGGACTGTAAACTAGTTCAACCATTGTGGAAGTCAGTGTGGCGATTCCTCAGGGATCTAGAACTAGAAATACCATTTGACCCAGCTATCCCATTACTGGGTATATACCCAAAGGACTATAAATCATGCTGCTATAAAGACACATGCACACGTATGTTTATTGCAGCACTATTCATGATAGCAAAGACTTGGAACCAACCCAAATGTCCAACAATGATAGACTGGATTAAGAAAATGTGGCACATATACACCATGGAATACTATGCAGCCATAAAAAATGATGAGTTCATGTCCTTTGTAGGGACATGGATGAAATTGGAAATCATCATTCTCAGTAAACTATCACAGGGACAAAAAACCAAACACCGCATGTTCTCACTCATAGATAGGAATTGAACAATGAGAACACATGGACACAGGAAGGGGAACATCACACTCTGGGGACTGTTGTGGGGTGGGGGGAGGGGGGAGGGATAGCAGTAGGAGATATACCTAATGCTAAATGATGAGTTAATGGGTGCAGCACACCAGCATGGCACATGTATACATATGCAACTAATCAGCACATTGTGCACATGTACCCTAAAACTTAAAGTATAATAATGATAAAATAAATAAAATTAAAAAAAAGAAATACACATCCCTCCAGTATGCACTTTAATTTTTTGACCTAATTTTACTTTTATTTTTATTCTTTATCTTCTTAATCCCTCTCCATTGCCATTACAAGTCATTCTCATCTTATGTGGCATCTTAACAGATTCTTCCTTTCAGCTTTCTGCTTCTGTTTCATAAAGGTCTTGTCTTACTACATCACACCGACCTTTTCAAATTTTCCAAATGTTTTAGGGATTTCTGTAATAAGTCATTTACAGTGGTATACTCTTCCTCTGAGTATTTAGGTTAATTTCCTCTTTCCCTGTTTTTATAAACATGGATGGAGGGTTGCTTGTTTGTTGCTTGGTTTTTGTTGTTGCTTTTTGCACAGATTTGTGTTTATCTTCGGACAAGATACCTGAGTGGTGCTTGGCTTCATTCGTAACCAAGTGCCAGTGGAATCTACTTCTTACATTATCATCAGGATCACAGATCCAATCACAATTCTTGTTTCTGGTCTGCTTAATTCTAGTCTTCTGCTGAACTAAGATGGGATCAAATCTGCATTCCTTCTATACCCATAACTTGGAATACATATATATATATGTATATATATGTATATATATGTACATATTCATATATATATATATATGTATATACACATTCAACTTGTGTTACCATGAGTGTTCTGCCAGTCCCTGCCTCCATCTGCTGGGCTTTACTGCAGGGCTAACAACCTCTCTTGGAATCATTTATTCATTCATTCAGTAAATATTTACTGGATACCTAATGTGTACACTGCTTTCAGCATCAGTCTGTTCTTATTTTCTAAGATAATGTTTTTTGAATATTGTTAGTTTAGAAAGAGTGATCAAAAAATGAGAGCAGAAGGGGACATTCTTTGTACCATCTCAAAATAGCACCCATATAGAAGATACAGAAGAAGGGCAGAACATAATTTTATGGTTCATAGAGACCTGGGTCTCTGATCTACAGTGAAACAGAAAATAAGCTTGGATTCCACCTCTTTCAAATCACTGGCACTGTTCTGTTTTATAAGGTGACACATAATTATGACAATTATTAATCAGTTTATCAATCTCAAAAGTAGTAAAAATTAAAAGTGCTCCTATATTCTTGCCATAAGATGTCTCTAACTCTCTCAGACACTTTGTTTTTCCAGTGCCTTTTTTTAAGGGGATAATAAAATAAATTTTAAACTGGAAGCCATCCATGCTTTTCTTACTATTGCCACTGCAGGGAGTTTGGTATATCCTTGGGCAAAGGCAGATCCTTCAGCCGTATTCTAACCAGTGGGACTAACGTGGGCACTGAAGCACCGTTGAACTCTGAAAAAGTTAAATGGACCAACTATAAGATAGGCCTCCTCAGAGTCTAATCAGCTTTCAAACCATAAAACCCACATTCCTGTTGAGCTCCAGCACACAGCCTGCTGATGCCCATTTGGATAACAGGCACAGCATGTACTTGCAGGAACAGCTGCCTCGCTTTTCCCCCTTTGGCAGGCAGGATATTGCAGCTATAAGGATCTGGTATTTTCCTTCTAGCTGCTGAAAAGTAGGAAGCAGTGTAAAGCATATAAAGTCTTCTCTGGCCATGTGGTAATGTCTGGCAAAGGCACACATGGAAAAGAGTGAAAGTTGTCAGTTACAGATACCACCTATGCAGAGACCCAGGCTTGGGTGTGAGTGGCTTCAATGTAAGAGAAGCAGTTAGAGGCAATCATGCTTTAGGAGTGGGGAGAGAATGAGCTTTGGAGACAGACGTGCCATTTTAGCTGTGAGGCCTTTGGCAAGCAACTCACATGAGAAGTCTCATGGCTTGTTTTCTCATGTAGAGAATTAAGATAGCAATAGTTATCTCACGGGGTATAGAGAGGACTAAATAAGATAGTGCATGTTAAATTCCTGGCATATAAAAGACACTCAATAAAGGACAGTTCTGTTCTGCTCTGGACCAGAACTAGGGTGAAGCATTGGAGGCACTCAACACGGGTACAAAATTTAAGGCCCACCAAAAACTCAGCAATCAAGATAAATAATACTTTAATATAATACTTTAAAAATTATTAAAATTAATGCAAACAGCTATATGATGGACAAAAATATCAAAATTTTAAATAAAGGCAGAATCTGCCCTGTACTTTATAACCCTGGCTCACTTGTCTCATCCTAATCCCGGCCCCGTTTACAGAAGAATTTTACTTACAAACACAGGAGCTAGCCACTGGGTCATAATGTGTTGATTTCATTCTTTAAAATATTGCATTAAATATTATTTATATTTTTTACTTAGTTTTTTGGCACATTAAATTTTGCACCTTAAATAAATTCCTTACTCACCTCATGTGGTCCAGGTTCTGGTTCTGCTTCATTATTTCTTAGAAATGTATTACTTGCCTTTTTCAATTTCAGTGAGAAAAATCCATGTGATCTCTCTCCTCTTTTTTATTTTATTTTATTTCATTTTATTTTATTTTATTATACTTTAAGCTTTAGGGTACATGTGCACAATGTGCAGGTTAGTTACATATGTATACATGTGCCATACTGGTGTGCTGCACCCATTAACTCGTCATTTAGCATTAGGTATATCTCCTAATGCTATCCCTCCCCTCTCCCCCAACCCCACAACAGTCCCCAGAGTGTGATGTTCCCCTTCCTGTGTCCATGTGTTCTCATTGTTCAATTCCCACCTATGAGTGAGAATATGCGGTGTTTGGTTTTTTGTTCTTGCGATAGTTTACTGAGAATGATGATTTCCAATTTCATCCATGTCCCTACAAAGGACATGAACTCATCATTTTTTATGGCTGCATAGTATTCCATGGTGTATGTGTGCCACATTTTCTTAATCCAGTCTATCATTGTTGGACATTTGGGTTGGTTCCAAGTCTTTGCTATCGTGAATAGTGCCGCAATAAACATACGTGTGCATGTGTTTTTATAGCAGCATGATTTATAGCCCTTTGGGTATATACCCACTAATGGGATGGCTGGGTCAAATGGTATTTCTAGGGTATTTCTAGGGTATTTCTAGCGATCCCTGAGGAATCGCTACACTGACTTCCACAATGGTTGAACTAGTTTACAGTCCCACCAACAGTGTAAAAGTGTTCCTATTTCTCCACATCCTCTCCAGCATCTGTTGTTTCCTGACTTTTTAATGATTGCCATTCTAACTGGTGTGAGATGGTAATGGAATCTAACTAAACTAAAGAGCTTCTGCACAGTAAAAGAAACTATCATCAGAGTGAACAGGCAACCTACAAAATGGGAGAAAATTTTCGCAACCTACTCATCTGACACAGGACTAATATCCAGAATCTACAATGAACACAAACAAATTTACAAGAAAAAAACAAACAACCCTATCAAAAAGTGGGTGAAGGACATGAACAGACACTTCTCAAAAGAAGACATTTATGCAGCCAAAACACACATGAAAAAATGCTCACCATCGCTGACTATCAGAGAAATGCAGATCTCTCTCCTCTTTACCCCTGCCAAACTCCTCTGCTACCTTGTTATCTACTTAGCATGAAGAATTCTTACCCTTAGCTATATAACTCATAAATTACAGACATGATGACATTTATAGGAATATCTCAAACCTTAATGGTCTTGCCCCAGTTGACTTGAGCAATAGGAGGTCCTAGAAGTTTTCTATAAAATATTTCCACGATGTCTATGGTGCTTACAAGTGCAATCCAAGTGTTCCCTAGGTCCCAACATTTTGTAAGTACCAAATAAGGTCACTTTTTTTCTAAAGGCCATGATGGGGTGGAGGGAGCCTTACAATAGTTTCTAGGGGAAATACAGAGATGTGTATATTACAGTTACATTCAGGGAACTTAGTGACAGAAGTGGCGAAAAAGAGAAATGGGTACAAAATAATAATCTATTATTGTGTGAGTATTATGTGTTAGAGTTTGTGTTATATGTATATTACTTAATCTTCATAAAAAGCTTCATGATATATGTATTATCATCTTATTTTGCTGATAAGCAAACTGGGGCAAAGAAAATTAGTCGGCATGATCAGCTAGTAACTGGCACTTCCAGTGTCTTTTCTGCTTTACATAATGAATTGTACCTAATGCTTTACAACTTAGAAGAGAATTTTATGCATATTTTCTACTTTGATCCTTTCCCCAGCCATATGAAGTAAGAAAATAATATTCCCATTTGCTGTGAAAACAGATTGCAGTCCGTAGCCACCGAATGACCAAAAAAAAATTTCTTTCTCTAGTGCTCTATCCTTAACAACTTGTTGTCTCTCATCTAGGAATTATTCATCAAAACTCCCTAGTATTGTCTATTAATATAAGCTTATTAAACTCTATTTCTTGTCTGGACTCACTGGGCAACGCTATATTCAGTCCTTCAGGTCAAGCCTAAATGTTATCTTTTGTGCTGAACTAGACATCCTCCATTTCACCTCTAAGTCACTCTCCAGCCTTCTCCACCCTGAAGGCCAATGTGTAGGGATTACATCAAGAAGTCCCTCTGGCTTCCTGTTGGATTTAGCTAAGTGGGGAGCCCCAGTAGGGAAGCAGAGGGAGAAGAGGGAGAAGAAAGAGTGAGGCAGGGCACCTGGCTCCCTTGCTGTAAGGTCACCTCAGGCCAGTTATTCCCACCAACAAAGATCAGGATTCCCCTCAAGGCGAGCATCTCTGCTAGACTCTCCACCACCCTTCAGAGCTGAGAGAGGAAACAGCTCTACTGCTGTTTGCTGCTTCACTGCACTGTCCCTTGTGTTTTCCTACATTCTCCCACATCTTTGTAAATAGTGCCTATTTAAACCCTGATTTAAATGTGTTCCTCTCCCGTTTGGACCCCGGATGATACAGCCCTGCCTGTGAATTTGAATCAAGACTGTTAGAGTTGATTTGATAGACCTGATGTTCAAATCCTAAGGCCATTTCAAGAGGGGTTATCAGAACCTCACCTCTGAAACATCACTAGAAGAGCTCACCAGGAGTTATTTGTTCCTCATTATGCATTCATGGCATAATTGCTAAGCCTCCACTTTGTGCAGAAAAAAGTCTAATATGCCTCACATCATGTAAAAAATAGAGATAAGGGTCTAGGGACTTGGCAACATTTGGGCCAAAACAAGGATGATGAGCACTTAGAGAAAGAATTCAAGAAGTGGTCACTGCTCTCTGAATCTAAAAGTTGAGATTATTTTTTAATAATATATATATGTATATATATATAAATTGTTATACTTAAAGTCTGAAAATGAAAAGAAGACAAACTGGTGACAAATGATCTGAGACCTGAGGGCTGAGAAGGGTGTCTCAAAGACCTCTCAAACTCAAGAGGCTCGAATCTCCAAACTTGGTCTTCCAAGAGTTCCTCCTTGGGCAGAACTGAAACCTAGGAGTCATCCTTAGGCTCTCTCCCACCCTTATTCCCCATACAAAATCAATCACACATTTTCCTTGTATGGTATCCTTAAAATCTGTTCAGTTCTTTCAGTCTTACCCATGATCTAGTACAAATTACTACCATCGCTCACTTGAATTACAATGTCTCTCTACACATTCACTTGCTTACCACCTGGCACAGACTATGAGCTCAAAAAATATGTGTTAAATATAGAAATAAAATGTCAGGAAGGAAAAATGACAGCGGGAGGAGCCAAGATGGCCGAATAGGAACAGCTCAGGTCTACAGCTCCCAGCATGAGGCTCCGGTCTACAGCTCCCAGCGTGAGCGACACAGAAGACGGGTGATTTCTGCATTTCCATCTGAGGTACCGGGTTCATCTCACTAGAGAGTGCCAGACAGTAGGCACAGGTCAGTGGGTGCAGCACACGGTGCACAAGCCGAAGCAGGGCGAGGCATTGCCTCACTTGGGAAGCACAAGTGGTCAGGGAGTTCCCTTTCCAGGTCAAAGAAAGGGGTGACAGACAGCACCTGGAAAATCAGGTCACTCCCACCCAAATACTGCGCTTTTCTGATGGCCTTAAAAAACGGTGCACCACGAGATTATATCCCGCAGCTAGCTCGGAGGGTCCTACGCCCACGGAGTCTCGCTGATTGCTAGCACAGCAGTCTGAGATCAAACTGCAAGGCGGCAGCGAGGCTGGGGGAGGGGCGCCCGCCATTGCCCAGGCTTGCTTAGGTAAACAAAGCAGCCGGGTAGCTGGAACTGGGTGGAGCCCACCACAGCTCAAGGAGGCCTGCCTGCCTCTGTAGGCTCCACCTCTGGGGGCAGGGCACAGACAAACAAAAAGACAGCAGTAACCTCTGCAGACTTAAATGTCCCTGTCTGACAGCTTTGAAGAGAGCAGTGGTTCTCCCAGCACACAGCTGGAGATGTGAGAACAGGCAGACTGCCTCAAGTGGGTCTCTGACCTCTGACCCCCGAGCAGCCTAACTGGGAGGCACCCCCCAGCAGGGGCACACTGACACCTCATACAGCAGGGTATTCCAACAGACCTGCAGCTGAGGGTCCTGTCTGTTAGAAGGAAAACTAACAAACAGAAAGGACATCCACACCAAAAACCCATCTGTACATCACCATTGTCAAAGACCAAAAGTAGATAAAACCACAAAGATGGGGAAAAAACAGAACAGAAAAACTGGAAACTCTAAAAAGCAGAGCACGTCTCCTCCTCCAAAGGAACGCAGTTCCTCACCAGCAACGGAACAAAGCTGGATGGAGAATGACTTTGACGAGCTGAGAGAAGAAGGCTTCAGATGATCAAATTACTCTGAGCTACGGGAGGACATTCAAACGAAAGGCAAACAAGTTGAAAACTTTGAAAAAAATTTAGAAGAATGTATAACTAGAATAACCAATACACAGAAGTGCTTAAAGGAGCTGATGGAGCTGAAAATCAAGGCTCGAGAACTACGTGAAGAATGCAGAAGCCTCAGGAGCCAATGCGATCAACTGGAAGAAAGGGTATCAGCAATGGAAGACGAAATCAATGAAATGAAGCGAGAAGGGAAGTTTAGAGAAAAAAGAATAAAATGAGCAAAGCCTCCAAGAAATATGGGACTATCTGAAAAGACCAAATCTACATCTGATTGGTGTACCTGAAAGTGATGGGGAGAATGGAACCAAGTTGGAAAACACGCTGCAGGATATTATCCAGGAGAACTTCCCCAATCTAGCTAGGCAGGCCAATGTTCAGATTCAGGAAATACAGAGAACGCCACAAAGATACTTCCCGAGAAGAGCAACTCCAAGACACATAATTGTCAGATTCACCAAAGTTGAAATGAAGGAAAAAATGTTAAGGGCAGCCAGAGAGAAAGGTCGAGTTACCCACAAAGGGAAGCCCATCAGACTAACAGCAGATCTCTCGGCAGAAACCCTACAAGCCAGAAGAGAGTGGGGACCAATATTCAACATTCTTAAAGAAAAGAATTTTCAACCCAGAATTTCATATCCAGCCAAACTAAGCTTCATAAGTGAAAGAGAAATAAAATACTTTACAGACAAGCAAATGCTGAGAGATTTTGTCACCACCAGGCCTGCCCTAAAAGAGCTCCTGAAGGAAGCGCTACATAGGGAAAGGAACAACCGGTACCAGCCACTGCAAAATCATACAAAAATGTAAAGACCATCGAGACTAGGAAGAAACTGCATCAACTAATGAGCAAAATAACCAGCTAACATCATAATTACAGGATCAAATTCACACATAACAATATTAACTTTAAATGTAAATGGACTAAATGCTCCAATTAAAAGACACAGACTGGCAAATTGGATAAAGAGTCAAGACCCATCAGTGTGCTGTATTCAGGAAACCCATCTCACCTGCAGAGACACAGATAGGCTCAAAATAAAAGGATAGAGGAAGATCTACCAAGCAAATGGAAAACAAAAAAAGGCAGGGGTTGCAATTCTAGTCTCCGATGAAACAGACTTTAAACCAACAAAGATCAAAAGAGACAAAGAAGGCCATTACATAATGGTAAAGGGATCAATTGAACAAGAAGAGCTAACTATCCTAAATATATATGCACCCAATACAGGAGCATCAAGATTCATAAAGTCAGTCCTGAGTGACCTACAAAGAGACTTAGACTCCCACACATTAATAATGGGAGACTTTAATACTACCCCACTGTCAACATTAGACAGATCAACAAGACAGAAAGTCAACAAGGATACCCAGGGATTGAACTCAGCTCTGCACCAAGCAGACCTAATAGACATCTACAGAACTCTCCACCCCAAATCAACAGAATATACATTTTTTTCAGCACCACACCACACCTATTCCAAAATTGACCACATAGTTGGAAGTAAAGCTCTCCTCAGCAAATGTAAAAGAACAGAAATTATAACAAACTATCTCTCAGACCACAGTGCAATCAGACTAGAACTCAGGATTAAGAATCTCACTCAAAACCACTCAACTACATGGAAACTGAACAACCTGCTCCTGAATGACTACTGGGTACATAACGAAATGAAGGCAGAAATAAAGATGTTCTTTGAAACCAACCAGAACAAAGACACAACATACCAGAATTTCTGGGATGCATTCAAAGCAGTGTGTAGAGGAAAATTCATAGCACTAAATGCCCACAAGACAAAGCAGGAAAGATCCAAAATTGACACCCTAACATCACAATTAAAAGAACTAGAAAAGCAAGAGCAAACACATTCAAAAGCTAGCAGAAGGCAAGAAATAACTAAAATCAGAGCAGAACTGAAGGAAATAGAGACACAAAAACCCTTCAAAAAATCAATGAATCCAGGAGCTGGTTTTTTGAAAGGATCAACAAAATTGATAGCCTGCTAGCAAGACTAATAAAGAAAAAAAGAGAGAAGAATCAAATAGACGCAATAAAAAATGATAAAGGGGATATCACCACCGATCCCACAGAAATACAAACTACCATCAGAGAATACTACAAACACCTCTACACAAATAAACTAGAAAATCTAGAAGAAATGGATAAATTCCTGGACACATACACTCTCCCAAGACTAAACCAGGAAGAAATTTAATCTCTGAATAGACCAATAACAGGATCTGAAATTGTGGCAATAATCAATAGCTTACCAACCAAAAAGAGTCCAGGACCAGATGGATTCACAGCCGAATTCTACCAGAGGTACAAGGAGGAACTGGTACCATTCCTTCTGAAACTATTCCAATCAATAGAAAAAGAGGGAATCCTCCCTAACTCATTTTATGAGGCCAGCATCATTCTGATACCAAAGCCAGGCAGAGACACAACAGAAAAAGAGAATTTTAGACCAATATCCTTGATGAACATTGATGCAAAAATCCTCAATAAAATACTGGCAAAATGAATCCAGCAGCACATCAAAAAGCTTATCCACCATGATCAAGTGGGCTTCATCCCTGGGATGCAAGGCTGGTTCAATAAACGCAAATCAATAAATGTAATCCAGTATATAAACAGAGCCAAAGACAAAAACCACATGATTATCTCAATAGATGCAGAAAAAGCCTTTGACAAAATTCAACAACGCTTCATGCTAAAAGCTCTCAATAAATTAGGTATTGATGGGACGTATTTCAAAATAATAAGAGCTATCTATGACAAACCCACAGCCAATATCATACTGCATGGGCAAAAACTGGAAGCATTCCCTTTGAAAACTGGCATAAAACAGTGATGCCCCTTCTCACCACTCCTATTGAACACAGTGTTGGAAGTTCTGGCCAGGGCAATTAGGCAGGAGAAGGAAATAAAGGGTATTCAATTAGGAAAAGAGGAAGTCAAATTGTCCCTGTTTGCAGATGACAGGATTGTATATCTAGAAAACCCCATTGTCTCAGCCCAAAATCTCAAGCTGATAAGCAACTTCAGCAAAGTCTCAGGATACAAAATCAATGTGCAAAAATCACAAGCATTCTTATACACCAATAACAGACAAACAGAGAGCCAAATCATGAGTGAACTCCCATTCACAATTGCTTCAAAGAGAATAAAATACCTAGGAATCCAACTTCCAGGGGATATGAAGGACCTCTTCAAGGAGAACTACAAACCACTGCTCAACAAAATAAAAGAGGATACAAATAAATGGAAGAACATTCCATGCTCATGGGTAGGAAGAATCAATACCATGAAAATGGCCATACTGCCCAAGGTAATTTACAGATTCAATGCCATCCCCCTCAAGCTACCAATGCCTTTCTTCACAGAATTGGAAAAAACTACTTTAAAGTTCATATGGAACCAAAAAGGAGCCCGCATCGCCAAGTCAATCCTAAGCCAAAAGAACAAAGCTGGAGGCATCACACTACCTGACTTCAAATTATACTACAAGGCTACAGTAACCAAAACAGCATGGTACTGGTACCAAAACAGAGATATAGACCAATGGAACAGAACAGAGACCTCAGAAATAACGCCGCATATCTACAACTATCTGATCTTTGGCAAACCTGAGAAAAACAAGCAATGGGGAAAGGATTCCCTATTTAATAAATGGTGCTGGGAAAACTGGCTAGCCATATGTAGAAAGCTGAAACTGGATCTCTTCCTTACACCTTATACAAAAATCAATTCAAGATGGATTAAAGACTTAAACGTTAGACCTAAAACCATAAAAACCCTAGAAGAAAACCTAGGCATTACCATTCAGGACATAGACATGGGCAAGGACTTCATGTCTAAAACACCAAAAACAATGGCAACAAAAGACAAAATTGACAAATGGGAGCTAATTAAACTAAAGAGCTTCTGCACAGCAAAAGAAACTACCATCAGAGTGAATAGGCAACCTACAAAATGGGAGAAAGTTTTCGCAACCTACTCATCTGACAAAGGGCTAATATCCAGAAGCTACAATGAACTCAAACAAATTTACAAGAAAAAAACAAACAACCCCATCAAAAAGTGGACGAAGGACATGAACACACACTTCTCAAAAGAAGACATTTATGCAGCCAAAAGACACGTGAAAAAATGCTCATCATCACTGGCCATCAGAGAAATGCAAATCAAAACGGCAATGAGATACCATCTCACACCAGTTAGAATGGCAATCATTAAAAAGTCCGGAAACAACAGGTGCTGGAGAGGATGTGGAGAAATAGGAACACTTTTACACTGTTGGTGGGACTGTAAACTAGTTCAACCATTGTGGAAGTCAGTGTGACGATTCCTCAGGGATCTAGAACTAGAAATACCATTTGACCCAGCCATCCCATTAGTGGGTATATACCCAAAGGGCTATAAACCATGCTGCTATAAAGACACATGCACACGTATGTTTATTGCGGCACTATTCACGATAGCAAAGACTTGGAACCAACCCAAATGTCCAACAATGATAGACTGGATTAAGAAAATGTGGCACATATACACCATGGAGTACTATGCAGCCATAAAAAATGATGAGTTCATGTCCTTTGTAGGGACATGGATGAAATTGGAAATCATCATTCTCAGTAAACTATCGCAAGAACAAAAAACCAAACACCGCATATTCTCACTCATAGGTGGGAATTGAACAATGAGATCACATGAACACACGAAGGGGGACATCACACTCTGGGGACTGTTGTGGGGTGGGGGGAGGAGGGAGGGATAGCATTGGGAGATATATCTAATGCTCGATGTCGAGTTAGTGGGTGCAGCGCACCAGCAAGGCACATGTATACATATGTAACTAACCTGCACATTGTGCACATGTACCCTAAAACTTAAAGTATAATAAAAAAAAAAATGACAGTGACGTCTCCAAATCAATAAAGAAGCTTTCATTATGCATCAAAATACTTCATTTTTAAACATTTCTTAAGATATTACATTTTTCTCTGTCTTAAAGTGTACTGGAAATAATATTTATAGAAGACTGTGGGTCATTATTGGGAACCTTAGTTATTGTACTTTCTTCTAATGCTGGCTGAGTTTCAACTTCTGTGCTTTTTAAATTCCTCAGCCTGCATGTCACAGATTTCCACTTTCTGCCTTTAGAGTTGGCAGTGTCCTTTCTGGCTACTGTCAGTGTTCCTGCCTCTAACAGCCTCTTTCATGCTCTCCAATTTGTTGCTTTAAATCTCCTGAAGACTGGGAAACTAGATAACCAAGCTGTTTGGATTGAGTGTCAAGTCAGACTGACATGTGCCAAGTGAGCCTCAGAGGATTCTTCTAAGTTAGAACAAATGACCTCTAGTACCCTGAGACCAGCCACCGTCGTCCCACTTCTGCCCACTGCTTTGCTTCTTTTTTTTTTTTTCCTTTTCTTTCTCCTTTTTCTCCTTCTCCATCTTTTTTATTTGTGAAGACTGGTATTCTATGGACTTGCCAGCTAAGAAGAATTTTCCTTCCTCCCCTTGAGCAGCAAACCCACCAAAATGGTGGACCTAATCCTTAGGGTTTCAACATCCTTTTTAATTTTCACTATTTTTAGGTATTCAGTAATATATGCAAAACTCTACTTCTCTCCATGTTCTATACAGAAGAATAGGAGAACTGGAGGAGACTTCCTTGGATAAATGGAGTTTTATTCTAAAAAGACTGATACCAAAGGCATCAAGCAGTTGAATGGCACTGCTAGCAGATCAATCAAGCCTGGGTACTGACTTGATTGTGGTAATGACCTTCTTCCTTGTTTACTCATGAAGATATTCTCCCCCCTTTAAAAATTTTATCCAATTAGAATAATATTAATTGTTTCCACTTTTGGTTAAAGGGAAGCAGTGGGGAGTCAAACTACTCGTTGTAAACCTAGAAAGAGTTTTGCTGGCTGTGGAGGAACACCAAAGCAAATAAGAGACTTGTATAGGAAATTTCACAAGTACGAAGCAAATGAGAGAGCAACAGCTCTCATTTCTGTCTTGAATTTGAGCACTTTGACCTTTCAAGTTGATTGCATGCTTTCAAAACGCATTAAGGAAAAGCAAGGAAGATGGAGAAACAAATTTGGAATGAAAGAGTTCTTACAGGCTAAGAATCAGGCTCTGATTTGAAGGACAATTCCTTTAACATTTTTGAAGACTGGGTCTGACACTTGGTTTTGTAGAGCCAGCTGGAGCAGCCTTTGTTATAACAGGCAATTTACCCTCTTTGATGCATATGTGATGCTGACAGGTCAGATTCAAAGGTGAGCACAAATGACAGCACTGTCTGTTCTCCAAAAAAATAGTCATTACCACAATTTTCTACATGCTAGCAAGAGGCCAAAGACTCACCACATGTTTAAGGCTGGAAGACATTCTGATGAAAAGTGAAAAGGCCAGAAAGAATCCAGGTGGCTGAGCTCATCAAACAGATGGGCTAACAAGGAAGCTCAGAATAGGACATACTTATATAAGGGAGGCCCCTCTCTTTTTGCATTTGTGGAATAACTAGAAACCATACAGTGACTCTAAGTACAGTTCATTGAAGGTAATTTTCCACCCAGGTATATTTTAAAACTGTTTTCCACCCAAAGTGCTTATTTCACTCTGTGTCAGAATGGGTTTGAAAATCAGGCTATTCTAAAAAACTACCTTTTTAACGGGAAATACGAAGCATCAGCAGGAGTAAAAATGAGATGGTAGGCACCAAGGTGCAGAGTCAGAGATATGAACACTAGTTTCATTGTATCATTCACAAACTAGCTCTGTGAGCTCAAGCAGGGT
The DNA here is from genome assembly GCF_000001405.40 of Homo sapiens. Lineage (NCBI taxonomy): Eukaryota > Metazoa > Chordata > Mammalia > Primates > Hominidae > Homo > Homo sapiens. The sequence continues at coordinate 87,616,251 of NC_000011.10, read as the reverse complement.
CCTTAAACTTCTAGTCCATAATGTCTTCAATTTTAAGTGACAAGGTATGGCAATGTTACTTCTAAGGTTACTTCCAACTTATTTCAAGAATCTATGATTTTCAGGAATTTTCTGAACCTGAAATCTTATGTTTATCATAATGGTGGATGTTAGGGAGAATAGCGAAGAAGAAGAAAAATCCATAGCTTATAGTAGAAAGAGCACCAGGAAGCAACAAGTATCATTTGACTTCTGTAAGCCTCAGTTTCCATTCCTTAAAAATGGATATAATAATAATGTACTTCACAGGATACTATTTCTATAAATCTTCTAATAAGTCATGCTCCAGCCCTCAAGGACCATACAGCTTATTGTGTGAGTGGGAAAGACCAATGCTGACATAGAGAACTGTGATTCTCAAATTTTAATATGCATACAAATCACCTGGGTATCTTGTTAAAAATGCAGTTTCTGGGGTAGAATTCAAAGCAGATGCTACTGGTCCTCAGATAATACTTTGAGTAGAAAAGCTATAAAATAAACGTTTAAAATAAAACACCATATGATAGTTCTATGTGTGATATTTACCACGAGTGAAAGCTTCTATTTCTTTCCACATACCTAAATCCTACCTTCCCTTCAAGACATGTTCAAGTGATATGGTTTATAAATACAGCCCTGACCACCATAGCCCTTTGTAAGCTCTTTCTTCTAAAAACCTTTGTTTTATATGTTGGCAACTGTTCTAATACTCCTGAAATGTGGGTCTGCTGGCCAGCTGCACCAGAATCACAAAGGGAGCTTTTAAAAATACAGATTCCTGGGTCCTAATCTCAGTGGCTATGGGGTCATTTGGTCAGGAAAGTAGGAGGAGGTAGGGGCAGGACAGGATTCTGGATTTTAAAAACTTTCCCGGATGATTATGATATTGGTTTTGTTTGGCACAAAGTACTAAAGAGGTGGTTCTCAGCACAGGCTGCATATTAGAATCCATCACAAAGTTTATAAAACATAGGGACTTAGGCTCCAGGCCAGCTAATTAAATAAAGTCAAGTAGAGCTCCCCAGGTGGTTCTAATGTGAGCCAAGTTTGAGAACCACAGCAAGTGGTAATGAAGTATACTGGTGTGGGTAGGGACCGTATCAGATTGTTTTACCGCTGTATCTCTGGTGCTTAACACAGAACTTGGCATTTAACAAATATTTGTTGAGCGAATATATGAACTAAGATAATGAGTCTTCAGACTGTAAATTATCTCCTTAATATCTTGCATGCCTCCCAGCAAGATTGTAAGCACTAGTGCATGGGGTTACAGTTAAGTTCTGGAGCGGATGCCTATGCTGGAATCCCGTCTCTGCCATTCACCATCTTTACAACGTAAGCTCCACAACTTCTTGTCCCTCAGTTTCCTCCTTTGTGAGATAAGGATGACAACAATATTTGTGATAATAAAATAAATTGGGACACAAAAACATGTAGAAAGTGCCTGGTACAGGGAAACCGCTTAATAATTGATAGCTATTTTTACTTTGAATCACCAAGCACATAGCAGTTCTTAGAGTTCTGTAATGGTCACATCAATGAACATTTTCCAGTTATTCAACCAATAGATATTTCTTTAAGTCATCTTTGTTTCAAGCACTGAGAATTGTTACTGTAGATATAGCAGCAAAAGAAAAGAAACTGAACTACTTTATAGAATTTAAAATATAGTGGGTGAGGTGTACAATGAACAAGTTATTGCAAAGTGATGAGTAATAGAAAGTTATTTTAAGTGTATCAGCTATTGTGAAGAAGAAAGGATCAGGGAGACATAGAAAGGGATGGGAAGCTATCTACTACCGTGTGTAACCGGGGCAATTAACTTAATATTAGAAGTCAGGAAAAGGTTCCTGGAAAAGAAGGGATGTTCAAGTTGATTCAGATTAACAAGGAGAGGACAGAAGCTGGAGAGCATTCTAGGTAAAGGGAAGAGTGTTAATAAAAGTTCAGAATCATGAAGAGCAATGTATGCTGCAGGCACCAAAAGAAGGCAGGTGTGGCTGGTACAGAGCATAATCAAGGAAGGCTTTCAGAGATATGGGAGCTTAGGGTGGGTTTTGAAGAATGGGTAAGATTAGGAAGGGAAGGAAAAAAACAGGGGTTGAAGATAGGAAAATAAGGATGAACATAGCATTCATTCATTCATTCAGCTTCTGCAATGTGCTAGATGCTGAAGATAAGCAGTGGGTGAAAATAGAAAAGATTCCTGCCTTCATGGAATGTACATTTCGGTGGGGAGGAAGACAATAAAACCAATAAACTAAATAATTAAGTAAGATCATAAGAAGTCATTATAAACAATATAAAGAAAACAAGCAAGGTGCTATAATGGGGAAAAACTAGAATGTGGGCTGGAAGGAGATATGTCTGATAGGATTAAAGAGGACCTATGGATTTCTATGTAGTGTGGTTCTATAGCAATGGACATGTCAAATTGCAGTCACCCTAGAAAGCCAGGCAGATGACTTTGACATCTTATGAAACTGAGGTTGCTCATTTTAAGGCTGTCTATACTCCCTATCCTTTTTCTTTTACCTCATGATTCTTTCCCCTTCTCTACTAATAATGCAAGGCAAGTTCTTGGCTTTGTTTAGGAAATAATTCAACAGTGAGCAGGTGGTGGAAGAAAGCAGCTTTATTGAAGTGGCAGTGTTACAGCTCTGTGACTGCTCCTTGCAGAGCAGGGCTAATCCATAGGCAGTGTGCTGAGAGTAGCAGCCTATGGGTGGTTGGCAGTTGTATTTAAACACATGTTTGATGACACGCAAATCAAGGGGCAGGATATTCAGAAATTGGTGGAAAATGTATGGTAACTTCTGGTTGTTACCATGGAAATGGGTAGTAATTTCTAGGCATTGCCATGACATTTGTAAACTGTCATGGTGCTTGTATTAATCCGTTTTCATGCTGCTGTAAAGAACTACCTGAGACTGGGTAATTTATGAATAAAAAAGGTTTAAATGACTCACAGTTCTGCAGGCTTAACAGAAAGCATGACTGGGAGGCTGCAGGAAACTTTCAATCACAGTAGAAGGCCAAGGTGAAGCAACCATGTCTTACCATGGTGGAGCTGGAGAGAGAGGACGAAGGAGGAAGTGCCATGCACTTTTAAACAACCAGATCTTATGAGAACTCACCCACTATCACGAGAACAGCAAGAGGGAAGTCTGCCCCCAACACGTGGGGATTACAATTTGAGATGAGATTTGGATGGGGACACAGAGCCAAACCATATCAGCACTGGTGGGAGCATCTCGCACAGATGAGGAGCAAGGGCAACTGGAAGCTGCCTTCAGTGCTGCTTGCCGATTTTGGTCTGTCTTCAGTCTAGTCCAGAGAATGAGTCTTGCCGGCCTCTTCCCTTCATAATGTTCCTTTATTAGCTTCTCTCTCCTTTCTTTTTCTTCCAAAAATAAGTGGAGGAGGGAAGGGAGCATCATACAGAAATCAGTGATATGACCCAGATTTGAAATCAGAAAGAAATAATTTTGAGATATAAGCTCTACTCTTTATTAGGAAAGGGATCCAAAGCTTCAGTTTCCTCATCTATAAATGGGATAATAGTATCTGCATTAGCCAGAGTTCTTCAGAGGAACAGAACAAGTAGGATGTACATAGATGATGTGCATATATACAGATAGAAATATTTTAAGGAATTGGCTCATGTGATTGTATGGGCTAGCAAGTCTAAAATATGCAGGGCAGGTAGATGGGCTGGAGACGCAAAGAAGACTTGATGTTGCAGCTCAAGTCTGAAGGTGGTCTAGAGGCAGATTGTCTTCTTCCTTGAGGGACCTCAGTCTTTTTCTCTTAACACCTTCAACTAATGGGGTGAGGTCCACCCACATTATGAAGGATAATCTGCTTTATTCAATATCTACTGATTTAAATGTTAATCACATCTAAAAAATTTCTTCACAGCAACATCTAGACTTGTATTTGACCGAGTATCTGGGCATCATAGCTTAGCCAAGTTGACACATAAAATTAACAAACTAGTCTTTTTGCTTAAAATAAAGTATGATTCTTTTTTTGCTGGGTAAACTAACTTCTAAACTTACATCCCCAAAATCTATTAACCAAAGCCAAAACTGATCTTTCTAAACTCTGAATCTGATTTATGGAGTCATTCCACAAATACTACTGAGCACATCCTTTGTGACAGATACTTGATAGAGGTGGGCTACTAACATGCAATGAGTCTGTACTTGCCCCAAGGAATTTAGTCAGCTAGGGAGATGAGATTGCAAACCAGAATAGCTCCTATTTACTGAAGCCCTACTAAGTGTCAAGCACTCTGCATTAATTATGTCATTTAATCTTCACTCTGACTTTACAATGTGGCAACGAGTAAATTCTGCAGATTAAGTGGTTTGCCCAAGGAAACAAAGGCTACTAAATGCTGGAATGGGCATTTAAGCCCTTGTCTGTCTGACATCAATTCCCATGTGCTCCTCTGCCTTCTGGTTACAAACAAAGACAACCCTGTAAGATAGTTGCTGTAGAAAAGATTTGTAGAACATTCAGTGAGGACAGGAAAAGGCATCCCTAACTCTGCCTGGCTAAGTCAGAGATGGCTTCACAATGGTCATGATGATCTTCTGTTTGAAATCATTATGGCCTTCAAAGGGGAAAAAGAATCCAGAATATTAATTAGCAAAACACCTCACATACTGCCTGATAGTCCTGTTCACTCTATGCTTTGTGTTGAACATTCTACACTTCCTTTCCTGGTATCCTTTGCACATCTTTCTCCACACACCACTTTTCTCTTTAGCAAAATTCTATTTTTTTCTACAGCGTTATTGTGTTCTGGCTTTGGTGAGGTATAACTGATAAAATTTGCATATATTCAAGATATACACTTGATATATGTATACACTATGCAATGATTACCACAATCAAATAATACATCCTTCAACACACATAGTTGCCACTTGTGGATGAAGGGTGAAAAAGACACTTAAGATCTGCTCTATTAGCAAATGTCAAGTAAATAATACAGTCCCCATGCTATACATTAGGTCCCCAAAGTTTATACATCTTATAACTGAAAGTTTGGATTCTATAAACATCTCCCCATTTTCCACACCCTGCATCTCCTGGTAACCACCATTCTACTTTCTGCTTCTGTTAGTTCAAATGTTTTAGATTCTACATTTAAGTAAGATCATGTAGTCTTTCTGTATCTGGCTTATTTCACTTAGTATAATGTCCTTGAAATTGATTCATATTGTCAAAATGGCAGGACTTCTTTTTAAGGCTGAATAGTGTTCCATTGTATATACAACATTTTCCTTATCCATTCATTCATTCGTGAACACTTAAATTGTTTCCATTACTCAGCTATTATGAATAATGCTGCAACAAACATGGAGGGTATGTATCTCTTTCAGATACTGATTTTATTTTCTTTGGATGTATACTTAAAAGAAGGATTCTTGGATCCTGTGATTAGTTCTCATTTTAATTTTTTGAAGAATACTGTTTTCCATAATGGCTGTACTAATTTACATTCCCACCAACAGTGTACAAGGGCTCCCTTTCTCCACACCCTCACCAGCACTCCTTGCTTTTTTTTTTTTTTGATAGTAGACATCCTAACAAATGTAAGGTGAAATCTCGCTGTGGTTGAGATATGCATTTCCCTGAAGATTAGTGACATTGTGTCACTTTTCACATACTTCTTGGTCATTTGTATGTCTTCCTTGTAAAAACACCTATTCTGGTCCTTTGGCGATTTTTTATCATTTTATTTATTATTATTATTATTATTATTATTATTATTATTATTATTATTATCGAGACATTTCACTCTTGTTGCCCAGGCTGGAGTGCAGTGGCACGATCTTGGCTCACTGCAACCTCTGCCTCCTGAGCTCAAGCAATTCTCCTGCCTCAGCCTCTCCAGTAGCTGGGATTACAGGCACCCGCCAACACACCCAGCTAATTTTGGATTTGTAGTAGAGACAGGGTTTTGCCATGTAGGTCAGGCTGGTCTCCAACTCCAGACCTCAGGTTATCCACCCACCTCCCAAAGTGCTGGGATCACAGGAGTGAGCCATCGCGCCCGGCCAGCAATTTTTTAATTAGGTTACCTTTTTTGTTATTCATTTGTATGAGTTCTTTATACATTTTGGATGTTAATCTCTTAACAGATAAGAGGTTAATAGGTCAGATAGTGTGCAAATATTTTCTCCCAATCTGTAGATTGCCTTTTCATTTTATTATTTCATTTGCTATGTAGAAGCTTTTTAGTTTGATGTGCTCCCATTTGTGTATCCTTGTGTTTGTTGCCTGTGCTTTTGGTGTTATATCCAAAAAAAAATCATTGCCAAGATCAATGTCAAACAGATTTTCCCATGTTTTCTTCTAGAAGTTTTACAGTTTCAGGTCTTATGTTTAAGTCTTTAATCCATTTCTAGTAAATTTTTGTATATGGTGTAAGATAAGGATCCAATTTCACTCTTTTACATGTCGATATCCAGTTTTCACAATGCGACTTATTGAAGAAACTATCCTTTCCCCATTGTGCATTCTTGTCACCCTTGTCAAAAATTATATTACATATATTATATTATAACTCACATATATGTTGTATATGTGTGAGTTAATTTCTGGGCTTATTCGTTATTCTGTGTATCTATTTTCATGCCAGTGCCATACTGTTTGATTACTGTGCCTTTGTAGTAGATTTTGAAATCAAGTAGTGTGATGCCTTCCAGCTTTGCTCTTCTTTCTCAAGACTACTTTGGATATTCATGGCCTTTTGTGATTCCATATGAATTTCAGAATTGTTTTTTTCTATTTCTGCGAAAAACTTCACCAGAATTTTTATAGGTATTGTTTTGAATTGAATTTGTGGGTTGCTTTGAGTAGTATGCACATTTTAACAATATTACTTATCCCACTCCATGAATGCAGGATACCTTTTCATTTATTTGTGACTTCAATTTCTTTCATCAATGTCATAGTTTTCAGTGTATATATTTTCAGTATATATATTATATATATTTCACTTCTTTGGTTAAACTTATTCCTAAGTATCTTATTGTTTTTAATTCTACTGAAAATTGAATTATGTTCTTAATTTCTTTTTTTGGATAGTGTGTTGTTAGTGTATAGAAATGCAACTGATATTTGTATGTTGATTTTGTATTCTGCTACTTTACTAAATTTGTTTATCAATTCTAACAGGCTTTGGTAGAGATTTTAGGGTTTTCTGTATATACAATTATGTTATCTTAAACAGAGATAATTTAGCTTCTTTCTGATTTGGATGACTTTTATTTCTTTTTTCTTTTATAAGCTAGCTCTGGCTAAGACTTCCAATACTATGTTGAAGAGAAGTTCTGAGACTGGGCATCCTTATCTTGTTCCTGATCTTAGAGGAAAAGCTTTTCAGTTTTCACCATTGACCATGATGTTAGCTAAGGGCTTGTCATATATGACCTTTCTTATGTGAAGTACAGTCTTTCTATACCTAATTTTTTTTATCATAAAAAAAGATGTTGAATTTTGTCAAATACTTATTCTGCATCTATTGAGATAATTATATGATTTTTATAATTTGTTCTGTTTATGTGCTTTCACATTGATCAATTTGCATATATTGAAACATCCTTACACCCTAGCAATGAATGCCACTTGATTGTGGCATTTGATCTTTTTAATGTGCTGTTGAAGACAGCTTGCTAGTATTTTATTTTTGCACATCTCTCATAAGTTTTGATATGTTGTGGTTCCCTCTTAATTTGTCTCAAGATAATTTTTGTTTCCCTTTTGATTTCTTCTTTGACCCATTGGTTGTTCAAGAGTGTATTATTTAATTTCCACATATTGGTAAATGTTCTAAGATTCTTTGGTATTTATTTCTAGTTTCATACCATTGTGGATAGAAAAAAATACTTGATATGATTTTAATCTTCTTATCTTTTTTAAGATTTGTTTTGTGTCCCAACAGATGATCTCTATCCTGGACAATTTTTTCATGTGTGCTTGAAAAAAATGTGTACTCTGCTGCTGTTAGATGGAATGTTCTGTGTATGTCTGTTAGGCCCATTTAGCCTGTATTGTTATTCAAGTCTGCTGTTTCCTTATATTTTATTTTCATCATAATTTGGGTTTTTTAACTTTTAACTTTTATGAGTACATAGTAGGTGTATATATTTATGGGGTAAATGAAATGTTTTTATATACACACTTAATGCATTGCATAATACTAACACCATGGAAGATGGGGCATCCATCCCCTCAAGCATTCTTTGTGTTACAAACAATCCAATTATACTCTTTGAGTTATTTAATTAATTAATTTTTTGAGACAGTCTCACTCTGTTGCCTAAGCTGGAGTGCAGTGGTGCGATCTCAGCTCACTGCAACCTCCACCTCCCGGGTTCAAGTGATCAGCCTGCTTCAGCCTCCCGAGCAGGTGTGACTACCGGCATGTGCCACCAACCCCAGCTAATTTTTGTACTTTTAGTAGAGACGGGATTTTGCCATGTTGGCCAGGCTGGTCTCAAACTCCTGACCTCAAGTGATCTGCCAGCCTCAGCCTCCCAAAGTGCTGAGATGACAGGTGTGAGCCACTGCACCTGGCATATTTTAGTTATCTGAAAATATACAATTAAATTATTATTGACTATAGTCACCCTATTGTGCTATATGATACTAGGCCTTATTCACTAATTTTAACTTTCATACCCATTAACCATCCCCTCCTCCCACATATACACCATCCCGCAACTACCCTTCTCAGCCTCTGGTAATCAACCTTCTATTATCTATCTTCATGGATTCAATTGTTTTGATTTTTAGATCTCACAAACAAGTGAGAACATGCAGAATATATTTTTCTGTCCTTGGCTTGTTTCATTTAACATAATATCCTCTAGTTCTATCTGTGTTGTTGCAAATGAGTGAATATCATTCTTTTTATGGCTGAATAGTACTCCATTGTGTATAAGTACCACATTTTCCTTATCCACCCATCTGTTGATGGACACTTAGGTTGCTTCCAATTCTTGGCTATTGTGAACAGAGCTACAACAAATTTGGGAGTGCAGATATCTCTTTGATATCTTGATTTCCTTTCTTGGAGTATATACCCAGCAGTGGGATGACTGGATAGTATGATATCTCTATTTTTAGTTTTTTAAGGAACCTCTGAAATATTCTTCATAGTGGTTGTGGTAATTTACTTTCCCACCAACAATGTACAGCAGTTCCCTTTTCTCCACATTCTTGACAGCATTTGTTATTGCCTATCTTTTGGATATAAGCCATTTTAACTGGGGTAAGATAATATCTCACTGTAGTTTTGATTTGCATTCCTCTGATGGTCAAAAAAATGTGGAATGCTTCATGAGTTTGCATGTCATCTTTGTGCAGGTTCCATGCTAGTCTCTGTATCATTCAATTTTAATATATGTGATGCCAAAATGAGCACTGCCATTTCCTTATGGATTTTCTGTCTGTATGATCCATTCATTGTTGAAAGTGGGATGTTGACATCTGCTACTATTATTGTATTCTTACTATTGTCTATTTCTTCCTTTAGTTATGTTAATATTTTCCTGATATATTTAAGTGTTTTCATGTTGGGTGTATATGTAGTTACAATTGTATCCTTTTAGTAAATTGATGCCTTCATCATTATATAATGACCTTCTTTGTCTCTTATGACAGTTTTTGATTTAAAGTCTATTTTGAATTATACAAGAATAGGTACACCTGCTCTCTTGGTTTTTTTTTTGTATGAAATATTTTTTTTCTATCCCTTTGCTATCATCCTATTTGTCTCCTTAAGACTAAAGTGAGTTGCTTCTAGGCAGTATATTGTTGGAGCTTGCTTTTTAATCCATGTAGTCACTCTGTGTCTTCTGATTAAAGAATTTATTTACATTTAATGTAATTATTGAGAGAAATAATTTATTATTGTCATTTTTAATTGTTTTCTGATTGTTTTGTAATGTCTTTGTTTCTTTCTTTCACTCTTGTTATCTTCCCTTGTGATTTGTTGACAGTTTGTGGTGGTATGCTTTCATTTCTTTCCTCTGTCTTTTGTGTATCTACCAGAGTTTCTTTTTCTTTGTAGTTAGCATAGACTTTACATAAAACATCTTATAACATTCTACTTAAAACTGATAACACCTTGAATTCAACTGCACTTAAACCTTCACTTTTTCTTCTCCCTCACATATTTTATGCTATTGATGTCATACTTTGCATCTTTTTATACTGTGTATCTATTAAAAATTATTGGAACTATAGTCATTTTTAATACTTTGGCCTTTTAACTTTTATTCTAGAGTTAAAAGTGACTTACATATCATCATTACAGCATCAGAATATTCTGATTTTAACTATATATTTACCTTTACCAGTAAATTTTCCACTTTCTTGTGTTTCATGTTGTTACTTAGCAAACTTTCATTTCAATGAAAAAACTCTATCATTTTTTTAAGTCAAATCTAGTACTGATGAAATCCCTTAGCTCTTATTTATCTGGAAATATCTTTAACTCACCTTTATTTCTGAATGACATTTTTGCCAGATATATTATTCTTGGCAGTTAGTTTGAGTCTTTTGGCACTTTGAATATATCAACCCACTCCCTTCTGGCCTGTAAAATTTGTGCTAACAAGTTCGCTGATAGACTTATGGGGGTTCCATTGTGTGCGATGATTTCTTCTCTTGATGCTTTCAAACTTTTTCTGGTTTTCACTTTTGACAATTTAATTAAACTGTTAAACTGTGTCTTGGGGTATTATTCTTTAGGTTGAGCTTGATTGGCTTGGGTTAAGCTTTATGAATCTGAATATCCATATCTCTTCCAAAATTTGGGAAGTTTGTAGCTTTAAATAAGATTTCTGCCCCTTTCTCTCTCTTCTCGAATTCCCAAAACTCATAATTTATTCACTTAATGGTGTCTCATAGGTCTCTTATGCTTTCTTCACTTTTTTACTCGTTTTTTTTTTCTTTTTGTTTCTCTAATTGGCTAATTTCAAATGTCCTGCCTTGAGTTCACTGGTTCTTTCTTCTGCATGATTGACTATGCTGCTAAAGATCTGTATTGTATTTTCTATTCTGTCATTTTATCATTCTGCTTCAAGATTTCCATTTGGTTGTTTTTATACTTTTTATTTCTTTATTGAACTACTCATTTTATTAATGCATTGTTTCCCTGATTTTGTTTTCTATCTGTGTTCTCTTGCATCTCATTGAGCTTCCTTAACATGACTACTTTGAATTATTTTTCATCCAACTCATAGTTATCCATTTCCTTGGGGTTGGTTGCTCAAGCTCTATTAGTTTCCTTTGGTGGTGTCATGCTTGCCTGATTCTGGATTGTACATGTAGCCTTGTGTTGGTGCCTGTACATTTGAAGGAACAAATATCTCCTTCAGTCTTTATAGAACTGATTTCAATAAGTAAAAACTTTCTCCTGGTGGGTCCTCATGTGATGGGATTGCCTTTAGGATCATGATCAAGTAGCACTTTAGCCTGTTCTGCAGTGGGGTCCACAGCTGAAAGAGCTGTTATTGTGGATAAATGTGACTTCCTCCAAGTCACTGGAAGGTCTCCTTCTGGGTCACTGGGTAGATATCTGGGCAGGCAGGACTGGCTCCAGACTGAGAGGGGTTGGAATTGAGTCACAGGGCTGCATCAGGGTCCACAACTGAGACTAGAGTTGGCAGGCCTACTTCCAGGGACATGAATGGACATGCCTCTTGCCAGGTTCCTTGGAAGGCTGAACTCTCCCTGGACTGAGGCAAAGTGTGACTGAAGCTGAAAAATAAGGCTGCTTCAAGATATATGGTCAGACTAAATTCAGCAGGCCTGACTCTGGAGGCACAGATGAGCATGTCTCCCAGAGGGTCACTGAGTGGGCAGGACTGCTCCTGGAGTATAGCTGGAAGAAGATGGAGCTAGGTTGCAAGATCACTTCAAGATTTACCGTGGAATCAAGGTGGGCTGGCCTGTTCCTGGGACAATGAACAGAAGTGTTTCTCATCAGGTCCCCAGGGACAGGATTGCTCTCAGATCACAGCTGAGAGGAGGTGAAGCCAAGTTACAGGGCTGCTTCAGGATCTACAGCCAGGAATGAGGTCAGGGTGTCTGTTTCCCTTGGCACAGGTGGGTGCGACTTTTCCCAGAGCCTTTGCCACATGATTCTAGTGATAAGACCAAGGCCTAACAAGGATATAGCTGAGTCTACAGGGGAACAAGGCCATAGCTAGTGATAGTCAGAACCACAGTTGGCCAGCCCTCCTCTGTCTTGGGCTCCATGGAGGTTTTACAATCTCCTATCTGACTTTCAAAGTTCCCACAATGGCACTTTTATCTGTGGATGATTGCCAAATTATAGTTGCTATGAGGAGATAAGAGAGGGGGATCCCCCTGGTTTAGATAAAGTCTTCCCTGCTCCACCTGTGTCCATCTTCTAGATTCAGTACACTGTTTTCATGTGTCTGTCATAGCATTGAACACACTGTTTGGTTGGTTGGTTAGGTGGTTGGTTGGTAAGCTTCTCCAGTAATGTAAATTGTAGAAGGTAAAAATGTTTTCTTAACTTCCATATGCCATCATTAGCGCAAGGCATGACACACAGTTTTGATATCATTGCAAAATAAACAGAATCACACAGATCTATTTATATTCATGCAATGAGATGTATATTTGAAGGCACTTGATTCTCTTCAGATTACACCCATTCATCCCTCCTTATACCTTTATAGTGACCATGAGAGCTTCTTCCCCTCCCAAGCTTCCAGAGTCACAACATTTAATATTTTTATCTCTATTTGGTACTATTTAGTAACATATGTTTTTCATTTATCAAACTATGTAATCAGATAGAAAAATATGTTCATTGTTGAATTGAAATAAATTGATACTGACATCATATGGTGTAACAGATTCAGTAGGTAGTTGAGCTAGAAAATTCAGTAACAGTTTGTTTATACTAGCAAGAGGGAGTCTTTCTGGGTGACAGAACTGTTCTGTATCCTGATTGAGATAATAGTTACATGAATCAATCCTTGTATTAAAATTGATAGAATTATACACCAACAAGGTCAATATTACTGCCTAATTTTTAAAAATCAACATCTAGATAATATGCATAGCAAGATACTGAATATACAAATAGACAATGGCCAGACTACATATGACAATTAAAACCCTTACCTACAAGCTTCATCCCAGGAAGTCAAACCACAATTTCTGTAGCAATAGTCCTAGAACAGTCATAGCTTGCTCAGTGACTACCAGCTTCCGAAACTTTCAGCCTGACTTCCAACTTAGGACCAAACAGAGTAGGTCAAATATGCTCTCCAAACCAATCACAGATGATACCCTGCCTCTAGTTAGCTAACCTCCAACTTTCTCATGTCAACAGCCTCCATTCAGGGCACACCTGAAGCCTTACCCTTTTTTCACTATAAAGTTTTCTCACTGCCCTGCCTGCCTTTGAGCCTCTGTCAAACACAATCATGGCGACCGAGTTCCAAGCTCTGAATAAATAGCTTCTGTTTTTTCTAATGTAGTGGGATTTTTTTTTTCATTATTTCCACAATAGGATGCAATCATTTGGGTTGAAATAGAAGTGTGTGTGTCTGTGTGTGTGTGTGTGTAAATGTTTATATATGCACAGACTATGAAAATACACAGACACACACACACACACACACCAGAAATGTCACTTCCTAGATAGAAAGTTGGTTGGCTGGGGAAAAGGGGTAACAGTGAGATTGATTTTTCAATGTATTCCCTTTTGAGTCTTTTGAATGGTCCTCTAAGATCAAATAATTAATTTAAAAATAAAATTAGAGGCTCACTTAAATGTGAAGACTTACAGATTATAAGGAATATTTATTCAAATTCATAAATAATCACAAATAATCTCTAAAGGTAACCTGTTTTATAATTATATTTAGAATAAATCAATGATAAATTGATAACTGATAATAAATCAATTGATAAATTGGCGAGTTGCTTAATATCTCTGGGCCTTATTAACCCCATGGATAAAACAAGGACAATACCAGCTTGAGGAAGTTGTGGGGAGGATTAATTGCTGCTTTATACATGTGGTTCTTGTCATATACTAAATGTATCAGCTGGGTAGGATAGCTGCTGAAGAAGACAGAATCCAACATTTATCACTCAGATACAGTAGGTGTTTCTTTCTTGCTCATATAATAGAACAGAGAGAGTGAATGAGTTAGTGGGTGCCTGTCCTTCAGGTAGTCATGAATGCACCAAACTAAAGGATCCCATTCCAGAAGAAACCCAAACTGATTGATAGTGGTCCTCCCATCTTCAAATATATGACTTATGAAGTTTTCCTGAATATTGTCTCCATCCAGCCAGGTTAAATGGAGAAGGACGAGGGGTAGCACATAGAGAAGGTTTGCATGGGCCATGCCTGGGAGTAGAGCCTGTTACTTTCACTCCTATTTGGGACTGTCAGATTTAGCAAATAGACATGCAGTACAGGTATCCTGTACTTCGTCCAGTTAAACTTGAATTCCAGATAAACAACACAATTTCTTTTAATATAAGCATGCCTCATGCAGTACTTGGGACATATTTATACCAGAAATATGTTTTTTATCTAAAACTTAAATTTAACTGGGTACTCTGTATTTTATCTGGCAACTCTCCAAGTACAACCCATTGGCTAAAACTCAATTACAGGCCTACATATAATTAAACTACAAAGGAAGGTGGAAAGTGTAGTCTAGCTGTTTCCCAAGAAGAAGAGAGTAAGAATTTTTTTAAGCAACTAGCAGTCTATGTATAGTAAGAAATGAATAAAAGTTAGGACCCTTCTTTTTCTGATATGTGTGGGAGCCTGACCTGGAACACTGGCCTTAAACTTTAGGTACAAGAGCACAACTCAAACACCTGCCCAAATAGGCTCAACAAAAGTTCTGCCACTTGGAATGTGTCCTCAGTAAACTACAAAAATAAAATAAGACGACGACAGTGAAACCATGCTGCAATCATTCATCAAAGTCAGACAGTGCCCATGCGGCCTCCTTCTGTGCTGTGTGTTTAACCTCTGGGGAAGCAGTACATTCCATGTGGACTCTAATAAGCTGCCTCTGGGAGCAATTTGACTCATGAAGCTGACTACTGTCTTGAGCAGTTGAAAGAACTTGAGAATTATTTTTTTTTTAACTAATCCCCTTGTAATGGTTGAAATCCCAGCATTCATTTATATTCGTCTTGGAAGCTGGCACCCATAGCTCACAGGACTAGTAAGAAAATTGACAATCTGCTACAGTGGAACTCATGCAGGTGTTATTAACTTTAACTGAATCGATCTCAACTAGATCACTGTCAGGGACGATGTGGTAACAATTGATTTTTCCAGGTCTGAGAGAATTCTCAGTTTACTTATTTTCATTTCTCCATAGACTAATTTTTTTCCTTTGCTTGGAGATTTATGGCAGCATTTCTTTCTTCTTGCTCTCTCATTTCAATTTGAAAATAGCATGCTTTTAAGCACAATATTTGGGGAGGAAAAGCAAAGTGACTTAGAGGCTTCAAAAACAACTCATCCAAGCCCATAAATTTGGCAGCCTAAACAGGCATTGACAAAGAAGGATGTACTCTTTCTGAACCTTATGCATTTCAACCATGTGTGGCCACTGTTATGACTTGTGTCCCCTCAAAATTCATATGGTGAGCCCTAACCCTGAATGTTCCTGTATTTGGAGCTAGCATTGATGTCCTTATAAGAAGAAGAGACAAAAGTGTTGTGCATGCACAGAGAAACTACCATGTAAAGACACAATGAGAAGACAGTCATCTTCAAGTGGAGAGAGGCCTCAGGAAAAATTAAACTTGCCAACACTTTGATCTAGGACTTCCAGCCTCCAGAAGTATAAGAAAATACATTTCTGTTGTTTAAGTTATCCAGTCTGTGGAATTTTGTTATGACAATCCAAGCTGTGACGAATATACCCACCCACCCAGTACCCTTTGTGGATTACTGTGCTTGGTGTTTCCCAAAGGCTTAAAGAGAATACAGCATCTCCTCTATCAGCATCGGGGTAAATCGAGGCACCAAGATGCATATTCTTGGCATGCACATACCATTTCTGCATACCTAGAATGTACACTTGCCGCCCTCCCTTGCACACACCTGCATCAGGAGCCAATGCGGAAACACAGGCATTACAAGGAAGGATGGAGAGTGGAACTCTGGTATAGCAGGCCCTGGCCCTGCACTTTCTTAACATCATGACCTCAGGCACTGTGACCTTGGCCAGTGAAGTTCTTTGGACCTCAGTGTTATTATCTGGACAATACGAATAATAATTCAATACCTACCTCTAAGGGTTGTTACAAGGATCCAAGAGAGCAATATATATGAAAGTGTTATCTATAAAACAGACAGATAAACTAGCAAGTAACAACAAGTGTAGCAACACTCTGATAGAAGGTTATAAAACTTGCTCTTTCATTCAAGACCAGCCTGGCCAACATGGTGAAACCCTGTCTCTACAAAAATTAGCTGGGCATGATGGCAGGTGCCTGTAATCCCAGCTACTCAGGAGGCTGAGATGGGAGAATCACTTGAAGCTGGGAGGCGGAGGTTGCAGTTAGCCAAGATCAGGCCACTGAACTCCAGCCTGGGTGGCTGAGACTGTCTCAAGAAAAAAAAAAACCTCAATCTTCCTCACTCTTTCTATTTATTACCTCAGACAAATAATTTAGCAAATTTTAAACTTCTGAGTATACAGGGCAGGGGGTAAGTAGCTCAAAATCGTATTAGCTAGCTAGAAATCATATTTAACAAAACGGTAAGAGAGTGGTTCTGTGACAACAGGATGTGTAAATTAAAGACTGATTACTGAAGATGTAGGGAGAAACTAGAACAAATTATAAATAATTAAAAGTATGAGGAAAAGTCAGGAGAGCTTGTTCCCCAACAAATGAGACTCAGCTCACAAAGACCCAAGTCTAGCCCCCATTTTGTCTTCCTCTTATGAACCGTGTATTGTAGACAAGTTACTTAATCTTTCTAAGCTTCACAGGCTTGTTGAGGATTAAACAAAATCACGTATGTGTATATGATCTGTGAAGGTAATTTCTTTTTTGTATAAGAAATATGTATTATTTCCTATCCTGGCTCTACCAATAACTAATTGCATGACCTTGAACTTGCCTTTTCTGAGCTTGTTTTCTAAGCTGAGTACTACGATTTCCTTCTCTTATAACAAGCTATGATTTTAAAAGGATGAACATCGTGGCTGCATCACGAGGTTGATAACTAATTCAAGTTTCTTAGTAACTGTGAAATAAAACTTACAAATCAGGACTAAAACAAAGGGGCAGTGATTTGAAAATAGCTCTCCATAAAAATGTTAAACAGGATCATAAATAGAAAATTGTGCCTCTGGAGCCTTTTTCTTCCAGACCATTTGGTCATTCAAAAAATGTTTATCGTGTGTCCCACTACCTGTGGCACACAGGTCTGGAAGCTGGTGAGGTACAAAGGCAGCAGTGGGGGAACTGTGAAGAGTGTAGGGCATCCACAGCTGTGTGCAGCAGAGGACTTGAACTTGGAGCCAGCATGAGTAAGCTGAGCAGTGAGAGGAGGTTAAAGGTGCAGAGTAGGATGTTGGTATCTCATTTTATGAGAAGGAACAATTCCCAACAAACACAGCTCTGTTCTGCTCTGACCTGGGGTTGTCAGAAGTGGAGCCAAAGCCATCCTGACCTCTATCCTGGTGAGGTTAGTAAAGAGAACATCTGCTGGCCATACAGTCCCAAGTCAAGCGCATTGACAAAGGTTACCCCAAGTATGTCCTTACTTAAAAATTCAAAAATTATTTCTGCAGCCACAACCAAGCCAGGCAGTCAGGGTCAATGAAATTAACCCCTCTGATTGCCTTTTTTTTTTTTTTTTTTTTTAATCTATGAAATGGGTCCTACGTCACTGGGTTTTTGAGAACTAAAATTAGGTAATATATATTACCTAAAAATATATATTACCTAAATATATATATTACCTAAAAACACTTTTAGACGTTGCACAAATATGAACTCTCATCATTACTGCCATCATTTGTCTCAAAAGGATTTGCCTTGTGGAACAACCCACTTGAGTCTGGTTTTACAGCAGATGGCTGCCAGAAATATCAATAGCAGCAATTTTCCAAGTCATTCTTCAAATTCTGCTTACTGTTCATTATCACCTTTATTGACTTAGCCCAGCTGCAGGCACCAGCCCAGTTCCATCATTCTGTCACTAGGACTCTGCTGGGTAATTTGTGGTTTCCAAAGGAGGAAGAATGCAGAGGTAGGAATGCAAGTGCAATAGCTGACATAGGATGAGAACAACTACCTTCCCACATCTCCTCTATCCTGGGTGAGCCCTCACAGAGAAAGGGCAGGACTGGTTTCACCTGAGCCTGGGATTAGAAGGGCCCATAGCTCTGGAGTCTGTGTCTGTAAGCATGAGAAGAAAGCTTTAGCATAGCCAGTCATTGCTGCAATATGAGCATTCTTACAGATTTAGAAGAAATGTCATGTAGTAGGAATATCAATAATAGTGCCCTCCATTTATTGGGAAGCACTATGTGCCAGGCCTTCTGTAGGTGCTTTATAAATTGACATGATTCAAATGTCAGCTTTGTCCATTCCTGGTTATGTGGCCTTGAGAATGTTACTTAGCCTCTCTATGCCTGTCTCCTCATCTGCAAAATGTTTATTTTGTGAAAATTGTTCTGAGAATTGCATAAATATATATACATATATATACACATATGAAATACGTATCAAAGTAAAATAGAAATGTATAAAATATAAATATATATAATATATAGTGTATAATATGTAAAACATACATCTATAAAACTTAGAAAAATTCCTGGGACATATATACCATGTGAAGTATTATTATCAGTTATGACTGTCATCATCAACATTATCATGATTATAAATGTCCTGTATTAGTTTCCTGTTGTTGCCGTAACTTAGTGGCTTCAAACAGCACAGACTGATTATCTTACAGCTCTGGAGTCAGAAGTCTTAAGGTATCAGCAGAGTTGTTTTCCTTCAGGAAGCCCCAGGGAGGATTTGTTTCCTTGTCTTTTCCACCTGCATTCTTTGGCTCATGCCCCTTCCTTGCATCCCTCCAATTTCTGCTTCCATTATCACATCTTCTTTTCTGACTCTGACCTGCCTACCCCATTCTTATAAGAACCTTTGTGATTATGTCAGACCCAAGAGAATAATTCACAATGATCTTCCCAGCTCAAGATCCTTCCCTTAGTAACATCTGCAAAGTTGCTTTTGCCATGTAAGTTAACATATTCATAGGTCCTAGGAATGAAGATGTAGACATATTTTGGTGAACATTATTTCGAAGACTAATATATTTGTATGGAGATTTTACACTGAGGAGCTGACTTGGAGTGGTTACAAAAAGCTAAATATGCTAGAGGTGGGTTCCAAATTTAGGTTGGTCTTGTAAAACCCATGCTCTTTGTACCAGCTGGTTCTGGACGTGGAAACAGAAACTCTGAGTTAGCTTCCCAGTTTTCCTACCCAACAGCTCAGGGCTACTGAGAGAGTGGCCGTGAAGTGACTTTAAATGATACTTCACAGGTACAAGCCATCCCTTTCCCATCTGTGGGTGTCCAGATGGGGAAACCAGGGCTCTGAGAGTAGAAGAGCTTGCCGAAGTACACACAGTAAGTAAATGGTAGAACTAAGAATTCACCCGAAGCCTGCTTGGATCCAAGGACAATGACACCATTATTCAGTGGAAATAGATTAAAGAGCCACTGCAAAAGAAATGCGATTTTGTGATTCTCCAGCTAAGTTCATAAGACATAACCTTTTAATAGTCTCACGTACATAATCTTTCAAGTATAGAACAAAGTGCATCTGTTCAGTCTTGTACTTTATAAACCACACACTTTATACTCCCAACATGAACAGAAATAGGGCTGAGAATCTGGGACTGACATGTAAGGACAGAAGGAAAAGGTTCAGCTCTTCAGTAAGAAAAAGAAGAGGTCGACAGAGGACATGCTCAAAACCAATCATATTGTGACCATTCTGCATAAACAGAACCCAAAATTCTCATTAAAAAGGACAAGACAACCCCTTAGGAAAGTAAGAGTAAGTAGTTTTAAGTCAGTTAAGCTAGGCCTTTCCTACTGTAAAACAGTGAATAGGAGACTTAAAGAATGTATTTCTCCCTTCTTGCCCCCGGGAATGCTACAGACTAAAAATACAAATATGTCTGAATGAGGGGAAGTTTGGACAAATGGATTAGAAGTGTTGGCTGGCTCCTAAGAAGAGCTTAACCTGCCTTGTCTCTAAGGTTGGCATCAGAGGGGCATGGAATGTAATGGTTTCGAGACTGGATCATGGATCTGGAAGATGGAATAAAATCTCTACTTTACCACTTTGTTCAACTGGAGAAATTCTTAACCTCCCCAAACCCAGTTTCCCATCTGTAAACCAGACCCATGATGCATACCCCTCAGAGATTGTTGGGGAAGAGTAAGGAAAAAACCATCTGTAAACTACTTAGCACAGAGCCTGACACCCAGCATGCACTGAAGTGGTGATGGCTTCTATTAATTGACATTCCACATTATAACCGTGGGGCATCTGAACCAACCCTGCCTTCCCATTATAAAATGCAAACTCAGTGGAATGCAATAATAATTTTCTAAATGCTTGTTCAAAACACCATTAGAATAAGTAAATAAATGTGCAACAATGATAGTTAGCATTTATTAAACATCTATGGTGTTCCAGGCACTGTTTTATATATATCAATAATTCAATTCTTATACAATTTAAATGTTGGTATAGTATTAACTCATTTTAGAGATGATATAACTAAGGAACAGAATGATTGCCCAAGGTCACACCAATAAGAAATGTCAGAGTTGGATACTGACTCAGTCAATGTAGTTCCAGATCTACAGGCCACAAATCTAAAAGGCTTTTTCAATCACTACACTGAGGCACATGTAGTGGCCACATAATTTACCATCCAAACCAAGATATTTTCCAGCTAGGAAAATGGGCAGAAACTTTGACTGTTCGCAGGCAAACCAGGACATGTGGTCATCCTAGCTCTTTTGCCTTTTTCATTTCTTCTAAAAACAAAAAAATGGGATACATGTGCAAAACATGCTACATAGGTATACATATGCCATGGTGGTTTGGTGCACCTATTGACGCGTCCTCTAAGTTCCCTCCCCTCACTCTTCACCCTGCAACAGGCCCTGGTGTGTATTGCTCCCCTTTCTGTGTCCATGTGTTCTCAATGTTGAATTCCCACTTATGAGTGAGAACATGCATTGTTTGGTTTTCTGTTCCTGTGTTAGTTTGCTGAGAATGATGGCTTCCAGCTTCATCCATGTCCCTGCAAAGAACATGATCTCATTCCTTTTTATAGCCGAATAGCATTCCATGGTGTACATGTACCACATTTTCTTTATCCAGTGTATTATTGATGGGCATTTGGGTCGGTTGCATGTCTTCACTATTGTAAATAGTGCTGCAATAAACATACATGTGCACGTGTCTTTATATTAGAATGATTTATATTCCTTTGGGTATATAACCAGTAATGGGATTGCTGAGTCAAATGGTATCTCTGGTTCTAAATCCTCGAGGAATCACCATACTGTTTTCCACAATAGTTGAACTAATTTACATTCCTACCAACAGTGCAAAAGTGCTCCTATTTCTCCACAGCCTTGCCAGCATCTATTGTTTGCTTTTTAATAATTGCCATTCTGACTGGTGTGAGATGGTATCTCATTGTGGTTTTAATTTACATTTCTCTGATGCTCAATGATGTTGAGCTTTTTTTTTTCATGTTTGTTAGGTGTGTAAGTGTCTTCTTTTGAGAAGCGTCAGTAAACATTTTGATGGAGCTGTCTTTTTCTTGTAAATATGTTTAAGTTCCTTGTAAATTCTGGATATTAGACCCTTGTCAGATGGGCAGATTACAAAAATTTTCTCCCATTCTGTAGGCTGCCTGTTCACTCTGATGATAGTTTCTTTTGTTGTGCAGAAGCTCTTTAGTTTAATTAGATCCCATTTGTCAATTTTAACTTTTGTTGCAATTGCTTTTGGAGTTTTTGTCATGAAGTCTTTGCCCATGCCTATGTCCTGAATGGTATTGCCTAGGTTTTCTTCTCGGGTTTTTATGGTTTGGGGTTTTACATTTAACTCTTTAATCCATTTTGATTTAATTTTCATATAAGGTGTAAGGAAAGAGTCCAGTTTCTGTTCTCTGCATATAGCTAGCCAGTTTTCCCAGCACCATTTACTAAATAGGAGATCCTTTCCCCATTCCTTGTTTTTGTCAGGTTTGCCAAAGATCAGATGGTTTTAGATGTGTGATGCTATTTCTGAGGTCTCTGTTCTGCTCCGTTGGTCTATATGTCTGTTTTGGTACCAGTGCCATGCTGTTTTGGTTACTGTAGCCTTGTAGTATAGTTTGAAGTCAGATAGCATGATGCCTCCAGCTTTGTTCTTTTCACTTAGGATTGTCTTGGCTATATGGGGTCTTGATTCCATATGAAATTTAAAATTTTTTTTCTAATTCTGTGAAGAATGTCAATGGTAGTTTGATGGGAATAGCATTGAATCTATAAATTACTTTGGGAAGTATGGCTGTTTTCATAATATCGATTCTTCCTATCCATGAGGATGGAATGTTTTTCCATTTATTTGTGTCCTCTCTTACTTTCTTCAGCAGTGGTTTGTAGTTCTCCTTGAAGAGATCCTTCACATCCCTTGTTAGCTGTATTCCTAGGTATTTCACTCTCTTTGTAGCAATTGTGAATGGGAGTTCATTCATGATTTGGCTTTCTTCTTGCCCATTGTTGGTGTAAAGGAATGCTTGTGGGTTTTGCACATTAATTTTGTATCCTGAGTCTTTGCTGAAGTAGCTTATCAGTTCAGGAAGTTTTTGGGCTGAGATGATGGGGTTTTCTAAATATAAAATCATGTCATCTGCTAATAGAGACAACTTGACTTCCTGTATTCCTATTTGAATACCCTTTCTTTTTCTTGCCTGATTGCCCTGGACAGAACTTCCAATATTATTTTGAATAAGAGTGGTGAGAGAGGGCATCCTTGTCTTGTGCTGGTTTTCAAAAGGAGTGATTCCATCTTTTGCCCATTCAATATTATATTGGCTGTGGGTTTGTCATAAATAGCTCTGATTATTTTGAGATACATTCCATCAATATCTAGTTTATTGAGAGTTTTTAACATGAAGGGATGTTGAATTTTATTGAAGGCCTTTTCTGCGTCTATTGAGATAATCATGTGGTTTTTCTCTTTGGTTCTGTTTATGTGATGGATTATGTTTATTGATTTGCATATGTTGAACCAGCCTTGCATCCCAGGGATGAAGCTGACTTGATCGTGGTGGATAAGCTTTTTGATGTGCTGCTGGATTTGGTTTGCCAGTATTTTATTTGTTAAGGATTTTCACTTCGATGTTCATCAGGGATATTGGCCTGAAGTTTTCTTTTTTGTTGTGTCTCTTCTTGGTTTTGGTATCAGGATGATGCTAGCTTCATAAAATGGGTTAGGGAGGAGTTCCTCCTTTTCAATTATTTGGAATAGTTTCAGAAGGGATGGTATCAACTCTTCTTTGTATTTCTGGTATAATTCAGCTGTGAATCCATCTGGTCCTGGGCTTTTTTTTTGTTGGTACACTATTAATTACTGCCTCAATTTCAGGGCTTGTCATTGGTCTATTCAGGGATTCAATTTCTTCCTGGTTTAGTCTTGGTAGGGTGTATGTTTCCAGGAATTTATCTATTTCTTCTAGATTTTCTAGTTTATTTGCATAGAGGTGTTTATAGTATTCTCTGATGGTAGTCTGTATTTCTGTGGGGTCAGTGGTGATATCCCCTTTATTATTTTTATTGTGTCTATTTGATTATTATATATCTCTTCTTCCTTATTCATCTACCTAGTGGTCTATTTTTTTAATTTTTCAAAAACAAAACAGATCCTTGATTCATTAATTTTTTGGAGGGTTTTTCATGTCTCTATCTCCAACTCTTCTCTGATCTTAGTTATTTCTTGTCTTCTGCTATCCTTTGGATTAGTTTACTCTTGCCTCTCTAGCTCTCTTAATTGTGAGGTTAGGGTGTTGATTTTTCTAGCTTTCTGATGTGGGCATTTAGTGCTATAAATTTCCCTCTTAAAACTGCTTTAGCTGTCTCCCAAAGATTATGGTACTTTGTCTCTTCTCATTGGTTTCAAAGAACTTCTTTATTTCTGCCTTAATTTCATTATTTACCCAGGAGTTATTCAGGAGCAGGTTGTTCAATTTACATGAAATTGTGTAGTTTTGAGTGAGTTTCTTAATCCTGAGTTCTAATTTGATTGCACTGTGGTCTGAGTGACTGGTTGTCATTATTTCAGTTTTTTTGCATTTGCTGAGTAGTGTTTTCCTTTCAACTATGTGATCAATTGTAAAATAAGTGCCTTGTGGCACTGAGAAGAATGTATATTCTGTTTATTTGGGATAGAGAGTTCTGTAGATATCTACTAGGTCCACTTGATCCAGAGATGAGTTCAAGTCCTGAATATCCTTGTTAATTTTCTGTCTCATTGATCTAATATTGACAGTGAGGTGTTACTGTCCCCCCACTATTATTGTGTGGGAGTCTAAGTCTCTTTGTAGGTCCCTAAGAACTTGTTTTATGAATCTGGGTGCTCCTGTATTGGGTGCATATATATATCTTCAGAATAGTTAGCTCTTCTTGTTGAATTGCTCCCTTTACCATTATGTAATGCCCTTCTTTGTCTTTTTTGATCTTTGTTGGTTTAAATTTGTCAGAGACTAGGATTGCAACCCCTGCTTTTTTTCTTTTTTTTGCTTTCCATTTGCTTGGTAAATATTCCTCCATCCCTTTATTTTGAGCCTATGTGTGTCTTTGCATGTACAACGGATCTCCTGAATATGGCACACTGATGGGTCTTGACACCTTATCCAATTTGCCAGACTGTGTCTTTTAATGGGGGCATTTAGCCCATTTACATTTAAGGTTCATATTGTTATGCACAAATGTGATCCTGTCATCATGATGCTATTTGGTTATTTTGCACACTAGTTGATACAATTTCTTCATAGTGTCATTAGTCTTATATTTTGGTGTGTTTTTGCTGTGGCTGGTACCAGTTTTTCCTTTCCATATTTAGTGCTTCTTTCAGGAGCTCTTGCAGGGCAGGCCTGATGGTAATGAAATCCCTCAGCATTTGCTTGCCTGGAAAGGATTTTATTTCTCCTTCACTTATGAAGCTTAGTTTAGCTGGATAAGAAATTCTGAGTTGAAAATTCTTTTCTTTAAGAATGTTGAATATTGGCCCCCAATCTCTTCTGGCTTGTAGAATGTTGAATATTGGCCCCCAATCTCTTCTGGCTTGTAGAGTTCCTGCTCAGAGGTCTGCTGTAGGTCTGATGGGCTTCCCTTTGTAGGTGACCTGACTTTTTTCTCTGGCTGCCCTTAACAGTATTTCCTTCATTTCAACCTTATAATCTGTTGATTGTGTGTCTTGGGGTTTATCTTATCATGGAGTATCTCAATGGTTTTCTCTGTATTTCCTGAATTTGCATGTTGGCCTGTCTTGCTAGGTTGGGGAAGTTCTCCTGGATAATATCCCGAAGTGTGTTTTCCAACTTGGTTCCATTCTCCCTGTCACTTTCAGGTACACCAATCAATTGTAGGTTGTTTTTTCACATAGTCCCATATTTCTGGGAGGCTTTGTTCATTCCTTTTCACTCATTTCTCTCTATTCTTGTCTGCATGTCTTATTTCAGTAAGGTGTTCTTCAAACTCTGATATCCTTTCTTCAGCTTGGTCAATTCGGCTATTGATGTGTATATGCTTCAAAAGGTCTCAAGCTGTGTTTTTCAGCTCCATCAGGTCATTTATTTCCTCTCTAAACTGTTTATTCTAGTCAGCAAGCCCTCTAACCCTTTATCAAGGTTCTTAGCTTCTTTTCATTGGGTTAGAACATGCTCCTTTAGCTCCTCATAGTTTTTTTCTACCCATCTTCTGAAGCCTACTTCTGTCAATTCTTCCATCTGATCCTCCTTCCAGTTCTTCACCCTTGATAGAGAGATGTTGCAACCATTTGAAGGAAAAGAGGCACTCTGGCCTTTTGGGTTTTCAGCATATTTTCAATGATTCTTTCTCATCTTCTTGAGTTTGTCTAGCTTCGGTCTTTGAGACTGCTGACCCTTGGATGGGGTTTTTAAGGGGGCCTTTTTGTTGTTGTTGTTGCTAATGCTGTTGTTGTTGCTTTCTGCTTGTTTGTTTTTCTTTCAGTAGTCAGGTCCCTCTCCTGTAGGACTGCTGCAGTTTGCAGGGGGTTCACTTAAGGCCTTATTCATCTGATTCACTCCCATGCCTTGAGATGTCACTCAAGGAGGCTGCAGAGCAGCAAAGATGGATGCCTGCTCTTTCTTCCGGAACCTCTGATCTCAAGGGGCACCAACCTGATGCCAGTAGGATTTCTCCTATATAGGGTGTCTGACAACCCATGTTGAAGGGTCTCACCCAGTTGGGTGGCACGGGGAGCAGGACCCATTTAATGAAGCACTTTGTCCCTTGGTGGAGAGGGTGTGTTTCACTGCAGGGAAACCCATTTGTCTGGGATGCCTGGATTCTCAGAACTACTCGGAGGAAAAACTTAAGACTGCTGGTCCGCAGAGACTGCAGCCACCCCTCTCCCTAGGGGCTCAGGCCCAGGGAGATCCAAATTCTGTCCATGAGCCTATGGCTGGAATTATTGGAGATCCTGCAGGAAAGCCTCACCCACTGAGGAAGGATGGGTCAGGGTCGGGGCTGAAGAGGCACTCTGGCCGCAGATTGCCACAGCTGATGTGTTGGGCTGTGGGGACAAGCTTTGGGGCCAAGCCATCCAGCCTTCCCAGCTCTGGCAGGGGAAAAGCACAGCCTGGAGCTACAGAAATGGGTGCTGCCCTTCCCCAGCCCATGGAGCTTAGCATGTTAGGCAGTTGCGAGTCCCAGTGCTGGTTGCTGCCCCTCTCCCAAGGAGCTCAAAAGGCTTAGACAGCAGGCAGTGGCAGCTGGTGCTGTTTGCCCTTCCCCCTAGAAGTTTGGTAGGCTTAAGCAGATTCTAGCGTAGGTTCGCAAGTGGCATCTTCCAATCCATGTGTTGTGCAGTTCTGTGGAAAAAGCGCAGTTTCCCTGGCTGGATAGCGCACTCACTCACCACCTCCCTTGGCTGGGTGGAGGGGATTCCCCTTCCCTGTGTGGCTCTCAGGTGGGCCATAGTACCACACTGTTCTCCTTTCTTTCCATGGGTCATGCCAGCCTTCTAGTCAATTTTGATGAGACAACCTGGATACCTTGGTTGCCGGTGAAGCATTCACATGCTTATCATAGTTTTTTATGATGGGATTCTCCGAACAGCACTGCTGCTAATCAGCCATCTTGGCCCTGCCCCTCTACTGCCTTTTTAATAGTCTTTAAGAGCATAAATGAATCATAGACATTTTTGT
The DNA here is from genome assembly GCF_000001405.40 of Homo sapiens. Lineage (NCBI taxonomy): Eukaryota > Metazoa > Chordata > Mammalia > Primates > Hominidae > Homo > Homo sapiens. The sequence goes on along the minus strand of NC_000011.10, from coordinate 87,588,671 downwards.
CTGCTTGTATAAGGTGAGAAAACTAAATCAAATCTATGCAGAGATTCCCATTGTTGATAGGACACTAACCTCCTTAGCTTGGCCATGAAGGCCCTGCATGGTCTAACCCTGTCTATTCTCCAGCCCCGTGTCCACCACAGTCACTCACTCTCATCTTTTGCACTCGAGGTACACTGGTTTTCTCTCCATTCCTTAAATGTCCATACATTCTTCATCTCAGTCTTTTGTATGTGCTCTTTCTTCTGCCTAGCACCCTAGAGTGCTCCCCGATCCCCTTCCAGCTTTACCTTGTTAACTTCTAGTTGCTAGAAAGGGAAGTAAAGATTCTGTCATCTTAGGTACAGAAAACTGCCCACATTTCTACTCCTACTTATTGCCTTCAGAGCCCCACCCCAGAGACATGTCTAATCTAGCTAATGAGGTACAAGTGGCCATGATTTTTTTGAGGGAGGTAGGGATACCGATGATGTGAGCATACTGTCTCCCATTTCACTTCCTGCATTTGACTGTAGCAGAGGCTGCCATTTTCCTCTTTTAATCACTGCACCCAAGTATAGCAGACTCATTCCTACTTCTGTTTCTGCTACCAAGCCTCATGGCATCAGCTGTTGTGGGTAGGGTCTGCCTTCCAGAGGCTGCTCATGCCTCATTTATGCTCCCAGTTCTAGCAGCTCATATATATGTCTAACTTGGGTAGTGAAGACAGCATTTGCCATAACTCATATGTTATACTGGGGGAAGAAAAGGGAAGCTCTGCTCAGATTTTCCATCATAAGCTTTGTGCTATAACACAGTGTACCTGAGAAGTCTTGCACTGGGGAGTACTGGGTAAGTATCCAGTGACCAGCAGAAGTGGTATGTCATCCACCATGTGGCTACTGTTCCTTGTAAGTATTGCTCCATCAGCAGGAAACCCCAAAATAGCCCAGAAAGGAGCACCAAACCTCACCTTGGACCCAGGACCATTCATTCTTCTCAGCTCAATTTAAAGGTCAGACTCTACTACTGCTATGTCTGTGGCTCAGGTCCTCTTAATATTGACATTCATTTATCATGAGTTTTCTTATCAGCTCTTATTCAAAATTGTAAATATGCATTTATTTGGGAGATAATTTAATTAATGTCTTATCTCCTTCTTCACAGTATAAACTCATAGGGGAGAAAAAAATGTCTTCCCCTTTACCTATCCTGGACTCATAACTGGCTCTTACAACAAAAGACAGACTAACAATACAAAACAAAAGCATTCAGATGCAGAAAAAGCATTCAATAAAATTTAGCATCCCTTTATGATTAAAACTCTTAGCAAAATCGGCATACAAGGGATATACCTCAATGGGATAAAAGCTGTCTATGACAAACCCACAGCCAACATAATACTGGGGAAAAGTTTAAAGCATTCCCCCTGAGAACTGGAACAAGACAAGGATGCCCACTCTCATGACTTCTCTTCAGTGTAGTACTAGAAGTCTTAGCCAAAGCAATCAGACAAGAGAAAGAAATGTAGGGCATCCAAATCAGTAAAGAGGAAGTCAAATTGTCGCTGTTTGCAGATGATATATGATTGTTTACCTTGAAAACCCTAAAGACTTCTCCAGAAAGCTTTTAGAACTGATAAAAGAATTCAGCAGAGTTTCCAGATACAAGATTAATGTAGACAAATCAGTAGTTTTTTTATACAGCAACAGCTACCAAGCTGAGAATCAAATAGAGAACTCAACCCCTTTTACAATAGCTGCAAAACAATAAACTAAAGTAAAATACTTTGGAATATACCTAACCAAGGTGGCAAAAGACCTTTACAAGAAAACCTATGAAACACTGCTGAAAGAAATCATAGATGACACAAACAAATGGAAACACATCCCATTCTCATGGAAGGGTAGAATCAATATTGTGAAAATGACCATACTGCCAAAAGCAATCTACAAATTCAACGCAATCCCATCAAAATACCACCACCATTATCCACAGAATTAGAAAAAAAAAAAAAACTCTAACATTCATATGGAACCAAAAAAAGAGCCCACATAGCCAAAGCAAGACTAAGCAAAAAGAACAAAACTGGAGGCATCACACTACCTGATTTCAAACTATACTATAAGGCCACAGTCATGAAAACAACATGGTATTTGTATAAAAACAGGCACATAGACCAATGGAACAGAATAGAGAACCCAGAAATGAATCCAAATACTTAAAGCCAAATGATCTTCAACAAAGCATACAAAAGCATAAAGTGGGGAAAGGAGGCCCTTTTCAGCAAATGGTGCTGAGATAATTGGCTAGCCATAGGTAGGAGAATGAAACTGGATCCTCATCTCTCACCTTATACAAAAATCAACTCAAGTTGGGCACCATGGCTCACACCTGTAATCCCAAAATTTGGGAGGCCAAGGCAGGCAAATCACCTGAAGTCAGGAGTTCAAGACCAGCCTGGCCAACATGGTGAAATCCCATCTCTACTAAAAAAATACAAAAATTAGCCTGACAAGGTGGTAGGTGCCTGTAATCCCAGCTACTCAGGAGGCTGAGGCAGAAGAATTGCTTGAACCTGGGAGGTGGAGGTTGCAGTGAGCCTAGATCACACCACTGCACTCCAGCCTGGGTGACAGAGTGAGAATCATCCATCTCAAAAAAAAAAAAATTCAACTCAAGATGGATAAAAGACTTAAATCTAAGACCTGAAACTATAAAAATTCTAGAAAATCACGTTGGAAAAACCCTTCTAGACATTAGCTTAGGCAAGGATTTCATGACCAAGAACCCAAAAGCAAATGCAATAAAAGCAAATATAAATATCTGGTACTTAAATAAACTAAAGAGCTTTGCATGGCAAAAGGAACAGTCAGCAAAGTAAACAGATGACACACAGAGTGGAAAAAAAAAATCTTCACAATCTATACATCTGACAAAGGACTAATACCCAGAATCTACAACAAACAAAAAATCAGCCAGAAAAAAAAAAAAAAAAACAAGCAATCCCATCAAAAAGTGGGCTAAGAACATGAATAGACAATTCTCTAAAGAAGATATACAAATGGCCAACAAACATATGAAAAAATGCTCAATATCACTAATGATCAGGGAAATGCAAAAGAAAACCACCTTGTGATACCACCTTACTCCTGCAAGAATGGCCATAATAAAAACATCAAAAAATAGATGTTGGCATGGATGCAGTGATCAGGGAATACTTCTACATTGCTGGTGGGAATGTGAACTAGTACAGCCACTATGCAAAACAATGTGGAGATTCCTCAAAGAACTAAAAGTAGAACTACCATTTGATACAGCAATCCCACTACTGGGATCTACCCAGAGGAAAAGAAGTCATTATGCAAAAAAGATACTTGCACATGTTTATAGCAGCAAAATTTGCAAATGCAAATTGCAAATTGAGAAATCATGAAACCAACCGAAATGCCCATCAATCAATGAGTGGATATACGATGGAATACTACTTAGCCATATAAAGGAATGAATTAATGGCATTCGCAGCGACCTGGATGAGATTGGAGACTATTATTCTAAGTGAAGTAATTCAGGAATGGAAAACCAAACATTGTATGTTCTCACTGATTTGTGGGAGCTACACAAAGGCATAAGAATGATACAATGGACTTTGGGGACTTGGGGGGAAAGGTAGAAGTGGGGGTGAAGGATAAAAGACTACAAATAAGGTACAGTGTATACGGCTCAGGTGATGGGTGCACCAAAATTTCACAAGTCACCACTAAAGAACTTACTCATGTAACCAAACACCACCTGTATCCCAATAACCTATGGAAAAATAAAAAATAAAAATAAATTTAAAAAACAAAAGCATTCAATTTTATTTACGGCTTACTTGACCCAGGAGCCTCCATAAGGAAATGAACACCTGAAGAAACTGTTAAGCCTTGGTGTTTTTAATAGTAGGGTTGATGAAGAGTGACTAGTCATGGAGCAATACTGTAGAGCAAAAAGTATGATCTAATAGTAATAAACTGGGGAAACTTAGCAAGGACTGTTTGTTCAGATTCTACTCTGTGTTCCTGTGTCTTCAGAGATAAGGATCCTCCCTTCATTCTAAGAGGGAGGGTACCTCTCACGTGAGTATTTTAAGACATACTTCAGGTGAGGGTCAGAAAACCCTTCCTAGGTTTTATGACCAGCTGGGAAGAAGGGCAGGGAAGAGGTCTAAGTGACCTTTCTGCTTCTGTCATTTTCTCAGATTCCTTCAGCTTAAAATAGTCACTACGCCAATGTACCATATTTGGGGGAAATGTGTCCTAAACCCTATCAACTCCATAAAGTAACAACAGTGGTGAATTTGCTCTTTCAGTTATCTTTAATGCCTGGCACATGGTAGGTACTCAATAAATGTATGTGGAATGTCTTAATAAATAAGTTGAATAACTTGTCAGAAGGCAGAAGTAAATTTTTCTGGTTTTCCTCTACTATGATTACAGAGCTTGGACATGTCAGGGCTTATTGAAATGAATACAGGAAAGGGTGTGAGGAATGCCAAATTGTTGGACAGACTGTTGAAATACTGTGCCTGCTGTAAGAGAATCAGGACAAAAGACTGACCTCCATCTCCTTGGCGTAAGCCATTAGTCACTTCTTATATTAGGGGAAGAAGAAAGAAACCCTACTCAAACTCCATCACAAGCTTTGCACTCTAACACAGGGTACCAGAGAAGTAAAGAGATCGTGTCTGGTTTCCTCTATATTTGATATTGCCATACCACAGCAAATGTTTTGAAATTTTTTCTTTCTCATTTGTTATTAGTAGGTGCCTTTGGAAAACAAAAATAATACCTAATTGGTTCCTACTGTATGATAAGTTTTGGTCTCAGTCACTTTTAATATATGAATTTTTACCATAGCCATATGAGGTATGTGCTATTATCCATTTTACAGAGGAACAAATGAGTCATAGCTGGTAACTTACAGGATTTGAAATTAAATCCAGAAATTATTAATTTAACAGTTCCAGAGTCTAGGCTGTTGACCACTGTGCTATATGCTGCCTTGTTGTACTGATCTAGATAATGGGAAAATGAGTTTTGTTATGAGAAGGATTCAGACTAAAGCAATGTGCAAGGGAGAAGGAGGAAGGAATATGACACTAAAAAAGAGAGGAAGCTCTCAGGAGAAAAAGGTAAAAAAATTCTTTAGTATTAAGAGAGTGAGAATTTTGAGGAACAGCTATTTGTTAGGTGGTAGATTTTGAGACTATCAGCAATGAAAGGGATTTTTAAGGTATTTTCCTGTGTTCTAAGGATATACTTCACCACCACTCTAACACTTAGAGGTTATTTTTGAGAAGTGTAGTTCTGAATTACTTTGAATTTGATTTTTTATGATTGACAATTATTAAACATATTTATAGGGTACAATGTGATGTTTCAATACACATATAAATTGTGTAATGATCACATCAGAGTAATTAGCTAATTCATCACTTTAAACATCTATCATTTCTTTGTGATGAGAACATTCAGAAACCTCCCTTCTAGTTATTTTGAAATACACGATATGTTATTATTAATGCTAATCATCTTATTGGGCAATAGGACAGCATAACTTATTCCTCCTATCTTGCTGTGGCTTCGTAATCAGTGACAAAATCTCTCCCCCTCCCTTCCTCTTTAGTACCCTCCCCAACCTCTGATAACCACTATTCTACTCTTTACTTCTAGGAGAACAAAATTTTAGACTCCACATATGAATGAGACCATGCAATATTTGACTTTCTGTGCCTGGCTTATTTTACTTAACATAATGGGGAAATGACAGCCTCTTCAACTGATGCTGGGAAAACTGGATATCCTATGCAGAAGAATGAAATTAGATCCCTACCTCTCACCACTTACAAAAATCAAATAAAAATAGTTAAATCTTCTTTTTTTTTTTTTTTTTTTTTTTTTTTGAGATGGAGTCTCGCTCTGTCGCCAGGCTGGAGTGCAGTGGCGGAATCTTGGCTCACTGCAACCTCCACCTCCCAGGTTCAAGCGATTCTCCTGCCTCAGCCTCCCAAGTAGCTGGGACTACAGGCACGCGCTACCATGCCCAGCTAATTTTTGTATTTTTAGTAGAGATGGGGTTTCACTATGTTGGCCAAGATGACTTAATCTCCTGACCTCGTGATTCGCCCACCTCAGCTTCCCAAAATACTGGGATTACAGGCGTGAGCCACCACGCCCAGCCAAAAATGGTTACATTCTTAAACGTAAGATTCAGAACTACTAGAAGAAAAAATAGTGGAAAAGCTCCATAACGTGAGTCTAGGCGAGGATTTTTTGAATGAAACCTCAGAATCTAGAGCAGTGAAAGCAAATGTAGACAAATGAGATTATATCAAACTAAAAACTTCTGCACAGCAAAGGAAACAATCAACAGAGCAAACAGACAACTTACAGAATGGGAGAATATACTTGCAAACTATGTATTTGATAAGGGGTTAGTGTCCAAAATATATAAGAAACTCATATAACTCAACAACAACAAAAGAGCCAATTAAAAAATGGACAAAAGACCTGCACAGACATTTCTTGAAAGAAGATATAAAAATGGCCAACAGAGATTTGAAAGGTGCTCCTATCACTCATCATTGGGGAAATGCAAATCAAAACCACAAGGAGATATTACCTCGCTCTAGTCAGACTGGCAATGATTGAAAAATCAAAAGATAGCTAGCGTTGGCATGGATGTGGAGAAAAGGGAACCCTTACACACTGCTGGTGGGAATGTAAATAAGTACAGCTATTTTGAAAAACAGTATGGAGGTTCCTCAAGAAATTAAAAATAGCACTCTCATACCATCCAATAATCCCCTACTCAGTACATATCCAAAGAAAATGAAAATCAGTATGTTGAAGAGATATTTGCATCCAGATGTTTATTGGAGTACTATTCACATTAGCCAATATGTAAAATCAACCTAAGCATTCAACAATGGATGAATGGATAAAGAAAATTGGGTATATATATACAATAGAATACTATTCAGCCATTAAAAAGAATGAAATCCTGTCATTTGAGACAACCTGGATGAACCTAAAGGACATCATGTTGAAGTATTTTTTATAGGAAAAATAGTTCATTTGAACTGACACTAATCTGTTACTTTTGGCATTCATGTACATTATCCCATTTAATCTGTACAATGAACTATGAGATAAATAACATTGTTTCCTTATTATAGATGAGGAAACTATAGATCAGAGAAGTTAAATAATTTGCATTAAGTCACAGAGCAAGTAAATACAAGACCTAGGATTTGAATTTAGGTCTGAGTCCAAAAAGCTCTGCTCTCACTATGCATGTTAAATCCATACAAATTGGCCTATACTTCCTGTAATAAGACCAAAGTCACACAGAGATAAGAAAGATCATCAACCTCTCAACTTTTATTTTAGTGATCTTATGGCTCCCTTTATTGCCTACATTACCTCCAAAATGTATACTATGTAACCTATGTACACTTTCAGGATATTTGACAAAAAGAATAGAAAGAAGGAAAATTGTAAACTGGAAGAAAATGGTAATTTCTAAAAGAACTTCTCTATAATGTTAGTATTATTTAACTTAAACCTCATCTTTTTTAAAAATAAAATATATATCTAATATCATGCATATATATAAAATAATATAAAAACATAACATGCACATATATGCATATGTAACCTGTCATTCATAGATCTTGTGAAAAAGAAAATCATATACTACATTGGTTAAAAGCTTTAACTTTGAAGGGAAATACACTTGGGTGCAAACACCAATCTGCCTCTCAGTAACTACGCAGTTATGGACATCTAATTCAAACTATCTGGGATTCAATTTTCTCATGTTAAAAAAGGGCAATTATTCCTTATAGGGTTGTTGTGCTGATGTAAACCACTTAGCATAGGCCTGGGACCACAGTGAGCACAGAATAAAAGGTTGCTTTTATTACTTGTAAATTATCAGAAATTCTTCTGTTGTCATCAGAATTGTTTAAGCTTCTTTCAAGGGTACTATCATAAAGAGTAATGGCTGCAATTATTGGCATGCAGCATGTAAAGGACCATAAACCTACAGTTATAAGGTCATCCATCCATCCTAATGGTATAATTGGATAAGTCATTTCCTTCTTTGGACCTTTGTTTTTTAATCTACAAATGTAATGTATTTATAGAGCAAACAGTGGGTTTTATGTTCAGATTTGAGTTTAAAATGCCAATTCCTAATTATAGTTAATGTCAACAGCAGCCTCTTTAAACCTTAAAAATAGTAATTATTGATCACAAAGTCTTCAATAGGTGATCCTAGTTTAGATTGTACTGACACGGGATATTCTGCCCAAATGAACAATCTGTGATTCTACCAAAAGCTGTAACCTCAATTTCTTTCTAAGGAGGAAGCATTTCCATCCAGATCCTGGAGAGAAGAAGAGGGGTTAGTAACCTGGGAAAGCAATTAGGCTTAGCTCTGATTTCCTCCCACCAAATGGCCACACAGGGTGATGCCTTAGCAATCAGGTGAATTCTACTCTGGGGATAAAGATGCATACTAATTATCCTTGGAGTTATTCCAGACACTCTAAAGCAATTCAAGAATAAGTACATTAACTGAGCTGACCACATTGTTTAATAACACAGCACATATACCTACATGATTTTTTCCATTTCTCGCAGAAAAATCAACCCATACAAGTGACTGATTGACAGTATCATTAATTAATTTATGGATGTAGGCACCTTTTCTGAATACTTAATTAATGTGCTAGATGCAAAATATATGCCAGAAATGAAAATAAAGTTTTTGCTCTCAAGTCTATTGGGCAAGGCAAACAATTGATATAATGCCAGTGTGATCCGGTGATAAGAAGTACTATGAAAACACCCAAACATATTTGAGGGTATGAGGCCGTGGTGGGCTGATAAACCAGCTATGAGGGTGGGAGAAACAAAATGATTTGTCACATTTGCTGATTTCTGTGGTATATCAACTTCCATCAAGGCTGATTTCAAGCTACCAACAAGGCATCATTGAACACAGTCTTGGGAAGAGGTATGCATAATTAGCTCTTGTAAGCCAATACTGAAAGCAATTAGACTTAGTAAAGGACAGCTCTGAAGCACCAACAAAGGCTTTCTTGTGTGTTTGACCTTCAACTAACAGTTTTCTAAACAAAAAGATTTTCCTAAAATGTTGGGGTATACAGAGCCCACAATATTTATTAAATTCCAGGCAGGGAATCTGTACCAACCAAAGCTCAGAGTGCTGTTTTGTCATTGAGGGCAGACATGCCTGACTGTTGACTCCACCTATGTTTACCTGTGTTTGGGAAGAGTATTTAGCATTCTGGAGTGGTATATTTGCTCAGATTAGCAGCTGCACACTCTTTTAATAAAGAGTCAGTGAACCTGCTGTCAGAAGAATTTCCCCTGCAGTGGCAGAATGAAATCAACCTCTTTGGTGGAATACAGTTAAATCAATAAGTGGTGATGTTTTAACACATCTCAGAAACTGCGAAGACAGCTGATCCAAGTTTAAGGACATCACAAAAGCAAAACTCTTCTTTGTGTTTAATATGACAATTCAAGAATATTAGGGAAGTTATTTATGAAATTTAGCTCCTCTGTGTATACAATTCCTTGGGCTAACAATCTCTAAGTGATGCGGAGCCCTTTGGTTTCTCTAGTAAATTTTCTTAAGCATGTCTTTCAGAGTAATAGATGCAGGAAATGTTAGATGAGTAATGCAAAAAATTAATTTACTGTTCCATAGTCACAACCTTCTGATTTAATGTTAGGTGAGTTTCTTCATGTTAGATTTATCAGAGCCTTTACTCTGCATTAATTATGGCTACATTATTGGACCATATTAAGCTTACATGTCACACAATGTTTCTAACACTTTAAATATGTTGATTCACTTAATTTTTTCATCTAATTTGAAACTAGATATTATTATCAGCTACATTTCTGAGCAAACTGAGGCTCATAAAATTTAAATAGCTTACCCAGGATCATAAATCCAACAAGCAGATCTGCAACCCAAACTTCTGACTCCAGAGCCTGTGTTCTTAAACTCCTATACTGTGAATCTTCAGTGGAGTATGCACTAATTTCCTAGACATATCTAAGGATTAAACACTTTTCCATAGAGCCTTTTTGCTGCATGTGTTCAACAAATGCTTTTTGAGGTGGTATACCACAGGATCATAACACTAATGTTTTAAGGTACGAAGTAAGGAAACCACTGAAGAAATCTTGTTTAGCAGTTGAAAATTGAGGTACAGCTGTAAGTAAATAGCTAACAAAAGTAATATAAAGAGGCAAGTGTGGTACTGTGGAAAGAATGTTAGATCTGGAGTCTGTAAAAAATGGGTTTCTGTCCTTGGCAAGCCATCAGTGTAAACTTAGACAAGTCATTTTACCTCTCAGAACCTCAATCTTCTCTACAATGTAACTATGCCAATGAAAAGTTTCTTCCAGCTCCTTGGCGGTGAAGTCAACTTGCCATAGGCACCTTGCAATCCCTACATGTCTTGCTGCATAGGCCAAATTACAAGGTCTTGACCATTCTTTTACTTCTGTGAAAGTAGCATTGTGCCACTTCTTAGGATGTTTTGTGCAATCAGCAATTCTGAAAAGTAAGGAATTCTGTACATGGACCTGTACAGTGATGTGCTTTCCCTCCGGTCCAAAAAAAAAAAAAAAAAAAAAAGTTTGCCAGGTGCAGTAGCTCATGTCTATAATCCCCGCACTTTGGGAGGTTGAGGTGGGTGGATTGCTTGAGCCCAGGCATTTGAGATGAGCCTGGGCAACATAGCAAGCTAAACTCCATCTCTATGAAAAATACAAAAATTAACCAGGCCTGGTGTTATGCATCTGTAGTCCCAGCTACTTGGAAGGCTGAGGCAAGAGAATCAACTAAGCCCAGGAGATCAAGACTGCAGTGAGCCATGATTTTGCCACTGCACTCCAGCCTCGGCAACAGAGCGAGATCCTGTCTAAAAATAAAAAAATAAAAAATAAAAAAGTTTGCTTGCGGCTTGTTATAGAAGCAGTGGATTCCCTAATCTCAGGGCTCCTCTCATGTGGTACATACCACTGAGCATAAAGGCCCTACCTAGTCCTCTATGTTGCCCTGTAGAATTTAGAGCTATTAGGACTGGTGCAACTATGCTGATACTCCTGCTACTGACTTCACAGTGAATAATGAAGCCCTTTGTCTCTGACCCAGGAGTTTTGTGTTTTCTATCATCATTCAAGCAACTGTTTGAGACTAGTTTGCAAACTATGCAGTTCCCCTGCTTCTAGATCTTTTCTCCACTGTCAAACATATTTAAGTACAGTAAAATCCTAATGGAGGGCATCATAATGGAACACATGGTACACCTTAAATTTAGTAGAATAAAGAGAAACCATGAAGTATAGGATGTTTTCTTGTATTTTTCACTCATTCATTCTTTCGAGAGACACATTTTTTCAGGTTGGACAACATAGTAAGACCCCATCTCTATAAAATAAAATAAAATAAAATAAAATAATATAATATAATTAAACAGGTATGGTGGTACATGCCTGTAGCCCTAGCTATTTGGGAGGCTGAGGTGGGAGGATCATTCCAGCCCAGTAGTTCAAGGCTGCAGTGAGCTATGATTGTGTGACTGCACTCCAGTCTGGTTGACAGAGTGAGACTTCTCTAAAAGAGCTTCTTTGCATCAATATAATGAAAAAAAAATAGAAAAAGAGGAAACAAAAGACACATTTTGAGTTTATGCCCTGTGTCAGGCCCTAAAGCAATAGATGATATGAATAAGACCATCCTGTTTTCAACAAGTTCTTCATGGAAAGTAACCAATCAATTATAAAATAAGCAATCAAGTAATTACTGGAATTATAAGTATATTCTTAAACAGGTTTATACAACACCAAAATAAAAGGTCAATACTACAAATTTTGTACAAAAGTTAGATAATTTATAGAAGAGGAAAGAAATTGAGATTGTCTGTGACATAAACTAGAGAGCATATGTGAAAGTTTCTGGTACTATGTAACTCGTGTGTGACCCCTTAAAAGTGCTCAGCAATTATTTCTTGAATTGTAATCATAGATTCAGATAGCCTCTGTCTTCGCATACACTGGTTCAGGTTTTATTTTGAAACTAGAGGCAAGTGAGCCAATTGTTCCCATCCAAAGACAGATGAAATAGTAAAAGCTACTCTAAACCAAATGCTACTTTATTTAAAAGAGGATTCACACCAGTCATGGCATGAAATAACCTCTATTCTGAACAAAGAAATCACACAAAATATCAATAACCATTAGGATGCCACTGGGAGATATTCAGGTTTTAATTTTAATGAAAGAGAGGAGCAGAAAAGAAGAGAAATTATAGACTCCTCTTGTGAGGAAAACTATTTACCCTGCTGTTCAGAAGACAGGGCTATTATTTAATGGTTCCAAATAGCCCTGAATGTTGCTTGGTGATTTTTTTGCCAAGCCAGTTTGCTATACAGGTGACTACTATAGAGCTCTCCTATCATTGTGACCAAGGCAGTTGTAAAATATAAACATTCGTCAAAAAGATTGTTGGTAGGAATGTGTCTATGAAGCTTGTTCATGTACTAATTCATTCAACAAATATTTATAGAGCTATTGTATTCCAGACAACATAGAAGGTGCTGAGCCAGTATTTATGTAATTATTTGTGGTGTGTGCATTGCATGTGAGTTAACTAAAATAACTGAAGCTGATCTCAAACCCTGCAAACCTAAGAGACATTTATAATTCCAGACACTGAAATCCTTCTGAATGAACAAGGCATCTTCCTACCCAAATGGACATATTCTTGGTGAAATGTCACCAAAACCTTAAGTTGTTAGAGCCAGGTTGCAAACGGCCAACTCAGATCAGTCTGTAAAGGCTGCTGGAAGCAGCAGATTAAGAAGGACTGTGTGGCATTTTCTGTGCTTGTGTATAGGAGGGAACACAGAAAAGTAACTCACAGACAGTAGAATTGCAACCTTGGTTTTAGCTATGACTAAAGAGACAAAAATCTGGAAGACAAAGGCAAGTGAGTGGCCCTCTGGATTTTATAAGACCTGACCAGATTTCCAGGTTAACAATATGAAGGTAATTTGAAGTCTAGTGTGTCGAGGAGTATTCCAGCAAGGCAAAGCCAGAAACCTGTGAGTGTTAATTAAAATTAGAAAATAAATCTAGATAATATAGAAGCCCAGTAAGGCATAATTCCTGGGGAACTGGGGAAATAAGACACCAGATAAAGTTCATGCTTCTGACATACAGAAGTTTCCTTTGGTATGGAGTATGGCCATCTGAGGCTCATGTGAAAACATCTGAATGAAAGTACACTTGTCCAGCTGGAGCCTCCCTGCAGCTGGGTGTGGTAATGTGATTAAGTTCTTGCCAAGGAGTGTGAATGAAAGTGATGAGTGCAACTTCTCCTTCAGTTGCTTGTCTAGCTTTGACTGTGGATGAGGACAATGTCCAAGAAATGGCAGAGACACAAGATGGAGGAAGCCAGGTCTCTAAATGACCTTAGGGAGCCAAAATGTTCCACAGGCCTTGACTGCTATTTATGAAGGGACATTGTGTTTCAAAATCCCATTGTTAAATCAACTAACTTAGTTTTTGCCCTAACAGTTATTCAGAGAAGGTCTTCTGAGGGGGACCAACATAAGGTAAGTTGTGAGTGATGAGAGAAAAAAGAGTTATTTTAAAGAGTTGATGGAAAAATATACCTGGAAGAGAGAGCAGACAATGCAGATACCTGAGGGAGTCACGCTGTATTCAAACAGCAGAAAGAACACATTGCTGGAGTGAGGGGAGAGTAACATGGGACAGCCTCTCACTCCACAAGCACTCAACCAGCAACATCAACATTTGCCCAAGTCACCCCAAACAGAGGTCCAACTGTGGCCACACGGACTTTAGAAGATGGTATATACATGTCTTTTTATTCCCATCAAATTAGCTACAGCTGGCCAGTCAGAGTCCCTTTGTCTTTGGTCTTTCTCCCTCTTCTCTCTTTCCAAGGACTAGTTCCATATGGCTTCAGGCTTGATCAAGGAAATAGGCCTGACTTAAGGAGACAGGCATGCTATTGTTATCTCCATTTTATGGAAGCTAAGATCTAGAGAGAGTAAGTAGCTGACCCAAAGTCACTCTGCTAGTAAGAGATAAAACCAGGACCCAAACCCAGGTAACCTGACACAAAAATTCAATCCCTTAATTACCACACTCCCTGCCCAGGTAGGCTCAGCTCTTGTAACATCTTTATAATGGGGCATCTACAAAACAAAGATACCTTTATCCTGCTTATACTGAATGACTCTAATCACATAATCTCCCTGTGCTATTATGCTAAAAGGACTTCTCTCTACCTGGGATAAGAAGGAGAAAGAACAAAAGGGAATGAGAGCAACAGAAAATTCTATCTTGCCACATTTTGAAAATGTTAAAATATAATCAGTTCTCAGAACTCAGAAAATGATGGCCATTTGTACACTCATACCCTCATGAAATAGCACTGTCATCATTGTACCTATGTGGAATCTCACACATGTATCAAGTAGGAGAGCAGTATTCAAAATTAGGTGTAATTATCCCTGTTGCTTCCTCTAAAAAGGAAGAAAGATTCACTATGCCCAGAAATATCTCCAAGTGACCCTGGCAGTGGTAAAGCAGAATCCATAGGAATGTAACATGCCCAGGTGTCACTGGCTGAGTCTACCCCCTTGTTAACCCTGCTCCCTTGTCTTCTCCTCCCCTCCCTCTCCACACCTCTCCACAGTTACTGTACTCATGCCTCCTTCCCCAGTTAAACATAGCTCTCAGCAAAGAGCCCTGCACCTCCTTCAAGCTAAAAGAGAAGTGAATGGCTACCCTGAATACATAATCCAGAACAAGATCCACGATTTGATAAAACTGTATCTCCAGGCTGTCTAAAACAAAATCCTTACTCTGGTATTTTAAACATGAAGGTAGAGACTAATGTCTAGTCAACTCAGCTACTTTGAGGCCACCCGCATCCCAGCCTGAAAATAAACTTTATAGTCAAGACTTCATATTATTTAAAACTAAATTAAGTCAGGTATTATTTTCTAAATCAGTGAAACCTTAGTACCCAAAGTTTAAATAAGTTTTATGTGCTCCTCTTCCTAAAAAGGCAATTACAAAGAAGGTGATCTGCTAGAACTTCACTGGGATCAATTGAGTGTGCTTACTTCTGGACTGGTCAGCAGTGCCTTAGACAGCAAAACAGAACAGGTAGCCCAGCCAGCCAGGCGACAAATAGCTTTTCACAGCTGGCCACAAAAACACAAGCTAATGTGTCATCACATTTACTGCTACTAGAAAAAAAAAAAGTCATCTTCGCAATTAAATTTACTGGACATTAAATGGTTATTGCTTTGGCTTGTACCAAAGCAGTCAAGCTGCATTTCTTGCTTCATTGGATTTTTTATTTCCTCTAATGGCTAGGCATGCTTTTCTTGGCATAGAATCTGTAACTATCACATTATGGGTCCAGTTGGTTACTAAAAAGCTCTAAAAAGACAGGAGAGTCAAACAAAGCTGGGGAGCAGTCTTGCAGTGGTGCTGCAGCTCCCAGCCTGCTGGCTAAGGACTTCAAGGAGCTGCAGAATTATTGCAGGGGGCAGCATAATCCATATTCTGTGCACCAACCATTGTCATAGCCTGCTTAAATATCTCACACACATGCCTGACATACACATAATAAACAAAACATTAATTTCAAAGTGGTATTATATTCATATTGTCTTCTTGCCACTAATTATAGTAATCTGGTATTTTTTATACACAAAAAAGAGGCCCTCATTCTTGAAACCACAGTGGTTGTGACACAATTTAACATAATGTAAAGCTAGCCCAAGGATAGCATTCAATGAAAGTAGCTTTGTAGGAGTACAACTGTCCTTAGAACAATGGTCATGTCAAAATACAGGTTTTTCAAAATATCACGGCTTTAGTTGACATGATTGTGGCTATTATAGGCACAAATTAGAGAGTAACTAAGTTTTGACCATATCTCAAATTCACACATTTTCTTGAAAGAAATGATTATGTATAATGAATCTTTCCCCAAACAGAAATTTAAACCAGTAGAACATCAGCAAAAAATGCCAACTTGTTCAAGCTTCTAAATTAAAAAGAGTATATGCCCTCTTAATTGTTCATCCTAAACGTGGGGTTGCCAGCAATCCTAATAGGAAAAGTTGATTTGTTGCTATGTAAGGGAAATTTAGCTCCCAGTTTGTACATATGCCTGATATTTAACTCCACCAGAGGAGCAGCATATTCTAAATAGGAACCAAAAGACAATTTCTGTCACTAGTCCCAGTGTGCCAAGGGAAAGAACTAGGTCATGATATTTTCATCCTTGACACCAAGAGTATTGGTTTTGGCAGGAAGAAGTTGGTGCCACTGTCTGATTTTATGACATTTACAGTTAGTTGCCTCCTTTTCTTTAATACCTGGAGTAAAGAAAGCTTAATTTGCTTGAAGCATGAAGTAAGTAAAGTAAAACCCAACTGTCTATAAAACAGCTCAAGACAACTCAACAAGAATTCTGTTCCCACCATCTAACCCTGTGCCTGGACCATAGGAAAAATTTAATAAATGTTTATGAAATAAATTACTGACTTTCTGAATACAATTCTCAAAGCCAAACTGGGTGTCTGAGTTGCCTCTTTGTTTTACTGAGAACTTGTTGCTTTGTCTACGAAGTTAGTATACTTATGTAGGATAGCAAAGTGATTTACACTCTTAGAATCACAGTTCTAAGAGGCTGATCCTTTTGTATGACAGAAGCTGGCTTGGCTCTTGTCCCATTTTCCAAATACACAGATTCAAGCTTGCTCAAACCTAGATTGTAAATCCAGAAGTTTCTTGAGGCATCAACTCTGAAAAGCCTAAAAGTATCAAGTACATTTTACTATTTAAATTTCTGACTTGAGTTTCTTTCCCCCAAAACTAAAACCATTAGTGAAAATGGTGCCTGAGAGTTCCAGCTAAGAGCTTTTGATGACCTTCGATTGACACCATAATGAAGCTGAACACACCAAGCCTTGTTCTTTGTCCAAAGTGCACATGCCCATAGCTCAGTCCCAGCCCTCCAAATTATAATTATTTGTTTATGTGCTTATCTTTACTATGGGATTATGAGTTTCTTGAAAACAAGAATGTCATTATATTAGTCTCTGTAACTACAGCTCAACATGGGGGCTGGCAAGGCTCAGTACCACATAAATATTTCATGAATATTACTAAACTCATTTTCTATCTTACCTTAGTTCATGCTTCAGTGAAATCTCAGATAAAACTCTCACTTCTGTGTTTTTTAGACCAGCTCTGTATCTCACCTGCCCTAATTCTATCCCTCCTTTCCTTTCTTTCGCTTCTTAGGAGTCATAAAATCACCAAATGACAAAAAGCTGACAACCCTAGAGGCACAATTAAGCAAAGAGCAGCAAGCCCATGGTAATTCCTCACCATGACCCCAGCCCCAAGCCCTAGACCTAATAGGTAGGCTTTGAGCTGAAACAGTGACCTTCAAAATAGCCCTTTCCTTGCTGAATTGGTAGCACTTCCCTTACTGAATCTTTTGCCCAAAAAAGGTAACCCTTCCCTTGCTGATTTTTTTAGCCCCCTAAAAAGGGGTCAGACCTTAATAATATATTTATACAGATCACTTTCAGACCAGTTGCAGAGGCTCACACCTGAAATCTCAACACTTTGGGAGGCCAAAGAGGGAGGATCTCTTGAAACCAAGAGTTCAAGATCACCCTAGTCAACATAGCAAGATCCTCAACTCTACAATAAATTATTAGCCAGGCGTGGGGGCTCATACCTGTAGTTCCAGCTATTTGGGAGGCTGAGATGGGAGAATCGCTTGAGCCCAGGAGTTCGAGACTGCAGTGAGTAGTGATCACACCACTGCATTCCAGCCTGGGTAAGAGCCAGATGCTCTCAAAAAAATTAACATTAGATTGATTTTATATTTGATAAGGAAGAATCTTCCTGTCTTCCAACCATGTGTCATGATCATCATCAAGTGCTTAGTATGTGCCACATACTGTTATAAGTGTTTTGTTGTAATTAATAACTCTATAATATATATACACATACAACTTATATATAATTTAGGTATATATACACTATTTTATATGCACATATTTTTTACCCTCATTTTTCAGATGAGAAAATTATCCTATGATACACAGCTTATAAATAATACAATCAAAATTTGAAACCAAATGGATTCAAATTGACCTTACCTAATATATCTAAATTGAAAATTTTTGTTTTTTCCTTCCTGGATCAATGTTAGGATTTTGTAGGGTTTTTTGTTTTTGTTTTTCATTTTTTGAGTCAAGGTCTTGCTCTGTCACCCAGGCTGGATTGCAGTGGTATGATCTTAGCTCACTGTAACCTTGAACTCCTAGGCTCAAACAAACCTCTCACCTCTGCCTCCTGAGTAGCTGGGACTACAAACACACACCACCACACCCAGCTAATTTTGTGTATTTTTTGTAGAGATGGGGTCTCCGTACATTACCCAGGCTGGTCTCGAACTTCTGGCCTCAAGCAATCCTCCCAATTTGACCTCCCCAAATTCTGGGATTACAAGCCTGAGCAACCACACCCAGCCTCAATGTTAGTTTTTTGTTTTTGGTGTTTTTTATATATATATTTTTTAAATTTCAATAGTTTGGAGAAAAAAGGTGAGTGGTTGCATGGAAAAGTTCTTTAGTGTTGAAATCTGTGATTTGGTTGTACCCATCAACCAAGCAGTGTACACTGTACTCAATGTGTAGTCTTTTAACCCTCACCCATCTCCCATCCCTTCCCCCTAAGTCTCCAAAGTCCATTATATCATTCTTATGCCTTCGCATCCCCACAGCTTAGCTCCCACTTACAAATGAGAACATACAATGTTTGGATTTCCATTCCTGAGTTACTTCACCTAGAATAATGGTCTCCAACTCCACCCAGGTTGCTGCAAATGCCATTATTTCATTCCTTTTTAAGGCTGAGTAGTATTTCATGGTGTGTTTGTGTGTGTGTGTGTGTGTGTGTGTGTGTGTGCATAATGGTTTTTATTCACTGGTTAGTTGATGGGCATCTAGACCGGTTCCATATTTTTTCAATTGTGAATTGTGCTGATATAAACATGTGTGTGCAAGTGTCTTTTTCATACAATGACTTCTTTTCCTCTGGGTAGATACCCAGTAGTGGGATTGCTGGATCAAATTGTAGTTCTACTTTTAGTTCTGTAAGGAATCTCCATACTATTTTCCATAGTGATTCTACTGGTTTACATTCCCACCAGTAGTGTAAAAATGTTCCTTTTCACCACATCCATGCCAACATCAGTTATTTTTTGATGTTTAAATTATGGCCATTCTTGCAGGAGTAAGTTGGTATCTCACTATGATTTTGATTTGAATTTCCTTGATAATTAGTGATATTGAGCATTGTTTTATGTTTGTTGGCCATTTGTATATTTTCTTTTGAGAATTGTCTGTTCAGTTCTTTGCCCACTTTTTGATGGGATTGTGGGTTTTTTTTTTTTGTTTTTTGTTTTTTTTGTTTTTTTTTTTTTTGCTGATTGATCTGAGTTCCTTGTAGATTCTGGATATTAGTCCTTTGTCAGATGTAGAATTTGCAAATATTTTCTCCCACTCTGTGGGTTGTCTGTTTACTCTGCTGATTATTTCTTTTTCTGTGCAAAAGCTTTTTAGTTTAATTAGGTCCTATCTATGTATCTGTGTGTCGCATTTGCTTTTGGATTCTTGGTCATGAACCCTTTGCCTAAACCAATGTCTAGAAGGGTTTTTTCTGTTATCTTCCAGAATGTTTATTGTTTCATGTCTTAGATTTAAGCTTTTGATCTGTCTTGAGTTGATTTTTGTATAAGATGAGATAAGGATCCAGCTTCATTCTTCTACATCTGGCTTGCCAATTATTCTAGCACCATTTGTTGAACAAGGTGTCCTTCCCCCACTGTATGTTTGTGTCCGTTTTGTTGAAGATCAGTTGGCTGTAAATATTTGGCTTTATTTCTGGGTTTTCCATTCTGCTGCATTGGTCTATGTGCCTATTTTTATACCAATACCATGCTGTTATGATAACTATAGCCTTGTAGTATGAAATCAGATAATGTGATGCCTCCAGATTTGCTCTTTTTGCTTAGTCTTGCTTTGGCTGTGTGGGCTCTTTTTTGGTTCCATATGAATTTTAGGATTGTGTTTTCTAATTTTGTGAAGAATGATGGTGGTATTTTGATGGGAATTGCATTGAATTTATGGATTGCTTTTGGCAGTATGATCATTTTCACAATATTGATTCTACCCATTCATGAGCACGGGATGTGTTTCCATTTGTTTGTGTCATCTGTGATTTCTTTCAGCAGTGTTTTGTACTCCTTGGTTAGGTATATTCTTTTTTTTTTTTTTTTGCAGCTGTTGTAGAAGGGGTTAAGTTCTTGATTTGATTCTCAGCTTGGTCATTGTTGGTGTATAGCAGTGCTACTAATTTGTGTACATTGATTTTGTATCCTGAAACTTCACTGAATTCATTATTAGATCTAGGAATTTTTCAGATGAGTCTTAGGGTTTTCTAGATATACAATTATATCATTGGTGAACAGCAACGGTTTGACTTCTTCTTTACCAATTTATTGTCCTTTATTTCTTTCTCTTGTTTGATTGCTCTTTCCAGGACTTCCAGTACTATGTTGAATAGAAGTGGCTAAAGTGGGCATCCTTGTCTTCTTCCAGTTCTCAGGGGGAATGCTTTCAACTTTTCCCACTTCAGTGTAATGTTGACTGTGGGTTTCTCATAGATGATTCTTATTACCTTAAGTTATGTGCCTTCTATATCGATTTTGCTGAGAGTTTTAATAATAAAGGATGCTAGATTTTTGTCAAATGCTTTTTCTGCATCTATTGAGATGATCATATAATTTTTGTTTTCTGCATCTATTGAGATTATATGATTTTTGTTTCTGTTTATGTGATGTATCACATTTATTGACTTTAATATGTTAAATCATCCCTGCATCCTTGGTATTAAACCCACTTGATCATGGTATGTAGTCTTTTTAATATGCCATTGGATTTGGTTAGCTAGTATTTTGTTGAGGATTTTTACATCTATGTTCATCAGGAATATTGGTCAGTAGTTTACTTTTATTGTCATATCCTTTCCTGGTTTTGGTATTACTGTGATACTGGCTTCAAAGAATGATTTAGAGAAGACTCCCTCTTTATCTTTTGGAATAGTTTAGTAAGATTGGTCCCAATTTTTCTTTGAATGCCTGACGGAATTCAGCTGTGAATCCATCTGGTCCTGGACTTTTTTTTTGTTGGAAATTTTTTTATTACTGTTTCAATCTCACTACTTGTTACTGCTCTGGTCAGAGTTTCTATTTCTTTCTCATTTAATCTGTGAGAGTTGTATATTTTCAAGAACTTATCCATCTCCTCTAGACTTGTGCATGTAAAGGTGATCATAGTAGCCTTGAATGATCTTTTGTATTTCTGTGGTATCGGTTGTAATGCCTCCCATTTTGTTTCCAATTCAGCTTATTTGGACCTTCTCTCTTCATCTCTTGGTAATGTCACTAACGGTCTATCAATTTTGTTTATCTTTCCAAAGAACCAGCTTTTTGTTTCATTTATGTTTTGTATTTTTTTGTTGTTGTTGTTTCAATTTCATTTAGTTCTGCTTTAATCTTTGTTATTTCTTTTCATCTGCTGGATTTGGGTGTGGTTTGTTCTTGTTTCTCTAGTTCCTTGAGGTGTAACCTCCTGTCCCTTCCATTTCTTATCCCTCCCTTAGGCTTATTTTTCTCCACAGTGGATATTAGCTTCAGGCATATTACATAATTTGTTTTCATCATGGTCTGCCTTCCCCTATAAGAAGATCAACTACAAGAGATCAGGGATTTTATCTGTATTGTTCATTGAACATCTTCAGAGCCTAAAGGGGTATTTAATATATAGTCAGTGCTCAATAAATAGTTGCTGAATGAATGACTGAGTTGGTTATAATGGGATATAGAAAGTGAAGGGCTAGAGATAAAGATGACTGTAACATAGTAATACTACTTTTATTGAACAGAGAAAGTGAAATCAACGTAAGCCTAAAAGATGATTAAGTTAAGCTTGGAGCATTGCTTTTTATTTCAGTTTCCTTTAAGCTATTCAAATAAAGATGGATGAGTTGGCAGTAAGAAGTAGAAACCAGGAAAGAGGGCCTGAAGAGACACAGCCAGACCAATGATGTGGAAAAATTTAAGTGTCCACAGAAGGAAGACACTTGGAAATAGAACCTTCAAGGGGCACAGGTAAGAATAACACTGGAGCTGTCTCCACCATTCTGCCCCTAGTACCTACTGTAGTAGGATTAGTATTGACAGTCACAACTCAGACATGTTCATATCTGAATGTGATGGAGTAACAGCAACTAACTATATCCTCACACCTCCTTAAAAAAGGCAAAATTTGGCCAGGCAGGGTGACTCATGCCTGTAATCCCAGCACTTTGGGAGGCTGAGGGGGTGTGGATCAGGAGGTCAGGAGATTGAGACTATCCTGGTTAACGTGGTGAAACCCCTTCTCTACTAAAAAAAAAAAAAAAAAAAAAAAAAAAAATGCAAAAACATTAGCCGGGCATGGTGGCGGGCGTCTGTAGTCCCAGCTACTCGAGAGGCTAAGGCAGGAGAATGACGTGAACCCGGGAGGCAGAGCTTGCAGTGAGCCGAGATCACGCCACTGCATTCCAGCCTAGGCAACAGAGGGAGACTCCGTCTCAAAAAAAAAAAAGGCAAAATTTATGAAACAACTGTTTTAGACATTGGACAATGGGTTGGGCAGGATATTAATTTCTAAAAGGGGAAACCAGCTAGGTGAACCCTATGATCATCAAATTTACTGCCTGGAGAGAGTATTCAGACTGTAGCACAGGGAAGGTGTACTCAGGGAAAGTGTACTCAAACAGAGTTCAGCCATCTCTGTCAGTTGAGAGGATATTCAGGGAGTTCAGAACTCAGGCAGGCCAATGTGGAAAGAATTTACAATGTAGGGAACCAGAGAGGAGAGAGTTACAGGACAACTTCTGGAGATTTACAAAGGGTCCCTTTCAAAACTTCACCTGAGTACTAATCATCACATGCATTTGAGGAAAATACCTGGGACCAGGAAAAAAACAAACAAACAAAATGCCAAATAATATCAGGCAGAATAATTCAGAAAGCTCACACATGGCTTGGAATATTTCCTGTTTCCCCCAGTCAATGAAGGGGGTGGGGGAGAGGGGAGGACACTGATCACCTGACACACCAAGCAGAATCTTCAGAAGAGTATTGCCTCAGTAAAGGACAAATTCCTAATTAGGGAAGGGAAGAGAAAATTATTCTCTAGGGCCATCCAGATTTGTCTGTCCTCCAGAAGACAGAATGTTAAGTGTTCAATAATGACACTTGCAGACAAATCAAGAAGTTTGCAGATAAGAGCATTCCATGACTCTAACATCGGCAAAAATAAATTTAGTAGGAATTAAGTAGGCAGAGGGGAGAATGACCAGTAGGGAAAAAATAGGGAGTATGCTGACTCCACAGGACAGTAAGTAAGCAATCATGAAAGTGGGATAATAAACTGGTTTATAACTCCAGATAAAATTAACAAGGGCCAAGCAGAATACATTCTAGGGAGGGACAAGAAAGGTAAAAATGAAATTAATTATACATGGTTCACAGGGAAGAGTCACAAGCTACAATTTCGTTCTTGATATCAAGCAGGCAGAACCTCAGGTATACTTTAAAACTGGGCTGATATTTTGAAAATCACTACAGAATAAAAGCAAACAAAATAGAGCAATCAGTGGAAGCTGTAAGAAAGCACTTTAAACATAAAACTAGATGATAGCCAAACCTCACTTATGACAACACATGCAATTCAATGGGCACAGCTAATTTTAATTTAAGGAAAAACTGGGTTTTTTTCTAAAAGGATGAAAACTGCATTCGAATTGCAAATTTTATCTTTTAAAAAAGTGATTGCCCAAAAGAAGAGTGAAATTGTCCTTTTTGCAGATCTCCCTGCATAGATCCTGTAAATGGTTCTACTGGGCACCTTCTTGCCTAAGAGAGAACAACTGATTGAATTACTTTCCAGAGTTCCTTTCATCTGTGATTGCAACAAAACAGAGAGAGCAAAAACAATTAAAATCAAATACACCAACATTTCTGGGATAAAGTGTCATATTTCTAACAGAAATAAATCTGAGATGAAATATCCTTTTGAAAGATTATATTGGAGAAAATATGCATCACACGTAAAGACAAGAAGACATCCATCTGAGATACACACCAAATGAATTACCATAGCCAAAAAAAAAAAAAGCTGGACAGTCAGCTACAATAATAAGTGATATGGCAGTGTCATGTGCCAACAGTTTGCACATTTTAGAGCAAATTTGTTGAGAAAAATGAATTACTCTAAAACAAGTTATCAAATGCCAATGTTTTAATAGAAAAGTAATGGAGTAAATTTGCTATGGTTTGGTTTATATACCCATTAATGAAGAAATAAAAAAAATCTAGTTGTCATAACTGTGTATCTTCAGAGAGGCAAAGCAACCACAAATTTTCATATTGAAGACCTGTCTCATTTCAGAATGTGTAGCAATGTGACAGGAAGAAAAATCAAAATATCTGGAATAAGAAATGTAGTTAGAACACATTTTTTGTTAGAAAAGTATCTGAGAAAGAAAACTAGAATCCTGAGTTAGCAAGTACCAAGATCATAATACTAATATACACTTAGGTGATTTTGGCCCTAAGCCCCTGCAGAACCCCTAGTATTAAGAATTTGTTCCAGATCATAAGGAATTATTTATATGACATTTTGAATAGGTTAATGGTCTTTATCTCAGAAAATAAACTTCCAAATAATTAACACTGTATTAGTCCGTTTTCACACAGCTGATAAAGACAAACCCGAGACTGGGTAATTTATAAAGAAAAAGAGGTGTAATGGACTCACAGTTCCATGTGTCTGGGGAGGCCTCACCATCACAGTGGAAGGTGAAAGGCACATCTTATATTGGTAGCAGGCGAGAGAGAGAATGAGAAACAAGTAAAAGGGGTTTCCCCTTATAAAACTATCAGCTCTCATGAGAAATTCACTACCAAGACAACAGTATGGGTGAAACCACTCCCATGATTCAATCATCTCCCACAACATGCGGGAATCATGGGAGCTACCATTCAAGATGAAATTTTGGTGGGGACACAGCCAAACCATATCAAACACATTAATAGATAATATTTTGGCATGAATTATGCTCCAATTAAATATGTTAAGCAGTTGCTATTGTAACTCCCATTTTACTTATGCAGAAACAGAGCTTCCTAGAAACTAGAATGTTGCTTTGATAACATAAGACATAAACAGCAGTGCTGGAGCTTGAATCCATGTCTCCCAACTCCAAATGAAGACAACTTCCCAGTGCCCTCAGGAGCAATCGCATTAATAAAAGATTTTATTTCGGACCATACACAAGATGATTTGTGTCCAGTTGCTATTGATCCAGAGCAGATGAAGCAGGTCAAATGTGATAGACACCAGAGGAATAGGTTAGGAGAACCTACGCGAAAAGCAGTATGAGCCTGAGCATGGATCCAGGAATCTGTTTTCAAATCAGTAGGGGAGCAGAAGTTCATGTGCAGGGCAATCAGAAAACCAAAGTTCTGATCTGAAAGTGGCTAAAGATATGTCTTGTGTGAAGACAGGAAGCTCCCCAGAGGCCAAGGATAACAGGGTTTTTCCATGTTAAGTTAAAGGACATATTATTACTCAGATAAGAAGACTGAGGTACAGTGGGCTTTAGGGAACTATTTCTCATCAAAGAATGGAACACATGGGTAACAGAACATACTTATTTTGAGTGTTTTCAGTCTTCATCTTAACAGTCTAAAATTTACAAGAAGAATAAAGCAAAGCATATAGTAGACTTTTAAATTAGACCCTTCTGCCTTCTGAATGGGGCCCCAGAGAAAAAGATGGAGAGAAGTAGAGTTTTATTTCATAACTTCATAATTCAAAAAGTTTAGCAATTTGGAGGTTTTGTTGGCTTTCTGCTTGATTATTCATTTGTTTGTTGAGACATGGTTCTCACTACATTGCTCAGTCTGGTCTCAAACTCCTGGGCTCAACCGATCCTCCTGCCTCCCACTCCTAAGTAGCTGGTATTACAGGCATGAGCCACCATGCCCAACCTGCTTTGTTGTTTCTAATGGACTTCAACACAATTGCTCTTTACTTTCCTGTGTGGGTAAAAGGAAAGTAGGGAAAGGGTAAGGGAGAAATGGGAAAACTGACTTCAAAGGGCGAGATTAAGTTAAAGAGGACAACACTTGTTCAGCCAAGTGACAAAGACCAGAGTGTGGTTTGATAACCCCTGGTTTGGGGAGAAAAAAGAAAAAAAGAACTTTAAGCAAAAAATGCTATTGCCCAAATGGGGATACTTATAACAGAAAGAAGCCAAAATAAGAAAACAAAATTAAGCCTAGGAGAATGCAGCCTGCCCATCAAGGGAAATGGCAAAGTATAGAAGACAATTAGATTGGGAAACTATCTTCTAGGAGAAATTAGAGGAACCCCATTGCTTGAGTAATTAAACCACAGACATCATGCTATAGGGAACACATATGAGGTGATGGAGGAAGAATACAAATGTACATCTGAGAATCCTAAGCTTTCTCATGAAAAATCATGAAGGAGGAAAAAAGCCTTGCCTGAGTACAGGTTTATTATGATAAAAAAGTCATCCAGCTCTACTACTAATGTTTCCCAGAGTCTAAAATGCAATGCAGTCTCCTCTCATTCTCTCCTACGGTACTCATGTGATTCAAGCATCAATCTCCTGGCCTTTTGTTGTGAATGTTTGAGTTTAACGGATGTTTATCACTGTGTTAGCATTTCATATCTCTTATCATTGATAATCATTCACAAAGTAACAGCATATCACCGGACATAGCCTAAAGAACATACAATGATTTGCATTGTACATAATAATTTAGGATAGTCATAACTAATATCTAACCTCTCATTTTCTGTCTTCTTGACTAAATTAATAACCCTCCCTAAGATCTAGTTTTGATATCTATAAAATGGGTGTAAAATATGTCTCCTTGACGTGGTTTGGCTTTGTGTCCCCACCCAAATCTCATGTCAAACTGTAATCCTCATGTGTTGGAGGAGGGGTCTGGTGGAAGGTGACTGAATCATGGGGACCCCCCCTTGCTGTTCTCATGATAGTGAATTGAGTTCTCACAATATGTGTAGGACTTCCCCCTTCACTCTCTGTCTCTCCTCCTGCCATGTAAAGAAGGTGCTTACTTCCCCTTCGCCTTCTGCCATGATTGTAAGTTTCCTAAGGCCTCCCAGTCATGCTTCCTGTTAAGCCTGCAGAATCCTGAGTGAATTAAACCTCTTTTCTTCATAAATTATCTAGTCTCAGGTAGTTCTTTATAGCAGTGTGAGAATGGACTAATACACTTCTTTAAGATTATTGTAAAGAATGAGATAACATATTTTAGTTAATGCAGTGTCTGAAAAAATATGGCAAGAAGCCTCTTAACAAATGTTGTTAATAATGATGGTGATGAAAATGAAAAATACAGCCCCAGATAGTAAGGATTAGAGAGAGAGACCTGATTTAGAAAATACATTTCCTAGTTCCTAGAACTAGG
The DNA here is from genome assembly GCF_000001405.40 of Homo sapiens. NCBI lineage: Eukaryota > Metazoa > Chordata > Mammalia > Primates > Hominidae > Homo > Homo sapiens. Next base: position 87,560,882 of record NC_000011.10, on the reverse strand, counting down.
AAATAAAATTAGAAGGTATTTAGTGCTCAGTGTTGGAAGGTTCTCAATGACTATTGGCTTATGTCATAGAATAATTATGGAAGAATGATGACATTCAAGCATTTTCTATCCATGGTCATTTTAAGAAAGATTTGGAGTAAAGAAATTAGGAAATGCACTTTTTTGCATACCTATCCATAAGATAAAGAGATGTGATGATTTTCTGTTCCCAATTAAATTCCAGGCCAAAGTCTACAACATAAATAAACATAAAGGATTTGTTCACACTTTATTGCTGGTGTCATCTTTGTGATAGAAAGAACAAGAGGCTTGTAATCAGAAAATGGGGGTGTGAGTCCCAGTACCACCACTTCCTCTTTCATTATGCTCATTGCAAAACAAATAATTATCCTCTCCATGACTACTTCACAGAGTTGTTATACAAATTTAATAATGTACATGGAGATGCTTTAAAATAATGTCAAAATAATGACAAAAATAATGTGAATTAGTTTGCGACATTATCTCACAGGAAAGTAAAATTCATTCCTTAAAAAGGAATCAAAATAAGTTCCAATATGGTACTGAGACAGGACTAGCTGGATTTCCTAGGCCAACTAAGAATTCCTAAGCCTAGCTGGGGAAAGTGACCACACCCACCTTTAAACACGGGGCTTGTAACTCAGCTCACACCTACCAATCAGGTAGTAAAGAGAGCTCACTAAAATACCAATTAGGCTAAAAGCAGGAGGTAAAGAAATAGTCAATCATCTGTTGCCTGAGAGCACAGGAGGAAGGACAATGGTCAGGATATATAAACCCAGGCATTCAAGCCAGTTGTGGCAACGCCCTTTGGGTCCCCTCCCATTGTATGGGAGCTCTGTTTTCACTCTATTCAATCTTGCAACTGCACACTCTTCTGGTCCATGTTTGTTCTGGCTCAAGCTGAGCTTTTGTTCACTGTCTGCCACTGCTGATCTCCACCACTGCAGACCCACTGCTGACTTCCACCCCTCCAGATCCGGCAGGGTGTTCACTGCACTTCTGATCCAGTGAGGCACCAATTGCCACTCCCAATCAGGCTAGAGGCTTGCCATTGTTCCTGCATGACTAAGTGCCTAGGTTCACCCTAATCAAGCTGAACACTAGTCTCTGGGTTCACAGTTCTCTTCCATGACCCATGGCTTCTAATAGAGCTATAACACTCACCGCATGGCTCAAGGTTCCATTCCTTGGAATCCTGAGGCCAAGAACCCCAGATCAGAGAACAAAAGGCTTGCCGCCATCTTGGGAGCCGCCCACCACCATCTTGGGAGTGGCCCACCACCATCTTGGGGACTCCAAGAATATAGAACTACCAGTAACAGTACTACATGAGAACAGCAATTTCGTATTCAACAATTTGTGACAGATTACTCACAGGTTCCCTGTACTTTGGAAGCTATGGAAATTGCACCCCACTCAATCCATTCTGTAGAAAAAAAAAATTTATTGTTCCAAGGGAACATATGCATTGTCTAGAGGACACTCCTCCAAGATACCTTATTATACTTTCTCTTCATCTTTGAGCTATTTTGCCACTGTAAATTTTAAGTAACTGATAGCAATGCAAGATAAATTCTTGTCTGTAGACGTGCAAATTCTGTTCTGTCCATTACAGGTTCAACTGTCTTCCTTCCCATTCTGAGGAAAAATTAGTTTTGCCACCATTCATTTATTTAAATATTTCTGATATATAAGTGTGCCCTTGATTGTACTCTCTTTTGCATCAGTTATCACATTTGCCTGGTCCCCTCATGAGTTGAACAACAATCTTTAACACATAGAATTTACTCTTTTTTGGAAAGTATCTTTCAACAGTTTGTTCATTTATCATTTTTCCCACAAACATTTGGTGAGTACCTACTCTACGGCCTGCTCTGATTAGATACTTAAGCCTAAGGAGTTAAAAAATAAAATCAACAGAGCACTTAGCACTACAGCATTGATGATGGAAAAAGCCAAATTCTGCCAAAATATTTAAAGAAGTTTATTCTGAGCCAATATGAGGGATGGTGGCCAGGGGTTAGAGTCTCAAAAGGTCCTGAGAAAGTGTGCCAAGGAGGTTGGGCTATGGTTTGGTTTTATACATTTCAGGGAGATAGGAATTGCAGGTTAAACCATAAATCAACACATGGAAGATATACATTGGTTTGACCCAAAAAGGACATTTTGAAGTTAGAGCTTACAAGTCATTGGTGGGTTTTAGGGATTCTTATTTTATTTTATTTTATTTTATTTTATTTTATTTTATTTTATTTATTTTATTTTATTTTATTTTATTTTTGAAATGGAGTTTCACTCTTGTTGCCCAGGCTGGAGTGCAATAGAGTGCAATGGCATGATCTCAGCTCACCTCCGCCTCCTGGGTTCAAACTATTGTCCTGCCTCAGCCTCCCAAGTAGCTGGGATTACAGGCACGTGCCACCACGCCCGGCTAATTTTGTATTTTTAGTGGAGATGGGGTTTCTCCATATTGGTCAGGCTGCTCTCATATTCCTGACCTCAGGTTATCCTCCTGCCTCAGCCTCCCAAAGTGCTGGGATTACAGGCATGAGCCACTGCGCCCAGCCAATTTTAAGTATCCTTTAGTTGACACTAGTTAAGAGAGTTAAGTTTTGTCTAAATACTAAATACTTCAGTTAAGATAAAAGGGTCTGCTATTTGTCACATGATGCTATACCAGAGTCAGCTTGGAAAGTAAGCCATATTATACCAGGTTAAATTTAATTAAAAAAATTAAGGATATTTTACTGTTTGTAGGGTGTGACTCTCCAGGACCCTTAAATAGGAATTTGGGCAAGATGGAAAAAAGATCAGAGTTCAGTCCTCAGCATTACTGTGAATGCAGTTTTCTCTTCTTCACCCACCACCCTTCACCAGCACACAGTAAATACTTCATAGAGATATATTAGAAGAATTTTAAAATGGCTTCCCCCCAAAACACACAATCTAGTAATTTATTCTTTTACAAAGGCCTGCCAACTAGCACCTGTACAGTGCTTGGCATGTAGAAGATACTTTATAAATATTTGTTGCATGAATTAATATAGTCTGCTATTAAGAAACTCACAAGCTGCTCATACGAAGGTCCAACATCTAGGCTTGTTCATACGAAGGTCCACCATGATTTTCCTGCTCATACGAAGGTCCACCCTCTAGGCTTGCTCAGTGCTTCACACTTAGTGGACATGCATTTGATATCTGCTGACTGATTTCAAAGCATAGCAGACGTAAAAGCCCAACATAAGTAATAGATTTTCCTCAACTAAATCACCTCCCTGTATCTATCATTAAAGCAATCATTATAATAGTGAATCTTTACTAGCTCCCCTTTAATGATTAGAGTTTCAAGCAGAAAAGTCATCCTTCTAGTTAATTTTTCTCTTAGTCTGGAGGTTAAATTTTTATCATTATTATTCAAAGTTTATGTCATCCATGTTCCACTGGTAATATTTTTATTCAGTTATTGTCAGCCATACACCTTGTGTTCATTTTTGTTCATCAAACAGGTTCTAACACAGTCTCTGTCTCACAGATACTGACAAGAACACCAACATGAACATCAGGTTTTTTTCAAATTGGAAAATAAGAGTTAGGTTACAAATTTTCTAAACCCTTTGCAGAGTGAGAAAAATCTATGCCTGGCAAAGATAATTTACTAGATAGAGTCAGATATAAATCTTACCAAAAAAAGAAAAGAAAGAAACTTCATGCTTAGAATAAAGTACAAATCATTGTCTCCAAAAGGGAGCTGGCATAAACCTTGACAAGGCTTATTAATAATGCCTACATCTTCCTTGAAACCTTCTAGACACTAAGGGAAGAATGTTCTTCCCTGACCATGCTATAAATACAGCTGGCAGAAGAGGGAGTTTTATTGCCTCTGAACGACTGTGTGGCTCACTGCAAAATGTTGTTCCCATAACCACAGGAAATTAAATTAGCAGCTCCAGGAGTTCTCACAAGGTTTAAATATGCTATTGTGCCCATGTTATGTTCACAATAGATGTAAGCAGTCCAATATGTTCAGCTACTCGTGAAAGAATCTATCAAATTTGGCTATTTAAATTAGCCAATTTGAAGATGGCCATGACAACTGGCACACATCTGCAAACTCAAAATTAGGGGATGCCTTCCAGAGGTCACAGTATTGTCGGGAGACTGAGCCTTGAACATAAATAACTAAATAGGCAACTCCATGTGGGCAGTGCTAAGTAAAATAACAGAGGGATATATAAAAAGATATGGCTGGAGAGAAAGATTACATTCAGATGTGGCTTGAGGCGGCTTTCTGTGGGAGGTAATTTAAGCTAGGCCAGGAAGGATGAGCACACTTTGGCTATGTGGAGATGAAAGGCTGAGCACTCCAGGAATAGGGCACCACATTAGTCAACATGTATAAATGAGATGAAAGGACATGTAGTTGGAAGAGAAATAAGTTCTATATGGCTGAAGTATGTTTTCATGAAGAATGTTGTGAAAAATAAGGCTGGAAAAGTAGTTAAGAGAAGGTGGCAAGGGCTGCCGTGAAGGCCCTTCACAGCTCTACCCTCAGAATGCTCCCCATCCCTCTCTAGGTCAATGTCCTCTGTGCACAGCACCCCCACCTTGCTTTGATGGCTTTGCTTTCTCCTCAGTAATAAAGGTTCTAAAGTCTCCATGTGTGGAAACTATGCTGGGGAACATGAACACAAGCACCCAGACATCAGAAGATGCGGAGCATGGACTGCAAATAACAGCAGACTCCATTTTTCTGAGAGATCAGTAGTTTTCAAATTTGATAAATTCATGAAAACTGTTAGATATGAGTTCTAAATTTCTTTTCAATGAATCAGTATGTCAGTAGGCTCAATTCTTTGCCTTCTACTTTTAAACTTAACTTCCTCATAAAGCAAACTTTTTCAATTACCTGCTCCACCCTGACTCATTCTGATTACCTACTCCACCCTGATTCATTCCGATTACCTGCTCCACCCTGACTCATTCCAATTACCTGCTCTGTCATAACCATTTTTCCCGCCAAACCACTTACCCTGTCACTCTCTTTAAATTAGCCAATCAGAATTAGTTTAGCCTGTGCAGTCTAACCCTAGCCAACAGGGGAATGACACAGCAGCAAGGGCCACATGTGTCAGGGATAAGAACCACTTCCCCTCCCTTGTCCAAGTGCGTGTTCATCATTGCTGCATCTGTAAGGGCGCACACTTCTATAGAAGTACTTTGCCTTGCTGAGAATTACAAGAAAATTTTATATTCAAGTGCTATTTCTTTTGCAGCACCGAAACTTTATATATAACAAACAGTTAGTTTAAATAAAATCTTATGTGGAATCCCAATAAGCAAAATGGAGCTCATCTGTTTGGAACAGGGATAGGAGGCCAGAGGCCCACCTACCCAGCTTCCTTTCCTTGACAGCAACCCCTCAGAGCAAGGGGGCAGGGGGGCAGGGAGGAATGATCTGTCAATCTCTTATTGCTCTCTGGAATGCAGTTTGTATAAAGTGCTGCCCTAAGGCAAAGGATGTACAATAGAACTGCAGACAATAAGAGGTTTGAGTCAAGTGGTGAAAGGCCTGGAGTTCCAGACTACATGTTTGTTCTTTATTCCGTAAGGAAGAGCTCATCAATGAGAGTTCTTCAAGTAAGAGATAATGAAACCAGAGTGAGAAAAGAGACAACAGGAACACAACGGTGAAAGGAAGACATCATTCAGAAAGAACTCAGCAGAGCTTAGCAAGTGATTGATATGGAAGACAAGGAAAAGGGAGAAGTCCCCAAAATTAGGCAAGACTTCAAGCTGGGGGACTGAAGTCAATGGAGAAAAATAGTGACAGGCAGGGGCTTGAGAAGATGAAGAATTCAGTTTAGGACACACTGCGTTGCACAGGCCAGACACAGATGTGAAGATTGCCAACCAAGAACCAGATGGGTGATGCTGGAACTCAGTAAACGTAGTCAGAGCTCTGGTGGTGAATTCAGCCCAAAAAGCACAGAAGCTACTATTCTCAATATGTACAAGGGCTTACCCATAAGATACGGCTGCTATATGGACAAAATAATGGAGTACATGAGAAAAAAGCATGCCTCATGTCCCCCTTTTTTTGGCTAATGAGCTTCCTCAAACTTAAGCTTATTTCTACATTTAACTCCTTCTTTTGTTCACTCAACCATTACAATTTTATTACCAATTGAGATTTGGGCATAGTGCTAGATCCTGTATACAACTTTAAAAATGTGATGTTGACCCCTGGAAGCAATTTAAAGCAATATATACATAACTGATTTGAATATCAGATAAACCTAGACTTGAGTGTAAGCTCCATTTCTAAACACCTGCAACAATTTGACCAATTTATTCAACCCCTCTGTGAAATGGGATTTGAATATAGAGCCCAGGAAGAGGCCAGACCAGAAGTACAAATCATGAAACAGACTAAAATAAATTTAGGGACTGTATAGGCAGAGAAGAGATAAGCACAAAGGGTCAAGCCCTGGGGCCTAAATATACTAGCTCCCCTGCCTTCTGTTAGTTGACATGTGGTTGAACAGTTTTGAGTTGTGGTTAACCTGTACCATTGGTAAAACCAGACCAACGTACAAATTCCAGCTTGGCTTATTTCTACTAATAAACCATAAATAAGGTATAAAAGATTTCTGAGTCTCCTGAATTTTATCATCCATACAATGGATATAAAATTACTAACTCACAGAGTTATCATTAGGATGCAATCAGTCAATATAACTAAAGCACTGAAAACAGTCATAAAAGATAACGAGCACTTAATAAATGAGAGTTTGTATTTTGAGATGCTGCTTCCTAGCTTTCAAGGCAAGCAGAATCTCTTGCCCTCACCTTTGGCTCTAGCTCAGTCAGGCAGGACTTCTCCTGGAGCAAGAAGAGCCCCTAGAAGCTTCTCTGACGATAGAGAGTTTCCAGGTGTTATTAGATCCAACACAGCAGCATTGGAGCTGAAAGGTCATTAGGAGATGGGCTGAATTCCCAGAAAGGATCCTCTTGCCTCCACCCCTAGATCAAAGGCCAGGCCCAGCCCATCATCTCTGACTCTTACCTCCTGGGAGGGAGCAGCACCTGATGGGTGCCCTATTTTCATTAGCCCCTCCATCCAGTATCTCTGTTATTTGCAAAGAAAGAAAAATGGTACCTTCAGGCACTTCTTTCTCTTTCTTTCCTCCTCAGAGTATAGAATATCTGATTATCTTCTTCATGCTAGACCTTGATTTATAAACAATCTGTCTGTTATAAGATGCCTCTCCTTACAGCAACCAAAACAAAGTGGTGAACATTTCTACTTCATGTCCTTCCAAGGAGCACTTCATTTTCTCCAGAATGAGCACACGACCACTTATAGAATAATCAAAAGCAAAATTTGTTGCACTGTGCATACATTTAAGATGTTATGAATCCACATTAATTTTGTCTCACGTTATAACTATACCTTACTGCCACCTCCTTAATGATTAATAACAATTACCAGTTGTTGGCTTCTTATGTCTTTCTTGTGAAATTCACTTCATCTCCTAGGCAGCAACTACTAACTGGAGCCTAAAGACAAAGAAAAAGGGGCAAAGTCAAGAAGCTTCATTCATTCCTGGGAAGCACTTCAGCAGAAATGTGAAATAATAACACCTTTAACTGAACTGAGAAAATAGTCATTATCCATCACAGATATGTGCTCAACTGGGCTCAGGAGGTCCTTAGGAATGTTGGGGGTTTTGCCAAGCTAAATTATGTAATGATGACATGGTAGAATATAAAAGTGAATTCTGCCTTTATTGCATTCACACAAAGAAATGTTTCTCCTCTCTAAACCATAGAAACTTGGGAAACTTAAGAAAGACAAGTGAAGATGAAAGGCTAACCCAGTTTATGCAGCAGCGGAAAACAGTGTACAAAAAACACATGGCTTAAAATCCTTATCTATAAAGATGATGATGATGATGATGATGATTATTAAACTCACACTGAAAGAAAGAAAAAATTATTCAAGTAGCTGGTATGCTTTTGCAAGCACTATTGTCAATCAAAGTGATTAGACTTTTATGGTTCAAAATGAGAAATCAGGTGTGAAATGATTCCAAACTCCCTATATTTAGTAGGCAAAATAGCTTAAGATTTCACTCCAAGTTGAATTAGTATCATGTAAACCAGATCCAAGGTCCAGGAATAAAGAAAATAAGTTTAAGTCTTTTACAGAAAGATGGTTGTAGATGTGTAAGTCAACTTCTGAATGGAGAATGAACTGTGTTAATGACCCTCACTTTCCTGCCTTTGGCCCTATCCACAATCTGACCAAAGCTGACTGACCATGAAGGAACCTACTAAAAGCAATAAATTAATTTGCTTGTCAGTGACCAGTTCAATCCTCTTCTCTGTTGTTATTTGAATTAAGAGATAAAGTGGGGCTAATGAAACTATGAGGAACACAAATGTCATGAGGTCCTTATCAACTTATGTTCATCAAAACAGCACATTTTCATTTGTATATATAAGGCTGTTGCCTGGAAAATGTTTGAAAACCACTGTGGCAAGGTTACTTCAACATATGCAAATCAATAAATGTGATTCATCATATAAACAGAACTAAAGAAAAAAAACCACATGATAATCTCAACAGATGCAGAAAAGGCCTTCAATAAAATGGAATACCCCTTCAGGTTAAAAACTCTTAGTAAACTAGATATTGAAGGAATATACCTCAAAATAATAAGAGCTCTCTATGCCAGGCCCACAGCCAACATCATACTGAAAGGGCAAAAGCTGGAAGGATTCCCCTTGAAAACCAGAGAAAGACCAGGATGCCCTCTCTCACCACTCCTATTCAACATAGTATTGGAAGTCCTGACCACGGCAATCAGGCAAGAGAAAGTACTAAAGGGCATCTAAATAGAAAGAGGAAGTCAAATGATCCCTGTTTTCAGACGACAGGATCCTATACCTAGAAAACCCCATAGTCTTAGCCCAAAAGCTCCTTCAGCTGATAAACAACTTCTGCAAAGTCTCAGGATACAAAATCAATGTACAAAAATCACTAGCATTCCTATACACAAACAATGGTCAAGCCAAGAGCCAAATCAGGAATTCAATCCCACTCACAACTGACTAAAAAGAATAAAATACGTAGGCATGTAGCTAACCAGGAAGGTGAAAGATCTCTACAAGGAGAACTAAAAGACACTGGTCAAAGAAATTAGAGATGGCACAAACAAATAGAAAAATATTCCATGCTCATGAATAAGAAGAACCAATATCATAAAAATGGCCATACTGCCCAAAGCAATTTACAGATTCAATGCTATTCCTATTAAACTATGACACTCTTCACAGAACTAGAAAAATCTATTTTAAAAGTCATATGAAACAAAAAAGAGCCCAAATAGCCAAGGCAATCCTAACCAAAAGAACAAAGCTGGAGGCATCATGCTATCCAACTGCAAACTTTACTACAGCACTACAGAAACCAAAACAGCATGGTACTTGCACAAAAACAGATACATAGACTAATTGAACAGAACAGAGAATTCAGAAATGAGACCACACACCTACAACCATCTGATCTTAGACAATGCAGACAAAAATAAGCAATGTGGAAAAGGACTACCCTTTCAATAAATGGTGCTGGGATGACTGGCTAGCCATATGCAAAAGATTGAAACTGGACCCGTTACTTACTCCATAAACAAAAATTAATTCAAGATGGATTAAAAGCTCAAATGTAAAACTGAAAACTATAAAAACCTTGGGAAACAACCAAAGCAATACTATTCTGGACATAAGAACAGACAAAGATTTCGTGATGGAGACACCAAAAGCAACTGCAACAAAAACAAAAAATGACAAATGGGATCTAATTAAACTAAAGAGTTTCTGCACAGCAAAAGAAAATATCAACAGGGTAAAGAGACAACCTACAGAATGGGAGAAGTGTTTTGAAAACTAGGCATCTGACAAAAGTTTAATATCCAGCATGTATAAGGAACTCATAGTGGGCCAAAGAAATGAAGAGACACTTTCAAAAGAAGGCAAACATGTAGCCAAGAAGCATACAAAAAAAACCTCAACATCACTGATCATTAGAGAAATGCAAATCAAAACCACAGTGAGGTACCATCTCACACCAGTCTGAATGGTTATTATCAAAAAGCCAAAAAATAACAGATGCTTGTGAGGTTGCAGAGAAAAGTTAATGCTTATACACTGTTGGTGGAAATGTAAATTAGGTCAACCATTGCAGAAAACAGTGTGGTGATTCCTCAAAGACCTAAAAACAGAAATATCATTCAACACAGCAATCCCAAAGTGGGTATATACCCAAAGGAATATAAATCATTCTATCATAAAGACACATGCACACATATGTTTAATGCAGCACTATTCACAGTATCAAAGGCATGGAATCAATCTAAATGCCCACTGGTGGTAGAATGGATAAAGAAAATGTGGTACATATACACTGTGGAATACTATGCAGCCATAAAAAGGAACAGATATGTCCTTTGCAGGAACATGGCTGAAGCTAAAGGCTATTATCTTTAGCAAACTAACACAAGAACAGAAAGCCAAATACTACATGTTCTCACTTATAAATCGGAGCTAAATGATGAAAACACATGGACACATAGAAGGGAACACAGACACTGGGGCCTAACAGAGGGTGGACAGTGGGAGAAGGGAGAGAATCAGGAAAAAAAATAACTAATGAGTACTAGGCTTAATACCTGGGCCATAAAATAATCTGTACAACAAATCCCCAAAACATGAGTTTACCTATATAACAAACCTGCACATATACCCTGGCCTTAAAATAAAAGTTGAAGAAAATTGTCATTCACATGTCTATCTACAGAACTAGTCAGTCTTTCTAATAAAGTTACTTAACATTTTAAAAAAAAGGACGAGATGTTACAGAAAGATTGGGGCATGGAGAAGGAGGGGGCATCAATTTGCATGAAGGCTCAAGAAACTTGATGATTTTTATGGAGGAAAACTAATTGTATTTACCACAGTTCACCAAGGCTGGAGTGCAATGGCACGATCTCAGCTCACGGCAACCTCCACCTCCAGGGTTCAAGCGATTCCCCTGCCTCAACCTCCCGAGTAGCTGTGATTACAGGCATAAGCCACCACACCCAGCTAATTTTTGTATCATTAGTAAAGACGGGGTTTCACCATGTTGGCCAGGCTGGTCTCGAACTCCTGACCTCAGGTGATCCACCTGCCTTGGCCTCCCAAAGTGCTGGGACTACAGTCATGAGCCACCATGCCTAACTGACTATATGGCTTAATGTGCTTGGGATATTACAAGTTCATGCATGCCTGTTTCCTAGCTTTATTATTCACTATGCCACCTGTCATTCTCAAAAATGTCCCAATTTGGATGATAAATTACATTGTCAAATTAATTATGGTCACAAAGTAAAAACACAGATATATAGTGAATATATGCTGGTGTTTGCTTAACTACAATATCCTTATCCTCAAGACTGACTTTCAATTATAACATATGTTACCTACATTCTCTAGTTGTTTTTAACAAAGGGTAAAGTTATTCAATATTTCTATCCTCTTTCCAGATATTACAAGAACAATAGCATGCTTTCACACTCCTAGTCTATTTTTGCTTAGAGTTTTATAACTATCTTTCAACATAAAAAAAGGCTCAAGTACGTAACATTTTTATGGTCAATAGTTAAGTTTTATACATATCTGTGCTTACCCCCGTATCGTATTCCCTCTCTTTAGTGAAATTTATCCTCAAATAGTTATTTAAGTGAGAGATTGTGGGTTTAGTCTTTGCACACCTAAAAATGCCTTTACTTTCATTCACTGTGTGATAATTTAACTAGGTATAAAATTCCAGGCTAAGAATGAATTTCCCACAGCACTTGGACAATATTATCCTATTTTCTTTCCAAATCCATTCTTCCTTATCTAGCATCTATCCTTTGTCTAATTTCTGTTTCTTTAAAGGCAATCTTTGCTTCCCCTTTGATAGCTTTTGATATTATTTATTTTCCTTGACATTTTTAATTTTCACTACTGTGACTAGATGTTGATGTATTTTTACTGCTTCTACATGGTATTGTATATTTTGTGACCTGAAATTTCAAGTTTCCATTTTTCAGAATTATCTTCTCTATCATTCATATGAGGTTGCTATTTCTTTTGTTACTGTTTTCTCTTGGTTTTTATCTTCCCTTGCCTTCTGTGAAAACATTTCCAAGCATAACAGTTTTGTGGTAAGCTTCATCCAGTCCTCCAGGGAACCATACTTAAGATCTTACAATGGTAGTTCAGGCTTCCTACCAAAGATGATATTGTAGAGATCTCACAGCCAGTAGTCAAAGCTCTAGACAGATTATTTCAATCGCTAGCCTATATTAGAAAGCAGTGCTGCTCAAGAAGGCTGATAGGTCATGAAATAAAAACAATTTAACATTCACATAGCATGATGCAAGGTAATACCCTGACCTTCAAAAGTAACCCCAATTTTCATGTCACTGCATTGTTCAAATGTACAGAAATTACACTCTATGAACTCACATGTATGTCATGTTTTATTTTAATGTACTGGTTTAAAATATTAGTTTTTAAGTTAAAATACTAGACTGGAAAACAGCTAATATTGTAAGCATAAAGAAGCAGTAGATATCTGTCAACTTTTACTTCAATGAAGACAGTAAAGATGTTGCCTAAACCAAGTTAACGGCTCGTCTTGGTGAAACAAGAATAGGTAATAATATCAACATTAACAAAAGCATTATGCTCAGAACATCACTGATTATTCACTGATTATGACAAAAACTTTATATGCAAAAATTATTTTAATATAGAAGGTAAGAGAATAGCTTAGCTAATAGATTCACACTATTGTCTTCTGGATAGGCTGGACATTATCAGAAATTTTTGTTTCATAATACTTTTTTGTAATTACTTCTTCCCTAAAAGCTAGTGGTGATTTGCCCTTCATATTAATGTGATGACAAAAAAAGAACACTTTTTATCCTGCTTTTTTCTTTATTTCTTAGGTGTAAATCTATCTTGATAAAAGCATTTTTAATTACCCAAGTGTATCTAACACTTCTTGAAAACCACTGAAAGCCATCTTGGCTTCCTCTCTCATTCCAACCACTGCCCCAACAACCAGGTTTCTGCAGGTTTTGATTACCCAGAGTCCCTCTTCCTACCTCAACTTGCTCACATATCCATAATCCAGAAGTGTAGAAGATTTAACACCATACGAAGCCATCCCTGACCAAAGAGAAGAGGAGCTGATGGATAAACGTTTCTCCTTTCTTCCCTCAGGTTGATGGTTATTAGACATATTAATATTTTCCCCACAGGATTAAGCAACCAGTCCCTCATTACAGTGGCCATTGCATTGGGATCATTGTATTGGCTTCTCTTCTTCCCCAGTCATTTCCTTCCCCCCTCACTTCTGCTCCTAGGAATTATTCCTAAATAAACCCACTGCCTTTAAGATTTTAACTCATATTGTGTTGTCAGAGAAACTTGCTCTAAGATAGACACTTTTCAAGAGCTTAACCATTGGGCACATGAACTGACAGTCGATTTCAAAGCTGTAGCCAATTTAATGAGCCCATTTCTTTCCAATTACAGAGTTAATGTATGCCCATTTTTGTATTAAAAACAAGAGCCTTACCATTTCTAATTTGATTTCTTTCTGAGCTGTACTGGACAGTTTAAGTGCTTGACATTAAATACTTTAAATACAATTGAACTAATATGGCTTAAATCAAAGCAATTGCACATTCTGCTAGTCTCAAGCAACAGATAAAATGCCCAGAGAGACTTTTCAAAGAGGAAACGAACAAAGATCCATTGGTGAATTTTTAAGTAGATTCTGCAAGGATTTTGAAATACAAATATGCAATAAGAACCATCTCTGCCCTCTTGAGCTCATATGTTAAGAGAGACAGATAATAGATTAATATACATATATATATATACACACACACATACGAATAGTGTATTAAATGTGGTTACTTATATGATATATAAAGCATAATTTCATTCTACAAAAAATGAATATAGAAATAAGCAGTACTTAGGTCTACTCCTCCATCAAAATAAGATATATCTAGATAATCTTACCTGGGTAATATTGGATACATTACTTAAATTCTTTGATTCTAATTTTTCAGAACTGTAAAATAGAAGCAATTACAACTACCTTACAAAGTTTCTGTGAAGACTCAAAAAAGACAACTTGAAAAGTTCTGGCATTTAATATATGGTAGCTGCTATTGCCGCTCCTTGTTATATCATTTTCATAGTTTTCTTTAATAACGTTTGCTATCATTTAACATTTGCTTTAATTCATTTGCTATCATTAATATAAATTATCATGATCATTGATTCAAACGTTTGAGTACCTACTCAGTGCCAAGCACTGTGATAACCAATACAACACAAGCAAGAAAATAAAAATGGTTCAAAAGAATGGAGTTGTTTAGCAGAGACATAAGTATGGGAGGCTAAATGGAAGCTCTGAATAGGCTTTGAATACAAAAGTGTAGCGGAGGCAGCTACCTTAATATTGTGTTCACAGCACAGTGGGGCTCATTGGTGCTCAGTCCTTGTGTGCACAGTCACCAGCATGGGAGAACTCAGAATGCTGATGTGAAGTTATGACTTCCAGAGCCTGTCATTAATAGAAGTGGAGCACCTCCCATCATCCTGGGATGCATGACAATGTTAACATTGTTGTTTCACTGGCATCTCCTCTCCAGAAAATGTCGAGTTATAATTCACTCAAGCAGAGCTATTTAGCTGCCCTTCTTCTTTGTTCTGTTGTCTGTGTTTTGTCATTATGTACATTCAATTAAGATTGATATCTGAACTAAGAGAATCTGAGTTCTCACCAAGCCCCAAAGAGAAATTACTCACTGTGAACCAAAGTACTATGGCTCCATTATGTTCTGAGGGCAAGTGGCAGCTGAGTGATGACTTGTGTACTCTCTTATTTTGTTGCTGTAGTAAATGTATTTCAAATGATAATTAAAATTAGACTCAGCTGAAACACATCAGTAACCAATGCAAACGAGACTACTCCTTTTATTAATGGATGGGTGTCCTTATATCTTTTTCCATTTTATTTTATTCAGTTATTGCCTCTAAGAACAAGAAAGATTTACTTAGGCTCATTTGAATTAACCAGATTTATTTCCTTGTTGATAAATTACATTGAATTAATCCTTTTCTACTGCACCGAGGACCAAATATTGGATGAGCTACTTAATCATGAGCCTTGTCAGAGCCCAAATCCATCCCAGACTTACTAACAAAAAATTGTCAGAAGACAGGTAATAACAAATCCCAGTGAGGATGTGGGGAAAAAGGAAGCCTACATTCTGTTGCTGTGAATACAAATTAGCACAACCACCATGAAGAACAGTTTGGAGCTTCCTCAGAAAGCTAAAAATAGAACACCATATGATCCAGCAATCCCACTGCTAGGTATATACCCAAAACAAAGCAAACCAGTATATTGAAGAGATATGTGCACTCTCATGTTTACTACAGTACTATTCATGACAGTCAAGATTTAGAAGCAACCTAAGTGTCCTTCAACAGATAAATGGATAAAGAGAATTTGATACATGTACACAACCTAGTACTATTCAACAATAAAAATGAATGAGATCCTGTCATTTGCAACATGGATGGAACTGGAGGTCATTATTTTAAGTGAAATAAGTCAAGCACAGAAAGACAAACTTTTTATATTCTCACTTATTTGTGGGAGCTAAAATGTGAAACAATTGAATTAATGGAGATTGACATAGTTTGAATATATGTCCCCATCAAATATCATGGTGAACCGTAACCCCCAACATTGGAGGTGGGGTCCGGTGGGAGGTGTTTGGGTCATGGTGACAGATCCCTCATGGTTTGGTGCTGTCCTCGTGATATTGAGTGAGTTCTCATGAGATCTGGTTGTTTAAGTGTGTGCCACATCCTTTTCCACTCTCTTGTTCGTGCTCCTGCCATGTGACATGCCTGTTCCCACTTCAACTTCCCCCATAAGTAAAAGCTCCCTGAGGCTTCCCCAGAAGCCAAGCAGATGTTGGTGCCATGTTTCCTGTATAGCCTGGAGAACCATGAGCCAAATAAACCTCTTTCCTTTATAAATTACCCAGTCTCAGGTATTTCTTTATAGCAATGCAAGAACAGCCTAACACAGAGATAGAGAGTAGAATGATGGTTACCTGAATCTGGGAAGGATAGTGGGGGAGGTGTGGTGGGGGATAATTAATGGGTACAAAATATAATTAGATAGAATAAGATCTAGCATTTGATAGCACAACAAGGTGACTATAGTCAAAGATAATCTATTGTACATTTCAAAATAACTAAGTGATATGGTTTGGTTCTGTGTCCCCACCCAAATCTCACCTTGAATTGTAATCCTCATAATCCCCATGTGTCAAGGGTGGGACCAGGTGGACATAATTGGATCATGGGGGCCATTCCCCCATGCTGTTCTTGTGAGAGTGAGTTCTCACAAGAGCTGATGGTTTTAAAGCATCTGGCATTTCCCCTGTTGGCACTCACTCTGACCTGCCACCCTGTGAAACGGGTGCCTGGTTCTCCTTTGCCTTCTTCCATGATTGTAAGTTTCCTGAGACCTCCCCAGCAATGTGGAACTGTGAGTCCATTAAACCTCTTTTCTTTATAAATTACCCAGTCTCTGGTATTTCTTCATAGCAGTGAGAATAGACTAATATAGTACATTGGTGCCAAGGTAGTGGGGCATTGTTAGAAGATACCTGAGAATGTGGAAGCGACTTTGGAACTAGGCAATGGACAGGGGTCAAGACAGTTTGGAAGACTCAGAAGAAGACAGGAAGCTGTGGGAAAGTTTGGAACTTCCTAGAGTCTTGTTGAATGGCCTTGACCAAAATGCTGATAGTGATATGGACAATGAAGTCCAGGCTGAGCTGGTCTCCAATGGAGATGAGAAACTTGGTGGGAACTGGAGTAAAGGTCCCACTCACTATGCTTTAGCAAAGAGACTGGTGGCATTTTTCCCCTGCCATAGAGATCTGTAGACCTTTGAACTTGAGAGAAATGATTTAAGGTATCTGATGTAAGATATTTCTAAGCAGCAAAGCATTCAAAAGATGACAGAGCATAAAAGTTTGGAAAATTTGCAGCCTGAAGATGCAATAGAAAAGAAAAACCCATTTTGGGGGGAGAAATTCAAGCTGGCTGAAGAAATTTGCATGAGTAACGAGAAGCCAAAGGTTAATCACCAAGACAATAGGAAAAATGTCTCCAGGGCATGTCAGAGACCTTCATAGCAGCTCTTTCATCACAGGCCTGGAGGCCTAGGAGGGAAAAATGGTTTTGTGAGCCAGACTCAGAGCCCCTCTGCTGTGTGCAGCCTTGGGACCTGGTGCCCTACATCCCAATTGCTCCAGCCATGGCTAAAAGGGATCAAGGTACAGCTCAGGCCATTGCTTCAGAGGGTGCAAGCCCCACGCCTTGGTGGCTTACATGTGGTGTTCAGACTGCAGGTGCACAGAGATCAAGAATTGAGGTTTGGGAACTTCCGCCTAGATTTCAGAGGATGTATAAAAATGCCTGGATGTCCAGGCAGAAGTTTGTTGTGGGGCTGGAGCCCTTAGGGAGAACCTCTGCTAGGGCAGTGTGGAAGGGAAATGCGGTATCAGAGCCCCCATAGAGTCCCCACTGGGGTACCGCCTAGTGGAGCTGTGAGAAGAGGGCCACCATTTTTCAGACCCCAGAATGGTAGATCCACCAACAGCTTCCACTGTGCACCTGGAAAAGCCACAACCACCAGCCTGTGAAAGCAGCTAGGAAGTGGACTATACCCTGCAAAGCCATAGAGGCAGAGCTGCCCAAGGTCGTGAGAGCCCACTTCTTGCATCATCAACCTGACCTGGATGTGAGACATGGAGTCAAAGGAGATCATTTTGGAACTTTAAGGTTTAATGACTGCTCTATTGGATTTTGGACTTTCATGGGGCCTGTAGTCCCTTTGTTTGAGCCAATTTCTCCCATTTGGAATGGGAGCATTTCTCCAATGCCTGTAGTCCCATTGTATCTAGGAAGTAACTGATTTGCTATTGATTTTACTGGCTCATAGGCGGAAGGGACTTGCCTTGTCTCAGATGAGACTTTGGACTATGGACTTTTGAGTTAATGCTGAAATGAGTTAAGATTTTGGGGTACTGTTGGGAAGGCATGATTGGTTTGGGAATGTGAAAAGACATGAGATTTGAGAAATGCCAGGGGCAGGATGATATGGTTTGGCTCTGTGTCCCTACCCAAATCTCACCTCTAATTGTAATCTCCATAATCCCCATCTGTCAAGGGTAGGATCAGGTGGAGATAATTGGATCACAGGGGCTGTTTGCCCCATGCCATTCTCATAATAGTGAGCGAGTTCTCACAAGATGTGATGGTTTTATAAGCATCTGCCATTTCCTCTGCTTGCACTTATTCCAACCTGCCACCCTGTGAAGAAGGTGCCTGCTTCTCCTTTGCCTTCTCCCATAATTGTAAGTTTCCTGAGGCCTCATCAGAAATGCAGAATTGTGAATCAATTAAACCTGTTTCATAAATTACCCAGTCTCAGGTATTTCTTCATAGCAGTGTGAGAATGGACTAATACACTAAGAATATAATTGGATTTGTGAAAGGAAATTAAATTTGGGGACCCCAAACTCATTTAGCCAAAGGGAAAATTCAAGCTGGGAACTGGGTCATGCAAACCTGCCTCCCCCTTTTGGTTCCTAAAAAAGATGGTTACAGGATGAAAGGCTACATGTCTCCCTCATATTTTGCCCACAAGGAAATTCCTGGTGAGCTGTTAAAACTTCACCATGGCAATGCAGATTGACAGCTTATCTTTACAGGTGCAGTCACCCCACCCACCAAACACAAACGCACATCTGCTTATTCCCCTATTTTGTCTGTGTTATCTTATTTAAAATGCAGATTCCCCACATTTTTCCTCTGCCCCCTTTCATTTCTGTAAAAACTGTGTGGTTCTCAATATCCCACCCTTTCCCCTTTAAATTTGGAGCCCTCAAAATCTTCTTCAGAGAAAGGCATAGACATGTCTCCTGGGTGCATCCTTAACTTTGGCAAGTAAATTTCCGAAAATGATTGTGACTTGTCTCGTCATTTTCTTATTTTCTTTGATCAACAGATTGTTTGTAACATAAAGGAGGATAAACGCTTAAGGTTATGGATACCTTATTTACCCTGAGGTAATTATCATGCATTGTATGCCTGTATCAAAATATCTCATGTATGTCATAAACATATACACCTACTGTGTACCCACAATAATCAAAGACTTTTAAAATAAGTGAAGACAATCAGGGAAATGTGGAAAAAATTGTGAGAACCATGAGGATGCTGACAGAATAGACTGCCTCAGAGACACTTGAGAAATGCCCTCCTCAGGGTGTGTTCAGACCTTTTCATACACATCTAGCAAGACAAAAGTCTAGGATTTGTCATTATAAGCTAGGATAATATATTCACAATTACAAATCAAGGTTTTTGGAGGCCTAAAGCTTATGTAGTTAGGGGGGTCATTTTGAAAAATAAAAAAAATATATAAATAGAAAATTGGGCATAAAACTCAATATAAATTTAG
Organism: Homo sapiens; assembly: GCF_000001405.40. Taxonomy (NCBI): domain Eukaryota; kingdom Metazoa; phylum Chordata; class Mammalia; order Primates; family Hominidae; genus Homo; species Homo sapiens. Next base: position 87,541,183 of record NC_000011.10, on the reverse strand, counting down.
ATTTAAAAAGAAATCACAATAAATTGAAAATTTTTTAAAAATTGACAGATACCCCAAACATCACCAAATCCAGAGAAATAACACACTATGTTTACTGAGTAACTGCCTGATCCACTTCCATAATACTTTCTTCATGCCTTTTTTTTTTTTTTTTTTTGCTGCTTACTCTTTGACTACCTCTTCATATGACAGTTTTGTAGTATTATTCTTGACAGAAAAATAGTAACAGCCCTTTTTCTAGGATGATGTATAAAATGGTGTTTTATATTATGATGGCTTTGAATAGACATCAATGAGAACTGACTCCCCTGCTTACAGTGTTACATGTCTGATGATTAGAAGAACATTCTACAGAGTACCTTCCAGTTCCTTCCAGTAAGCCTTGCCATATAATTCCAGGGCCAGTAGAAGTCATTCATACTGTGATGTGATATCTATTCCTGCATCTTCATGTCATCATGGCTGAAAAAGTAAGTGTGAGGAATATTCCTGGAAGCCATTTCTATGCCAGGAAGGTTAACAATTACTTGACTCTTCATAGAAGTGGCCTTTTTCATAAAAGAGCTATTAGCATCCCTTAGATACTAGTGACAAATATTGATCTAGATCTCTCATATGGTAACTTGGGCCCCTTGTTCTCTCCTGAGTGTGTGTGTAATATAATTTTTTTGGCCTCAGCTTTTGAATTTAGATTCCTTAACTTCTGCATTGGTATGTTTGGCCTCTTCCATATTTCTCTAAATTATTTCTACTTGGGAAACCCAGCAACAAGCACAGTGCCCTCCTAAGTATAGTGTCCCTGCTATATATAATGCCCTATGGTTGACATATACCTCAGAGTCCACATTTCTGCCAATTACAGCAAATACAATCATTGAAAGGGCATTTACAAAGTATTTTTATTAAAAGCATACTCCTCAAGTTAAAAAGGTAAATGGAAAAGAAAAACATGCTTATTAAAATTAATGCTGCATTTTACCTGTGAACCTGCCTGATAACAATTCTTGAGTAATTAATCCTATATTAAGGAATCTGCATTTTTATTTTGGCAGGCGATCTTGAGGATAAGAAAAATATGGTTGAAATCACTATTCTTCAAACTCTCTGATAATAACATGGTTTATATCCTTTACTTCATTTTCTCAAATTCCCTTGATAGTTTTTTAACCTTAAAAAGTGATAGATTAAAAAGCAGGAACAAATGTAACACTTGCACAGAATTCCTAATGTCATTTATTCTCCTAACAAGCTTAGTGAGAAATGAAAAAAATGAAGGAAAAGACATTTCTTACTTATGTTCTTCCTCCAAGCAAAGCAAGAGAATAGATGTAACAGATTTCATGCATTAGTGAGCACGCTATTACCCCATTTTGCTAAAAATCAAATCAAAAGGGCCATCTGTTCTCAATAATTCCTCTTTCTTCTATACCAGCAAAATGCCCTTGGCACTGGAAGAATTCAGCAGTGTTGTAAGGAATCCCTCAGGTTTCAAACAGACCTTTGCATGAAGGTAGGGTCTATACATTCCCAAAAGTAGTTAATGAAGAAAAGGAAAAAAAAAACCCAAATGGGTGACAGTTGATCTTCTATTAATCAAAATGTTAAAGGGTCTCTATTAAATTGAATTTTCCAGTTAAGTGAAGCATAAGCGTAACATTCTTGTTACAGAACCTGCTGCATTGGACCCTGTTATAAGACCATGCTTCTCAATATGTTTTAACCTATGCCCTCTCTTGATAAACATAAACATCTCCTCTCTTCTCCAGAGATTCTGCTCCTTTGCATATGTCCAGAGGTCTTGTTCTCATCTCCATAATGGAATTACTGACAGGCAAAGAAGAGTTTATTTTCTATGTATTCTCATCAACCAAGAACTTTCCTTTAGCTTTTCTGATGTAGTTTTCATTACAAAACTAATGACTTTTTGTGGTATTTCAATTTTAAAATTTTATAATTTTAAATATGTATTTTCATATACCCACTGGGAGAGTGAGATGTCTTCCTGAAGAAAGGCTGTCTCTGCCCCCTCCCCACCCACAAGTGAGAAACACTGTTCTAAGACTAACGATTTCAATTTTCTGCTTTAGTAAATAGGATGGAGAGAACCTAATTGAATTCCCATTTAGTGCTTAGGTTCTAATAAGCCTCGGGCTCTGGATAATAAACTTAAATCTTCAATATTCAGCATTATAGCTACAGATTCAAAAAACAAGCAAACTTGACTGGAAGGTATACTGCAAAACCTGGAAATACCACAAGGTACCCCTCCCCTACTCTTTTAACAGGGTCTCAATTACTATGAACATTGTTCAGAATTTAAACTTGAAAACAGTTAGGTCAAGCTACACAAGGCAGTTTATCTTTGATGATCTTCTCCAACAGCATCTTGTATTATTTATGAAAAAATAAGCTAATCTCTTCTTTATTTATTGATTTAGAGCCCTCCTGTGTTTGCAGATATGTGACCATTTTCTCATATTGGTATTTGTTCAGGCTCTGGGTATTAAGTGCCATGATTCTTCTCATATGCTCCTGGCAATTAATCCCTCATGCAGTATGCATGCTTTCATGCCCTTTTACTGCATGACCTCCACTCTCACATCTCCCCAGGACAATATGATGCTAACACCTGGATTCTGCCTTTCCATTTCAAGAGATATTGAGTTCAGTAAACAAAACTAGAATGGGCTTGAAGTGTCTTATTTTTATTCCATCTTTTCATGGTCCCTTTGAGTTTCACCTTGAAATTAACTAGGAGAGAACAGAAAGGTGAAATTGCGCCATTTAATTTAGGTGGTACTCTGCTTTTCTTTCGTTGTTGTTGTCGTTGTTGCTGGCTCCAGAAATGCCACGGTTTCAGACAGATATTTAAACAGTAATTAAAGGATCACAGTTTGTTATATGATCCCTTGGCCATCCAGGGAGGCATCCCCCTCCTCAATTTCTTTGCTCAAAAGGGCATAAAAGTATGATTGTGGTATAAAGTTGCCAAAAGTGGAAATAGATTTTTTTAAGAAAAGATGTTCATGAGATGAAAAAGTATGGTTAACTTCTGTGGATAGTATAAGAAAGGTTATGGAAAGGAAATAATTGTAGGAGACAGAAGATTCTGCACCTCAGAAAAAGGCTTCATATCATTACAGAACAAGGTATGGCTGTGTAAAATCCCTATACCTGCAGAGAGATGAGAAAATACTTTACTATCATAAGCTACTCTTTCTCTACAGTAGCTGTAAGAGTGGTTTTCATTTACACTCACAAATCTGTCCATCTGCCAATCAGGAAACAAGCAGAGGAGGCAAAATAGGGAAGAAAACCTGTTCCAGTGGTTTGGCTTTCCCTTTGCAAGTACAAAGCTGAATTGGACAGAAGACTTTCTGTACTTCAATGACCAGTAAATTCACAACTTTATACAATATCAATGTTTCATAACAACCCCTCATAGACACAGGCAACACCTCAGGGATCAGTATAGCTAATTAACTTTTAATCTGCACACTTTTGTCTGGCTTTAGAGCTGGTTTGTATAATCAGTTTAAATTATAAATTCTGCTTTGTCAGTAAGTTATTTCCCATAATACTAGAAGCACAACAAATTCACTCTTTATATCTTCCTGAGGGGTTCATTTTGTTACAGAAATTTCTCACTTCACTGGGCCAGGCATTTTCATCCTGTATTACTGCAATGAACTTCTTTCTTAGGTAACTTCTTCAAGTTCTCCATTTTAAGTTCCTTGTTAAGCAAATTGCCAAAACTTAACAGACTGTTCTAGCTCAACTTATAATTAAGAGCTACCTAAATACCCATCCCCATCTCTCCATCTTAAACCTCCATTTTTCTTACTTATTAACACTGTGATCAACTTTTAATTAACCCACCAGAGACACCTAGAAATCTGGGGAAGAAGGTTTATTGTCATCTTACCCCAATGTCTAATGTTTGCTCTATGATGCCCTTTTGCTGTTTCTGAATAGATATTACAAGAGAAGTATCCATTTTTAATAGTTGACCAACGTAATAACATCAAGAAAGATGTGGGATTATAGAAAAACAAATTATACTACATCAAAATATAATACAGCTCTGACAAATTAGCCTTCAGAGTTTATGAAGAACTTTCTGGAGACCACACTGAAACAAGACTTCAGGAAAGTATAGGGTCATTTAACTGAAAATGTTAAAAACGATCCATTGTCTAATCCCTAGTAGACATAATTCCATGTTTTAAAAGAAATATAAACAGCAATGAAATAATAACACTCTACCGGACCCTAGAATGATGCCCAACTAGTCACAAAGAGAGGTGGCTAACTTTATAGGACGATTTTAGGTTCATAGAGTGCTTTCACTGAAATCATCTTGTGTGATTCTTACATTAGGCAGGTAAGAATTCCTTCATTTCAGTGACTAGGAAGCTGAGCTCAGCATTATTTCCACAAGATCACATAGCTACTTAATGAGAGAGTCACGCCTCTAATAATCAGTTTTCTCTTTTCCACCTTCTGGCAATTCTCTTTCCGCTGTCCCTCAAACTGATGTTTTTTGTCATTCATTCCACAAAAGCCAAGCATCTGACTCCACCAGTCACCAAGAAGAGTTTGAGGCAACCTCTCCCCAGGTTTCTGACCTTTGGCACCAAGAGGAAGGAGAATTATGCCAACTGCGTGATCACAACTCAAATATGAGAAAGGTTAGCTAAGCAGATATTTTCTACTGTTATCTTCTGTCTTAGTACATTACCCAATCTCAGGTAATGGAATACCTGAGATTGGCTAATTTACAATGAACATAAACATATTAGATCACTGTTCTGGAGGTTGTGAATGGTAAGAGCGAAGTACTGGCATTTCACAAAGGTCTTCCTGCTGCATCATCAAATGGCAGAAGGTGCTAAGGCAAGAGTGTAAAAGAATGAACCCATTCCCACAAGCTTTTTTCATAATGGCGTTAATCTATTCATGAGGGTTCCACCCAGATGACTTAAACATTTCCCAGTAAGCTCCAACTCCCAACATTATCAGATTGGGGATTAAGTTTCTAACACATGCATTCTTGGAAACACATTCAAATAATAGCACCTTCTTACATCTTGCTCTTGTAGGGTACTCAGCAAGAGTATACCTCCAACCAAGTTCAAAATCATACAATTTACAAAGTTTTTTTACACATCTTAATTTTTAAATATATGTTGTATATGCATTTTTTATACTTAGTAGTTTTAATGTTTATATGTTAATTATAATGTTAACTCTTTGTAGCCTTAATTTTTAGTGAAAACCTACGAAGTAATTTTAATTTTTTATTAGATGTAGAGTATAGAACAAAGGGCAGGGCTACAGAGAAACTGTCTGGCAGATCCAACCCCTCCCAGCATGGCCAGAAGGCACATTTGGGTCAGGGAAGACAGGGTCCGAATGCCATCCCCAGATCTTACCATGGCCACTCATCTAGAACTCAGAATTTAAAGTCTCAAGTTTAATGACGTAATCTCACAGACAAATTAAGTATCAAAAACATTATAGAAGTAACAGTTTTATGACCTTAAAAAGCTCGTAGAGATAGTATAAACCTGTTTGACCAATAGACCTAGGCAAAGAAACTGTCTAAATTAAAGTTTGAAGATGTTTTTATTTTATTAACAAGTTTAAAACTATTTGTCTTTACCAAAAATTATTAAAGCTACATTAACTTGAAAAGTATTTGGGCTAGTTATTTGATTTATGTGGATTCATTTATACATAAGTTAATTTGTTACCATGTTAGCATTACAGGCATATACACATATATACAGTACACATAAAGACACAGACACAAAGACTTCATCATTTTGATTTTAAAATTTTAGATACGTAATCACTAAAACTAACTAGCTTAAAAGGACAGTGGGAGTTAAACTGTGTCTTCATAAATGAAAAAGGCTAAGTTTATCTGTCTTACATGGCTGCAAAGAGAAGATTTCAGCTTTTTAAAGGAGCTTTGGTGGGCTAGTTAAGGAAGATCAAAAATGAATGTTAAAGTAACTTACAAATAATAGGAATCTACCATAGATTTTTATAAAGATACTAATTTTACTTAAATAATTAGCTTTTAATTTAGTCTGTTTTTTAACTGGACCATTGAGCTCAGGGCAGAGCCCAATAAGGAAAAGGGCCAACAAAACATTTGTAGTTCTTAGGGCCTAATAATTTAAATATATGAAAAGCAGGTATAGTTGAAAGGCAAAGTATCTAGAGTATCTAGATTTTTAAAAATTAAAGAGTCCACCTTTACACTGAATCTCAGGTTCCCAAAAAGAGGGAAATGCCATGAGAACAGGTCCTGCAATGCTTATGAAGCGTACTTTGTTATAAAGACATTTTTAAGTGTTTAAACTGCACCTTTTAAAATCTAAGCACATAAAGAAACAAGTAGTCCCATGCAGTAATAACCATTTACTGTAAACAATTGTTGCCAGCCACCTCTAAAACCATAGCTCTTTCCAGTGATTCACCAATTATCACACACAGAAAGTTAAAGTGTTTTCCACAGTATAAAGTAATACGTGGTACCTCCAAAAGCCAGAGATTACATAATGCAACGTGAAAGACAGAGTTTTAGGCCAGAGCAGAATCTGCCCATGACATTTTAGACTCCACAGCAAGACCGAAGACTGCAAAAAGGGAGTGAGTGGAACCCTTTTCTGTGTTCCTGTTTTTGTTTTGTTTTGTTTTGTTTTTTGGAGATAGGATCTCACTCTGTCACCCAGCCTTAAGTGCAATGATGTGATCACAGCTCACTACAGCCTCAACTTCTATTGTTATCTTCTGTCTTAGTCCATTTTGTGCTGCTATAACAGAATACCTGAGATTGGGTAATCTGCAAGTGATTTACAAGTGATTTTTCCACCTCAGCCTCCCAAGTAGCTGAGACTACAGGCATGCACCACCACATCCGGCTAATTTTTGTGTTTTTTTGTAGAGACAGTCTCACTATGCTGCCCAGGCTGCTCTTGACCTCGTGGACTCAAATAATCCTCCTGCCTCAGCCACCTAAGTCACTAGGATTGCAGGCATGAGCCACTGCAAAAGATCTGAAATATTAGATCCCTTCATGTAATATTTAAGACAGCAAAAAGGAAAAAAGAGTAGGAAGTAGAAGTAAATGGGAGAACAATTTTTAAGAAAGTAAATGAATAGAGGGATCAAGCACATAATTTTCAAAAGTTGAAGTAGTTTAGTTGACTGAAAAAAATTTTAATGGTAAAAAAGAAAAAAGCAGAAAGGTGTTTAAAATGTGTGTGTGTGTGTGTGTGTGTGTGTGTGTGTGTCTATATAGCTTGAATATCAGCTTTTAATTAAGCTAATTTCTGACCACAAACCTCTTTAAAAAAAATACCTTTAATTCTCTTACTATCAGATTTTAGTCAGGACAAACAAGATGTATTCCTGGCTTTTGAACGTTTTACCTAAGGTGGCCTCCCAAGTGAAACCAATACATCTTAACCAAGATTATGATTTAACCAAGGATGCACAAGTCATTGCCAAAGAAGTGTAAGGCAGTCCTCACAAGATATGGAACCATCTGAAGACAGCTTGAAGAAAGGAAAGTTTCACGGCTGCAAATGGGGTATGGCCCACATCTCTCTGGCCATATTTTCTAGGGTCTCATCTTCTTGGTTGACCATCTACACACAAAGGACCAAAAGCCTTTTATGTCCCCACAGAGAAGGAACAGGAAAGTAAAAACCGCCCATGGAAGAGAAAAGGATCAGTAAATTAATTATTATAGTGCCCCAAAAAGTGAAGTTACACAAATGTAAAACTTAAAAAGCCTAATTTCCGGACTGTGAATCAAACCCAGGCCACAATTGTGAATGCACAGAGATTTAACTAGTGAGTACAAGATGGAGCAGCCCACATCGTGAACCTCTATTGAAAGCAGGCAGCTTGAGTTTCTGAAAGATTTTAACTTTTAACTCTGTTTTAGGTCAGATTTTTGTTAATTTAGTCAAGAGAATTTCTAAAGCTAGCCATGACACTGTTATGTATAATCTTTTTTGATTTTTTAATAACTATAGATAAGGCAATTATTTAGAATAACAGCTTTTTAAATTATTTTCTTCTTAGTTTAGGAGTATTTTTTAATTTAAATGAGCTATCTTCTGGCCATTGATAATTAGAACTTATAATGGTGTGCTTCTTCCAACAGAGACTCAATCTATTAGCGTCCTCATGGAAAGGCCAGGATATAATTTTCTAGGTTTAGAAGTGTTTCCTGGAGAGGGTATAGAAGAAACAATCTCATAAGATCTTTCCCAAAAACAATTATCTCCAAGAATAGGCTAAGATAGCAAGACTCCTGTTGCCACAGACTTATCAGACAACAAGAGTATTGAGACAACAAAAACTTTTTACTGATGGGACTTCTTAGTAAAACTAACTCTCCCAAGAGCTTAATACATTCAGAACAAAAAGTGTGTTTATGTGTCTCAGATTCCCAGGCATTTACAGACTGGCCACCTGGCATGATCTAAAAATCACACCTCTTGAATTACTCACCATTAGGGATAAGAAATAAAAAATAAAAACCACACTTCCCAAATGACAGAGACCAAGAGAGAATGCTTCCACTTCGTCACAAGGCAAGTTCTCAAGGACATAAAAAACGACAAGGGGGAATCCCATTCAGTATTCCTCTTCATGACAAAACAACACAGAAACACAAAGACAGAGGAAAGGAGTATTTCTAGGGAGAAAGTTATCAAATAATATGAATATTCATACCAAAAGTAATAAAAAACACGTCAGTGTCACTACACCCAAGACCGGTTACGTAAATCCTTTTCTCCCATTATCTAAAACTTGTGGAGGAAAAATAGAGAGATTTTTACCATATGCTTGACCAGGTATCACAGAGAAAGAGGTCGGGACCCTGGTTGGTAAGAAAGTCTTATACCTATGTGGGCTAGTCAGATCCTGGGTTTCCTTCATTACAGCTTCTAAAAGAGTAGAGATCTGGTATCCTGCTCACAGCACCAAAACTGTGGGGGCTAAGAGAGAAATGTTCCCTTCACCATCTGAAGGTTTGCTGAGAAATCAGCTCACAAAAGGCAGATTGAGAGAAAAGGCAAATAAATGTATTAATGTGTATACAGGAGAAAAATCACAGAGTGATTACTCAATCCCCAAGGGGGAACAGAAGCTTATATATCATCTTAAGGTTACAGAAAGAATGTGGGCTTGGATCCTGAAAAAATGGGTTGTGGAATGGGGTAAAGTGAGGAATTCTCTTAAGGTTACAGAAAGAATGTGGGCTTGGATCCTGAAAAAATGGGTTGTGGAATGGGGTAAAGTGAGGAATTCTCTTAAGGTTACAGAAAGAATGTGGGCTTGGATCCTGAAAAAATGGGTTGTGGAATGGGGTAAAGTGAGGAATTCTCTTGAGGACCAACAAATAATTACTAGGGAAAACAAATGGATAAGGGAACAGAGATTAACTTGTAAATATTTTTCTTTGGAATTTGAATGATCCTGAGAGACAGGCACCATCTCCTGAAAGGGTCTGTTCAAATGTGGTTACATTCTTGGTCTTTCTGCGGCAGGCAATGACATAATAGGAAGGGGAGAAAAAAATGATTGTTCTCCTTGGTGGACCTGAACTTTAGGCAGGTAAAGAAACTTCAGAGAACAACTTTATTCTGTCCTTCGGGAGAGATGGTGGGGAGTCAGAGACCACCTTGAGACTTCTTCAGTTTCACGTGTCAAAGCACTATACTTCGGGGCATCAGTTTCTGAGCCCCTGCACCTGCCTATTACTTTCCCAAATCTGTTTCTTATACCAACTCTTCCTCCTCTGCCTTTCCATCAAATCCTGTTTTAGCTGTCTTCATTATTCATTGCCTACTTGTTATGGCCTAGTTATGAAGCTTTAACCAAACCAAGAGTGTGTCTACATAGTGAGATGGCTACAAAAACTTGCACCTATTTTAGCAGCAATCAAAGCCAGAGCCTACTATGGCCCTGGAGGGAAATTTAAATCTCCAACATCCATCATGTGCTAACAACTTTCTCCATTTGACACGTAGTACCGAAAAGAATACAAAAATATCTCAGGCCTTGCCTAATTTGTCATCTATGTCTTACTTAACACAGAGTCTCTAAGAAACCCAAAATTACATGTATTATTTTTTGCCTCTTAAGCCACTGCTCCCTCTGTTGTCTAAATATGAAAAACCTGGATAAAACACAGTCTCTATCCTCATGAGACTTACATAGGAAACTGAGCCCATGCAAAAGACAAATTTTGTGTTGTTAACTTCAAATAGTGAAGGTCAGAAAATATGATTACATATAGAATTTATTCAAGCACAAAGCTTGAAAATTGCCATCCAGGAAACATTGACTCCAAATGAATGAGGTCAGCATTCCCAAGTGGAGAAGTTAAAATTACACTTACGTGGGCATAGACAAAGAAATTGTAACAGGATTATGTTTTCTACATGAGACCACAATATTTTACAGCAATTTGACTAGTTACAGATTACCACATTCCGAGAAAGATTACTTTATTACTCCATGAAGAGGGGTAGTAATTTAAGGAGGCTCTACCTCTGGTGCCATTTTGTCTTCCTAATTATTCAAAGAAAAAAAAGGCAGAAGTTGCAGCTTCATGCCACAAAACTCAGGCTGTATAGCTGCATTCCTCCCAAGGCTCAGAATAATTTAATGTTTGTTCCAAATGCTTCAAGTTTGAATTATTCAATAAAGTTAGAATTATTTAATTTTGCAGTGTGAGTTATCACAGTGTACGCAGTTCTGAATATCAGGTGCTATATTTACAAAGTACTAAATAACTATTTATTAAATAAATTGTAATTATAGAGAATCAAGTATAGTGAGATTAAAAATCTCCAATCTTTCCTCTCTTCTCTCACACCACAACAATCAACATAGATGACTTCTGTGACTAAATGTGTACAAGTCCCCATACACAAAGCAAGCAAGAAATTCCTCTGCAAACACAAGCTAGGTGTCTTCCAATTCCATCCCAACACTACCTACCTGGCGATGGTCTCAGATCCCAAAGGCTGAGAACTTAGTAACATAAGACCAACCCCCCTCCCTATCAGTTGTTAAGTCCAGGCTGCTGGAACTTCTGACATATTAGCTTCAAGTTGGGGTTCCCACTGTTACCAGAAATGGGTCCCAACACAGACACCAAGAGGTGGTTCTTGGATCATACACAAGAAAGAATTCAAGGCAAATCTATAAAGTGTGAGCAAGTTTACTAAGAAAGTAAAGGAATAAAATAATGGCTACTCCATAGGCAGAACATGAGCAGCATAGGCTGTTCAAGTAAGTATACTTACAGTTATTTCTTGATTATATGCTAAACAAGGGGTGGATTATTCTTGAGTTTTCCAGGAAAGGGTTGGGCAATTCCTAGAATTCCCCTTCTTAAGACCTTATAGGGTTCCTCCCCATATTAGTCAGGATTCTCTAGAGGGACAGAACTAGAGTTTATTAGGAGTATTGACTCACATGATCACAAGGTGAAGTTCCACAATAGGCCATCTGCAATAAGAGGAGCAAGGAAGCCAGTCCAAGTCCCAAAACCTCAAAACCAGGGAATCCAACAGTGCAGCCTTTAGTCTATGGCTTAAGGCCCAAGCACCCCTGGCAAACCACTGGTGTAAGTCCAAGAGTCGAAAAGCTGAAAAACTTGTCATATGATGTTTGAGACAGGAAACATCCAGCATGGGAGAAAATGAAGGCCAGACGACTCAGCAAGTCTGCTTTTTCCATCTTCTTTTGCCTGCTTTATTCTAGCCATACTGGCAGCTGATTAGATGGTGCCCGCCTAGATTGTAGGCCAGTCTGCCTCTCCCAGTCCACTGACTCAAATTTTAATCTCCTTTGGCAACGATGGCATCTGGAGTGGCCTCTGTGAAGACACCACCTAAGCCAGGGAGGCATGGCCAAGCCTACATGCTCTGCTGGCCTGCAGGAGCCAGGAAGAGCCAACAGTCTTGTCCCTAGTTAAAGGGGCAGGAGCCCTGTGCTCCCAGGTGCAGCTGAAGCCACCCAGCAGTGGCGCTGGACTCTGCCATCTCTACACTCTCAGAGGCCCAGGAAGCCCCTGCCCCTGCAGGCTTGAAAGTGCCTGCTCCTTCTCCCTGGCCTCTTCCCACCCTCAGAGCCTGCTCTGGGATGAAGCAAAGTTGTCGCACTGTCACAACATGGGCTGCGTGTGTGTGAGTTCAGGGTGGCACTGACATGCCAGCCCCCTGACAACTCAGCCCCCTCTGGACTTTGGGTGCCCAAGAGCACAGGAAGGAGGCTGTGAGGGGCTGAGGGTGGTTGAGCACAGGCCTACAGGTGCCTCTCAGCACAGACTGGGCACCATGGACAGCATGTTGATGGCAGGAGGCAGACAGGGGTGGATGCCTGGTGAAATTCCACCGTGAAACCAAGGACCATCTGAAGCCTGGGATCCAGGCTGTCAGTTCAGGGTGTAGTTCGTGGCTGGGAGTAAGAACTTATGGTGCTTTTTTCAGGCCCGCCCATGGCCATCCATGTACCAATCAGCACACACCTCCTCCCTTCTGAGACCATAAAAACCCCAGACTCAGCCAGACTCAAGCAGACACTGGGACTACCAGCTGTGGGAAGGAGCTACCCACTTCAGGTCTCCTTGACTCCTCAGGAAAACCTGCCTGTGGAAAGAGCTACCCAATGCGGGTCTCTTCTCTACTGAGAGCTGGACACTCATTGGGATGACCTGCCTGCACAAAGGAGCTACCCACTGTAGGTCTCCTCAGAGCTTTTCTGTCACTCAATGAAGCTCACCTGCATCTTGCTCACCCCTCCAGTTGTCTGAGTACCACATTCTTCCTGGACACAGGACAATAAGTTGGAACCTACCAAATGATGGGACTGAAAGAGCTGTAACATAAAGAGAGCTGAAACATGCCCCCACCCCCAACCACTCACTATGTTGCAGGCAATGAGAAGGAAAGAAGAGCTGCAGCCTTTCAGAGAATCCAGACCCAGAGGCTCCCTGAGCGAGGGCTGTGACACCCTCCTTTGGGGCTCTGTGGTTCCTGGTGTTTCCAAGTTTCTGGGAGCCACTGAATTCCCCTTGTCCAGACACAGGTACCCACAGTGGAAGCCGCATGTGGTACATCTGGTCCAGCTGTAACCTTGCACAGAGCCAGCACCTGTGCTGGTGCCTGGAGCTGCCCACTCCACCACAGCAGGTAGTATGCCTGGCTGTGCACAGTGGCCAGACCCCATGCTTGCTCATACACACACCCCTCACTGCTCCATGCCTGGCTTACCCTTGGAAGGTGTGGGATCTGGGCCAGTAGCACAAGCTGAGCGCAGCCTGCCTGAACAAATGGGCGGAACAAGCCTAGCAGGCACCAGCAATACCCAGGCAGAAGGTGCTGCTGTACACAGAGGTTTTCAGCTGGTGAAGAGACACCCCAAGGATCTTGTGACAGCAACACCCTCACAGACACACACTCAGTAACAATACTTTCCATCCTTCAATCCAGTCAAGTTGACACTCAATATTAACTATCACACTCCCCCTTTTAGACCACAAAGTGTAACTTCCTGACATTGCCATAGCATTTGTGAACTGTCATGGTACTGGTGGGAGGTCTTTTAGCATGGGAATGTATTATAACTAGCATATAATAAGCAGTGAGGACAACCAAAGGTCACTTTCATAGCCATCTTTGTTTTGGTGGGTTTTAGCTGCTGCTTAACTACAACCCATTTTGTCAGCAAGGTCTTTATGACCTGTATTTTGTGCTGACCTCCTATCTCATCCTGTGACTTAGAATGCCTAATGTCCTGCAAATGCAGCCCAGTAGGTCTCAGCCTTATTTTGCCAGCCCCTATTCAAGATGGAGTTGCTCTGGTTTGAACATCTCTGACACCACAAGCCCCTCTCCTGGTATGATTAATTTGCTAAAGCTCACAGAACTCAAGGAAACATATTTACTGGTTTATTATTAAGATATCACAAAGGAGGTGGATGAAGATACACATACGGTGAGGTATGATGGAAGGGTTTTGAAGTTTACATGCCCTCCCAAGGTACACTACCCTCCAAAATCCTCTAAGTGTTCAGCTGTCAGGAAGCACTCCAAACCCAGGCCCTTTGGGTTTTTTGTGAAAGATTTATTATGTAGGTGAGAGTGATTAAATTGTTGGTCATTGGTGGTCAATTCAACCTTCAAACTCTCTCCACTCAATGGATGTGGGGGGAGATGGGGCTAAAAGTCCCAACCCTCTAATCATGCCTTGATTTTTCAGGTAACCAGCCCCCATCCTGAACCTACCTATGGGCTATCAGCCATCAGTCTAGCATTAGCATACAAAAATACATCACTTTGGAGTTTCTAAGGATTTAAGAGTTGTATGCCAGGAAATAGGTTCAAAAACCAAACATATATTTTACAGCAGCACAGAGAGATATTCTGTTAAAATGCTTATAATCACTGCTTCAAGAGAAACATAAGCTAACTGGCTAAGAGAGATGATGATAAGATCTGAAGTGTAGCTGGATAACCTAAAATGTCTCAAATGTCCCTCATTATTGAGTTGCCTCACTTATACTAAGAGCCATCTGCACAAATAAGACAAACAGTTATGAAACTCAGTGAATTTGTTAGTCATTTGTAAAACAGTTTTAAACACACATTTTTGTATGTCTTTCAGAAAGCCAGTTTTCCTTTAGTTTCAGCTACTTTCTTTTCATTTTTGATCTTTGAATTCACCTAATACATATAAATGTGTTTTCATTTAATAAAACAATATTTGGTTTTAAAAAATTATGAGCTAGTTTTCTGGTGGGATTTCAAGGCCAGCCACTATCTTCAATGTTTTATATTTTTCCTTCACTCATTATCAAAATTACTACATAACTTGTAGCTTTATGCCATTCAAATGCTGAATGACTTTATGTGCTAGTTCTATTACTCCTAAATGACTGATGGAGAAGCTGAGGCTTATGGCACCTAAGTGGCCTCACAGATAACCTTGAGAGGGCAGTCATTGCAAACGGTGACTGGATGTACAGTTGGAGAGCAGGGCAGAGAAATATTTCAGGTTTACTGAACAGCTTTTTAAGCATAAGCAAAAGTACAGAACTGAGAGCAGACCCAGCTGGCCCAGGAACTAGAAATTCTCTTTTGTCACCTAGAACTATCTAGCTTCAAGGCTCAGTCTTGCAGCTTTGTCTTTCAATAACAGATTTAGAATTACTTTACCTCTGGTGAAATATAATAGGCATCTGCTTTATAAAATTTTATAAAGGAAATATGAAAATACTCCTTTATAATACTTTTTTCCACTAACTGTAAGCCAGGTTTTTAAATTTCCCATTATACGCAGAATCAATACATACTGAGTTTGTATCTTGTCTCTTGCTACAAATGAGCTAGGTATAATGGTTTTGCTGAGACTTATCTCCAAAGTGGAGATAATAATATCCACTCCATACAGCTGTCAGGAGGACTAAAAGAGGTAATTTAATGTGTTATAGGAACCAAGGGAAAACTTCCCCTTCACTGGCAGAAGAAGGTTTGCTGAAAATCAACTGACAAAAGGTAGATTAACGGGAGGAAAGACATAGAAACTTACTAGTGTGTATAGGAAGACCTAGAGAGTAATTAGCCCACTCTTCAATAGGATTTAGAAGCTTATGTACCATCTTGAGTTTTGTTACCTGAGAAACAAAAATAGATGCCCCTTTGTCAACTAAGACAGACCCTAAGGTTAAGAAAACAAAAGTTACCTACAGATCCAGGGTTCAGGGCAGCTAGCATGGCAACTCCTTAAATTTCTAGGGCTACACAAAAAACTACATTCCTGCTAAATTCTCTAACAATAGGAGCTATCAGACAACACATCGGACCTGATTTACAACCCAGACCACTACAGGTATGATTGAACTGAGGGACAGCCCTACAAACATTCTTTATTGATAAGCAATTGCAAACCTTAAGCCAGTTTGGGTCAGCTTACAGAGGGTGTGCACAAACTGTCTTTGTGTTCTATAATTCACCTTTTGATGTAAATAAGCAAATTCAATCTAATTTTAATGCTAAACTATCCCCTCTCCCGACCTCAAAGTGAACATGTGATGTATGTTACATATGTTTACCCATTGCAAATGTGTTTGACATCCTCCCACAAATATGTGTAGTATTCCCCCCAAACATGCTGAATATTTATGACTCTACTGTGATACAGGCCCTGTGATGCATAAAACTTACACCTGTCCTTCCCCTCTTCAAAGAAAGAGCACCTTCAGTCCGGAGGCTATTTTTTCCAAGTTTGCAAACTAATATCACCAGTAAATCGCTCCTTTCTGCTATTTAGCCATCCTGGGGGTGTGTTTTGGACAACAGGTTACAGAAAGAATGGGGCTTGTATCAGGGCAAAACAAGTTATGGTGGAAAAACAGGTTATGGAAGGGGACAAAAAAAGGAGGCCTACCTAGCAAAGGTGGTCTTATTATACAGATGAAATCTCAGAGATAATAGATGGTGAATGTTTCTTTCAGATATTTAAAGGTGTCAGACTCTCAGTTAATCTTTCCTGGATCCAACAAGGCCCTCAGAGAAAATCTGGCTGTATCAATGCAGATTTTCTCTACAGATGCAAATCTCCCCTGACAAAAAAGCAGCTTCTTAGCTAGCCTTTTATTTACAGCCCTTCTTAATAGCCATCTTGAACTATGTCAAGAAAAATATTTAGGGGTGATGTAATTGCCAAACTGGGTTCTTCTTGCCTGGGGCACCAATAGTCAAAGCACTGAGACAGTGATGTTGCAGCAGAGAAAGAGTTTAATTATTACAAGGCAGCTGAGCAGAAGGGCAGGACACGTTTCTCAAATCCATTTTCTTGAGAGCTCCAAGGCTAGGACTTTTAAGGATAATTTGGCAGGGAAGGGGCTAGGAAATGGGTACTGCTGATTGGTTGGGGATGAAATCATGGAAGTTTCCAAACTGTTTTTGCATGCCGATTCAGCCTCTGGATATGAGTCCAAGCCTGGATGGCATCAGTTGGTCCACTTGAATGTAAAAGTCTGAAAAATATCTCAAAGACTAATCGTAGGTTTTGACCATAGTGATATTATTAGAGCAATTGAAGAAGTTTCAAATCTTGTGAACTCCAGGTACATGACTCCTGAGCAGTAAGGAATTATAGAAAAGCAAGCTAGGGAACAATGGCTGGCTATCTTTATGCCTACATCTTGGCAGAATTCAGACCTCTCCCATAATCCTAACCTTAAGGCCTTTCAGTAGTCTTACAAAGGCAGTTTCAATCCCTAGAGGGGGCTTGTTTGGAGAAGGGGCTATCATCGTTGCTTTAAAGTTAAACTAGAAACTCAATTCCTCCCATAGCTAGGTGACCTGATACCAAAGACAGTTAGCTTGTGAAGTTAAAAGCAAAATGGAGTCAGCTATGTTAGATTTCTCTCACTGTCATACTTTTTGCAAAGGTAGTTTCAGTGAAATATTTTGGTTTCCTTCCTGTAAAGGAACCCAGTAAGTGCCTGGCACAAAGAAGTATTGTTTTTAGCTGGCACCAATGAATATGGCTTTATTTGGTTATTATCACCTGTTTTTGATATCTTTCCCCCTCCTAACTTTTCATAGCTCTGCAATGTTTTTGACATCAATAAATCACTAGTATCTCCAATTCCAGGCAATCTAGCCTAAAAAAGGGAAGGAAGTCAGCAATTGGAAACTTTACACCATAACTTTCAATAATTCTGTTTTTAAAGTAGTAATTAGAAGTCTGAATTCTACCAACTGTTTTTAAAAGTTGCAAAATGTTTTCTATTTCTTTCCAGAATTGTGCTGATACTGAAAAATCACATTAAAAATTCTGCATAGACAATTGTGTTGGAGTAAATAGCTTAATTTTTTTTTTTTTTTTTTTTTTTTTTTTTTTTTTTTTTTTTTTTTTTGAGACAGAGTCTCACTCTGTCACCCAGGCTGGAGTGCAGTGGTGCCATCTCGGCTCACTGCAAGCTCCACCTCCCAGGTTCCTGCCATTCTCCTGACTGAGCCTCCTGAGTACCTGGGACTACAGGCACCCACCACCATGCCTGGCTAATTTTTTGTATTTTTTAGTAGAGACAGGGTTTCACCCTGTTAGCCAGGATGGTCTTTATCTCCCGACCTCATGATCCGCCCACCTCAGCCTCCCAAAGTGCTGGGTTAATGGCTTAAATTTTAATACTTCCCTCCTGATACATCAGCTAAGCATTGTCACCAAGGGCAAATCTGGACTTCTTTCTAGAAGCCCATCTTCTCCCCAGGGCTTATTTTAAACCGTAATCTACTTACTCTTAGGGACATGTTCTAACATTAAACCGAGACGTAAACAGTTTGATACCCCCAGTTATTTTGTGTTGTAATTTAACAGCTAGAATAATTTCACCTCTAGGCATATGTGCTAGGAGTTGAGAGGAATAGAAACAATCTTGTAGTGGAAATTAGTCCAAGCAATACCTAAGCTAGGAGGCACTGGTGGTCTGAAGGAGGGAACGCACAAAGGAACAGGTGAAGACTCAGATGGAAAGTAGAATCCAGCAACCAACAAACAAGTCAAGAGCTAAGAATTGAGAGACCGAGATAGGCAGGACAGGGGCCAAGAGCAGGCTGCGGCAAAGCATGGCAGATGAGGCATTTGCTGGCACAAGGTTCTACCATCAACATCAAAAATGGCCTGAGGTTTGTATTTGACACAGCTGCCCAGTGAAAATTTCAAGAATACAGAGGACACAGTTTTTAGCTAGGGCTCCTAGCCAAACATTCAGTGGCCTATTGGCTATCAAACACAAGAGGGAATTTTCAGTTTTTATCTCTCTAACCTTTCTTTGTTATCTGACAGCATTAGTCAAAGAACTTAAGACACTTCTCCTTAGCTTCTGGGATCCTGAGGTCCTCATGTTAATTTCTAGCCTTTCCTTGATGGCTCTTTAAGCTGGATCAGCCAGTTTCTAAATATGATAATAGTATTTACTTCCTACTCTCTGGATAGTCTCCTCCATGCTTTATCTATCTTCTATGTAGAGATGCCCTGTAGATTATTATCCCTCCTAAAGCTCACTACTGAATTCCAGTCCCCTTTATCAAGTGTTTAAAGATCATATGAGCATTTCATTACCTCCAGCCCATACTTCCTCCTCTCTCCCTCTTTTTCCCTTCTTCTGTCTTCCTCTTCTGCCTCCCTGAATGTCCTTTGCCCTCGCCTGGAACACACACACACCTGCAAACACCTACACAAACAAAAACCCAATGTAATTTAAAACAGTGCTTATTAAACTTCAATGTGCAAACAGGTATCTTGCTACAGTTCTACAATTCAGATTATGATTCAGAAGTCTGGAGTGGGACCTCAAATTCTGCATTTCTAACAACTCCCAGGTTTTACTGATGCTGCTGCCTCCGAGCCCAAACTTAGGGTAACAAGGGCAACCAGAGACCAAGTCATCTGCATTCGATTCTCAATTCTACCACAACCTCTTCTCACACGCCGAGTTATTCTACTCCCCTGTTTAAGCTTCAGTCTCTCCAACTGTAAAATGAGGCGAATGGACTCAACAATTCCAGAGGTTTTTATCCAGTTCTAATAACATAGATGGAGAGTTGAAACTGAACTATAGCTACCAAGATATAAGTCACTTCTGTACAATAAACCCTATGAAAAACTAACCAGGATTTAGTAGTGATGCTAACCTGAGCAGAAACAGTCTACAAAAGACACAGTTCTAGAACATACACATTCTTAAAGGCATTGGGCTGGGGGCAAAATTGGCAAGGTTAAAACACAGTGATATTTTCCAAAATAATAACATTTTGAAATGACTTTTCTCAGTGGGTCTATAAATCAAATGATAGCCATCAGGAAGACAGAGAATAATCACTGAATAAATAGTAGTGAAACGAAACTCAAAAATAAGGTTATTCCAAGTCTAACGGTTATTTTTTTATGTCCTGGAAGCAAGGCATTTAGAGCTATTCTATATTTTTCCCTGGTGAGTAGATGACACAGTTTCCATATTGGTTTTTATTTTCCTATCATGGTGATGGAGTACAGAAAAAACAGAACTTGGAATACTATGATTTTTGTTCAAGTCTATATTCTGCCTCTTACTAGCTATGTCATCTTCGGTTTTTTTGTGAGGGTTTTGTTGGTGGTGGTGGTGGTAGTGGTGGTGGTGGTGGTGGTTTTGAGACAGGGTCTGGCTGTGTTGCCCTCATTTTACCAATTAAAAACCATAGGCTAGGCCGGGTGCTGTGGCTCATGCCCATAATCGCAGGCACTTTGGGAGGCCGAGGCAGGCGTATTACCCGATGTCAGGAGTTTGAGACCAGCCTGGCCAACATGGTGAAACCTTGTCTCTACTAAAAACACAAAAATTAGCCGGGTGTGGTGCACATGCCTGTAATCCCAGCTACTTGGGAGACTGAGGCAGGAGAATCACTTGAACCTTGAAGGCAGAGGTTGCAGTGAACTGAGATTGCACCACTGCACTTCAGCCTGGGCAACAGAGTGAGAACATGCTTCAAAAACAAAAACCATAGGCTTGCACAGTTTGTCCTATCTGTTGTCTTGGCAAACTACAAGACTTTATTTTTAAATTGGTAAAATTAGGGTAATAATAATACATATACCATTATGTTGCTTTGGGGATCAAATTAATGAGAATTAAAGTTTAACAAACTTATAGAATATTATAAAAATGTGAGAAGAGAGAAAGTCTAAGACAGGAGGGGAGAGAGAGGAATAGAGGTAATTATTGTGAAAATAAGTTGAAAAATTAATAGATTTATATCGTTTTCTCCCTTAAAATCCTTCAATTACCCCCATTACCCCCAGAAATCATGCTTTTCAGGGGTCATCATGATCTGGCCTCTGCCTATATTTCTAGCCCCTTTCATACAACATGTTGGCCTCTTTATTAACAGGTGTCTGTGGAGTCTCCATGTTGAGTAAATGATTAAAATAATAAATGTGTTCTGATTTAAATGAAAACTGGAACCGCCATTCAGAATTTCCCACCATGTGCCAAACATTACATTAGTTGCTTAATTTTTACATCCATTCTGTAAAAGGTTGAGTTTGGGCTTCATGGCTAATAAACAGCAGAGCTGGGATTTGAACACCTGAACCATGTTACATTTGACAGTCTCTTCCATTGTCTTGGTTCTACCAGCTATAGATGAAATGACTGAATCTGCTTCCTAATACTGTTCATTCCCCATTTTTGCACACTGCCTCTTCCCTTTGGTTTAAGCACAGGATGTGTCAAAATTTCCAAAGATTAGAAATGGAATCTGTTTTCATCATGCACCAATAAAAACAAAACTTCTGTCATCAACTTCTGTCATATGTTGATATAATAAAATGTTTTCCCAAAGAATAACTAACAGTAGCAGTAACAATTAGGTGTAGACCCCTTACATACCTAGTCAGTTTATCATGGCATGTAGAATATTATATGTTAGATTACTAAGGTGCAATAACAGAGTGGCAACTACTGTTTTGGCACTGGCTACATAGCAAAAAAGAGAGGTACTGAGGTTCGCTCTAACAGAGAACTAAAAAAAAATTAATTCTAATGTTTCCATACCAGTTTATTGGGTGACTCGTATACAATGATCTGATTTTGATTCATTAAATCCTCCCCCACTGCTCTGTAAGGTAGTTATTGTTCTGTCCATTGACCAAGTGAGAAAACCAAGACTCAGAAAGATGACATAACTTGCCCAAGGTCACACAGCCTATAGATTCAGGGGACAGTTTTGAAATCCACAGCCAGGTCTAAATTCCTGCTCCTTTTATACTATGGTAGTACTCATTCATCTAACACATGAGTATGATGAAGCCCCTGCTACGTGCCAGCCACAGCTCTGCTCATCGTATACCTTCTGGAAGCTCTGGGTTTTCTAAGATATCATTTTATTCAGATAAAGCCTCAATGCCTTGTTCCCACACCTTCAAGATGACATGTGACTTCAGAAATGAGTTTCCATTTGGACTCAGAAATTTAGCATAATCTAAATACCAGCATAAGAAATGATAATTTGGCATTTGTGGTGGAAGCTTCTCTGATTTTAGATAATATCTGTGATCACTAATTATCTAATAAAAGTGCTAACATGGCCAGGCGCAGTGGCTCACGCCTATAATCCTAGCACTTTGGGAGGCTGAGGCGGGCAGACTGCAGTTCGAGACCAGCCTGGGCAACATGGTGAAACCCCATCTCTACTAAAATACAAAAAAAGAAATTAGCTGGGCATGGTAGCGTGTGCCTATGGTAGTGTGTGCCTAATCCCAGTGACTCAGGAGGCTGAGGCAGGAGAATTGCTTGAACCCGGGAGGCAGAGATTGCAGCGCGCCGAGATTGCACCACCGCACTCCAGCCTGAATGACAGAGCAAGACTTCCTCCCTTCAAAAAACAGAAAAAAAAACAAAAAACAAAAAATAAATAAATAAAACCAAACAAACAAAGTGCTAACATGCTTAAGAAAATGGTAATTACTACTGTGTTCTTCCTGTTTTTGTCAGGCAAAAGGAAAATTCATGACAGAGATAGGGAGTTGGAAAAACACATTGAAGACAGGAACTTTTTAACTTTAAGCCACAGGTCTTTACATAAGTGCTCACTCATGCCACTGACTCCTAAATTGATAGGTTGCTAAGGAAACCTGGAAAATAGACCCTGGAGAAAGACAGCTTAAGGAAACCATTTTTACTAAAAGGATGTATAGTGTGTTGTTAAGAGTATGAACACAGAAACCAGACCACTTATCAAAACCCAGCTCTGTCACCTACTAGCTGTATGACCTTGGACAAGTTTTCTTTTTTTTTTTTTTGAGACCGAGTTTCACTCTTGTTGCGCAGGCTGGAGTGCAGTGGTGTGATCTTGGCTCACCGCAACCTCTGCCTCCTGGGTTCAAGCAATTCTTCTGCTCAGCCTCCCAGGTAGCTGAAATTACAGGCATGCGCCACCATGCCCGGCTAATTTTTTTTGTATTTTTAGTAGAGATGGGGTTTCTCCATGTTGGTCAGGCTGGTCTCAAACTCCCGACCTCAGGTGATCCGCCCGCCTCGGCCTCCCAAAGCGCTGGGATTACAGGCATGAACCACCACACCCGGCCCGACCTTCGACAAGTTTTCTAACTTCCCTATACCTCAGTTTCCCATCTGAAAAATGGTGTGGAATATAACAGTATCTAGCTCATAGGCTTGCTATGAAGAGTAAATAAAGTACTATGGTTAAGGAACTTGGAAGAGCACCTGATAAATAGTTAGCACTGTGTAAGTACAAATATTATTACCACTCCCTTATGCAAAAACATGCAATGACTTATCAGTACAAATAGGCTAGGTCCAAAATTGTCAGCTTGACATTCTGAGTTCCTAAATCATATCTTCAGCTTTATTTTCCACTATTAATTTAACAGTATTTCCTAACCAATCACTATGGAGCTCTTACTATGTGCTAATCATTGTATTAGGTGCTGGAGGTACAGAGAACATAAGATACATGCTCCTTGGACTCCCTAAGCTAACAGTTTCTCTGGTCCAGCCAGCTTAGCCTCCTTGCTACCACTTAATATGTCATGCTTATCTTGACCTTTGTTCAAAACACCCTCTACTTGGAATGCTTGGGAACAAGTTAGGATTCTCTCTTCTGCCTAATTAAATCATATATTTTCTTCAAAGTGCCCTTTTCATTGTAGCATCCTCTGACAGTTCAACTCAAAGTACTCTCTCTCTCTCTTCTCACATCCTATGTTATGTCATAGCATTTAATTAGCTACTCTCTTATATTCTTATGGAAATATTTTACTCACACTATGGAACGATTTGGGCATTAAAAGTCAGAAAAACTTGAATAGAAAATCCAGCGCTGCCTCTTGCTACATGTGTGACCTCTATGAAACTCAGTTACCTCATCTGCCAATGGCAAAAATAAGACTCACCTCACAGCATTATTGTGAGGAACAAACAATGCACATAGTATCATTTCTGACATGTCAAGGCACTGAATAAATGTTGGTTTTCCTCACTTTCTCTGCCATCACATATGTCTTTCTCCCATGTAACAGGTAAGTCTTCAGCTTGGCCAACCCTGGTTGACACATGTCTTATAGCTACACCACCATGTACTGAGAGTAACACATAAATTAAGTAAGAACTCACCAAATAATGGGGTGAAGGAAGAGAAGTCTTTCCTATTGTCTAGAACTGACAGAGGACACTCACGCTTTTCTTGAAGACACCATTCTCTTATCTACGAGCACCTCCTATTAAACACTTCACATGCCAAGCACTAGGTTTCCAGTTTCCCACACCTCCACATCCATAGTGATAGCTACCAAGGATTGAGTACTTAGTTTTTGCTAAGACAGTTTATACATATGATCTCCTTGCATATCTGCTACAACCCTATGAGATCGCTATTATTATTTCCATTTTACAGATAAGAAAACAAGCTCAAATAAGTTCAAGAATTTATTCAAAGTGACTCAGAAAGTGGCACCAAAAGAATTCAAATACAGTGTTTTAATACAAAGCCATGATACTACTAAACACTTGCATTACATCAAATCTAAGATGCACTTTGTTCATATTTTTACATCTCTGAAATCAAGATGAGTCATAATTGATGTCTTTTTTAATTGCAATTGTTAATATTTTTTCTTACTGGGTTACAAAAAATGGTACATTTCTCACTGAACAGCATCTTTAACTCACCAAAAAATTTATTAATAATAGCACATCTTATGTGGCAGGCATCATTCCCAAACACGTTCCACCTATTAACTCATGTAATCCTCACTACAACAGTGATGTGGTCATGATTATCATTTCCATCCTACAGATAAGAAGACTTAGGCATGGGGCTATTAAGTAACTTAGCCCCCTGTTAAACAACTAGAGTGTATGGAGGATTGTATTTGAAACCCAGGCATTCTGGTTCCAGACTCTGTGATCTTAACTACATTCCATTCCTTAGTGTTATACTCTTTACCACTCTGCGACATCAACTTTATCCACACTGCTTTTCTCTCCCAAGATGTCTGTGTGAGTTTTAAAGAGACAGTGGATTTCTTCTCAAGTTTTCATAATTCCACAGTATGTAGCACACTGTTTCATTTGTTGCTTCGTAGGCAGATGTGCAATGTATGTTTATTCAATCTAATTAATTTTAACACCAAAAATCAAAAATAAAAACTCAAGCATGGAATTAATCAAGTCTTTCAGCTTTCCTTACATGTTTATTAATTCTTTCATTTAATTCAGTAGTTCTCACTAGGGCAATTTTGCCTCCCAGGGGATATTTGTTGATATCTGGAGACCTTTGTCACAACGGAAGATGGGGGTGCTACTGGCATCTACTAGGTAGAGGCCAGGGATCATGCTAACCATCCTACAATACACAGGCTGACTCGTGACAACAAAAGATTACCCAGTCCAAAACATCAGTAGTGCCTAGACTGAGAAATCCTGAATTCATTCAATAAATATGAAGTACCCTTCTTAGCCTCACTCTTCTCATCTATAAATCTGGAAGTTCATCTGATCAAAATACATCTTTAACTTGAAAGGACCCCCCACCCAATGCATAAATTCCCTTTTCAGCCATGGTATCAGATGGCCTCTAGCCTCTACCTAAACATCATCAGAGGCCAAAAACTTATAGACTCTGAAGAAGCCCATACACTTCTAGAAGCCTCAATTATAATTCATAACGAGGACACATGAACATGGCTGTAGTTCTGCTTAATAAAACATGAAACAAACCAGCCTCTATTACCATGGTCCAACAAAAACAAAATTTTTAAAAATTGCCGATGGCATTTTCTAAAGGATTTTTCTTTACATCCAGTCTCAGAGGTTCACTAACTAAACTCTTTATCCTAAATGCAATTTTCAAGGCAGATTCTTCCTGATTAATAGTAACTAGTAGCTGGTACATGATCACTGAGGAGCTATTTCTTAACATGCTTTTATAGACCATGCTAATGCCACACCACTCTTTAAGGGCTAATCTCACACCTCCATAGCTGTAAGAGTCTGGCTTAGAACAGACATCTCTCTGCAATAATTTGTGGCCACTGGAAATCCCTGGTTGGCGTTTGTATTGGGATTGCAATGACTCCCAAGGGCCAAAAGAGTTAAAGGCATGACTGGGACTTTTTCCGAGACTGTGGTGAAACTCCTTCCAAGGCTTGGGGGTCATTAGGTGCTTTGGAGGAACTCAGCACCACTTGATATTCAACAGCCACTTGAGCCAAATATAAAATTGTATTTAGAGCTGATGGACTCAATTTGAGCCTTCGAACTTGTAGTTATCCTATTATACTGTAAACTAATACATTGTTTGTCTAGCATTGATTCGGTTCCTGTGCATATGTATTTTCACAATGTGCTCTCCTTCACAGATCTTAATTAAACCAGATTTTGCAAATTCAAAAAAAAATAGTTCTTAGAAAGTCTAAAATGTCTGTACCCTTCAGTAATTCAAATTATCAGTGGAAAGCCAATCTCAAATGAGGAAATTTCACAATTTTGAAATAGTTGTAGAATTGCCTTTGTGTTACTTTCAAATGCTGTTTTCGTTCACCCATGCAATAAACACTTTTGTATCCCCATACCAGATTTCAAAAATACAAAGATGAACATGACAAAAATCCCTGTGCTTAGGGAATCCACAATCTATTGGAGGAGGCAAACATGCCACCTCGTGACTGCAATGGGCAGAAGCACTGATGAGGGAATCAGCAATTCTCAGGAGTTCAAGGGAGGCTTTACAGAAGATCAGTGTCTTGAGCTCAGATTTACAGGATTGGTAGCTGTTCCCAAGTAAACAGGCACAGCATATGCAAACACACTGAGTCTGATGGGGCAGTAATCATCCTGGGAACCGCATATCCCATCATGGCTGGCACCCACAGTCTATGTGGAGGATGAGCAAGGCCAAGTAGGGAGATACTGTGAAAGCTCTTATTTGTTTTGCTAAAATGTTTGAACTTCATCCTACGGGCTGAGGGCTACCAAGAGGAAGAGACAGGGTTAGAATGGACTTTTGGAAAGACCACTGGCAAAGTGAGTAGAGCAGACTGGAACTGGGAGAGACCAACAGACTGACATTCTGAGGTTGCAATGATTATATCGAGATATCCTAGAAGGGAACAGGGCTTTCTACTACAATATTTGGATGAGTTACCTGACAATGAAGGCCCAGGGTTTATTTCAATTAAACACATCAATTGCTATCATTGTATTAAGTTATAAAAGCCTATGGAGAACAACTTCTGCTTTTACGGAAGAATCAACTGAGGCCCAGGAAGGAAAATCGGTGTGCTTCAACGACACATTTGTCAGAAAAAAGCCAAAGCGGGCACTCAGGGCTCTAAACAGGCAGTCCTTACCACTCTCCAACGCTCTGAGATTGCTCTTATTTGTTTGTAAAAGGCTGCTTTTATCATGAGAGTAATTAAATGCCTTTTTTTTTCAGCTTTTTTCCCCCCTTCATTCACCTGACATTCTGTTTACCCAATTAATTTTCACTGTGTATGAAGAAAGCCTTTTTAAAGCAGAAGTAAATTTCAGCCTAGGTCTTTGTCAGCCTGATGGCTGATTCCTAATTAACTGAGATGACATGAATAAGGGTTTACTGTTATTGAGCTTTTCAAAGTCTTCTGCTTAGACTAGATTACCAAGAACCTGGCAAAAAGAATATGTGTTTCATCTTCCTAGGATGTGGAATTGACAATGGGCAGATGACAAACAGCAAGGGATTCATCACTGGGCTGCAGCACCCCAGCCTGGCAGGGTGTTTCCCAAATACCTTACTAAATACTGCACTGATACAGGGAGAATATTCCAGAAAATGGCATTATTGGAGCAGAGTCTGAACCCAAACTTCATATTAGTGACATCCCTTTATGTATCTCTGAATTCAGCTTTGAGAACCTCAGTGTTAGGGTAGGAGAGGATTGCTTCTCCAGAGAGGAGTCAATGGCAACTTTATTAGCATTCTAATTCTCATTCATGCAGCTATCAGCTGGTTGTGATTCTGTGAAGTGGGAAGTAATGAGGCTACCACAATTGCATATGCTTTATAAGCTGGTATTATAACAAAAAGAGAGAAAGAAAGAGAGGGAGAGAGAGAGAGATAGGCACAAGGAGAGAGACAGAAAGCACTACATAAATCCATTGAAGGTTGTAGCACAGCTTACACGAAGAAGAAATAAGCTAGGAATTAACTTGCGCAGGGTCACTTAGGATAACCAAGGGCCATCTGCTACTTAACCTACTTTCTTTCTGTGACCATTTTTCTCTACCCCTCTAGTTTCCACAGGTAGGAACCTTCCCTAGAGTGGCATTTAATGCCTCTTTCAAAGGCTACCTTCAGCTTGAATGCAGTGTGAAAGAGTTATTTAATCGGAGCGTTTGGGAAATGCAAATTAAAACTACAATGAGATACCACTAAACACCTATTAGAAAGCTTAAATTATAAAATTGATCATTTTAAGAGCTGGCAAGAGGTGCAGGAACTGGAACCCTCATATGCTATTGGTGAGAATGTAAAATGGTACAACAATTGTGGAAAATATGTTGGCAGCCTCTGAAAAAGTTAGACATGCACCTACCATATGACCCAACACTTCACTCCTATGTATTTATTCAAGAGAAATGAAAATGTACGTCCATACAAAGGCTGGTACACAACTATTCACAGCAGCTTTATCTGTAATAAACAAAAACTGGAAACAACCTAAATATCCATCAATAGGTGAATGGATACACAAACTATGGCATATACATACAATGGAATACTAATCAGTAATGAAAAAGACTGAACTATGGATACATGCTGACATATGGATAGATGTCAACATAATCATCCTTAAGTAAAAGAAGACAGACAAAAACAGACTACATACTGGATGATTCTATTTGTATAAAATTCTATTAAATGAAAATTAATCTTATAAGAACAGGAAGTAGATCAGTGGTTGCTTAGGGATGGAGATAGGGGAAACAGGGAACAGCTAATGAGAGGGCTGTGTGAGAACATTTCTAGGGCTTATACTTTTGCTCATTATCCTGATTGTGGTGATAATTTCAAGGGTAGGTGCTTATATCAAAATTTACCAAATTTTACACTTTACACATAGTTTGTCATACATCAAATACATCTTAATAAAACTGTTTAAAAATACAGGAGGAAATCACTAGTCTCTGCCAAGGTCAGCCAAAGGTGACATGAGAGAGCCCACAATGCACAACTGCTTTGTCTGAAGAGAAGCACAGGTGCAATCACTCTGTACGGCTCCTGGTGCCTCTCACTGTCCGCTCCCAGGAGGAGCGAGTGAGTATTCATTCTAAACGCAATTTTGCTTTATTCGAGGTCATACTCAACTGCTCTTCTCTTCATCTCAGGAGTGCAGTAGGAGAAAGTACTCCTCACCCACTACCATCATTTTTAGGGCAACTCTCTCTGCCAACAGCAGGTATTAACAGACACTGGTGGAAGAAGAGGTATCCACAGCTTTGAAAATGTGCCAACCTCTGATCGACACAGATTATGCAAAGGCTTTTTCTCCATGCAGTCATTTAGGTCATACCCATATGGGGGTGGGGAGGGGGACTTTAAAATATATATGCCAACATTATGACCCAAAATTATTTAAAATTTTTATCGATCTACTTTCCAACAAAAAGAGGGGCAGTGTACAAATTAAGGAATTAGAGTAAGATTATAGGTGTCTTTGCTCTAAAATAAATACCTTATCTCTGCTTCCTTCTATGTAAAATCTGGAAAACTCATTAGGTAATAAATATTGCTGCCACATTCTATACCAGTTACGCATAGGAGGTATAGCTGATACACCTCCAGGAGATGAGTTAATGGTTAAAATACCACTTGTACATTAGTCAGGGGAAAATTAGACCAAGCTCTCAAACTAGAAACTGAGATGTTGATCATTCCAAAAATTCAGAATTCCACTGAGTACACACAGGACCATCACTTGTCTTGATTGCTCGCAAATTACTGACCTTTCAAACTGACAGCACTCACATGTATTGAAATATCACAATGTACCCAATAAATGTGGATAATTCCCATGTGTCACTTAATAATAAAAGCAAAAATACGATGGCACTTAGATTTTGAAATGAGACATATTAATCTCCAATACATTCAATGTAGTTTTAAAATATAGAAGTCTACCTAAGTGATGCCAAGATATGAGAGTTTATTTGTATAGTAAAATTCTTACACTGTTAAGAAAGATGAAAAAAATCAACTGATGTTTGTGGAGCAAAGGAGAGTGGTATCCCACAGTGTCGACGGACTCTCCTGATATGAGATACAGAAAAAAGATGTTTTTCTTTACCTAAAGTGATAGACAAGAAATCCTTCCATAAACTCATCTTGCTTACAATATGAAAAGGGCAAATTCTGTATTATCACTTTATAATGTATTCAATCACATTTCCGTTTCTGACAGCAGATGAAAAGTGGGATGCCTAGGATTCTAAATTAATTCTTTTTATTCCTTTTCAAGACATAGCTTCTGTGCTGTAAAAGGGTACCACTACTCCCTTCTCATTTCTTATTTATAAGTCAAACTCCCTGTCCTAATCATCTCCAGCTCTTCCCCAAAGCTAAATGATTTCAAAGAAACTGAAGTTTGGCATTTTGTTTGCAGAGTGCCTACTGCTTCACTCCTTACATACTCATGTTTACTTTGGAAATCAATGAAATGTAATTCAGGATAACTCCATATACTTACCACTGTATCTGATTCTGATTGCTAACCTAACATGTTCATCAAAATGGAACTCTGACTGCAAGTGATAGAAATCCACTAAAACTACAGAAAGAAAAAGGGTGGCAGGGGAGGTCTCAGGAATGGTTTAATTGAATTCAGCCCCCACCCCTTACCCTAGTGTGTGTGTGTGTGTGTGTGTGTGTGTGTGTGTGTGTTTGTGTGTGTATGTGAGAGAGAGAGAGATTGAGAGAGAGAGATTGAGAGAGAGAGAGTGTCATCTGTCATCTATGCTTTCCTCTGTGTTATGGTGGCTCGCACCTGTAATCCCAGCACTTTGGGAGGGCTGTTCTTCCCTATAATATATGATGCTTTTTCTATAATCCTGTGAATACAGCCATAAGCAATTCTAGGCTTATATCCCTCAGCTAACGACCAGAAAAGCAAGAAAGCTTTCCGACAAACTTCTACTCAAAAGATGCCAGGAAAGGATTCTCATTCCTCTGCCCCAAGACTGAGGTGTTATGATTTTCACTTTCCATGCAAATCACAGTTTGGGTGAAGAAAGAGGGGAGGAAAAGGAGGAGGAGAAATAAAAAAGAAAAGGAAGAAGGGAGGGGGAAGGAGGTTAGGACACATAGCACCACTAGATGAAGAGTTGGAAACTGGAAAAACATATACTATATTCATCAGTCTTACACTTTATTGATAACTAACATCAGAATTCACTAGCATTATTTATATGTTTAGATTTGCTTACTCAACTTGCAGACCTTTTTGACCACCACAAAAAGTTAACACTGATATGTGAGCATGCTGCCATCAGTAATGGTAGGTGTCTTTATTGCATAGCCCAAAAACATAAACTATTGACAACTTTATTTGAACTACAGATCAAAATTTTCTTATCTTTAAAAAATAATAATATGATATAGATAACATATAGAATTTATGTTTCAAATAAAATAACCCCCATGTAAACTTTTATGCCCCCTCACTACTTCTTAGCTGCTACAACTATGAGACTTCTGCTTTCCTTGAATTTTTAATTTTAAAGAGTAAAACAGCTTCTCTCATATTTATTAAGTCTCAAAACTTTGGAGTTTGAACAGCAATTTTCTCAAATGTGCTTGCACTTAGAGTACAAATGTATAAAACCATCTTCAAAGTGGTGGACGGGGCTTTCTCTTCTGTCTGTCCCAGTTGTTTGAGAATGCTGTCAGGAGATTGGAGAAGGATGTCCTTTGCATTTGAAAAATGCAAAAGAGGCTGGGCATGGTAGGTCACACCTGTAATCCTAGCACTTTTGGAGGCCGAGGCAGGTGGATCACTTGAGGCCAGGAGTTCAAGACCAGCCTGGCCAACATGGTGAAACTTCATCTCTACTAAAAACACAAAAATTAGCTGGCCATGGTGGTGCATGCCTATAATCCCAGCTACTCAGGAGACTGAGGTGGGAGGAATGCTTGAGCCTAGTAGGCAGAGTTTGCAGTGAGCAGAGATCGTGCCACTACACTCCTGCCTTGGCAACAGAGACTGAGAAAAGAAAAGAAAAGAAAGAGAAAGAGAAAAAGAGAGAAAGAAAGAGAAAAAGAAAGAGAAAAGAGAGAAAGAAAGAAAGAAGAAAGGAAAAGAAAAGAAACCCCAATTCACTGACCATCACCTTATGCAGTACAGTCATCTAATGGGTCATTCACCTTCCTATCTAGAGTGAAATCTCCCTTCCCCAGGGGGCATATACAGTGTATGCTATCCCAGTTCACCACAGAAACTGAAACAAAATGATCCTACCCCTGTTTGAAGACACCACTAGACATCTTATTAACTTCTATGTCAGCAGGAAGGAGCTAAAGACATTCCTGTCTGTTCTCCCTTCTAGCATAAATTATCATTATAATACTTATCTTTATATTAAAAATGTATGTTTCTTAAGGAAAACTGAAAAACACAGAAAATATTAAAATTCATGAGATAGAAGACTTGGTTCCAAGGTGGCTGAATAGGAACATCTCCAGTCTGCAGCTCCCAGTGTGATCGATGCAGAAGACAGGTGATTTCTGCATTTCCAAATGAGGTACCTGGTTCATCTCATTGGGACTGGTTGGACAGTGGGTGCCACCCATGGAGGGTGAGTTGAAGCAGGGTGGGGCATCACCTCACCCAGGAAGCACAAGGGGTGTGGGGATTTCCCTTTCCTAGCCAAGGGAAGCCATGACAGACTGTAACTGGAAAAACAGGACATTCCTGCCCAAATACAGCACTTTTTCCAAGGTCTTACCAATTGGCAGACAAGGGGATTCTCTCCTGTGCCTGGCTCAGTGGGTCCCATGCCCACTGAGCCTTGCTCACTGCTAGTGCAGCAGTCTGAGATACAACTGCGAGGTGGCAGCCTGACTGGGGGAGGGGCATCTGCCATTGCTGAGGCTTGAGTAGGTAAACAAAGAGGCTGCAAAGCTCGAAGTGGGTGGACCCCCCTGCAGCTCAGCAAGGCCTACTGTTTCTATAGCCTCCACATCTGTGGGCAGGGCATAGCTGAACAAAAGGCAGCAGACAACTTCTGCAGACTTAAATGTCCCTGTCTGACAGCTCTGAAGAGAGCAGTGGTTCTCCCAGCACAGCATTTGAGCTCTGAGAACAGACAGACTGCCTCCTCAAGTGGGTCCCTGACCCCCGTGTAGCCTGAGAGACACCTCCCAGTAGGGGCCAACAGACACCTCATATAGGTGGGTGCCCCTCTGGGATGAAGCTTCCAGAGGAAGGATCAGGCAGCAATACTTGCTGTTCTGCAATATTTGCTCTACTGCAGCCTCCACTGTGATACCCAGGCAAACAGGGTCTCCAGCAAACTCCAACAGACCTGCAGCTGAGGTACCTGACTGTTAGAAGGCAAACTAACAAAGAGAAAGGAATAGCACAGACATCAAAAAAAAGGACATCTACACCAAACCCCACCTGTAGGTCACGAACATCAAAGACCCAAGGTAGAAAAATCACAAAGATGGGGAGAAACCAGAGGAGAAAAGCTGAAAATTCTAAAAACCAGAGCACCTGTTCTCCTCCAAAGGATCGCAGCTTCTCGCACACAACAGAACAAAGCTGGCTGGAGAATGACTTTGATGAGTTGACAGAAGTGGGTTTCAGAAGGTCGGTAATAACAAACTCTCCGAGCTAAAAGAGCACATTCAAACCTACTGCAAGGAAGCTAAAAACCTTGAAAAACGGTTAGACTAATGGTTAACTAGAATAAACAGTGTAGAGAAGACCTTAAATGACCTGATGGAGCTGAAAACCATGGCATGAGAACTTTGTGATGCATGCATAAGCTTCAATAGCCAATTCGATCAAGTGGAAGAAAGGGTATCAGTGATTGAAGATCAAATTAATGAAATAAAGCAAGAAGACAAGGTTAGAGAAAAAAAGAGTAAAAAGAAATGAACAAAGCCTCCAAGAAATATGGGACTATGTGAAAAGACCAAATCTACATTTGATTGGCATACGTGAAAGTGAGGGGGAGAATGGAGCCAAGTTGGAAAACACTCTTGAGAATATTATCCAGGAGAACTTCCCCAACCTAGCAAGGCAGGCCAACATTCAAATTCAGGAAATACAGAGAACACCACAAAGATAGTCTTCGAGAAGAGCAACCCCAAGACATATAATTGTCAGTTTCAACAAGGTTGAAATGAAGGAAAAAATTTTAAGGGCAGCCATAGACAAAGGTTGGGTTACCCACAAAAGGAAGCCCGTCTGACTAACAGCAGATCTTTCAGCAGAAATCCTACAAGCCAGAATCCAGAATTTCATATCCAGCCAAACTAAGCTTCATAAGTGAAGGAGAAATAAAATCCTTTACAGACAAATGCTGAAAGATTTTGTCACCACAAGGCCTGCCTTACAAGAGATCCTGAAGGAAGCACTGAATATGGAAAGGAACAACTGCTACCAGCCACTGCAAAAACATGCCAAATTGTAAAGACCATTGATGCTATGAAAAAACTGCATTAATTAATGGGCAAAATAACCAGCTAACATCATAATGACAGGATCAAATTCACACAAAACAATATTAACTTTAAATGTAAATGGGCTAAATGCCCCCAATTAAAACACACACACTGGCAAATGGGATAAGGAGTCAAGACCCATCAGTGTGCTGTATTCAGGAGACATATTTCACATGCAAAGACACACATAGGCTCAAAATAAAGGAATGGAGGAAGATCTACCAAAAAAATGGAAAGGAAAAAAAAGCAGGGGTTGCAATTCTAGTCTCTTATAAAACAGACTTTAAACCAATGAAGATCAAAAGAGACAAAGAAGGTCATTACATAATGGTAAAGGGATCAATTCAACAAGAAGAGCTAACTATCCTAAATATATATGCACCCAATACAGGAGCACCCAGATTCATAAAGCAAGTCCTTAGAGACCTACAAAGAGACTAAGACTCCCACACAATAATAATGGGAGATTATAACACCCCACTCTCAATATTAGACAGATAAACGCGACAGAAGGTTAACAAGGATATCCAGGAATTGAACTCAGCTCTGCACCAAGCAGACCTAATAGACATCTACAGAACTCTCGACCCCAAAACAACAGAATATACGTTCTTCTCAGCACCACATCACACTTATTCCAAAATTGACCACATAATTGGAAGTAGAGCACTCCTCAGCAAATGTAAAAGAACAGAAATCACAACAAACTGTCTCTCAGACCACAGTGCAATCAAATTACAACTCAGGATTAAGAAACTCACTCAAAACTGCACAACTACAGGGAACCTGAACAACCTGCTCCTGAATGACTACTGGGTACATAACAAAATGAAGACAGAAATAAAGATGTTCTTTGAAACCAATGAGAACAAAGACACAATGTACCAAAATCTCTGGGACACATTTAAGGCAGTGTGTAGAGAGAAATTTACAGCATTAATTGCCCACAAGAGAAAGCAGGAAAGATCTAAAATTGTCAACCTAACATCACAATTAAAAAAAACTAGAGAAGCAAGAGCAAACAAATTTAAAAGCTAGCAGAGCAGAAGGCAAGAAATAACTAAGATCAGAGCAGAACTGAAGGAGATAGAGACACAAAAAAAACCCTTCAAAAAATCAATGAATCCAGGAGCTGGTTTTTCGAAAAGATCAACAAAATTGATAGACTGCTAACAAGGCTAATAAAGAAAAGAGAAGAATCAAATAGATGCAATAAAAAATGATAAAGGGGATATCACCACCAATCCCACAGAAATACAAATTACCATCAGAGAATACTACAAACACCTCTACACAAATAAACTAGAAAACCTGGAAGAAATGGATAAATTCCTGTACACGTACATCCTCCCAAGACTAAATCAGGAAGAAGATGAATCTCTGAATAGACCAATAGCAGGTTCTGAAATTGAGGCAATAATTAATAGCCTACAAACCAAAATAAGTCCAGGACCAGATGGATTCAGAGCCGAATTCTACCAGAGGTACAAAGAGGAGCTGGTACCATTCCTTCTGAAACTATTCCAATCAATAGAAAAGGAGGGAATCCTCCATAACTCATTATATGAGGCCAGCATCATCCTGATACCAAAGCCTGGCAGAGACACAATGAAAAATGAGAATTTTAGACCAATATCCCTGATGAACATTGATGCAAAAATCCTCAATAAAATACTGGCAAACCGAATCCAGCAGCACATCAAAAAGTTTATCCACCACAATCAAGTTGGCTTCATCCCTGGGATTCAAGGCTGGTTCAACATATGCAAATCAATAAACGTAATCCGTCACATAAACAGAACCAATGACAAAAACCACATGATTATCTCAATAGATGCAGAAAAGACCTTTGACAAAATTCAACAGCCCTTCATGCTAAAAACTCTCAATAAACTAGGTATTAATGGAATGTATCCCAAAATAATAAGATCTATTTATGACAAACCCACAGCCAATATCATACTGAAGGGGCAAAAACTGGAAGGATTCCCTTTGAAAACCAGCACAAGACAAGGATGCCCTCTCTCACCACTCCTATTCAAGATAGTGTTGGAAATTCTGGCCAGGGCACAAGGATGCCCTCTCTCACCACTCCTATTCAAGATAGTGTTGGAAGTTCTGGCCAGGGCAATCAGGCAAGAGAAAGAAATAAAGGGTATTCAGTTAGGAAATGAGGAAGTCAGGTTGTCCCTGTTGGCAGATGACATGATTGTATACTTAGAAAACCCCATCATCTCAGCCCAAAATCTCCATCAGCTGATAAGCAACTTCAGCAAAGTCTCAGGATACAAAATCAATGTGCAAAAATCACAAGCATTCCTATACACCAATAACAGACAGAGGGCCAAATCATGAGTGAACTCCCATTCACAATTGCTACAAAGAGAATAAAATACCTAGGAATCCAACTTACAAGGGATGTGAAGGACCTCTTCAAGGAGAACTACAAACCACTGCTCAATGAAATAAAAGAGGACACAAACAAATGGAAGAACATTCTATGTTCATGGATAGGAAGAATCAATATAGTGAAGATGGCCATACTTCTGAAGGTAATTTATAGATTCAATGTCATCCACATCAAGCTACCAACGACTTTCTTCACAGAATTGGAAAAAAAACTACCTTAAAGTTCATATGGAACCAAGAAAGAACCCACATTGTGAAGACAATCCTAAGCAAAAAAAAAAAAAAAAAGCTGGAGGCATCATCCTTCCTGACTTCAAACTATACTACAAATCTACAGTAACCAAAACAGCATGGTACTGGTACCAAAACAGACATATAGACAAATGGAACAGAACAGAGGCCTCAGAAATAACACCACACATCTACAACCATCTGATCTTTGACAAACCTGACAAAAACAAGCAATGGGGAAAGGATTCCCTATTTAATAAATGGTGCTGGGAAAACTGGCTAGCTATATTGCAGAAAGCTGAAATTGGATCCCTTCCTTACACCTTGTACAAAAATTAATTCAAAACGGATTAAAGACCATCTTGACCTAAATGTTAGAGCTAAAACCATAAAAACCCTAGTAGAAAACCTAGGCAATACCATTCAGGACATAGGCATGGGCAAAGACTGCATGACTAAAACACCAAAAGCAATGGCAACAAAAGCCAAAATAGACAAATGGGATCTCATTAAACTAAAGAGCTTCTGCACAGGAAAAGAAACTACCTTAAGAGTGAACAGGCAACCTACAGAATGGGAGAATATTTTTGCAATCTATCCATCTGACAAAGGCCTAATATCCGGACTCTACAAAGAACTTAAATTTACAAGAAAAAAACAAACAACCCCATCAAAAAGTGGGCAAAGGATATGAACAGACACTTCTCAAAAAAAGACATCTATGCAGCCAACAGACACATGAAAAAATGCTTGTCATCACTGGTCATCAGAGAAATGCAAATCAAAACCACAATGAGATACCATCTCACACCAGTTAGAATGGCAATCATTAAAAAGTCAGGAAACAACAGGTGCTGGAGAGGATGTGGAGAAATAGGAACACTTTTACACTGTTGCTGGGAGTGTAAATTAGTTCAACCATTGTGGCAGAGAGTGTGGCAATTCAAGGATCTAAAACTAGAAATACCATTTGACCCAGTGATCCCATTACTGAGTATATAGCCAAAGAATTACAAATCATGCTATGTAAAGACATATGCACATGTATGTTTATTGCTGCACTATTCACAATAGCAAAGACTTGGAACCAACCCAAATGTCAATCAATGATAGACTGGATTAAGAAAATGTGGCACATACACACCATGGAATACTATGCAGCCATAAAAAATGATGAGTTCATGTTCTTTGCAGGGACATGGATGAAGCTGGAAACCATCATTCTCAGCAAACTATCACAAGAACAGAAAACCAAACACCACATCTCACTCATAGGTGGGAACTGAGCAATGAGAACACTTGGACACAGGGAGGGGAACATCACACACCAGGGCCTGTCGGGGGTGCGGGGTGGGGGGCTGTGGGAGGGGTAGCATGAGGAGAAATACCGAATGTAAATGATGAGTTGATGGGTGCAGCAAACCATCATGGCCCATGTATACCTATGTATCAAACCTGCACATTGTGCACATGTACCCTAGAACTTAAAGTACAGTTT
This sequence comes from Homo sapiens, assembly GCF_000001405.40. Lineage (NCBI taxonomy): Eukaryota > Metazoa > Chordata > Mammalia > Primates > Hominidae > Homo > Homo sapiens. The sequence goes on along the minus strand of NC_000011.10, from coordinate 87,502,225 downwards.
AAAAAAAAAAAAAAGAAAAAGAAAACCAAATACTGTATGTTCTCACTAATAAGTGGGAGCTAAATATCGGGTACTCATAGACAAAGATGGCAACAATAGACACTGGGGACTACCAGAGGGAGGAGTGGGGGAAGGGAGAGAAGGTTGAAAAATTATATAAAAATAAACATGATATAGTTTCCAACTTAAAAAAAAATTCATGAGATAACATATCAGCTTTTTTGTTTGCTATTTTACTATAAGCATTTTTCATGCAATTAAATCTTTGAAAGCATTATTGGCTGCAAACTATAATTCAGTCATATAAATGTAACATAATTTATCTCTGTTGTTCAATATTTATTTCCATATGTTTTCTATTATAAGAGAGAATATTAAATATCCATATCCATGAATCTTCTCTACAACTTTATTATTTTGGGATAAATCACTAGAAATGGAATTCCTGGATCAAAGGAAATAAATCATTTTAAAACTCTTGGTACATACTGCCAAATTTCGTGCTAGCAAAAGTGTTTTAATTTTCACTCTTACTAGCAGGATGTAAGAGTAATTGTTTTCCCCTCATCTTTGCTATCACAATGATGTGAGAAAAAAAAAAAATGAGACAGAGTCTCCCTCTGCTGCCCAGGCTGGGGTGCAGTGGTGCAATCTCAGCTCATAGCAGCCTGAACCTCCTGGGCTCAAGCACTTTAGCCTCCTGAGTAGCTGGGACTACAGATGCACACCATCACACCTGGCTAATTTGTGTATTTTTTGTAGAAACAGAGTCTCACTATGTTGCCCAGGCTGGACTTGAACTCCTTGGCTCAAGCTATCCTCCCACCTTGTCCTCTTTTTGCTGTGCTTATAGGTGTGAGCCAAAGAGTCTGGCCACAAATATTTTAAACAAAAAAGCTAAGCAAATTTTTAAAAGTAGAAATGTAAAATACATTCATATTTCACTTACCAGCTGACTTAATTTACACCATGACTAGCATCTTAGTAGCTGATGCTTGTTTTAAATGCAGTTACTTGTAAACAACCTAAATGTCTATCAAAAAGTGCATAATTAAATGATAGTGTATCTTTACTATGGAACAATACATAAGTAATAAAGACACTAAGGGAAATTTATATGTTCTGATATGGAGAATATCCATGAGTATTAATTTTTTTAAAGCTAGAGGTAGAAAAATACGTATAACATTATCCATGTTTCTTTTTAGAAATAATGCGTTTTTACATATAATATATGTGTATTAGTCCATTCTCAAACTGCTATAAAGAAATAGCAGAGACTGGGTAATTTATAAAGAAAAGAGGCCTAATTGGCTCATGGTTCTGCAGGCTATATAGGAAGCATGGAGGCAACTGCTCAGCTTCTGGGGAGGTCCCAGAAACTTACAATCACGGCAGAAAGCAAAGGGGGAATACATAGATCACATGGTGGGAGTAGGAGCAATAGAGGGCAAAGCAGGATTTGCTACACAGTTTTTTTTTTTATTAAAGTTCTAGGATACATGTTCAGAACATGCAAGTTTGTTACATAGGCATACATAGGCCATGGTGGTTTGCTGCACCCATCAACCCAACATCTACATTAGGTATTTCTCCTAATGCTATCCCTCTCATAGCCCCCAAACACCTCACTGGCCCTGGTGTGTGCTGTTCCCCTCCCTGTGCCCATGTGTTCTCACTGTTCAACTCCCACTTATGAGAACATGTGGTGTTTGGTTTTCTGTTCTGGTGTTAGTTTGCTGAGAATGACAGTTTCCAGCTTCATCCATGTTCCTGCAAAGGACATGAACTCATCCTTTTTAATGGCTGCATAGTATTCCATGATGTATATGTGCCACATTTTTTTTATCCAGTCTGTCACTGATGGGCATTTGGGTTGGTTCCAAGTCTTTGTTATTGTAAATAGTGCTGCAACAATCATGTGTGCGCATATATCTTCATAGTAGAATGATTTATAATCCTTTAGGTATACACCCAGTAATGGGATTGCTGGGTCAAATGGCATTTCTGATTCTAGATCTTTGAAGAACTTGCATTATGAATCTGGGTGCTCCTGTATTGGTGCATGTATATTTAGGATAGTTAGCTCTTCTTGTTGCATTGATCCCTTTACCATTATGTAATGCCCCCTTTTTTTTTTTATCTTTGTTGCTTTAAAGTCTGTTTTATCAGAGACTAGGATTGCAACCCCTGCTTTTTTTTTTATTTCCATTTGCTTGGTAAATATTCCTCCATCCCTTTATTTTGAGCCTATGTGTGTCTTTGCACATGAGATGGGTCTCCTGAATACAGCACACCAATGGGTCTTCACTCTGTATCCAATTTGCCAGTCTGTATCTTTTAATTGGGGCATTTAGCCCATTTACATTTAAGGTCAATATTGTTATGTGTGAATTTGATCCTGTCATTATGATGCTGGCTGGTTATTTTGCCCATTAATTAATGCAGTTTCTTCATAATGTCAATAGTCTTTACAATTTGGTATGTTTTCGCAGTGCTGGTACTGGTTTTTCCTTTGCATATTTAGTGCTTCCTTCAGGAGCTCTTGTAAGGCAGACTAGGTGGTGACAAAATCTCTCAGTATTTTCTTGTCTGTAAAGGATTTTATTTATCCTTTGCTTATGCAGCTTACTTTGGCTGGATATGAAATTCTGAGTTGAAAACTCTTTTAAGAATATTGAATTTTGGCCCCCACGCTGTCCTGGCTTGTAGGGCTTCTGCCATTAGATCTGCTGTTAATCTGATGGGCTTCCCTTTGTGGGTGACCTGACCTTTCTCTCTGGCTTCCCTTAACATTTTTTCCTTCATTTCAACCTTGGTGAATCTGACAATTATGTGTCTTGGGGTTGCTCTTCTCAAGGAGTATCTTTGTGGTGTTCTCTGTATTTCCTGAATTTGAATGTCATCCTGTCTTGCTAGGTTGGAGAAGTTCTCCTGGATAATATCCTGAAGAATGATTTCCAGCTTGGTTCCGTTCTCCCCATCACTTTCAGGTACACCAAACAAACATAGGTTTTGTCTTTTCACATAGCCCCATATTTCTTGGAGGCTTTGTTCATTCCTTTTCATCCTTTTTTCTCCACTCTTATCTTCAGGTTTAATTTCATTAAGTTGATCTTCAATCTCTGATATCCTTTCTTCCACTTGATCGATTCAGCCATTGATACTTGTCTATGCTTCATGAAGTTCTCGTACTGTATTTTTCAGCTCCATCAGGTCATTTATGTTCTGCTCTAAACTGGTTATTCTAGTTAGCAATTCCTTTCATCTTTTTTCAAGGCTCTTAGCTTCCTTGCATTGGGTTAGAACATGCTCCTTTAGCTCAGAGAAGTTTGTTATTACCCACCTTCTGAAGCCTACTTCTGTCAATTCGTCAAACTCATTCGCCATCCAGTTTTATTCCCTTGCTGGCAAGGAGTCGTAATCCTTCAGAGGAGAAGAGGCATTCTGGTTTTTGGAATTTTCAACCTTTTTGCACTGGTTTTTCCTCATCTTCGTGGATTTACCTATCTTTGGTCTTTGATGTTGGTGACCTTCAGATGGGGTTTTTTGTGGACATCCCTTTTTGTTGATGTTGATGCTATTCCTTTCTGTTTGTTAGTTTTCCTTCTAACAGTCAGGCCTCTCTGCTGCAGGTCTGCTGGAGTTTGCTGAAGATCGACTCCAGACCCTACTTGCCTGGGTATCACCAGTGGAGGCTGCAGAACAGCAAAGATTGCTGCCTATTCCTGCCTCTGGAATCTTCATCCCTGAGGTGCACCTGCCAGATGCCAGCTGGAGCTCTCCTATATGAGGTATCTGTCAACCCTTGCTGGGAAGTGTCTCCCTGTCAGGAGGCATGGGGTTCAGGGACCCACTTGAGGAGGCAGTCTGTCCCTTAGCAGAGCTTGAGTGCTGTGCTGGGAGATCCGCTGCCCTCCTCAGAGCCGGCAGGCAGGAACATTTGAGTGTGCTGAAGCTGTGCCCACAGTCACCCCTTCCCCCAGGTGCTCTGTCCCAGGGAGATAGGAGTTTTATCTATAAGTTCCTGACTGGGGCTGCAGTCTTTCTTTCAGAGATGCCCTACCCAGAGAGGAGGAATCTAGAGAGGCAGTCTGGCTACAGTGGGTTTGCCAAGCTGCGGTAGGCTCCACCCAGTTTGAACTTCCCGGTGACTTTGTTTACACTGTGAGGGGAAAACTGCCTACTCAAGCCTCAGTAATGGCAAATGCCCCTCGTCCCACCAAGCTTGAGCATCCCAGGTCAACTTCAGACTGTTGTGCTGGCAGCAAGAATTTCATGCCAGTGGATCTTGGCTTCCTGGGCTCCATAGGGGTAGGATCCGCTGAGCTAGACCACTTGGCTCCCTGGCTTCGGCTCCCTGGCTTCAGCCCCCTTTCCAGGGGAGTGAACGGTTCTGTGTCTCTGGTGTTCCAGATGCCACTGGGGTATGAAAAAAAACTCCTGCAGCTACCTCAGTGTCTGCCCAAGCAGCTGCCCAGTTTTGTGCTTGAAACCCAGGGCCCTGGTAGTGTAGGCACCTGAGGGAATCTCCTGGTCTGCAGGTTGTGAAGACTGCAGGAAAAGTGTAGTATCTAGGCCAGAATGCACCATTCCTCATGGCATGGTCCCTCATGGCTTCCCTTGGCTAGTGGAGGGAGTTCCCCAACCCCTTGTGCTTCCCAGGTGAGGTGACAGCCCACCCTGTTTTGGCTCACCCTCCGTGGGCTGCACCCACTGTCTAACCAGTCCCAATGAGATGAGCCAGGTACCTCAGTTGGAAATGCAGAAATCGCCTGCCTTCTGCATTGATCTCTCTAGAAGCTGCAGAGTGGAGCGGTTCTTATTCAGCCATCTTGCCAGCCACCTGTGCTACACACTTTTAAACAACTAGATCTCACAAGAACTCAGTCACTAGCATGAGAATAGCACCAAGGGGATGGTGCTAAACCACTCACAAAGGATCCACCTTCATGATCCAATCACCTCCCACCAGCACCATCTCTGACACTGGGAATTACAATTCAACAAGAGATTTGCTGGGGACACAGAACCAAACCATATCAATGTATGTGGGTAAATATAAAAGATCTGAAGAGATAAGCACCAAAGTGCTGTGAAGTCTTAACCTATAAGGTCTAGATTTGTTAATGAGGAATGGGGGGATTCTCAATATAAAAATTTCAACTTAGATTACAGGGTGCAGATTTTACTATTGCAATCATGCCAAATGAAAGTAAAGATAACATTCCTTTAGAATAGGCATTTTTAATATTTACTAAGGAAATTATATTTTACAGATTTCAAACCCATGAAAAAACATCTTAGAGGGATGGGAGGGAATGCTAATTTTTACCTCTACCTTTAAGATCTTTTAAGATCCACCTGGTAAATTTAGAAATGCAAATATATCATGGATATAATTTTATGTGATCTTAAAGTAATACTACTTGGTACTTTTAAACATCAAGGTGAGGGGAGGCAAAAAGGGGCAAAGAAAAAGTACTCTTGCAGTGGAGTATACCCCATCAAGGGTAGGAGGTCAAGAGTCTTCAAGAAGTTAAAATTTCAGTATTCTCCAGTTTTCCCTTTCTCCCACTAGTTTCCAAATCTTTAATAACCTGTGGATGGGATATATCTTAGGAATGAAGCCAACATGTGAGCTGGCAGGAGCTAGCAGCTCAATTTGGGTCCTTACTGAAAGAGAAGCATCATCAGGAATATAGTCTCTGTTCTTTATTCACTTGTTGACTATCTATAAGTGATAACATGGACAAATTAACACTTTTTGGCTATAAGCCAGCTCCATCAGCCATTTTTCACCCACAATAAATATTTTAGAGTCACCACTAGAAGGTGGCCATATAGCCATATGAAATAAATGTCAGTGGTGATCATTTCCCCATACCAAGAACAGAAACCATTCTCTGAATCCATACACATTAACTATATTGCATTTGACTGCCTCTTGGATGGGAAACTACCAACCTACCCACTGAGTTCAGGTGCCCCTTTCCATACATGCACAGGTTACTTGCAGGTATTTGCTTATTCTACCGATTTCTCAGTTCTAACACATCCAGAATACACCTCTTTATCTCTCTAAACCTACTCTGCTGCCTGTTTCTGCTGAAGACTTACCATCCTCTCAGCTGCTTTGGGTAGAAACCTAGACATTCTCTTCTACTCAGTTTGCCCTGATCTCTCATATCCAAGGTGGGTTCTATCTCCCAATTCATCTTGGACCTGCACTTGCTTTTTTCTCCCCACAACAGTCAAGGTCCTAATTTATGTCCACATTTCTCTCACCTTCGGTAGCTTCCTGAGAAATCTTTTGCCTCCAAGCCACTCTCTGCCTCCTTTGATTGAAGTGATTCCACAATTTTCTTTCCAAGAGTTTTAATGGATTTTCAGTGCCCAAAGAGTAAAATTCCAATTCCTTACTAAAACATTCAAGGACCTGTCCAAGTTGCTGCCCTGCCAATCTACCTTTCCAACATCACTGCCAACTACACAAGCCCTCACACCCAATTTGATCCCAACTCAACGTCTGAGTCACATTTCTCTAAATTTGTCCTAAATTTCCTATCCCCGTGGCTCTGCTTTGATGATCCATCTAGGTTCCAGTTTCTTAAATCAAGGAAGTATTCTTCCTGGAGGACACGAGAAAGAGGGAGATACCAGGTTATAGCTTAACTTTGATCATAAAGATATATGGGTAAAACTTCATTTTCTAAATTTGAAGTTGAATGCAAAATTCAAATGAAACTTCAAAGAAATGGTAAGCATGGTTCTAACTATTCTGTCTACCACTGCTACCAGTAGCAGCAGCCCCCAGCAGAGGTTTGTTGTCACTCCTTTTGGCCCTCAGGAGGCCTCTATTGAAAATTTTTAAGAAGTACTGCTCTAGGTGGAAAGTTTCCCAACCCCTCTTTCTGCTCGACAATTCCTGCCCATTCTTAACAGCCAGTTCTAGAACTATTTCTTCTACAAACCCTTCCAAATCCCTCCAAATTAGAAAGACTTCCTTCCTTTACCCCAAGGCATGTAATGACTACAAACTGGTGCTAGGCTTAGGTAGGCTTGCCAACTCTCAATCCCTGCTCATCCACAAAACAGTGTGTCAGGCCTCTGAGCCCAACCTAAACTATCGCATCCCCTGTGACCTGCACATATACGCCCAGATGGCCTGAAGTAACTGAAGAATCACAAAAGAAGTGAAAATGGCCTGTTCCTGCCTTAACTGATGACATTCCACCACAAAAGAAGTGAAAATGGCTGGTCCCTTCCTTAACTGATGACATTACCTTGTGAAATTCCTTTTCCTGGCTCATCCTGGCTCAAAAAGCTCCCTCACTGAGCACCTTGTGACCCCCCACTCCTGCCCACCAGAGAACAATCCCCCTTTGACTGTAATTTTCCTTTACCTACCCAAATCTTATAAAACAGCCCCACCCCTAACTCCCTTTGCTGACTCTCTTTTCGGACTCAGCCCACCTGCACCCAGGTGATTAAAAAGCTTTATGGCTCACAAAAAGCCTGTTTGGTGGTCTCTTCACATGGATGAGAGTGAAACAGTGAACCTATGTAAAGGGATAGCTTGGACAGCAGAATTGTTCCTCAGCCACTGCAGGTCAGGGAACAGTCCTACCAAAGTGTGGAGACATAAAACTTCCCAGGATTTCTCAGTGTTCTTGTAAGAATAAGGGAGGAGACCACCCCTCATATTGTCTTATGCCCAATTTCTGCTTCCAAAGAAAGAAAAAGTAAAAACTAAAAGGCAGAAATGAAATCCACAAGCAGACAGCCCGGCGCCACACCCTGGGCCTGGTAGTTAAAGATTGACCCCTGACCTAATCGGTTATGTCATCTATAGATTACAGACATTGTATAGAAAACCACTGTGAAAATCCCTATCCTGTTTTGTTCAGATCTAATTACCGGTGCATGCAGCCCCCAGTCACATACCTCCTGCTTGCTCAATAGATCACGACCCTCTCATGGGCACCCCCTTAGAGTTGTGAGCCCTTTAAAGGCACAGGAATTGCTCAATCAGGGAGCTCAGCTCTTGAGACAGGAGTCTTGCCGATGCCCCCAGCCGAATAAACCCCTTCCTTCTTTAACTCAGCGTCTGAGGAGTTTTGCCCACGGCTTGTCCTGCTACAAGAACACATAGCCTCCTGAGCTAAAAAAGCATGCTGTAAGATGTACAAAAGCTTGCTTTTACTTCTCCTGGAAACATTTCTACATGCCATAAAAATTAGATCTGTAGCCATTTGCTTCTCTTATTAATTGAATAATAAATTGAATAATAAAACTTCTCTTATTAATTGAATTGTTACCTCCCAAGACATGGATTACCTCAGAAGGTGACTGGAGAGGGAAATATTCCTAAGTATTTCCATTTCTAGGAGGAACAAGCCAGAGTTCTAAGTCAGAAGAGCTTAAAGGCAAGGGGCTATCAAACTCCTGCAGAGACTGTATTTGCATACCAAAGGAGTTGAGTCAGGAGGAAACTCTTTCAGGAGCAATGGGGGATAACTTCTTGCTTCCCCGTTATAAGAAGAGAAAAATCCTTTTTCCTCCTTCCTCACCTACGGGTTATCCAGCTGCGTGTGTAAGACAGTTGGTCTGATTATCATCATGTCACCCTAGGGGCAAGGGTTCGGGCAGAGGGGAGATTGGTGCTCTTATTATTCACTGTGAGGTGTTTAATAAAGCATCCATTTCTCATCCAGAACACTTCATGAGGCACACTCAAGCCAAAAGTAATAGAGATTAACATTATAAACCTAACACACGACCTATAGGAACTTCTGTGTAGCCATTCCTTGGTCTTATATTTGTTTTTTAAATAATTATTACTGTTGTTGTCTCTCCCACATGGATGTCAGCTTTCAGCAAACAAACTCATCTCCCCCAGTGCCTATCACCCCTCCCCACTCCTCCTGTCCACTCCTCCTGTCATCCATTTCTCTCTTCCAGAAGCTTCATCTGTGTTTACTATTTTCCTTATTGTCCCAATTATAGCACATTTCTCCTCATTGTAATGCTGTTGTTTTCCATAGGGATCTCTTTCCACAATGACACAGAAATGCTATAATCTAGTTGTACACAGCTGAAATAGTGGGTCAGCCACTCTGGATGAGCTGTGAAAGAGGCATCATAAATTTTTAATATCATTTCCTTCCACTAGCCCATATCAGTGAAAAGAATACAGACGGTGGCAAATGACTGCATACAAGGCAGGGGTTTGTGATCTGCGGTTGTAGTGTCCATGCTAACAATTCTCCTACTTAATATATTCACGGAAATTCCCACACCTACTTAACATATTCATGAAACTTCAGGACTCCCTTAAAATATTCATGAAACTTTCTCATTTTTGGTTCTACAGTGGTCACAAAAATTATTATAAATAGATAAGGTGGGAAAGGTAATCTGAGGCCAGAGTATGTAAACCTCTCTCAATAGTGTTAGTATGTAGTCAGGGATAGAGACTATATCGAATGAATTTTGACTTCTCCAAACATCTAATACCATACTTCACACACAATTAAGCCATATGAGATTAAATACTTGTTGAATCAAGTAATTTCTATTAAAAAAAATAAAAGTGACCAATGGAGAATGAACTGAATACTGTCAATGAAAAAATTACTCTCTGCAAAAAAACAAGTTACCATAGTGTCAGTGCATGGGAAAATAATTACACCTACACAGTTACTGGCCATATTAATGTGTTCATCCTCTTAGGAGAACAATTTGAGAATTTTGATCAAACTTTTCCTACACACATCTTTTCTTCTTTTTCTTTTTTCACAGCAACTGCCACCTCCAGGACTCAAGTGTTCCCTCCTGAGTAGATGGGACTACAGAACCATGTTACCATGCCCAGCTAACATTTGTATTTTTGTAGAAACAGGGCGTTGCCATCTTGCCCAAACTGGTCTCAAACCCCTAGGCTCAAGTGGTCCACCTGCCTTGGCTTCCCAAAGTGCTGGGATTACAGGCATGAGCCACTGCACCCAGCCATTATACACACCCTTTGATTTATCAATTCAACTTCTAAAAATTCATCTTACAGATAATCTTGCCAATATACAAAAAAAAAGAATGTGCACAGATAAATTTTTGTTGCATTTTTTCTAAAACCAAAGAAAAATAACTTATATGTCTGTTACTAAAGGGCTAACTAAATATTAGTTTCATTTATTTGGAATATAACACAGCTATTTTATTTATTTGGAATATAACACAGCTATAGCTATTACTATTGTCATTGTTATGAGCCAAAATATGGCAGATGTATATGTGCTGATGTAGAAAGCTCTTCAAGAGAAATTGGTACTTGGGGGAAAATCTATTAAGATATAGAAGAGTATGTTTACAATAATATTGTATCCTATTGTATAAAAGTAAACACACACACATACACACACACACAGTGATAGCATGGAAATTTCCTGAAATAGATAAGAAATATTTCATAGTAGCAAACGAAGGAGCGGAGCAGATGAAAGAGACCTACACTTCCTTCTGAACTCACTGTTGGAATTTTTATTCTGGGTCTGTATTGTTTTATTTATCATAATTAAACAGTTAAGAACAGAAAAAAAGGAAGTCCTAGTGTTGCAAAGCTAGAAGGGGCATTAATGGTCATTAGCTCAGAAAGGAGAAGTGACAAATGAGTTGTGTGAGGGCATACAACTATTTGGTGGCAGAACTGCAACTAGGACCAGGTTTTCTCACTCCTACTTCGAGATTCTTAACCAAGTGTCTTAAATAATATGCATGCTGGCTACCATTTATCAAGCATCTACTATGTGCAAGACATTATACAAGAACACTTGACAGAGAGTATCTCTAATTCTTACAGGAACCATTCAGAGTAGGGGTTGAAAATGTTGCGTTATTCACCTTTCAGAAGGTTTTTACAGCATAGAGCAAATCCCCATTTTAAAGTAAATGCCCTGGAGTACTAGGAATTTCACATATATTATCTCTGTTATCTCTATTACCCTAAAAAGGTATTTATTATATCATTTTCATTTATAGGTTAAAAAATATACAAGTAACTTACCAATGATCATATAGCTGGTATGTGGTGAACCAAGGACTTCAACTAAAATTTGCCCAACTCCCAAATTCCTCATTTTGATACTACTCCATATTCTATTGTTTGAGACCATGAACACTCTGGGAGAACTTGATTTAAAGTTTTGCTTAATTGCAAGGGTAACTTATGTGTTGGCTATTACCAGTAAATCAGCAATATTGTTCCTTTGTGTATTGACACTCCACTCAAAAATCATAAATTTTATTGCCCAATTATATCATCTTAGCTCTTTCATTACCATGCACTCTCTTTGATTCCTGAGCCAAAGCCTTATCACCAGCATTGCCTGTTGACATACAAGCCCTGGCTTGCTGCAGAAAAATAAATCCTAAAAACACAACAGAGTCCAATTCCAAGTCTCCCCAACTATAGCTACTTCTCCTCTTTTGGAAGATATTACAAAAATCACAAAATAAAAGTCTTGGTGTTACAAACTAATTACTGTACATCTGCCACAATAATTACCATATTCAGCAATTTACAATTACAGTCCAATTCCTTTATAATTGAGCTCCACACAGCTCCCAGTGATAGCTATTTTAGTTTCAAGACTTAAAATTCAACTCCACAATTTTGTTCATCGCTAACATGAAAATGCATGGTTTCAACTCTACATACTAACAAAGTGCCAATGGGTCCCAAGGTTTCAGCTTCTTGAACCTACATTTTTCTGTTTTTCATCTTTGGGCAATATAACTTAGCCTTATTTCCATGTATATATTTAAACAATGAAAATATTTATTGACATGGTTACATTTCTCTTTTGCCTAGCGTGAATCTCTCATCTTAAGCAGGGATATAACTAATGAGTGTCTCATGACGGTTGCCCTATATCAACAGTTTCTTTAAAAGTTTTACTGAGATGTAATTAGCATATAAAAATGACACACATTTACAGTGTAAAATTTGATAAATCTCATCATAGATGTATATACCTGTGAAACCATGCCCACAATCGAACTAATAAACATTACCCCCAATGAACTCTTTGTGTACCTTTGTAATCTCACCTTCTACCATTCCTCATTCCTGGCAACCACTGATCTGTTTTCTGTCACTCTAGATTAATTGGTATTATTATCTTTTTTTTTTTTTTTTTTTTTTTTTTTGAGACAGAGTCTCGCTCTGTCACCCAGGCTGGAGTGCAGTGGCACAATCTAGGCTCACTGCAAGTTCCGCCTCCCAGGTTCTCGCTATTCTCCAGCCTCAGCCTCCCGAGTAGCTGGGACTACAGGTGCCCACCACCGCGCCCGGCTAATTTTTTTGTATTTTTAGTAGAGACAGTGTTTCACCATGTTAGCCAGGATGGTCTCAATCTCCTGACCTGGTGATCCGCCCGCCTCGGCCTCTCAAAGTGCTGGAATTACAGGCGTGAGCCACTGCGCCCGGCCTACATTATCTATTTTTACACAAATGGAATCATACATTATGTACTATTTTTTGGTCTGGCTTGTTTTATTCAGTATACTTATTTTGGAATTTATTCACGTTACATGTTGTGCATAGAAAGAGTTAATTCCTTTTAACTTCTGAATAGCATTCCATTGTATGTATATGCCACCAGTTGTTTATCCATTCAGTTATAGATGAACAATTAGGTTGTTTCCAATTTAGGGCTAATAAAAATAAAGCTGCTCTGGACATTCATGCAGAAGTCTTTGTATGGATTTATGCTTTCACTTCTCTTGAGTAAATACTTAGAAATGTAACAACTGAATCATGAGGTAAGATTGGATATAACTTTTTAGTAACTGCCAAACTGTTTTCCAAATTGGTTTACATTACCATCAGCAATGTATGAAAGTCCTAGTTCTCCACATCCTTGCCAACACTTGGTATGGCCAGTATTTTTAATTTTAACCATTCTCATTGAGTTTTCAATGTACTTAACATATGCTGGATACAAATTCATGTAAGATATATGATTTGCAAATATCTTTCCCCAGTCTCTGGCTTGTCTTTTCATTTTTTAACAGTGTCTTTCAAAAAGCAAAAGTTTTAAGTTGAGGAAGTTCAACTTATCTTTTTTTATATAAATAGTGCTTTTGATATTATATCTAAGCAACTTTTACCTAACCTAAAGCTATAAAACTTTATTCTGGAAGTTGTATAGCTTTAGGCTTTACATTTATGCCTATGATGCATTTTGAATTAATTTTTGCATATGGTATAAAATATAAATTAAAGTTCGTTCTGTTGCATTTTGACAGTCAATTTTTCCATCACTATTTGTTAAAAAAGCTATCCTTTCTACACTGAAATTATTTTGCACATTTGTCAAAAATTAATTGTCTCTGTATATGTGAGTCTGTTTTTAGACTCACTTCTATCCTATGGATCTATTTGTTATCTTTATAAGCTTTGTTCCTCAGTGCATTATCTTTCTCAGTCTTTTACTATTAACCAGTTTGTGCCTTGATATTTAAAACACGTTTTTATTCACAAAATATAATTTGGTCTTGGTTTTTCCTGAGAATCTCTGCCACATAATTGGTATGTTTAGATCACCCATATTTAACATGATTATCGATATGGTAAGATATGATTTTGTTATCTTGCTATTTGTTTGATCTATTCCTTGTTAACATTTTTCTCTGTCTTTTGGGGGCTATTTTTATGATTACATTTAATCTCCATTGCTGGCTTTTTGTCAGCTATAACTTTGGTTTTGTTTGTATAGAGTTTTTGTTAGTATTTATTTTAAGGATAATAGCATACATCTTTTACTTATCACAGTCTACCTTCAAATAATATTATACCACCTCATATATAGTATGCTTCCATTTCTCTTCTCTAGGCCTTTGTGCTATTGTTACATATTTTGCTCTGATATGTATTATAAATCCCGTACTACATATTTTTTAATTCTAACCATTAATTACTTTTTAAAGAGATTCAAATAAAAAGTCTTATATCTCTCTGTAGTTATCATATCTGATGTTCATTTCTTTGTGTAAATCCATATTTTCATTATCATTTACTTTCTGCCTGAAGAGCTTCCTTTAATATTTCCTATAGTTCAAATCGGCTGGTGATAAATTATTTTTAGCTTTTAAGTAGCTGAAGAAGTCATTACCCTTCCTTTTTTTTTTTTTTTTTTTTTTTTTTTTTTTTTTTTTTTTTGAGACAGTCTCACTGACACCCAGGCTGGAGTGCAGTGGCATGATCTCGGCTCACTACGGCCTCCACCTCCTGGGTTCAAGAGATTCTCCTGCTTCAGCCTCCCAAGTAGCTGGAACTACAGGCACACGCAAACCATGCCTGGATAATTTTTGTATTTTTTGGTAAAGATGGGGTTTTACCATGTTGCCCAGGCTGGTCTCGAACGCCTAAGCCCAGACAACCCGCCCTCCTATGCCTCTCAAAGTGCTGGGATTACAGGCATGAGCCACTGCACCTGGCCACGCTTTTATTTTTTAAATATATTTTCTGAGTGTAGAATTCTAGATTGAGTTTTTTTCTTTTATTACTCTGAAGATGTTGTTCCACTATCATCTTCTTACTTGCATTGTTTATGAGAAGTCTGCTGTTTTTTTTAATCTTTGCCCGGTGTGTGTCTCATTTTCTCTGCCTGCTTTTAAGATTTTTCTCCTCATCAGTGGTTTTGAGCAAACTGATCATGTATTGAATTTGTGCGATTTTATGTTTTTTTATGCTTGGAGTTCTTGAATTGATCAGCTTATTGTTTTCATTAAATTTGGGGGATTTTTTGGCCACTATCTCTTCAAAATTTTTTCTATACCTCCCTCACTTTTTTCTTCAAGAATTGCTATTACCCATATATTAGGAAACTTGAGGACATCTCAGCTTACTGATGCTCTGTTCATTAAAGTATTTTCCTCACTCTTTGATTTGGGATAGTTTCTATTCCTATGTCAAGTTCACTAATCTTTTCTTCTTTAATGTCTAACCTGTCACTATTTCTCTCTTGTGTATTTTCACTACACACATTATGATGTTCATCTCTAGATATTGAATTTCAATCTTTATATCTTCCATGTCTCTACTGAATTTTTGAATGTATGGAAAACAATTATAACAACTGTTTTAATGTCCCAATCTGCTAATTCTAACGTCTGTGTCAGGAATAGGTCAGTTTTGACTTATGGATTTTTCTCCTTTTATGGGTTGTATTTTCCTACTTTTTCAATTGCATGGTCATTTTCTGCCAGATCCTAACACTTACCTTGTTAATTGAAGATTTTTGTATTCGTATAGATTTTTATAATATTGATTCTGTGATAGTTACTTGGAATCAATCTTCCTTTTCAGTCTTGCTTTTAAGATTTACTAGGCAAGGCTGGAGCAGTACTACGTAGAGCTGATTCTTCCCCAGCACTGAGTCATATCTCATCTGTATACTCTACTCAAAACCTACATGAATTGTAGGTTTTCCAGTCTGACTGGTGGGAACAAGCACTTTTTCTGGTACTTTTGTGGACACCTGGTACTTTTTTCCCTTTAATTTTTTGGATGGTCTTTCTCCACCTCAGGTTTCCTCACACACATTTTGATCAGTACTCTGCTCAATGGTCAAGTGTGATCCTCTGTAGAACTTTGGAGCTGTCCATGTATCTCTCCCCTCTTCAGTCCTTTGTCATGGGAACTCTGGATATCTTAAGTACTTCATACTCGAGACTATCTTCTCAGCTCTTTGCATCACCCTGCACATGCCTCTGCCTGATTTCCTCATCTCTATACTATGGTCTGGAAGCACTCTCAAAGCAGTAAGCTGGGGCAATTGTAGGACAAACCTCATTTGTTTCCCATTTCACAGGGATCCCTGTTCTTTGATGTTCAATACCTCAAAAGCCATTGTTATATATATTTTATCCAATTTTTCTGATTGTTTCAAGTGGAAGGATAAATCCAGTTTCTATTACTTCATCAAAACCATGAGTGAAACCCAAAGTCAATATTAATACATTAGGGTTGCAGAACTACTCTAGAAAATTTAATCACAAGAGGTATATACGCTGAAGTGAGACAAGTGCTGATCTAGGAGCCTACAAGTCCCGTTCCTACTATTAACTAGCTGTGTGGCCTTGGAAAGTGACCTTACCTCTCCAAACATCACTTTCCTACTGAAAAATATAAGACAATTGTAGATCTCATATCTCTAACATGTTTTCATTTTTAAAAATATATATATTTATACATACATATATATACATATATGTATCTTAAGCAGACAGACAGACTTACAGAGAGAAAAATAAACCCACACTGTGCCAGGCCAGCAATAAACACAGACTTGGGTTCCACCTTCGTGAAGCCTAGAACAGTTTTTGAAAAACTGCATTTTTAAAGAAATTATTTGTTGTTTGACAAGTTGTACATGTTTATTGTATATATTGTGTTTTGAAATCTATGACTACAATATATTGTTATTAACTATATTCACCATGTTGTTCACTAGAGGTCTTGAATTTATTTCTTCTAAATAACTGAAATTTTATATCCCTTGTATCCCAACCTCCATACCCCAGCCCATGGTAACCACTATTTTGTTCCCTACTTCTACAAGTTTAGCTTTTTTAGATTCCACATATAAGTGAGATCAGGCCATATTTGTGTTTCTATGCCTGGCATAGTTTACTAAATATAACATCCTCCAGGTTCATCCATGTTGTCACAAATGACAGAATTTTTTTTAAGGTTGAATGGTATTTTATTGTGTATATATACTTAATTTTCTTTATCAACCAACCAATTGATGGATACAAGATGATTCCATATCTTGGCTATTGTGAATAGTGCTGCAATGTGCATGGGAGTACACATACACATACCTCAATATACTAATTTTAGATCTTTGGAGATATACCCCATAAGGGTATATAAATAGCTTTATTTGAAAATTTGTAGGCATCTCCATACTGAGAAACTACTGCGTTTTAAGGGAAAATGTTGAATGCCTTGATGCAACTTATTTCATCTATGATTAAATATTTTATTCATACTACATGACCCAATATTCATATTTCATCTCCTCTTCAATGTCGCCTAGGGTATCTACATTCATCTCAGATCTCAAAAAATTACATATACACATATACACACACACACAGATATACTTGTAGATACGTGCATATATACTGAATGTTACTTGGTTAGCTTACTTAAGGCATTCTAAAATTCATCCATTTACTCAACTAATACAAGCTGAACCCATACTCTGGGCCAGGAATTGTGCTAGGCATCAAAGTTATAGCAATAAACAAAATTTGGTTTCTTCCCAAAATTTTTATAATCTAGTATGTGTAACAGACAATTATAGTGTAGGGTGATACAGTGTTACAGTTGGAAGAGGTCCAGGATGAAACTGGAACACACAGAAATGAGACCTACCAATGTCTCAGGGTCATTGGTGGTGTCATGTGAAGATGATTTCATCTCACTCTGTCACCCAGGCTGGAGTGCTGTGGTGCCATCTTGGCTCACTGCAAACTCCACCTCCCACGCTCCAGCGATTTTTCCACCTCAGTCTCATGAGTAGCTAGGACTAGAGATACTCCTAGCTATATAACTGGATAATTATCCACCGTAACTGGATGATTTTATATTTTTTGTAAAGATAGTGTTTCACCATATTGCTCAGGCTCAAACTGAGCTCAGGCAATCTACCCACCTTGGCTTGCGGAAATGCTGGGATTACAGGCGTGAGCCACCATTGCTGACCTCATGAAGAAAATGTCTAAGTTAAGAGTTAAATAAAGATTAACAGTTAGCCAATCTGAGTTCTGCTCCTGCTTAAGTCATGTGAAAAATGTCATTTCTGCCAAACAACATGAAATCACACAACCAACCAGAAATTGTCAGACTAGGGAAAAAAAGCAAGACTCAACTATATATTGTTTATAGCAATTGCAATTAAATAAAAATATACACTCAGATTGAAATTAAAACATTTGAAAAAATACACCATGCAAACACTAAGCTAAGAAAGCTGTAGTGGCTATCTTAAATCAAACAATATTGGCTTCAAGAATACCACCAGAAGGAAAGAAGGATTTTTCATATTGATTGAAAGGTCAATTCATCTGGGAGACATAACAATCCTAAATGATTTTTCAATGAATAACATAGGTTTAAATTACACAAATCAATACTTGACACGTTTACATGTGAGAAATAGAGCAATAATTATGGTTAGAGATTACAATGCCCCTATCTTAGTAACTGATGATAGAAACAGAAAAGATATCCGTAAGAATAGAGAAGATTTGAACATTATCAACCAATTTGACAAAATGGGCATTTATAGAAATCTATCCTCAACAACTGTAAAATGCATACTCTTTTTAAGTGCATGTAAAACATTCAGAAAAATGGAACATATGCTGGGTCACTAACAAAAAGCCTCAATAAATTCAAAGGATTGAAATTACATAGATTATTTTCTCTGATGACAACTACATTAAATTAGAAACCAATAATAATAATTAATGTAGCAAAAGAAACAAATATTTTAAAACTAAGTAATAGACATCTAATATCCATGGGTCAAAGAAGAAATCACAAGTAAAATTAGAAAGCATTTTTAACTGAATAACTACAACATATACAATGAAATTTGTGAGAGGTAGCTATAGCAGTCTTCAAAGGAAAATTTATATCCTTAATGCTTATATTAGATGAGAAGAAAGGCATAAAATAAGTAATCTGTTCTTTAATCTTAAGAAGCTAGAGGAAAAAAGAACAAATATAAAGTAAAATAGTGGAAATAATACAGATAATAGGAGACATCAATACAATTAGTAACAAACAATTGAAAAAAATCAGTAAGACAACAGAACTGTTTTTACCAAGGTTAGTAGAATAAATAAATCCAGGGCTATGCTATTGAGAGATAGAAGAAAGAACACAAATTATCTGTATCTCTATAGATTCTATGGTCATTAAAGGATAATAAGGATATACTATGAACAACTTTATACAAAATAACTTGACTGCTTAGATAAAATGGAAAAATTCCTTCAACATACAACTTACCATAACAAGAAGAAACAAAAAAATCTTAATAACCCTATCTATATTTTAAAATTAAACTCATAACAAAATCTCACAAACAAAACCTGAGGTTCAAAGAGCCATCATGGTGGTGGTGTTTAAATGGCCCTCTCATTTCTGAATAATTTCCTGGTGACTTCTATGAAACATGGAAGAATAAAATAAGACCAGTTTTATACACTTTTAAAAAACAGTCACAACCCAACTCATTTTATAAGGCTAGCATAATCTTGATAGCACATCTTTAAGAGGTCAAGAACAAAAAAGAAACTTACAGACCAGTGTCCTTCATAAATATAGATGCAAAAATTCTAAAAAAAGAAGTCAAAGTAAATCTAGCAATACAGAAAAGGAATAACGCATCATGAGCAAATGAGGCTTATCCTAGGAATGCAGGGTTGGTACAACATTCATAAATCTATTAATTTAATTCATCACATTAACAGAATAAAGGCAAAAGACATATGACCACATTACTAGATGTAGAAAAGGTATTAGACAGAATTTAATTTTCAGTCATATTAAAAATATCTCTCAGCATATAAAAAATTGAGGGATTTTTTTCCATCTGATCAAAAGCTTCTACAAAAATTCTATAGCTAACATCATACTTAATGATTAAACATTAAATGATTTTTGTTTATAATTGGGAATAGGAAAAGTTAGTCAACTTTTCACAATTATGTTTAACATAATAGTTAATACTAGAGGTTCTAACAGGTACAACAAGATTAGAATGAAATAAGTAAAACTATCTTCATTATTAAAAATATGATTGTTTACATAGTATCCACTAAGGAATTTATCCCAAATAACCTACTACTATCAACAAGGAAATTTAGCAAAGACACAGGATAAAAATTCAGAATCAATTATATTTATTCACAAAATCAATTGCATTCATGTGCAATAAGAAAAATAATTGGAGAATTAAACAATGCCACTTATAATGGCATCTAAAAATGTAAAATACTTTGGAACAAATGTAACAAAAATAAGACTACTATACTGTAAAGTATAAAATATTACAGAGAGAAACTAAAAAAGACTAAAAATCTGGAAAAAATAAACTTTATTTGTCGATTGGAAGATTCAGTATTGTAAAATTGCCATGTCTACCCAATCGTATCATGTCAAAATCTCTGCAGGTATGGCAAGATAATTCTAAAATTTACTTAGAAATACAAATTACTTTGAATAGCCAAAAAAATTTTTGAAAAAGAACAAAGCTGAATAAATTATACAACATGCTTTCAAGGTTTACTATAAGCCTAGAACAATCAATTCAGTGTGGTATATATGAAGTATACGTAGTTAAATGGAAAGAAAATAGATCAGAGATACATCCAAATATATGCAATTAATTTATTTTAATTTACTTTAAAGTTAACAAGGCTGCCAAGGTAATTTCATAGGAAAATATTGTTTTTAAGAAATTCTATTGGAAAACCTTGACATAATTATAAGACAGTATAAATTAATTCTTTACTCTTACCTCACACAATATACAAAAAGTTATTCAAGATAGATCATAGACGTAGGGATAAAAGCTAAAAATATAAAACTCCTAGAAGAAAACAGAAAATATCTCCATATCCTGGTGTAAGCCAGGTTTCTTAGAATACAAAAAAGCCTCAGCTATAAAAGAAGATTAATAAATTGGACTTCATCCAAACTTAAAGCTTCTATTCTTCAAAATGCACTATAAAGAAAATAAAAGATAAGCCAGATTGGGAAAAAAATTCACAATACATAGATAGAGCAAAAAACTTAAGTTAGACTAGTGAACAATACAGTCAGGTTGCCTAAAAGTGATCCCAAGAAAACAAAGGGTCTGCTTAATACCTTCTTTGTGCAAATGTGCAGAGAAGAACCTAACAAGAAAAACCCAGAGGTCCCTGTCAATTTTGCAAAATTTTCCAAGCAGTGCTCTGAGAAGTGGCAGACAATGTCTAGGAGAGAGAAGTCTAAATTTGATGAAGTGGCAAAGGTGGATAAAGTACTCCATGTTTGGGAAATGAAGGATTATAGATCAGCTAAGGGAGGCAAGAAGGACTCTAATGCCCTCAAAAGGCCACCGTCTGGATTCTTCCAGTTCTTTTCAGAAGTCTACCCCAAGATCAAATCCACAAACCCTGGCATCTCTATTGGAGATGTGGCAAAAAAAAGCTGGGTGAGATGTGGAATAACTTAAGTAACAGTGAAATGCAACCTTGCATCAGTAAGGTGGTGAAGCTGAGGGAGAAGCATGAGAAAGATGTTGCTGACTGTAAGTCTAAAGGAAAGTTTGATGATGAAAAGAATCCTACTAAAGTTGCCCAGGAAAGATGGAAGAGAAAGATGAAGAAGAGAAGGAAGTAGAGGAGGAGGAGCAAGAATGAAAAAATTGTTTATCTGTCTCCTTGTGAATACCTGAGGGTAGGGGAATGCCATAATTGACACATCTCTTATTTGAGAGGTGTCTGCTGCCTTCTGTATTGGTCAGTTCTCAAGCTGCTAATAAAGACATATCAAAGACTGGGTAATTTTTAAAGAAAAAGAGGTTTAACAGACTCACAGTTCCACATGGCTAGAGAGGCCTCATAATCATGGCAGAAGGCAAAGGAGGGGAAAGGTATGTATTACATGGCAGCAGGTAAGAGGCCATGTACAGGAGAACTCCCCTTTATAAAACCATCAGATCTCCTAAGACCTATTCACTATCATGAGAAAAGCATAGAAAAGATCCCCCCCATGATTCAACTACCTCCCACCTGGTCCCTCCCATGACACATGGAAATTAAGGGAGCTACAATTAAAGATGAAATTTGGGTGGGGACACAGCCAAACCGTATTATTTCACCCCTGACCCCTCCCAAATCTCATGTCCTCACATTTCAAAGCCAATCATGCCTTACCAACAGTCCCTCAAAATCTTAACTCATTTCAGCATAAGCTCAAAAGTCCACAGTCCAAAGTCTCATTCAAAATAAGGCAAGTCCCTTCTGCCTATGAGCCTGTAAAATCAAAAGCAAGTTAGTTACTTCCTAGATACAATGGGGTACAGGCATTCAGTAAATGCAGCCATTCCAAATGGGAGAAATTGGGGAAAACAAAGGGTCTACAGTCCCCATGCAAGTCCAAAATCCAGTGGGGCAATCAAATCATCTTAAAGCTCCAAAACGATCTCCTTTGAGCCCATGTCTCATATCAAGGGAGTGCTGATGCAAAAGGTGGACTCCCACGGACTTGGCCTGCTCCACCCCATGGCTTTGCAGGGTACAGCTCCCCTCCTGGCTGCTGTCAGAGGCTGGCATTGAGCGTCCACGGCTTTTCCAGGTGCATGAAAAGCTGTTAGGGAATCCACCATTCTGGGGTCTGCAGGATGGTGGCCCTCTTCTCAGCTCCACTGGGCAGTGCCCTGGTGGAGACTCTGATCCCACATGTCCCTTTGGCACTGCCCTAGCAGAGGTTCTCCATGAGGGTTCCACCACTGCAGCAAACTTTTCCCTGGACATTCAGGGGTTTCCATACATCCTCTGAAATCTAGGTAGAGGTTCCCAAACCTCAATTCTTGACTTATGTGCACCTGCAGGCTCAATATCACATGGAAGCTGCCAAGGCTTGGAGCTTACACTCTCTGAAGCCATGGCCCAAGCTGTACCTAAACCCCTTTTAGCCACAGCTGGAATGGCTGGCACAGAGGGCACCAAGTCCTAAGGCTGCACACAGCAGGGGTGGCCTGGGCCCAGGAAACCATTTTTTCCTCCTAGGCTTCCAGGCCTGCAATGGGAGGGGCTGCTGCAATGGTCTCTGACATGCCCTGGAGACATTTTCCCCATTGTCTTGACGATTAACGTTCTGCTCCTTGTTACTTATGTGAATTTCTGAAGCAGGCTTGAATGTCTCCCCAGAAAATGGGTTTTTCTTTTCTGCTGCATCATCAGCCTGCAAATTTTTCAAACTTTTATACTCTGCTTCCTCTTGAACACTTTGCCACTTAGAAATTTCTTCCACCAGATACTCTAAATCATCTCTCTCTAGTTCAAAGTTCCACACATCTCTAGGGCAGGGGCAAAATGTCACCAGTCTCTTTGCATAGAAAGAGTGACCTTTACTCTGGTTCCCAACAAGCTCATCATCTCCATCTGAGACCACCTCAGCCTGGACCTTATTGTCCATATCACTATCAGCATTTTAGTCAAAGCCATTTAACAAGTCTCTAGGAAGTTCCAAACTTTCCCACATCTTCCTGTCTTCTGAACCCACCAAGTCTCTAGGAAGTTTCAGACTTCCCACATTTTCCTATCTTCACCTGAGCCCTCCAAACTATTCCAACCTCTACCTGTTACCGAGTTCCAAAGTTGCTTCCACATTTTCAGATATCTTTACAGCAGCGTCCCACTACCTGGTACTAATTTACTGTATTAGTTCTCATGCTGCTAATAAAGACATACCAGGGACTGGGTAATTTATAAAGTAAAAGAGGTTTAATGGGCTCACAGTTTCACATGACTGGGGAGACCTCACAATCATGGTGGCAGGCAAAGGAGGAGAAAGGCATATATTACATGGCAACAGGCAAGAGGGAGCTTGTATAGGGGAATTCCCCTTGATAAAACCATCAGATCTCATGAGACTTATTCACTATCATGAGAATAGCACAGGAGAGACCCACTCCCATAATCCATTATCTCCCACCAAGTCCCTCCCATGACAAATTTAATCACAATCATACTGTAGTCTCTCAAAGTACTCTAGAAATTGTCAGTGGTTTATATGAAGTGGCCACGGGTGTCTGGAGCACTGTGAAACTGCACAAGAGTTGTACATATTTCCAAGTATTTTTAAAATGAAAAGGCACTTTTGTATTTTCCTCATTCTGTGTACTTTGCTGTTGGCGTGACAAGGCATTTAAAGATATTTCTGGCATTTTTATTTGCAAGGTGGTGTTAATTATATGGTTATGAGCGAGAAACACTGAGTTATCAACTGTATGTATTTATAGTTTCTAAAAAGAACAGAACAACAAAGGCAAACTACGGATGCTCCTTGCTTGGTGTTGAGGCTGTGGGGAAAGGTGCCTTTTGGAGGCACCCAAGCTCAGGGCATGCACTGTGAGGTTGGACCTGTTGACTCTGCAGTGCATCTATTTAGCTTCAGATTGGCTTGTTTCTGTATATAGTGACATAGCATTCTGTTGCCATTCTTAGCTTTGGACAAAGCGGGGTCAGCTGACATGAGCAGTGTTTAGATTTTTTTTTTTTAGTTAAGTGCAATAGTTTCTAAACTGTTTTTAACAAACTGTAGAACTCTTGTCAGCAAAGTGAAGAACCCCTGCATCAATGAAAGTTCAAGAACCTTCTGCACTTAAACATAATTTGCAACATTCTATTTATTTTTGTATGTTTAGAATGTTGAAATGTTTTTCAAGAGTAATAAGTTTTTTAAAAAAACTTAAATTCAGAATATATAAAGAACTCCTAAAACTTAATATTTTAAAGTGAGACAAATTAAAAAGTAGCCAAAAGATTCAAGCACAGATTTCTCAGAAGATATGTGAATGGCCTAGAAACACATGAAAATATATTTAACACCATTAGTCATCAGGGAAATGCAAATCAAAACCACGATGAGATATCACTTCACAGACACTAGAACCATTAAAATTAAACACTAACAATGCAAAATGTTGGTGATGAAATGGAGCCACTGGAAATCTCCTAGACCACTGGTGGGAATGCAAAAAGATGCAACTACTTTAGAAAACAGGTAAACACCCGTTGGATGACCCAGCAATTCTCCTCCCAGGTATTTACTCAAAAGGAATAAAGCCATGTGTTCACAAAAAGTACAAACATTTTTATAGAACCTTTATTCATATTAGCCAAAAACTGGTAACACTCCAGATACCTCTTTCAACAGGTAAAACAATGTTAAAAGTATGGTAAATTCATGCAATGGACTCAGTAACAAAACAAAAACCAAAAGAAAACAGAAGAAATACCACATTATGAATAAATCTCAAAAACATTATGGTGAATGAAAGAAGCCAAAACAAAAGAGTACATACTGTATGATTTCAGTAATTCTAGAACACAAACAAGACTAAGCTATGTTAACAGAAATCAGATCCAGCTGGGCAGAAAGAGTCAAGGGTTGGGGTAGTGAGTACAGAGGACTTTTCTAGGCAACAAAAATGTTCTTGATTAGGGTAGTGGCTACACCAATATATTCATTTGTCAAAGCTCATTTAACTATATACTTAAGATGTGGGTGTATCATCTTATGTAAATTATATATAAGTATTTTTAAGTGTATCAATCTATGGGAAGAAAGAAAGGCTATTCAGGCAGTGGGACAGCCTTTGCAAAGTCTCAGAAGAGAAAAGGAAAGTGCTACAAGGTTGTTTATAAATTACCTGTTGGATGCTTAGTAGCCTATTTTAATCCTCTCTATCCTACCTATGTGTTTTAACTGAATTGTTCATGTCAACAAGGGGATCTCAGCAGCCTCACTAGAGGCTGTTCTCCAAAAGGATGCATGTGTGCTATGGTATAGTATAATAAGTGCTTAAGACTTGGGCTCTAGAGACAGGAAGACTGAATTCAAATCCGAGCAACACCTCCATTCCTGTTTAGTGGTTGTGACAGCTTAGGCAAGTATTTGTTTTCTCAATGCCTCTATTTTTATATCTCTAAAATGGAGATGATGAGTGTACCTTCCTTCCGAGGTTATTATAAGGATTATGTGAGTTAATACATGCAAAGTATTTAGTGCCCATCATGTAATGAATATTAATACATATTTATTATTATTGAGGACAGGGTTTCTATCTCCTTTATTCATCACCACTTCCTGGTATATAACAGATTCTCAATTAATACACTGTATTTACTAGTTGTCAATAAAAGAAAAAGAAGTCTGCTTGCTGAATCTAGGATACAAAGAAGGGGAATGTACTAACTACCTATTTCTTTTCTTCTGCAGCCCTTAGTCTAGAAAATGATCTGTTTTTAGTCGTGGCATTTACCCTGCAGGTGGAAGCTTCTCAACACCTCCCAACAGCACACTCACCAGAAGCCAGCCCTCTCCTGTGCAGCTATAGAAGTAGAGGAAATTCATCCCAAAAGCCATAGAGAAAATGGAGGAATAATTTTACTCTCAATAACTTTATCTTGCTTACCTAACAACATGTAATACTTGAGAATTACCATGTTTTTGTGTACAATTCTCATTGACCAAAATTATTTCTATTCATTCTGAAAACAGTATACTATAAATCAAATATCTGATATGGCTTCTACTTTTTCTTAGGCAAAGGAGTTCATCACAAACTATCCTCTAAGGAAATCTCCCGTAGTCAGCTCCCTGCTCCATTTTGCTCTTCTCGCAAGGGGTCATTGTAAGTCCTCAATAAATATTGGTTGATTGAACGACTGAGCAGAACTTTAAGACTTAACCTGTTTTGGAGAACAGAAAATAATTCAGAATGGCTGCACCACAGAGTGTGAGAGGGGAAATGGAAAGAAATGAAGCTGAAGAGCAGACCCTGAAGTGCTTTATCATGTCAATGTTTTTTCTTTGCTTTATCCTGAATGAAAGGGGATAGTACAAAAGGAAAGAGTCACCTTGAGTTTTTTGGATAATTCCAAGTATCTCCCATGTTAAACTCTACCATTCTGTTATGAATGTTTATTTGTCCTTAAGCAAAGATTTAATAGAAGCTCATTTTAGAAAACGTAAAAATTCAGAATATAAATTTTAAAAAACTGTATCAATAGTGCTACTATACAGATGGCTCCCAATAATATATTACTATACTTTGTTTTTTCCTATGCATATATCTACATTTCACAAAGTTTATGACCTATCTTTTCACTGATTACAAACTTTTTTTTTCTTTAAGACGGAGTCTCACCTGTCGCCCAGGCTGGAGTGCAGTGGCGCAATCTCGGCTCACTGCAAGCTCCGCCTCCCGGGTTCACTCCATTCTCCTGCCTCAGCCTCCAGAGTAGCTGGAACTACAGGTGCCCTCCACCACGCCTGGCCAATTTTTTGTATTTTCAGTAGAGATGGGGTTTCACCGTGTTAGCCAGGATGATTATAAACTTCTTGATGACAGGGAAAGTATTCTAGTCAACTTTATTTTCTTCACACCAAATGGCCAGCTCTTGATGTACAATAGAGGCCCACTCAATTGATAATGGCCAACACTCACATGATACCATTTATATGCCAGGCACTGGAGGGAACGCTTTGCATGTATTACTCATTTAACTCCCATAGAAACCATATGACATTGGTATTACATCCCTTTTACACATGAGGAAACTAAGATTAGAGAAGCTAAGTCACTTGTCTGAGATCACAGAGCTAGTAAGTGGTAGAGCTGCAACTGGAATGCTCTTAATCACTGCTATTCTGACTCTCAGAATCTGATTTTACTGAGACTGACTTCCCGAATCAGATTTCCTACCAGACTCTGAGAACCACTGACCTAGTCAATTGCCTGTTCTGCAAGAGAGGGAAACAAACCCAGAGAGGGCAAGTGTCTTGCCCCATGGCCACAGAACTTATTATTTATTCAACTAATATGGACGGCAATTAACAAAGATGTGTAATATATATTAGGTTGGTGCAAATGTAACTGTGGTTTTTGCCATTACTTTTAATTATTTTTAATGGCAAAAACCGCGATTAAGTTTGCACCAACCTAATATGTGCCTCATATTGGGCACACAAATTGAGATTCAGAGATAAATAAGAACTAGTCAGGGCCCAAGATTCCAGTCTTCCTCCAGATGCTCCTTCCTCCTCACATGCCTCAGAGGAGAAGTGCAGAGGGTGCATTCAAGAGGAAGACCAGGAATAGCAACAGCAGGGCCTTGGAATGGGTAAAATTGAGGGCAGCTTGATAAATCTCCTAAGTCACTTTTACAACGGGTTTCCTATGACTGCCCTGAGATGGCTAGCAGGGTGTTGTCCACAGAGGGAGCTCCTCAAGCAGAATAGGATTCTATATCTCCATAAATGAAATGGAACTTACAAAATTTGAGACAGATGGAATGGAAGGGGATGGGCTGAGTTGGGATGGAACAGGAGAGCACATGAAGGGATCTGATGACCTTGAATTGAATGTAATCAGATCAAATTCCATCCATAGTGAGTGGGCAGGAATCTATGTTCAACCATCAACACTCTCACTTTCCCCTTATGGCAAGAAATTCTAGGAGGCTGGCAGCCATCTGTGGCAGGGGATGCCACGCTCTATCGTGGCCTCTCAGCCTGATGCAATAGCTCACTGGAATCCCACTTAGAAAGTCCAGGACCTCTAGTATGTCCCAACTCATGGAAAAGGACACCTGAGACCAGAAAAAGAAAAATGCTGAACGTATTATAATGCTATACCTACAGGAAAAAAAAAAAAAAAAAAAAACTAGAATCAGAAAGGCTATATAAGATTTTCAACTTGTGTTCCCCATGTCCCCAAAAAAGTTCCTGACCACTTTGAGGGTAACCACTATGTAGATGAATATGTTACTCACTACTTGAAGAAAACAGACCAATCATCACTTCTCTGTATCCTGAAAAGTGAAAAAATAAGGAGCCCAGGATAATTGGAGACCTTGTCCAATTTCATCTTGAGCTAATGCTAAGAACAGCACCCACTCCCTGTCCCTGAAATCCAAAGCTGTGATTCACCATTACCTCAGCAAGCACTTATGCCACACTCACTTCAAAGTTAGCAGCACCCTCTTGCTCATTTTTGACAACTAGAGCAACTTTATGCAGGGAAATCATCTCCAACAGCACAGAGGCCAATGGGCAGCTCGCCAGAGCAGAGCATCTGCATCAAGGAGGCTTAGAAGACCATTTTGCCTCTGCTGCAGTTTCCTGTGGCTGCTGTGTCAGAATATTTCAAGTCTTTTGTAATTCAGAACATGCTCCTTTGGGGCAAAATTGTGTGGCAGACACAGGCTTTGATGGCCACTATCTTTTCAACCTCATCATTCATGGGTCAGCTCACTCCCCCTGCTTGATCTTCCTGCCTTACGTTGGGGCCAGTAAGCTCTCACTGAATTCTGTACCCACCCTGTTCTTGCTCATTTTCCCGCCTGCAAAGCCATAGAACCTAGTATATGGGGAATAAAGTTTACTTTCCTTTCTCCCCTTTGGATGGCAGCTTAAAATCAGTCCCTGGGGTATCGTAGCATCATAAGTTAGAAAACTCTATGATGGAAACAGGATGACTCTGTTAATTGTTTGACTTCAGCGTGATGATTTTCAGTGGGAGTGAGATAGAGAAACAGATTTTGAGATTAGGCGTTTACTTATATCTGCAGTTTGACAATTTGTATCACAGACGCCGTTACATCTAACCCAAATTCTATATTGTCATTCAGTCATCTGACCAACCTGCTGTATGACCCTCTTCATGTAGTGGGAAATATCTTAGTAGCTGCGGAATGAATATCCAGGTAGAGAGTGGCACATAGGAGCTGCTCCCCAGTTTACATCATTTTACAACTATTATTGTCAGCTCTGCTTGTGGTTTTCCCTGTTCTGTTCTTAAGCAATGGATTATTCTCATATGAGTAGGACAGCAATGATCTTTACGACATTAAATGATGTTAGATGAGATACTTCTCTCCAGACTCTGAACCATTTAGGAGATGCTTTTTCATCCCAGCTTGGGTCAGCCTCCAAGCTGGAATCCATCAGAATCAAGCTACGGAGACTTGATTTTTAAACCCATCTAGGGCTTTTTCCCCTCAGATTCCCTAAAAGTTCCCACATTATCTCCTCTATTTCCTCTTGACATTTAAGTCAAATACACTGAGAAACAAAATATCTTGGAAAACAGTAGTCTGTCTTGTCAAAGTAAATCAGGTCAAGAAAGTGAAAAAAGCAAGAGAACCCTGGAAATAATGGAGAAATTTGAGTACCTTTCAACATTTGTGCCAGAAATCACCAACCCAATGTCCACCTCCCACACATTAAACTTTCCTCCAGAAGACACAAGGACTCCACCTTGCTTTTTTCAATCTCCATTAGAAGCTTTAACTGGGATTTCCAGTTCCTGCTTACTAGAGCTTGAAAGTTCTACTTACTTTGGCAAGGCCTACAAAGATAACCGGAAGATGTCAACAAATGAGTTGGTGCCCTCAGATGTGGCCTGGCCTGTGGTTGCATCTGCTGCTCTACAACTACATATAGCTGGTCCTATGCAACAGTAAAGCGAAGATTTTGACTCAAATGACCTACCATCTCCCATCAAAGTACACCCCAAAGGTATCCCATCGAACGCTAAGGAAATTAAAGAAAAATAATTACATGGCCTTGGATGATCCTCCCATCAGAAGTGGGATCTTTGTCACCTCCCCTTGAATTTGGGCAAATTTGTAGTTACTTAACCTGTAACTCCAATAGAATGTAGTAGAACAGGAACTATAAGACTTTTAAGGCTTAGTCAGAAAAGGTGATAAAGTTTTTGTCTTATTCACTTGGATACTCACATTTAGAACGTTGAGACACCATGAAAAAGTCCAACTTCCTTGAGGCCGCCATGCTGCTAAAAGTCCAGGTCACATGGAGAGGCCATGTGTAGGTATTCTGGGAGAAGCACCAGCTAAGGTCCAAACTGATGGTTGGTGTCAACTGACTCACATGTAAGTGAAGGTGCCTTCCTATGAGTCCAGCTCCAGCCATAAACTCACCCCATCCATTAGGAGGCAAGACAAGGCCCTCCCCACTGTGCCTGGTCTGGAATTCCTCACCCATAGAACTTATTGGCATAATAAAATGGTTGTTTTAAGCTTCTAAGTTTTGTATTAATTTGTAAGCAGCACTAGTAACTATATTAGTCTGTTTTCATGCTGCTGATAAAGACATACCTGAGACTGGGTAATTTATAAAGAATAAGATGTTTAATGGACGCACAGGTCCATACGGCTGGAGAAGGCCTTACAATCATGGCAGAAAGTGAAAGACACACCTTATACGACAACAGGCAAGAGAGAGAATGAGGGCCAAGGGAAAGCGGTTTCCCCTTATAAAACCATCAGATCTCGTGAGACTTATTCACCACCACGAGAACAGTACTGGGGAAACCACCCCTGTGATTCAATTATCTCCCACCAGGTCCTTCCCACAACACGTGAGAATTATGGGAGCTACAATTCAAGATGAGATTTAGGTGGGGACACAGCAAAACCTTATCAGTAACTGAAACAAATAGTGTGGTATAATGTTTAAAATCAAACAGGCCTGCATTTAAATTCTAGCTCTACCCTTTGCATGAAGTTAGCAACCTATTCAACCTTTATGAGCCTATTTCTGATCTGTAAAACAGTGAAAATAAGACTTCTTATAGAGCTTTTGTGAGGAATCGACTAATCTATAACATCAACAACAAAATAGAACTCCTCCCATAAGTGTTAGTTGCCTTTCTCCCCTACCACTCTTCCTTAGTCCCAGTTCTGATGACCCAGTTGCTATCAATTGAGCTAATGAAACAAATCTATTAACTTCCCTCCAAAACCTAATTTTTTTGTATAAATAAAAAACAGCTGAAGGAAATGCCTTGCAAAAGAGAACTAAAAAAAAATTTTAAAAGGGGTTTTTCTTATTTTCCTCATCCTAGCCAACTGACAAAAGGAACTTTGGTCAGTTTTGCAATTTGCATCGTTATTCTAATTAGAAGCCAGCTAAAAGCCAATCTCCTATGTTCTCTACTAGATTTTAGTGCTTTTCTAATTTCAGTGCACATATGCATCACCTGGGGATCTTGTTAAAATGCAGATTTATATTCAGTGGGTCTTGGGTGAAGCCTGAGCTTCTTCATTTCTAATGAGCTCCCGGGTGATGTCCACACTGCACCCTATTATTTGTTCCAGTTACTATTGCTATCTACAAATTAATCCAAAATTTAGAAGCTTAAATATCCCATTTTATCACGCCAATAAATTCTGTGAGTCAAAAATTCCAGACAAGGTTTCACCAACACTCTGAGCAGCAAGGTCCTACAAGACACTATGAAAGGAAGTACTAATTATTCAATAGATAATTCTGCCACCCTACTCTGCATTAATTCATCCTCAGCTTCCCCCAGGTTAGTGGAGTATGGCTGATGGCTGCCAGATTCAGGCCCTACCTCCCTGCAACGGCAGCTCACTTGGCTTCAGGTTAACTACAGAGTCATTTCCACCATCAGCCTTCTCTTGTGAAAGCCCTACACATTGCCTAATCTTTTGTTCCCAATCATTTTCTCATGCAATCTTCAGAACAACGTGTGAGAAGGAATGATTCTGTTCTTTCATAGTTGACAGGGGGTGAAGGAGAGGTTCAAATGTAGCACTAGAATCCAGATTTTCTAACTTCAGGCTAGCAGACATCAACTTACTGCAGGGGTACAACCACTTAGTGTCAGTATGCCAAACCTGGTCCAAGTGTTAACTGGCCTGTTGGTAGGCAGCTATTTGGAAATACATATATGTTTAGACAGAGTCTCACTCTATTGCCCAGGCCGGAGGGCAATGGTGTGATTGTAGCTCACTTCAGCCTCGACCTTCTGGATTCAAGGAATCCTCCCATCTCAGCCTCCCAAGTAGTTGAGACCACAAGCATGTGCCACCACACCTGGCTAATTTTTAAATTTTTTGTAGAGACAGAGTTTTGCCATGTGGCCCAGGCTGGTCTCAAACTCCTGAGCTCAGGCAACTGGCCCACCTCAGCCTCCCAAAGTACTGGGATTACAGGCGTGAGCCATCACGTTCGGCCAGAAAAATAAATTTAAATGAGAAAGTATGAGAGACTCAACTTTGCTCTCTTATGTAGCCTTAGATATTGATGGGTGCATGGTGCAGGGTGGGAAACCCATACTGAGGATTTACTATTGACCTCATTTTACAGACCAAGAAAGTGAGGCTCAGAGAAGTTAAGTAAATTAGCTCAAACGCTGCCAGAAAAAAGTAGTAGAGTAGGCTTCAAGGTGGGTATGTCTGACCCTAAAACTAGTTTCCCCCTTAGCACCTCTGGTTTCCAGGCATAATATTTTACCGATGTGTAGCTCAGTCAGTGAACTTGTGTAGATTTGATGGATTGCCAATTAATTGATGGATCAGTTGATAGTGCTGACAGAGGTCAATGTAACATTTACCCAAGTCAGTCCACAGTTTCCTAGCTGACTTCCATAGGTTCAATTCTGCCTATAATTGATGTGACTTCTGCTTTTAGGCCAGTTAGTGCAATAAGAGAACTGTACTCAGAACCTGTATTTCACTGGATTATGCCACTTGAAGCTCTGTTAAGATGGTCTTGCTTGTTGGGCTTGGCTGCTGCAGACAGAAATTCTGCTTAAAGGCAGAAAATCTGTGGGTATTGTGAGCCTTGGAATGCAAATGAATTTGAGTTTTTTTTATTATGAACTTGTCTCAGTATATTCTCACTAGAGACTAAGGCTAGATGTTAACATACAAACCAGCAAAGGAGGAAAGAACAATTTTAGCCCAGAGTTGATTAGAAAACAAGTCAGGAGTTATGAAAGTTAAATGCAAGATGGCATCTTGTTGTGGGACCTTTCAATGGCAAGGAGAAACCGGGGCAGCAGGTGCCCTTATTTATACTAAGATTGTGTGTGGGTCTTTCATTCGCTCACTGTCTTGGGTTTCAAGGTATAGATTCAAGCTAGCATAAGATAAGGAGAGCTGATTATGAGGAATCAGGTGTATTTCATAGAATGCAATGACAAGAAATACAGATAGGCCACGTAAAAACTGGAAAACCTGTGGACTGCTGGCCCCTTTGCCTATCTAGCTCTGTCTCTTCCCTGGAACCACATAGCTTCTTTTTTTTTTTTTTCTGAGTAATTGTATGTGATTTTATTTTCTTTTTCATATGGCTACTGATATGGTTTGACTGTGTCCCCACCCAAATCTCTTCTTGAATTGTAGCTCCCATAATCCCCATATGTCATGGGAGGAACTCAGTAGAAGGTAATTAAATCATGGGGGTGTGGAACCACATAGCTTCTTGTCTCTGCTAGAAAATTTACTGCATTTCCTCTCTTTCTCTCTCTAAGAAAATTTACTACATTTCCTCTCTCTCTCTCTCTCTCTCTCTCTCTCTCTCTCTCTCTCTCTGTCTCACACACACACACACACACTTTCTCTCTAAGGCCCTTCCTCATAGCATCAATTTACATGGAGCTCTGTGTTGCTATAGTGTTGACTGTAGTTGCAACACGACTGTACATCTCCTCTGCCCATTACCATCTGACAATATCTGGAGCTCTTTGTTCAAGTTCTGAAGAGATAATCTGATATTCAGTGCAAGGTCAATTATGGCACTTCCAAAGAAAGGAGCATGCTCTTAGCAGACTTCTAAAATATAGCTACTACATGCCTAAGGATATGGGGGTGGAAATAGCTAACACAGATTCCAGCCTAAAACCTCATAGGATCATAAATGGAACCGAAAACATAAATTCTAAAATACCCCATCAAATGTTTATCTTCCATGACTGTTCTCCTTTGTCTTTACATATGAAATACAGGTCTTACTCCACAACTCTCAGACTCACCCCAGATCTGAGTGCCAGCTGCGTGTCATTGGCCTCCATCACTTTATCAGTAAAAAGAGGGTCCGTAAAATTCATAAAGTGATAACCTTTCTCCCTGCTCCATGGAATTGTGCTATTTGCCATGTCCTGTGCTCAGCTCTAAAGACTTAATCTGTGCCCCAAGAAACTAGTATAATTGCAGGGAAAATAGACCCATCAAAACAAATAATTGTTCTACCACAGAGCTTTTCATTTTATTATCAGGTGACTCCCCATATCATATGATGAAGCAAGGGGACTGAGTATAAAAGCAACTAAGAATCTCCCAGGTTCCTGCTTAAAATGCAGACCTCTAGGTCTCACCCTAGATGTGCTAGGTCAGAAGTTCTGGGGTTGGAGCCCAGGAATATGTATTGTAAACAATCCCCCAGGTAATCTGAGGAGGGCAATGTTTGAGAACCACTGCTTTATCTCATGAGAAGTGTCAAAATTGAGGCCATGCTGTAGCCACAAGGAAGACTGACTCCCGGCATAAAGACTTCCCCAGGGAGTGATATTTGAGTTGAGTGTCACATGTGTATATCAAGAAAAGCATGGGGATAAGAGAACTCCAAGCAGAAGGAAAAGCAAAACCCCAGAAGGATGAAAATCATAACAGGCTCTGAGGAAACAAAGCATACACTCATCCAGTTGTAATATAGGACAATTGTAGAAAGAGCAGCAGCATATGTGACTGGAGCCAAACTGGAAAGGGCCAACTGTGCAAGACTAAAAGATATAACATGTTCAAGAGGTCTTTGAAGAGTTTCTCTGACTTGTTTAATTTCCTTAATACCTTTATTAATAAAGGTATCAATTTCTTTAATACCTTTTTCTCTAGAATTCACTTTTCCTGGTACTTCCCTGGCCTGTGAAAGGCCTCCGGAATCTCAAAGTCACTGTTCATCCAACAAAACTGTTGAAACTTAATAGAGACAGAGAGCCTGGAGCTGGTTACATCAAATGCCACTCATGAGAAGGAGAATTGAAAATCATCCCGAGATCTGTCAGATCCCAGAGTTGTCTTCCACAGAGAAGGAGTGGGGCCAAGGAAAAAGGAATCTGTTCTCTATCATCTCTACAAAGACTGCACAGACAGGGGATTGCCTAAGCCAGTGTCATCATTTCTGTGTTAGCTGAGGTCCAAGAGCTGTTTTGTTTCCCTGCCAAACACAAGAGGCTGAACGTCTCCAACAACCTCCCTCCAGGAGCCAGAAGGCTCAACTGAACTTAAGCCAAAGTTTCCTCTACCTACTTTCCTCCCAGGACCTGGTAGTTCCACATCTAAAGTCTTCCAAATAGCCATGTGCAGAGTTAGGTTAAGGGCAAAAACCCACATCCAGAAAGAAATGTTCTTTCCTTCTTTTTTTTTTTGTTTTTTTCTTTTTTTGTTTTTCTTTTAATAGTAACAGGGACAGTTTGCTTTTAAAATAGTCACCTGAGGTGTGATTGATAGGAAATCACTACTTGTCATTTCCGGCTCCATGGGAAATGTGATTCAGTGAAACTTAACTAAGCCTTTTATTTCCTATATTTGCTCCTTTATAAATTGGAGCCTGTCAGCTGCCCATCTGAGAAACATCAGAGAGCCTGAGTGTCCTGCGGTATTTTTCATAGAGCAATTCCTCCAGCCTAACATATTACATTTCCAGGCTCTTTGTTCTCTCGCCAATAAAATATATGTTTCCCAGAACTGCATATCCAACCCTATTTAGGAACCATTTAGAACAAAGAGTGAGGGCTTAATTTTCTGCATTTCTCTCTCCACACCTTCTCTATCCACCTCCTCCACCCAGCAACACCACAGGAAACCCGGGCTTCCTAAATAGAAGCAAGTAATTTTCTGAGGCTCCAACATTTTCTCTCTCACACTTACAGGATTTTTCAGGAGCCTGCTTTTAAGGCTGGCAGACACAGCTCCCCACACACAGCCTGGAGATGTACATGTCCAAGGTCAGGGTTGAGCCTCCCAGGGCTCACATGAAGGACAAAGACTTTAGAATCAAAATGACCAAGATTTAAATTCCAACTCTCCAATATATTAGTTGTTTCACCTTGATTAATTTATTTCCTTAATGAAACCTCCCTTTTCTTACCTGTAATAGTAAAATAATATTAACATCTGTCTAGTTTTAGTGTGAGACTTTTAAAAAAATAAGAAATTGTGGCAGACCTTGTTGGTTGCCATTCTCAATTTTATTATCCTGTGGCACCTTTCACTTTAGAGGCTGGAAAAACTTAATACTTATTTTCCTGGTCTCCCCTTCAGCCAGGGATGGCCAGTTAACTCAGCTATGGGCAATGTTATATAAGCAGAAGTCTGAAAAAAGTTTCCTGGAAGTGTTTCTGCTTCCCTGAAAAAATGGAAAGATGAGGCCAACTGGTTCTCCTACTCTTTTCTCCCTGCTTTGACCAAAGATGTTATCTGGAGCTGCAGGAGCGCTCTTGTGGCCAAGAGGCTCTCAGAGTCACCTGTACTGACATCATCAAGACACTGAAGCAATGCTGAAGGCATCGAACTCCAGATTTCTTGTTATGTGAAAAGAATAGTGTCTCTTTATATAAGCCACTTCAAGTTGAGTTTTCTGTTCCTTGCTATCAAGTGCATTCCTAAACTGCTGTGTGTGAGCGATGTAAATAAAGGGACTACAGGAGTCTACAGTATTTACTAAATATTGGTTCTATCCTCCCCACCCTCCCCATGTGTCTTCTCCTCAAAATATACTTAGTACTAATCTATACCATTGAATTATTCATATTTAGAGTGGGATTTGGCCTGAGAATATGCATCCAGACTGGATTTTGAGGCCTCTGCAATGTTTCTTCTACCCCGACCACCTGCACACTGAGGTTAAACTCCCAGTCAATGAGAGTCCAGCCAGTTGGTTATACTCCATATGAGTCATAAGTGTCCTATCCCCAACCACTCTTTCCTCCATTCCCTGTCTTCCCTCATTCTCTTCCCCCATCCTTCTTTCAGCCTGCCTGAATCTCTTCCATCCTTCCTTTGCTGGGTGCATCCCCACCATCTCCCTGAGATACCTTTTCTGATGCGATCAGGAATGGCCAGGAGAGAAAAGAGAGTCATGTGACACAAATTTAGTTGCCCCATTTGGCAATGGTGATGGGCAGGCAGAAAAGCATGTCTAGTCCAGGGAAACCTTGGAAATAAGGGATACAGAGTTTTATAATCAATATATTAAAAA
The DNA here is from genome assembly GCF_000001405.40 of Homo sapiens. Lineage (NCBI taxonomy): Eukaryota > Metazoa > Chordata > Mammalia > Primates > Hominidae > Homo > Homo sapiens. The sequence continues at coordinate 87,464,328 of NC_000011.10, read as the reverse complement.
AAAAAAAAAAAAAAAACTCTGCAAGGCAGATGCAGAGCAGCCACCAGGGCTTCACTTTGACCCTGGCAGTCAGGAGAACAAAAAAGCTGGAGAGCCAAGGTCACCCAGGAGCTACCTTAGAGGTGGGTAGAAGAAGCATCCAGGGAATAGAGAAAACAAAGACAGGAACCACAGTGCAGATGGTAGCCTCAGAAGCTCCACAAGGTCCCTGGCCAAAGAGAAAAGAAATTGAATTCCCCTTCCTGTGTCCATGTGTTCTCATGGTTCAATTCCCACCTATGAGTGAGAACATGCGGTGTTTGGTTTTTTGTCCGCACATGTACCCTAAAATTTAAAGTATAATTTAAAAAAAAGGAAAAAAAAAAAGCAATAAATAAATAAATAAATAAATACGGGAGCTACGAAAAAAAAAAAAAGAAAGAAATTGAATTGACCAAAGCTTTGAAATAATTTGTCCCCACCTGCCATACCTCTCAGGATGGGTGGAGGGGGTCAACCATCTGCCAGTTGACCAGATAATCAATGAAGGATGAGAGGACAGTCCACATCAGCCCTTCAGGTAGAATACCTTGGACATGTCAGAGGCTGCCATACAGACCTGGTTGTGCTCATCTTGGGTAAATTGTGACACCTACTGGCTCATAATGGAGAAAACCCATGCTTCACTTTGGTAAAAAGTTCCCTGGTGCTAGTGTGATGCAAATGTCTCCCAGATGGACTAGACTCTTTGCTAGTGAGAAATTATATACCTTTCAGGTTCTATGGCCATGCCCAGATTCAGTTTCCCATGACCACAGTTGTCTGGAAGGACAATGGAAATAACCAGAGGACAAGCCACTGTAATAAGAAGTGGTCACGGAGAATGGCCCAATGCAGAGATTTGAGTTCTGGTTCTGCCTGTGTCTCTTTGTGGCCTGAAGACATTAAACAAATCACTTCTTCTATTTCGCTGTCACTTTTGTTGTTGGTTATCTTTTCAAAGGAATGTGTTACCCTTGTTCTGTCTACCTTAGAGTTTATGTGTAAAGAATCAAAAGAGAGAGCCTTGTTGAAGCAACAAACGTGTTTTTGTGTTTTTTAACAAGCATTTAAGTATCTCAAACTACCATACTTCTGGAGACATATACCTGTACATATACATACGAACATAAATATGCATAGCAGTATTGATACAAAAGTGAATAAGCCACAATTCCAACCTAGAAAGACACATACATGTAAACCAAATGTAAGCCAAAAGTAAAATTCTAAGGTCCCCTAACCATCTGAATGGACTTCCTCGTCAGCCAGGGCACCCTTAAAATTTAACCTGAAAGACTGGTTCAGGCCATGATGGGAAGTGGGGGTCAGACATGCCTCATTATACCTCTCTGGCATTAACATCAACCGACTTTAAGTCTGATAAAGAAACATTTTACAGCCTATTCTTTCTGAAGCCTACTACCTGAAGGTTTCCTCTGCAAATAAGAACTTTGGTCTCCACAATCCTTTATCTTAACCCAAATATTCTTTCTATAGATCCCAGGTCTTTAGATAAACTGAACCAGTTGTCAACTAGAAAACTTTTAAATATACCTATAAGCTGGAAGCTCCCACTTCAAGTTATCCCACCTTTCTGGACCAAACCAATGTGTTTCTTAAATGTACTTGATTGAAGTCTCATGCCTCCTTAAAATGTACAAAACCAAGCTGCATCCCAGTCACCTTGAGCACATGTTCTCAGGACCTCCTGAGGGCTGTGTCACAGGCCATGGTCATTCATATTTGGCTCAGAATAAATCTCTTCAGATAATTTACAGTTTGACTTTTTTTGTCAACCCAAAGAATCCTGTTCTCTTTGCCTGAAACACTTCCTCCCTCAGCTTATCCTTCGATTCACAACCTTCATATCACTTCCTCTGGGAAGCCCTACTTCTGCCCTCACCCTAGTCAAGCCAGGCCTCCTGTGACACTCTCACAGCACATTTCACAGTTCTCACAGGCACAGGACAACACCAGACTGGAGGCAGGTGATTGAATGTTCAAATCCTAGCACTCCCCTCACTGACTGTAGGACCATGGGCAAATTTCCAAGCACCACCAAACTGTGGTATCCTTTCCTGCAAAGTAAGGAAGACAATACAAACTTCCTAGGGTTTTGATAAGGATTACATAAAATGGCACATGTAAAGCACCTTGAAGAGTGCCTGTCAAAAAGTAAACTCTCAGGAAGTGTTAGTTTTTACCATCATTTGTGAAATGTTTAATTTAATGTTCATCTCTCCCACCAGACTATTGACTTCAAGAAGGCAGAAGCCCTGCCCACTTTTCTCAGGCCGTATCCCCTGCACTTAGCACAGTATCTTGAAACCCAAGCCTTTTCCTTTATAAAATGCAAATAATCATAGTAACCACTTCATAGTGTGTTGTAAACACTAAAGATGACCATGTCTCCAAGTCAGCACTAAAGCAATTATCATAAGGCCAAGCACATAGCTAAGTATTCTATTGATGTTTTTACTATTGTTATTATTATAAATGATATAAATGAAGTAAATACAGTGTTCAGGAGTAATACAGAAAAGGTAGTCATTAATTTTACCTTGGAACAGGGAAGTCCTTGCCTAAAGGAGGGATACCTAAACAGGATTTTAAAGAATGAAAGCGGTTAGCCAAGCAGACTCCATCAACTGACAAAACTTGCTGCCCTCTGCAAAGTGAAAAGCTTCATGCTCAGTTGTGGCTATATACAAATAAATATAACCCAGTCCCTGCCCTTCAGGAACTTACAGCCCCATAGAGAGAAATATCTCCTCCTACAGTTCAGTGTCCTTTGGGTACACAGAAGAGCAGAGCCTAATCCAGAATACCAGGTCAGGGAAGGCTTCCTGGAGGAGGTGACATGGAGTGGGGATGTGAGGACAGTGAAAAATTAACCAAGCTATGAAACCCAAAAGACCTCTCAGGCAAAAAGAATAGCAGGTAAGAGTAGGAACGCTGAGGAAACGCAAAGTGTTCCAGTTAGTTGAGGCTTTGGGTATATGCACAGGATTGGAAAGAACGGAGCTGGAGAAAGAAGGAAGGAGCTAGATAATGAAGAGTCCTACAATCCTTGCTGAGGAATTTGGGTTTTATTCAATAGGCTATAGGAGCTGCTGAACAATTGCAAAAAGGTGGAAAGGGGTAATATAATCATATTTGCATTTTAGATACGGTCATTCTAAAAGGACAGTGAGATGGCAGCTGGAAGATTAGTCAAGAGGCTTTTGAAAGAGTCCAGACAGGCAATGGTAATGGGCTGACTTAATTCAATCAGAGTGATAAGAGAGAAGCCTATAATATAATTAGGAAGTACAATCAACAGGACTTATGGACTAATTTGATGTGAGAAGCAAAAAAAAAAAAAAAAAAAAGAGAAACCAATCTAGAATTTGGTTTGGGTGATCAGGTGGGTTATGGAGCCAATCACTGATTCAAATATAACAAGAACAGCAGGTTTGCAAAGAAAAAGGGCCAGCATGGTTTTGTACATATTTGTATATATTTTATTTATTCTATGAAGACCATATCAATCCCATTCCATGATATTATATTATACATCATTTATTCATGCACAGGCCACAGGCAGGTTTATACAGTCATCCCAAATCTTTGTCTTTCCACTTCTGATAACTCACATACTGATGCAGCACTGCCATTGTTCCTCTCTAGCTTTCCTAGGATTTTGTCACATCATCAAGTTACCTACCTTCCTTAGCTTTTCCATGGCCCACCAACCCCTCCAAGGGGGTGATGCACACTATTAGACAGCCAAGTCTCCAGTTAGCAGTTTCATAAATGGAGCTGGAGCTCAGAGCAGAGATCTGAGCCAGAAGTATGCATCTGAGAGTAATCAGCATAGAGTTTGTATAACCGCAGCATTGAGAACAGATGCATTCACCTGAGGAGACTGTAAGGGGTAAGATTCAGGCACATATGGAAGCCTAAGGAACAAGAACTATTAAGAGAAAAGCAACACAGAGGGAGAAGAGCTGGCCAAGGTGAGTGAGGAGCAGTAAGAGACATAGGAAGAAAACCATGAGAAATTCTAGAAAGAAGGGAATTGGACAAACACTGGTCAGGGACATCAAGTGTCACAAAGACATCAAGAATAATAAGGACTGAAATCTAAATGTGGGAGTGTGGGAGCCTGGGTGTTTTCAGCGGACTTGTGGGAATGGTTGAAGATGAAGTGAGGATGTGAAGATGATATTTTGTGAAGGTAACTCAAGAAATTGGTGCAAGGGAGAGATGTGACAGTAGCTAATGGTAGAAAGAAAATGTTTTGTTTTGTTATTTCCTTGAACATTTGTACATGAAATGAAGCAGCAAGCAGTAAGGCAGTATATTGCAGCAGTCAAGTGCTCAAAGTTCTAGAGCCAGACTCTCTGAGTTCAAGTCCCAACTCCATACAGAAGCTGTGTAATCTTGAGGATGTTCCCTGACTTCTCAGGATCCCATTTTTCTCATCTGTAAGATGGAGATAATAACAATACCAACTATACACGTGGTGAATATTAAGTAAGTTATGAGATGTCATGTGCTTAGATGGTGCCTGACCCATCACAGACACTTGATAAATATTAGCTGCTCCTGTTGTTGATATTCCTACTCGATCAAGGGAAAGCGCTACTAAAAGGAAGATACTGAAGATACAGGAAAGATAAAGAATTCATGATGGAGCAAAGCTCCTGAGGAAGCTGAGAGAGAGAGAACAGAGAAGTGAAAGAGAGCTCAGCCTTAGCCAGTAGGAGGGACCACCTGCCTTACTGCCACTGAGAGAAAGTCAGAAGAAAGTACCAGGAAGGTGCAGATGGAGATGGATTTGTCTTAGAGAAGCCGGGTACAGGGAGTTGAGAGAACATTTATTTTTCTCTGTGAAGTAGGAAAAAAGGCCATCTGTGAGAATGGAGAAGGAAGTGATTAGATGGCACCAGGGTTAGAGTCAGAGAGTGGGGAAGGTCTGAGATTGCTGCTATGGAGACTGGAGACGGAGCATCCTGGGCTGAAGAGTAGTTCTAGGGAGGGTCTGGGATCCCTAGGTCACCAATGCATGCATTTCCTTGGCACTCTCAACACCCTGTGAAGGAGTGCTGAGACCTTGTTTGGATGCCGCTATGGTTGAGACTTTGTTGAGAAGCTGTGACAGAAAGTTAAAGGGACAAGGAAACTCAAGAGTGGTAAAGTGACAGGGATGCCCTCTCTCACCACTCCTATTCAACATAGTATTGGAAGTTCTGGCCAGGGCAATCAGGCAGGAGAAAGAAATAGAGGGTATTCAATTAGAAAAAGAGGAAGTCAAATTTTCCCTGTTTGCAGATGACATGATTGTATATTTAGAAAACCCCATCTTCTCAGCCCAAAATCCCCTTAAGCTGATAAGCAATTTCAGCAAAGTCTCAGGATACAAAATCAATGTGCAAAAATCACAAGCATTCTTATACACCAATAACAGACAAACAGAGAGTCAAATCATGAGTGAACTCCCATTCACAATTACTACAAAGAGAATAAAATACCTAGGAATCCAACTTACAAGGGATGTGAAGGACCTCTTCAAGGAGAACTACAAACCACTGCTCAACAAAATAAAAGAGGACACAAACAAATGGAAGAACATTCCATGCTCATGGATAGGAAGAATCAATATCATGAAAATGGCCATACTGCCCAAGGTAATTTATCAATTCAATGCCATCCCCATCAAGCTACCAATGACTTTCTTCACAGAACTGGAAAAAACTACTTTAAAGTTCACATGGAACCAAAAAGAGCCCGCATTGCCAAGTCAATCCTAAGCCAAAAGAACAAAGCTGGAGGCATCACGCTACCTAACTTCAAACTATACTACAAGGCTACAGTAACCAAAACAGCATGTTACTGGTACCAAAACAGAGATATAGATCAATGGAACAGAACAGAGCCCTCAGAAATAATACCACACATCTACAACCATCTGATCTTTGACAAACCTGACAAAAACAAGAAATGGGGAAAGGATTCCTTATTTAATAAATAGTGCTGGGAAAACTAGCTAGCCATATGTAGAAAGCTGAAACTGGATCCCTTCCTTATACCTTATACAAAAATTAACTCAAGATGGGTTAAAGACTTAAATGTTAGAACTAAAATCATAAAAACTCTAGAAGAAAACCCAGGCAATACCATTCAGGATGTAGCCATGGGCAAGGACTTCATGTCTAAAACACCAAAAGCAATGGCAACAAAACCCAAAATTGACAAATGGGATCTAACTAAACTAGAGAGCTTCTGTACAGCAAAAGAAACTACCATCAGAGTGAACAGGCAACCTACAGAATGGGAGAAAAATTTTGCAATCTACTCATCTGACAAAAGGCTAGTATCCGGAATCTACAATGAACTCAAACAAATTTACAAGAAAAAACCCCATCAACAAGTGGGCAAAGGATATGAACAGACACTTCTCAAAAGAAGACATTTATGCAGCCAAAAGACACGTGAAAAAATGCTCATCATCACTGGCCATCAGAGAAATGCAAATCAAACCACAATGAGATACCATCTCACACCAGTTAGATTGGCCATCATTAAAAAGTCAGGAAACAACAGGTGCTGGAGAGGATGTGGAGAAATAGAAACACTTTTACACTGTTGGTGGGACTGTAAACTAGTTCAACCATTGTGGAAGAAGACAGTGTGGCGATTCCTCAGGGATCTAGAACTAGGAGTACCATTTGACCCAGCCATCCCATTACTGGGTATATACCCAAAGGATTATAAATCATGCTGCTATAAAGACACATGCACACGTATGTTTATTGAGGCACTATTCACAATAGCAAAGACTTGGAACCAACCCACATGTCCATCAGTGATAGACTGGATTAAGAAAATGTGGCATATATACACCGTGGAATACTATGCAGCCATAAAAAAGAATGAGTTCATGTCCTTTGTAGGGACATGGATGAAGCTGGAAACCATCATTCTCAGCAAACTATCACAAGGACAAAAAACCAAACACCGCATGTTCTCACTCATAGGTGGGAAATGAACAATGAGAACACTTGGACACAGGAAGGGGAACATCACACACTGGGGCCTGTCGTGGGGTTGGGGGAGTGGGGAGGGATAGCATTAGGAGATATACCTAATGTAAATGATGAGTTAATGGGTGCAGCACACCAACATGGCACACGTATACATATGTAACAAACCTGCACGTTGTGCACATGTACCCTAGAACTTAAAGTATAATTAAAAAAAAACAAAAAGCACACTGTGCCCCATAAATATGTAGTTATGCCAATTATAAATAAAAAATCATTTTTTAAATTATAAGAAAAAAAGTGGCAAAATGCCAGACCAGGAAGTCCAGACTGGAACAGGGAGAACATAAAGGTAGGAGAGGAAGAAAACAGAGACATCAAAGGACCCTAGGTCTCCATGAATAAGCACATTGAAATAAGAGAATGACAGATGGGAGAAAAGGAGCTGGTGACCAAAGGAATCAAAAATAATGTATGTGATATTTAATGTTATATGTGAACTTGACTGGGCCACCAAATGCTCAGATAGTGGGTTAAACGCTATTTCTGTGTGTGTGTATGAGGGAGTTTCCAGGTTAGAGTAACATTTGCATTGGTGGACTCAGTAAAGTAGATTTCCTCCCCTATGTAGATGAGCATTATTCAGTCCACTGAGGACCTGAATAAAACAAAAAGCAGAGGAAGGAGGAATTCATCCCTTTTTTCTGCCTCACTGTTTGCACTGAGACATCTCATCTCATGTTCTCCTTGCCCTCAGACTGAGATTTCCACCAACAGCTCCCGATTCTCAGGTTTTCAGAGTCAAACTGAATTACAACACGGGTTTCCCCAAGCTTCCAACTTGCAGGTCATGGGACTTCTCAGCCTCCACAATCCTGTAAGCCAGTCCCTTAAAGAGGGCCACAGATTCTTTGCTATTTCCCCCACCGAAATTATATTCAAGTATGTAATTTCCATATACTTGAATCTGAGCTTACTCTGGGGATAAGGATTACCTTTCCAATAAAATGATATAAATGATGATCTGGGGCTACATAGCCTGGGGGATGGGAAAGAAGCCTTGTAGCTTCCATCCAGACCTCTGAGCAGCCTTATAAGAAGTCCAGCTATTCTGAGGCCACCAGTGCTGGATATAATGTGTGGGGAGGCCATAAAGAGAGGTCCTGGGACTATAAGAAGAAAGAGATGCCTGGACAGCCCTCCACTATCCTAGGCCCAGTTATTTGAATGATCCCAGCCAAGGCCCCAGATGTCACAGAGGCAGAGACCTTATCCTTGCTGTTGTCCTTGCTGCATCCTGAAAACCTTGTAGATTTATGAGCAAAATAAATGATTGCGGTTTGGGTGGTTTATTATAAAATTGGAGGTAAGCTTTCAGAGATGGCCCAATTTAGGGTGAAGACAAGAGCCAGGGAAGGGCCAAGATGATACAGGTAGCTGAAGAAGATGAAAGTGGAACTCTCTGGTATCAAGAGAGCCATGTGGGGAAAGGAACCCTCATTCGGGATGAAGAGGACACCAGATCAGAGAAAGGAGATGAGAGAAACTCGTCAGAACGTGCAAACCCCTTAAGAGATTAGTTTTATTTTCAGGTACCATAGAAACATCTATTTGTATTTGAACACACTTGTTAGTATCTAACTGTATAAACTGAGTTATATATGTATATATGTATAAACATGCTCAGCAACTATTTAAATTTAGAGTGTACGATGATGCCCTAGGTGACTGCCCTATAAATTTGAAATGATAAATTGCATTTCTTCAAAATAATATTCTTAAATATAGATGTCCTATAACTCAACTCATTTCACCACGTCCCACTCAACTCCCTGGCAACAGAGGACTGTTGCAGGCCTGGTCCCTACCCACCACTGACCAGGTGAGCCAGCAGACGGGCAACAGTGTGTGTGAACTACAAAACAGCTGCTGCTTCACCTGCACCTTGCACATCTCCCATGGGAACTCCTGCTGTGGCCCACCCACTCAAACCAGAAACATAGAAGGAAGAGAATTCTGGGAAATGTACTTCAACTTCACCAAGTCAACACATTGCAAGCCACCACAGATACTAATCAAGCAGCAATAATGAGCATGTACTATCATTATTCAAATTTTAACAAAGGTGGAAACTGAGGCTCTGGTTATATAGACTCCAAACTGATGCCAAAGCCTGTGCTCTGAGCTGTCACACAGCAGTATTTTTTGCTTCCACTTTAGGAAATTTCATCATGGTGGGCAGATGATAAAAACACCTAGATCTTTTTAGCCCCCATTGTGCTCTATGAATGACAAATGTAATCTGTCAGCCACTATGGATACCGGGCCTAGGGTCTATGAGCTTTTCAGACGCCTACAAAACAGAAGTAAAGCCTGACAATGAAAAATATTGACCACAGAATATAAAAAGAAAACTGAAAATTAATACAGGCTTAATTATATGTCTATAAATCTTTGACTTGACTACAGCTTACTGGGTGAAATTTTAAATTAATTTTCTATCGTGCAAGATTTAGATGTATGAATGTGTTTGATATAATGTGAAATGATAGCTCCAAAACTAAGAGCTCCTAGGTCTACCAATTTTCTTCTGGACAGAGGAAAATTTGAGGAGGGCTGATGTCATTAAAACCTATTTCAGAGATGAATTTGGGGCAGATACTGCAGTCCAGTGTGGAATTGCAAGTGTGGAGAGAAGAGGAAAAATGCTACCTGATATTTACTAGGGATATATATAAAATGAAGTGAAAATGGACAGCCGTGGTCTTGGCACACTGCCCACCTTGCTGATGTGTCAGGAGCATTTTAAACATATCACTGCAGGTGGTGAATGAGAACAGAAACCAGAAATGTACAGATTAAATTTAGCAGCAGATTGAATCACACTCACCAAGATGTTTGCCTCCCTGCCTGTTCCCTTCTTCCTCTCAGCTCAGGCTGCAGGACACCTAATCACAGAAGGCAGTCTTCTAGTGAATTCAATTAACTGGAAAATGCCTTGTGTGAGTTAATGGATAGGAGAAATGAAAACAGACATAACTTCTTCACAGAAATGGCCACAAGCAGTATGGGAAGGATTCAGTGCTGTGCAGGCTACACTCCTCTTTTTTGGAGTCCAGATATTTCCACAAGCGTGGCAACTATACGTCCTAGGTTGTGGGGAGCAGTTAGCTCTGAGACAAAACCACTCTTCTGGTTGGGCTCCTGCCTCTGTAGAACTTCAGCTCCATGAGAATGCATAAGCACTAGTGTCCTGATCTTCATGGACATTCAGAGTGTTTGCTCTGAATACTTGAAATACTCTCAAATGGTAGTAATGGATAGCTGTCATGCATTGAGCATTTATCATGTGTCAGGCAACATGCTAAGCCAAGCTGTCTGCCTTTACAACACCTGCTGTTAAGCATTATGATAAACTGGCTTCATGTGACATAGGACTGTCACCCAACCACCACTACCATCTACTAGGTACTCATTGCTTCCCCAGCAAAAGGGCACCCTACTTGAGTTTAAACACGTGCATCAAGGAGGATCTTGGCACCTTCCTCTTCACCCTTCCGGAGGCCTGCATTCTAAGGCGAAATGACATATGCCTACTTGGCTTGTCTCTGGGTGCGCTTGTCTAACTCCCTTACCTTGTCTCAAATGACTTGCATTTATTTCTCTTGAGATCTCAGACAGGGCTTACTTGTTAACCTCAAACTGAATTTAATCAAAACGTACAATGAGAGGTAGTATTGTTTAAGGATGTGGTCTTTGGAGCTGTACAGCCTGAATTTGAATCCCTGCCTTATCATTTATGGTCTTATAGGCATGTTCTTTAACAGGTACTTAAAATCCCTGTTACTTCCAGTTTTCTCATCTTTAAATGGATATAGTAATAATGCTTACCTCATATGATGTTGTGAGGAATAACAAATTATATGGAATATGCTTACTACAATATGTGGTACATAGTCAGCACTCAACAAATATTAGCAATTTTAGTAATAACTAGTTGCCAATAAAGACACTGGGCAATGAATAAGACCTTATCCCTCAAAACTTAGAAGCTTGCAGTTCAATGGAGGAAGCAGATATCACAACTATAACCACAATACAAGAGGGTGGACACTAGAAGTCCAGATATGCACCGGTTTACAATTCCTTCTACTCCTATCAGGAGTTCGGCTCACCACACGAGGGGCATGATTGAAGCCTACCATGGTGGAGGAAATGGGAGGCCACTTGTGCCCCATTTCCCACTTCCCAATAAGCCCAAATGACCTGAGTGACCTTGAAGACATGATATAGGAGGTTATAGCTCATTGCTTCTTTCAACAAGTATCTGTTAAACCCAAATGTGCAAAACCCTGTTTCAGGGGATGCATAGAGTTTGCAATCTAGCCAGAAAGACAACATTGAACAAAAAATTGTAAGTGCATTATATATCAGAAAGTAGAGATGTTGGTGCCAAAAATCTGAAAACTCCTGAAGCATATGAGACCAAGATGGAATAGGTGTTAGTTCAGAGAAGGGAGTGAGGAGCCTTAAAAGCATAATAGTTGAAATAAAGAGGCCCTGCCCAATATTACAATCCATACAACCTATACATGAAGATGGATAAGCAGACATAGAACCCCTTATTAATTAATTTAGTCTCTGTTTTTTAACTGGACCATTGAGTTCAGGGCAGAGCCCAATAAGGAAAAGGGCCAACAAAACATTTGTAGTTTTTAGGGCCTAATAATTTAAATATATGAAAAGCAGGTACAGTTGAAAGGCAAAGTATCTAGAGTATCTAGATCTTTAAAAATTAAAGAGTCCACCTTTACACTGAATCTCAGGTTCCCAAAAAGAGCGAAATGCCATGAGAACAGGTCCTGCAATGCTTTTGTAGTGCACTTTGTTATAAAGACATTTTTAAGTGTTTAAACTGCACCTTTTAAAATCTAAGCACATAAAGAAACAAGTAGTCCCATGCAGTAATAACCATTTACTGTAAACAATTGTTGCCAGCCACCTCTAAAACCACAGCTCCTTCCAGTGATTCACCAATTATCACACACAGAAAGTTAAAGTGTTTTCCACAGTATAAAGTAATATGTGGTACCTCCAAAAGCCAAAGAGATTAGATAATGCAACATGAAAGACAGAGTTTTAGGCCAGAGAAGAATCTGCCCATGACGTTTTAGACTCCAGAGCAAGACCGAAGACTGCAAAAAGGGAACCCCTTATGATTCTATTGAGAGTAGAATTCTAGCTCATTGTTAATATTTGAAAAACTATTTTAGGAGTATAAATCCTAAAGAAAACTATTTTAATTTGTAGGCTTCACAATGGATAAGGAAAATAGTAGAAAATTATAATAGGTAAAGATATACCTATAAACACAGTTGTGTGTAATTTAAATCATTAATAAGAATATGAAACATACATGTAGGCAAATACACACACTATGCTTAGATCTCTTCTTTTCTGTTCCTAGAATTTCTCCTATAGTTGGCAATGAACATTCTTATCTCATGAGTTATCAAATCAGGCCATTACATATAACTCTGTATATAATGAATCAATAAACTAAATAAAGCTGCCAGCTTGCTTTTCCTCCTAGACCAAACCCTCCTGCCCTGAGCGGGCCACTGCAGTTTAAATTCCAGTCATGTCCTTCTGCCTGTCTTTACTGTCTCTTAAGGAATGCTGTCTAGAGCAGTCACATCCTCCCTCGCAGTCTGGGAGATTAACGGACCCAACGCAGGGCGGGTCAGAGGCAGCCTGGCAAGGAGGCTCTTCACGGTTCCTGAGTTGCTTAGAAAGGGAGTGAGGAATAATTTAAATATAAAAATCTACAAATACTGTAGAGATAGACAAAAATAGGAGCTGACTATACAAATGTGCTCTAACCCTTGAATCTAGGAGGACAGAGTGACCAGCTACCCGGGAAAGAAACAGCACCTCCCCAGCCACACAGATTGGCATTTAGGAAGATCAAGGCCCCAGGCAGGTATCAGAGCCACTTGTCAACAGAATCAATCAAGGCAGCAAAGGTTTTAAAATCAAACAGATCTGAATTTGGACTCCAGTTTTGCCACTTAGCTGCGTATCCTTGTATGGATCATGCAGCCTCTCTGCACCCGAGTTTTACATCTGAAAAAAGAGAGGAGCAATAGCTACCTCTTTTAGCACCCTCAAAGGGTGGTGGCAGGGATCATAAAGAATTCATTCAAGTCAACAGTCTTGAATCAAAAAGCCCAACACAAACTATGTTAAGCAAAAAGAAAAAAAAAAAAGAACGTATAGATCACCTAACAAGGATGATCAAGGTAACACTAGGCCTCAGGGACTCAAACATTGTCAAGACTGTTTTTTTTCTGTGTGTCGACCTCATTTTGGCCCACTGCAGGTTGCTTTCCTCCATGCAGCAGTGAGAAGTGACACAGGTGGATCATCTCCTAGCAGACAGAGCCTCTCTTGCCCAGCGTCTGCATATAAGATTCCAGGAATGGACTCTGGCTGGCCTAGCTTGGATCCTGTGCCCATTCTGGTAGGGTACTAGGATGAGCTAAGCCAAGCCTCAAATATACTCTGAAGGTAGGGGCATGGGATCTCTGTATCAGCACAATCCAGGAAGTACTTTAATCTTTTGTTCTTTCTCTTTTATTTTTGTGGATATATAGGTGTGTATACTTATGGGGTATACGAGATACTTTGATTATTTGGAAAGGGGAATTATCATCACATTAAGATAAGAAAAAGTACAGTACTGAGAAACAGTACCTCCCTTGAGACTTCAAACGCTCAATAAATGTGAAGACATTCATCTGAATGTCAGGATTTCCATTGTCAAATATTATAATAACCATCCAGCAACCAAACAGAGCAGGTAGATGCCTTTCATTTTGGGCCATTCTTTTAGCATATGTTTATCATTTCATTAGTTTCCTCTTTCCTCATTTATTGAGCATTTTCTGTCCGCCAGACATTGTGCTAAGCATTTCATATCCATCATATCATTCAGTTTTCACAATAACCTTAAAAAGTACTGTATTAATCCCATTGCACAGTAAGCAAACTGAGGCTCAGAGAGGTTAAGTAATTTGCCTAATGTTTCACGGAAGTGGATATGAACACAAGTCAAGCCAAACTCCATGTTCTTAACCACTGGGCTACCACTTGGTAAAGCTTAGGGAAAAAGTGATTAATTTTGTCTAGTGTATATCATCACAGGGGAAAGGTGACATTTGAATTCAGTCTTTAGGATAAGTTAGAAGCTTCCCAGCAGGAAATATGGTAAAGAACATTTGAGGCAGAAGAAAGATGATGTACAAAGATACAATATGTTCATAAAATGTTGTTGTTCAATGTCTCATGTCAGAATCCAATAAATCCTACTAGCTCAAACTACTAGAAGAGACAGCTTGAATTAGTAAAAGATCTGAATTATGTTGATTTATAAGCAAAAGCAAAAGTAAATACAGTTACTAAATATATTTAGTAAGCTTACAAACATACGAAATTTCTGGAAAAAAAAAAAAACTTGTGAAGAGATCTACCTCTTTAGTTTTAGTGCAAAACATTTTTGCCCATAGACATCAGGGGATGGACCCCAACCATTCCTAGCCTATCTTATTAGACATTACATAACCTTCTTCTCTTGAAATTCTCCCAGCTACCTTTCCCAGCCTAATTACTGAAAGGTAGCTACATCTGTTCATCTGCTAATGAAAGTCACATTAGTAAGATTTCACCCATTTCAGATAATACAAATGAAGTTTTAATTTGATTACGGGTTTTTAAATCAAAGGTGAAAATTATTGCCTTTGAAAAATCAGAGAAAAATATTTAAACAATAATAAGAAGTAAAATAGAAAGGATGAATTTTTTCTTTCCCATTGTAAATTGCTTCTCTCCCATACCTCAGTAAATAGGACAACCATTTACCCAGTTGATCAAGTAGGAAACTGAGGCAACATCATACTCCTCACACCCCTCATTCCCTCCCCTCTCCCCTTCATGCAATCTCCAAGTTCTATGACTTCTGCCTCCTTCATATCCTTGACCCCACCCCTCTTCACCATTCCCTTTGTCACTGCATCAATTCAGGACTCATCACCTCTCTCTTGCCTGCCTCTGTTCTTGACGCCCTCCAATCTAGCCTTTGACATGAGCTTTTTAATACCCAGTTTGTCAAGTATCTTCCATCACTGGCAAGAATGACTGGCCAAAAAGGCCAACCAAAGTCTTTCTCTAGAAGTGTGCCACAGATGCTGAGAAAATAAACTCTTTATCATGTCTTCTGCCATGTGAGAAAGGCTGTGTGCAATAGAAGAGGCTAAGGCTGACATTCAGAGAGAAGGGGAGGGACGAGTGACGGAGAGTCCTCACAATGTCAAATCCTTAGTTCTCATCCTTGAGCTGATCCCTTACAGTTACCCCTGTATCTTTATCCACTATAGAAGCCAGTAAATTACTTTTGTACTTAAAACAAACACAAAACAAAAAACAATGTCCATTCCTGGATCTTCACTGACTCCCCATTACCTTGAAGGTGAAATCCAAGTTTATGAGGCAAGCAAACTCAGCCTTGACAGCATACCTCTGCCCCACATCCCCATCTCATCTCACCACACTCCATGATCATATTCAAAGTTCAAAGATGCATTTATACTGAGCTGTGTTTGGTTGTTGTGGATACTGCTGTTGCAATTGTTGGTATTGTTGATGACACACTGACTTCACCATTCTCTCTTTTATCTGCACTGCACATACCGGGAATTGATCTGCTTAGCTAAATTATATTGATCTTTTATAAAGCTCTTTCTAGACTGAATTCTCTTCTCTGTGCAAGCTTAGCCTCTAAGCACAGCTCTACTGTAGCAAAATAAACACACAGTTTTATAAATCTCTGTTTACTTTTCTGCCTTCTCCTACTCAATAAGAGCAGAGAAGAATGGTCTTTCTTCTCCATAACTAAACCAGTGTCTGGAACACAGAGCAGGTAGTCAGAAATGTTTGCTAAATGAATAAATGGATGAATATACTGAGAAACTTCAGTTTGAATATCTTAGAAATTATATTTTAAAACCTTGTTTTAAAAAATCTCATAACTTTACCCCCCATATCATTGAAGACTGTTTTATATATATATATATATATATATATTTATATATATATATATATATATATATATGAGTGTGTGTGTGTGTGTGTATGTATATGCATGTGTGTTTATATATATGTATATATATATTCAACTCTTAGGTTAAATTTTCTTGTTATCGAGATGATTCTCTTAAAGAGGTTAATATTAGCTTTTAATTATATCCTGCCATCCAACTAGTACTTGAGTACTTGTGTACTTAGCAAGGGGAGAAATCCCTCTACATATAACAGAGATGAATTCAATTCAATCATTCTATTTGATTTTGCATTTTTTCTGCTCTAATAGTCAGATTGCTGGAGGAGATGTCATTTCCATAAGCCCATCAACCAGAGAATGCAGAGAAGTTATTTGAATACTTTTTGAGGGCTTCCTGTTTCAAGAATGGGGGCGGTTCAAATGATTTCAAAGGTAAGCTTGTTCCCTGACACCTTCTCAAAGGTTATTTGCAGTCTCGGATTCCCTTTCCCAAAAGCATTAGCCATTTGTGTTGGGGGCTTTTTTCATTCCACTTCCCCTCATGCCCATGCACCACATACCCCTCTCCTCACCTCCAATTTAAATGGGGTTCTCCTTTTAAAGCTCTTGCCAGAAATCACCTCCTCCATAAACCCTGCTCAGATTTACAAGGCATTGATGTGAACTTATCAAAACATCCCTACTGTGGCACCTTAAAGTATGACTTTCGGGGTAACTTCACTCAGCTCATGACCTCAGTGAAATGAATAGACATCTTGTTTCACCTGTTTCACCTCCCTGAACTGTAGGAGAAAGAGCCCAGTCCTGGACTTGGAGTCAGGGAAACCTATGTAAGAACGCTAGGTTTGCTGAACGGCTGTGCAAATTACAACATCTTTCTGGGTCTTAGTTTCTGTATCTGTAGAATGGAGACAATATTGCCTGCCTTATGGGTTGTGGAGAGAGTTCAATGGCCTAACATATGTAAAAGTTCAATCACTATTAAAATCACTATTTACAGATGGACCATGTGGGACTAAAAAAAGCCCTCTGAGAGTCACACTGAAGAGGGTATCTGATAGACACACTGAATTCTTCTTGGACCAGATGCATCTCTCAGTGACTTTCAAACAGGCTGTGCATCCAAATCAATGAGTAAAGGTTTCTCAAAATACAAATTCTGGATGCTGCTGAAGCAGAATCTCTCAAGGTAAGATTTACCAATCATGGGCATATATTAGCCATTCATCCGTTGATGCTGATAAGTAGCCAGTATTGACAACTTCCAAACAACTGAAAACAAAACCACCTCTCCAGGCGACCAGCCAGCCAGCCAGAGGGACCCTCTGTAACCACAAATTCCCAGCCCACGGTAACACAGATGCAGTTAACTAGAGAAGGGGGCACTCTCCAAACCAAAGGGAGGTGGCAAGGGATTTCAGCCAGGTACACGAGAATAAAGAAAAGTTCTGCCTTTCTGGAAAGCAATCATCCCAGCTGGGGCATGATCAAAAAGACAATTGTGTTTGATGCACACACCAAACACACAGGGCTGGCTCTATTCCAAACCTTCAGCACGCTTTTGGAAAGGGAGCAACGGAAGTGCGGAGGTGAGTACAGGCTATCACGCCTTGCTTGCTTCCACCTGTAGAGCCCTACCAATAAATCTACATGCTGTGTGCTAAGCCTCTTACACATGCTATCCCTTTGACTCTTCGCAACAGCCCTATGAGATAAGCATTATTATACCTATTTTACAAAAGAGGAAACTGAGGCATGAAGAGCTTTGCTAGTATGCAGCAAAACTGAACATGAACAAAGATCTGCCTGACTCCAAGCTCTATCCTAAGAGTCGGGGGATAATATGGTATTATTTCAAATATATGAGACTCCATTCCTTTATCTACAGTAATGGAAATTTTACTATTGTAAAGAGTGAGATAAGAAATTGGGAAGGACACATGGCCATCAATAAGTTGCAGCTAGTATTGTTGTTCAATACTGCTAAAAGATCCCTTTGAAATTGTACCACGAGGGGCTGTGGTCTGAGGAGTGGGCATTTTCAGAGATTATTTGAAAGCCAAATTCAATTTCTTTTCATGATGGCCTACTTGAAATTTATTGGTTACTTATTGACAATACACATTGTTATTCCTTTCTTTGTTTTGTTTGTTCTAAAGTAACATGGAAAATTATTAAAAATGAGTTCCTAAGTGGAAAAGTCCTTCAAATTAGAGATGAATATGTTATTTACAGTTGAAAAGTCATGTAATGTTGTGATGTGATGTTACATCAAGCCAAAGCACAGTGTCCCAGTAGAAATACAGTGCTGGCCATTTGCTATATTGTAGTATGTGTACATTCCAGAGTCTGCCACTTCTTTTCCATGTGGGCCCTTCTGTTCTGTGAAAGCCTTCGTCCCATTATGCCTTCTGCTCAATGCCCGGGCAGCTACCATGGCCCCCCTCAAGTCCCTTCTCCTTTTGTTCTCTCGCTGCCCTCACATCATGCAATGCTGTAACACTCCATGGGATTGTAGACCACAGTGTGCCCTGTAGGGCAGAGAACAACCTCCACACTAGCTAGTTCCTTTGAGAGGACAACTCATTTGATTCGCCTTGTATTACACAATTTTCCAACATCCCCAGCTTGGGTTTTGCCATTTAACCAATTTAACTATTTTAAGCCCACTTTTTTGAGTCTAAATCAGCATGCAGCACCTTCAATTGCAGGTAGCACTGTGAATACTATATGTGTTCATCAACTGTGAATAGCCAAACAAATGTCGGTCATGTCATCCCTGTCTGTAAAACACTACCCCAGGCCACACCTGAAATAAGTGACAGAGCTGAGATTGGAACCAGGACTATCCGGCTGTGGAGCCCAGTGTCTTAATCATGATGCCTTGTGACTTTTTGAGAGGAGAGCTCAGCAAACACAAAATTTACATTTGGCAGAAAACATAGACATTTATAGAGTCAAACACACATATTTTAATAATGATGAATATAAGTCACAAAGCAATTCCAAACTATTACACATCTACAACCCTGAGTGGTGAAAATAGCTAAGAGGGTTGGAATTCCAGCTCTGCCCCTTGAGAGCTGTGTGACCTTGGGCATATCACTGAGTTTTTCTGAGCAACAATTTGTTGTTTAAATGATATTCCCTTTGGAATCCTGGGAAGGTTTTATGTCACTGTAAATCTGTTGCCAGACTTACAGATTTTGTACATAAATACCCAACAAGAGTATCATAAAATATGTGCTCAGTAAATGATAAAATTGATATTTTCATATTCTGTATTGTATCGCTATGTCTTTGTACATGCTTTCCTATTACCTCATGTACCTTACAAACTCCTACTTACCCTTTAAGACAGGAACTTGGGGCCCAGACCCTCTGTGAAAACTTTGCTGTCCCTCTCTTGAGCTCCATTTCATGGTAGAGGTTATCATTCCTATCTTACAGCCATGACAGCACCTAGAGGTAGCAGCAGAGCTAAATAAGAGATGGAGGACATGACTCTGTGGCCAGAACCTTCCCCAAAATTAAAAGAGAGGGAAAGGGGATTGTAGAACAAATGAACAATCATTCATTCAACATTTATTGAGCATCTGCCAAGTGCCAGACATAGTACCAGGCACTGAGGAAGCAATGTTGAATACCATGTGGTCCTTGTCCTGGCACAGCTAAATGCTAGTGGGGGAGAACGACAAACCCACTCACTGATTAACATTCAGAGTGATGTGTGAAATCACACTGCAGGTGAGGAAAGTCTGAGGCAGAGCTCTTGGACTGCACTTTGGAAGACAGGCAAGAGTTTGGGAAGGTGAGAAGGGAAGGCGTGCATAAGGCATGAAATGGAATGGCGTATTTGGGAAACTGCAGATTGATCAGAATGCTTCCAATAAAGTAAACTGGGCACCTTGGCCTTTATCCTAAATGATATGGGAGCCCTCACAGGAGAGTAACAGGGTGATGTTTGTTTTCTAGATAAGTGTCAAATCCTTTCTACCAACCTGGATCATTCTATTTCTTTCTACACACATTCATTAAGACAATATTTCTCCCAACATCAGTTTTGAGATTTCTGTTATTTTCCATCTCTCAGATATTGGTGAGGACCCAGTCTTGCCTAACAGAGTGGAGATTAATGTACTCCAACCCTGTGGCTCCAATTACACAGAAAAATGTGATAAAGGAGTGATGAAAGCTGTGAAGGATTTCTTTTTCTGATAAAGGGAAATACCAAGACACTTGGCGGAACACATTTTATCATCTTGTGTTATTATCAGAAAGAGAAAGCCTGCTCCCCTGCTCTATCGGCCAATTCTGCCACTGTGTCAGTGAGTAGTTTGCAATCAATCAGGGAGATGGTGCTTGAATTCTGGATGGCCCATCTCTGTCTGTCTTCTCCCTATGTGACTAAAAAAGACTCTTTATATGACAGGGCCATTTATTAAGAGCAAGATTTCAGTATTACTTTCTGTGATAAAGCAGCCAGAGACTGCTTTGGACTTTTTCTGGAATCAAGATATCCTACCTCTTCAAAGCTCAACACAAAGACCTACATCAACAAAACTATTCATCTCAGAGAAGAATTCTCCTATAAGCCCTTCATCTGGATACCTTCATTTTTTAACATCTGCTTTCTTCTTCACCTCCTTGATTTGGTGTTTGTCTTGCTAGTTCACAGACATTGCTATTTCTGTAACCAATAATGAATTAATTTCCTAAAATTTAATAGGGTTTTAATAATAATGTCTTATCATTAGATAGCTCTTTTACTATTTAGAAAACCCTTTCACCACAAACCAAATGACCCCCCAGTTAGTGTACTTCTTAATTAAAATTTCTCTTCTCTTAGAGCTTTCTAGTAATCCTGAACTTGGGTTCTAAGGCTAATTCCACCCACCTCTTGGCCAGCCTAGTGTACCAGTCACCTTTCACTAGGTAATGCAGTAGTAGTAAACAATCCCACTATCCCAGTGGCTTCTAACAAAAGTTCATTTCTTGATCATATTACATTTCAGCAGTAGGTTGGCTATAGCTCTACTCCATATGTTTTCTTCTTTCTTGAGCCTAGATTGAAGGAGAAAATCTATCTGGGACATGTCATTCTTGCGTGGTGGGGAAAGGAGCAATGACAGAAACATGTGATATCTCTCAATGATTCTGTTCAGCATACATGCCTTCTACCCACATTTTGCTGCCCAAAGAAAATCACAAAGTCGAGCCTAATGCTGATGGGACACAGAAGTGGAACATTCTCACAGGAAATATAGCAAATAATTGGAAACAGTAATACAATTTACTATACTTGGAATGCCTTGCTCATATTCACTGCTGAGGAGTTTGTGGTGCTTCCTAAAAGCAATACTCCCTTTTCTTTCCTTTATGTGTTGTCAACACCAAAAACCACGATTTCCTCCATTTTTACCCCACCTCAGAAGCCCACCCAGTCCTGTGTGTTGGTCTTTTCCCTCCCCTTTGTAATCTGGGAGAGATAGTCTAGAAGCAGAATGAATGATCACTGGTACCTGCAAGGGTTCCCTAAAACTTAATCATGGCAGAAGTACCTTATTGATTTTATGAAAAGTTATTGGGTTTAAAAAAGCAGGATAAGATTTCTTAGAATTTTTGAGCTAGGAGGAATTATAATTTTAAAAATTATCTTAATTTTGTAAATTTTAAAAAAATGCTATAAGGGCCGGAGAGGTATATTTATTTGCCAGTGCTCACAAAGCTAGAGAATGATAAGGCAAAGACTACAACTCAGATTTTTAAAAATCAGGCCTTTTTCATCACCCCAAGTCACCTAACCTGTTGCAGACAAACTTTAGCAAAGGTTTTGCCTTTATCTCTCATAATGTGCTGTGAAGAAGAGGAAATGTGGCCCAGATGATAGTACACTTGAGTGGAATTGTACCTTGTTGAAAGAATATACCCAGAGTACTGATTAATGTGTCCATACCCATTTCAAGGAGGTCTCTAGGAGTACACTAAAGGAATACTAAGTCTTATCTTAGCCAATAATTTTTATTAATTACTGTGTCACAAACATAAAGATCACACTGTGATAGTCACTGGCCCTGTTCATGAACTATCCTTGAACACCTGATAGAATTGCAATTTCTGATCTCCATGTGGTTGGTGAGGCCATGAAACTAATTCCAGCTAAGCAAAAAAAAGTGATGTGTTACTTCCAGCCTGGAGCATCTAATTGCTAGTGTAAGACCTTCCAGAGTCTTCTTCCTTCTGCCATGTTTACCAACAACATTGCAGGTGAAGATTTCACTCGGCCTGACCCCTGCAGGGAAGAGACAAGAAGCAGAGTCCCAGCCAATCCATAATGGACATATGACGTAAGCAAGAAACAACCCTTTGGATTTTATTAACCACTAGGATCCAGGACTTGATTATCTTTCAATACAGTGGAGCCTATCCTGACTGACTCTCATACTAACAAATATCTAATATTTTTAAAAGTTTAGAAAGATAATCACTATAATGGAAGACCAATTCAGGGTTAAAAAGTATTGTTGCAAATAGGTATTAATGGCTAAATGTGCCTAACAAAATAGACCTTGAAAATGCCAATGTAATTTCCTATACTTAAATTTCAGAAATCAATAGCAATTCATAAGTGAAAAGGTCTGTGACCTATAAGCTCAACAGGAATCAATATTGTACTTTGGATAACAAAAATTCTAAACTCACTGGTAAGCTGCATTCATAAAAATGTAGTATTTAGAAATCAAGGAAATTAATAGTCCTGTATGCCACAGAGAACACACCGAAAGCACCAGCTTCAGTGAATGAGGGAATAGCCAATGGAGAATACCAAGATGCTAGGGGAACTTGAACTATGACAGATAAGGAGTTGTTAAAGGATCTGAGATGAGTGGCCTAAAAAAGAAGAGACTTAGCAAGGACATAATGTTTTCTTTAAATATCTGGAGATCAGCACTGTCCTGGGTTACAGGAAAATAAAATAAAATAAAATAAATATCTAGAGAGCTGTAATGAGTGAGAAAGTTTGATTCTGTTTTACATCAAGGCCTGGAACAAAGAGTCACAGGACAAAGCTATAAGTAAGAGGCAGGCCCTGGGAAGCCTCCTTTAACCTCCATAGAGAAGTCTCTCTTGATCCTCTAGATAAGCTTGGCCTTTGTTGAAACAAAGATCACACTGAATTTGTCTATATGAAGATGGCAGAAAACTGTGAGGTTCTTCAGGGAAAGAATACATTATTTATCTATATTCCAATATTCAGTACACATTCAGTATTTACAGAATGAAGTTCAATCAGAATAAATGTTCAAACAAACAGACCCCTACAGTAGTGGAAACAGCACAAATGTCCATTGTTTAGGGAATTCATCCAGTGAGGCCAGGGCTGGAGGAGATGACCTTCTAATAGTTGTTCTAATTCTGCTTCTAGCCTTCTGCAATTCAGCTAAGTCTTTCCTGGAGTCTGGCATTTAAAGCCCACCTCCAACTCATGTGCTCTGAACACATGGATAATTCGAGCTGTTTTTCATTCTGTTTCCAAACTCTGGTGTGCAGTCACTTACAGAGTATGGCAGACTTCCCAAGTCATCTGGAATGGGCCATGGGATTAAAACAAACATCTGGAAAAAGGAGGCAACATTGTACAGATCAGTGAAGAGCTGGCCCATCTCAAATGAACAAAATGTTGTGGGTGAAAGAAGATTTCCAGTCACAGTCAAATAGAGTAGCAATAGACTCCTAGAATCAGAAAATATTTTTGGATCGGCCAAGTTTCAGCACCTCAAATTAAATCAGCGGGAACTCTATTTCAAATTCAAGATTTGCCTTTTAATGTAAAATCTGCAGAGAGAGAAATTTAGTTATCAAAGGAAACAGTTCTATTTTAGCACCATATTTTAGATTGTTGTAAAGTGACATGTAGTTGAAAATATCTCAGGCATGACAGGATAAAATTGTTTTAATAAAATGTCCATCTGGGCTTCTGGTTTAAAATGATGGCTTGAAACCATATGTTTGTCACTGTTCCCTTCCTCCAAAACTTTTTAAAATGATGTTACAAGAATTCAAAAGTATAAATCTACAAGGGCAATGAATGGGAAAGAGACAAGAACAAGAGATAGGGATCAACAAATTTTTGGAAGACAGAGAGTAGAAGAAGGCATTCGTGGGCCTGAGAAAGCTGAATACCAGATACTGCAGAAAAGCATGCCAAGAAGAGATAGCCCATTCATGCTGCACAGCTCTGGAGAGGCTGGCAGATGGAGGGGTCTGCTTCCACCACAGGTGAGTGTGAGTTGGGGGGTTAATCAAAATCTCTGTAGCAAGCAATGTAATCCCAGGTCCCACCCCTATTCCTGAAGCCAACTACCTCTCCCACTCAGGAAAAAACTGGAGGATTATGACGTGAAAAACTGACATGGAGCAGCTGCTAATGTGGGGTTAGTAGGTATCATGAAAGAGGGCTATGCTGAAAACAAGAAAATTAAGTGAAAGTTTACATATCAAAATATGAGATTGCCCATTCTGCTTGTATCAAACCAGCTCCAGGAATACTTGACAGTATGTTCTTCCAGGCAAGAGAACAGTTTTCTCGAGAAACTAAACTACCCGCTAAAATGCCTTATGGGCACAGATAGTTGAGTGTGTCCCAACAGAGAGGCCTGGTTCCCACCAAATTAATACATAGCATAATGCATGCACCTCCCATGGGTACTTAGGACTTCCAATTACCTGTTTAGGATACCATTCTTAACCATAAGTAGACTTCTAAGGACCACCAGACATTTGTGTAAAGTCTACAACATGAAAGAGACCAAAATAAACATTTTTTAAAGTAACACAACCCAGAAAAAAATAAAGGAAAAATACAGAAAAAAAAATTTCAGAAAACTATAATTGATATCCTCATATATCAAGGTAAAGAATAAAGTGCAATTTTATAAAAGAATTGTTGTAACAAAACATTTATAGAAAAAGATCGAACTCTAGTCAATTACAAGTACAACAGCAGAAACTACAAATTCAATAGGATGGTTGAAAGAGGAAGTTGGGGATAGTCTCTGGAAGGTGGACCAAGTGATGGAATATACGAAAAAAAAAAGAAAAGGCAATTAGAAGACCAATCCAGGAGATTCAACGTATAGTATTATAGAACCAGTAAAAGAAAAAGAGGTGGGAGGAAATTATATTAGAAATAACACTAGAAAATTTTCCACAGCAAAAAGATCTGAGTTTCTAAATTGAGTGTTACCACTCATTTCTTGGAAAAATTAATGGAAAAAGGCTTATTATTGTCACATTTGAGGACTTTGGGGATAAAGAGAAGACTCTAAAACCCACAAAAAAGAAAAACAGTAGTGATAT
This sequence comes from Homo sapiens, assembly GCF_000001405.40. NCBI lineage: Eukaryota > Metazoa > Chordata > Mammalia > Primates > Hominidae > Homo > Homo sapiens. Next base: position 87,438,801 of record NC_000011.10, on the reverse strand, counting down.
ACTAGAGACTAAGAATCAGTATTGTATTATTTAAGGCAACACTGGAAGCCAAAAATCAATGCAACAAAGCTTTCCCAATTCTGAGGGTTTTAACCCAAAGTCATAACCAGACACGTTGTCATTTAAGTGTAAGTATGTGGAAAATGCATTTTCATATAGGCAACTTTTAAAAAAAAAAGGCTTTCCTTAAATTCCTTTTCTGGGAACCACCACATGTTATTCTCCACCAAAGTGAGGAAATACATCAAGAATTTTTTAAAATAGGGTCTAGAAAACAGGAGAGCTAACACAGGAAAGGGATAAAGGGAAGTCCCAAGATGACAGCTGTGCAGTGGGTCCTGGAGAGCCACCAGTCCAGACTGTATCAGAAAGACAATTCCAGAAAGAAGGTTTCCAGGAAAAATAAAAACAAAAACAGAAAAACAGACTGGTAGAATACCTGGTGAGTTTGACTATGAGGCAGATAAAAATACTAAAGTGGATTTTTTAATTAAGCCAAAGAAGATTTTTTTAAAACAAAATAGGAACATAAAAATGTAAGTAAAAGACAAAAAAAAAAAAACCCTGCAATTAACAATTCCAGAGGAATTGATCAAGTGTATTACTTGTCTCAGCATAAAAAAAAAAAAAAAAAAAAACACTCCATTGGAACAGCTCACACAGTTGCTTGAAAGATCCATGTCATTTCCCTTCTTAAAACACATCAGTGAATCCCCATGTCTTTCCAGGCACTCAGAGTTTTATGAACCTAAATAAATTCCATCACTTTTCAATGAGTAATCTAAATTCCAGAGAGGTGACCTGACTTGGCCAAGTGTTTTAATCAAGTGAGGCATAAGCCTGAAAGAACTCAGGTTTCTGTCTTCTAATTTACTTCCCCTTCCACTGCCAGCCCAGGTGACAGAAACACCATCTCCTGTTTTTATTTTTGAAATCACAATAGTATACAATTCCCCATTGGAACATACATTCAATTCCAAGAGCTATTTACTTATTCAGCTATCCCCTACCTGTTAAAAATAGAACACAGGATTATTTCTTTGATATTGTTCTTTCACAACCTACAAAGAGATAAGGACCTGGAATGAGCTACCATGAAACGCTCACTGACCCAGGGGAGGCTCTGGCCAAATGAGCTACCATGAAATGCTCACTGACCCAGGGGAGGCTCTGGCCAATCTCTGCCGTGTTGCAGCACCTATCCTCCCACAATCCTGGTAAAACAAGGCATGAAGCAATGGGCAGTTTTAAGATAGATAATGGGGACAAGTGGGACCATAACCTCAGTGCTCATGACTTAAGGCTGCTTCAATCCAGCTACTGTTGCAGTAGATCCAGGAACACTGCCTTTCTTTCTTGGCATCTATTCGAACATTCACCAAATCTCTATGGGTGTCTGCTCTGGTGAGGCAATGGGCCCGCCTTCAGTATACAGTGGTGAGAAAGATAGATAGCCCTTCACAAAGGCTAAGGTCAAGAATCTAGTGAAAGTTGACAGAGTTCACATGCAAATGTGGAGGGTATTGGGTCAGAACCCGCCTCATATACATCAACACATACCCCATATCACAACCACAGCCTGCCTGACAAACCTTAGCCCTAATATTTTGAATCATCCAAAACAGAATGGGCTGCTGCCTTGGGGGTATCAAGTTCCCTGTCATTGAAGGTTGATTGATCACAGGCAGAGGAGTCAAAATGCAAGTGTGACTTTAGATGGTAAGGCCTGCCCTTTCCCCATTTTCGATGCCTGATGAAATCCTACTCCTCCATCAGGAGCAGGTTCAAGTGTCCTGTCCTGACACTTCTCAGCAGTGTTCGACATCCACACTCTGGGTTGCTGTGGCTCTCTGATCTGTTCACTACTGTTTCCCTCGTGCTGTTTCTTGACAGGAGCTGGCCCATAATTTTTTGTTTACAAATCTATTTCTTCACTAGAGAGAGAGGATGGTTTTTTTCCTATCAGCAAATGCCTGGTGCATTGGAGGTGCTCAAGCTGTGTTTGGTGAAGGAATAAAGCCAACCTTATTCCTCTCTATTCTACAACTGGACCATCCTTGAATAGTCTGCTTCCACGCCCTCAAACACAGCAAGGTCGATCCCACCTCCTAATCTCGGCTTGTGCTGTTTCCTGCCTGGAATGCCCTCATCTCTCATTATCTCAACAAACATTTTTGAATGCCTACTGTGTGCCAGACATTGTGCCAAGGATTGGCAAAACACTTCCCTCCTCTCCTATAGCTTAGAGCAAAGGCATGTAAAAGAGCAGATAATTATAAATTGGCATAATGAGTAGTGATATGATAAGTAAGCACAGGGTGTTGTGGGATCCCAGAGATACCCCCAGCCCTAACTCACGAGGTTGAAAAAGCCTCACCAGAGGAGGTGGCATTGTTGCTGCACCCTGAAGGTGTAGTTAGGGTCAGCCAGGTCAAGGAAGTGAAAAGAGAGTCTTGGGTGCACGCCCTTCCTGTCACCCTTCCTACCTGTCCCACTTCAAGGCCCACCTTCTCCAGGAAGCCAACCCCAGCTTCCCCAGTAGTTTTGGCCCTCACTGAGCACTCTCCATTGTACTCCTACATCCACGTGCTCTATAACTGTGGTTCCAGTAAGGAATTGATACAGTTGGCTGTCTGAGAATTCTTCAAGAAAGCTTGCTAAAAAAAAGAAAAACAAGAACAAAACACAGGTTTCTCAGTCTATTCCCAAATATACTGATTTAATTAGAATCTGTACTTTCCATGGGCTCCCCAGGTGAGTCTCCTGTCCAAACAAGTGTGGGAATTACGACCATACACCATTCCTTCCCACATACGCTACACCAAGCTATGTTTATTTTCTAGTGAGATGTTAATGCCATTTTCTCGCCTCTGTTTTTGATCTCAAAGCTGACATCAATTGTCTGTTATATCTACTGTCAATCCTGTTTCTAGCACAAAACTGTCATCAAAATAGGTACTCAATAAATATTTAAAGTCAGTGAAGAAAAGATATGCATGAAAGTCAGAAAGAATACTGCTGGGTATGATGGCTCCCGCCTGTAATCCCAGCAGTTTGGGAGGCCAGGGCAGGTGGATCACCTGAGGTAAGGAGTTCGAGACCAGCCTGGCCAACATGCCAAAACCCCGTCTCTACTAAAAATACAAAAGTTAGCCAGGCGTGGTGATGAGCACCTGTAATCCCAGCTACTTAGGAGGCTGAGGCAGGAGAATCATTTGAACCTGGGAGGTGGAGGTTGCAGTGAGCTGAGATTGCACCACTGCACGCCAGCCTGGGTGACAGAGCAAGACTGCATCTCGGAAAAAAAATAAAAAGTAAGAAAGACTAGAAAAAGATAGACATTTGGCCTTCAGGACTAAAATTTGTACTATGTCATTGAATAATTCTGATACATGGCATTTATACAGCACTTTACAACTTATAAAATGTCTTCCCAAATGTTATTGCAGTTGATCCAACTATCCCTTGGGGTGAGTAGGCAGGGCTATTACTACTATCATAACCACTCTAATTTATAAATTAGCTAACCTAATTAGCAAACTGAGGCTTTGAGGTGTTAAGAAATTTGCCCAAGTAAGAGAGGTTCAAAACCAAGTTTTAAAAATCCGGAAAGCTCCCTCTCATTTCTTTCTCATCTCACCACTTTTTCAAAGGATTTCTGTTAAGTACAGTAAATATGTTGTTTTCTTAGTTTAGATAAAGAGCAAAAATATTGGAGGTGGAAATAAATCTCATGTAAGAAATATACTTGTCTGTGAGATAGCCAGTGATGAATTTGTGGGTACCAGGGAATCATTCCAGTCTAGCCATAGGAAGATAAATGTTTGCATTTGGCAGGGGAAAAAAAGGATGATGATGGCAAATAAAGGCCCAGGAGTCTGCAGATTTTGTCATTGCCTTCCATGACATGATATCTGCAGTGATTAATGAAAACTTTTTGCACAGTGATATTTAATCTCTGAGTTAGGGGTGTTAGATGTAAACATTCAAGCAGTGGACAAAATTTCTCACCAAAAATGAGATCTGGGGACACAGGCCCTGGTTCACAGAGAGTGTGCAAATGGGAGAAATTTAGATAGCACAACAAGATCACTGAGGAACTTGCACAACTATTCCTCAATTTACCCAACTGTTAATTCTGGTAGGATTTTCCCTCAGGGAGGATGGGGCTAATTTTTCAACTTCCTGCACAATATGCTCACCCTGAAAGATGATGCAACCATGGACTGGATGGTTCTAAACTGGGGTTTTCAACAATGTGGGGTCATATGCTGTGAAAGGGAGACTTTCAGATATCATCACAAGCTTGCTCAATCATTTTCATACAGAAGAAATATGACAGTACTTGGGAACTGTGATTCCGTCAGAATCTAGGAGACTCACAACTTCAGTCAAGTTAGCAAGCTTTTACATACTTCAGAAGCTTGGGGCCTCCTCTCTTCTCCTTCAACAATGTTTCACCAAACATAAATCAGAGCTGTCTCTCACCCTCTGCATTCACAACAAAGCACACGCTTACCAGGCCACACAGGCCAGTCCTGAGACCATCCTAGGTTCCTCCCTCCTCCTCCTAAGCATCAACTCAACAGTAGACTGTGTCAGCCAGCCCTCTTCTCTTCATCCTCAGGCTATAGTCCTAGCTTTTACTTCAGGCTTTTTGGGGGAAGAGTGGGAGGGGAATAGTGATGACCATTGTCACAACTTCCTGAATAGTTTTCCTCCTTTCAGGTTTTTCTCTCCATTTCTTTCTCTACCTTCCTGCTTGAGTCATCGTGCTAAAGGAGACATGACCAGGTCACTTCTTTGCGTAAGAACTATCAGGAGCTCTGTTAGTGTGAGAGAGAGAGAATCCCAAGTTGCTTGCATGCCCTTCTAGTCCTTCACAGTCTGAGCCCAGGCTACCTGTCCCCTCCATCTGTCATTTGCCCTCTTGCCCCCTCCTTTGACACTCCCTGTCCCTCTGGGCTTATTCACCATCCCTTCTATCCATATCACACTTGTCGAGGCTCCAGGCATTTATTCCTAATGCATAGACCCATGACCCAGAAATTTACTTTGCCTGAGATACAGTTACAGTACATTTCCCAGCCTCCTTTGTGACTGGGAGATGGAGGAACTCCTGAGTTCTGGCTTGAGGAATGTAAGTACTAATTTGTGCCATTTCCAGAACTGGTCCATAAAAACCTTCCATATGTGATTCTCCATACTCTTTCCCCCAAGCTAAAGTCTGTGAAAAACAGATATTAAAAAACTTAAGTGCATAAAAGCTTAGAAAAAGAGAGAGATTTTAGGCTATGTGGTTATATTTACTGCATTTGAGAAATGCAAATAAGTATCTCAGGCTATTTTGATTACCGGACTGTGATCTTTTATCTGCTACCTACTGTGAGATTAGACCATATGCATAATAGTTTCTAAATGATGTCAAGTCATTCTTCAAACCTTTAGTGGAAAACGACTATGTGTCAGGCACTGGGCTTTGTGCTGAGAAAACAAAGTTGTATATCACACAGGCCCTGCCAGCAAGATGCTTAAATGATAATGGGAGGGGCAGGGAAGTCACCAAAAATAACAACTTAGTGCAATGTGTGCTCTTGTAAAAGTGGGAGGCAGAGACGAGGGAACCCATGCTCCTTTCATTCTGTGGCTCAGCCATCTTCACAGGGGTGGTAGGAAAGACACGAAAGGAACAAAGGTCTAGGATAAAAATTCACAGAGAATAACACAAGATAGAGATAAATAGGGTAGATGTAAATACTCCCTACAGGAGTCAAGAAGAAAAGTAAGTATTGGCCTGGAAAAAAAGGGAGAGGTGGAAAAAGATGACAAAGAAAACAGTACATAAAGCCCCACACCAAGAGGAAGGATGGTGCATTGTGGAATCTGCAAGTACAATAGAAGCTCTTCCAAAGAGCTTTGCTTCACTGACTGATTGCCCTTTGCGTTCTTCAACCAGCACTCTTTATTCCCTGTAGAAACTGACTGATACCCATAGCACTCAGATGGGCCCAGGGCTAGTAGGTTACTCTCTAGTGTCAAAGATAAAGCCAGACACAAGTTAAAGTGAGGACAGATTTTAAGTAGTAATAACTATTCCAACAGAGAAAACAGTCTAGCTGGAACTGCACTGAGCTCCAATTTATAAAGAGCTGATTGGTCATTTTAAAGCAAGAATGAGAGAATGGGGAGTGAGGTGAGCAGGAGCTGAGTGGAGTTAGGGAAGCGAAAACTTACAACGAAGGATAAGTCAGTCAGTGTGTTTCTACAGGGAATAAAGAGCACCAGTTGAAGAACACAAAGAACAATCAGTTAGTTAAGCAAAGGTCTGTGGAAGAGCTTCTACTGTACTTGCAGATTCCGCAATGCACCATCTTCCTCTTGATCTGGGGCTTTGTGTACTGCTTTCTTTCTCTTCTCTCCACCTCTCCCTTTTTTCCAGGCCAATACTTATTTTTCTTCATGACTCATTTGGGGAGCATTTGCATCTACCCTATTTACCGCATCTGTTTTATTTATGTGTGATCAGGCCAGCCGTGTCTGCTAGCTGGCAATTACCAAAGTTAGGATTCCATCCTCCCACAGAAATTGGAAGACAGAGGCCCCGTCCTTAGATGTTGGCTGAAACAAACAGTACATTTTTTTTGGCAGCCTTAAGTTTTCTTCGGCAGGCACTTTGAGCTGTTAGTAATGATGTTAGTGTTTGTTCAAGTCTGTATAGAACAAGGTTGAGGCCTAGTGGAGAAGAGAGCTCAAAGGAGCCTGGCTAGAGTTTGGTCAAAGACAGAGTCTTTGTCACTAGTCCGTCTGCTCACCTTGTGTCCCGGAATTGAGTGGTATAACACACAACAAAGACTGAGAGCTAAGGGAGCTTGATCATTGTCACTCGAACCTGTTGTTTTGCAGACAAGGAAGCTCCTCCTTCCTATTACTTGGTGAACCCTTATCCGACCTTTACATCTCAGTGTAGACATTGCCACTTCCTTCAGAATGCCTTCCTTGACTCCCACCAAATTAGGATGGAATCTCCTGGTGTGCATGCCCATAGTGCCTGAACCTCCCTAATTTTCTACATTTTGTCTGCATGCTGACCTCGCCATTAGATTTGAAGTTTCCAAGAACGGTACTGTTAGTCCTGCTCACAGCTGCAGCCCCAGCACTTAGGACAGCAGCTGCCACTTGAAAGGCACCCAGGGAACACTAGCTGCATGACTTGGCAGCAACTGGCTCAAGTCACCCAGGGAAACTGGCACTTAGGACTCAGTGGGTGAGGTTGAGTCACAGCCTACCTTTCTATCCAATGGAAGGGCTCCTGGCTCCCTCTGCCACAGTGACAAAGTCCTAACAGGACCCTCTGTCTGTCCAGAGATCCCAAGGTGTCCCACACAGGCCTTTCTTAGGGTGACAGTCCTGTCCCCAGGTCTCTATCCCCAGCATCCCCAAGGTCCATATCTCACAATCTCAAGAATCCAAGAAACAAATGTGTGGAGGGCTCCAATAACTGATAACAAAAATGTTGCCATCCAGGAATATTTCCATGAAGAAAGAAAAGTTGTAGAGATATGATATGGTATTTTCATCAATCTCTATGCTCAGTTCTTCAGTGTTTACTGTCATGCATGGCCTTGACCACTTTAAAGTTATTTTGTAGACTGTTCATGTTTGCCTGAGGTTTCCTCATTATTGTATTTAGAACATACTTTCTTTTTTTCACGAATACCAGAGAAATGATGTCTGTCCTTCTCAGTGGATCATTTCAGGAAATACACAATGTTGGCAATTGTTTAACTTGTTATGCTTATCATGATGTATATGTTTTCACTTCTTTTCACCCAGGGCAGGATGACAGGCTTCTCCCACGGGGCAGCTCCAGCACAGCACCGTGGCTGCCCAAAGCAGGGCAATGAACAGGACCATGCAGCCCTGTGAATACTTGGTGGGAAAGAGGCCAGTACTGTCTGCCTTAAGTGCAGGTCACCAGAAAGGTGGTACTGGCATTATGAATCTGCTGTGCCTACGTAAGTCAGTCTTGATAAGAAACCTAAGGGCTAGCTAGATGAGGAAATGGTGTTCAACTGTCACACACTATACCTGAGGATGTCAAAGGCAGAGACCCAGATTGGGGTGGTTGAAGTTGAGTAGAAAGCAGTGATAGAGAGCCAAGCGTGGGGGTGGGTAACTGTAACCTCAGCTACTCAGAAGGTTGTCGCGGAAGGATCACTTGAAGCCCAGGAGTTTGTGTTCAGCCTGGACAACATAATGAGACTCTGTCTCTAAAAATAAATAAATGTATTTTTATTTAAAAAGAGAAAGTAGTAACTGATTTATGCACTTGACAAAGAGGGCACCCTTAGGTAAGGAGATGTTTTTAGATTTCACTTCACATTCACGAAAGCCTTTTTTCAGAGGCAAATTTCATGAACAAGGATAAATCACCTTCCATATCCTTGCTACGAATAGGAAAAGAATTTTTTCCATTTTAAGGAAATGTATGATTTTAATTAAAATGAGAAGATTTGAGTGAGTTGCTAAGAAACAAGACCCTATCTGTAGCCATAGGAGCTTATACCATTAACATCTGGCTATAGATGGGTTTCCTTGGAAACAATTCCTAGGCATTCTTAAGCGTTAACACTGAGCAAGAATAAAGCCTTCTTAATAGGTGGAGACGAGGACCATAAAAAAAGATTTCTAATTGAGCAAATTGACCAACTATAAAAGCAAGCTATGCCAGCAAAAAATGATACTCAAATACAATAACCTCTTTTCAATCTGTTTTCTGCTCTGTTCTATTCTGTTCTCTTAGATAAAAGTAGTACATTTTCATGGGGAAAGAATTCAGATAGTGAGGAAGAGAATGAAGTTAAACATAGAGTTGTCCTTTTCTTCCTCCACCCTTCTGATTATTCCTCAGAATTAGCTACTATTAACTGCTTCATAGATGTCCTTTGAGACATTTTCTATGTTGACACAAGCATGTATATAATATCTCTATTTTAAACAAATGAAAAATTGTAAATCTTGTTCACAGACATGCCATTTTTTCCCTCTCTCTCACAATATGTCTTAGAGATCCTTCCATGTCAGGACATAAAGATCTATTTCATTCTCCTTGACACCTAGTTTGGACAAAGTTAAAAGAAAATCTATATAACCCATTCTCTGAATTGGCTTAGAGGGTTTCCATTCTTTGGCTATCACAAAGAAGCCTGCAATGAATATCCCTGTGGATATCTTTGCAGACCTTTTTAGGTCTATCTTTAGGGTAAATTCCTAAAAATAAAAATAGTTAAGTCAAATTTCATATGCATATTTTTATCACTATTGCCAAAATTACCCTCCAAATATATCACACCAATTCATTCTCCCACCATCAGCATAGAAGGCTTCCTATTTCTGGCCCATACTCCCGTCCCTAAGTAACACTGGGTATCATGAAACCTAAAAGTCTTCATCAATCCAGTAGGATAGAATGATATCTCATTTTTACATTTTGCATTTCTTTTATTTGGAAGGACATTACGTGTTTTCTCATGTTTGTCCATTTACATTTCTCTTTTAATTGATTACCTGTTTGTGGCCTTTGCCCACTATACTATTATCTTTTTCTTATTTGTGCCTAAGCACTCTTTGCTTACTAAGGAAATTAGCTGTTTATGAATCTGAATATTTAATTGCTTTTGCTTTTTTTCTTTAAACAAAGATGTCAGTTCTGCCAGTATCACAGGGTTGTCTCAGCCTTGGTTAAGATAATATATATGGGTTTGTCGCAGTGGCTCACACCTGTAATCTCAGCACTTTGAGAGGCCAAAGCCAGTGGATCACTTGAAGCCAGGAGTTCAAGACCAGCCTGGTCAACATGGCAAAACCCCATCTCTACTAAAAATACAACAATTAGCCGGGTGTGGTGGCATGCATCTGTAATCCCAGCTATCCAGGAGGCTGAAGCACGAGAATTGTTTGAAGCTGGGAGGCAGAAGTTTCAGTGAGCCAAGATGGCACCACTGCATTCCTGCCTGAGAAACAGAGTGAGAGTCTGTCTCAAAAAAAAAAAAAAAAAAAAAAAGGTACATATGAAAGTGTCTTTATTGATGCAAAATCCTAACTAATGAACTAATGTATATTGTTTTTTATTACATTCTTATTATCAAAGCAGGAGAGTCTGGTAGAGAAATTATATACTTTGGAATCTGAAGAATCCAGCTCAAATTCTGGCTCTGCCACTATTTGCTGAAGAGAAGAGTGACTTAGTGGCCCTTATTAATAGCCTCCTATATCTGTGCCTTTTCCCCTATAACCCTTAGTCCCCTCCCACTCTGACTCTGGCCTCAGCAATGTGATTTGCATTGACTAATCGGGCAGTAGCAAGCTTGAAGCAGAGACTTGAAAAAGTATTCATGTTTCTGCTTCTTCCATTGCTTCTCTGACATTGCTGTGAGAACATGTTTAAGTCAGCCTGAAAAGACCATGTAGACAGAGCTGCACTACCTCTGCCAAGTCTCCAGCCTTGTGAGACATCCCAGCAGAGATCAGAAAGCCATTCAGCTACCAATAAACTCATGAGCAGTACCAAGTCACTGATTTAGGGAGTGGGTATTGTCTCATGCGGCAATAGCTAACTGACATTATCTATGAGATTAACCTCATTGCATCTCAGTTTTCAAATTTATGAATGTTGAAGATAATACCACATTTATAGAACTATTTTGGGCAATAAAATAACACTAATACCTGGAATGATAACAGCCCAATCCTTACTATCAGCAAGGAAACTCAACTACAGGTAAGGTTTGGGAATGTCAGCAGTTGTTTCTGCAGCCCCATAATATAAAGCAATTGTTACAGTATATGTTTATCTTTAAGATCATCTGCCAAAATTTCCAGGTCTGCCAAAAATTACTACCCATCCTTACACAAGTCACTTAACCTCTCTGGGTTTCCTACAGCCCCCTCCATCTTCTGCAACTTTCCTATCTGGCACATTTCCTTGGCTCTTAGACTCAATCTGGGTTTGAAAAGGTTTCTCTTCACATGAACACGTATGTTTATTGCAGCACTATTCACAATAGCAAAGACTTGGAACCAACCCACATGTCCATCAATGATAGACTGGATTAAGAAAATGTGGCACACATACACCATGGAATACTATGCAGCCATAAAAAATGATGAGTTCATGTCCTTTGTAGGGACATGGATGAAGCTGGAAACCATCACTCTCAGCCAACTATCACAAAGACAAAAAACCAAACACCGCATGTTCTCATTCATAGGTGGGAATTGAACAATGAGAACACTTGGACACAGGAAGGGGAACATCACACACTGGGGCCTGTCGTGCAGTGGGGGGAGGGGGGAGAGATAGCATTAGGAGATACACCTAATGTAAATGACGAGTTAATGGGTGCAGCACACCAACATGGCACATGTATACATATGTAACTAACCTGCACGTTGTGCACACGTACCCTAGAACTTAAAGTATAATAAAAATATATATATATATATTTCTTAAAAAGTTTGTCTTTATCTCTTTGTTGAGAAACCCGAGTGCCCCCAGCCCAGCCCTTCCATCTCAGGCATCCCTCAATCCCTCAACCTTATATCAGAGTAATATTTCTAAAATGCAAGTTTACTTTTGCAGTTGACTGCTTCGGCTTCAGTGGCTTCCTCTAGCCTTAAGGAAGAAATCCACTCTCTAATGCAGGGAACCCAAGTCCCCTTCAACCTCTCTGGCCTCTTCCCTCACCACCTGTGCCAACTTGCATATCATCACACAGCTCCCAAGGTGTGCCTGCTCAAGGTCTCTGCTGTTTTCTCTGCATTAGAGTAAGCTTCCCATTACCAACTCTCCATTTTGTGTGTCTGGTCAGTTTCAACCCCTAGGAAGACTTTCCTATCCCCAGGCTTCTCAGTCTCATCACTATTGACATTTGGGGCCAGATAATTCTTTGTTGTGGGGTGCTTTTCTGTGCATATAGGATATTTGGCAGCATCCCTCACTGGCCTCTACCCACTAGATTCTAGAAGCACCCTTCCCAACTTTTAACAACCAAAAATGTCTCCAGACTTTACCAAATACCTCCGCAGGGCAAAATCACCCCCAGTTGAAAACAAATGCCATAATTCCGTTCCCACATGCACCCCCAAAAGCAGATTCAATGTTCTTAGACATCCTAGGCCTAACTCTACTCAAACATTTATGATGCTGTATGGTCAACATCTGATCCCAGCCTGTCTTTCCCACTAGACTGACTATCTGAGGACAAAAATTGTGCCTTTGGTCCCTATATGCCTAGGTCTCTGCTCACTTTCTAGAACAGGGAAAGTTCCCAATGAATATTTGTTAAAGGGGTGTGTGTGTGTGTGTGTGTGTGTGTGTGTACATAATAGCAATGTAGAAATGGGGAACTGATGTTCCCAAATCTATCTGCACATTACAATCATCAGAGATATTTTTAACATACAAATTCCTAGATATGTGCCTAAACTCCTGAATAAGGATCTCAGGGAGCAGGAACCCAGGAATGTTTACTGTTTAAACTGCTGGGTGATTGTAATGCAGCCAGCCCACAGAAACAACAATCCTTAACAATGACCCATGAGACAACCATTCATAGACAAAATAGTGGCAACCAACCTTCACCATCTTTGCAGACCATCTGACAATGCCCACTTCCATCACTGCAAAAAAATGTGAAATATTCCTCCAAAGAAATCCTTCTGCCCCCAAAGTGCAAATTGGTTGTTTCAAAAGGTGAGTAAGGAAGTACTCAAGAAGCCTCCAGAAAAGGCTCGGAGAGCCTCTCCATATAGTCAGAGGGACCCTCCCACAAGAGTGACTGTGGCATTTATGAAAATATTCCTTTGTGAAGCAGAGCATTTGAATCTTCCTTGGCTTCCTATTCCCATGGCCTCCCCATGGCCAGAAGAGCCCTGTTCCTCCATAGAACACAGATGGCTCCCTTCTCAGGTGGCCTGCTCATTCTCAGTAGTCTGTCTTTTCAACAGAACTCAGAGGAATTCTGAGGTGGTAGACGTAGAACGTCTGCCTGCCCCCGAAGGAAGCAAATGAGGGCCTGGGCTACTTATTTCAAACATGTGCACCATCCAATGCAATGCTTACTATACATTTAAGGCTAGTAGAGTTGGATCTGGTGAAAATCTCTCTGTAACAGGGCTGTAGAGTTCAGTCCTGAAAGAATGACTCATGGCCAGAAATTCATGAGGAGTCAGGACAGTGAGAGTGGAACTGGATGAGAAAGTTGACAGGCTTGCAGAGAACATCCTCATTCCCTCTGCCCTGACAGGCTGGTAAATACATGTTAACAGCATAAGACACTATCAGTGATGGAGCCGGCATGAGGTCCTCTCCCTCCCACTGGCGGAAACCAGCCATCTCTGGAATCTTTAACGATGTCCAAATCATTAAATCCAGTCCAAATCAAGTCCAAATCAAGGCACCAGCAGGCTTGGTTCCTTCTGAGGGTTCTGAGGGAAGGATCTGTTAAGGCCTCTCTCCTTGGCTGTAAATGGTCACCTTCTCCCTATGTCTCATCACATGATCTTCCCTCTATATATGTCTGGTCCAAATTTTCCCCTTTCTAGAAGGATGCCATCATATTGGATTAGGGCCCATTCTAATGATCTCATTTTAATGTGATTACCTATGAAAAGACCCTATCTCCCTTAAGCTCACATTCTGAGGTACTGAAGGTTAGGGCTTCAACATATGAATTGGGGTGGGGGGCTCATTCTAACCCATAGCAATGCCTGACACTTCTGTCCCGCTCTGTCAGTTTCTCCACACTTCTCCACCTCCTGAGTATGCCCGACTGACTTTCTCTTTACCCCTTCTCCAGACTCCTCAACAGTTTTTGCAGAGACTGTGTGTCTCAACCTTCCAAACAAACTGTGATAAACTGGCAGGATCATGAGCTCTTGGAGAAAACAGACCTGGGTTTAAATCTGGATTCTAAGCTCTACTAGCTATGTGCCTAGGACAAGTTACTTCATCCCTCTGAGCCCGTTTTCTCATTTTATGGTAAAGATGTGCTTGGTGAGCCACATATTTAAAATGTTGCCAGTTACTTCTGTATCCAGTGAGAGGCAGGAGTCGCCAAAGAGCAAATTCTGATGTTGTTGGGAAAATAATCACTTCGGTGGCTCTCTTGAGCTTACCAACAGAAAGTGAGTCCTCACCTAATTCCCTGGAGGAAGGGTGTATGAGCCCTTCTGTGGCTGGTCATAGTCAGGTCCTTCATCATACCACATGGTGTGGTCCCTGAGAGGGAGGCAAACACATTTTCATAGAGCTAGAAAGGATCCTTAGCATAAAAGGCTAAAAATCATCTACTCCCTCCTTTTCAGGTATAAAGCAGTACTTCTCAAACTACCAGTAGGGAATAACATTTTTAAAAAAATTTCAATCGACCACAGACTTATACTTTTGGAAAAGGCAATAAAAATGTATTGTTAAATATTAAAAGGACAAACAAAATGCAAGCCACTATTTTTTCTTCAATTCAACAGATATAAAAATAACTCTGTAAAGTTGCTGTGAAATATTTCTAAATGTTTACCATTAATTGCTAAATGTATCTTTTTATAGGCTAGTAACAAAAAGTTTGTGGACAGGCCCCCAGCCAAGCACTAAATTTGAATTAACACCAGTTTAATGTATAATGAAAGAGTCTTCAACCCAAGGCATCTATCTGTGGGGTGATGGGTGATTGGGGTTAGTGCAATACTAAAATTACAGTATTCAGCTCTGGCATTCAAAATCAGGTTTTTTTTTCCATCTACAGCAAGAAAATAGACTTGAAAGTCAGGCCCTCCTTCCTAAGAGGAGGAATGAGTAGCTCCCGTTGTCTCTTTCCACCTTCGAAATACCAAGATGCAAGCATGGAAGATGAGATCACAATTTTGCTTTACGTACGGAGTAAGGAGAAGGTAGCCCACCTTTCAGCTTGGTGTGTACATTATTATTAATATTGAATAGCAGACTATTCATCAAAGTAACATCTCTCTTGTTTAATGATTAACAACTTAAAAAGTGTTTTTACGTCTATGATGTACGTTTATGTCTCATTTACCCTAAAGTCATACTTTTGTCCCCATTTTACAGATGAAAAACAGAAGCAACAATAGAATCAAGGCATTCTCACCATTCCCAAGCTTGGAGGGAAGGTGAGATGTTTTCCACAGTCTGTAATGGGAGTATCTTTGTCCCGATTACGTCTGGGAACAGAGTACGTCTGGGAACAGAGTAAGGAAGTAAATGGTGGAGTAGGAGAAACCTTGCATCTTAGTCGGAAGTCATCATTTGTTATCATCATCTTCACCAACATCATTCACCAGCATCTCTTTGGCCCTATTATTTCTAGGATCCTGTGGCAGGCAAATGGAGGACATCAGGAGATAAGGCAAGGTCCCTGCCATCAAGGACCTGACAGCCGGCTATGTGATTCTGGGCAAGTCACTAAGCTTGTTTTTACAACTGCAAATTGAGATAATAAAATTATCTCCCTTGGAGTGTTGTTGTGAGGGATTAAACCATAAAATGCACATGAAGTGCTTAGCACAATCCAAGGCCTGCAAAGCCCACAAGACCCAGTAAACATCCCCTAAGTATTTGTAATTAATGCTATATAAATTAGCCAAAAATAGATCTGTTTGCTAATTACAATGACTAACAAGTCATTTTGCATTTAGTCATTTTCCACATGGCTTCATTTGTCCCTGAAATACCTATGTTTTCAGAGACATGTTAAAATCACTAAATAAAGTTAAGAATTTTTTAACTGCTAAAATAAATAACCAAATATCACCTGAAGAGAAGGACTCTAGAGAAACAGCAAGGGCGTATCTCTGGAGTATCTTGATATCACATTTTGTATCCAGCAACAAGCATTTTCAGCACGTTGATAGCAAGCTCTGTTTCCATTCTGTGTTTGACAAATTTTGCTCCAAGGGAGAGATAGCTGCTTCCTGCCTTTCCCAGCTATGGTGGAACCTGGGATAGCCTGCGGGGAAGGAGGAGCTGGGGAATTTGTGACTCAGGGGAAAGTCAATTGAAAAGTCAGGCAGACAAAGCACCAAGGCTGAGAGGAAAAATATACATGGAAAGCTGGAGTTAGAGGGGAGAGTTGTCCAGACTTTCCAAGAGAGACTGGATCTCCATGCCAGGCAGCCAGGAGGCCACTGGAGACAGCTCTGCTGGGAAAACTCCACTGGGCAGCATAACATGACAGAAAACAGGCTCTCCTAGCCAGAGCCCCATGGTGAATGCCTCCAGCACCTCACCCAGGCTCCTCTGGGTTACACAAGGCCCATTTCCTTCCCTTGTGGCAATCTTGGCAGCAGAGAATGGGACAGTCTCCTGAGCCCCTCAGATGATTCTAATATATCCCAGGCTTTCCATCATTGCCCTTACTGAGAATCATTTGCAACACATCAGTAGCGTGAATCATCAGATCAGTCCTTCAAGCAGGGAAACCAACAATTACGCTTGGCCCTGAGTGCTCAGGGAGGAGGACGCAGGTGCCAGGTTGGCATGAAGAGGTGGAGAGACTTCTCCAGGGGGCTCCATCCTGCCCCTACTTCCATTCTCCAGGTAGACAGCATGTGACTCCCCTTGCTTACATCCTCAAGCTTCCCCTCCCCTTGATTTGCTCCTCTCTCAGTACCTTTCTATTCACTGTGGCATAATTCCACCTTGTCAAAGTCAGCAGAGGAAGGCTGATAGAGAGGGCTCTTTTCTGAGCAGCAGGAAACCTGGCTTCTGGCCCTGGCTCTGTAACTAGTTTGTTATGTGTCTTTGGACTGGTCCTTTTCCCTCTCTAGGCTCGAAAAGAGTTGACCAGGGGACCTCTACAATCATCTAGTCTGGCCCTGTAACAGAATCAGACTGGGTTTGTTGAGTTTTTTTATGTGATTGGCTGGCTTTGTGTTTTGGTGTGTGTGTGTTGTAGAAAAACATTTAATATGAGATCTATCATTTTAACAAAATTTTAAATATACAATATAGTGTCATTAGTCACAGGCACAATGTTTGTGTTTTCATGGTCAAACCATCTACTCATCCATCCACCCTGGAGACCAGCAAACCACGGCGTCCTGTAGGAGCCTGAGACAGCACACTTCTTTCTCTAGGCACCCACTGGTATCACCAAGGTCCCAACCTGCCAAGGGAACAGGAGGACAGAGAAGCAGGATGGGGAGCTTGATGGGAAAGGATCTAGCAGGTCATTCTTCCACCACTAGGTGTCACTGTTCTACCTTAAACATCCCTCTTTAGATTCTCCATCAGAGTAAGCAGTGACTCAAAGCTCTCTTGGATTCTTGGCACTTGGATCTAGTTAGCATCTTTCTTCCTGGACCCTTTCCCCAAGACTCAATACGATTATTTAAATGTGTCTGCCCATCTCCTTTCCCTGCCTGCCAGCTCTCTGGACCTGACCACTGACATAGAATGTGAGGTATACATCTGCCCAAGCTAATGAGCCTAGCCCTTTTCATTTATTCTCATTCAGTCATGAATTTAATGAACCCTGCCATGTTCCAGGCCCCATGCTAAGAGCTGAAGACTCAAAGAAGAAAAGCGTACTCCCTGTCCTCAAGAGTGATAGCCACATGGCTGCTATTCCGTCACACAAGGCCTAGTTCCTTCCACTGTGGCAGTCTTGGCAGCAGAGAGTGGGACAGTCTCCTGAGCCCCTCAGATGATTCTAATACATCCCAAGCTTTCCATCATTGCCCTTACTGAGAATCATTTGCAATGTATCTTTAGTGCAAACCATCCGATCAGTCCTTCAGGTGGGGAAACCAACAATTGCACTTGGCCCTGAGTGGTCAGGGAGGAGGACACAGGTGCCAGGCGGCATGAAGAGGCAGAGAGGCTTCTCCAGGGGGTCCATCCTGCCACCACTTCCATTCTCGAGATAGAGAGGATGCGACTCCCCTTATTCACATGCTCAAGTCCACGTGCTATTACAGACATGTTGCTATTACTTTAACCTAGTGAGAAAGCACTGAAATGAAGGACTCCATGCTGTGAGTATACAGATGAAGGAGCCATCAGGCCTGCCTTGGATAGGTAGGGAAGCTACAGAAGGGTGGCAGCATTTGGCTGAGACTTGAAAAATGCATGGGCCTTGATGGGTAAATCACTGGGAAAGAGTATCCCAGGAAAAAAAGAATAGCATAGGCAAATAGGCCAGCCTACTAAGTTTAAGTAGGTTTTTCCTATTTAAAGACAAACCATATGAAAATCAATTTTGGCCCAATTACCTTGCATGCAAGAAAATGAGGCTCCTGCTCCATTCTTAGATACTATCACCATTTGCTGTCTGACACTGGGGAGCAGAGATGTTACTTTTCATTTTTTGTATCCTCAAAATTGACCACAATTGAAGGTGCACAATATTACATTTTGAGTGAATGAAAAATTCACCTTACCAGCTAAGCTAAGCCACTACAAGACCATCAGATTTTGAAGAGGTTTTTTCCCGAAGGGGAAACTGAGGCATGGGCCCACCAGTAGAAGAGCCATGCATGCCTCCTGGTGCTCCTTGCAGAGCCTGCAGGAGCTGATTCCCTTCTTCCAGGTAAATGAGTCTGCAGGTTTCTCAGGATCAGAGAATTGGCTGCACCTTTTTATTTCCAGAAATTCTCCCTACTCTTCTTTCAGGAACACTGCTCTGGGGGACCTGAGAAACTAAAAATGTAACAAGAACTTAAAAGCTCTGTGTTCTCACCAAAGCTGAATCAAGAGCAGAGAGCAAGGTCATCTATATGCTAATCTCACAATACAGACCCCTTAGACTTTGGCAGAAGAAGTGATTTTTTTCCTCCCAGAAAATCATTATCAAGTATTTGCTTCTGCCAAAACTTATTAGGAGCTTTGGTACCTGATATAGTATACTATATGCCACAGGCGACGGGAGGAGTAGAACGTGCAAGAGACAGGAAGGGAAACGTAAAGGGACAACAAGAATAACTCTGACTCTGAGCAGAATGTTATTAATATTGGCTGTGGAAAGTTTGGTTGTGGGTGTGGGAGGAAGGAGGTCAAGGTAGGCAGAAATAAATTCTGAGTCAGAGAGTGATTGTGTCCTGTCTCTGCCAAAATTCTTCCATAGATAGCCTCATTTCCGATGGAATAAAGTCCAAACTCCTTAGTCCAGCATTTATGGCCACCATGGCCTAGCCCTGACCCATCTTTTCAACTTTTGCTCCCAGTACTTTCATTGCTTGCCTCTCACGCCAGCTGAATGGGCCCATGCACCCTCATCAGAAGGGTCCACTGGGACCCAGCTACTCCTCAGGGTCAGCTCCTAGGGATCTCCTTACAGGCATACCTCAGCAAGCATCCACATTTCCAGATGGACTGTGCTCCCTCATGCCACATTTCCTTTCCTTCTTTAATTGGCAAGCTCCTCTTTAACTTTCAACATCTCTCTTCTTGGAAGCCTTGCCTGATCACACCCACAGTTGAGCTTGAGGACTCTTATCTTGCACACCTTGTACATGCAATTATTATAACTCATGACTCTGTTGAGAGAGTATTAGTGTATCTCTGAACTCTGAGACTGTCTTTCTTTTTTTTTTTTGAGACGGAGTCTCACTCTGTTACCCAGGCTGGAGTGCAGTGGCGCAATCTCGGCTCACTGCAAGCTCCGCCTCCCGGGTTCACGCCATTCTCCTGCCTCAGCCTCCTGAGTAACTGGGACTACAGGCACCCGCCACTACGCCCAGCTAATTTTTTTGTATTTTTTTAGTAGAGATGGGGTTTCACTGTGTTAACCAGGATGGTCTCGATCTCCTGACCTCGTGATCCGCCCGCCTCGGCCTCCCAAAGTGCTGGGGAGCCTGTCTTTTAATGACAGACAGGTGGCATGTTTCTCATCTGTTAGAGCACCAGCTCCAGCATAAAACTTAACATACGCTAATTAATATCTAGGAATAGAGTTCTCAAGGACAGAGACCATATGTTTATCTTTGTGTCTCCAATCTCTTGACCATGGCTTGGCATGGAGAAAGACTTCAACACATACTGGTTGAATTAATACATGAAAGTATGAAGGGATAATGCAAAATAAATATTTGTCAATTAATTTCCAAGTTTTAGTACAACTTAGCTTCTTCATTTTGTTTGGTTAATTGAAAGGACTACCCACTTTGTGCATCTAGTCTTTTCCACATCTGAGCTCCTAGCTACCTGTGCTAAAAGCATATCTCATATGTCCAGGTACAACACTTGCTCTCTGAATAAGTCTTCCGTTGTAACACTACCCTTTTACAGAAGCGGGAGTCAGTTAAAAAAAATCTATTCAATAGATTTTTACTTAGTATCTACTATATACCTGGCAGTATGCTTCCATCAGAGCTATGGCAGTGAATAAGACAATTCCAACTTTATTTTTTGGAGTGTACAGCCCAAAGAATAGACATCAAATCAATAAATACAAATATGAAGGGTGTCTGAAAGGCAGAGTAGAGGAACACCAAACAGAGAGCCTAATCTAGTCTTAAGGAGTTCAGGGAAGGTTTCCCAGGGAAAGAAACATTTAATCCAGGATAAAAAGATAAGTAGGATTAGCCAGGCTTAGAGAAGAGGAAAAAACAAGTGTTCAGAAGTTAACCCAGGCATCCTAGGCTAGCTGGCTGCCCTTCTTGCCTCCCCTGCCCCATCTCCAATCCAATAATTACAACTACTTTTTTCTGAAACACATCACTTTCTCCTGTTATTGGCATTGGATATTTCAATGCTAATATCAGTTACCAACTAGACTGCAAGCTAAAAGGAAGGTTAGGCAGCCACATGAAAAGGATCATTATGGTCAGACAACCAACTCATACCAGGGCAAGTACTGACAGTCCCAATTCCCTGAAAAGCCATCTGTCTCGGGCAAAACAGGACAGTTGGTTGCCCTGCACTATGGCCACAAGCCACCACTAGGATGGACCAGTAGCAGCTCAGCACATATAATATTTATTCATTAATTCATTTGTTCAATGTCCTGAACATATACATAAAGAACTGAACACCGAAAATATAGTAATGTACAAACATGGGCACACATTGTCTTACTTTTCTCTGTCCATTAGTTGGAAAAAGAGCTAGCAAAAACATGAGTCCATGTTTCTATTGTTCAACCTCAGATGAATGTATAAAACTTCCCTCTAATGGGGCAGAAGATGATAAAGAATTTTCTTAAAAGGAAGCATCATGGTTTGCATTGGAGCCCTGGAACCTGGTTCTAGTCCAGATGATGGTGCTCTGGGTGGTTGGTTTAACTATAAAAAAGGGACTGATAACAATACTGATGCCACTTTGCAGAATTTTTGTAAAGACTAAATGACACCAAGTGGATAAGAAGGCTTTGTAAATTTAAAAGCATGGAGGAAATGTTAGCATCTTAGGCTTTAACAGTCTGTGAGCTGCAACATAGTCTCATTAACTTTATTAGAAATTCCTACTGGTGGGCAAGTTCTGCTTCTGGCATGGTGACACAAAGGCAAACACTTTTTAAAAAGATTTGCATATTGTAGTTTTTTAAAATTTTTTAGTAATAATAATGTTTGTACATTTTTGTGAGGTGCATATGACATTGTTAAATGCATAGAATGTTAATGATCAAGTCAAGGTATTTAGGGTATACATCACCTTAGTATTTATAATTTCTATGTGTTGGAAACATTTCAAGTTCTCTCTTCTAGCTGTTTTGAAAATACTATAGTTACCCTACTCTACTATTGAATATTAGGACTTATTCCTTCTATTTAACTGTATGTTTGTACTTATTAACTAACCTCTCTTTATTCTCTTACCCCCACCCCTTAGCCCCTCCACACACACACCCTTTCCAGCCCTCTGGTAATTATCGTTCTACTATTTACCTCCATGAGATCAACTATTTTAGCTCCCATATATGAATGAGAACGTGCTATGCTTGTCTTTCTGTGCCTGGCTTATGTCACTTAATATAATGACCTTCAGTTTCATCCATATTTATCTAAATGACAGGGTTTTAATCTTGTTTACATGGCTGAGTAGTATTCCACTGTGTATATACCACATTTTCTTTATCCATTCCTTCATTGATGGACACGCAGTTTGATTCCATACCTTGGCTATTGTGAATAGTGCAGTGATAGACATGCAAGTGCAGGCGTCCCTTTGATATACTTTCTTTCCTTCCATTGGATGCTCAGTAGTGGGATTGCTGGATCATATGTAGTTCTATTTTTAGTTTTGTGGTGACTATACTAATTTTTCCATAGTGACTATACTAATTTACATTCCCACCAACAGTGTAATACAAGAGTTCCCTTTTCTCCATGTTCTCACCAGCATCTGTTATTTTTTCTTTTTAATAACAACCATTCTAACTGGAGTAAGATGATATCTCATTGTGGTTTTGATTTGCAATTCCATGATAATTAACAATATTGTGGTTTTTTCCATATACCCATTAGCCATTTGTATATATTCTTTTTTTTTTTTTTTTTTTTTGAGACAGAGTCTTGATCTGTCACCCAGGCTGGAGTGCAGCGGCACAATCTCGGCTTACTGCAAGCTCCACCTCCCGGGTTCACGCCATTCTCCTGCCTCAGCCTCCCCAAGTAGCTGGGACTACAGGCGCCCGCCAACATGCCCAGCTAATTTTTTGTATTTTTAGTAGAGACGGGGTTTCACCGTGTTAGCCAGGATGGTCTCGAAATCCTGACCTTGTGATCCACCCGTCTTAGCCTCCCAAAGTGCTGGGATTACAGGCGTGAACCACTGCACCTGGCAAGCCATTTGTATATATTCTTTCGAGAAATGTCTACTCATGTCCTTTGCTCACTTTTTAATGGGATTATTTGGTATTTTACTGCTGAGTTGACTTCCTTGTATATTTTCAGTATTAGTACCTTGTCAGATGAATAGTTTGCAGTATTTTTCCCATTAAACAGGTTGTCTCTTCACTCTTGATTGTTTCCTTTGCTCAGCAGAAGTTTTTAGTTTAATATAGTCCCATTTGTGTATTTTTGTTGCCTGTGCTTTTGAAGTCTTAGTCATTAATTTATATGAGTTCATTTTTATATGATGAGAGATAGGAGCTTAGTTTTATTCTTTTGCATATAGATATCCAGTTTTCCCAGCATCATTTATTGAAGCAGGTGTCCTTTCCCCAGTGTATGTTCTTGACAATTTGGTCAAAAATCACTTGGCTTTATTTCTGGGTGGATTTATTTCTGGGTTCTCTATTCTGTTCCATTGGTCTGTGTGTCCATTTTTATACCAATATTGTGCTGTTTTGGTTACTACAGCCTTGCAATATATTTTGAAGTCAATGTAATGTGATGCCCCTAGCTTAATTTTTTTAATTTTTATGTTCAGGGGTACATGTGTAGATTTGTTATATAGGTAAACTTGTGTCATGGGGGTTTGTTGTACAAATTGTTTCATCATCCAGGTATTAAGCCTAGTATCCGTTGGTTATTTTCATGTTCTCTCCCTCCTCCCCACCCCCTGCCACCTGTTGATAGGCTCCAGTGTCTGTTGTTCTCCTCTATGTGTCCACATGTTCTCATCATCTAGCTCACCGTTGTAAGTAAGAACACGGGGTATTTGGTTTTCTGTTCCTGCATTAGTTTGCTAAGGATAATGGCCTCCAGCTCTATCCATGTCCCTGCAAAGGGCATGATCTCATTCCTTTGTATGGCTGCATAGTATTCCATGGTGTATATGTACCACATGTCTAGTCTATCATTGATGGGCATTTAGGTTGACTTCATGCCTTTGCCATTGCGAATAGTGCTGCAATGAACACACACATGGATATGTCTTTATAATGGAGCAATTTATATTCCACTGGGTATAAATCCAGTAATGGGGTTGCTGTGTCAAATGGTATTTCTGTTTTTAGGTCTTTGAGGAATTGCCACACTGTCTTCCAAATGGTTGAACTAATTTACACTCCCACCAACACCATATAAGTGTTCCATTTTCTCCACAACCTTTCTAGCATCTGTCATTTTTTGACTTTTTCCAATAGCCATTCTGACTGGTGTGAGATGGTATCTTGTTGTGGTTTGATTTGCATTTCTTTAATAAGCAATGGTGTTGAGTTTTTTTTCATATGATTGCTGGCCACATACATGTCTTCTTTTGAAAAGTGTCTGTTAATGTCCTTGGCCCAGTTTTTAATGGAGTTGTTTGGTTTCTCATAACTTTAAGTTCCTTATAGATACTGGATATTAGACCTTTGTGGGATGCATAGTTTGCAAAAATTTTCTCCCATTCTGTATGTTGTTGGTTTACTTTGTTGATAGTTTCATTTGCTGTACAGAAGTTCTTAAGTTTAATTAGATCCCATTTGTCAATTTTTGCTTTTCTTGAAATTGCTTTGGCATCTATATCATAAAATCTTTGCCTGTGCCTACATCCTGAATGGTATTGCCTAGGTTGTCTTCCAGAGTTTTTATAGTTTTGAGCTTTACATTTAAGTCTTTTATCCATCTTGAGTTAATTTTTATATATGGTGTAAGGAAGGGGTTCAGTTTCAGTCTTTTGCATAGTGCTAGCTAGTTATCCCAGCACCATTTATTAAATAGAGAATCCTTTCCCCATTGCTTGTTTTTGTCAGGTTTGTCGAAGATCAGATAGTTGGAGATGTGTGGCCTTACTTCTGGGTTCTCTATTATGTTCCATTGTTCTACATGTCTGTTTTTGTACCAACACCATGCTGTTTTGGTCACTGTAGCCCTGTAGTATAGTTTCAAGTTGGGTAACGTGATGCCTCCAGCTTATTTCTTTTTGCTTAAGCATGCCTTGGCTATTTGGGCTCTGCTTCGGTTCCATATGGATTTTAAAACAGCTTTTTCTAGTTCTGTGAAGAATCTCAATGGTTGTTTAATAGGAATAACATTGAATCTATATTGCTTTGGGTGGTATGGCCATTTTTATGATATTGATTCTTCTTATCCATGAGCATGGAATGTTTTTCCGTTTGTTTGTGTCATCTCCGACTTCTTTGAGCAATGTTTTGTAGTTCTGTTTGTAGAGATCTTTCACCTCCCTGGTTATCTGTATTCCTAACTATTTTGTTCTTTTAGTGGTATTTGTGAATGGATTGCATTCCCAATTTGGCTCTAAGCTTGACTGTTGTTGGTGTATAGGAATGTTAGTAATTTTTGTTCATTGATTTTGTATGCTGAGACTTTACTGAAGTTATTTATTAGCTGAAGGAGCTTTTAGGCCAAAACTATAGGGTTTTCTAGATACAGAATTATGTTGCCTGCAAATAGAAATACTTTTATTTCCTCTCTTCCTATTTGGATGCACTTTATTTCTTTCTCTTGCCTGATTGCCCTGGCCAAAACTTTTAATACTAAGTTGAATAGGAGTGGTGGGAGAGGGCATCTTTGTCTTTTGCCAGTTTTCAAGGGGAATGCTTTCACCTTTTTCCCATTCAGTATAATATTGGCTGTGGGTTTGTCATAGATGCTCTTATTACTTTAGGTATGTTCCTTCAATACCTAGTTTATTGAGAGTTTTTAACATAAAGTGGTGATAAATTTTATCAAAAGACTTTTCTGCATCTATTGAAATTATCATGTGGTTTTTGTCTTTACTTCTGTTTATGTGTTGAATCACATTTATTGATTTGCATACGTTAACCAACCTTGCATCCCAAAGCCTACTTGAACATGGTAAATAAGCTTTTTAATATGCTGCTGGGTTTGGTCTGCTAGTATTTTGTTGAGAATTTTTGCATCTATGTTCATTGAGGATGTTGGCATGAAGTTCTTTGTTGTTGTTGTATCTCTGCCAGGTTTTGGTATCTGATGATTCTGGCCTCACAGAATGAGTTAGGGGTGACACCCTTCTCAATTTTTTGGAACAGTTTCAGCAGGAGTGGTACTAGCTCTTCCTTTTATATCTGGTAGAATTCAGCTGTGAATCCATCTGGTCCTGGGCTTGTTTTGGTTGGTAGGTTATTCATTACTGACTCAATTTCAGAGCTCGTTATTGGTCTGTTCAGGGATTCAATTTCTTCCTGGCTCAGTCTTGGGAGACTCTCTTCAGCCAAGCTTCTGTGTCTTCCCTCCATTCACTCCTGGCACATTCCCTCTGAAGATCTGTTAAAAGCACACCAGTCAACTTAGTCCCTCGGTGGTAGCTGTTTCACCTGGCTGCATCTGTTCAGCCATCTTGTCCTCTGACCCAGCTTTATTCTTTTTGCATAGGATTGCTTTGGATATTCAGGCTCTTTTTTGGTTCCATACAAATTTTAGAATTTTTTTTTTTTCCGTGAACAATGACATTGATATATTGATAAGGATTGAACTGAATTCGTAGATTGCTTTGGGTAGTATACCCATTTTATAAAAATCCTCCTTCCAAAATATTTATGGAGAATTCCTGGGAATACTTTATACTCTTATCTCAGTATCAGTGAAGATCACCACCCCGTTCTGCAGCCAGCACTAACCCAAGATCCTGACAGTTCAACAAAGGGTCTTTGACAGCACTGAATCTGTGTCCAGAATGCCATGACTGATATAAGACAATACCACTGCCCCTTAATGCCTGGAGGAAATAGCTCCTGCAATGTTATGATTAGCTGGCAGAGAGAGTTCCCAAAGCAAAATTGTTTGAACCCAAAGCATCATAATCATTAGTGACCTAATGCCTACCTTCTAGGATTCAAACAAGCCCACAGGGTGGTAGGAATAGGATAAATGCTGACATTAGCTACCTCCATCCACCCAGAACCAGCTCTTCTTTCCAGCATTGAGAAGTGTCCTGGAATCTGCTGTGTCCCTTCTTCTCTTAGGGCAGTAGTTCTCAACTGGGGAAACGTTTGCTCTCCAGGGTACATTTGGCCTTGTCTGGAGACATTTTTTGGTTCTCTCAACTAAGGACAGTGCTACCGGAATTTAGTGGGTAGAGGCCAGGGTTACTGCTAAACTCATAATGCACAAGACATCCTCCTGTATCAAAGAATTGTCTAGACCAAAATATCAATAATGCTAATGCTCAGAAATCCTATCACAGGACGATTTATTCCTCAGGAACCCTATTGTCTCTCCTGATTTGGCCTCTATGGAAACCATTCTTGTCTATAAAGCAAATTTCTTTATGTCTAAACACCAAGGTAGAGAGAACTTAAGTCTTAGTCCCAGTCCTTGACCCTTATGTAACACAGCAGATAAAAATAATCATGTATTAAGGACCTTTCCTAATTCTTTTATCTGAAGTTTCTAAGCTTTAGCCCCTGCTCATTTGAGCTATTACATGGAAAGTAACTCACAGCATATTCTTTCATTCAACAAATATTTAATGAGCACCTACTATGTAGTAGACATGGTACTAGACATTAGATACACAATGATTAACCAAACAGACTATTCCCCTGCCCTCATGGAGCTTACAGTATGAAAAAGAACAAACAGTAAACAAATAAATCTATAATTACAAATGCTAATGCATGCCATGAAGGAAAAGCATAGGGTACTATGAGGGTAAATAATGGAAAAGACAAATTTTAGGTAGGAAAGGCAGAGGGTGACCTCTGTATAGAAATAATCTCTGGGTTGAGGCCTGAAGGAGGCATAGAAGTTAGCTCAGTGAAGAGAGAGGGGAAGGAAGAAAATATGCAAAAAGCTCTTGTGTGAGAAACAGATTGGCGTCATCGAGTAGCAGAAAAAAGGGATGTGTGGCTGCATGTGATGTGATCTAATTTATTTTTGAAAAGATCATTCTGTCTGTCATGTGAATGATGGGTTGGAGGATCACAAGCAGAAGTGAGAGATCTATGAAAAGAAAAATTCCATGGCCCAGGAGGCAGATGGTGGTGACCTGGCCTGCAGGATAACAGTGGAGATAAGACCAGGTCTTTGAATGAGGTTCTGCCCTCTGAAACAGAAGTCTACATCCAGGGATGGCCACTGCCTGAGACACTTTGGGAGACCAAATATCTTCACCTGAACAACTGCCCAGAGTTGCAGTTTATCAGAAATCAATACCCACCTTTCTCTGCCTAGCATTTCTATTGGGGAAGAGCCATGCACATCACAGGTAGGTATCTTTTCCTACATTGCAATTGGATTTTTTGCTGCTTCTTCAATTGGTTGAAATATCGAGTGGTGTTTGTTTATGTATTTATTTATTTATTTATTTGTGGCTATGGGGAGGGAGGGAGGGGAGAAAATAGATGACTTGTCACAAAACCCAATTTCCTATGTTTTCAAGAGCCATTCATCACCATCTCGGCTCAATGCCATTTCTTTCTGAAGTCAGGCTGACCAAGAGCAGCCCACAGCCAAAGTCTTGGAATCTTTTCCCTGGAAAGCCTTACTGTTGAGTCTGTCAAGGCCTTCTGAGAGTAAGACATCCTTAACCCCAAGGTGAGCCCCAGCATTAACAACTAGTTGGGTGATAGGCGAGACCTCTCCTTCCAGGGGAATCCTGATGAGCCCATTCTCAAGGGGGCATGCCAACACCAAAAAGCCTGAACTCACAAGGAAAATCAGCTCATCTGCCTTCATTGCCATGGGTGGAAACTGTCCTCTCTTCAAAGGGCTGCATCCAACATGTCAAGGCCACTGTTATCCAGGCCAGAAGGGATAAGCAGGCATGATCTAGATTTGTGGTGGCAGGATAAAATGTGCCTACACTAGGGATGGTCTACCTGGGCACAGCTGAGCTTCCAAGGAAGTATACAAAGGACCTCCATAGCCATCTGTGTTCAGAAAATGCCAGGGACCCACTACAAGGGGAAGTCAAGGTAGGAAGATTCAATTAGCAGGTAGTGAGCCCTAATTAATGACAAAAAAAAAATCATAGTTCTTATCCTCAAGGCACTGACATTTAGTTCAGGAAGCAGAGAAGTAGATTAATAATAATAACAGGATGAGTCTTATGATGGGAGGGAACACATAGCATTGTGGGGGGTGGCCAGAGAAAAAGGAAGAAGCTCCTAACTCTGCCTGGTAAATCAGGGAGACATTCAGGGGGAAGTAATAACTCTTTTCCACAGACAGCCCACTGGAATCACCAGAATTTAATTAAATGCACTTAGAAAAACAAACAAAAATGCCAACAGCACGTTTTTAAGGCTACACCTACTCCATTATTCATTTTAAGAGAATTATCAAGTGCAATTAATTTCCTTCATGGGAGGGGTGAGTTTTCAAATAGGAAAATATTTCTTTAAAGGTAGCTTGCTTTGGATTTGGCATTTACATCCAAGCTCCAAGCTGCAGAAGTGTTGGTGCTGTGCAGAAAGCCTGCCCTTCAGGTGTTCTTGAAGAGATTTCAGGGAACAGGAGCATTAGCAGGAGGAGATAACAGTCAGATAAAATGTGGGATGAGCTATGCCTGTGCAGCCCAGGTATCCTATCAGGGACACATTCTGAGGATTAACGGATGTGGGGAAAGCTAGGAACCAGTAGTAGCCTCCATTTGGTGCCTATGGCCCAGGCTGTGAAACAGAGTACATTCCTGAAGCCCTGGTCAAATATTCCTTACCAGAAATTAGGAAATTCTGGGATTATTTTTTCTAAAACAGGCTTTTATATAAAGTTGTGTGTTATACTTCATCATGTTTATCTTAGAGTGAAACATGATGTAAACTGACAATAACCAAAAAGAATTATTACTCTACTTCCTTCCTTTTCTTTCCTCCTGGCTTTTAGCAAGGGAACCAAGAACTCAACTCATAGATCTTCCCTGCATACTTACAATGGAAGACACACTCTGCAGAGTCCTGGGGTGTGCTGAGTGGCAGGAGAGAGGAATAGGAGAGAATTGTATCAATTAGTAAGACATAACCTTTTGACACTTACAAAGCCTGTTCACTTCAACAACTCCCTTAGGTAGTAGGATCAATGCAGATCACTGATTTATTAAGGAACTGGGAGAATATTCAAATAAATTAATAAAATAAGTGAGCTATGAAATCAACAGAAATTATTCTGACTTTGAGATGCAATTATAACAAAAGCAAAATTCAGATCATAGACAAGTATAGTTAATTCTTCAAAGGATGAGAAAAATTCCAAATAGAAGTAATAGATAGGCTCCTGGATTATCTGATAATCCAATTAATGAAGAGGAAGGAGCCACAAGAATGCATTAGAACACTTTCTGCTAACTGACACTTTGACAATGACAATATAGGACACTGATAACAAACTCATCGAAGAATACTGTCATTTCAGAGAGTGTTTAATACAAGTACTATACAAGAATACTTCATGTCTTACTACATACATAAAACGATAGAACATTTACCAAAATAGACAATTCTAAAAATTTACAGCGTGTGCAGTGGCTCGCGCCTATAATCTCAGCACTTTGGGAGGCCGAGGCAGGCAGATCACTTGAGGTAAGGAGTTTGAGACCAGCCTGGCCAACATGGTGAAACCCCCTCTCTACTAAAAATACAAAAATTAGCTGAGCATGGTGGTGGGCACATGTAATCCCAGCTACTCAGGAGGCTGAGGCATGAGAATTGCTTGAACCTGGGAGGTGGAGGTTGCAGTGAACCAAGATTGCACCACTGCACTCCAGCCTGGGCGATATGGCAAATCTCAGTCTCAAAAAAAAAAAAAAAAAAAAATTTACACAATAATTAATAAAGCTTAAAAAAACTCACAATAATATAAATTTTGATCAGCATGCAAGAAGAATAGAGTATCCTTCTATACTCTCTATAGATAAGGATATTATAAAATTATTTTCCTATGAAAAGATAATCACAGAGTAATCAGCCAAAAGAGTTAAGGAGAGAAAGCATTGTAGAGATCTGTCAGGTAGTTAAATAATTTTTTAAGTAAACTATTTTTCTAAATTATATAGTATTTGTGGTATTTTTTAAATTTATAATTTATGTTGATTTATTTTCTTATTCTAAAGGTAAGTTTTGTACCTAAGTTTATACTAGTAATTTTGTGTTCTTTCTCTTAAAGAGGGCCCCAAATTGCATTAAGTTTCAGGTCCCACAAAACCTGAAACCTGCCCTGCTTTTGCCCATTTTGCAGGTGACAAAACACTCTCAAGAAAGGTCTTAGCCAAGGCTACAGTGTAAGAAAGTGACAGAGCCAGGATTCAAAGCCAGTATTCTTCCTCCTCCATGATGTGGTCCTCAGATAGCCTTAAAGCATTAGATAAAACCTAAACACTTCTTTTGGGGAGGCAGAAACAAAGTGTGGTAGCATATTTTTAAAACTCAGAGGACCCATTCAAATTCAAGTTTCTAGAAATTCAACAGGGTTTATAGCACTTTTCCTATATCCTCCCTCCAGGATCTGAGTTTGAACAGAAGAATTCAAGTTCCAATCGGCACTCAAATTCTAGGCTCAAAGGAATCTCAGACTCAAGTATGCCACAGGAGGTAAAGATATGGCATGAAATGCATACTGGAAGTGCAGGCTAAGTCTTTCTGTGCACCTTAGTTATGCCAGTCACTCATATCTGCATTTGTCTTTATTCACATGAATAATTCTCATTTTTCCAAAGACAAGGAAATAGAAACTCAGAGTTCATTTGCCCAATCTCACAGAGCTAGTAGGAAACAATCACAGCTTGCAATACCAGATCTACTCTGCCCCAAAGCCCATCCATCTCCAGTTCTCCAGGAGTGATTCTTCCACTGGAACTCGGACAAACTTAGGCACCTCACTTCCAATCAGGTGAATGATCACCATGTCAGTGGGCATCCTTGCCCCTTGGTTCCACACCTGTCTAGCAGTTAGGTGGTCGTGATCTGCTGCCAACCAAGGTAAGCAGATGCAAACAAATGCCTTTAATCCATGTCTGTCACTGACTTCTCCACAAACACAAAATGGTTCCTCTTGAACTCAGCTGAGACCGAAGCCATATGTGCAGGGTAGAAGGCACGAAATCACAAAGATAACCCTAGTGTCCTTGAACTACAACACAGGGAGTTCATGGGTCACATTACCCAGTAGTTCTTTGATCTTGCTCCCACTAAAGATAAAAGCTGGGAGCCCAGGCCTCCTTCAAAGCCTGGCAGCCACTAATGTCCCAATACTTCGGAGATTCCACAGGGACAACCCACAAGTGTGAGCTCTTAGATTGCTCCTTCCTAACTCTGGCCTCCTCCTGTGCTGCTGAGGCCATTTCAGCAAACCACCTATGCTAGTGCTTAAAATCTGGGCTGAGAGCCTTTGCTCAACAGAGGCTCCTTTCTGTGCCAGTCCCTAGTCTCAGTGTGCTGTTCAGGGCCATTGTCATGCCCCGCACTCCCTCCCTGGATAACCCGATGCCCAGCCAGGGACTCAAATTGCAACAGCCTTTTCTCTTGCCCCCAGGACCGTATTGCTAGTCCAGGTCTCTCTCTGCAGCAGATTTGGGGGCATTTCAAATTGACTGTTCTACAGGCATCTCAAACACAGCGTATCCAAAATTAAATCCACACCTTCCCCATTAGTCTTCTTCTCCTTGGGTATTACCTACTTCAAAGAATGGTACCTCCCTCCACACAGATGCCCTTGTCAGTCTTCCCCTCCCACATTTAATCCTCTACCAAATTCTATCACTTCTATCTCCTTGTTGAGTTCTTTCTACTACCACTTCTCTCCCTCCTTATTTCCTTTGCCATCATCCTGGCTATGGGCTTTCACACTCCTGTACTTCTCCAAGAAAAACACTTAGTCATATGATGTAATATATAACACCATTATAGTTGTTTGCCTGAGTATCCTGCAAAAACGGGCCTGTTTCTCTCTTATTCAGTGTGTGTCACAGGTCCCCTAGGACAGGGCTGGCACACATAAGCACTCAGTTAGGGTGATGTATGAATGAACCCTACCTTCCTCCATATCCAAAACTACTTGGTTCAGGCCAACGCCATTTCTCACCTCGAGTTCAAAAGCCCTAGTGGAGAGCCATTCACATCTTCAGTCTTCTTTATGGGACATTAAATCCCTCAGGCCAATGGTATGAAAGTGCTGGCTACCCCCTTTACCAGTCACTGGGGTTATGGTACATTTGTGCCTTTGTTGATTCATTCATATATTAGTAACAATTTGCTATGGTAGAGATTCACTATTTTAAAGTGGTTTTCTGTGCTATTTATTTCTAATTCCCTTTATAATTGATTGTAACGGAGAGTCAGACTTCATTTTTGATGTTGGATTAATAATTCCTTTCAGGCCTTTCCATCTCTTCCTTTTTGGCCCCGCATCTGGGCAGGCTGATAAGAAGGCCCATGACCTCATCTCCTCCTTTGGTACCATTGGAAAATTTAAATTGTGCACATGCAGGAACTTTTCCCAGCCCCACTGCTCAGCCACTGTAAAGGCCCAAACCCACTCCATCTGCTTTGCCCAAACCAACCTGGACCTGCTTGTGCCTGATCAGCTCTCCTCTGTGTGAATAATAAACTGTCTCTCAAATTCTCTCAGTACATGGCAGGTCCTCAGGCTTAACATCTAAACCAAGTTTTGTATGAACTTCCTCCTGCTTTGCAACACCAATACAACACCAATGACCCACACTAAACACATACTCACACATGCACACCAAATGCCCAGATGCCACAACAGTTTGCTGTCATTTTTATGTTGATGAGGTCTCATTATATTCCCATTTGCTTGCTAATATCGCCAGGAATATGTTCCCATTATTTCCATTTTTGCCCAAGTGAAAATCCAAGGAAGTCTAGAAAGTGTCCCAGAGAGTAGAACAGTGGCTAAATTCCTGCCTGTGATGCTCTCCAATCTCACCCTCTAATCACACACCCTTAATGAGGCACTATCTTGACAAGCTTCCATAATTACTCATAATAATGGCTACAATGAGCACTTACTTTGTGCCAGGTATTGTGGTAAGCTAAACATATTATTTATTTTCATCTTCAGAACAACCCTACATGATACATGTTATCTGTTATAGTTTGGATGTTTGACCCCTCCAAATCTCATATTGAAATGTGATCTCCAATGTTGGAAGTGGGGTCTAATGGGAGGTGTTTCGGTCATGGGGGCAGATCTCTCATTAATGGCTTGGTGCTGTCCTAGAGGTAACGAGTGAGTTCTCACTCTGTTAGTTCCTGTGAGAGTTCCCATACTTGGCACTTCCCTCTTTCTTTGCTTCCTCTCTCACTATGTGATTTGTACACTCCAGCTCCCCTTCACATTCCACCATAAGTAGAAGCAGCCTGAGGCCCTCATCTGAAGCAGGTGTTGGTGCCATGCTTCCTGTACAGCCTGCAGAACCGAGAGCCAAATAAACCTCTTTTCTTTATAAATTACCCAGCCTCAGGTTTTCTATCTTTATAACAGCACAAATGGAATAAGACACTATCATAGCCATCTATATTTTATGAATAAAATAAATAAGCATTAGAGAGGTTTAAAAAGTTGTCCAACCAGAAAAGAGTATATCCAGAACTCAAACCCAGTCCAGCTGCAAAGTCTGGGCACTTAGCTGTCATGTTCTGCTGCATTCCCAATACTTTCTCAGAAGCCAGGCACAGGGGCTCAGGTCTCTTTCAGTCTTACATATCAGCGTATCTAATGGTAAACCCCAAGATTCAAAGATTATACGGTCTTGTCCCCTCCACAATGCAAAGCCCTATTGCTGTGGTCTCCAACTGTCTCCACCTGACCCTTGGGTGATGTCCAGCTGATGTTCAACAGGGACATCATGCCTCACACAAGGCTGTGTAAAAAGTGAGGCCCACACAAGATGACTGAACATTAATAAAATACTTCATGCATGCTTATGTAAGGAAACCTATTATCCAATATATCCAAAACCCTCTTCCAACGTAAGCAAAGGAGGAAAGGGGCCTGGCCCCATCCCAACTGCTAATTCCCAAGGGGATCTTTTCTTAATTCCTACTATCATGAACTCAGGCTTCAAAGTACCCTGCTCTATACTCCAGGACAGAAGTGGGAACAAAACCCTCCCCTAATACCCTCCAGAGGCCCACTGAGGCTAGGCTGCAACATTTAAATAATACTGCACTAAAGATCATGGATTAAGAGAGAAAATAGAGTAAAATATAACTGGATATTCTTACTACAGTGTTTGCTGAGCCATCTTCAGCTTGGGCCCCTACTTGCCAAACTGTATAACAGGCATTTAGCCATTCAGGTATGGCCTCCTGGAGCACATCTACACAATTCATAATCAGAACTCAGAGAACAAGCCCCATGAGCTTCCCTTGCCTGGCTGTGGCCTGCTTTCCAAGGTCTGATCTGCTGCTAACGACTAGCCTCTGTCCCAGGTGAATAAGAGAAATGTTACTTCCTTCAGGGAGAACCTCACCTCTACCACCAAGCTAGTTGTCTTTCCTCTGGCTTCCATAGGGTGACCACTTCAGATTGTAGCTAAATAGACCCCACAACCCATAAGGAATGCAGACATCAGCAACAGGCTCAGGTCATCTCCTGTCAGTACGTACTTCTCACACCACTGCAATCCCACTATTGAACCTCCATCACTCTTCCTGGATTGCTGCAATACCTCCTCACAGACCTCCTCACCCAGTCTATCTTGTCTCACTACAGTGTTTCCTCAATACAGCAGCCAGAATATTTTTTATTGTGGTAAAAAAGCTTAACATGAGACCTACCAATGTACCCTCTTAACAGATTTTTAGGTGCACAACACTGTATTATTAATTATATACACAATGTATAGCAGGCCTCTAGAACTTATTCATCTCTTTAACTTAAAACTTATGCCTGTTAATTAGAAATTCCCCATTTCTTCCTCTCCCAGGCCCTGGTAACTACCATTCTGCTCTCTACTTCTATGAGTTAGACTATTTTAGATTCCTTATATAAGTGAAATATCTTGTGAAGTTTTTGTCCTTCTGTGACTGGCTTATTTCACTTAGCATAAGTGTCATCAAATCAATCTCCTGTTCAGAATCTTCCAGTGGCTCCTATTTCACTCCAGGATAAAAACTAAAGATCCTAGAGTGCCCTGCAGTGCCCTGCACTCTGCATCTGTGACCTCCGTGACATCATCTGCTACTTCTCTGCTCTACGCTCACATCACCCTCGCCGCACTGGCCTCTTTGCTATTCCATAAACCTGCCCACAACTCAGGACCATCATCATACGAGCTTGTCCTTCTGCTTGCAAGTTTTCTTCCAGATAACTGCCTGGTTATTTCCTTCACCTTCTTCAAGTCTTTGCTTAACAGTCACTTTCTCAATGAGACCCAGACAGACCACCTTAATTAAAACTGCATCCTGGCCCCTACCTTCACCTCCCTGATTCCTGATCCCCATCTATGGTTTTTCTTTTTTCTTCTTTGTTAATTT
Source organism: Homo sapiens (assembly GCF_000001405.40). NCBI lineage: Eukaryota > Metazoa > Chordata > Mammalia > Primates > Hominidae > Homo > Homo sapiens. Next base: position 87,402,499 of record NC_000011.10, on the reverse strand, counting down.
CTTTTTTTCTTTTTTTTTTTTTCAGACAGAGTCTCGCTCTGTTGCCCAGGCTGGAGTGCAGTGGTGCGATCATGGCTCACTGCAACCTCCACCTCCCAGGTTCAAGCGATTCTCCTGCCTCAGCCTCCCGAGGAGCTGGGATTATAGGCATGTGCCACCATGCCCGGCTAATTTTTGTACTTTTAGTAGAGAAGGGTTTCACTATGTTGGCCAGGCTGGTCTCGAACTCCTGATTTCAGGTGATTCACCCACCTCGGCCTCCCAAAGTGCTGGGATAATGGGCGTGATTTCTTTCCATAGCACTTACCACCTTCTAATGTAAAAGCTCCACAAAGATAGGAATTTTTGTATGTTTGTTTTATTTCCTAGTATATTCAAAACTTATAGAAGAGTATCTAGTACATAGTAGGCACTCAATAAGTAGTTAATGCATGAGTAAAGGGTGGTACAGAATATCAGAGCCCAAGCTCTGGAGTCAGCTAGACCTGGGTTCAAACTCCAGCTCTACCGCTTACTAGCTTTATGATCTTGGAAAAATGTCTTGAGCTCTCCTTGCTTCCATTTCTCAAGCTAACAAAGTCCTTCTGGCTTAAAAAGTGTCATTACATCAGCTTCCCTATTTAATTATGAGTACTATTCCACTCTGTTTTACTACTGAGGAGAATGATTTTCAAAGAAGTTATATAATCTGCTCAGGGCCTCACAGCTGTAAATTTACAGCTTGGATTTGTTACATATCTTTTAACCCAAGAGATCATTGTTCTTTCCTCAACAACATAGCAGCTTTACAAGCATTTTAAAGTCTCAGTATAATGTAAACTTTTCAGGAATACCAATAATCACTCACATGTGCATGGAATTTTATAGTTAGAAGCAGGCAGCAGTTTGGAGTGGGTTGGGTACATGAGAGTCACCTGAGGAAGCTTTATGAAAATGTATATGCCTATTTGCACCTCCAAACCTCCAGGAGTAGGGCCCATGTATGTTCAGAAAGTTTATCTCATGATTCCTATGTATTTCCTGAATAAGAAACACTGCTTTAAAGAGCTAAAGTTGGTTCTTAAAACCATCTCATAAGGTCTATCTTATTGCTATTCCAGTTTTAAGGATTAGGAAAACAAGACTCAAAAACACGAAGAGCTGTTTGCACAACCACGCAGCTGCCGAGTAGTTTGCCTGGAAACCCAGGCTCCTATCCTCAGGCTTGAATTGCGTTTACTATAAAGAATGCAATTAGAAGTCAGTTAGGTCCGGGTGTGGTGGCTCACACCTGTTATCCTAGCACTTTGGGAGGCCAAGGCAGGTGGATCACAAGGTCTAGAGATCAAGACCATCCTGGCCACATTGTGAAACCCTGTCTCTAATAAAAATACAAAAATTAGCTGGCGTGGTGGCACACACCTGTAATCCCAGCTACTCGGGAGGCTGAGGCAGGAGAATCACTTGAACCCAGGAGGCGGAGGTTGCAGTGAGCCGAGATTGCACCACTGCACTTCACTCCAGCCTGGTGACAGAGCGAGACCCCATCTCAAAAACAAAAAAAGAAGTCAATCAGTTTGGGTCCTAGTCTTGTCTCCCGACCTCAAAAGCTAAGTGATGGTAATCACTTTTACCCGCTCATGTTTCATCTTAGGGGGGATATATTTATTTCTCACTTCCTTGAAGCGAACAGGGTGAGGAACAAATGAGAAAATAGCAGTGAAATAATAAAATAGCAGTGTTTATCCCAGAGAAGAGAAACGCCCCACAGTATTATACTCAATCTCTTCATAACTGTCCTACAGGATGTATTTTACTACCTTTATTTTACTGTGGCAGATAGACATGTAAGCACACAGCTAGTATGTGGTAGAGAGATTCCAACATACGTCTTTCTGATCCCAAAGTCCACATACTTTCCAATCTGCAATACTCTGGCCGCAAAGGACACTGGAAAAATTAAGAGCTGTCAGATACATATTAGATAGAAAAGAATTGGAAAACCATATATTATTGATGAGGTCATACAAATATTAATTTACAATCATAATTCATATCCAGTTAAATTTAAATTATACTTACTGAGCACCTTCTAGGTTCTGTGGTAGTCAGAGAGATAAATAAGACTTAATTCTTGCTTCAGTTGATCTAGCACATTTTCTCAGCAATGGCATATATAATACCAGTCTTCAATTCAGATTTATAACATTTATTATCATCTTTCCTTAAAAATGGAAAATTCTACTGCTGGGTGACTTCGAACAGATTCCTCAATGGTATTGAGCATAAGAATAGAAAGCAGTCTATTCCAAGACTGTAGGGTTCAACTAGACCTAATGATCCCTTGATCCTATTTTCTCTGAGACTGAGGGATTCAGAAAGATACTCACCTAGTTACACCTGAAAGCTAAACCAGAGAACTACTGGAGGAAGACACACAGGTAGATAAGGAGGGAACATTTCTTCCATTCTCTCTGGTTCCCATTCAAAGGCCGAGGCAAACCCAATAGTGGCCATGGCCCTCAAGGTATACGAGGAGCTAGACAGAAGTAAGACAGACTTTTACAAGAAGCCATCTCAATCCCCAAAACCCAGTGGGATCATCTGAGTTGTAGCTAAGGGTAAGGCAATTTACATCAGTGTCTGAGAAACAGTATTAGGATTAAGCCCAAATACAGAGCAGAAGATCTTGAGCTGCAATCAGATGCAGGTTGGAAAGGGAGGTCAAAACTCTCAGAAAGAAGGCTGTTGACAAATTTGCCTTCAGAAAGTTAGCAGCCAACAAATTTCTGCTGATTTTTAAATCAACATATTAGCTACCATGTTTCTGTGGATAATGATACAAAAAAAGATAGTTTGTTATATAATAAATACTGCCCACCTGTGAGTCCTTCAGGCTGATCATGTGGGACATCACCAAGACTGTAATACACTGGTCTTTTACTGACTATGACCAATTAAACAGACACAGGGAGAGTCATTTCAGGACAAGGCCATGGAGCACTTTATCTCCAGAGAATCCTAAAGCTGGGATCAGATGGGATTTAACACTCAGTTTATAATGAACTTTGACAACAACTCTATGGTCATTTTTATTTGTTTTGTCCTGTTCTTGGCCATATTACTACATGATAGTATATGCTAATGATACAAATGATAATGATACAAATCTCAGTGGATATAATGACTTAGTAACCACTCCTAGACTAGGTTGTACATAATGCAGTCGTTTGGAGGTTGAAATTAGAGGCATTAGAAAGACAACTGATTGTGACTTCCAAGTGCTTTAATTGACATACGGCCCTTGGAATTCAGACAAGATAGGCCTGCAGGGAGGCTTTGCTATGTAGAGATACTGAAGAATGGCCTGGGAGCCTTTCCAAGCCTGGAGGAACTTGGATGGATCTACAAGATGATGCAAGGTCATTCCTTTCCAGCTCCAACCCCAGTCCCAAGACAGTGTGGGGAATTGGGGAACCAAGTTCAGGAAAGGAACAACTTGTCCCTTCAGCAGAGTTAAGTAGGGCCTGGGGACCTCTTATGTTTACATTGAGTAGACTTTTTTTTTTCAGTCCTTACCCACAAATTCAGGTTGACCTTCTCTCTTCTTCATTAGCAGCCTTGTATGGCAAAGGACCTGATCTTTAGCCTGATAACCCCAAACAACTCCTAGGAGAAAGGAAAAATGCCAAGTATCATGGCATTTTGGTTGAGAAGAAAGAGCACCCCCTATGGAATCTAGACTCCTGGATATATGCAAGACTTTAACCCACCACTCACCTAAATCTTTTGTCTTTGTCCTTCATGAGCTCTTTGCTTTGTTCCAAGAAAGTAATACAAATTATCAATATTCTTTCTAATTTATAATAAGCATTACTGACAGAAAAAATTACCATATTATAGTGAAACTGAAAATAATGAATCTCCACAGGTTAAAATTTGTTATAGGTAAAAACTAACTGAAGAATTATGCATTGCTGGGCATATAGTAAAATGCAAAAAGAAAAAAATGATCTTAGAAAAAGCATATTTAGAAGAAATAATCAACAACAGCACCAAATAAAACTGTCAACAGCTAAAACCACACTCAAAAAAATTAGCAAAAAAAACTTCTTGCAAAATTTGCATCTAAAATATTTTATCTGAAAAAATTGAATTAAAAACTATAAAGGCCAAAAAAATGAAAACATAATGACATTTGACAATAATAAAACAAATGATTATAACAAAAACTGATGACTACATTAACGTTTATTATAAAATGTACACAGAAATAATTAATCTAGACCAATATCCATAAAATAAAACTATAACTACCCTGGATAGGAAATGATCAAGGAATTAAGCTGAATTAGTATAGAATGCTCCAAAAGAAAAATGCTTTTCCCATAGACATTCATTCACTAAAGCATAATCTTGATGTAGAGATTTTTTTTTTTTAATATGGACATTAAGTACATTCAAGCCCAAAACAGTCAGGTAAAAACATTCACAGAGTCCAAGTAAGAGTCAATACAACAGAATTTAAACGCCTGCATTCAACTCTGAGGATTGAATCTTGGCTCTGAAGCACATGGCTTTGGTACCAGTAAGCCATATGACTTTGAAAAAGTTACTTAATGTCTCTCAGCCTCCACTGCCTCATATGTAAAATGTACATGTTAATTTCATACCTTTCCTCTTAGTGTTTATATTGGGCTATCCATGAGAAGTAAAACCAGGAGAAGTCTTGCACACATCTTTCTTCTGAGAACTTCCTTACCCTGTGGTTTCCACACTTTGTGTCATATAACCTCAGGCTCTAATCATGACCTCTTGAACTAAGGATAAGTATCTGACCCAAAAATATAGTTAGATTGGCCGGCAACCTGCCAAATGCATTGCCCCAGAAAGACAGTTTATACTCAGTGGTTACTGGCTAATTCAATCCACTAAGTCCACTCTTGGGGAATTTTAATGTCAGATGTGCAAAAAAAAAAAAAGTGAGCAGAGAGTAGGACTGGCAGAAGCAGAGAGGAAAAGAGGAAACAAGAGGCAGAAGCCATGAGGTACCATGGGTAAGTAAAAGCCATGAGTCAGCTAAAAGCAAATAGGCTGAGGAAAGAAAAAAGAATTGTCAGGAATGAAATAGGAAGAAGCTGGTGGAGAGAAAAATAGAACTGAAGTTGCCGCATTGCAATAGTGAAGGATATACATAGATATATAAGAAAATATTTATTACAGGAATTGGCTCGCATGATTATGGAAGCCAAGAAGTCCCAAAATATACCATTTGCAAGCTATAGAATGAGGAAAGCCAGCAGTGTGATTCAGCCCTTGTCGTAAGGCCTGAAAATCAGGAAGGCTGCTGTTGTAAATCCAAGGTCATAAGGTCCAAGAACCCAGAGCACCTACATCTAAGGGCATTAGAAGACAGATTTCTCAGCTCAAGAAGAGAGAGTGAATTTTCTCTTTCTCTACCATTTTGTTCTATTCAGGTGCCCACTCAAATAAGTAAAGGTGGATCGTTTTTACTCAGTCTACTGATCCAAATGCTAATATCATCTGGAAACACCCTCAAAGATTCACCAGAAATAATGTTGTGCCAGCTTCTCTGCTTATCCCTTAACTCAAAAGTCAATATATAAAGTTAACTATCACAGATAGGAACTCAGAAGACGTCTCAAATTGTTACTGGGGCCCAGAGCTACTAACAGACTCATGTAGCTGCTGCTGCTGCTGAATTATATGTGGTGACAAACAATGTTCCAGATTTCCAAAGACCTTACTGTGCAGCCTTTCTAATTTTCCCAGCCATCCTTGAAATAAACCTCCAGTGCTAGTGACATGAACAACAACAAAAACAAATGATCCTTCAGTATATAAAAAGACATTCACCCTCACTCATAATAAGATAAGAGAAATGAAAATTAAAACTAAACTGAGATTTGATTTCTTTCCTAATCAGATTGGTGAATATTCAAAAGTTTGATAAGACACCTTTTAATCAAGGCCATGGGAAAATGGGTACTTCTCTGCTGGTGGGAAAACAAAACAGTACAACCCTGGGAAGGGGAATTTGGGAATTTGGTAATATCTAAGATGTATACACAAGGCAAAGTAGTAAAAATTATAACTGAAAAATAACTTAAATATCTATCAATAGGGAATAGGTTGAATAACTGAAGTACATCCAAACAATGGTGTATAGTTGTCTTGAAGAATAAAGATTTTTTTCTGTGTACTACCATGATCTCCCGGATTTAATGTTGAGCAAAAAAAAAATCAAAGCAGAGAAGAGTACACATAGTATGCTATTGTTTATCTAAGAAAGAAGAGTACTAAGTACACACACACACACACAGTGCATTCTCATTATTCTCATTATTTGTGGTAGTTGTGTTCTCTAAAGTCACACTGAGCACTAAATTAGCAAATAACTGAACCATTGCTCCTAATGGAAATACAGGATTAGGTTCCTATAAGCCCTGGTCACAATATTTTTATCAATAGATCAATATATAACCCTGTTTTACGTCTGACTCTGTTTAAAGGAATCTTATTTAAATATATGTTCTTGATTCATTAATGTTGATCTCACAGCCATCAGCACTGCAACTCATGCCTAAATGAAGGTTATCTAGTACACGGATTTTCCTCATAAGGCACATCAACAACCTTATTATGCTTAGTAACACCAAACAGCACTTCAGCACTATGCTTTGGGGCCATTGTTAATTGTGAAATCATCAAGAAAAAGCAAAAAGTGCAAAAAAAAGAATAAATCTACTGCAAAAAGGACACTAGCTTACATACGAGAGCTGCAGTGAGAAGATAGAGCCTTATTTGACTCAGCTAGGAATATACACATTGAATGATTCAGATTTTACAGTGCTTTACATGTATTCATGAATGACCATGGAAGTGCTGCAAGTATTGATTTTAAGGTTACAAATAAATGTTAGCATGTAGACAAATTTGCAAATCTGGAATCTGTGACTAATGAGGATTGATTGTATATATTTCTTACATTTAAAAATGGAGTGGTTCCTGAAATTTTTTTTATTAGTTTAAAATTTTTTAAACGTTAAATTGAAGAATAAGCCACAAAATATAGGTATACATCAGAGATATGGTGGGTTCAGTTCCAGACCACCACAAGAAAGCAAATATTGCAAGAAAGGGAGTCACACAAATTTTTTGGTTTCCCAGTGCATATAAAAGTTATGTTTATACTATACTATAGTTTATTAAGTGTGCAATAACATTACATCAAAAAAGTACATGGCTTAATTTAAAAAATACTTTATAGCTAAAAAAATGTTAATGATCACCTGAGCCATGAGCAAGTTGTAATCTTTTGTTTTTGGAGCGTCTTGCCTCAATGTTAATGGCTGCTGACTAATCAGAATGGTAGTTGCTGAAGGCTGGGGTGATTGTAACAATCTCTTGAAAAACAAATGAAGTTTGCCACATTGATTTACCTTTCCTTTCATAAAAGATTTCTCTGGAACATGCTATGCTATTTGATAGCACTTTACCCACAATACAACTTCTTTCAGAATTGGAGTCAATTCTCTCATATCCTGCTGCTGCTTTCTCAAGTAAGTTTATGTAATATTCTAAATTCTTTTTTGTCATTTCAACAGTGTTCACAGCATCATCACCAGGAGTTGATTCCATCTAAAGGAACCTCTTCCTTTGCTCATCCATAAGAAGCAACTCCTCATCTGTTCCAGTTTTATCATGACGTTGCAGCAACTCAGTAACACCTTCAGACTTCAGTTCTAATTCTAGTTCTCTTGCTATTCCACCACATTTGCAGATATTTCCTTCACTGAAATCTTGAAACCCTCAAAATCTTCAGTGAGGGTTGGAGTCAACTTTCTTCTAAACTCTTGCTGATGTTGATATTCTTTCAAACTACTGCTCTCCCTATGAGTCATGAATATCCTTAATGGCAGTTAGAATGGTCAATCCTTTTCAGAAGGTATTCAATTTACTTTGCTCAGGTCCATCAGGGGAATCACTATCTATGGCAGCTATAGCCTTACAAAATGTATTTCTTAATTTTGACTCAAAAGTCAAAATTACTCCCTGATTCATGGGCTACAGAATGAACATTGTATGAGAAGGCATGAAAACAACATTAAACTCCCTGTACATATCCGTCAGAACTCTTGGGTTACCAGGTGCATTATGTCAATGCGTGGTAATATTTGGAAATAAATCTCTTTTTCTGAGAAGTAGGTTTCAACAGTGGGCTTAAAATAGTCAGTAAACTACTCTATAAGCTGATGTGCTGTCATCTAGGCTTTGATGCTCCACTTACAGAGCACAGGCAGAGTAATGTAATTCTTAAGAGCCCTAGGATTTTCAGAATGGTAAACAAACGTTGGCTTCAATTTAAAGTCGCCAGCTGCATTAGCTCCTAGCAAAAGAGTCAGCCTGCCCTTTGAAATTTTGAAGCCAAACATTGACTTCTCTTCACTAGCTATGAAAGTCCTAGATGGCATGTTTTTCCAATAGAAGGCTGTTTCATCTGCATTAAAAATCTGTTTAGTATAGCTACCTTTATCAATGATCTTATCTAGATATTCTAAATAACCTACTTCAGCTTCTCCATCAGCACTTGCTGCTTCACCCTGCACTTTAATATTATGGGTAGATCTTATTTCCTTAAATCTCATGAACCAACCTCTTCTAGCTTTAAACATTTCTTCTGCAGTTTCCTCACCTCTCTTAGCCTTCATATAATTGAAGAGAGTGAGGAATTTGCTCTGGGTTAGGTTTTACAATTAAGGAAATGATGTGGCTGGTTTGATCCTCTCTCTAAACCACCAAAATGTTCTCCATATCAGCAATAAAGCTATTTCACTTTCTCATCATTTTGTGTGTTCACTAGACTATAACTTTTAATTTTTTTTAGAATTTTTCCCTTGCATTTACAACTTGGCTGTTGGGCACAATAGGCCTAGCTATAGCTAATCTATCTCAGCTTTTGACATGCCTTCCTTACCAAACTTAATCATATTTGGCTTTTGATGTAAATGGAGAGACATGTGATTCTTCTTTTCACTTGAACACTTAAGAGGCCACAATAGGGTTATTAATTAGCCTAATTATGTCTTAAGGAATAGGGAAGACAGAAGAAAGAAAGAGAGATGAAGGAATGGCTGGTCAATGGAGCAGTCAGAGCACATACATTTATTGGTCAAGTTTGTTATCTTATATGAGCCTGGTTCATGGCAGCCTGAAAAAACATAATAGTGACATCAAAGATCACAGATCACCATAACAGATACAATAATAATGAATAAACCTGAAATATTATAAGACTTCTAAATGTGACACAGAGACACAAGTGAGCATATGCTGTTGGAAAAATGGTGCCAATAGACTTGCTTACCACAGGATTGACTCAAACCTTTAATTTGCAAAAAAACCACAGTATCTGAAAAACACAATAAAGTGAAGTACAATAAAACAATGTATGCCTGTAAACAAAATTGGGAGAAAAAAACAGGATGGAGGCAGAGAAATAGAAGGTAAACTTCTCTACATATCCCTTGTTTCATAATTTGATTTTGAACTATGTAAGTTTTATACAATTATAAAATAAAATTAAACCAAAATGAAATTAAAGGCAATCTCTAAATTTGGATTGGAAATATTATGACATCATCATGTACTTTCTTTTAAAAAATGTCTTTCCTAGCTCTTCTCATTGAAAAGACCTAGACACAATAATCAACCCAGTCACACTGAGCTCTCTCATAACTAGATAATGTTCTCTAAATGTCATTTCTCACTAAAAGAAGCCAGGCCTCTTTGGGGAAATGGCTAATTCTAGATCTGAGGCCAGAAATGTACAAGTTAACACTAAAATATTTTTACATCCTAAAAAGCAAGGACATTAACAAAGGTCATGTCAGAAGGACTCGGGAAGATTTAAAAAGAATCCCATTGGCTAAATGTGAGATGATGTACATACCAGTTAGAATAATAACTACAATATATAAAAACACATCTGGCCGGGTGCAGTGGCTCACACCTGTAATCCCAGCACTTTGGGAGGCCATGGCAGGCAGATCACAAGCTCAGGAGATTGAAACCATCCTGGCCAACATGGTGAAACCCCATCTCTACTAAAAATACAAAAATTAGCTGGATGCTGAGGCAGGAGAATCGCTTGAACCTGGGAGTCAGAGGTTGCAGTGAGCTGAGATCATGCCACTGCACTCCAGCCTGGGCAACAGAGCGAGACTCCATCTCAAAAAAAAAAAAAAACACACATCTAATGTATTTAAATTATATATTTAAATTGAGATAATAATCTCACACACACACACACACACACACACACACACATCTCATTGTTCACTTTAGAAGATGCTAGGAACTAATCCACTATTCTGAATATTGCTAATTAAAATAAAAAACCATTTTTCCTACCCTTTGTTTTCAATGCTTATTTTAAATTCAAGGGGTATATATGCAGGTTTGCTACCTGGGAATATTGTGTGATGTTGAGGTTTGCAATACAAATGATCCCATCACCCAAGTACTGAGAACAGTCACAATAGTTAGTTTTTCAACACTTTCCCTCTCCCTCCTTCCCCCATCTAGTAGTCCCCAGTTTCTACTGTTGCCATCTTTAGGCAATGAAGCCTACTTGATCATGGTGAATTAACTTTTTGACGTGCTTTTGGATTTGGTTTGCTAATGTTTTGTTGAGGATTTGTGTGGCTATGTTCATCAGGGATATTGGCCTGCAGTTTTCTCTTTTTGTTGTGTCTTTCCAAGGTTTTGACATCTATGACGCTGGTTTTTCAGAATGAGTTAGGGAGCAGTCTCTCCTCCTCAATGTTTTGGAATAGTTTCAGTAGAATTGGCACCAGTTCTTTGTATGTCTGGTAGAATTTGGCTGCAAATCCATCCGGTCTGGAGCTTTTTTTTGGTTGTTGATAGGATTTTTATTACTGATTCAGTTTTGGAACTCAATATTGTTTTGTTCAAGGTTTCAATTTCTTCCTGATTCAATATTGGGAAATGATGTGTTCCTAAGTAACTTATCTATTTCCTCTATATATAGTTTGCATACATAGAGGTGATCATAATCATATCTGAGAATCTTTTATATTTCTGTGGGATTGGTTGTAACGCCACCTTTTTTTCTGATTGTGCTCATTTGGATCTTCTTTCTTTGTTCATCTAGCTAGTTGTTAATCAATCTTGCTTATCCTTTCAAAAAACCAAGTTTTGATTTTTTTTATTTTTGTATGGATTTTGGAGTCTCAATTACATTCTGTTCTGCAATTTCATTCTGTTATCTGATTTTACTTATTTCTTTTCTAGTACTAGCATTGGGGTTAGTTTGTTCTTGTTTTTCTTGTTCCTCTAGATATGATATCAGATTGTTAATTTGAGATCTTTCTAACTTTTTGTGGGAAGCATCTAACATTATAACCTTTCCTTTAACATTTCTTTTGCTACATACCAGAGAATTTGGTATGTTGTGCACCTATTTTCATTTATTTCAAATAATTTTTTTATTTCTACCTCAATTTTATTGCTTACCCAAAAGTCATTCAGAAGAAAGTTGTTTAATTTCCTTGTAATTGTATGGTTGTGAGAGAGCTTCTGTGTGTTACTTTATATTTTTATTCCATGGTAATTGGAGAGTATGGTTGATATGATTTCAAATTTTTTAAATTCATTGAGACTTGGTTTATGGCAAAGTGTGTGGTCAATCTTGGAGTATGTTCTGTGTGGAGATGAGAAGAATGTATATTTCTTGGTTGATGGGTGGAGTATTCTGTAGATGTCTATTAGGTCCAATTGATCAAGTGTTGAGTTTAAGTTCAGAATGTCATTGTTAGTTTTCTGCCTCAGTGATCTGTCTAATGCTGTCAGTATGGTATTAAAGTTCTCCACTATTATTGTGTAGCTGTCTAAGCCTTTTTGTAGGTCTAGAAGTACTTGTATTATAAATCTGGGATCCAATGTTGGGTGTGTATATATTTAGGACAGTTATGTGTTCTTCTTAAATTGTACCCTTTATCGTTATATAATGGCCTTCTTTGTCCTTGAAATCTTACTGTACTTGGTTTAAAGTATGTTTTATCTGATATAAGAATAGTGATTCCTGCTCTTTTTTGTTTTCTGTTTGCATAGTAGATGTTTCTCCAACACTTTACTTTGAGCATATGCATATTGTTACATGCAAGATGGGTCTCTTGGAGAAAGTAGACAGATTGGTCTTGTTTTTTTACCCAACTCACCCTTCTGTACCTTTTAAGTGGGGTGTTTAGACCATTGACACTCAAGTTTAATATTGATATGTGAGGTTTTGATCCTATCATGAAGTTGTTATCTGGTTGCTTTGTAGTTTCCATTGTGTAGCTGCTTTATAGGATCTGTGGGCTATGTACTTGAGTATGTTTTTGTGGTAGCAGGTATCATTCTTTTGTTTCCACGTTTGTTGCATGGAACTCCCTTATGGATATCTTGTAAGGGTGGTCTAGTGGTAGCAAATTCCCTATGCAGTTGCTTGTCTGGAAAAGATATTATTTCTCCTTTGCTTATATAGCTTCGTTTGAGGAGATAGGAAATTTTTCTTTATACTTTAAGTTCTGGGGTACATATGCTCAACGTGCAGGTTTGATACATAAGTATACATGTGCCATGTTGGTTTGCTGCACTCATCAACTCATCATTTACATTAAGTATTTCTCCTAATGCTATCCCTCCCCCAGTCCCCCACCCCCTGACATGCCCCAGTGTGTGATCTTCCCCACCTTGTGTCCAAGTGATCTCATTGTTCAATTCCCACCTATGAGTGAGAACATGCGGTGTTTGGTTTTCTGTCCTTGTGATAGTTTGCTGAAAATGATGGTTTCCAGCTTCATCCATGTCCCTGCAAACGACATGGACTCATATATATATATATATTTTTTTTTTTTTTTTTTTTTTTTTTTGGAGACGGAGTCTTGCTCTGTCACCCAGGCTGGAGTGCAGTGGCACGATCTCAGCTCACTGCAAGCTCCACCTGCTGGGTTCACGCCATTCTCCTGCCTCAGCCTCTGGAGTAACTGGGACCACAGGTGCCCACCACCACGCCCGACTAATTCTTTGTATTTTTAGTAGAGACGAGGTTTCACCGAGTTAGACCAGGATGGTCTCGATCTCCTGACCTTGTGATCCACCCACCTCAGCCTCTCAAAGTGCTGGGATTACAGGCGTGAGCCATGGCGCCTGGCCAATCTCATCTTTTTTATGGCTGCATAGTATTCCATGGTGTATTTGTGCCACATTTTCTTAATCCAGTCTATCATTGATGGACATTTGGGTTGGTTCCACATCTTTGCTATTGTGAATAGTGCCACAATAAACATACATGTGAATGTGCCTTTATATTAGCATGATTTATAATCCTTTGGGTATATACCCAGTAATGGGATTGCTGGGTCAAATGGTAATTCTTGTTCTAGATCCTTGAGGAATTGCCACACTCTCTTCCACAATGTTTGAACTAATTTACACTCCCACCAACAGTGTAAAAGCGTTCCTACTTCTCCACATCCTCTCCAGCATCTGTTGTTTCCTGACTTTTTAATGACTGCCATTCTAACTGGCATGAGATAGTATCTCACTGTGGTTTTGATTTGCATTTCTCTGATGACCAGTGATGATGAGCATTTTTTCATGTGTCTTTTGGCTGCATAGATGTCTTCTTCTGAGAATTGTCTGTTCATATCTTTTGCCCACTTTTTGATGGGGTTGCTTTTTCTTGTATATTTGTTTGAGTTCTCTGTAGATTCTGGATATTAGCCCTTTGTCAGATGGGTAGATTGCAAAAATTTTCTCCCATTCTGTAGGTTGCCTGTTCACTCTGATGGTAGTTTCTTTTGCTGTGCAGAAGCTCTTTAGTTTAATTAGACCCCATTTGTCTATTTTGGCTTCTGTTGCCATTGCTTTTGGTGTTTCAGACATGAAGTCCTTGCCCATGCCTATGTCCTGAATGGTATTGCGTAGGTTTTCTTCTATGGTTTTTATGGTTTTAGGTCTAACATTTAAGTCTTTAACCCATCCTGAATTAATTTTTGTATAAGGTGTAAGGAAGGGATCCAGTTTCAGTTTCTGCATATGGCTAGCCAGTTTTCCCAGTACCATTTATTAATGGCCCCCACTCTTTTCTGGCTTGTAGGGTTTCTGCTGAGAGATCCACTGTTAGTCTGATGGGCTTCCCTTTGCAGGTAACTCGACCTTTCTCTCTGGCTGCTCTTAACATTTTTTCCTTCATTTCAACCTTGGTGAATCTGACGATTATGTGTCTTGGGGTTGCTCTTCTTAGGAGTATCTTTGTGGTGTTCTCTGTATTTCCTGAATTTGCCTGTTGTCCTGCCTTGCTAGGTTGGGGAAGTTCTCCCAGATAATGTCCTGAAAAGTGTTTTCCAACTTGGTTCCATTCTCCCCATCACTTTCAGGTACACGAATCAAACATAGATTTGGTCTTTTCATATAGTCCCATATTTCTTGGAGGCATTGTTCATTTCTTTTTAGTCTTTTTTCTGTAACCTTGTTTTCTCACTTTATTTCATCAATTTGATCTTCAATCACTGATATGCTTTCTTCCACTTGATCAAATTGGCTATTGAAGCTTGTGCATGCGTCATGAAGTTTTTGTGCCATGGTTTTCAGCTCCATCAGGTCATTTAAGGTCTTCTCTACACTGTTTATTCTAGTGAGCCATTTGTCTAACCGTTTTTCACGGTTTTAACTTCCTTGCAATGAATTCGAACATCCTCCTTTAGCTCAGAGAAGTTTGTTATGACCAATCTTCTAAAGCCTACTTCTGTCAACTCGTCAAAGTCATTCTCTATCCAGCTTTGTTCCGTTGCTGGTGAGGAGCTGCAATCCTTTGGAGAAGAAGAGGCACTCTGATTTTTAGAATTTTCAGCGCTTCTGCTCTTGTTTCTCCCCATCTTTGTGGTTTTATCCACCTTTGGTCTTTAATGTTGGTGACCTACAGATGGGGTTTTGGTGTAGATGACCTTTTGGTGATGTTGATGCTATTCATTTCTGTTTGTTAGTTTTCCTTCTAACAGTCAGGTCCCTCAGCTGCAGGTCTGTTGGAATTTGCTGGAGTTCTACTCCAGACCCTGTTTGCCTGGGTATCACCAGTGGAGGCTGCAGAACAGCAAATATTGCAGAACAGCAAATATTGCTGCCTGATCCTTCCTCTGGAAGCTTCGTCCCAGAGGGGCAGCTGCCTATATGAGGTGTTTGTCGACCCCTACTGGGAGGTGTCTCCCAGTTCCATTTCACGGGCATCAGGGACCCACTTGAGGAGGCAGTCTGTCCATTCTCAGAGCTCAAACGCCATGCTGGGAGAACCACTTCTCTCTTCAGAGCTGTCAGACAGGGATGTTTAAGTCTGCAGAAGTTGTCTGCTGCCTTTTGTTCAGCTATGCCCTGCCCACAGAGGTGGAGTCCAGAGGCAGTAGGCCTTGTTGAGCTGCAGTGGGCTCCACCCAGTTCAAGCTTCCCGGCTGCTTTGTTTACCTACTCAAGCCTCAGCAATAGCAGAAGCCCCTCCCCCAGCCAGGCTGCCATCTAGCAGATGGATCTCAGACTGTTGCACTAGCAGTGAGCAAGGCTCCGTGGGCATGGGAGCCACCAAGCCAGGCACAGGAGAGAATCACCTTGTTTGCCAGTTGCTAAGACCTTGGGAAGAGCACAGTATTTGAGCAGGAGTGTCCTGTTTTTCCAGGTAGTCTGTCATGGCTTCCCTTGGCTAGGAAAGGGAAATCGCCTGACCTCTTGCACTTCCCAGGTGAGGCGATGCCCCGCCCTGCTTCGGCTCACCCTCTGTGGGCTGTACCCACTGTCCAACCAGTCCCAATGAGATTAATCAGGTACTTCAGTTGGAAATGCAGAAATCACCCTTCTTCTGCATCAATCCTGCTGGGAGCTGCAGACCGGAGCTGTTCCTATACGGCCATCTTGGAACAACCCGAGATAAGAAATTTTTGGTTGAAATTTATTTTTTTTAAGAATGCTAAAAATAGGCCCCTAATTTCTTCTGGCTTGTAAAGTTTCTGCTGAGAAGTCCACTGTTAGCCTGATAGGGTTCCCTTTGCACATGATCTGACCTATTTCTCTAGCTGCCTTCAAGATTTTTTCTTTAGCATTGACCTTGGACAGTCTGGTGACTATATGCCCTGGTGGAGTTAGTTTTGTATAGTTTCTCCCAGGTGTTCTCTAGATTTCTTGTACCTGGATGTCTACCTCTCTAGCAAGATTAGAAAATTTTTCTTGAATTATTCCCTCAATATGTTTTCCAAGTTGTTTACTTTTCCTCCTTCTTTCTCAGGAATGCCAGTAATTCATAGCTTTTGGTTGCTTTACATAATACCATGTATCTTGAAGAATTTGGTTGGTTGTTTTAATTCCTTTTTTTTTTTTTTTTTTTGGTCTGACTGGTTTAGTTTGAAAGACTGGTCTTCAAGCTCTGAAATTCTTTCCTCTGATTGATTCAGTCTATTGCTAAAGCTTTCAATTGTATTTCAAAATTCATTGAGTTTTTCAGTTCCAGAAGCTCTGGTTGATTTATTTTTAAGATGTCTCTTTCTTCATTTCCTGGATTGCTTAGCAGTTTCTTTGTGTTGATATTCAACTTTGCCTTGGATCTCATAGACCTTCCTTGCAATCCGTGCTTTGAATTCTTTATCTGTAGTTTCTGAATTTCCATTTTGGTTAGGGACCCTTGCTGGACCAATTAGTGTGATCTTTTTGTGTTGTCTCCACATTCAGATTTTTCATGGTGCCAGAATTCCTGTGCTGGTTCCTTATCATCTGGAGAGACTTGCACTTCTAATTTTTGTAGTTATTTTTATATAGGTAGATTTTTTTCTTTTTCTTTCTTTCCCTATTATGTTTCCCTTCCTTTTTCTTTTCCCCCCATTCCCTAGGGAATGTGACTGTAGAGAATGCTGGATACAGTCTTTTGGCTTTGCTTCAATAGCCGTAAGCACTCTTTTTTAGTGGGTTTTATATTGGGCTGTGCTGTTTGACCTACAAGCCAGTAGAAGGTACTTATAAGTAAGTAATCTGTGGCCAACATGGCTGGGTATATACATGATCCTTGTTTACTGGCAGAAGCTGTTTCCTTAGTCAATGGGCTGATTCATGGAAGGCACAGTGGTCTGAGCTCCATGTTCAGCCACTGGTGGGTGGGGGCCACGATGGGCAGGGCTGGACTGGGGGGTCCACCTACAGATCCCTGATGGCAGGCATGAGCATCAGTGCCAAGGGAGAATCCAGCAGGCAGCCACCAAGTACCCAGAGGAGTGCCTAGGCATGGAGCTGGGAAGCTTACTTAGCTCTTCAAGTTCTCTGCATGGGGATGGGAGAGGGCCTAAACTCCTAATCTGGGAAAGTAGGTGCTCCAGATGCTTGGAGATCTATTTGAGCGTGGAGCAGAGAGAGCCCCCACTACACCAAGATGTCTGCACAGGAGGGGTGGGGTGACTCAGACTAACAGGGTGGGCAAGCAGGTGCTCTGAATACCTGGAGATCTGCCTGGGCATACATCAGAGAAAGCTCAGGTGCACCATGATCTATATCCAGGAAGGGTGGGGTAGCTCAGGCTGCTGAATAGACAAAATGCTCCAAATACCTAGAGATCTGCTTAAGCATGAAGCAGAGTGGGCGTCCCTGCACCAGGAACTCTGCCCAAGAAGGGTAGGGTGGGTCAAGCTGCTGATCTAGGTGAGAAGATGCTCTGAATGCCTGGATGTGGAGCAGAGAGAGCCCTAATTCACCATGATCTATGTCCATGGAGATTGAGGCAGCTTACACTGCTGGCCTAGGGAAGTGGGTGCTACAAATGCCTGGATTTCTGCCTGGGGGTGGAGCACAGAGGGCTCTACTGCACCACAATCTCAGGGGAGCAGGCTGAGGGTGCCCAGCAATGGCACACACAGACCGGTTCCAAGTTTCCAAGCTGTCCCTAGCTGCAAGTCTCACCTCTCAGGAGAAACTGCTGCTGTAGTATTTCTCTGCCACCTCTACGCTTGCAATGAGGGACAGCATAATTCTAATGCCTAATGCTGAAATGCCTTCCTCAGTTCTGGCTGTGGGAGCTCCTATTCCACTTCAGAGTGGGTGCTCCAATCTCTGGCCTGAGAATATATTGTTTGTGTGGCCATGCTGCTGGGTAGCCAAAGAATGGCTGACTTTTTATGTGCCCAGGTTAAAAACGGCATCCTTATCTCAGTCCTGGCTCTGGGACTGTGTCTGCAGCTTTTCCCTATCTTTCCATCACAGCATATTCAAGCCTCTCCCTGTTAGTTACAGGGCTTGGGAGAAACATAGTGCTGTATCTCAGCCGGAATTGCTCAGTATCACTGAGCAATTTGGTATCACCACCAAATGGTTTTGCTCTGCATCCTCCCCACCCAAATCTCATATCGAATTTTAATTCCCCGTGTTGAGGAGGGAACCTGATAGGAGGTGACTGGATCATGGAGGTGGATTTCCCTTCTTTTGTTCTTATGACAGTGAGTTCTCATGAGATCTGGTTATTTAAAAGTATGTAGTAGGGCTGGGTGTGGTGGCTCATGCCTGTAATCCTAGCACTTTGGGAAGCTGAGGCAGGCAGATCACTTGAGGTCAGGAGTTCAAGACCAGCCTGGCCAACAGGGTGAAACCCTGTCTCTACTATATGTACAAAAATATTAGCCAAGCATGGTGGCACATGCCTGTAGTCCCAGCTACCAGGGTGGCTGAGGCAGGAGAATTGCTTGAACCTGGAAGGCAGATGTTGCAGTGAGCCAAGACTGCACCACTGCACTGCAGCCTGGGTAATAGAGCAAGACTCTGTCTCAAGTAATAATAATAATAATAATAACTATGTAGCACTTTCCCCTTCACTCTCTCTCTCCTGCTCTACCATGGTATAAGACATGTTTGCTTCCTCTTTGCCTTCTGCCATGATTGTAAGTTTCCTGAGACCTCCCAGCCATGCTTCCTGTATAGCCTTTGGAACTGTGAGTCAATTACACCTCTTTTCTTCATAAATTACCCAGTCACGGGAGTTTGTTATAGCAGTATGAGAACAGAATACACTTGGATTCCCAGTGGAAAGGTCAGTCACAGGGGAAGGCTGTCTGCCTCTCTCATATACTTAGGCTTCAATCACCATTATCAGCCAGACACCATCACCAGAGCTGTTTGCTGGCATTCTCCTCCCTGGAATCAGTGATGTTCTTCATAATTCCACTGGATTCCCATTTTCCTTCTTGAATTAAAGCTCACGGAGTAGACCTTTATGAACTATCGTGCTATTTCCAAGTAGCTAAGGCATGCTAAAAGCTTCTAATCTGCCATCTTGGGGGAAAAAAAAACACCTGTCTTTTTTTTATATGAACGGGGCCTTAAACCAATCAAGTAGGTGTTGAAGAATTTTTTTTCTATAGAGGTATTTCAGATTACAAATAAAGAAGGAATGAGAGAATGTTACCTTTTTGCAAACTCCTTATAGGGATATAGGCTTATTAATTGCTATGGACAAAATTTCATCCCCCCATATTTTATGTATTGAAGCCCTGGATCCCAATGTGACTGTATTTGGAGATAGGGTCTCTCTCAATCCATTTTCTGCTGCTATAACAGGATGCTATAGACTAAGTAATTTATAAAGACAAGAGATGTTTTTGGCTCACAGTTCTGAAGGCTGAGAAGTCCAAGATTAACTAGCCACATCTGGTGAGGACTTTCTTGCTGTGTCATAACATGGTGGAAAGCATC
The DNA here is from genome assembly GCF_000001405.40 of Homo sapiens. NCBI lineage: Eukaryota > Metazoa > Chordata > Mammalia > Primates > Hominidae > Homo > Homo sapiens. The sequence goes on along the minus strand of NC_000011.10, from coordinate 87,382,726 downwards.
ACATGCTAGAGGCATGAGCACAAGACAGAAAAAGATAAAGGGGGGCAAATTCCCATGAAAACAGAATTAATCCATTCATGAGGGCAAATTCCTCATGATCTAATCACTTCTTAAAGTTCCATCTCTTAATACCATTACAACGGTAGTTAAATCTCAACATGAATTTTGGAAGGGACATTCAAACCATCAAAGGCCTTAATTACCTTAAGGAGGCAATTAAGATTAAATAAGGTCACAAGCATGGAACCCTAATCCAATAGGATGAGTGTCCTTATGAGAAGAGGAAGCGACACCACCAGAGCTCCGTCTTCACGCACACACAGAGAAAAGGCCATATGAGGGAACAATGAGAAAGTAGTCATCTAGAAGCCCGAAAGAGGTCTTACCAGAAACAAACTTTATTGGCACCTCGGTCTAAGACTCTGAACCTCTAGAACTGTGAGAAAATAAATTTCTGTTGTTTAAGCCACTCAGTCTTTGGTATTCTGTTTTAGTAGTCCAAGGAAGCTAATACATTGATATCAAAGGAGAGAACAGACACTATTTTTTTTTATGGACATATATACCACCACCTATGAGGTGATTTTATTTATAAAAAATTATGAATCTGAATCACATCAAGATTTAGTGCTAAGTACTAATTTCATAGAAATACATGGAAATGGAGAGACAGAGGAACATTTCATGATACCATGGGGAGCAATCAGCAAAACTCAGAGTAAGAAAAATTTCATAGGAGAAATGACTGTTTCATCAACAAATATATCTCAAGGAAATAATACAAAGAAGTAGAACCTATAAATTAAAAGATATTGAATAGATATATCATCTAAATGCAATATATAAACCTTCTTTAGATGCTGATCCAATCAAACTGTGTGTGTGTGTGCGTGTGTGTGTGTGTGTGTGTGTGTGTGTGTGTGTGTGTGAAGGGGTTGGGGGCAGAGAGAGAAAGAGAGAGAAATTTGAGCCCTGAGTGGATATTTCATGTTATTAAATAAATGTTTAGGTTTATCTTTTAAATTCTTGATAAGACAAGATATCTGGGATTTGCTTCAAAATAATCCTATTGTATGATAGGAGACGTAAGAAAGGGTGTAGATAAAACAACAGCAGTAGGGAATTAATGTAGAAATTATTAAAGGTTCAGGAGTTTTATTCTATTAGTCTCTCTATGGCCTGTGAATTTTTTACATTAAATGTTTAATTTAATTTCAACTCCGATTTACCAGCAAACTGAATATATCCCTGTTGCTCATATTTTGAAAGGATCCAATCAATATAGAATTGTTGTCAAGATTAAATGAAATTGCCTATGGAGAACAGGGAGTCTGGTGGCTAGAAAAGATAACAGAAAGTCCAGCTATGATGGCTAAAATATTATGTTTCAGGATTTCAGCTCACCTCAAAATATCCTGTGCAATTAATTCAAAAAATCCTGTATTGATTCTATGCAAATAACACAGACAAAATGGAATTCCTATACATTTAGCATATATTCAGAAATAAAATCTTAAGCACTGCATCTTTGGTTCCAAATGATTATTTAGTGTTTCCCTGCCTGGTGTCCAGCACATGAAGACTTCTTTAAGTCCCATCTACCCAATGCGTACTATACTTCCAAACTCAGCCCTGAATAATCCCAAGTAGCTCTTGACATTACTAACATTATTGCCTCTTTTTCTACACCATGCATACCTGCTATTGCCTTCTTCAAGTCCAACATACCCAGTTGCTCTCTCCATTTTGACCTTGTCTCCTCTCAGGGGTCATTTAATTTCTCCACCTAGGTTAAACTCCTCAGGACAGCCCTTCCAAGTCCTAAGGCATGGGTAGCCCTGCCACCAGTTTCTCCATGAGTTCCCATAGCAAAGATGATGCCCTTTCAAAGTGCCTCCTTCCTGTCTGTCCACCCTACCCTTGTCATCTCACTATCCAGCCTAGCTATTGTCAGAACTTTCAAATCATTCTCTCAGTATCTCTTACTACCTCTCTGCTGACACTTTACTTCCATTTTGCAATATACTTTGTCCAAATTTCACAAAAAGCAATGAATCCAGGATAACAGTAGCCTTATGTGGTCTCCCCAAGACTGATACCATGTTGCTGTTGACCTAGCTGCATTTTACTATTACTGGAAATCAACTAATTAGGCAATTTAGGGGGTATTTTGCATCCATTTTTTTCATTTTCACTAAGTAGGGTGACCTTGTAGAACTGCAACGGTTATTCCCCAAAGCAGGCCTAATGGCTGGCAATCTTAACGCTTGTTCAGTTTCCAAAAATGCTGGATTCCATATTCTCTTAAAAGAGAATAACCCAAACCTCTAATTCTCCACCATTGTCTATTCCAATTTTGCCAAAGAATTTAGAATGGTTTAGTGCCCAAATAGGATATATATACAGCATGGAAAGAACAGACAGATTACAATTAAATCTTTGATTAAATCACATCCCTTATTCTAGGCTTCAGTTTCATTACTGATAATATAATCTCTCTCTATTTTTTCTATTTTTTACTTGTACTTATTCCCTAAAATCCCAAGAGTCCTTTGAGGTCAGAGATTGTATTTTATTTTCTTTGTATCTCCTATGCCAAACACAGTTCTTTCAAATAGTAGCATTAGATTAATCTTAAATAAACAAATGAATGTCCAAGGTTCTGTGAAATTGTGACTTCCATAGAGATATCCAAAACACCTGACATCATCACCAGTTCTGCATAGCAGTAACAGCCAACCATTTATGATGAACATGAGCTACAGGCGCATTAAAAGCCTGCCCCAAATTGTGAGGTTCAGTTCTTGGCCACAATCCTGGAGAGGCAATAGTATGCAACGAGAAGTGTGCCAGAATCTGCTTCAATTCAAGGTACCACTGGAATCAGCATTATCTTGTGCAAGCTACTGGGCATAGGGAAATCACAGATTTTAGGGACAGGGGCCCTGAACACAAAGTTAGTTCCACTGGTCTCCCATTAAGAGTCTTTGTATGTAAGAAACAGAACTTACTTGAGCAACTTTAAGTAAAAGGTGATTTTTTTGAAGAGAGATATCAAAACAAACTCAAAGTCAGGGAGTGTAGACAGGTACCCAGAAAGCCTGGTTCCAGCAACTAAACACACATCACCCAAACGAGGCCACAGACTCATCCATTACTGAGTCCCTCACTCTCTGTAGCCACATGGTCTCTTACCCCCTCTTCTCTCTGCAAAGCAATTTTGTTGTTCCACATGTAAAGAGGCTAAATGGAGCTGCCAGATCCTATTATTGTCTTAGTGCTCAGTTCAGTTACCCATGGAGGCTGGCTCATGGTTCTCAAGTTCATTTCCAGTGTCCTGGAAGGTGGGGTTTGATTCTCCCCCACAGTCTGGACAGTGATCTCTGTCTACCCACTCAGCAGGGGCTGCAGTAATCTACTTTCTGAAGAGTGATGATTTTAACCAGGGACATGAAATGATCAGATTCCACTTCATAAGGCTCACACTGGCAGAGGTATAAAGGATACCCAAGGCCAAGAGAACAGTTCAGTGGGTGTTGCATTAACCAGAAAAGAAATGAGGAAAACTTAAAATCAGGAAATCTGCCAGGGAGACAATATGTAAATGAATTTGAGAACTATGAAAGAATTAGAATCACGAAATTCAATGTGGGAATGAGAAATGGAGATTTCTGATCTAGAGAGAGAGAGATGACACAACTAGTCACTGAACAAAAGAACTAAGCAGAATGGCAAGTTTGGGTGGCGTCGGGGATAGGACAGGAGTGAATAAATATATCATATTTCAACAAAGAACAACAATCTGAGTACAGATTCTTAATGATTTTTCAACTTTACAATGATGCAAAAGTGATATGAATTCAGTAGAAAGCATACTTCAAACTTACAATTTTGATCTTTTCCCATGCTAGTGATATGCAGTACAAGACTCTCTCACACTGCTGGATAGCAGCAGCAAGCCACGCTATTTTTCACTTTCAATACAGTATTCAATAAATTGCATGAAAAATTCAATACTTTTTTATAAAATAGGCCTTATGTTAGATAATTTTGCCCAACTGTAGGCTAATGTAAGTTTTCTGAGCGCATTTAAGGTAGGCTAGGCTGAGCTGTGATGCTTGGAAGGTTAGATTTTTTTTTCTTATTAACCAGAGGAAGTAGGTTAGGTAGGTATATTAAATACATTTTTGACTTAAAATATTTTGAATTGATGATGAGTTTATTGGGATGTAGCCCCATTTGTAAGTCAAGAAGCATCTGTATAAAGGTTAGATAGAAATACCAAAGGTAAAGTAGGGAAAACATGACTCAAAATGATCAGTTACAAACACATTTCTAATCATATTAGTAGAGGCAGGAGACAGAGAAATCCTAGGCAGTCAGGGATGGGTCACCAGCGTAACCCAACCTTCAAGCCAAAGACAGTCCCAAGTAAAACCTCAGATCAGAGTGAGAACTTCTTTCCTGTTTGCCCACTCTTTCCCAATTGGTTCTTTTTGAATAATGCCTTTCAACCAACTGAATGTTGCCTTTTCCAATACTACCTGTGGCCCGCCCTGCCACTATTCTGTGCCTATAAAGGCCCCAGACTCAGTGGGTAGACAGAGAGAGACGACCTGAGTTTGGGGAAGACAACCTGCTAGTCCCATTCCCTCTCCAGCTCTCCTCTCCATTAAGAGCTGTTTTCATTGCTCAGTAAAATTATCTGCCCTCACCATCCTTCAATTGTCAGTGTGACCTCATTCTTCTTGGACACCGGACAAAAGCTCAGGATCCACCAACTGAGGGTAACCAGAAAGGTTGTCACACTGGCCCTTTGCCCTCGCCAGCGGTGGGCAGCCACCCTACACAATGGGACCAGGGGCCAACTGAGCTGTTAACACACCGCCGTCCATAAGACTGTGGACAGCAGAACTAAAAGAGCTAATTAGCACACTAACACCCCCTCTGGGGTTTCAGGGTCATGGGCACCCTTGCCTGGGCGCCACTGTGTTCCTCTCAAGTGATACACCTGGTCTGGCCACGTGCCCTGCATGGAGCTTGTTCCTATGTCAGCACCCAGAGCGGCCAGCCCAATTCCACACTCCCTTGCTCATCTGCTCCCTCCTTCAAGGGGCTGAGCCAAGTAGACAGGGCACCCCTACTGGGAGTCCAGCAAAGGGGCTGAGAAAAATCCTGCATCAATATTACTTCCCAAATTAACACCCCTCAGTGGCTCTTCTTACTAAAAGATAAAAATCCAATCTATTATGCATGGACCCTAAAGCTCTTCATTATACAGCCTCTGGCTACTTCTCTACCCTAAGCTTCTGCCACAACAAGCAATAAAACTAACTACAGTTTCCTGGATGCACCACCTTCTCTTATTTCTTCTGTGCATTTAGACATCCTGTTTCCTCATCCTGGATATCCTCCCTCCCTCAGCTGCCTGGGCTTCTATTTGTTCTTCAAGACACAGTTCAAGACACCTTATCCATCCAAACCTACCTCACATACACTTTTCACTTGGTGATCTGTGTACTCCTTCATCTTGGTGCCTAGAAAATTGCTAAATTTCTGTTTCTAACATTGCGGCTTGTCTTGCCAGACTGTGAGCCCATGAATTCAGAAAATGTGTTTGCAACTCAGTATTGCAATGGCTACACATAGTAACACCTATCAAATGTTTGTAACTAGCTGGAACAATAGCACAGGCTCTGCAAAGATAACACACAGCCATGATAGCATTTTTCCCTAACAGTGTGAATCTCCTTTCTCTCTCTCAATCTCATTCTCTTCTTCTGCTTTCCCAGTATTGCACATTTCCTCTTGGAGTGGGGATAAGGGAAAATTCATTTCTGCTTCAGTCTTTGTGTCAAATGGGCATTTCCATGGCCTTTGGTAACCACCCACCATGGCCTTGGAATTAAAGTACCCATTGGCCTTATATAATTGTTCAGAAATAGATGGCAGACTCATTTTAAGTAAATTAAAATATATTCAGGGAGGAATCAAATCTACATAGGCTGAAAATAAATAAGGATGAAGAGAAAAATTCACAGTGGGACAGACCCAAAAAGAGTTGATTCATAGGTTTTAGAGAAAAGTTTAAAAGTTGGATGGACTCTTGGTCTATTTGGGCTGTTACAAGAGAATACCATAGACTGAGTGATTTATAAACAACAGAAATTATTTCTCACAGTTCTAGAGGCTGGGAAGTTCAAGATTAAGATACTGCCAGATTCAGTGTCTGGTGAAGGCTTATTTCCTGGTTCATAGATGATCATCTTCTCATTTTACCTCACATGATGGAAAAGGAAAGGGAGCTCTCTGAGGTCCCTTTTATAACGGCATGAATCCCATTTATGAGGACTTCACCTTCATGACTTATCACCTCCCGAAGACTCCACCTCCTGACACCCTCACATTAGGAATTAGGTTTCAACCTATTAATTTAGGGGGAACAAAAACTTTCAGACCACAGCAGTTAATACACCTAAATACACTCCTCATTTTTTCTCAAACCAGATTACAATAACATGGAAAGAATAGGAGGTGACAAAGTAAAAAAAGTGAGAGATACTGTTCTTTTGAGAACTTTGTAAACTAGATACTGAGAACCATAGGTGCAATCTTAAATCAGAGTGGAGTGAAAGTGGGGTGTGTGTGTGTGTGTGTGTGTGTGTGTGTATGTGTGTTAAAGATAAGATTTAACCCTATCTGTGGGTTTGAAGAGAAGAAAAGGGGAACTCAGAAAGGATACTGTTGAGACTGAACAGAGTGGGGCCAGGAGCCCAGGGGAGGGAAGGCCCTTCCTCCTCCCAGATGATGGCATCCCTACCCGATTTTCCAGCTCATCTCCCAACACTACCCCAACATATTCTCCTTCTAACCCCCTCCTACTCTCTCTGATTATGCCACACTTTCTCATGCTTTCAAGGTTTTGCACACATTTTTCCCTCCACCTGGAGTGTCAGTCCCCCAGTTGTCTCTAGTAAACTCTGACTTACCCTTTTCAGACACAACTCATTGATCTTTTTTACTGGGAAATTTCCTTCATTCTCCTATTTAAGCAAAGTAAATGCTTCCTCTCTGGTACTCACAGACTTGTACATTATATGCTTACTGGTGTTTTTATCCCTTCTGACTCCTGTGAAAGAAAAACAGATTTTGGGGCCCCAAAATCACTAAGTTAAAGGGAAAAGTCAAACTGGGAACAGCTTAGGGTAAATCTGCCTCCCATTCTATTCAAAGTCATCCCTGTGCTCACTGAGATAGATACATATCTGATTGCCTCTTTTGGAAAGACTAATCAGAAACTCAAAAGAATGCAACCATTTGTCGCTCACCTACCTGTAACCTGGAAGCACCTTGCCTGCTTCAAGTTGTCCCGCCTTTCTGGACAGAACCAATGTACATCTAACATATATTGACTGACGTCTCATGTCTCCCTAAAATGTTTGAAACCAAGCTGTGCCCTGACCACCTTGGGCAAATGTCAGGACCTCCTAAGGCTGTCATGGGTCCGTGTCCTCAACCTTGGCAAAATAAACTTTCTAAATTGACTGAGACCTATCTCAGATATTCAGGGTTCACAATCCCCAGCAGAGTAAGAGTGCCTTAAGGGAAAGAACTGTGCCTGGTTCACAGTACCTGGCAGACTAAACATTTGTGAAATGTTAATGAAATAATGAGTGAGGATGGGAGAAGTCATTGGATACTTTAGGAGCTTTGAGACAGCAAAGAGGAAAAGTATGGCCCCTTGCTGGGCTAAGAGGGCTGAATGGACTGATGCTCAAAGAGAAGACAGAACTGCCTGGAGCAGCCTCTATTGGAAATTCAGTGGAAATTCATCTAGAGATGATGGTAGGATTAGAAGCACAGTGAAGAACATGGCTGAAATTTCATGTCAATGGTATCCATTAAAAAAAATAGAAGCCCACAAAATTGAAGTTCATGACCTTTCTGTAGAGTAAAAAGCAACTATTTTCACTCCCACAGTTAATAGTTTTATCTGGGAAACAAATTAAGAGTGATCAAATCAGATTTATGAGACATCGGGGGCAGAGTGTCTCAGACAGCTGGGGCTTTCTAGAAGGCATAAAAATACCAACACTTTGTCCAAGTCCATGATCAAAGGCTTGCCAGACTGACTCATGAAGAAGAAAATCCACTTAACAAGATTAAGAAAATCTTTGATTTTTAATCTGTTGCTGCGTAAAAATATGAGTTTTGTTCAACAAATAGAATTAACTATCAATTAGAATGCTTTTAAAGTCTGTATCATAACCACAATTTAGCAATACCAACTGGATGTGTGGCTAGTGAGAAATCATCAGATATAAATCAAATATCAACTTAAATGGACTTGCCTCATCTTACTCCCTTTTCTGGAATTCTACAATCCCAGAACATTACAGAATATTGGATCTGCAAGGAAACTTGAAATGAATATCTAGGCCAATAAACTTATCAAAGGCCAGGGTAGAAAAGTGAATTACTCAGGCCTCCCACTTCGTTAGTGGTTGACCTGAGCCAGAAACACAACTTTTCTCATATTTCTATTAAATGATTTTCCCTCTACACCATGTCATGAAAATAAGGTTAAATTAAGTTCATTGTTGTCCCTACAATTAGTCAGTAAATTATTCCATATGGTTCAAAGTTTTCTGTCCTTGTAATTGATGTAGGAGATGGTAAGCGGATTTTGGAAGAGAGAGGGCTTGAACAGAAAGTTTGGAAGAATGATTTGAATCCACGGAGTATAAGAGGAGAAGGAATGGTGTTCCTAACCAAGATGAGGGAAAATATTATGATGAATGATTCAAGGGAAACTGACTGTCAATTCTGAATTGGAATTAACTTCTTTAGAAAAGTATTGCTCAGAACATAATCCACGGAGCACTAATTCCACAATATGCTCTATTAAAAAAAATCAAAACAAAAAGAGGGGGAATTCTGTGTTCAAACAAGATTGAGAAATGCATATACCCTCCGGTGCACATTGGTGTATTAAAGGCACCAAGTCTTCCTGCAGTCAGGAAACTTCCTTACTGTTTAAACTTTATACTGAATTAACTTTCACAAACTGAACATAACCAGCATTTAGATCACGCAACAGCACCCCAGAAGTGTTCAATTTTTTTCAACACTTTCTGAAATTCATTTGACCACAGAGAGAAGGTCAGCAAACTTTTCCTGTAAAGGGTCAGAGAGTAAATATTTTAGGTTTTCTGGCTACATACGGTCTCTGGTATGTGTGGCTAGTGAGAAATCATCAGATATAATCTGATATTGCATATTTTTCTTTTAGTACAACACTTTAAAAATAACCAAACCATTCTTGGCTTAAGGACTATACAGAAACAGGCCACAACTTGATTTTGAGCTCTTTACAGACCACCTGCCATAGAGCCCTCTTTCATGTTCCCTTTTTTACGTAATGCTTATTAGCATCCTATAACCTCTGGGTCTGCTAGAGATATTTTAGAAAATGTAGTTTAGCAAAAAGGCTCTCAAACATCGAGCATAATCATCAAGTGAAGAACTGGTGAAATGCAGACCCCGGGCCTGAAATACACATTTTCCTTAAGCACCTCAGGTGATTGTGATACAGGCAGTCTAAGAATCACACATGAAAGGGAAAACTGACAGAAATGGAGAAATAAGGGTAGTGATGACTTTCATGGCCACATACAATGATGGAAAAGTGGGAGAACTCAGTTACGTAGAGAACATTTTCAAAGCCTCTTTAGGGGAAACTTGGCATCTCCCTAAAGTATCAAAGATGGACAATGGAAGAAGAGTTTCAAGAGAGGTGAAGCAGTCACAACCCCTAATCTTCCAAGGTTCCCTATTCCCTTGGGATGTCTCACTTACCATCTCTGCCACCAACATAGACTGGCGGGATTGGTGTAAGAGAGGCTTTCTCCTTTTCCTGAATTCTTTCTGTAAAGCTGGGAAAAAAGAGGCATTCATTGTGGGCTTCAGTAAAGACTTCTAGAAAACACAGAAGAAAGAGACCTTTAACTAAGTAACAGTCAACTTTTCACCCAACTGATTAACAGGCTAAGAGTGAAGACTACGTGCTAAAGCAGACCTTGCTCTGGACCCCTGGACCATTCCTCACTAGTTATAAAATTCTTAATCTATCAGTCTCAGTTTACCCTTCTGTAAAAATGGAGATAATAACTCTTTCCATTTGGGGCTGAGAGTTTTAAAGAAAATATCATATTAAGAATGCCTGAGACCTGATAATTGTCCACAGGTGAGTCAGACATCTTACTGCCTTAAAGTAGAACCCAGAGAGGCCTTGAGAGAAACAGGAGTTCTCGATCCTTCCTGCTAAAAGCCTCTGAGAACCCTGCCTCTTCCATGAATTACATGTAGTGAGAGTATCTTCGGAGAGCTCTCACCTACATACTGGACCATTTCCTATAGATTAAATTGACTTCTCCTTTCAGGATATGAATCAATAAAGCTGACTTAGCACAAAAGAGACACAGTTATATAGTAGCAGTTGGGGTACAGTTTATAACAGCACCTCCAAGCCCATAATCATGCCTGGTCTAGAACACGCCCCACTCTATTTACTGGACACAGGCCTCAAGGACAGACACTGTGTCTGGTTCTCCTTTATGTATCATTCTTTCCAAAAATACTGGTATAGCAATTGAGGTAGCAATTAGCCAGGAAAAAAAAAAAGGTAAAATTTTTATGAATCTTGATAAAGATTTTACTTTCCTGCCTAAGTGGAGCATTCTGTATCTGATCAAGCCATCTCAGGTGTGTGAGGATGATATAAGGCCACCAGGTCCTCATTATCAACATCAGTTCTCCCTGCCTGATAACATAGCTGGAGGGGAAAACTGCACTGAAGCTGTATTAACAATGGGACAGCTCTGCGATACTGATTGTTTAGACTAAACCCCTGAAATTCTATTATTTTCTCGTCATTTGCCTCTCCCAAGGGCTAAGAAGAATCACAGTGGATTGTGAGTTGGAGTTCCATAGTCCAAGTTGATTAAGGTTTTGAAACCCAGATCTCATTCATCTGCCTTTCTTTCCGTCATGGCTCAGCGAAAGCAGAGATATGGGACCTACAGATTTCCACCCTCCTAGAGCCTAACTGTCTCCCATGATTCTCCAAGCATTATCTTACTTCTGTTCTAAAGAGAGAAAGAGTTTTCTCCATAGGATTTTAATGGATTTAGACCAGAAATTGGTATGCAACATGCAGTCCCAGATATGCGAGCAGTGAGACAGATCAACATGTCATTTCATTTGGCTATAATTTAATTACGGGCAGAAATTCTTTCCAGTTATGTGTTTCCCATATCCCCTTGATGTTTAGCATGTAAGGACAACTTTATTTGGATGGGAAAACATTTTCAAGAAGAGCTTCTGAAAAATCAGGCTTGGAAACAATTGAGGTGTTGGCAGGAAATTGCTTCCGAGGTCTGAGTAGCTCCGTCCTTAACATATACCTTTTAGTGAACAAACATTAGTCAAAGCCTGCTATGCCGATGGCACCATGCTGGGTGCTGGGAGCCCAGGACAAGCAGGACCCTGCCGCATGAGGGAGCTTATATTTCAATTAAGAAGCAACACTAAAACACTGTTTACATTAATAAATGTAGTAGAAATTATGGTAAATATTGTGAAGAAAAGTACAAGGAGTACAAGAGAAATTGGTTTCGCTCTGCAGGAATCAGGGATAGTTCTTTGAGGAAGAGACATTTAAATCAGGATTTAAAAGATGAGGAGGCATTAGCCTGGAGTGACACAGAGAATGCTTTAGAATAAAAGAATACCATGAGCAAAAGGTGGTATTCCTAAGGTGGAAAAGAGCAAATCGGGGAGTCAAAAGATCAGTGTGGCTAAAGCAGAGTGAGGGCAGACAGTCGCTCCCATGCAGTGGTGAAGTTAAGGATTTGGGCCATTATCCTAAAAGCAATGGGAAACCATGAAAGGGCTTCCAGGGAATGATCGACATCATTAACTTTGGTTTTGTTTTGTTTTGTTTTGTTTTTTTTTGAGACAGAGTCTTGCTCTGTCACCCAGGCTGGAGTACAATGTCACGATCTCAGCTCACTGCAACCTCCGCCTCCCGGGTTAAAGCAATTCTCCTGCCTCAGCCTCCCGAGTAGCTGGGACTACAGGCGCTTGCCACTACACCTGGCTAATTTTTGTACTTTTAGTAGAGACGGGGTTTCACCATGTTGGCCAGGCTGGTCTTGAACTCCTGACCTCAAATGATCCACTTGCCTCCGCCTCCCAAAGTGTTGGGATTACAGGCGTGAGCCACTGTCCGTGGTCTAACCTTGTATTTTTTAATGATAATTTTGGCTATTGTGTAGTGAATAGGCTGGAGAGAAGCGAGAGGTTTCTGGGAGGCCAGTTAGGAGGCATTGCTGTAATCTAGGAGAATAATCTACATGTGCTCCCAAGCACCAGGACATCGAAGGAAAATGCTGTTCAGTTGTTGGCATCTTTTGAAAAACTAATAATTAACTCTTCCACCTGTGGGAAGAAAAATTCAATTCAATTAGAATCTAGTTAACTAGAGCTTCAGGAACTACTGGGGGAGGAGCTGCATGCTGCCCATCAGGCCAGAGCTATGTGACCTGTAGACAGGTTTTCAGTGTGAGACCCAGTATCCACAGAATCCCCATTAGGGCTTGCGTAACCAGCTGCAGGCTGTCTCCAATCACTCCTGGCAGGGCAGATACTGCCTGGTGACTTGAACACAGCTCTTGCCTTTGAACCAGTGAAGAGACAGTAGGCAGAGGAGGAAGAGGAATGGGTGGAGACAGGAGTTCGAGTCGGATACTAAGGTGAAGCCATGTATGAGCCCTGTGACCTTGCACAGCTGCTACCCTCTTCTGCACCAGTTTCTTCACCTTACTGCAGACTGGGACTAATATACCTGCCTTATCAGATTTTCTGAGGATTAATTTAAAGTAAATGAGTTAGAGTGCATAAAGCATTATTTAGTAGAAAACCCGGCCCTGAGAAGTTCTCAGTAATGGATAGTTGCTGATTTTTTTAGCTGGGCGATACCATAGACTGCCAGGGAATTTGGACCCAGGCTCAGGTTTGAATCTCACCTCTACCACTTAGTCTTTGTGACTTTGTAAATAAAGTTAATAAAATTCCCTGGGTCTCGGTTTCCTGAAATGTTCAAATGGCGATAATAAAACCTATTGGAAAAGGTGGTCATGGAGATTAAATGAGTTAATGTGATTCACTTTTATTTCTGTTTCTACTTCCCCATAGGGAGGTGCATATGAGCAGCCTTTTCTCAAAGCCAGAGGGGGAGATGCCAAGGCAGTGAGTGGAGGGAAGTGAAATGAGACAAATATGAGTGCAGATAAGAGGACTTAGAGGCAGGCAGGTAACACCCTCACTCCATACATGCATCTGTCTGCACAAAGAGGAGACGATCATTCAGAGTGAAGCTGAATCATTCTGCCAGATCTCCCTGGGGAGAGACTAATTAGCATTTAAAGGGATGCTGGAAATGGATATCACTGATAAGGTAAAACCTTGCCATTCAGAGCTCTGCACTAAAAATGTGCATCCTGCTCTGACAAGGAAAGAAAGGAAACCTCCACAAATCACTTTCCTGTTTTTCGACTGAGGAAGGGTGGCTTGCACTTACTCTGACAGCTCCAGACTTGTCAGGGAAATGCAAGCTTGCTCTGGACAGGGCACTTTGTTTGCTGATTCAACACAGTCATGGAACACCCACTATGTGCCAGGCACCTTGCTGTAGATGAGGGAGACATGATGTGAACCTCAAGGAATTCGCAAGGGCAAGGGGAGACAGCACGATGTGGCGTGGTAAGGGCCTTAGGGGCAGTACACTGAGCTGCAGCAGCCCAGACATAGTGGAGACTTTTTCAACAGGGAACATTTGAGCAGTAACTGAAATTAATAGCAGGAGAAGAAAAGGCAAAATGGGCATTCAGAGCTTGGCATCACACAAACATTATCTCTGAGTTGGGAAGAAAGACAATGTAAGTGGAGAAAGCAGTGTAGGCAAATGCAGAGAGGTGTGGAAGGTGATCTCCACCTGAGCTGAGCCATACAACAACCCCAAAATGAAAAGTCAGCTTGCAAATCACAATTGGACGAAGAGTAACAAGATAATTCTTCATGCCCAGGAAGGTTAGGAATGAGATCAATCCAAAGAATGGCAGAGCTGGAGGGGTCCATAAACTAACTGGTCATTCTCTCAAATGAGGAAAAACTTACAATCAGAGAGGTAAGGACTCGTGCTCAGTATTACACACCCCCTAAGTGACAAAGCCAGGACTGGAAGTCAGATTTCCTCTTTACCACCCAGGCCTGGATCCCTTCCTCTGCACTAAAGCAAGGGTCCCTGGGGCAAAGATATCCAGCCAGGCCAACAAACTGGGAGTTGTACTGTGCACTAACAGCCCTGAGTCAACAATACCCTCTAGACCTTTTGTTCATATCAAGGGCTGGGAGGGGGAGAAAGGATGAAATGCAAGCCCAGACTCACTCAAGACCCAAACTACCAACCAATTTTCAAAGGAAAAACAAAGGCTTAGACAACACTTTATATTGGAAGCAATCTAAGTATCCAATACTAGCAGAATGATTAAATAAACAATAATAAATCCATTCAATTGTTCCTCAGCTATCAAAATTTTTCAAATATAATAACATTAAAATACCTATTAAATAATAATCAAGAGAAAAAGACATAAAACCATTAAAAATATATTAATACTGTCTAAAAGACAAAAATAGAATAAAAAACAGTAAAGGCAAACCAAAAATGTTGGTAAAAGGCTGTTTTGGTAAATAATGATAAATTAAAAGTGATTTTAAAATTTTAACTAGCTTTTTCAAATTGTCTTTAATTAGCTTATTATACCTGTGTAATACTAAGCTCTACTCAGCATATATACATAAATTACTATGTATAGAAAGAGATATGTAAATTATATTTCTCATTTTACACTCTTCCATTGAAAATGGCAGACTAGCTATGTTTGAGGTCAGCTAAGCCAATGGGCAATCAGTGTGCATCTATCTGCTGTGTGCCCAGAATTGTGCCACGCACTATGGAATATAGAAAAAAATTAGAAGATACACAACTGTACTCAAAAGTCTTAGAGAAATAAGATTGGCACAAGTGCAGAGTCTGGTGTATAGTAAGTCTCCCTTAACTACCCGTTGAATGAATGAAGATAGGTCCATGTGCAGGATTGTCTCTGATCAACTCAGCAGCATCCTCACTCCGTCTACTTAGGGCAATCATCTGGAACTTCTTTTCCAAGAATCTCTTTCCAGTATAGTTCTGGGTCAGTTCTGTCAAGGAGAGGCACTTGAAAGAGTTTTGGAAGACCAAAATGAAGTCATTATTTCCCAGGGGCAGCTGTTTGCAGGCATGTGGGCACTGGTGGAAGGCAGATGTTTGGAATATCACCCTGAGAATCATCCTTTTTGGTGGTGAAAAATGTTGAATCACCAATTATATCCCTTATCACCTCTGGGTAGCCTCCTGAGAATTACTCACTTTGGAGAGGCAGCTGCTGAGATTAGTGGAGCAGCTTCCCGAGACCTCTGCCTTTTTTGATTTTCTGAAAGCAGAAATCTCCATCTTCCAGTGGCCACAGAAATCTCGAATTCCCTGTATTAAGCCTCTTCCTACTTGAAATACCTACAGCAGCTTCTGTTCTAACCAAACCCTGACTGACTAATATGGACTACACATAATGAAATGCAAGAATGAGTGGACCTTGGTATTCTACAAGGAATATTCTACAAGGTATTCTACAAGGAGTGCTGGCAAAGTCTGAATCATGTGGTCCATTCTGAGCTAGATGAACCAACCAGATGAGTGGGTTACTTGTGTGTGAAGGAATAATTCTCCTTCCTGCTTCCCTTCAATTCTTTCCTCACTCATTCAAATTTCTTTCTCAAAGGCTTCTGCCTCTTTACCATTAGAAGAGCTAAGAAAATCATGTACTGGCTTTTTTTTAAAAAAAACTAATGCTAATAAATATTGATTCTCCCCAGGAGGATCTCATTTGGGAAAATTAACAGTTTGGTTTCCTGGCAGTGGTAGTCAGCATCCTGCAATAAGCCTAAAGGAAATCCTTACCAAGTCATTGAGACAACTCCAGTACAGGACACCTATTTCCTGTGATCCCTTCCAGATGAATCCAGCACCAGCAACCACAGAGGCCATGGAAGGATCACACAAAGCCCATCCAGTCTGGGAAATTCACTCAAAGACAAGGGCAGGTTGGGCCATCTCATTCATATGCATTACCCATTCTTTCAATCCACTTGTGTTAAATATATAGTATGTGCCAAGCACTGGTGGTTGGCAATAGAGACATGATGGCAGCAAGCCATGGTCCCCATCCTTGAGGAACTCAGCTATTCTAAGGCAACAACAAATGCTAATATTGTAATCATAGAAGGACGCTTCTTTTAGAGTCAAATAGTATTTTAACCTAAGTGCTGTTATAAAAATATAACTATCAATAAAAGCCAAGTGACTAAAGGTTGAGTGTGGAATGGAGGCAATTTTACTTCCAGGAAGGAAACATCCAGCAGACAGCTGAGGTTCTGAAAGAGGAGGTTTGGGGAAAAGAAAATGGAATTGGTCTTTTAAAGCCAATTGGTTCTAATAATTTGTCTTTTAAACTACAACATTCTCTGTCCCATTTAGGAAAGCAAAGCTTCCGCACACTGCCGATGGGCTGGTGACATTTGGAGTTACCCCTCAGGTGCATAAGTGCCAAGATGGCTGCGGTGGTCTCTACTGCGTACAGATGCATCCACCTTGAGTCTGTGGCTTCCAGTTGCTTTTGCTCCCTACCTTGAGTCATCTAACTTGGGATTATGGCTCCCAGTTGTCATTTTATCGGAAGTCAGTTTGCATGGTTGGCAGCAGTTTAGATAGCTCATTAACAGACTAACAATATAATTTATCATCCCAATCAGGACATTGTTGAAAGTAAAAGAATATAATCCTAGTAATTACAATAAAACAAGGCAAGAGCTGGAACCCAAGACTGCACCAAGGAGGGCAGCCACCTATCTAAAGGAGAAGCAAAGAGGTCACACATGTGTTGAGCTTCTGTGTGACATTCTACCAGCTGTTTACATTTGCCTTCTCTCATTTAATCCTGATAACAACTATATAGTGTAGATGTTACTTATTCAAATTTTACAAAAAAGGACCCATGGCCCAGTTAATTAAGGCATGAAGGAAGTCTTCCCAAAGGAGGTGACTCAATGAGAATATAAAGAATGAGTAGGAATTGGCTAGGAAAAGGATCAGGACTAAAGCATAGAAAAATAACATATGCGTAGGAATAGTAATGTGAAATAACTTTTAAGGAAACAGAGAAAAAAACAAATGATTCTGTTTGGCTAAAGGGAAGTGGTAAGAACCCAGAGCACATGGCTCAGGGGTCCTAAACTTTCCCTTCCACTCAGTGCTTCACAGGGGATGCCATCCATAACTCAGAAATACCAGCCATTGTACCCCAACCAAAGGAAGTGGGTCAGTAGCAGGAATATTACCCTTGGTGGACCAACAATAATCTTCCCAGAGACTTTTCTTCCAAATCTATTTTTTCTAAACCTTCATTCAGCTGCGGTTACTAAATTGACAGCATATGAGCAGAGGCTGCTAGGGCTATTTGCCACTATGTGGAGAAGGCCTGTTTGCAACCAAAGCCAAAGTGAAGGAGACACAGAGACACCTAGAAAGAAACAGAGACAGAAAGACCACCTGAAGGACACAGCTTGAAGCCTTAGATCCAGGCATGCCTGCAATTTAGAGTTTATACATCTTGGAATTTCCGATTACATAAACCAATAATTTCATTTTCTTGTTTAAATTCAAAGGGTTCTTTGTCTCAATACAGTGAATTTTAGATACATTTGTGCTACCACAATGGGTGTATCCAAAAATATTCCTGCAGCTCAAGAGACTGTCAGGAGGCATCAGTAAATTTGGAGGTACCATGATGGGAATCGAAATCTCAGGAGTGAATGTCACGGTCAATGGTGGGTACATCGATGAAAAAGCAGTAGGCCTGCTCTTTGTGGGGTACATAGCCAAGCCTATAAGGAGAACAGGAAGGGGAACCCAGGCAATAAGACTGAGAAAGAGCCATCAAAGAGGCAGAAGGAGGACTGCATCAAAGAAGAGATTGCTCAGCAGGGCCAAATGCCACAGAAAAGTGAAAGGAATTACCATGTTATAGGAAAATTGGGAAAACACCCCTTTCCCTCATTTCTCATGTCAAGGCTATAAGGTAGAGTAGGATAACTGCTGTAAGAGGAGTCAAAGTGTAATTGAAAGTCAAAGGCCAAATTCTATGGCCATTTCTGCTTCCGTCTTACTTGACTTTTTACCCTCTCTTACCACGTTGACAAGTCCCCCACTGAATATGTCTTCTCTTGGTTTCAGTGCTATCACTGTCTCCTTCCTCTCTCCTGACTTCTTGTTCCTACCTTCTCAGTGTTCTTTAGTGATACCTCATTTCTTATCAACCTCTTAAATGCTAATGTTTCTCAGGGATCAGAGGCTGTCTTCTTACCATACACTTTTCTTGGGCCATGTCATTCATTTATGGGTTCTGCAACAGCCCATGACTATTAAGTTCCTAATATGATCCCAGGGTCCCTAAATCCATATCTATAGGATGGGGGCTGCTAAAGCTGTTCAGTGCAGAAAGGAAATCTTTTCCTCTGAACAGACTTTAAATATGTCCCCAGAGGATTATGAACAAAGAAGGACTCCACTGAAAGGAGAGCCAGGGGCCCCACGGCCACCTACAGATGTTCATGCTGAGCACTGCACAAGAACACCTAGTGGAACAGCAAGCTCAGGCTGAAACACGGCCTGTAATCCTCTCTCCAAGCCCTCTGCTGAAGCGCTGCATGCACCTGGGAGAAGGGCTGTTGTTTCCTTATAAGCACAAAGACACTGTCTGCTTGCCAAAGCCATGCACCAGCAGGGCAACGACCACCCAGACGGTTGCCCTTTTCTAATGTATATAAAAATGAGGAATGGACCAACAGTGGCCCTGGGAACCCAAGAAACAATGAATAAGGGAGATACTTAGAGAAAGCAGAACTGGGGGCTGACAAAGAAACTTACTCCTCTAATGATATCAAGGAGTCTTCAGAAACCCTATCCAAGAGGACTGATCGTTGTTTCAGACCAGTGACTGTGCCATGTCTCCTCTTCTCTCCTTTTTCAACAGTGTTTATAGTGGTCATTCTGCTCCTGCCCCACCACTGCATACTGAGTATGCTGGGAGGTGCAAAGATGGCTTGGGCTTTAAGTATTCAGGTCACTAGACAGGAAGGACATCCAAATGTAATGGCAGGTCGTGATATTGTGATAAAATAAGAAATATATACATCTGCCCCTGCTTCCTGACATAGAGCTCCTAAGACCTTTCTAGACAGGGGTGCTAGAAGAATCTTTTGTTCTAATATTTGGTCTTTGACCACAGTTCCTGACACAGATTTCCTAAATCCCTTGGAATCTCCCGGGTGATAGGAGCATCTTTTGTTCTAATGAGGTGATTCTTCGTGGGCTCCTGGATGGCCTCAGGATGGGTCTGGTTGCCAGGGAAGCAACCTCGTGATTAGAGGATTGGAACTTTCATCCCCACCTCCAAGCGTCCGGGGAGAGCAGAAGGGCTGACGACTGAGTTGATAACCAATGGCCAACGATGTTACCCATGAACGTACCCATCCCACTATCAGGTAAGTCTTCCGCAAGATGACTGTAGCCCATCCTGTCACACTCTCACAAGCCTGAAAGGCAGGAAACATTCTGCTAGCTGTTTCTCTATCAAGGAATACTGGAGCTCAGATGCCTTCCATGGTTGGGACCAAAAGTCTATTGGCATTCTTAGGTGCTCCGTGCGCTGCTGCAGGCCCCAACAGAAACCATCTGTGGTCACATGCACATTCAGCTCAAATGGGCACCCCGGTCCATGACCTGTAGGGCTTGTGCCTGCTGAATAGACCGCTTGGCTGCCAGGAAGGCGGTCTCAGCCACATCAGCCCAATCCCGGATAGCTCCCATCTTTGTTAACAGACACAATAGTTTTATCATTTGAGCTAAATGGGGCACAAATGTCTGTCAATATCACAGGAGGCTCACAAAAGTTTGCAGCTATCTCACTGTGGTGGGCCGGGGACATGCCTGAATTTTGTCAATGATGGCTTCTGGTATGGCCTTTGTCTTACCTGACCAGATAACTCCCAAGAATCTGGCAGATAATCCAGGACCTTGGACCTTGGATTCGTTGACGGCCCAACCACATGCTGCTAAATGTTGCCGCAAGAGGGACGCCACTGCTTCTAAATCTGCAAGAGAATCAGAGGTTAACATAATATCATCAATATAATGGAATAAGCAGACCCCTTCTGCACATTGCCAGGAGACTAAATCCATGGCAACGAGACCATGACATAGGTTGGGCTATGGACATAGCCCTGCGACAACACTGTGAAAGTCCATTGTCGCCTTTCCCACATGAAGGCAAACTGGTCCCAGCTCTCTGGAGCGATGTTGATGGAGAAAAATGCATTGGCCAAGTCCACTACATAATGGTATTGTGCCAGTTCCATCAACAAATGGTCCATTATATTCATGATTGACAGCACAGCTGCATGCAAAGGGGGTGTTACTTTATTCAGTTCCCAGTAGTCCACCATTATCTGCGAAGTTCCATCAGGCTTCCTAACTGACCACACTGGAGAATTGTAGGGACTATGGGTGCCACACACTATCTGCACCTCCTCCAGCTTTTTAATTGTCTCAGTTATCTCTGTATGCCCACCCAGCAAATGGTATTGACAGGTGGAAGTAACCTGTCGGGGTTGTGGCAGGACCCGAGGCTGGTGATGCATATGTCCATGCAGCACTGGCTTCATCACGTGCACCTGGAGTCTGAATTCCCCAGCCATGGTTTGTAACACCAGGCCATGTAAAAGTACACCCCCAGAATGTATTCTGGTATGGGAGAAACATATACAGTATATAAATGGGGAGCCAAGTGGCCAGTGGTGTGGTACAGACATACAGGTTTCACTCTCACTGATCGGCCTCCGTAAGCATCAATGTGTGCAGCTTTGCCTGTGGGTTCCCATAAACAAGACTACAGTCTGTGCCAGTAGCTACCAGCACCAGCACCCGCTGTACATTGCTGGGGGACCAGTGGATTGCTAATTCTACATGTGGCCTCCAGTCGCCCAGTGTCTTCCTAAGCAGGGCACCTTGGCCAGTTCCCTAATCAAACAGAAAAGGCTCTGCATTTCCACCTGGCTGCAGCAAGCAGTCTTCAAGCTGGAGCCGCCCAGGTGGGACAGCGTTGTGCAGCAGTGTCCTTCTCCCCCTTGGACATTTTCTGGAATTGCTGCTCCAGAGACAACTGTCTCCACAAAGTTAAGAGTACTTCACTGGGCTGCTTATTGATTTTCTCTCAGTCAACCCTGGCCAAAATCAAATCTATGCACATATGTGAGCGTGTCACTCATTGGGGCCCCCTTTTATCCCATGGGGGAACCCCCTGCAGGTGGGGGAGCTTCCTCTTCTTTACAGCATGGACCCCTCAGTCCCGCCGATGGCCTTCTGCTTCCCTGAGAGCCACCATAGCAGTGGTCACTTCATGTGCGCGGCACCCTACGTACTAGGTGAAGACAGCAGCTAGGGAGCCAAAGGCACTGAGGGGCACAGGTCCCAACACAAGATCTCTCATGTGGTAGGTGAAACGTTCATCAGTGATACCCACAGATATTCAGATCAGACATAGCCTGCCGCATACCCATTTCCCAGATGACTTGCACCAAATCAGCATATGACTGCCGTTTACTCACAGTTTTGGGTATTTCACTGGCATCATTTCACACAGTCCGCATGGCTGCCCATAGCCACTCAGTCAGGGTGTGGTCACCTTGCCCTGCCGTTAACTGCCTCCTCACTTGGAACCGCTGACAGAGGGAGGGGTGAGTCTAATGGTGGCCAGCTTTTCCATCTCAGAGGCAGAACAAGAAATACTATCTGCTCCCTCATTTCACAAATGAAGCATCCAGGCAGACAGGGGTTCTCCTGGACGCTGGTGGACCTGCTTGCCTAATTCCCGCAACTCAGTTGCGGTACAGGCAATATATGAAGTGTGTTGTGTTATAGTGGGCAATCCCTGAGCCCGCCCTTGGGGTCCCAACAGCTGTTCATGATCTACCTTCTGACGGACCACTGGGCGACCCTGCAACAGGGGTTCTTCCTCCTCGGTATCAGACTGAGTGGGGAGTCTCCGGCTGAAACGACGGGCCCAGGCCTGCATTCATGGCAGCCCCTAATTCTTTTTCCAAGCTCTGAAGCCAGGTCTCCAGGTGCCCCACCTGCACCTGGAAGTCCCCATTTATGGCAGCCTCTAACTCTTTTTCTGATCTGTATAGCCAGGTCTCCAGGCACCCCGTCTGCGCCTGGAGGTCCCTTACCTGTACTGCACCTCAGGGACTGGGTGTGTACTTTTTTGTAGCACAGTCAAAGAGCCCCATCTGACTCTGCCGGCAAAGGCTCCCTCCTTCTCAGTGCTGTGTGCTTCCAGTTGCTCCAGCACCTTCTCCATGCTTGCAGGAGACCCATCTACCACCACCCAGGTATCCACCGGAGCCCATCCAAGCAGCACAGCTGCCAATGGGTACCACCAACCCATGTTACAGCCACATGGCCAACCCAGAATCAGCAGAAGCCAAAGGCTCACTCACCTCAGGATCCTGTTCATGACACCAATTGTCAGGTTCTATCCCAAACTGAGGTCCGAGGGGAGTCGGTGGGGGAGTAGCTGGAAAAACACTACAGGAATCGTAGGGAGTTTTGATATGGCTTTATCCTCTTTCTGGGCACAAGCCCTATGTATAGCCGCTAGCAGGGTAATTATACCTTTTGTAGACAACAGTGTCTCTAAGCCAGGCACAGACTCATGTGAGTGATCACCTAATGCACTTCACGTGGCATGGTTACATAATGTGTGGCCACAGGTCAGGGCCTTTCCCGGACCAAAACGCCACTGGAGACTGATCTCAGGTGCAGCTTGTTCTAGCTGAGGGTCTAAGGATATGTAAATACCCATCATGAGCAGGGGAGGCAGTAACGAAAGCCCAGGCCAGCTCGCAGGAAGCCCCAGGTGTTTTTTATGAGAGTGTTTTGAGAGTGCACCTGTGCTCCAAACCCAGTGAATCATGCTGTGCCAGAAGGCTGCCTCAGCCTATTCCTGACTAAAGTGCAGCCATTTCCCTTACAATGTGTACATAGAAGTTATCAGGTAGGACTTAAAAAGAAGGTAGACAGCTGTAGGCATAAGCACTTTTCTTTTTTAAAAAACCTTCCACCTTTTTTTCCTGCTTTCTGTCTGGAATGCAAAGATGATGCCTGGTGCTCTAGCAGCGATATTCAATTATAAGACAAATCCAAGGTGGAGGATACATACTAAAATGGTGAGGCAGAAAGATAGATCGGTTCCTTGGTCCCTGAAAAATACCATGATACCAACGCACCAGCCCACTAATGTGAAGCACAATACATTTCCATCTGGTTTAAGCCACCGTTCCTTCTGGTCTTTGACAAGAAAGTTTCTTCTAGTAACTAAATGTAATTCCTAACAAATATACTACGAATATGTATAAGATTCCCACATTCATTGATCAATAGTTCAGATCTCTCCCGATAACTCCAGAACTATCCTCTAGCTGGATGTGCCAGCTGCCTCAATGGCAACATTCTCAAAATCAAACTCATTATCACTTTGCCCACTCCCAACCCTCACATCCCACACTGTGTCTGTTCCTCAGCTTGAGGGGTGGTGGATAAGGAACAAAGAGCTGACAAGCAATGAGCTCTGGGTCTCAAGAAAAGGGACACGTACCACGACTGGCCACTTGGAGTTAAAGGAGGAAGGACACCCAGCCACAGGTCAGGGACTTTCCTGGACCAAAACGCCACTGGAGACTGATTTCAGGTGCAGCTTGTTCCAGACTGAGGGTCTAAGGATATGTAAATACCCATTATGAGCAGGGGAGGCAGTAACGAAAGCCCAGGCCGGCTTGCAGGAAGCCCCAGGTGTTTTTTATGAGAATGTTAAAAGTGGCTGAATAGGATGGCTCACACCTGTAATCCCTGCACTTTGAGAGGCTGAGGCAGGAGGATCACCTGGGCCCAGGAGTTTAAGATCAGCCTGGGCAACAAAGAAAGACCCTGGCTCTACAAAAATTAAAAAATTAACCAGGCATGGTGGCACGTGCCTGTAGTCCCAGTTACTGAAGAGGCTGAAGCAGGAGGATCACTTGAGCCTGGTAGGTTAAGGCTGCACTGAGCCATGAGCCATGATCATGCCATTGCATTCCAGCCTGGGCAACACGGTGAGATCCTGTATCAAAAAAAAAAAAAAAAAAAAAAAAAAAGGAAAAGCCAGTTATTACTGCTGAAAATACCTAGTAATATTTTATCAAGGAATGACCCCAGATGAAATATGGGAAATATCTATCTCTCAGGTAACAGGTGGCAGCCAGGAAATGGCCATGTTTTCAGATTTGTTGGGCCTGAGTAATGGTATGTGTATATGTGAGTATGTCATGGGTATCTATGCTCTGTATGTGTGTGTGGTGAGTTTGTGCAATGTGTGCAGAGTGTAAACATGTACACACATCTATGCATATGCAGGTACCTGCTGTGTGTGTGGACTGTGAGAGTTTGGAGGGAGGCAGTGAGTGGGGTAGTGAGAGACTGCTGCCTGTCCATAATGGAGTATCTAATATTGTGAGAGTTTACCTTGACCAAGCACCCTCATGTCAATGTGCTCATTTGGGCCTCACAAAAGTTTATAAGGTGGGACTAATGTTGCTCCTATTTTTCAAATGAAGGGACTGAGACACAGACAGGTAGAATCCAACTAAAAAGAACATCCTGCACAAAGGTGTCACAGTGCTGGGCTTTCTATATGAGAGCTGTGCGAATGGAAGTTCTCTCAAAGGGAGGGGAGATAGCACCACCTAAGTCAAGAATTTGTGTCCGTTTGTCCATCGCATGCTCCTGCCTCCTATTCGTGCACTCATCCATTCATTTATTCATTCATTTTCATTTATTCAGTCTCAAACATGAATTTGATCTCTCTTGCATGTCAGACCAGCTGACCTTGACTGTGTGTGGGAGAAACAAGGTGAGAGGCCTGGGTACCCAGAAGTGGCACTAATAGGGCAAAAATGACCCAAGTGGGAAGTGAGTGAAGGAAGGGAAATTACAAAAGAGAGAGTGGGCAGAATTTAATTAAATTGCGAATACATCCCAAGCTTTCTTTTCTTTACATTCAGGCTCCACCTGATTAAATTTCAGAACCCTAGAGTTTATGTTTAAAATGCCTTCTAAAATTAGCACGCAAAGCCCTGCAGTTTCTGCAACATGCTCTCCTTATTAACAACACCTGCCCTTCTCAGGCACCACCCACATTTCCAGAGCACTGCTCCAGCTAGGAAGGAGCAGGGAGTTACAAGGCCTGGTTCTACTTCAGCTCTGTCAGGAAAGAGCTGGGTGGCTTTGGCTGAGACTCACCCGCTGGGACTCCATTTATGCCAAGTCAAGTCAGCAAAGCAGGTACAGCTGTTCCCTCAGGGATTTGGAGAAACGCTGTATCAAGCTCTGCATGTGGGGACATTGTGGGCATTGGTGCCAGGCCTGTGAGCTTCTGACCTGATAAGCGTTGCTCCTTGTTTTTGACTTCCCAAGTGGTTGCATGTCTCTTCATTAGACCAGTACATCTTCCCTTCAAGACAGGCATCTATTCCCACTCCATTCGAAAAGTGAAGTTTTAGAGTGGTTTGTAGGCTGGCTAGAGACCTCAGAACAAGTCAGTGGATGAGGGAGAAATGAGACTCAGAACCCTCCAGGCAGGGGTTCAGTCATTCTCTCCTTCCTTCTTTCCACATTCATTATATACCTTTGTGTACCAGGTACACAGCAATAAACCACCTGCTGTCTGCTGGCACAAAGCTGCAGTCTGAGGGAGGAGGGAGGGAAGTTGACAGGCAGTCACCCCGCGACAGTGACAGTGCTGTGGTCATGGTGTGGCGGGATAACCAGTGAGGTATGGAGATACAGCAGAGGGCCCCTCAACTTCAGCCTGCCCCGGGGAACTAGGAATCATTCTGGGCTTTGCCAGGTATGTCCACTGCTGTGTCCCAACACCAGCTTCCCCACTGCTCCCAGTGTTCCTCAACATCCAGGGTGAGCCCTGGCCTCCATTTCCTCCAGGAGCCTTTGTGTGCAGAGGCTCAGAGCCAGAAGGCCACCCCACACCACAAGGCCCTGGGGGGATTTTGGAATTAGGTGTTAACATTGAGAAGGTGCACACTTACTTCCATTTTAGTATTTGTAATTGGAAAGGGCTGCTTGAATTTCTGGGAGAATTTTATCCCCTTCCTTCCAGGTCATTTGGAGTTTCCTTTATAATTTCATTTTTAATTATATGTTATTTTTCTCAGCTCAAATCTGTTGCCAATATCAAAGCTGTTGAAAACATTTTTGGATTCTGTTATGATACATGCCATGGGGTGAAAATGTTGTTATCTTAACAGCTGGCCCCAGAGTTCTCCTTAGGGAGGGAGAACTCTTTGTTTTGAGAAAATACCTTAACAAGGACCTTGGGGTAGAAAGTGAAACCTACAGGAACCTTAGCACAAAGCCACTGGCAATAATGAACCTAAAATATAAGAAAGGAATTTGTTTTAGCTCTAGAGAGGGAGCAGAAACAGAGGGATGGAGACTGAAAGGAGAGGAAGAAGGAGAATTAAGATTAAGAGAAGTCTATAAGTTAAGATTGAGTCCAAGTCACTGGCAGGCCCCCAGCATTGGGTGGAGTCCAGACCCTGACCCGAGAGATAGTTTAGTGCCAGCAAATTGTGAGACCCAGGATGCCAAATGTTCCTCTTGAAAGTTCATTGCTGTTATGTAGAAAGCCACTCATCTCCCTCCAAAATTTTAGCAAACTCTGTAACACTCATGAGCACTGTATGAGTAGAATTCTTTTAAGGCTTGAAGAAGGGGCTGAGCTTCTTGTCTGGATCAATGTCACAAGGCAGAAGTGTTCCTGAGAAGATAAGCTGCTCTCATCCCCTGGGCTTGCGGAAATCTTGGGACAACTTTGGACTTCGGCAGAAAAGAACTGTAGTTTGAGGAGGCCAGTGTTGACATGTGAATTAAATAAATGCAAAGCAATTAATTAAACCAAGACACTAAGGGTGCTGGGACAAGAATCTAATTTGATAGAACCCTGCCTAGGAGCAATATCACTACTCCACGCTCTGCAAAGTGCTTTCTCATGCATTGTCTCATTTGATCTCACACCACCTCTGGAAGGCAGCCTGGATGGAGAGGCTGGTGCCTATTTTACGGGTGCAAAAAAAGATGTTCTCTTTTCATGCCCTTTCAGGCCTGAACTCTCTGAGGCAGATGGAATTCTCCTTGAAGGCTCACCAGGAGTAGGAACCAGAAAGCTTGTTCTGCTAAACCTGGAAGATCAGCACCATGAGACGGGGAAGGTGGATGGAGGGGTGATTTGTCTAAAGTGCCAAAAAAAGGCTTTGTTCTGCTCATAGTTTGAAAAAAAAAATGTGTCCATTGCTTCTGTGGTTTCCCAACATACATTTTGGTATCACCTGGATCAAGTGTCTCCAGTGAACAGCAGGTTCTGACATCCTGACCTCAGCTCCAATCTCCTCCTCTCCAAGGGCTGGTGAAAGCCTCTAACATTCCTGTGTCCAAGACAAAAGTCCTGAGGTCTGCTTTATTTCCACTTCTCCTCAGCAGGTCCTACATTTTTTTATTTTTATTTTTATTTTTTTTTTTGAGACAGGTTCTCACTCTCACTCTCTCATCCAGACTGGTGTGCAGTGGTGCGATCTTGGCTCACTGAAACTTCCGCCTCCCAGGCTCCAGCAATTCTCCTGCCTCAGCCTCCCGAGTAGCTGGGATTACAGCTGTGCACCACTACTGCCCGGCTAATTTTTGTATTTTTAGTAGAGACAGGGGTTTCATCATGTTGGCCAGGCTAGTACTGAACTCCTGACCTCAAATGATCCACCTGCCTCTGCCTCCAAAAGTGCTGGGATTACAGGCGCGAGCCACCGTGCCCAGCCAGCAGGCCCTAAATTCTGCTAGTCGTCTTTCCTGTGCTCCAGGCTGCTCTCCTATCCTTCAGCACTAGGGCCCTAGGTGGGATTCACAGAAGGAATTATATCCCTACTCAGTGTTTACCTGACGATTATATACCCTTTCTCAGGGTTTACCTGACGAGCCAAACACTCTGTCGTCCTCACACCTGCCAGGGAAGTGCACTTCCTTTGGGGCCCAAAGCCCAGAATGGTTTGAGCAGATACAGCTTTATCTCTATTTCATGCTCTGTTGAGTTCCTCTCTTAGATGTATTTTCATCCTGTGAGTTTTCTTTGGTGGAAGAGAAGGTATTTTAAGCTTTTTTGGAGCAGAGGAGTAATTTCCTGGTTGTGATCCAGGCTCTAAATGGCTTCCTATACCCTGCCTTCCCCGCCCCAGTCCCTCCCTGCTTCCACACAGCAGACCAGGCAGAAGCCTTCCTAGCCTGGCTCTTCCTGTGTAACACATTCCCCCCAGAGCATGTGTGGATGTGGGGTGGGGAAGGATTAAGCCTCTTGTGTCCTGTGTCATAGGCCATATAAACACCTCAAAGACATCACCCCTTCCAGAACCCTGCACAGATGTGATACATATAATGCATAAGTACATGACTACATGAGGGTTCTCATCATATCCCCTTTTGTGCTTGAGTATGAAACAGACAAACTAAACCCCTCTATTTCCATGAGCTCATGAACAATTACAGTAAGAACTCCGGCTCCCAAATGAGAGCTAACAGCCCCTAACAACCTTTGACTTGGAAGTGGACTTTAAAAAGACAGTGCCAAGAGCTGTGTTACCCACTGACAGTTTAGGGACAAGGTCTGGGTGCCCACAGAGCCTAGGTGTCGAGGACGAAGGAAGCCTCTGCTGGGAAGATGAGCCTGAGACAGCTACAGAAGGAAGATGGCACATGTGGCCAGGACAGGCCCCAAAGAGGATCAGCTCGCCTGCCTGAGTACATCCGGGCATCCTCTTTGCAGAAGGCTACTCTCAATCTCCCTCCAACACATTGTGACACCCATTTTTTGCAAGTCATCTGTTGCTCAGAGGAAACGCTAGACAGTGGTTGGGCCATAATTATAAAGACAGGTAGATGTGTGACATTTCCGAGGGCTAGGCTGGGTGCAGGGAGGCAGGACAGTAGGAGGCTGCCTAGAGAAAACATTTTTTCAGATCTGGCACTCTTGGTATACACCACTGAAGGGCTGACTCTATGACTGAGAGAGCTGATGATTCACTTGTGCCCCGTCTGATCTGGGACTTAGACCTTCTCAGCACTTCCTGCCAACCCGACTAATGGCCAGATGGGCTGCCTAGGAGAGGGGCATCGCCCAATCTGCAGGAAACAGTAATTACAAATCAATGTTTGTGGGACCTGACTGGGGTCGAGCCTGCAGAAGCTGGGTTTGTGGCCAGTCGAGGGATCCTGCCAGCCTAGGGTGCCAACGTTCTAGGGTGCCAACGTGGGGCAGGGCTGAACACCAATCTGGCCAGGCAAGCGTCAGCAAGCCAGATCCTGCACTGAGCCTGAGCCCAAGCCCGCGGGTTGCTCTCCGACTAGCGCTCGTGGAACACGGGTGCCACCTAGTGGCCAGATCTGGCATGACTGGCCCCCAGAGGTCCCAAGGAACCGCCTGTGCGGCGGGGATCACGATAGCCACCACTGCATGACAGTAATGACGTCAATACTATATCAACACCACGCATCTTTCCAGCCATCCTGCCCTCTGCCCTAAGCCTTTGTTCAGGCTGATCCCTCTGTCATCATAATCGCATTAATTACAATAGTAAGAGTAGCATCTCCATCAAAAAGAACAAGACTCTCCACCATGTATTGGGCACTTACTTTGTGCCATACACTATGCTAGGCACACGGATTAGAAATTACCAAGCTAAGGTCCCTTCCTTCATGGGACCCATATGCTCAGATATTTGCAATTAACCAAAATCTAAGACATAGTGGCAAAATAGATTCAACAACCTGCAGGGGCAAAGATGAGGTGACAAGTCATTGAATATCAGGAGCTGGTTTTTAGGTGTCATCAAGGGTGCAAAGGATGGGTAAGATTTCAGTAGGTGACAAAAGGGAAAACATTCCGAGCAAAGGAATGGGACAGTGAAAACAACGGGTCCAGGAAACAGCAAGTGTAGCTGCCAAATATTGTGTATGTGGAGGGGGGGGGGTACAGGGGGGTACCAGGACCCAGAAACGGTTGGAACTTGAAGTTATGATAACCTGTGATGTAAGCCAGTTTCTGGGTTTGAACTTTTCTTCTGAGGCCTAAGATAAGCCACTGGAAGGTTTGAAACAAGAATATCGGTTGTTTCTTAAAGATCTATTTAAGAGGCCAGTGTGCAGAGATTGGTTAGGAAAAATGGCTGCAGCATTTGTTACAACATAATTCACTCAACATCCAACAGAAAATGACAAGCCTGTTATGAGCCAGATGCTGTTCATACAAAAATCTCTTCTCTCGTGAAACCCACATTCTGGAGTTTGATGAGAGAGTGGGTAGGAGGGATAGAGAGGAAACAGATGGAAGATATTGCAGAAGTTGAATCTCCAGGACTTTGATGGCCAAAGAGGAAGAAAGAGGAAGGAGTAAAAGATGTCACCTAAATGAGAAAGAGAGAAGTAAAGCCACCTGATGCTGGAACTGAAAGAAAAGGGCAGGTCTGTGGGGAAAGGAAATGAGTCTGCTTTGGTAATCAGTTGATTCAACAAGCAACTCCAAAGCAAAAACTCTGAGTCCACAAAATCAACATTACATTACAACGACCCACCTCTCCCATCCCATGAAAATTGAGACTAGGTTTACTGCCATTACAGGTTAAAACTGTGCTGAATTAGTTGTCAAATACAAATCTCTATAAACAGAAAAGGAGCGTTCTCTTGGAGAGAAAACGAACCTTTCAAGATCCAAAGAGGAATGATGGCCTGCCTATGACAAAGCCGATCATAATCCCCAAAGACACAATCCTGAATGCCATAATCCCGAATGTTGAAATCTCAAAAGATAAAAATCCAGAAAATATAACTCTGACAAAAAAAAATGTGTTAATTCTTTAAAAGATATTTATATTTTTTAGGGAGGTTTATTTGAAAAACATATAAAAACATGATAGAACACTTCATAGGCCACCTTTTCACAATGAACTAGGTAATAACAAAGTCCATAGTTGTGCAAGCATAAACATTCAGGTATATTAATGAGAGTCTCAGAAGTATAATGGTTATGACAGACAAATTATATTCATAAAGAAACAGCTCAAAAAGGGAAATGCATAAACACATATCACCAAGCTTTATAACTGCAGTTGTCTGAAATACCATGACAGACAACCTAAGGCTTTTGACAAGTTTAATCCAAAACCGCGATGGGTCACCACTGCATATGCAGTCACCCACAGAGCTGAGATCTCAAGAAATTTTATCTTTCACAAATGCTCATGTACAAAAAGGACATCTCTTCACTTATTGAGGAAGTTTCAATGTTTTTACATACATGCACAATGTTTACACACAAAGTCGATGTTGTGATAATATACTTTCATGGAGTCAAACTTGCAAAAAAAGAAAAGCACAAATTAGAACTCTCTAAAAGAATGTACACAACTTAAACCTCTGGTATTAGAAGTGATGTGAAAATGAAACACATAGCGTAGTGAATTGGCAATATTTGTGGAGAGGCAGAAGTTGTACATAATTGAATATCCTGGCAGGGGAGATTTGTATTTTTCATCTGCATTTTCACTTCTTGTATGATCTTCAAAACATTAGCTACACTTGTATTTGTTGAGTGGTTGTGGTCTACAAATTTTGTAAGTATATGCTGTCCATTTGAAGGTCTGGTTACTGCTTGGCCATTGCAATTAAGCAATTTTCTGCTTCTGAAGCACCAATAATAATTCACTTTTAAACTTTTCTTTCACCATTAAGTAGCCTCATATACTTTTTTGTGAGTGAACAATCTCACAGATCTCTTCCATTGTGTCAGAAGGAATATAGTAAGAAGGAATGATATCTGGCTTCCCTAATACCACATCTGTATTCATTAGGGTTCTCCAGAGAGACAGAATCAATAGGATATGTACACAGATAGGACAGGGATTTACTAGAAAAACTGGTTCATGCAATTACAGTGGCTGAAATGTCCCACAACAGGCCGTCTGCAAGCTGGAGACCCTAGGATGCTGGTAGCATGGCTCAGTCCAAATGTGAAGGCCTCAGAACCAGGGAAGCTGACGGTATAACTTACCCAGGGGTCTGCTGGTGTTACGTCATGGAGTCCCAAGGCTGGAGAACGTGGAGTTCTGATGTCAAAGGCAGCAGATGAAAATCTGTCTCAACTCCCAGAAAGAGACCAATTTGCCTTCTGTATTTGTTCTCTCTGGGCCCCCAGCTGATTGGATAACATAGACCAACACTGAGGACAGATCTTCCCCACCTAGTCCACTCAGACTCACACTCATCTCCCCTGGAACACACCCCACAGACACACCCCAAATAATGCTTTACCAGGGCTCTGGGCATTCCTTCATCCAGTCAAGCTGGCACCTAAGATTAAATCCACAAGTCTACCCCTTGTCAACTTGGCATCCACAAGCATGTCCTTAAGCCACCTTAATTTCCAAATAAAGACAATGACAAGGTAACAGTTCCACCTAACAGAGTGACTGTGATTTTCAGTATTTGAGAGGTTCGTTATTTTAGACTTTAGAGATTTTGACCTTCAGGGATTTTGATCTTTTGAGATTTCAACATTCAGGATTATAGCATTTGGGATGGTGTCTCTCAGCATTATGATCCAAATAGTATGAATAACGAGCTAGAGTCCCCTAGAAAAAAATCTGTGATTCATCACTGTAGCAGGACCAGAATACCCTTCGCCAGCAGCCATTCTTACCTCTTTCTTTGGCTAATTTCTGATCCATAAAAACTCATCCCAAATGCTGTGCCCCCGTTCAATCTGGTCTGTGCCTTGACCATAAACTGGTCATTATGCTTCCCTTCTCTGTTCCCAATAGTACAGAGTTCACATCTTTCAGAGAACCTTTAACACTGCAGTGTGGTGTTTGTCTGTGTGACAGCAATTTTTATGCCTATGTTTTAAAATGTAGTTCTAAAATTCTTTGGCATCTCCACATAAAGATAATGGGGTCTATCTCCCCTCCTCTTGAATTTGGGCAGACTTCTGACTATTTCAATAACTAGAATACAGCAGAAGTGACACTGTGAGACTTCTGAAGCTAGAAAAGACCTGGAAGTATCCATCTAGTCTTGCAACGCTAGCTCTTGAGGGGGCACGCTTTTGGGACACTGCCTCTCTGAACCCAGGGTTCATGGAGAAAAATCCATGCTGCGGGGAAGGGCCACCAAGTAGTTATTCTGGTCGACAGTCACAGTTAAACTGAGCCTTCCTGTCAAACCTGCCCAGGCACCAAACCTGGGAGTGAAGAAACCATCTTAGAAGGGGATCCTCCAGCCCCAGTTGTTTGGTTCCCAGCTATCTTCCTGGCTGAGGCCTCGGACATCATGGAGCACAGATCAATTTTTGCTATGGCCTTTCTGAATTTCTGATCCAAAAAATAATCATGATAAAATGGCTGTTTTATGTGCTAAGTTTTTGCATAATTTATTACACAGTAATAATAAGCAGAAAAGTCGGTCTCACCTCCCAGACTATCAAATTAGTTAAGGTAAGGGACATTACTTTGTCTATCTTCCACAAGGTCTGACACAGTACTGAGACAGCTTTCATTAAGGAAGAAAGAAATGAAGAAATTCTGTTAAATGGTTTATTTGATGGTCCATATCGTCCTCTCATTCAGCGGTCCCCAACCTTTTTGGCACCAGGGACTGCTTTTGTGGGAGACCATTTTTCCATGGAGGGAGTTGCGGGGATGATTTCAACCTACATCCTTCACATGCACAGTTCACAGTAGGGTTAGAACTCCTACAATAATCTAATGCCACTGCTCATGTGACAGGATGTGGTGCTCAGGCGGGAATGCTCGCTCGCACACCGCTCACCTTCTGCTATGTGGCCCAGTTCCTAACAGACCACTGACCGGTACCAGTCTGAGGCTGGGGGCGAGTAGGTGGGGACCCCTGCTGTAGTTCTTCTTGTCTTTATCCCCAGTGTTTTGTGGCCCTGAAGAAGTTGTTTTTTGAATTCAGAGAATAGTATTTATCTTACTGAATTCCTGTAAAAATTGAACCAGTGAACCAGTATGCAATCAACTTGTACAGTGATCTTATCCAGGCCCACTAAATGTTTGCTGAACCCATATATGGAAGATAGCAATTGCTAACATTTACTGAGTTCTCAGTGTAAATGAAGCATTGCTCTAAATTCTTCCTCCAATTACCCCATAAAATCCTCACAACTACCTTGTGGGCTATGCACTATTGTAAAGAGGAGGACATGGAGATGTGAGGTAACCAGGTCAGATCACACAGTTCACAAGAAACAGGGCCACCTGTTATCTGTGCAAAGGTCACAAGCTCCTCAAGAGAAAGGTCTGAATCTTCTCCTACCCTCCCCCCAGGTAGGAGCTGCATGCTATAGATACTCTTTAGCTTGGCTTCAAATCCAGACATTTCTCCTTAGTGGTCAACCCTGCTTGAAATCTTCTTAGA
The DNA here is from genome assembly GCF_000001405.40 of Homo sapiens. Classification (NCBI taxonomy): domain Eukaryota; kingdom Metazoa; phylum Chordata; class Mammalia; order Primates; family Hominidae; genus Homo; species Homo sapiens. The sequence goes on along the minus strand of NC_000011.10, from coordinate 87,347,871 downwards.
AAAGGCTTCAGGCCCCTGCCTACTTGGTGACAGTTCAGGGAGATAAGATATCAAAAAGTTAGGAAAAGCAGACCTAAGAGAAATCAAGAGTCAGCACTCTGGTAGCACTACAGGGAAAAGGAGTACAATTGTTCTTCCTCCTTGGAAGGATGAAAAAGAAAATATGGACTTCAGTGGTACTGTGCAGGCATGAAGTTAACCATCAGGAGTTATCTCTGACTTTTAGAGGGTCAGACTCTCACATGTGCTTGTGTGTGGCACTGACACCATTCCCATGAGGAAAGCACTAGTGCAGCCTCTCCAACTAGAAGGCAGTCAGTCCCACAAAGAAGACTATTTAGGCACGGCTCGGGGACAGGCCAGGATAAATGACTTGAGTCTTATCTTAGACAGAAGAGAATTTAAGTTCTTATCTTTAGCAGTTCTAACTTCTCACTACTCTTATTCTTACTGCCATATTGAAGAGATTGTTCAATCAGTAGAAAAGCATTTAAAACAATACTGAAAAATATTCTGAGTGAAATCCTTATAATAATAGTAATAATATATCCCCAAAATAGCCAGCAGTGTGAGGAATAAATATGGTCATATTGTTTATATTTTTTCAGTTGATTACTCTTATAAACAGAAAGTCCAGTAACCACTTACTAAATGCCTGCTATGTTCCAGAAATTCTCAGGTGTTGGGAATATGACAGTGAACAAAACAAAGATCTCCAGTCTCATAGAGTTTAATTTCTAGCAGGGGTCAAATAATAGATGTAATAAATAAGTAAATAATTTAGCATACTGAAGGTATTAAGTTTTAAGAATAAAAAAAAAAATAAAGTGGCTGGGCGCAGTGGCTCACGCCTGTAATCCCAGTACTTTGGGAGGCCAAGATGGGTGGATCACAAGAAGTTCAAGACCAGCCTGGCCAAGATGGTGAAATCCTGTCTCTACTAAAAATACAAAAATTAGCCAGGTGTGGTGGTGAGCACCTGTAATCCCAGCTACTTGGGAAGCTGAGGCAGGGGAATTGCTTGAACCTGGGAGGCAGAGGTTGTAGTGAGCAGAGATCGTGCCACTGCACTCCAGCCTGGGCGACAGAGCAAGACTCCATCTCAAAAACAAACAAACAAACAAACAAAAACAATAAAGCAGTTAAAGGGGTCTGAGATGGTAAGAAAGGCTTCACTGAGAATGTGACATTTAAGCAAATCTTGAAGAGAGTGGCCTTGACCTTCAAAAAGTCATAAAAGTTCTGTCTATACCTGTACTCCAGGACAACAGGTGTTCAGTGCCTTACATGTACACAATTAAGATGGATCTCTCAAATGGTGCTTAAAATTTTACTCCAAAATGACCTACTGTGTACACTTGCCAAAAAGTAGCAGTGGTTTCTCTCACTGTAAATGACAAATCTTCCCAGAATTTATACAAACAGGGGTATAATCCAAATAACAGGTTAATAGGATATAGAAGCTAATGGTACATCTGTGGGTCTCAGATCATTTGGAGATGTCATCTTCTTGTTTATTATAAATCTATGTGATGTTCCCAGGAGGCCTTGAGGCAACAAAAAGAAGACTCAGTAAATTTTAATGTTTTCCCTCTATTTTTCTATACTTCGTGGAACCACACCCCTGGGTTCAGGCACATGGCTTTAAGAAATCTCATGTTATCCCAATGCAAAGCCTACACTCAGGATAACTGGGAACATCTTAGGCCTACAGTCCCCAGTTATCGTAAGAATTACTCTTTTAAGATTGAAAAAGATTCCTTAGTATCCAGTAGTGTCTGTAGACAGTAAGCATACAATAAATGTTTTCGGAGGAGGAGCCAAGATGGCCGAATAGGAACAGCTCCGGTCTACAGCTCCCAGCGTGAGCGACGCAGAAGACGGGTGATTTCTGCATTTCCATCTGAGGTACCGGGTTCATCTCACTAGGGAGTGCCAGACAGTGGGCGCAGGCCAGTGTGTGTGCGCACCGTGCGCGAGCCGAAGCAGGGCGAGGCATTGCCTCACCTGGGAAGCGCAAGGGGTCAGGGAGTTCCCTTTCTGAGTCAAAGAAAGGGGTGACGGACACACCTAGAAAATCGGGTCACTCCCACCCGAATATTGCGCTTTTCAGACCGGCTTAAGAAACGGCGCACCACGAGACTATATCCCACACCTGGCTCAGAGGGTCCTACGCCCACGGAGTCTCGCTGATTGCTAGCACAGCAGTCTGAGATCAAACTGCAAGGCGGCAACGAGGCTGGGGGAGGGGCGCCCGCCATTGCCCAGGCTTGCTTAGGTAAACAAAGCAGCCGGGAAGCTCCAACTGGGTGGAGCCCACCACAGCTCAAGGAGGCCTGCCTGCCTCTGTAGGCTCCACCTCTGGGGGCAGGGCACAGTCAAACAAAAAGATAGCAGTAACCTCTGCAGACTTAAGTGTCCCTGTCTGACAGCTTTGAAGAGAGCAGTGGTTCTCCCAGCACGCAGCTGGAGATCTGAGAAGGGGCAGACTGCCTCCTCAAGTGGGTCCCTGACCCCTGACCCCCGAGCAGCCTAACTGGGAGGCACCCCCCAGCAGGGGCACACTGACACCTCACACGGCAGGGTATTCCAACAGACCTGCAGCTGAGGGTCCTGTCTGTTAGAAGGAAAACTAACAACCAGAAAGGACATCTACACCAAAAACCCATCTGTACATCACCATCATCAAAGACCAAAAGTAGATAAAACCACAAAGATGGGGAAAAAACAGAACAGAAAAACTGGAAACTCTAAAACGCAGAGCACCTCTCCTCCTCCAAAGGAACGCAGTTCCTCACCAGCAACAGAACAAAGCTGGATGGAGAATGATTTTGACGAGCTAAGAGAAGAAGGCTTCAGACGATCAAATTACTCTGAGCTACGGGAGGACATTCAAACCAAAGGCAAAGAAGTTGAAAACTTTGAAAAAAATTTAGAAGAATGTATAACTAGAATAACCAATACAGAGAAGTGCTTAAAGGAGCTGATGGAGCTGAAAACCAAGGCTCGAGAACTACGTGAAGAATGCAGAAGCCTCAGGAGCCGATGCGATCAACTGGAAGAAAGGGTATCAGCAATGGAAGATGAAATGAATGAAATGAAGCGAGAAGGGAAGTTTAGAGAAAAAAGAATAAAAAGAAATGAGCAAAGCCTCCAAGAAATATGGGACTATGTGAAAAGACCAAATCTACGTCTGATTGGTGTACCTGAAAGTGATGTGGAGAATGGAACCAAGTTGGAAAACACTCTGCAGGATATTATCCAGGAGAACTTCCCCAATCTAGCAAGGCAGGCCAACGTTCAGATTCAGGAAATACAGAGAACGCCATAAAGATACTCCTCGAGAAGAGCAACTCCAAGACACATAATTGTCAGATTCACCAAAGTTGAAATGAAGGAAAAAATGTTAAGGGCAGCCAGAGAGAAAGGTCGGGTTACCCTCAAAGGAAAGCCCATCAGACTAACAGCGGATCTCTCAGCAGAAACCCTACAAGCCAGAAGAGAGTGGGGGCCAATATTCAACATTCTTAAAGAAAAGAATTTTCAACCCAGAATTTCATATCCAGCCAAACTAAGCTTCATAAGTGAAGGAGAAATAAAATACTTTATAAACAAGCAAATGCTGAGAGATTTTGTCACCACCAGGCCTGCCCTAAAAGAGCTCCTGAAGGAAGCGCTAAACATGGAAAGGAACAACCGGTACCAGCCGCTGCAAAATCATGCCAAAATGTAAAGACCATCGAGACTAGGAAGAAACTGCATCAACTAATGAGCAAAATCACCAGCTAACATCATAATGACAGAATCAAATTCACACATAACAATATTAACTTTAAATATAAATGGACTAAATTCTGCAATTAAAAGACACAGACTGACAAGTTGGATAAAGAGTCAAGACCCATCAGTGTGCTGTATTCAGGAAACCCATCTCACGTGCAGAGACACACACAGGCTCAAAATAAAAGGATGGAGGAAGATCTACCAAGCAAATGGAAAACAAAAAAAGGCAGGGGTTGCAATCCTAGTCTCTGATAAAACAGACTTTAAACCAACAACGATCAAAAGAGACAAAGAAGGCCATTACATAATGGTAAAGGGATCAATTCAACAAGAGGAGCTAACTATCCTAAATATTTATGCACCCAATACAGGAGCACCCACATTCATAAAGCAAGTCCTGAGTGACCTACAAAGAGACTTAGACTCCCACACATTAATAATGGGAGACTTTAACACCCCACTGTCAACATTAGACAGATCAACGAGACAGAAAGTCAACAAGGATACCCAGGAATTGAACTCAGCTCTGCACCAAGCAGACCTAATAGACATCTACAGAACTCTCCACCCCAAATCAACAGAATATACATTTTTTTCAGCACCACACCACACCTATTCCAAAATTGACCACATAGTTGGAAGTAAAGCTCTCCTCAGCAAATGTAAAAGAACAGAAATTATAACAAACTATCTCTCAGACCACAGTGCAATCAAACTAGAACTCAGGATTAAGAATCTCACTCAAAGCCGCTCAACTACATGGAAACTGAACAACCTGCTCCTGAATGACTACTGGGTACATAACGAAATGAAGGCAGAAATAAAGATGTTCTTTGAAACCAACGAGAACAAAGACACCACATACCAGAATCTCTGGGACGCATTCAAAGCAGTGTGTAGAGGGAAATTTATAGCACTAAATGCCTACAAGAGAAAGCAGGAAAGATCCAAAATTGACACCCTAACATCACAATTAAAAGAACTAGAAAAGCAAGAGCAAACACATTCAAAAGCTAGCAGAAGGCAAGAAATAACTAAAATCAGAGCAGAACTGAAGGAAATAGAGACACAAAAAACCCTTCAAAAAATCAATGAATCCAGGAGCTGGTTTTTTGAAAGGATCAACAAAATTGATAGACCGCTAGCAAGACTAATTAAGAAAAAAAGAGAGAAGAATCAAATAGACACAATAAAAAATGATAAAGGGGATATCACCACCGATCCCACAGAAATACAAACTACCATCAGAGAATACTACAAACACCTCTACGCAAATAAACTAGAAAATCTAGAAGAAATGGATACATTCCTCGACACATACACTCTCCCAAGACTAAACCAGGAAGAAGTTGAATCTCTGAATAGACCAATAACAGGCTCTGAAATTGTGGCAATAATCAATAGTTTACCAACCAAAAAGAGTCCAGGACCAGATGGATTCACAGCCGATTTCTACCAGAGGTACAAGGAGGAACTGATACCATTCCTTCTGAAAGTATTCCAATCAATAGAAAAAGAGGGAATCCTCCCTAACTCATTTTATGAGGCCAGCATCATTCTGATACCAAAGCCGGGCAGAGACACAACCAAAAAAGAGAATTTTAGACCAATATCCTTGATGAACATTGATGCAAAAATCCTCAATAAAATACTGGCAAACCGAATCCAGCAGCACATCAAAAAGCTTATCCACCATGATCAAGTGGGCTTCATCCCTGGGATGCAAGGCTGGTTCAACATACGCAAATCAATAAATGTAATCCAGCATATAAACAGAGCCAAAGACAAAAACCACATGATTATCTCAATCGATGCAGAAAAAGCCTTTGACAAAATTCAACAACCCTTCATGCTAAAAACTCTCAATAAATTAGGTATTGATGGGACGTATTTCAAAATAATAAGAGCTATCTATGACAAACCCACAGCCAATATCATACTGAATGGGCAAAAACTGGAAGCATTCCCTTTGAAAACTGGCACAAGACAGGGATGCCCTCTCTCACCGCTCCTATTCAACATAGTGTTGGAAGTTCTGGCCAGGGCAATCAGGCAGGAGAAGGAAATAAAGGGTATTCAATTAGGAAAAGAGGAAGTCAAATTGTCCCTGTTTGCAGACGACATGATTGTTTATCTAGAAAACCCCATCGTCTCAGCCCAAAATCTCCTTAAGCTGATAAGCAACTTCAGCAAAGTCTCAGGATACAAAATCAATGTACAAAAATCACAAGCATTCTTATACACCAACAACAGACAAACAGAGAGCCAAATCATGAGTGAACTCCCATTCACAATTGCTTCAAAGAGAATAAAATACCTAGGAATCCAACTTACAAGGGATGTGAAGGACCTCTTCAAGGAGAACTACAAACCACTGCTCAAGGAAATAAAAGAGGACACAAACAAATGGAAGAACATTCCATGCTCATGGGTAGGAAGAATCAATATCGTGAAAATGGCCATACTGCCCAAGGTAATTTACAGATTCAATGCCATCCCCATCAAGCTACCAATGACTTTCTTCACAGAATTGGAAAAAACTACTTTAAAGTTCATATGGAACCAAAAAAGAGCCCGCATCGCCAAGTCAATCCTAAGCCAAAAGAACAAAGCTGGAGGCATCACACTACCTGACTTCAAATTATACTACAAGGCTACAGTAACCAAAACAGCATGGTACTGGTACCAAAACAGAGATATAGACCAATGGAACAGAACAGAGCCCTCAGAAATAATGCCACATATCTACAACTATCTGATCTTTGACAAACCTGAGAAAAACAAGCAATGGGGAAAGGATTCCCTATTTAATAAATGGTGCTGGGAAAACTGGCTAGCCATATGTAGAAAGCTGAAACTGGATCCCTTCCTTACACCTTATACAAAAATCAATTCAAGATGGATTAAAGATTTAAACGTTAGACCTAAAACCATAAAAACCCTAGAAGAAAACCTAGGCATTACCATTCAGGACATAGGCGTGGGCAAGGACTTCATGTCCAAAACACCAAAAGCAATGGCAACAAAAGACAAAATTGACAAATGGGATCTAATTAAACTAAAGAGCTTCTGCACAGCAAAAGAAACTACCATCAGAGTGAACAGGCAACCTACAGAATGGGAGAAAATTTTCGCAACCTACTCATCTGACAAAGGGCTAATATCCAGAATCTACAATGAACTCAAACAAATTGACAAGAAAAAAACAAACAACCCCATCAAAAAGTGGGCGAAGGACATGAACAGACACTTCTCAAAAGAAGACATTTATGCAGCCAAAAAACACATGAAGAAATGCTCATCATCACTGGCCATCAGAGAAATGCAAATCAAAACCACTATGAGATATCATCTCACACCAGTTAGAATGGCAATCATTAAAAAGTCAGGAAACAACAGGTGCTAGAGAGGATGTGGAGAAATAGGAACACTTTTACACTGTTGGTGGGACTGTAAACTAGTTCAACCATTGTGGAAGTCAGTGTGGCGATTCCTCAGGGATCTAGAACTAGAAATACCATTTGACCCAGCCATCCCATTACTGGGTATATACCCAAAGGACTATAAATCATGCTGCTATAAAGACACATGCACACGTATGTTTATTGCGGCACTATTCACAATAGCAAAGACTTGGAACCAACCCAAATGTCCAACAATGATAGACTGGATTCAGAAAATGTGGCACATATACACCATGGAATACTATGCAGCCATAAAAAATGATGAGTTCATGTCCTTTGTAGGGACATGGATGAAATTGGAAACCATCATTCTCAGTAAACTATCGCAAGAACAAAAAACCAAACACCGCATATTCTCACTCATAGGTGGGAATTGAACAATGAGATCACATGGACACAGGAAGGGGAATATCACACTCTGGGGACTGTGGTGGGGTCGGGGGAGGGGGGAGGGATAGCATTGGGAGATATACCTAATGCTAGATGACACGTTAGTGGGTGCAGCGCACCAGCATGGCACATGTATACATATGTAACTAACCTGCACAATGTGCACATGTACCCTAAAACTTAGAGTATAATAAAAAATAAAATAAAAAAAAAATAAATGTTTTCATAAATAGTAGAGGTTCTGCTTCAAGTAATGGTAGACTATGCAATTCAGACTAACCCTCCAAATGAAGACAACCATCAAAAATGGACAAAATATACAAGAAACAACTTTTTGAAGGCATTGGAGAGGTAACAAGAAAATTAATTAATGATCCAGATTCCAGAAGAAAGTCAAGCTCAGAAAGGTGAGCCCAAAATTTGGGGTTGCTTTAGCTAAGAGACTATGAGGCTGGACAAAAGTGTGACCATCACAGAACTCTGCAGTAGCGTACACTGGGGGACAACCACTTTGGAAAAGTCTGACATCGAATGAACTTAAAGATATAATACACCTTATCCCCTGGGGACTCCACTCCTAGGTATATAACTCACAGAAAAGTTATGCAAGGCATCCAGAACCGTTCACGAGAATGCTAACAATGGCATTTTTATAATAGCTGTAAACAGGACAATTCATGTCCATGGTATATTTAGAATACTGAACAAAATGAAAATAAACATATTATAGCGATACACCATAATAAATATGTAGCTATACACAATAATAAATACAAAGCTGAGTGAAAGAAGTCAGATACAAAGGGATATACTGTGGCCAGGCACAGTGGCTCACACCTGCAATCCCAGCACTTTGGGAGGCCGAGGCAGGTGGATCACTTGAGGTCAGGAGTTCAAGACTAGCCTGGCCAACATGGTGAAACCTCATCTCTACTAAAAATACAAAAATTAGCCAGGAATGGTGGTGCATGCCTGTAGTCCCAGCTAATCAGGAGGCTGAGGCATGAGAATTGCTTGAATTCGAGAGACAGAGGTTGCAGTGAGCTGAGATTGCACCACTGCACTCCAGCCTGGGCGACAGATCAAGACTCTGTCTCAAAAATTAAAAAAACAAATAAAAAACAAAAACAAAAAAACCCTGATATACTGTGTATAATTCCATTTACATAAGGTTCAAGAACTTGTCAATGTAATAATCTCTAGTGCTTGGGAATGCCCATTAAGGTAGACATGATTATTATAAAAAGAACAGTGGCTATCTCTGGGAGAGGTAAGCATTACGATTACAAGAGGGTACAAAATAGGCTTCTGAGGGTGCTGGCAACATTCTACTTGTTGATTTTGGTGTACGATATATGTATATTTCACAATAAAAGGTTTTAAAAACTATTAGCATGTTGCACATGTCACTGGCTCATTCTTCTCATTTCTGCAAAGTATTTTATTATATGGATATACAAAATTTGTTTATCCATTCACCTACCGAAAGACTTTTAGGTTCTTTCAACTTTTTGGCTATTACAAATAAAGCTGCTGTGAACATTCATATATAAGACTTTCATTTCTCTTGGGTAGCTATGGCTGTGATTGAAATGCCTGAGTCATATGCTACTGTATGTTTAGCTTTTCAGAGATGAACAAATTGTTTCAATTAGGTTGCTCTAATTCACATTCCCATTAGCAATATATGACAGTTCAAGCTTCTCCACATCCTTGCTAGCAGTTAGTATAGTTTTTGTAGTTAGTCATTTCAGTGAGTGTATAGTGGTGTCACATTGTGGTTCTAATTGACATTTAATCTGCAACTGGTTTTAATTTGCAATGATGTGGAGCACCTTTTAATGCACTTATCTGCCATCCACGTATCTTCTTATGTAAAATGTGTTCAAATCTTTTGCCCATTTAAAAAAAATCAGACTGTTTTTCGTATTATTGAGTTTTGAGCACACTGACTATGTTATCCCATTGCCTTCTGGCCTTTATTGTTTCTGCTAGGAAGTCAGCTGTTAATCTTGGAGGTTCCTTTGAAAGTGATAGATTATTTTTCTCTTCTTTCAAATTATCTCTTTGTCTTTTTCCACATTTTTCCTATAATATGTTTATCTATGGCTCTCTTTGTGTTTACCTAATTCGGAGATCATTGAGTTTCCTGGATGTGTAGGTTATTGTTTGTCAATAAATTTGGGAAGTTTTCAGCCATTATTTCTTCCAGTATTTTTTTACCTAACTCTTTCCCTCTTCTTCCCTCCCCTCCCCTCCTCCTGATAATCCTGATACTCACATTACATGTGTATCAGTGTACTTAATGGTATCTCGCCTTTCTCTGAGGTTCTGTTTACTTTCCTTCATTCTTTTTTCCTGTTCTTTGGAACGCATAATCTCTATTGACCAATCCTTAAGCTCAGAAATTCCTTCTGCTGCCAATTCAAATCTATTGTTGAGCACTTCTAATACATTTTTAAATTTTAGTTATTGTACTTTAAACTCCAGAATTTCCATTAAGAAATCTATCTTTATTGATATTCTCTATTTGATAAAACATTATCACTATACCTTCCTTTACCTTTTTTAGTCAAGCTGTCCTTCAGTTCTGTGAACATATTTATAATGGTTACTTTAAAATCATTTCCTATTAAAGCCAACATCTGGCCACTCTCATGGGCAGTTTCTGTTGCCTGGTTATTTTTATTTTACGTTTTTGGTTTTTTTTTTTTCATTGCATGGGTCACACTTTCCTGTTTCCTTGCATGACTCAAAAATTTTTTTGTTGGAAACTGAATATTTTAGATAATATATTGTAGGAACACTGGATAATGAATACCCCACTCTGAGCTTTGTTGTTGCTTGTCTGCTGGTCTAGTGACTGGTTGAATTATTTTAGTGAAGTCTATTTCTCCCCTACAGTGTCCAGCCTCTGATGTTGCTCTTCAGGATGGTACAGCTTTGGGTATGCCTACAGTCACTGGGGATGACAGTGGTACTGGTAGGGCTCCTTTCCATCTTTCCCTGACTTTGGAGCTGGAGAGTAAGGACAATGGCAAGCTTCTCTCCAAGTGATTCTCACATACTAGGAGCTGAGAATTCAGTGGGAATGGGGAGTAGCTGCAGTCTGGTCCTCTCAGCTTGCCTCTTCTGGCATGGACCTACCACCTTAATAAGGGCTCAATATTCTCTGCATGGGAGAAGGGTTATAAGGACCCAATATTTTCTGTTTGCTACACCTAAGGTAGAACCTCCATTCCAAGAGTAAGAGTTCGGTAGAAGAAAGGAGCTTCCACCTCTCAGTCACATTCACCTGGGATTTAACCTCAGCAACAGGCAAGAAGGGGCAGGATGAGAGTTGTTAAGTGCTATCTCTACTGGAAAAAAAAAAAAAAGCCTTTGATTGGGAACCAAGGAGGGAAAGAGCCTTGTGTTGTTGGCTGCAGTTATCTAGAGTGGAGTCACTACCTTGCTGAGCTGGGAGTGGGGAGGGTGGAAGAAGTCTTGGTTCAAATATCACAGAATCTCACCTTTCTTACTAAATTTTCTAAAAGAGATGTTTCTTCATTTGCTCTTTGTCCTGAGGACCATTTCCAGAGACTCTAAATGGCTGGAGATTTTAACAATGTTTTTCTCCTTCAAGCAGCAGAGACAGAAAAAATAATAACTTTCACTAGTTTCACCGGGGAATGTGTCAGCAGAACTCCTCATGCTGTTATGCCAGAAGTCAATCTTCCTATTGAGTTCCAACAGTTCTTTATATATTGCAGATAAAGCTCTTTACTGGACTGCGATTTGCAAATATTTTCTCCCAGTATGTAAGCTGTCTTTTCATTCTGTTAATCCTGTCTTTGGAAGAAACCAAAGTTTTATGTTTTGATGCACTCCAACTTATCAAAATTTTCTTTTATGGACTGTATTTTTGATGTCATATCTAAAAAATCTTTACCTAAATGAAGATAACAAATATTTTCTCAATTTTTTCCAGAAATGTTATAATTTTACATGTTACATTTAGGTCTCGAAATGATACATTTTTAATTAAATTTATATATATGATACAAGTTAGTTTTGTAATAATTTGCAATAGAAGTCAATGTTCTTTTTTCCCATTTTTCTTTTTTTAAAAAAATCCCTAGCCAATTGTTCCAGCATGTGTTAAAAAGATTATTCTTTCTCCATTTACCATTGCACCTTTGCCAAAATTCAGTTAACCAAATATGTCTGAGTTGATCTCTCAAGTCACTATGATGTTCCATTGATCTATTTGTCTAATTTTACACCAATACTAGGATGTCTTGCTTATGATAGCTTCATAATAACCCTTCAAATCAGGTAACATACATCCCTTAACTTTGTTCTTTTATGAAGTAATTTTGGCTACTTTATAACTTTTCCATTTCTATATACATTTTAGAATTATTTTGCAACATTCACTCATCAATTCTAGCAGTTTTGTAGATTTCATAGGATTTTCTAATCCTACAAATTTAGGATGTCTGTTTAATGGCAGATGACGATTATGTTGTCTGCCAGCATGGTGGCTCACACCTTTAATTCCAGCACTTTGGGAGGCCAAGATGGGAGGATCACTTGAGCCCAGGAGTTCAAAGCCAGCTTAGGCAACATAGAGGGAATGTCTTTCTCTCTCAAAAAAAAAAAATTGCTGGGTGTGGTGGTGCACACCTGTAGTCCCACCTACTTGGTATTTCGGAGGCTGAGGCAGGAAGATCGCTTGAGCCTGGAAGGTTGATGCTGCAGTGAGCCATGATTGAACCACTGCACTCCAGCCTGCATGACAGGGAGACTCAAAAAATTAATAATAAAAATTTAAAAATTAAGGCTGGTGCGGTGGCTCATGCCTGTAATCGCAGCACTTCGGGGGGCCGAGACAGGCGGATCACAAGGTCACAAGATTTAGACCATCTTGTCTAACACCGTGAAACCCCGTCTCTACTAAAAATACAAAAAATTAGCCAGGCATGGTGGCACGCACCTGTAGTCCCAGCTACTCAGGAGGCTGAGGCAGGAGAATCGCTTGAACCTGGGAGGCAGAGGTTGCAGTGAGTCAAGATTGTGCCCTGCACTCCAGCCTGGGCAACAGAGTGAGACTCCACCTCAAAATAAAAATAAATAAATAAATAAATAAAAATTTAAAAATTTAATGGAGAATTACTTCTTGCTTTCTAATTTGAATGGGTTTATTCCTTCTTCGTGCCTTACTGCAATAACTAGAACCTCTAGTACAATGCTAATCAGTTCTAAGAGCAGGCATTCTTGCCTTGTTGATAATCTTAGAGGAAAAGCATTTGGTCTTTCACAGTTAAATATGACATTCGCTATAGAGTTTTCATTGATGCTCTTTATTAGATTATTAGAAAGTCCTTTATATTCCTCATTTGAGGAAATTCCCTTCTAGTCCTAGTTTGCTGAAAGTTATGAGAAATCAATGTTGAGTTTCACCATATGCTTTTCCTGGTTCTATTTAGATAATCATATGGTTTTCCTTTTTTTAGTTTGTAAATATAATGGATTGCAATGATTGATTTTTCAATTGATTGATTCTCAACCTTGAGTTCCTGAGATAACCTCACTTGGTCACCTTATATTACCCTTTTTATTTATTGTTCAGTTTGCTAAAATTTTGTTGAGAATTTTTTTCTTTATGGTCAGGATGGACGGTGGGCTTTAGTTGTTTTTTCTTGTAATGTCCTTGCCTGGTTTTGGTATCAGATGGCTTCATATATTGAGATGAGAAGTCTTCTCTCCTCATTATTTTCTGGAATAGTGTGTACAATTGGTGTATTTTTTTTTCCTTAGATGTTTTGTAGAACTCATCAGTGAACCCAGCTGGGCCTGGAGTTTTGTTTGACAAAACAAAATTTCACATTTTGTTTAACTAAAAGTATCATTTCTTTAATAAATACAGTGTTGCTCATATTATCTAGTTCTTCATGAGCTCATTAGTTTGTATATGTCTTAGGCTGTTTTGTGCTGCTATAACAGAATACACAGACCGGTCAATCTATAATAACCAAGAATTTATTGGCTTATGGTTCTGGAGGCTGGGAAATCAAGAGTGATATGCTAGCATCCTGGTGAGGGCCTTCTTGCTGTGTCATTCCATGGCAGAAGGGAAAGAGAGGGCAGGAGAAAGCAAGAAGGGGCCAAAATTGTCTTTTTTTTTTTTTTTTAGATGGAGTCTCACTCTATTACCCAGGCTGGAGTGCAGTGGCACAATCTCGGCTCACTGCAAGCTCTGCCTCCCGGGTTCATGCCATTCTCCTGCCTCAGCCTTCCGAGTAGCTGGGACTACAGGCACCTGCCACCATGCCCAGCTAATTTTTTTTGTATTTTTTTAGTAGAGATGGGGTTTCACCGTGTTAGCCAGGATGGTCTTGATCTCCTGACCTCATGATCCACCCGCCTCGATCTCCCAAATTGCTGGGATTACAGGCGTGAGCCACTGCACCTGGCAAAATTGTCTTTTTATAATGACCCCCTCCCATGATAACAAAACCATTTCTGCAATAATGGGATTAATCCATTTATAAAGACACATCTCTCATGATGTAAACAGCTCTTAAAGGTGCCACCTTCCAACATTTCTGCATTGGGGATCAAGTTTCCAACACATGAACTTTGGAAGACACATTCAAACCATGTAGTATCTTTCAAGGTATCTGTCCATTTCATCTAACTTGCCAAATTTATTGGCATGAAGTTGTTTTTAATGGTAACTGACTATACTTTTAATTTCTGAAGAATCTGTAGTGATGTCACTGTCTTTATTCCTAATATTCCTATGCCTTCTCTCTTTTTTTTTCCCCTCCAATCTGTTTGGCTAGAGGTTTATCAATTTTATTGATTTTTCTCAAAGAACAAACTTGTGGTTTTATTAGCTTTTCTCCATTGTTTTTCCTTTTTTTATTTCTTGGACTTCTGATTTTATCATTATTACCTCTTCTTCTGTTTATTTTGGGTTTAATTTGCTTTTTTCCCTAGTTTCTTAAGATAGAAGTTGAGATGACCAATTTGATAATTTTCTTCTATTCTAATATAGACAACTAGTGTTGTAAGTTTTCCTTTAAGAAAACTTAAAGATTGCATTATTTGTAACAAATAAATGTCAACATATCACATTTTTATTTTCATACTGGTCAATCTACTTTTTAACTCCTTTTTTGGGGGGGCGGGGGGCAGGGTCTCACTCTGTCACCCCAGGCTGCAGTGCAGTGGCATGATCTCAGTTCACCGCAACCTCTGCCTCTTGGGTTCAAGTGATTCTCGTGCCCCAGCCTCCCGAGTAGCTGGGATTACAGGTGCACACCACCACAGCAGGCTCTTTTTTTTTGCATTTTTAGTAGAGACAGAGTTTCACCATGTTGGCCAGTCTGGTGTCAATTTCTTGACCTCAAACGACCCACCCTCATTGGCCTCCCAAAGTGCTGGGATTACAGGCATAAACCACCACGCCTGGCCTTAACTTATTTTCATTTCTTCATTAGAATCGTGTCATTTCCACATATTTGGGGATTTTCCAGACATTTTATTTTTGTCTCATGTGTTTTTGTCCCTTTGTTCTCTCTTCACCACCTTCTTTTTCTTCCTTCTTTTCAATTAACTAAATTGTTTTTAATGATTCCACTATATTTCCTTTGTTGGCTTATTAACTATAATTTTATTTGTGGGGGGAAAGAAATTAGGGTTTATATTATGCATCTGTAACTTAATGCAGTTTTCCTTCATGTAATGTACTTACTTCATAGCACATAAGAAACTTACAATGGTATAATTTCATTTGCTGAATCCTGAACTTTGTGTGATTGTTTTATTTTGACATGTGTTATAAACTCCACTATAAACTGTTATTATTTCTGCTTTAGGAAATCAATTATCTTTTAAATACATTCAAAAATAACAAAAAAAGTTTATTAATACATTGTATTTTCATCTCTTACAAGTTATTTTCTGGTCCCTTTTTTATCTTCTATATCTCTACTTAATATGTTAAACTGGCCTCTACTTTCTTGACCATACGGCATATAGCTGTGATGTTCTTTTGCACTTATTCTATTATTTGCGTCATTTCTGATTCTATTTCTATCACTTTTTTCTTCCTCTTGCAGGATGTATTTTCTGGGTGTTTTTTTGTTTTGTTTTGTTTTTGTTTTTGTTTTTGTTTTTTGGTACTTCGTTCTAGGAGACAGTTATTTGGAAACTGAGGCTTTTTTTTTTTTTTTTTTTTGAGACGGGGTTTCGCTCTGTTGCCCAGGCTGGAGTGCAATGGCACGATCTCGGCTCACTGCAAGCTCCACCTCCCAGGTTCACGCCATTCTCCTGCCTCAGCCTCAGCCTCCTGAGTAGCTGGGACTACAGGCACCTAGCCACCACGCCCGGCCAATTTTTTGTATTTTTAGTAGAGACGGGGTTTCACCATGTTAGCCAGGATGGTCTCCATCTCCTGCCTCAGCCTCCCAAAGTGCTGGGATTACAGGCATGAGCCACTGTGCCCAGCCGGAAACTGAGGCTTTTAAGCTTCAATAGGTAAGATGAGACCAGCCTTTAGTCTAGGGTTAATTTTGCTCCCCTATGAGGCTCTATTTTCCTGACTACTCTATCCAGCACCCTTTGTAAAATGAATTGTGCTACTCTGGCTAGCAGGAACACAAACTACTCGCTTCCTTGCGTGAACTCCAATGATTGCTCCCTCTGCTCCTTTCGGGTGGTTCTTTCTCCAACCTTGGTAATTTTCCCATGCATGCCGAAGTACTCAGCTTATGTCTCAAGGGGGACGCTCTTGAGATCTGCAAGCCTTTTTTCTGTGCAGCTCTCTCCTCTTTTGTACTCTGCCTTATGAACTTCATCGACTTTAGCCTCTCTGGACTCCCACCTCTGTTCCCTCAACTCAGAGAAATCTCTGGTTTCTCTCTTAGTTCTCTTTCCTTAGGCTGCAATCTGGAATCTCTCTCCAGATATCAGCTAGGGGAATCATAAAACACAACTCATTTGTGTTCCTTCTTTCAGGATTGTTGCCATTCACTGCTTCATGACTAGTGTCTGAAAACTATTGTTTTATTACATACAGTATTGTCAGGTCTTTTAGTTGTTTCAGATGAAAAGGTAAATCTTGTTCCTATTCTTTTAGTTAAGCTGAAAGTAAACATCAACCACTTTGGGAGGCAAGGGTTTTTATTTCAGTGATAAATGATTAATTTTAAGGGGAGTGAGTAACGATGCTACTTAAAATTTCAACTCTTGGAGATCTGAGTTCAAATTCCAGTATTGTTACCTTGGGTAAATTACCACACTTTTTGATTCCCAGTTCCCTAGCTGATAAAACAGAACTAATAATACCTACCTGATAAGGTGTGAGGATTGAGTGAGATATAAACAATTTACCACATATCAGAGGCACACCTCTTAAATTTTAGTGTCCTTCTCTTTCCTCTAAAAATGAGTATCAGAAGCTATTTGTTAGAGCCCTACCTATATTGATAAGAGTGATTCCAATCCTTTTCCTCTCTCAAATATCTAAGGCCCTATCTGTTATAGAAAAACAACAGCAACAATTTTTTTTTACCTTAATATGCTATTCAAAGGCCAGACATAAAATATAATTCTGGGAAAACTGCCTGTGATTTTTCACTCTGTGAAACTAAGTGGGAAGGGGGAGCCTCGTGTCCTGTCCTGTCTACTTCTGGTTTGGATTTTGAAGTTTTTAAAGTGGGGAACAATCCAGAATTCCAGCTCTGTCAGGAAAAAAAACAAACAAATGAAACAGATGACAAATCATTTGTCTAGGACCTGAAGCCAAACTGGCTTCAATAGCTGCTGGGATAGTAGTAGGAGCCAATTTCCTGCAGTATTTACAAAATCATTTGTAAGAATAATATTTTCCAGACTTTTATAGGAAAAATTAAGTGTGAATTTTTGGTCTGCAGACTCCATAAAGTTAGCAGGCATCCAACAAGCAGCTGCTGAGAAAACCACCTCCCATCCTAACTCCACTCCCTTTATAAAGGCCTGACATACACTCAGTTGGAGGATAAGCTGTAGTCTTTGCTCTTCAAATATATACCACAACCTAAAAGAGCAACAGATGAATACATAGCTAATCAGAATCAAATGAAATGTGCTTTATTGGGGGTATTAGCAAACTGCTGCACTAAGACAGAGAGAAAAGGGTTATCTGGATAAAGATGGAGGAACTTAGTTACAGCTTCTCGCTGACTACATTGGGCCTGTCTAGTAAATTTGTCCATATTGAATAGGCTTTGGCTGCTCTAGCTGGAAAAGCCCTTTCAGTGGGAGTTAAAGCAGCAAATGGCATGGTATTAGCAACTGAGAAGAGCAGAAATCTATTCTATATGATGAGCAAAGTGTACACAGAGTGGAACCAATTACCAAACATACAGGTTTGGTGTATAGTGGCATGGGTGCAGATTACAGAATGCTTGTGCATGGAGTTCAAAAGCTAGCTGAGCAATACTATCCTGTTTACCAAGAACCCATTCCCACAACTCAGCTGGTAGAGAAATTAGCTTCTGAGATGCAAGAATACACCGAGTCTGGTGGTATTTGTCCATTTGGAGTCTTTCTACCTATTTGTGGTTGTGGGGGACAGACATATTTACTCAGGCAGATCCATCTGGAGCTTTCTTTGAATGCCACAGCAATGGGAAAGAACTGTGTGACTGGGAAAACTTTCTTTGAGAGAAGAAACAATGAAGATCTGAAATTTAAAATGCCATTCATATAGCCATCTTAACCCTAAAGGAAAGTGTTAAAAGGCAAATGACAGAAGATAACATAGAAGTTGGAATCTGCAATGAAGCTGTATTTAGGAAGTTTAGTTCATCCAACTGAAGTTAAGGATTACTTGGCTGCCACGGCATAATAATGAAGTGACTGAAAAATCCAGAATTTCAGATATTCTATCTACTTAAACATGTTTAAAGGATGTTTTGTTTTGCAGGCTCTTTTTAGATTTATTTCTATATGGTTAAAAACCAATGTTTTAAAAATGACACTTATAAGGCCAGGCACAGTGGCCCACGCCTATAACTGGAGAACTTTGGGAGGCTTAGGAGGGAGGATTGCTTGAGTGTAAGAGTTCAAGACCAGCCTAGGCAACACAGTGAGACCCCTGTCTCTACAAAAAAACAAAAACGAAAACAAAATTAATCAGGCATGGTGGCATGTGCCTGTAGTCCCAGCTACCAGGGAAGCTGAGGTGGAAGGATTACTTAAGCCTGGGACGTCAAGGCCACAGTGAGCCATGATCATGCCATTGCACTCCAACCTGGGTGACAGAGTGAGACCCTGTCTCATTTATACACTGCTGGTGAGAATGTAAATTAGTACAACCTCTACAGACAACAGTATGGAGGTGTCTTAAAGAACTAAAAGGAGATCTACCATAAAAGACACTCGTATATATATTTTTATTGTTAACACAGTTCACAATTGCAAAGATACAGAATCAACCAAAGTGCCCATAGACCAATGAGTGGATAAAGAAAATGTGGTATATATGCACCATGGAATACTACTCAGCCATAAAAAATAAAAGATGAAATAATGTCTTTTGCAGCATCTTGGATGGAGCTGGAGGCCATTATTCTAAGTAAAGTAACTCCGGAATAGAAAATCAAATTCTGTATGTTCTCAACTGTAAGTGGGAGCTAAGCTATGGATACACAAGGGTATACAGAGTGATATAATGGACTATGGAGACTCAGAAGGGGAAGGAATAAAAAGCTATATATTGGGTACAATGCACACTATTCTGGTGACAGGTGCACTAAAATTTCAGACTTCACCAATATACAATTCATCCATGCAACCAAAAACCACTTGTACCCCAAAAGCTACTGAAATAAAAATAAGCAAATTCATTCCTTAATTAAATGACACATAAAACATAATCAACTAAGATTTTTTAAAGATGAGCAAAACCTTCAAAGACGAGATTGACAGTATTTTAGCATACACAGAAGAGTGGAGAAAAAGAGAATTCTAAATCAAGAGAGAGAAGGATATAATGGGAAATGAAACTGAGATCTGATCTATACAGAATTGGAATATGTCCATTAGAAATGTTTTCAGCTGAAAGTAACAGAATTCTTGGGTAATAGAGCCATAAAGCCTGTGATGGTTAATTTTAGGCATCAACTTGACTGGATTAAGGAATATCTAGAGAACTGGTAAGGCATTATTTTGGGGTGTGTCTGTGAGGGTGTTTCCAGAGGAGATTGGCATGTGAGTTAGCGTGGACTAGGCAGAGAAGATCTGCCCTCAATATGGGCAGGCACCTCCAATCCACTGGAGGCCTGGGTAGAATAAAAACAGAAGAAAGGAGAATTGGCTTCTCTCTCTCCCCTGCAGCAGGGATACACTCTTCTCCAACTGCCCATGGACATTAGGACCCCAGATCCTCTAACCTTGGGACTCCAGGACTTAAAACTATCACTCCCCCATCCCACCCCCAGGTTCTCAGACTTGAAAATTCAGCCTTGGACTGAGAATTACACCATCAGTTTCCCTGGTTCCAAGGCTTTTGGACTTGTACTGAGCCAGACCACCAGCATCCCAAGGTCTCCAGGTTATGAATGGCCTGTGGTGGGGTTTCTCAGCCTCCACAATCACATGAGCCAACTCCCTTAATCCCCTCTCATATCTCTCTCTGTGTCTCTCTCTATCCCTCTCATATCTCTCTCTATGTATCTCTCTATCCCTATTGTTCTGCCTCTCTGGGAAACCCTGACTGATACAGAACTTTAAGAAATAGAGGTTTATTTTCTCAAAATGCTCAAATGCAGATGGTTAATGGCACCATTCAGTGGCTCACAGAAGCAGGTTCTTTCTATTTTTCTGACCTGGCATCTTTAATATGCTGGTTTTTCATGTTTGTACTTTTCATTTCATGTCTGCAAGATTGCTGCCACAGATTCAGACCCTACTGACTAATACTAATACCTTGAACAAGAGAAAAAGAGGTAAAAAGAACTTTCCTTTAAGCAGAGAGGGAAGATTTTTCCCAAGTGTTTCCCAGATTTTCCATTACATTTTATTGGCCAAAACAGGGTCACATGAACACCTCCGAGTAAAGGCTGGTTGGAAAAGTATCTGGACAAGAAGAAAGGAAAGACATGAAAGGCCTAGAACAATTATGATTCATCCCTGGGGCTAGGCATGTAACTGTCTTAAACAACATCAGTGTTCCCTCAGCAAGGAAAAACTGCCACTAGTTGAGCAATTAACAATGACTGCAATCCCATTTTTGAATTTTAATCCAAGTTATAGGAAGCGTTTTAGTGAAAAAAAAAAAAAAAAAAAGGTCCTCAGATGATTCAATGATGCCTCTAGTTTCATAGATTTATTTATCCTGCCCTTTGGTTCTGAAGAGAGCCTTAGTGCTATCCCTGAGCAGTGACAGGCTATCAAAAACTGCCGACTCAGATTCAGATGCAACTGAATTTCTTCCTGAAGCTTTGCAGATATTATTTACCTTCAATTTTCCCTGAAATAAATAGAAAAATAAGGACTCCTGTTTTTTCCCTTGAGAGCTCAAGATGAAGAAATACATAGCAAAGATATGGCAGGAAAGCATGGGCCAGGAAAGGTAAAGAAAAGAATAGGAGAAAAGAGATAAGGCTTAAAATATGTTTATAGTCTCTTCTCTCCCATTCCTTTTGGCATCCAATCCCATAATGACCAACCACAGAATGTACTTCATGCTTTAAACCTTTGGCACTATAGCTTCAGGGTCCTCTTAGGTGACCAAAAATAATCTGAAAAGAAAATTAATTTAAGAGATCGATTAACTACTGGAAAAAGTTTAATAGACACTGAAGAACTAGACTTCGAAAATTAACTGGTCCTAGTTCAGGGATGGAGGAAAGTAGTAATGCAGGGTGACCTCAGCCAACATAGGTCTACAGGTCTACTTTATGGAAGCCTGAATCTCTCAAGACAGAAAGGGATGCTGAGTCTAAGCAAGGCAGATAAAGCATGTTGTATGCCTATGGCCTCTATGCCAAGACCAGGGAACATCCTATTATCCACGGTCTGACAAGATTAGAATGTTATGCTCTGCAGAGGCAGCAGGCTGGGGGTGGGGGAGAGTATGGCACAAAACTGAATATTAAAAAAAAAAAAAACTGAACAGGCAAGCTATAGTAGTTTGTGAGCTAAAGAAAGAAGTATAAACTGCTCTTGGCCCTGATGTCCCTGTTGGTGACCAGATGGTATGTGTGTCTGTGGTAATATACTGGGATTTTCAGGTCTGCTGGGACAAAAGATAAAACCCAATACATTATTTCATGTAAAACATATTCGTAGGAGGGACAGATGGAAAAAAAATGGAGAAAGTAAAAGAAAATAGGAAATTCCAGAGTCAAGTGATGTTACGGGGTTTTAAGAAGAGAAGAAATTAATTGTTCTGGATTTAAAGGCTTCACATACAGAGAAACATCTCCTTCCATATCTGTGCAATTATCTTCTACATCATCCTGCCTAAGAAAAACAGAGCATATAAAAAAAAAATCAGTGTCTCTGGAAATGTTTACTCCATTGTTATCACCGTTATGATCACTCCAGAGCCTCTCACTTGAACGGCTGGCTTAAAAGGTTGCAATGAAGTCCAAGGAGACTAGTTAACATAAAGTAACACCAGCAAGCAGAGAATGGACAAGGTGGCAGGGAGAGGGAGCAGCAAGAGAGACAGACAGAGAGAGAGAGAGAGGGAGAGAGAGAGAGCCCACATAAAACAGCAACAGAATAATTTCCAAAAGACCAGATATAAATTCTTTCCTCCAACCAAAAGTCAATCATTTTCTTCTGTGTGTAAAATAGCACACATTCTTATTCACCACAGCTGTAAGCTTAAGGCCATTCACTCACTACTCTGCTGTAGTCCTATGACACTAGCTATATCATGGCCAACTTACTGCCCCACTTCTGTTTCCAGAAGTCACACACACTAGAGTCAGTTTCATTTCTTTGTAGTTACCCTTTTTGCAACTACAGGGCTATTACAAAGTCACCTGAGGCCACTACTTTAAACAGAAACATAGTACTACAAAGCCCTAGAATCTAAGACAGCCCCCCAATCTGAGGGTCATCTCAGTCCTTGACACTCCTTTCTTTGTTAATTCCACAAGAAGAAGAAATTATAGAGCTGGCACCAATGGTGGCTTCAGCACCAATAGTAAAGGGCTGGAGGCAATTGTAAACATCACCTCCACAATGAAGGTAACCTTATTACTCATCACATTCAAAGTGCAGCCCTAAAGAAAATAATCACTTCTTATTCCTTTTCTTGTATTTTTTTCTTGGCCACTCATTTTCAGCTGAGTGAAGTATTCTACTATGTGAAAATGATTACTAGAAGGAGGTGTTAGGAGAGAGAATGTTTATAAGATATCTTAGTAAGAAATGTATACTTTTGCCTTTGGGAAACAAAGGACAACTTTGTTGCTGTGTCAAACTACTTAATACTCATACAAATAAAAATATGGCTAGGTACCGTGGCTCACACCTGGAATCCCAGAGTCCCGGGAGGCCAACCCAAGAGGATCACTTGAGGCCAGGAGTTTAAGACCAGCCTGGACAACATAGCAACACCTTGTTTCTACAAAAAAAAAATAAATAAAATAAATATTAGCCAGGCATGGTGGCACATGCCTGTTGTCCCAGCTATTAGAGACTGAGGGGAAATAATTGCTTGAACCAAGGAATTTGAGGTTTCAATGAGCTATGATTGCACCACTGTACTCCAACCCGGGCAACAGAGCTAGACCTCAACTCAAAAAATAAAAAAATAAATCACACGGAGAATTTAAGGAATCTCTGGGCTAATAATTTCTCTGCTCCAAAAACAACATTTGGGCCATTGCTCCAGTGGTCAGTTCCCTTCAGTCCCACAAGAAGCTTCCTAATTAGCACCAAGGGAGAGGTTGTGACACAGGCAAGTGGACGAAGCTCCCTGAGAGTAAAGGACATTGCTTTTCATTACCTATGAAATGTAGAGCACACAGAAGCTCAGGGATATGATAAAATATAAGCAGGAAACAATTACGTCAGCATTAACAACTAAATGAAATGTTAGCCTAGATACAATCTACAAGGAGACGAACACTCGAGCACAACAAGAAAATACTGTGTGACATTTGCTCAGTTTGGATTCCATCAAAAACATACATGTTCAGTCTAATAAAAGTTCATTATAAAATCTGAGAGCCAAAAAAATATAAAATTCTAAATTAAATAACAACTGACTAAACAACGAATGAAGGCAAAAAATAAACTAGATATCAACTGAGTGATGACTATGCTTATAGTTCAAGAAAAAAGTTACAGAAGCAAAAGCAGAATTTATGGGAAAATAAAACTAAACCAAAGGTGTTACTTCAAAAATGAGTAATAAAATGGATCCTGAAATTATTTGATGAAAAACTGCTGAGAATTGAATAGATTTGAGACAATCTGTTATCTTGCAAACTCAATCTTTACTCGGTTGCTACTAGTTCTAGGATTTTATTAAAACAGAAAATAGCAACGAAATGACCATAATACCACTGCCCCAAATGCACGGTTTTTCAATCTCAATCTATATAAAAATGTCAGAAAGACTAAGGGGACATATTATTGTTTACTGTAATCAGTTCCAGTGAAAACTTACCATTTCTTCAGGATATAAATAAACTAAAAAACATATTTTGGAATGCAGAGATCTATTTTACTTTATTTATAATGCCAAAAAGTTGTCAATCAATACCTGATTAGTTAGAGGTAGAAAGGTAATCATTCTGATTGTCTTCAAAAACACAAAGTTTCTTTGTGTTTGCTCAAACAACTACACTTTGCAGTCTGTCCCAATGAAATCAAACTGGACTTCTCAATCCACCACTGCAAATTGGTTATTCACTCAACCTATACATTCATCATTGTATTCTGCTTCATGATAGCTATTTCATTTTACATTTTACATAAAATTTAAAAAAATGACTGCAATTTATAAAAATGAAAAGGTAAATTGTAGAAATACACCTTTTTGACCAGCAAAATTTTACTAAACAATCTCAGCAAATTTCGTAATTCATCTTTCAATATCACAGTCTTTTAATGTCAATGAAAACAATAATTTATGAATTAAAACATCTTTTTAAACCTGACAGGAAAATATATAAGCACAATTTCTGGATAAAGAAAATGAGGTGCAGTTCTCAGGGCTTTAGTACTTCATTTTAAACAGTAAACACAGTACCAACCATCGTTTTGATTCCAGTGAATAAAAAGTTAAGATTAAATTTATTAATCAACTTTGAAGTCTGAAACCGAAATGATCCTTTAACAGCATTGCCAAATAAACAGGTCAGTTCTACAAAGCTAATCATAATGCCAAATTTTGACCAAATGATAAAGTGGCTCTGTTACCATAGTACCAGAGTCTGTCTTTTTGTTGGGTTTCTGTTTGCCATAACAACCAAGGATTGAATTACATTTAAGCAGAAGTATACAAGGCTTGATGAAATTGAATATGAGGGATTAAGCATTTTTAAAGTATGGGTTATAATTCCTTTTGCAACACAAGTTCTACTGCATAATTTGCACTGGCCTAAAAACTTTTTAGCAACAAAATGTATTTTAAAAATATCATCATCCCTACATGTCACATTAACTGTAGACCACTTCAGCTCTTTATTAACATAGAAAAGTATAACTTTTCCCTGAAAAACTGTAAATAGCGACCATATTTCAATCACAGCTGTCCTGAACTACTCTCATTATCAGCAGGACTTTATGGTGTCACCTCTTTATTCTAACAGTAAAAATGGTGACAATGATATTCAAGAAGAAGGTTGGAGAACCTGAATGGAATTAGTGACAAATGGACTTTTTAAACAACCACTGGATTTTTATAGTGTTTTCAGGTGCAAAACATCCATTACATAAGTTAAACAGCTGAGAGGACACAAACTGCCAACTTGCCAAGACTACTTTGTTCCATAGGATTTTGATCCCTTCTAATACAACAATGGCATATAAACTGAGCTATGAAGGATTATGTCCATATAAATGAAAACAAACATCATAAACCTATAGGAAGTTTAAAAGTTTTGTTTTTAAATATTCAAGTGTAATACTTCTGTGAAAGATTAAAACATACATT
This sequence comes from Homo sapiens, assembly GCF_000001405.40. Taxonomy (NCBI): domain Eukaryota; kingdom Metazoa; phylum Chordata; class Mammalia; order Primates; family Hominidae; genus Homo; species Homo sapiens. The sequence continues at coordinate 87,322,074 of NC_000011.10, read as the reverse complement.
TCAACTTTATCGGATGTGTCCATTTCCATTTGCCCCTAACTTGCCATTAGTACATAGGTTCACTGGGCTGCCAAATAGCCCAATTAACTGGTCATGAAGAGAGATGATGTTATTAGTTGAAAAAAAGCATGGATACCACGACATTTATCCAAATGGTATGAGACCCATCTTTGCATCCCTGAAGTAAGAATGGCCACTTCTCCAATTAAATTGCTCTACACGAAAGCAGCACTGTCCGTGGAGAGTTACTTCAAATCTATAACATTCCACTACTACAGATACCAATTCAAAACTTTAAAAAAATATATAGACCAAATCCATGTACCCGTGATCCTTTGTAAATCCTAAAATGTAGAAATAATCCTAATTTTAATCAAGAATTATATTGGAATGAACTAAAGACATCTTTTAAAGTAATTTTAAGTGTACTCTTGTTTGTTATTACACTTCTACGTAGATTATATAATATTGCTTGTGGACATAATTTGATCAATAATATATAATGTCAGTCACTACAGTGATCCAGAATCTTATTCTGGCTATGGAGGAAGCTTAATTATTAAGCAACATCTTCCTAAAAAGCTTCTGAATTTCTGATTCATAAGAAAAACAAAACAAATGAAAAGAGTATCTCTAACTGAAATAACACTGAAGTTCGAGCTTGGGCCCCCTCCTTTGTGTTCAACATAATTAACTCTTCAAGATGAAACATTTAGTCACATTAATAAGTTACAGTCATCTTCAGGAAAACTCTGTGGGCAACTCTGGTGTTACAGTTGTGTATCTTGGATCCAACCTGGGGATGAAATCCTGAAAGTGTTTAGATGCACCAGTACCAAAAACATCAAGGACTTTTCGGTTCATGACAGCAAATCTGTAAAACAAAGAATACAGTAAACAAGTATTAATATAGTTTATAAAATAAAATAATTCATTTTAGTTGACTTATCTTATGTGGGATGGGAAAACAGAAAAGGCTAACGTGGCAAAGGATCTAAATTCAATGGCAGATTCAAGTCACATGAAGGCTCTTCTTCGAGATACACTGTCTCATATTTTATTTAAAGAGATAATCCAGTTAGGATTAAGGATTAAAGAGATAATCCCCAGATCTGAAACCGCAGAGATTACAACCATTATTTTAAACCCTTCTAGAATTCTTTCCACTAGACTGTATCAAATAGAAAATTAGGTTCATTATTATTTTTATGATGAATGAATTCACAGGAAACTAAACAATAAATGAGCTAACATTACCAATGAGGCAAAAGCATTAAATGTAATTTCTCTCATAATTGACATCATAATGTCTCACCATCAAATGAAAACACATTCAAATGTGCAAACATTTAATGACTAAAAGGCAAACAGCATATAGGTTTTCAAATGTTTAATAGACACAACACAGTAAAAATATACCCTAACGTTATCCATTACCTAACCTAAGATATATAACATTTTTTAAACACACAAATTTAGCTAATGTACAGGATAGACCTTCTGGGTCTCTGTGCTTATTCACAAGCATTTCCTTTCTGGAGAAAACAGCTGAATGAAATTAGTTTTGAATCACTGGCCAGCATTATTCTGACAGCCTATAAATGTGACTTTCAGTACTTTTCCAAAGTAAGTTCCCTTCCAAAATAATCAATTAGTAAAACTTATTAATGTGCAGAAAACTAAATGACAAAAAATGATTAAACAATAACAATGTAAAGGATCTACAGTGACATGGATAAGAGGGAAAGTTCTGAAGCCAGACTGCCTGGTTTATGTTCCAGCTCCTTCATTTACTAACTGAGTGACTCTGGCAAGCTATCTAACCCCTTTGTACATTTTAGTTTCCTCATATGTAAAACAGGGATAATAACAGAACCTAACTCTTACAGTTAGGATTTAAGGATTAAATGCATATTTATGTATACATGGATATTGTATGTGTGCCTCTTAAAACCATATGTTGGACATTGTCAGCACTATACTAGTATTTGCTATTATTATTAATAATGATAGCAATTCATACATGCAATTTACCCAGCGCTACTATAAGCATCTTAATTTTCCTACAACCATACAATGTATGCATTATTATTTCATTGTAGACCGAAAAAAACTTAGGCTCACGAGGGTAAATAATTTTCCATAGCAACACAGCTGAAGGTAGCAGAGCTGGAATCAAACTTAGGTCTGTCTGACTCCAAAGCCCATGCTCTTTCTATTAGGTCAAAATGCCTCCCAAAGAATTAGATTAAGATCAGGGGAGAAAACAAAACAAAGCAAAAATGATATGTAAGGTAGAGGAACATATACTTACAACAAGAAGCAACACAATATGACTATTTCCAAAATGGAAATCAGTTAATTATGTGGAGATGATCTTTAATGAATCTGTTTAATATTTTTAATCAAAAAGAAATGGACAGTGATTCAAACAGTCAGACTTAAGTATTTATGTAGCAGCTAATTAGTAGTTAGCAAATCAACATGATATTAATCTAGACCACTTAAAACATCTACAATATTATAGGGAAAAGAATAGTCAGAATAATGCTCACTCAAAAAACGCCCCATGTTATTCTTAGTTAAGTTACTCATATTTTATTTATATATAAATACCTACTTTACCACTGAAAGAATATTCCCTCAAAAAGATAAAACCACTCATAATATTTTTAAGAAAACTACGTAGTCACTTACTTGCCCTTGGTGAGTCTTAAAAGGAACTTCCAGTAAGATGGTCTCAAAGTCTGAACTTCCATGACAGCCTGAGTATTAAATTTGAGAATTCTTTTAGTAAATATAAATGAAAACTGAAAGTGATGAAATACACAAAGGTGTATTGATGTTTAAGTTGGTAACTATCAAGAATTTTTGTAAATATGCCTTCAAATAAAAATGTTGCTTTTGGCTGGGCACGGTGGCTCACACCTGTAATCTCAGCACTTGGGGAGGCCGAGGCGGGCAGATTACCTGAGATCAGGAGCTCGAGACCAGCCTAACCAACATGGAGAAAACCCGTCTCTACTGAAAATACAAAAATTAGCCAGGCGTGGTGGTGCATGCCTGTAATCCCAGCTACTTGGGAGGCTGAGGCAGGAGAATCACTTGAACCCAGGAGGCAGAGGTTGCAGTGAGCTGAGATCATGCCATTGCACTCCAGCCTGGACAAGAGCAAAATTCCATCTCAAAAAAAAAAAAAAGAAAAAAAAAAGTCACTTTTGAAATAATAATTAAGTGAATAGTCATTATCAGGAAGCATTTACTGAGATATTGATACTTCATTAGTTTTAATGAGTTTTTCAAGCTGGCAGCATTTTATGAGAAAGAGCAAATAAAAGTTTTCCCAAAAATTTTACAACAGCCCTAACACCGTTAATGTCAATAATAATGGTTACAGAATTCAGAGATTGAACAATGCTTATATGAAACTAGTTCTTCCCCATCCTCCTTCTGAATAATATTGGAGAAATGCAATTATTTATATTTATGCCTATTATCAGCATATCCCTATTATCCTTTTTTTTTTAATCAAAGGGAAGGATAATTAAATTGGGGCATTCTTCCCAAGGTACTGGAACAATAATTTACTTATAAATTGTACTCTATTAAAACCTAAAAATTGGTGTACTCATAAAAAGGACCTAGCGCATTAGGTTAACATTAATGATTAGAAGCTGGTAAGCTATCTTGCTGAAAAAAAAACAAAACAAAACAAAAAAGAAGCTTAAAATGTAATACTGTAAATAGAAATGTTCCCAGAGTTTGTTTCTCTCCCATTTGATTAACGTACATTAGAAACAGGAATCATTCAATTTCTCATTTCAAAAAGTTATACTTACTGCCTGGAAGCAAATTGCTGTAGAGATGGAATAGATGATAGTATCTGCATGAGGAAAATAGGGAACCTTCCCTGCTTCAATGCCTTTGAAATACATTGTCTGCAAAACAAGCATAAGACAAGAGTTATAAAGAAAAAACCTCAGCATTAAAAACATAGTTGAGCATTGTGCTCCCTGCCTACAACCTTTCTGAATCCTAATACTCCCTTCAGAGCTCAAACGATGTCACATTTTTCATAATGATGTTAAGGGTCAGCCCTTCCCTTTCCCTCACAGTTTTGCTCCAAATCCCAGCTTCAAGTAGTAGTACTTTTCTGTAAATTCAGTAGCATTTTATTTCTGCTTTTTAAATGATATTTACTCTTCAATGCTTTCTGTACAGTGCTCATGTGTTCTCTTCCCTGATAGATCTGTTCATCCTTTATTAATTTATTCAGTAAACATTTAATGGTGTCTACACGCCGGGCACTATTCTCCACAAAATAAAGAATATAAATAGGATGAGAACTCAAAAGAAGTCACTGACAGGTGGCAACAGCCTTCTCTTCTTCAACTTTGCATGATCTTCAGTACCTAACCTAGAACATGGCATTAAAATATTTGCTAAGTAAATCTGACTCTTTTTAAATTATATCCCAACTGAATTGCCATAAAAAGAATCCTCAAGATCTATATAAGCTACCATAACCAAAGAGCAAAGCAACAAAGGAAATGATAAGGTGGATACTTTACATACAAATCAATCCAAAAGTATATACTGAGGATTAAATGTACATAATGTGTAAAAGAGACTGGGATATATGAGAATTTGTAAGATATATACCAAGTTATAATCTATTTTGGAAACAAGATAAATATACATTGGCCATTATTTTGAGAAAAATATGTAACAGTATATTGCAAGATAGAGATACATTGTGCTGTATTCATGTTGAAGATTTAATTCAGATGTGGTAGAACTGCGTCACAGAAATGTTAAGTGAAACAGCTATTTCCCAATAGATAGAATAACTGCGTTTCTAATTATTTATTATAAAATTCATTTAATAAACCAGATTCTAAGTTAATGAAGGACAGAAACCATATCCTATACTTCTATATTCTTTCCAGTACCTAGCACAGTAATGAGAACATAATATATACTAAATAAATACATGCATTTGACTCAGAGGTTCCTAGAAAACAATGGTCTATACAGTTGATTTTTATATCATTTTCACTGTACAGTAATAGAACATTTTAATATAAAATTAACTTCAATCACAGAAAAATGATTGTCTATTACCAGAGCAATGAATTCCACAAAAGGACATAGCAAGCTTAAATTTCTAATATCCTATTTAAAAAAAAAAAAAAGTCTGCATCACCATAGTTTATATGCCAGTTTCTTTTGCCAGGATCAGATATGGCCTGATGACACAAGAAACAGAGAGATACCATTCCTTGCCTTAAAAAACTCTGGCCACTTAGCTGTAAAATACCTTTAATAAACTAGATCTCAATATTGGTTTCCTCTTGTGTTAAAGAATATATTTTTGCCACCTAAGGATTATTTTCTTTCTCTCAGTTCCCTTTTCCTCTCCATTAGCAAGTCTTGCCAATTCTACTCTTAAACATACACCAAATCTGTATAGTTCTCTCCATCTCTACTGCTATCATCCTGGTGCAAGCCACCATTTCCTGACACAGACTAACTGTTCTCTCAGCTTTGATCCTGCCTCCCTCTAAAATAGTGGCCAAAATGTTCTTCTTAAAATGTGAATTAAATACTGTCATTTCCATGCTTAAAACTCTTCAGTGGTTTCCAGTGCACTGAGAAAAAAACAAATTCTTTACCCCAGCTTTTAAAATCCTACATGATGGTCTGGCTCCTGCCTGTCCTCCTGATTTCATGATGTATATATTCTCTCAATCTCTCTCTCTTTCTCTGTCTCTCTCTCTCTCTCTCTCACACACACACACACACACATATATTTGGGTAAAGCAAGTAATTAAGTTAAATAAAATCTACACTCTTAACTTTGAATTAGAAATATCACTATGTTCCAAATGTATTTTCTGTTTCTAAAAAGCAAGGGGAGGGAGATTCTCTAGCTCCATTCACTGCGAAAGCCAAGAATCAGTAACTAGCCTGGGAGCAAATAACCTCTAGCACCTGGATTGAAATCTTTAAATACCATTTCCCACTAAAACAAACTAGGAGCCATTACAGAGAAGACTGATTCTACATCTGAGGCAGAAAATGTCCCAGATGAGCCCGGAATATATTGTCTTACAGCAAGAAAGCTATCAAAGATAATGGTGTTATGTTACAACAAGGAGGAGTCAACTTAAGGAAGCTCTCATGGCCAAAGATGGGAACAATTTGAGCATAATGAAAATAAATCATATATGTTAAACTCCAAATCTTCATAATGATACTTTAAAAATAAAGACTCATGGGTCAACTTTGCAGGATGCTAAGGTACTAACTCATTCTAAACACTGGTAATTAAAAATGAACTAATCAAGCATTTTATTTTGACTTTCCAGAACAACGTATTTCAGAGTAACCAAATAGTTGAAAAGGAAAAATGCATTTAGAACAATTTCAGCTAATAAACACAGAATAAAGAGTAATAGTATTTTTCATCATTTTGCAACTCTTAATGAAATAATGAATCCCAGTGATAATTATTAACAGCTGCGAAAACCAATAGCTATAGGGCTACTGGGGAACCTTATGTTGGCTCTATCAACACCTAAGCCCACTGATCAATCTTAGCATCACAAAAAGAGAGAGAACCAGACATTTTTGTGCCTCGTCATGTGATGATGCAATTGGAAGTTCACATACACAGTAAATGTGAAGTATGGCTGTTACCTCCTACAAAAATTTAAACCTGAATTTGCTTAGGTCTCAAGATCTAGTTAACAACTAAAAAAATTTATGAGTTAAAGAAACATGTTAAACAACAACAGTGAGGGTGCAATCAGCAAAATCCAGAATTTGGGAAATTCCATGAACTAATGACCTACATCTTCAACAAATAAATGTCAAGGAAGAAGGAGGAGGAGGAGAAGGAAGAGGAGGAGGAGGAGGAGGAGGAAGAAAAGCAGTAGCAGCAGTAGTAGGGGGGTAACTATTATAAACTACAAGAAACTTTGTTTGGAACTTGATTAAAATAAAATGATTGCAAAAACATATTTATAAGATAATCAGTGAAGACATAAACTCTAATTGGATATATTAGTATGGAATTACTGGGAGGGTTTTAATGTATGATAATGATACTGTGGTATTGTTGATTTGTTTGTTTTGAAAAAGCCTTTAGCCTTTATTCTTTAAGGAGTCTTTATGCTGAAATTTTTTTAAGGATGAAATTATATAGTGTCTGGGATTGGCTTTAAAATAACTCGATACCTGTGGGGTTGAGGAGTATAGATGAAAGGAGACTGGCCAAATACTGATAACTGTTGAAGCTGCATGATGGGTGCATGAGGGTTAATTACACTACTCTTTCTATACTTAATGTATATTTGAAAATAACACACACACAAAGAAAAACACAGGGGAATCAACTTTGCAAATACTTTTAGAGGATTAAAATTTATGTTTGCCATTGGGATATACATTTGCTGCTAAAACAGTCAGCAGCTAAAAGCTTTATGTTCTTTGGAACTATTCTTGCACAAAAATTTCGCTTACCTCTACCAATTTGGACGCTAAATACATGGAAATTGTTGTGCTTTTATAAAACATCATTGATATACCTGCCAAAAATCCTGAAACAAGAAATAAGAAATAACTGATAAGATCGCAGAGTATTTATTTGTTATTATGTCATCAGAAATGTTAATTCACTTACATAGAATCAGCACTATCTCTTGTTACAACACAATCAAGGACAGTAATAAACCAGATGACATTAAAATGGGGTGAGATATTATTGCATATTTTTAAATTTAAAAAATTGATATTCAGAGTTAGAAATAAACAGTTCTGATTTATGTATAACAAGAAGCTTTACATTTCTATTTTAACTTTAAAGAGGAGTGGTCTTGCCAAATACAATTTAAAAAAAATAATTTTTCAAAGCCTCTTGGTTCCTTTTCGATTTTAAGTGGAAATATTTATTCATATATTCTCCTAATATTAAATAGCTCAAATGATGGTTAGTGCTATCACAATACTTCTCTCCATAGCACTGCTTTCATTATATAAATGGAAAACCAAGGCCAGGGGAGGAGGGGAGGTGTCGAATACTAATAACTAAGGTTATTCCTAATAAATACCTGATAAATTATCTATTTAATTTAATACATACATTGCACTTATAGAAAATAATATTTAGATTTTTTAATAAAATGATTAAGTTCCTTTAAAAAGTTATTATGAAAATATAGGTCACTTTCCAGTGGTAAAAATAGAATTTTCAATGAAATCTACTTGAACTTCCCTTAATCACTTATATGGCAAATATAAATATAAGGCTTTTTATATTCTTTTGTGACACATTCGCTAGGATTTATGGCCTATAGCAGGACAGATACCCAAGCCATTATATTGCCAACTCAAAACATCAGATGGCAACAGTGCCTTGATATGTTAAACATCACAAAGTATTTGGACAAGTGCCTCAACTGGAATTCTATTACGATAGAGAAAGGAAGATTCATAGAAATTGGATGAATTGGATGGTATTTCCAATTCATTCCTACCACTGATTAATACAATAATAACCATTCATTTTTATTATTGCTTTACCAGCTATAATAGCATGTAGTTCATCATCTAAGTTTCTGATCCAGCGCAGGAAGCAACTAGTACCCTAGTTAAGGAGAAAATACAATGACTTCAGTTATTTTATTTCTAGAAATAAAAGCATAAAACAAAAACAACTATAATGAATAAATTCATCAGATTACCTTGCAGGCCAATTAGTGATCTCATCTAAATCAAACTGCATACATGATTGGAAAAATTATGAACAATAATATTTTATAAAGTTATTACTCTATAGACTCTATTAAGAAATTACACATAATATTTTTATTGCACTGATTTTGCAAAATAAATCCATAAATTTCACTTTTGCCTAGCTATCGAATGCTGGGAAAAGCATCACTCCCATTTTAACAAGAACAAAAAGCTGGCTAAACTACAAGTCTGTCAGGCCACAATTCTATACCCAGAGAAAATATTTCTTAAAACTGAAGGTGAAACAAAGATTTTTTCCAGACAGATAAAAGCTGAGAAAATCCACCACCAGCAGATCTGAGTTCACAGAAATGTTAAAGGTAGAAGGAATATGACACCAGACAAAAATTTAGAACTATGAAAAGAAATGCAGAGTTCTGGAAATAGAAAAGTGAAGGTAAACTTAGAAGACATATTTTTCTTATCTTTACTTGCACTAAAAGTGAATTAACTATCTAAAATAGGGGTCAGCAAACTATGGCTCACTAGCCAAATCTGGCCTGCTACTTGTTTTTATATGGCTCAGGAGCTAATAATCATTTTTACAGTCTTAAAAAATGAAAAATAAATCAAAAGAATGACAACATCTTATGATGTGAAAATTACATCAAGTTCTAATTATAGTGTGATAAAGTTTTATTGAAACGCAGCCACACTTGTTCATTTATATATTGTCTATAGCTGCTTTCAGACTGTAACAGCAGAGCTGGGTAGTTATGACAGAGACCATATGGTCACAAAGCCTAATAGTCATGATCTGGCTCTTCACAGAAAAAGTGTGTTGACCTCTGATCTAAAACAAAAATAGTAACAACATATCGTGGAGTATATAACATATATAAAGATAAACGATAAATGTTAAATCCTATAACAAAGGATGGGAAGGAGAAATTCAAAGTACAGTGTTGTAAGGTCTGACACTGTATGTGAAGTAGTATAACATTACTTGAAGATTGGCTGATACATTAAAAATGTATATTATAAAATGTTAAGGCAGCCACTAAATTAAAGCAAGTACAAATAATAAGGCAATAGTGAAGCTAGAATGGAGCCATAGTAAAATACACAATCAATCCAGAAGGCTGAAAAAGAAAAAAAAAAAAAGAGGAAGAAAAAAAGGAACAAATACAAAAAAACTAACATGAAAGTAGGTTTAAACTCAATCACATCATAAACTATATATATTTACACATAATACATTATATGTAAACAGTATAAACATGCCAATTAGAAGACAGAGATGATCAGATTCTATAAGAAAGAAAGGGCCAACTCTCTGCAGCCTAAAAGAAACCAGTTTTTCAAACAAAGACAGAAAAAGTGAAAGAATGGAAACATTATAACATCAAACAATAATTTTGAAAAGTTGAAGTAGCTATATTAATATTAAACATAGACTATAAAACAATGAATATTACCAGAGATAAAGAGGAACCTTAACAAATTTTTAAAAAAGGGTCAGTTAACCAAGAAACAGAAAAAACAAGGTTTATTTGCCTGCTCTTCTCTTAAGATTCTTATAAAGATACTATAGCATGGGCAATTTGTTTTTGAAAAATCACATACAATTTTTGAACACACCACGTGAATATTTCCTGAGATTTTCTGACCCGGTTGTATTTTTGTTACTTTAATACCATTTGTTTGTATTACCTAAGTAAATAAATAGTAACAGAAATGAAAAATAAAAAAGCAAAACAAAACACACTCTGAGATAAGCTAGATGGCAGAGAATAACCAACCTGGGGCTAAAAATGTTGGTGATAAACCACATGTAAACAGTTAAGAGTTTATGTTAAGAATAAATACAAATGCTATAACGTGAGAAATTTTTTTAAATGTGAATATAAACATGCAATTACCAATAATCTGTCCTTAACTCTTGTATATTCAAATACATTAGTAATGCTTCTTAGTCAAACCATATTGAAAATGTTTTTAATATTAGTAATATTTCATAACAAGTGATTCATTATCTATAGTTTATTATTCCTCCTTTCCATTTCAAAATATTTTATCCATACCTACCTTTTATGAGTAAATTTTTACAGAAAACAACACTGTCCATGTTACCCTAAATAATTCCAGAATTGAGTTTTCCCATCATTAATTTTCTCTGCATTTAACAACAAAAAGTGTGTATATGTGTACGTATATATATATATATAGACATATATATATACCCACAGAATATATATTCTTCTTTCAATATATTTATTAAAATATACATTAAAACAGTCAAAGAAATAAAGTATGAATAAAATATATATTTATAATTTTTTTGTAGACAGAGGGAAGGTAGGCAAATCTCATCTACAAAAATGCACACTCCTTTAATGTCCTTAATTCATTAGTCAGACATATTGGAATGCCTGCTGCATGTTCCTACAAAATGAGACACAATCCCTGTGCTCAAAACACATATCTTTTATAGAGTAAAATTAAGGCAAAAGTGAGCAATTTGTGATTGTAGATTAAAAAAAAATCTATTTTTTTCACAGTCATAGAGGCTGGGAGTTCAAAGATCACGGTATGCTCAAGGTTCGCTCCTTCTCTCTCCATGGCTAGCAGATGGCCACCTTCTCCCTGTGTCCTCACATGGTCATTCCTCTGTGTGTGTATATGTTCTAATCTCCTTTTTTTTTTTTTTTAATTGCAACTTTTTTTTTAGATTCGGGGGATACATATGCAGGTTTGTTACAGGGGTATATTGTGTGGTGCAGAGGTTTGGGGTATGATTGATCCCAATACCCAGGCACTAGTTTTTCAATCCTTGCCCTGCTCCCTCCCTCCCTCCTCTAGAAGCCCCCAGTGACTTCTGTTGTCATCTTTATGTCCATGTGTTAGGTCAACATTAATTAACACACTTTACCATTTAGAGATTATATTCAGATTTAGAATCTTTTAAGCGTTTAATAAAATATGATTTACATATTAGTGATTCCATTATGCAAAAGGCCATCACTTAAAGTTGCAGAGTACTAGGTTAAGAATGATCTCTACATATATGTTTAGGCGTGGGCTTATATATGTATGGACACTTTTATAGGAACATACAGAATGGGGTGGAAGACTGTGAACTCTGGTTATTTGAGACAGTGTAGTAGGAACTGTGAGTGGGTGGAAGAAGGGACCTAAGTCATTGCTTATATAAGTTACAATAGAAAATCCTCACCGATTCTATCAAGTGTTTATTTCAGCTAGAAAGATCTGAAATACATTTAAATTAATAACCAGGCAGTAAATATGATAAAAAAATAAATAAGCCAGGCATATTAATATCATTTTTGATATTGGAAATATCCAAAAAATTCATATTTTCTGAGTGTCTATATATTGAAAAAGAAAATGAGTCTGACAATGTGTAATACCATATGTAAATGCAAACATGTCTACACACTCGAGTATATTAAATAATATTTTAAAAGAAGAAATTTCTGTACCCTCACTTCCCAATATATTGTATAGATTTGGTTATGTCAAGATATGTATGAATATTCCAGAAAGAAGCATTAAAAAATAAGTGAACTAAGGCCATCTCTCATTCTAACAATAGCAATGTTATTTATTTCCCATTTTTCTTTCCTCTTCTAAAAGCCTTACCTTGTATATACTAACAAAAGAGCCAAGAAAAGCTCCAAGCTGGAAGTTTTCTTTATTGTAGAAGAGAGAAAGTAGCCGAGATGGCTGTGTAAACAGATGCCTAAATGCAGAAGGGATTCGGAGGCAGCACTGGATCAAGTACCCCACGCTAAACATTCTGATGAAACCCTAGAGGAAATTTGGAGAAAAACCTGATTTACAAACAAATTTTGAAGTTTTTGATAGAATACGAATTTTACCATCTCAAAATAGAAACAAGACAAAACAAATTTAATCTAAGTTTATAGCACAGCAAAATAAAGCCTTAAAACCTCAAACAATAATTTTAAAACAATTACCTTAAAAATAAGAGTGAAATCTTGGAATGAGTTTACTTTCTTTGATTTACAAAGACTTAAAAAGTCTCACAAGCACTGGCCAAGCTTGCCTATGCACCAAAATTCCATTTCTTGACATTTTGTTGACAATAATCAGGATTTTAAATTCCTAAACCACAAATGAGTTTTACATACAAAAGCACTAAAATTCCAAAAACTACTTAATAAAACCAAATGCTCTTGAAAATGTTAACAGAAAACTGCTCTTAATGATTAGCATGAGTAGGGATTATTTTCATAGAAAAATATTTTCATTATTTTTTCAGACCTTTGGTGCTAACTTTTACAATGGTCAGGTAAGAAGAACTTCCAGGGGGCAGGGGGTGCAGAATTATGTCTAGGTTTTCATTCCTGTCGGGCTAAAACATCTCTAGGGAGGAGTAGCTTTAAAGTATATTAAACTAAACTTGAAAAAGCAAACCCACTACAAATCCATATTTGCTGTCAACATTTCTCTATATTTCCTTCAACTGTCCATAGTGCAAAAGAGATTTGGAGAGGATGACTATTACTGGTCAATTTCATTTCTGTATTTAGGAAGATGAATTTTAGATGTCTGAGAGACTGTAAGTAATTAATATTGAAACTGAAAAATTTCAATCAGCATAAAACATTAACAAAAAGAATAGTACTTTCTGTACAGTTCAACCAATACATTGTTAAAACCGGTGTCCCATCCTCCTCCTCTCTAACTCTGACTGGAATTGGAAAATATCTACACTCATAGCAGTGTATGCCCAAAAGTTAGGTTTGTATTTTCTGGACTGCAGCTTTCTTTTCCAGAAAAAAAAATTAATTACTATGAGGAAACACTGGTTAATTTACCTGAAACTACCTAATGCCTTATTAAAACACAAAATCAAATTGTCCAATCAATTACTGTGAATTCTCAAGCATTTGCTTAACTGAAATTGCCTAGTATTTAAATGAATGAAATGGTCACACTTTCATCTTGCCATTGATAACCTTATAATCTAAGGATTTAGGGATTATAATTACATTACAATCTTTTTCATGCTATTTTCAAGAGAACTATTCATCCACCCATTAATGTACTTAGAAAATATTTGCTGAATGCCTGTTATCTGCCAAACATTACACTAGATGCTGGGGATAACAGTGATGAGGAGGGCACAGAGTTCTTGCCTTTGTGGAGCTTTCATGCTCATTACTGGAAAAGAAAACAACTAAGTAAACAAATACAAAAGATTATAATAAATGTTAGGAAGGAAGTAATCAAGACACTAGGATAGACATTAACAGGGCAATCTATATTAGATTAAATGTTAAGGGCAGACATGTAAATGATATGACATTTAAATAGACCCAAAAGAGAAGAAGCTAGAATGAGAAAAACATTTCAGACAGCTCAGACAGAAAACATAAAGCCAATTAAGAGGCTGGCAGGTATAAGGAACCAAGAAAAAGTTAGTGTGAATGGAGTACAGAATGTTGAGGACAATGTAATTAATATGAGTATTTATTCAGGGATGTGATTTAACATATGGTGTAATTAAGTTTGTAAAATAATGAGGTCCATTGTCAAAAAATTTCACTACCATGTTTATGGTTTAAATTCCTCACCCACAGGTCTCCAATAGTTTTACATTCATGGATATAATACGGCATTCCAATGTATACATAAATTGCCAAGTTTACAGTACTGGTACACATTTGAAAGAATCACTAGTTTTTTATTGCTTGGAAATTCTCACTAACTTTCTCATACAATTTTTTTAATATCACCTTCCCCACGCCAAATTTCTCAAATACCTCTGATTTAATCCAAATACTCCTCTTAGTTCCCCATCTAAAGTTTTCCTTTGAACTACAATCATGTTCAGTTGGAAGGAATAATAAATCCAGGTTATCAGCTGACTTGGACTGCCAGCAATGTTACTTTTTTTTTTTTTTTGGCCACTTTAAACTGAGGCAGGAAATCAAATTTGGAAAGAGTGTCAGAAAGTATTGCACAACTGAGGAACAAAACAAAACAAAACCCTACTATTTTATCCTTGGTCATTTTGGGGAATTGTGAAGCTAAGTGTGGGCTGGGCTAACGGCACTGTCAACACTGGGCCATAGATGTTTACCTTCATGAGCACTAATGTGGGACAGTTCCTCCTTTCTAGAGTAACCACCAAGGGGCTGTCTTTTGGGGTGCTGCACAACTCTGTTCTTCTCATCATCAACTGAGTAGAGACTAAAATTGCAAGAAGAACATAAACTTTCTACAGCATTGGAACTGTTAGAGCACCATTCAAAATAAAGGAACTTGGCCGGGCGCGGTGGTTCACACCTGTAATCCTAGTGTTGGGAGGTCAAGGCAGGCAGATCCCCTAAGGTCAAGAGTTCAAGACCAGCCTGGCCAACATGGTGAAACCCTGCCTCTACTAAAACACAAAAATTAGCCAGGCATGATGATGGGTGCCTGCAATCATCCCAGCTACTCAGGAGGATGAGATGGGAGAAGTGCTTGAACCTAGGAGATGGTGGTTGCAGTGAGCTGAGATAGTGCCACTGCACTCCAGCCTGGGTGGCTGAGCGAGACTCTGTCTTTAACAAAAAAAGAAAAAAAAACTAAAGAACTTGCAGCAGGTGGTGCCACCTGTGCCATGCTGACTGCAAAGAAAATAACTTTCTTCTCAGAAGTGGTGGTGATGGGGGAAGGGAGGAGGGACAACACAACAGCAGGGGAAGAGGAAGAGACACACTAGTACTCAAGTCCACTAGGGAGTCAAGAATTTATGCCAGGCATAGTTAGCTCTCTTAATGCAGAGCAACTGTGGACATGCTCCAGTTATCTCAATGGCTTAAAAAAAAAAGTAATAGTTTTACAAGTCCAAAATTAAATGCCATTGTAACAGACTTGGCACAGTGCATACAGTGTATGTGTGTGAGTGCTGATCCAGCTAGCACACAGCACAGTCTGGGAGTCAGAGTCTTGTTCTAAGATGTAGTTCTAATGAGGATACATTACAAAGTACAAATTTTAATGACTTTATGTTTCCTTGTTGTTATCCCATCTTATCTTCTATATCATAAGTTTTAATTAAGCCAATTTTTAAACAAGCTAATTTTTTAAATTATTTAAGGATCTGGTAAGTGAATACTAAAAGCTAAATCGTCACCTATTGTCATAAATTTCTCACTCTTGAAGTCAAATTCAAAGAATGATAGCATTTATTAATGTCAACTTTTCCATTTATTTTTAAATTATTTCTAAATAAATAAATAATTTCTATACCCATTCCCTACTGTTAATAAAGTACATACTTTCATATACTTACTTTAATGCAATAAGAGATGCAATTATCTTCATAATGTTTGCAACATCTATGCCTTGGTCCATGTTTGCATCTGAAATTGAACCCAAAAAAATTAAACTAATTATAATTAAAGTGTGTATATCCATGTGTTTGTACATGTTTGTGGATCTGTTTAAAGCTTTCTAACCAAAAAAAAAAAGAGAGAGAAGAAAACATCACTTTATTTATTTATTTATTTATTTATTTATTTTGAGATAAAGTCTCGCTCTTGTCCCTCAGGCTGGAGTACAATGGGCGTGATCTCAACTCACTGCAACCTCTGCCTCCCAGGTTCAAGCGATTCTCCTGCCTCAGCCTCCCGAGTAGCTGGGATTACAGGCGCCTGCCACCACGCCCAGCTAATTTTTGTATTTTTAGTAGAGATGGGGTTTCACTATGTTGGCCAGGCTGGTCTCGAGCTCCTGACCTCAGGTGATCCGCCTGCCTCGGCCTCCCAAAGTGCTGGGATTACAGGTGTGAGCCACCGTGCCTGGCCCACTCACTACTTCTAAATGTGTGTCACTTTTGGTGCTTTAGGAGATACAGAAGCAAGAACAACATATATTTTTGCTTTTTCTACTTGCTGCTTACCATTTGACACATTGTATAAACTATGTGACTGCAGTCAAAATACTTGAATACGGACTGGAGAAACCACACTGTTATTTGTGGTTAAATATGAAAAAATATGTATATATTATATATATACTCTGCCAAGTCTTTTGGAAACCTTAAATTGCTTATTGTAGAGTATATTGGTAATAAATCATCCATGAAGTCAGTACTTGAGCAAAAGTCATAATGAGAACATGCTCAGGTTACAGGAATTTATACTTAATTAGATTTGAGAGAAAACATCTGGAAAAGAAACATGATATAGTATTAGAATTCAAAATTCAGTTGAAATAAATATAGAAATAGAGATCATGTGGTAATTCAAAAGTAGCTAATTTGTGATTTAATTGTAAACCACTTAACCCTCCAGTGTTTAATAAATATTTCTGCTGGGAGGACTACTGTTCAGGATGCACTCATTTTAGTGGTTTAGCATGTTAAATCCAAGACTATTTATTCACCTTAGGCATAAAAAAGTAAGCAGAATATCTAACATGGGTCTAGCTCTCTCTCTCTTTGAGGGTTCATGTTCCAAAATAAGCGGTCTTTATAACTTCTTTCAGATTGTAGCTAATTAATTATTTTCATGGTTGAACCACATGAATGTTTTCCTGTTTATAACAATAACTTGCAGAGCAATGTTCTGGCTCTGCACTTCTCCAATCCCATTCGCAAATTGATTAGCAAGACCTTTACAGAAATCCAATTCTGCACTACAGCTGGAGCATACAGCCTTTCCTAGTCAAGGGTGACAGCAACAGTTCAGTTCACACTGGCCACAGCCCTTATATCTTTAGAATGCTAAGGCATATCTGGCCATGTGAAGCTGTTGAGTGATTAAAGCTGGAGACCTGACAAGCAGTGAATAAGAGAAAGGCTGCCTCAGGCAAGCCATCACTCTTCACACTTCTAAGTGTCCACTTCAAAGATATTTCTCAACCACTGCTACCAGAACTACACTGAAATTTGTTAAGTTTCCTTTTTTTTTCTAAGTGATGGGGGTGTCACTCTGTCACCCAAGCTGGAGTGCATTGGCATGATCATAATGATCATAGATCACCGCAGCCTTGAACTCCTAGACTCAAGCAATCCTCCCACCTCAGCCTCCTGCGTAGCTAGGACTACAGGCACATGCCATCAATCCTAGCTAATTTTTAAATTTTTTTTAGAGGCAGGGTCTTGCTATGTTGCCTAGGCTGGTCTCAAACTCCTGGCCTCAAGTGATTCTCCTACCTCAGTCTCCCAAAGTGTTAGTTTTACAGGTGTGAGCCACCATGCCTGGCCTAAATTTTCTTTGCTAGTGAAGTTAAATCCTGATATCAACCGTACTGTCAATTAGTCTTTCTTAGTCACTCATAAATGGCTTCCCAGCACCTGGAATGCCTGTCTCTTGTATTATTTGCTTTGCTTCTGTAGTATTCTGCATCCACTTTCATACCAGAAGATCCACTGAGGCTACTATGATACGTTCTGTCATGACCTGATCAGTTCTGACGCCCAAGGCATCATTCACCCATATAATTCATTCTCTGCATTCCCCTCTGATTACTGTTGAAATTATTTCCATTAATAGGGTCCTTTCTCCCTTTTCTCCACTGAGGTAACCCAAAATTATTTTTGAACTTGTTTAATAAATTCAACTACCATAATTATTCCTGTTATCTTCTAGATGTATTATTTGTTAAGATGAAGACAAAATCTTTAAATTCAATAAAAATTTGAGTACGCTCCCTGTGCTAACATTTTATGTCAGGCAAGTTCATAAATGTTATCTCATTTAATGCTCACAGCAATTCTTAATAGAGATTATTAACCCCAGTTAACAGATAAGAACTTGGAAATGCATAATGGTTAAATCTCTCGTCCAAAGTTACAATGCTGGCAGAGGGAAAATAAGAGTGAAACATAGGTTTTCTAATTTATTAAAGGACCTCAGCTTCCTATAATTCAATGGTCCCCAACCTTTTTGGCACCAGGGACCGGTTTCACGGAAGAGAATTTTTCCACTGACTGGGTGGCTGGAGAGGGGGGTGGTTTAGGATGAAACTGTTCCACCCCACATCATCAGGCATTAGATGCTCATAAGAAGCACGCAACTTAGATCCCTTGTACGCGCAGTTCACAATGGGGTTTGTGCTCCTATGAGAATCTAATGCCACTGCTGATGTGACAGGAGGCAGAGTTCAAACGGTAATGCTCACTGGCCTGCTGCTCACCTCCTGCTGTGTGGCCAGGTTCCTAACAGGCCTCGGACCAGTACTGGTCCATGGCCCAGAGGTTCAGGACCCTTGCTATAATTGATCCCCTAACTTTCTTTATTGCCTACTCATTCCACCCTCTCTAAAATATCACTACCAAGATTTTATTGGTTGATAATCTAATTTCAAACTATTAAATTTATTTTCTTAAGTATCTATCCTAGAAATATAAATGAAAATTTGTATGAAACATGATAGCTTCTTTTTATAATATACAAATAAAAACATTTCAGTTTGAGAACCCCAAAAATTTTCACTCTTACAAAATATCCTTTACTTAAGGGTTATCCCTTATTATTCCTTAATCTTCTTCAATCTCTCTCAGGAATTTTGCTTCCTTCTTTCCATACTTGGCATATTAAATCAACACATAGTAATCAGTTTCCTGAAGTTCTCCATCATAGCCTCCTGTAATTCTGCCTGGTTTGAAATACAAAAGTATTCCAATTTTATGCAAACCTCTTTTAAAGGCATATGCTGGTCTACAGTCCTGCCAGAAATAATAAATAATATTCACTTGCCATTGTGTGCCTTTTATAAAATTCTATGCACAGTTTCTGGTGAAAAATGATCATCATTACCTGAATAGAAAACAAAAATAACCTTGGCATGGTACAAATATCATATGAAACAGTGACAAAGCAGGTTAAAATATCAAGATAAAGAGCTCACATTGAATCCACAAATTTCCTGACTAGACCAATCATATTCATTCTTCCGGGTTTTTCCTCATGTTGCTCTCTCTTTTGTTCCACTTTTGCATATGCTGCCTCTGGTGAAAAAGAATGTGTGGGAATTTCTTCCTTCCCTACAATGAACCTAAAGAAAAGAGCACAATGTGAGGCATTTTTCACTTAAAAATAGTCAATGAGGAAAAAAAAAAGACTTTGTTTATAAACAAATACGCTTTGGCAAGTATTTTATCATTTGAGATAGTATTTTCACAATTTACATAAAATCAAATCATCCTATGAAGAAAAATAGACTTTCAAAATCTGAATACTCAAAAAAAATTAATAGTCATTTGTTTGATAATGCAGGTATTTAAAAATCAAACTGACCAAGTAAAATACAGCACAACACTTAATGAAGCACCCTTTAACTTGGGACACTGAGTCATAAACAGCTGCAGCACACTAGGTCATCTGTATTCACACAGGGAAACACAGGACAGTACAGACCAGGAATCAGAAAACAGTCAGGATTCCCCAAGTCCTCATATTATTTCATTAGAAAATCTGAAAGCTGATGTTATTCTAATCTACTTATTTTTCTTTGGAAAAATAAAATATCTAGAAAATAATATTCCTATTTCAACAAAACTAGATTATATTTTTCCAAAGACGATGAATGGAAAATATTATCACAATTAGATATCCCTCAAGAAGTATCCTTTCTCAGAGTTTGCAGTATCACTGTTTACACCTATCCTGTAAGAGTCATTGCCCTTATAAAGAATAACTAAGCTTTCCCAAGGCAATACTACCTTCCAAGCTTTCCGAAAATATAGTAAAATACAGATAGAACGGGATCAATAACAATACACTAAAAGTCTGGAACTTGAGCCAGGCATAGTGGCTCCTGCTGTAACCCTGGCACTATGGGAGTCAAGGCAGGACAATCACTTGTGGCCAGGAGTTCAAGAACAGCCTGGTCACCAAAGTGAGACCCCACCTTAACAAAAAAATTAAAAATCAGCTGGGCATGGTGGTGTACGCCTGTAGTCCCAGCTACTTGGGAGGCTGACGTGGGAGGATTGCTTGAGCTTAGGAATTAAAGGCTACAGTGGGCTATGATCATGCCACTGCACTTCAGCCTAGGCAATACAGTATGACCCTGTCTCTTTAAAAAAAAAAAATGTAACTTGAGACCTGTGACAAACAGAATATGAAAGTGTAAATACTTAGAAAGAAAAAGCTGTTACTACCAACAACTGCAACTCATCCTGTTCAGACAACCTTGGTAAAACATCTAGCTTATCAAATCATAAGGGGTGTGCAAGGGTTTTGTTTGTCACCAGATGGCAGCTGTGAATCTTTGGTAGCTGTCAGTTCAAATGAATTTGTTTCTTACTTACGGGTGTACATAGAGAGTTTAAGATCTGCACTGCTGTTCTTTATCAGCAACAAGGGTAAAACTATGCCAGAACAGATAGAACAGTTTCTCTTACACCTTTCATTTACTGTTCATTTACAGGATTTACTGTTTCAGATTAGAGGTCACTTCCTTGGAGAAGCTGGCCCTGTCCCAGGCCAGAATAAGGGGATAATCTTTCTTCTGTGCTAGGAGAGCCCAATGAACTGCCAGTACAGTAATGTACGTGCCATTTTAGTAGACTACATCCCCTACTCAACTGTGAGGCCTGTGAGACCATGTATATCTTCTTTGCTGTTATATCCCAGCATCTAGCATAGTGTCTGGCACATGGTAAATATTTAATACATATTGAATGAATGAATGAATGAACATAGTAATAGCTAGAATTTTCTGAGCATATCTTATACGACAGGCACAGTGCCAACTGAGCCTTTTACAAATATAATTAATTCATGTAATCCTCACAACAATACTATAGGTGTCACAATTCCCACGAGAGTTGGCATGGTTAAGTATCTTGTCCACAACCAATAAATTATCAGTAATTATTTGAACCCAGAATTGTCTGGCCTAAAGTTTGGCTTCTTAAACACTAAGCTACATATATTTCTAACTATGTTTTAAACTATGATGAATAAGGCTAGCGCACCTTCAGAGTCTCACACTGGCTTTTCTCCCGTGGTTGTGTTCTTGACACTATTCTTTTGACTTCTACTGTTATCTATATACACAGATAATTTTCAAATCATCCTACATACAGTTTCCAGAGGAAGCTTCCCAAAGTGCGTATCTGAACTGACTACACATATCCTCAAAGAACTTCATGGGCTTATGGCCTACTGAATTAAATACAAACTTTTCAAGCTTAAATCAGTATCTGGTGCAGAGTGAGTGCTCACTATAGAAGCTATTATTATATTACAATTAAATGAACTATTTGACATTCTCCAAATAAACCATGCGTCTGTATTGCTCTTCTTATCTGGATCATTCTTCCCTACATCTTTACTAAAAATCTTATTTGTCTTTTAAAATTCATCTTAAATGCTCCTTCCACTCTCTCATTCCCACTCGCCCCCACCAGAAAATAAAAGTATTAATAATTTGTGAATTATAGAACACTTAACTTCTATTATTACATTTGGGTTCTTCTAGTCTATAAGTAATTTTGTGCAAATTTCCTGCTTTCTTCTCTTCATTTACTCCTATCCACAGCTTGGGGAAAGACGCTAGGTAAGGTTTGCCTAAAATATATTCCTGAGATAACCTACACTTCTCTTTTGCAACATTTCAGCACAGTTAAAATTAATGCTGTCTTCCCCACTAGACCATAAGCTCTCTGAGAACAGAGACTATATCTGGCTCATTCCCGAGTGTATTCTTAATACTTAGTACAAGACCTGGGGCAGAATAAATGTACACTAAGTATATCTATCAGTGAATGTTAGCTTTGTACCTCCTGTATTATCTCACACTTGTTGAGGAGTGCTGATATGGTTTGGCTCTGTGTTCCCACCCAAATCTCATCTCGAGTTGTAATCCTCACATGTTGAGGGAGGGACCTGGTGGGGGTGATTGGATCATGGGGTCAGTTTCCCCCATGCTGTTCTCATGATAGTGAATTAGTTCTCAGGAGAGCTAATGGTTTTAAAGTGTGGCACTCCCTCACTCTAGCTCTCTCCCTCTCCTGCCACCTTGTGAAGAAGAAGCCTGCTTCCTCTTGGCCTTCTGCCATGATTGTAAGTTTCCTGAGGCCTCCCTAGCCATAAGGAACTGTGAGTCAATTAAACCTCTTTTGTTTATACACTAACCAGTCTTGAGTAGTATCTTTATAGCAGTGTGAGAACAGACTAATACAAGTGATTTTTAAAAAGGTGCTAAACTGAAGTAAAGTTTTGTGGTTTTTTGGTTTTGGTTTTGTTTTTTTTGAGATGGAGTTTTTGCTCTTATTGCCCAGGCTAGAGTGCAGTGGCGCAATCTCGGCTCACTGCAACCTCTGCCTTCTGGTTTCAAGCAATTCTCCTGCCTCAGCCTCTCAAGTCGCTGGGATTACAGGCGCCCATCACCACACCCAGCTAATTTTTTTGTATTTTTACTAAAGACGGGGTTTCACCATGTTGGTCAGTCTGGTCTCAATCTGCTGACCTCGTGATCTACCTGCCTTGGCCTCCCAAAGTGCTGGGATTACAGGCGTGAGCCACTGTGCCCGGCTGTTTTTTTTTTTTTTTTTTGAGACAGAGTCTCACTCTGTCACCCAGGCTGGAGTGCAGTGGCATGATCAAAGCTCATTGCAACCTCTGCCTCCCAAGTTCAAGCCATTCTCCTCCCTCAGCCTCCCAAGCATCTGGAATTACAGATGCCCACCACCATGCCTGGCTAATTTTTGTATTTTTAATAGAGACAGGTTTCACCATGTTGGCCAGGCTGGTCTCTAACTCCTGACCTTAAGTGATTGCCCGCCTTGGCCTCCCAAAGTGCTGGGATTAGAGGCGTTAGCTACCATGCCCAGCCTGAAGGAAAATTTAATATTTTAAAGCTTTTTAGCCTTTGTCTAATTAGGACACATTAAACTGGAGTACTTTGTAAATATTTGTCCTTTATGGATAAAGGACAGTTTTCCTCTGAGAGAACAATGTATGTTTTCATGATACAGCAATTATGATCTGTATGAGATAAGCACTTCCTTAAGCCATTTTATGATTGTATTCCTTTCAATCTCACCATTCTCAAATGTATCAAGCTCTGAGTATCCTTTCCTCACCAAAGTTTAATATTGTCAGGAGCTCATATTAAATTGTGCTACAAAAAGCATTTTCCTTTCCCATTCCCTTTGTAATTAATATTAAATTTTGCACTTTTGACTTGCTATAAATTTACAGCATACGTCTACAATAAAAATCACGACCGCCAGGACTGCAAAGAGGTAGCAGGAAAGACATGTCAGATAATACTTTTTGAAAGCCTACAAGAAGCACACATATTAACTCACATTATTTTTTTACAATGAAACTTGACAATAAAAAATATATTTGGCTTTTAGTAACATTCTTCTGAGAATCAACTTTATAAGTTTGAGATTAATTCATGTGCAATGTGGTGAGTCCATATTCACCATATAAATGCAAGAAATAGCCACATTTCTTGAATCCAAATTCACCACACTGCAGATTGATTACGAAACTGAATTTGCTTAGTGGAAGGAGATGCACAAATAAACATGACCATTCACAATAGTTAACAATTGTCTTGCTTTAGCAACAAGAATATTAGCAAGAATTAACAAACATTTTTTCTGGAATATTTTTCTATAATACAGAGAAAATTTAAGTGCAAATAGTCCAAACTAGCCCTCTGTTAAAAGTGGATTTGAAGAAAAGACACAAAACCATCTGACACATTTTAAGTTTTTGCAAGAATTCTGGGAGTCTAAGGAGATGTAGGAAAACAAGACTAAGTTTTTCCTTCTCTTTTGAAAACCTAACTTTTGTTTTTGTTATCAACTTTAAACTTAATACCAAATGCTTTCTAGCCAATGCAACAACAATAAGAAAATCTTTATTTTCTAATAAATTTCATGATCTTTTACTGAAAAATAACAGTAATTAGTGTTGTGTATTATGACTTAGAAAGTTATTGTTCCCACAGAGTTCTCACAACCAAAGACATTCTTATCATACAGTAGACTCCATTTGTTCCCTCCCAAACCAGTTTCCTTGCATGCCATGTGATTTTCTGTTAATAGCACCTTCTTTCAGGCACTTTGGTTTTCAATACGTGGCTGGGATTGCAGGGTGGAGGGGAAGAGAAAGAAGGAAAATATCAGTCCTCATTTTCACTCATTACAAGTCTTAACTTTTTCTCCTTCTCTTTAATCCTCCCACTATCACCCAAATTCTAGTCTTTATTGTCTTTCCACCTTCTGGTTCTCTCTTTTTCAGTGTCTCAAATACTGCGGCCAGACCAATCTTTCTGAAACAATGTCAACCACCCTGCTCAAAAAGCATTAGTAGCTCCCTACTGCTGACCTTATCAAATCCAAGTTTGTCTTTTTTCTCCCCTAGGTCTTCCATAATCTGGCCCTACTCTACATATCAAAAAATATTTTATATTCCCTAATATAAACTTTTCATGCCATTTTCTCACTGTTACCTCACACTTCATTTTTACAATTTTCACTCTCTTGCTACTATTATTCACTTCCACCCAGAGTGCACTTCCTCTTCCCTGTAGTTATCGAAAGCTATCCTTAAAGTACAGTTTAAGGCACATCATCTATGAGAATATAACAAAAATAATATCCAACATTTCTGGAGTATTTACTCCATGCCAGCCACTGTTTGAAATATTTTTCACATATTGACTCATTTGATCCTCAAAATAACCTTGAGACAATTAGGTAAAAACTTTTGCTAGTACTGAAGCTTTCCCTAATTTTTCCCTTCAATATTTGCAGTAAAAACCATACTACTGATCTTCACCAAGCATCTACTATATGTCCTTTGGATTACAAAACAGGCAACATTTATGATATAAACTAGACAAACACTGGGTATGGAGTCAGTATATATAGTTAACTTGTGTGATGTTAAATTAGTCAAATATTCTAAGCCTCAGTTTTCTCATCATGTTACATCTCACAGAACTGTTGCAAAAATTTAATTTTCTAATCTATGAGAAAATTCTTGGTGAACTATAAAATATAATGCTAATGCTAACGAACATTTCTACAGTATATACTATGTGCCAATTGCTATGCTAAAAGATGGGCTATGAGGTGAAAAGACTCTAGTGATACTTAAAATCGAATCTGTGTTTGACAGTACATGAGTCCTGCCCTAAAGCAAACCCATAATCTAGTACCACACAATTAAATACTTAACTTTTCAGTAATTGTTCATGAGCAGCTCTGTCTTTCCAAGCTCCCTGAAGTGAGTTCTTGTATTTCTTTTCAAATACCCCACAGTAGAAAGCACACAACAGGTCCAAAAGAAGTCGTTGATTAATTTTTAGAGAGAAAAATCTGACAAATTACTCTTTCAATGAGCTATTTATCCGCAGGCTTGGAAATACTTTTGTGAATTCTAAAATTATTTTCAGTTTAAATGCTTAGTCAATACCTATTTATTGTAATTATGTATAATTTTTTAAGTTAACTTGTAAATTCTCTCTCAACATAAAAATAAATGTTTCTTACCTAAGTGCAGAAAATGTAAATCCTTTCAAGCCATCCTTGCACCTAAAACAATAAGAATTTACAATCATAAAATAACATATTTTGAGATACAAGTACCTATTCAATTTTTTTCTGAAAATAATGTTTTAAAAGATGAAACTCTTAAGGCAAAAATCTGAACATTATGAATGGTCAAAAGAGCAACAAGCAATGAAGTAAGTCACCTTACACAAAATGATTAATATGATAATGCCTTCCTATGTCACATTAACATTACTTAGAGCTCAGCTCTCAAATAGGCAGGTTGAAGAGAGACTTAAGTAAATCTAAGGGCTCCATCTGGACTTAAAATGAAGGCTGGGAGTAAAGCAGTCTCTACAAATCCCTAGGGGACCAATTTGCTGAGAAGAAAAAGACCACATACACCTGGTGGGTGTTATATATAGATCAATTCAAGGTCCTGACTTCGCCCTACCTATTAAATCAGTGAATGCACAGTATTCATAATATACAGTTGGCAGGCACAGAAAGGTTTCAAGTTTAGTTCAACAGTTTTAATTTCTGATTAAGCCCAATTAGAACAGATCACAGAGCATGAAGAACAGAGTTGGGGTGAGGGGAGAGCAGAAAGACAGGACTCTAAATGGTATTTATTGAGTGCTCACTATAGCTGGGCACTGTTTTCAGCTCTTTATATGTGTTGTCTCATTTAATCATATCACTAAACTGTATGAATAGAGATTTTTCTCTATTGCATTGCTACACAGAGGCTCAAAAAATGCAGTAACCTAGGTCACAAAAGTAATAGCAGTCAGAATTCCAGAATTTGGGGGCTGGAGGGGATTGTCTGACTTTAAAAGTTATGTATTTTTCTTATATATCCTCCTGAAACAGTCTACTCTCTTCAGCTGGGGAAGATTCAAATTACATGGTAGTTAAGAAAAAAAGATTCTCAGATTTGCAAAAAAATATTTAAACAAGATCTTAAAATGGGGACATTACTATGCCGGCTTTACAACATTCTGCTGCTGTTATTCAGTGTCTTTGTTCTTCTTTATAGCTATGATCACCTTAAACAAAGGGACTTTGAGTATTTATTATCAAAATCCCTTGAATAAATCTATAAAGACACTGGATATTCTTAGATAAAGAGTAAGGCCTAGGCCGGGTGTAGTGGCTCACACCTGTAATCTCAGCACTTTGGGAGGCCGAGGCCGGCGGATCACCTGAGATTAGGAGTTCAAGACCAGCCTGACCAACATGGAGAAACCCCGTCTCCACTAAAAATACAAAATTAGCCGGGCGTGGTGGCACATTCCTGTAATCCCAGCTACTCGGGAGGCTGACGCTGGAGAATCGCTTGAACCCGGGGGGCGGAGGTTGCAATGAGCCAAGATTGCGCCATTGCTCTCCAGCCTGGGCAACAAGAGCAAAACTCTGTCTCAAAAAACAAAGAGTAAGGCCTCAAATATAACAGGGCAATTATTCCTCTATGTCTTCTGTAGGAAAGGCCACAAAGGAAATGCATAAAAATTTAAGAAATCTATTTTAATCAAAATCATATACATTTTTATTAGATGCAGTACAGAATCTGAGAAAATAAGTTAATCCACATGCCCAGAGATGTTTTAAAACAACCCCATCAAAAAGTGGGCAAAGGATATGAAAACAGACACTTCTCAAAAGAAGACATTTATGGAGCCAACAAACAAATGAAAAAAGCTCAACATTAATGATCATCAGAGAAATGCAAATCAAAACCACAATGAGATACCATCTCATGCCAGTAAGAATGGCGATTATTAAAAAGTCAGGGAACAATAGATGCTGGTGAGGCTGTGGAGAAGTAGGAATGCTTTTACACTGTTGGTGGGAATGTAAATTAGTTCAACCATGGTGGAAGACAGTATAGCGATTCCTCAAGGATCTGGAACCAGAAATACCATTTGACCTAGCAATCCCATTACTGGGTATATACCCAAAGGAATACAAATCATTCTACTATAAAGATACATGCACACGTTATGTTTATTGCAGCACTATTTACAATAGCAAAGACATGTAACCAATCCCAATGCCCATCAATGATCAAATGGATAAAGAAAATGTGGTACATATACACCATGGAATACTCTGCAGCCATAAAAAGGAATGAGATCATGTCCTTTGCAGGGACATGGATGAAGCTGGAAGCCATAATCCTCAGCAAACTAACACAGGAACAGAAAACCAAATACTACATGTTGTCACTCACAAGTAGGAGTTGAACATTGAGAACACATAGACACAGAGAGGGGAACAACACACACCAGGGCCTGTTGGGGTGTGGGGAGTGAGGGGAGGGAAGTTGGAGGACTGCTCGATAGGTGCAGCAAACCACCATGGCACACGTATACGTATGTAACAAACCTGCATGTTCTGCACATGTATCTCGTTTTTTGTTGTTTTTTTAAGAAGAAAAAAAAACACTTAAAAACTCAATTTCAATTAAGCAACATGATCTACTTTCTAGTCATGTTAACAGTGAGAAATGTAACCATAGAATTTAGCTAACATACTACATAATTTTCCACCTTACACAGAATAGGGGTAAAGGCAAAAGAATTCAGATGGAAGGATAAAATGTGCATGGGAAAATTATAGCATCAAAATGTTTAAACTTATCTTTTTCCATCTGATGAAGTGTTTTGCAGTAATTTAAAAACCCATAATCTAGATAGGTAAGATGGTGAGGAAGCAGGTTAAGGGGTCTATTGACTGGAAAACAGAAAGCAGTAGACTGATTAAAAGATTATGTATAACTGGGAACAAATTTTGGCTTTCATATGTTATTGTTAAAAGACAGCCATTTATCTTTGTGCTATGCTGAATAAAGAATTCTGACAACTTGTTCTAGTCAGAATTGCATATTTGTGACCTTAAACAATAAATTTAATTGCCAACCAAAACATCAAAAAGTAGCTTTCAAATATAAGAGGGGCATATACAAATGAATTTGCAATTTCATTATGATGGAAGTTCAGTTCTTTCAGCAGAACTCTGTGGGAAGCACTTCATATTGATAAAGTCTTAGCATGGATTCAAAAGAGGCTATTCTTCTTTCCATTCATGTGTATAAGGTTTGTTAATGTAATTGAGGGTCAGATGTCTATGTCCAAAGAACAAAAACGTAATTATTCCCATAAAAAGAATCTTTAAAATAGTAATATGATCCCACATTTTGACACTAAGAGTATTGTATGAGCATTAACCTAACTATGAAACACAATTGTAATCCGTGTTCAATGTTGAAAATACAATATAAAGATTTAAACAAAGCAGACTCCATTTGAAGGTTCCTCATTATTCTATGGATTTGATTATTATAGTGTAAATCAAATCACATTCTCCATTTAAGTATTAAGGCTCACCAACTTATTCGATAAATATTAACTAAATGGCCACTATGTATAAGCACTGCCTTAGGTTCTAAGGACATAACTGTGAACAATAAAGAATCCCTGGTTTCATAGAGCTGGCATTCTAGTTGGGAAAGAGATACATAAAAAAGTAAATATGTCATATAGTGATAACAGGTATGGTAAAAAAACAAAATAAAACAAAACAAAAAACAAACCTCCAAGATAAGGGGAGAAACAGTGACGTAGTCAGGCTTCATTACTTTACACAGTATGGTTAAGAAGAGCCTCTCCGAGAGGTAAAATTTGGTAATCTGATCAGAAACACTAGTGAGTAGAGGGGAGAGCATTTCCGTTTGAGGTAATCAAGTATACAGCCCATGATACAGAGTCAGCTTGGCATGTAAAGAGAAGCAAGTAGATTACTGTAGCTGGAGCAAAATAGGGGAGGGAAGTAGCGGTAGGAAATGAGGTCCTAGCAATCAGGGTGGAGAGAGGGAGTGGTCTACATTCCACATAAGCCCTTTAGGCAACGTAAGAACTTTGGGAGGTTCTCATCAGAGGAGTGGCAAGATCTGTCTTAAATTTTAAAAGAATCACTTGAGGCCGGGGACGGTGGCTCACGCCTGTAATCCCAGCACTTTGGGAGGCTGAGGTTGGTGGATCACCTGAGGTTAGGAGTTTAAGACCAGCCTGGCCAACATGGCGAAACCCCATCTCTACAGAAAACACAAAAATTAGCCGGGCGTGGTGACAGATGCCTGTAATCCCAGCTACTTGGGAGGCTGAGGCAGGGAGAATCGCTGGAACTGGGGAGGTGGCAGGAGGCAGAGTTGGCAATGAGCCAAGATCACACCATTGCACTCCAGCCTGGGTGACAGAGTGAGACTCTGTCTCAAAAAAAAAAAAAAAAAAAAAAAAAAAAAAAAAATCACTTGGCTGCTGGATAGACTTACAGGAGGGCAAGGTTAGAAGCAAGGAAGCAAGTTAGGAGGGGAACGATGATTGTGGTCATCTAGATCATAGTTGTAGAAGGTGGAGAGAAGTAGAGCTGACTGAAATTCTCAATGGTTTAAACGTGGAGTAAAAGAGAGGGAATTTACAAATTACTGAAATAATTTTTGGTTTGATCAAACGGAAGGATAATACGGCCACTCATTAAAGTAGGGAATACTAAGCACAAACAGTTTCAAGGAGAAAATCAAAACTTTTGTTTTGGACATGTTAAGTTTAAAATGTGTGTTAACTAATTAAACGGTAATGTTGAGGAAGCAAGTAACTGGCTGTACAAGTCTGAGGATTAAGGGAGAGGTCTGATTTGTTTATATGTAGTATTTAAATGCATGAGACTAGATACAATCATACAGGAAATAATTGTAAAGAAAATGTCCAAGGACTGAATATATTTTGCTTCTCCACAACTTATAATGCAGAAAATCTCTTCAAAGGAAGAAAAATAAAAATCCATTTATCCTAATCACATTCTTTTCTAATATAAAGTCTCATTTTTATTTTCAAGTGCACATAAAAATAATGCATTTAACTCATATATGTAGACTTTTCAACTTAATCTATGCAAATGACAAAATAAATACTGTAAGTCAGTCTATATTTACTGAATCTCTACTTGCAAGGTTCTGCACTAAGGCAAATTATGATATAAAACTGAGCCAAAAAAGACATGGAGGAAAAGAAATATGTTGCATAATAATATCAAAGAACTTAGTAAATACACAAATAACTGTAGAGGTTCAGGTTGGAATCGCATACTATGTACAGGAAAGTATAAAGAAGCTCAATGTTATCATTATCAGGATAATACTCTTGGTCAAATGTTCAAATTTTCAATTAGAAGTGTAAATGATAGTAAAATAAACAATTCTACCCACAAAGATATTTTCTATGAAATTACTTTCATGAGATAGTCATCTTTATTACATTGTACCAGCAGATGTCGCTAGAAAACTGTTTTTGGAAGAATTTGTAGTTCATTGGTGTGACTTCTATAGCAAACACTTTACTGTAGGTTTTCCTCTAAAAACACATTTATAGGGATGCAAAAATGTTACTAATCTTAATTAAAGTACATTAAGTTCTCTCAAGTAAATATCTCGATATTAGACTTTTAATGATGGGTGATGTTCCTATAATCCATTCAATATAAAATGTTTATATTTTATATAAACCCCATTGTTTGGCACCAACACAAAATTGGATAACGTAAATGTGCTGCTTCATTATGTGCTCTCTAATGAGCTGAAAAGAATGAGAACAAACTATTTTGATTTCTAAGATTTTTTTATTGTCTACTCAGTTTTCACTCATTTGGTAAATATAAAAGATGTAAAAGATGTACTTTATAAATCTTTAAAATATTTCTTCGCAATCTACAGAATGGGAGAAAATATTTACAAACTATACATCCTAGGGGGGATTAATATCCAGAATATATCCATGGAATACTATACAGCCACAAAAAGGATTAAATTCTGTTATTTGCAGCAACATGGATGGACTGGAAGACATTATACTCAGTGAAATAAGCCATGAACAGAAAAGTTAAACGCTGCATGTTCTCACTCATATGTGGAAGCTAAAAACAGTTTACCTCATAGAAGTGAAAAGTAGAAAGTAGAACAGAAAATACTCAAGGCTGGAAACAGTAGGGGGAAGGTAAAGATATGAAGAGATGGCTGCACGCGGTGGCTCACACCTGTAATCCCAGCACTTTGGGAAGCCAAGGCGGGCGGATTACCTGAGGTCAGGATTTCAAGACCAGCCTGGCCAACATGGTGAAACCCGTCTCTAACAAAAATAAAAAAATTAGCCAGGCATGGTGGCGGGCATCTGTAATTCCAGCTACTCGGGAGGCTGAGGCAGGAGAATCGGTTGAACCTGGGAGATGGAGGTTGCAGTGAGCTGAGATCGCACCACTGCACCACTGCACTCCAGCCTGGGTGACAGAGCAAAACTACATCTCAAAAAAAAAAAAAAAAAAAAAAAAAAAAAGATATGGAGATATTTGTTAAAGGATACAAAATCACAGCTATGTAGGAGAAATACGTTCTAGTGGTTCTATATCACTGTAGGATGACTATAGTTAACAGTAATACATAGTTTCAAATAGCTAGAAGGAGAATATTGAATATTCCCAATACAAAGACGTGATAAATATTTGAGATTACAGATATGCCAATTACCCAGATCTAATAACTATATATGTATTAAAACATCACTGTATACTCCCATGAATATGTACAATTATTTCTCAATTTTTTAAAAGATAAAATACATTACATACACACAAAATGTGGTCTCAGAAGAAGGTGCAGACAATATGGAATTTTTTTCCATTGCATGTCTGTGATTGTAATCACGTTTTCACAATAAAGTTAATGTGTCAATTTTTACATAAGAAAAATATAAGCATCTAAAACAATATTACTTGTTTTATTTACTTATTTATTACTTCTTCCTCCTCACCCCCCAAGATGGGATCTCCCTATGTTGTCCAAGCTGGTCTTAAACTCCTGGACTCAAACAATCCTCCCACCTCGGCCTCCCAAGTAGCTGGGATCACAGGCATGTGCCACTGTGCTTATATTACGCATTTTAAATAAACACCTAAAAAATGAAAAAAAGTATTTCTTCAGAGGCAACGCATGGTGTAGTGAAAAAAATCTTGATATGAGAAAGGATACAGATGCTACTCATAACTTCTCTACAATCTTGAGTAAATCACTTAACTTTAGGGCTCAATATCCTTGTATATAAAAAAACTAAAAGTAAATGACTACCATAAATAACTGGCTGATTAAATGATTTATAATTCTGAAATTTCATCATTTTAGTTAATGGTAGCTTTATTATTAAAAATCACAATGGAAAAACAGAATGAATTCTTCTCAATCACTTATGATGTAAAAAGAGAAATGATCTCACTAGCCCCAAGAATAAAACCAAACATACAAACAAAACTCTGAATTTGTGTTAAGATTACTAGTTGCTACTAAGAGTATTATACTTGCTTATCATTTTATAAAACTTATTGAGGTGGAACTTCTTCATGCAAAGGTTCAAAGAGAAACTTTTCAAGTTTCAAACTTGGTCTTTCAAGACCAACTACTGGGATAGATATACACTGCTATAGAAAGACCTGTATGAAACACTGTTAAGTAAAAGAAGCAATTCGATATACATAATCTGATTAATGAT
The DNA here is from genome assembly GCF_000001405.40 of Homo sapiens. NCBI lineage: Eukaryota > Metazoa > Chordata > Mammalia > Primates > Hominidae > Homo > Homo sapiens. The sequence goes on along the minus strand of NC_000011.10, from coordinate 87,288,231 downwards.
AAAATATTATTGCTATATTTAGCATTGGTGCTAAAATATTAATAGTAAAATATAAAATGCTGTTTATTATTTACATATGGCATTGTTACAGAAAGTCCTCTAATAGGATACGTATAAAACCAAACTGTGGGTAGTGGACTACCTATTGAAGTTGGATGAGTTAAGAGGCATGCAGGAAAATATAACTTTTTACTTTCTATGGGGCTACATCACTTTAAATTTTTACAATAAGCATAAATTTATATATTATTTGTACAGTTTAATCTTAAAAATCAATTCTTGATCATTTAGGAACAGATTGAACAGGGCAAAAGTTATTCATCTTTATTCCACCAACAAATGGCAAAGAATATAAAACTCAAACTAGTCAACTTTACTAATTAACAGGGTTGTAAAAGTTTTGCTAGAAAGAGGCACAAAACAACTATCTGAAATAAATGATTTAGGCTGAAATTTTTTGAAACTATGATCCCAATGAACATGGATAATTAGGTAACTATAATGATAAAAAATACATACATACATACATACATTTATTTATTATTTATTAATTTATGAGACGCAGTCTCACTCTGTCGCCAGGCTGGAGTGCAGTGGTGTGATCTCAGCTCACTGCAATCTCCGCCTCCTGGGTTCAAGCGATTCTCCTGCCTCAGCTTCCCGACTAGCTGGGATTATAGGCACCTGCCACTAGGCCCGGCTAATTTTTGTATTTTTAGTAGAGACGGGGTTTCACCATGTTGACCAGGATGGTCTTGATCTCTTGACCTCATGATCTGCCCGCCTCAGCCTCCCAAAGTGCTGGGATTACAGGCTTGAGCCACTGCGCCCGGCCAAAAAACAAACATTTATTAAGTATCAATTGGGGCACTTCAGAGTCCTTCTTTTACTCATTAAACTAGAAGGAAACTCAAATATTCATTAAATATTACATGATATATCTTTATTCACTCAACATTAATTGAGCATCTAATATACAGAAGACATTGTGTTGCTGATCACTTGAAGAATGCAAAGGTAGCTTTTTAAGAGCTACTCTATTTGTACTTCATGAGTTCAGCTCTAAATTTCTTTTATTCAGCATTTTACATCATCTACCTCAAATTATTCAATTGGAGTAAAGTGTTACATACATGCTAAAGCACAATTAAATATGTGAAAAGATTCAGTTAGCAAAAAATAAAGAAAAATTGGATTTAAAATAGTGCACATTGATAATTCTTAAAATATTCTATTCTATTCTGATTATATCAGCCATCTAAGTCACTCAGTATCAAAATTAAAAGTTACATTATTTTATGTGAACAAAATTAATTAAAACAGAAAATGCTGAAAGTTCAAGTGTAAACATTTATGTTGGAGTTATGAAAAGAATGACATATAACAGTTACAGACAATAGCTGGAACTTCAAAATTCTGATTAGTCTTGTTACCGTAAGCATAAATTTAATCAGAGTGAATACAATTGAAAAGTTTAATTTGAAAGTCAAAAAGGAACCAGGATGCCTATTTAAATGCCTCTAATTTGTGACTCCCAATTCTCTTTATTCTAAAGAAAATTCATGCAATTTTATGTAGTCTTGCAGCCCACCATGCCCGAGCCCCACCCCCACCCCGTGGTGTGCTCCCACACAGCCCCAGCCTCTCTGACGGGCGCCGCCCCCTGCTCTGTGGCCCCCGGTCCCATCGACCGCCTAAGGGCTGAGTAGTGCAGGCGCGCAGCACGGGACTGGCAGGCAGCTCCGCCCGTGGCCCTGGCGCAGGGTCCACTAGGCGAAGCCAGCTGGGCTCCTGAGTCGGGTGGGGACTTGGAGAACTTTTATGTCTAGCCAGAGGATTGTATATGCACCAATCAGTACTCTGTGTCTAGCTCGGGGTTCATGGATGCACCAATCAGCACTCTGTAGCTAGCTAATCTGGTGGGGACTTGGAGAATATGTCTAGCTAAAGGATCGTAAATACACCAATAAGCACTCTGTGTCTAGCTCAAGGTTTGTAAACACACCACTCAGCACCCTGTGTCTAGCTCAAGGTTTGTAAATGCACCAATCAGTGCTCTGTGTCTAGCTAATCTAGTGGGGACTTGGAGAACTTTTATGTCTAGCTAAAGGATCGTAAATACACCAATCAGCATTCTGCGTCTAGCTCAAGGTTTGTAAACGCACCAATCAGCACCCTGTGTCTACCTCAAGGTTTGTAAATGCACCAATCAGCACTCTGTAACTAGCTAATCTGGTGAGGACTTGGAGAACTTTTATGTCTAGCTAGAGGATTGTAAATGCACCAATCAGCACTCTGTGTCTAGCTCAGGGATTATAAACGCACCAATCAGCACCCTGTCAAAACGGACCAATCAGCTCTCTGTAAAACGGACCAATCAGCTCTCTATAAAATGGACCAATCAGCTGTCTGTAAAATGGACCAATCAGCAGGATGAGGGTGGGGCCAGATAAGGGGAAAAAAGCAAGCTGCCAGAGTCAGCAGTGCCAACCTGCTCGGGTCCCCTTCCACGCTGTGAAAGCTTTGTTCTTTCGCTCTTTGCAATACCTCTTGCTGCTGCTCACTCTTTAGGTCCGCACTTCTTTTATGAGCTGTGACACTTACTGCAAAGGTCTGCAGCTTCACTCCTGAGGCCAGCGAGACCATGAACCCAACAGGTGGAATGAACAACTCTGGGTGGGAGGAACGAACAACTCCAGACGTGCCACCTTAAGAGCTGTAACACTTACCATGAAGGTCTGCAGCTACACTCCTGAAGCCAGTGAGTCCATGAACCCACCAAAAGGAAGAAACTCTGAACACATCCGAACATCAGAAGGAATAAACTCCAGACACACCATCTTTAAGAACTGTAACACTCACCGCGAGGGTCTGCAGCTTCATTCTTGAAGTCAGTGAGACCAAGAACCCACCAATTTCAGACATAGTTTTAATTAAATTTTTCTTATTCTGTTTTTAAAAACCCACGTAAAAGAATACACTAGATTTTGTAATTAATTTTCCAACCCATTTTCAAGTATAGAGCTTACCTTAGTACTAACTTATAATTTAGTATTTGACACATGATCAACAATTGTACATTTTGATTGATGCTTGCTTATCATACGATTACCAAGAAAATATTAACATGAAATTACTTTCAGACTTTTATTTTTGTTTTGTTTTGAAAAATGTTCAATATTCTAATCACATAAGTATATTCCAATAGGTTAAATTGATTATTTCAATTTACTATGCAAAACTTGTAGTGTGTGGTTAATAGATTACATGGCTTATATACATACAAAAGGTTTTCATGTTAAATTTTGTTTGAATAATAAAATGGACTAAGAGAGTTCAGTTTCAGCCTTCATATGGCACTTAGTATGAGAAAACTCAACTACTAATGTTGTATCCCTATTTTAAGAAAACTCACATACAAATATCTGAACTTGAAATAGCAAGAAATTAAGAAATTTGGGGAAGATTATTTTGTTTCCTTTATGAACACATTATATCTTCAATAACTTCCAATAGAATTCCTTTAAATAGTGAAATTCCCCAGTGTATTAAAAATATTATTTTCTATTCTGATAAATATTTCACAGTACATTTATTTCATACAGAATGGAACACTGATACTTGGCTTTGTCTTCAAGAGCCCAAGCAAAGCTGCTGAAGCAGGCCGCAGTTATGGGTAATCAAGTGAGATTCTAAGTCCCCAGACGATAATTGTGCACTTTTTTCTGGTGTGTCCTAACTATAAATTGGAAACAGTTGGACTAAAACTTACAGCAACAACTCCAATAGAATCAGATTTCTCCTTAAACTTGGAGAAGCTGGAACTGTTTCTGCTTTAAAGTCCAAACTAGGAAGGTCATGTTCCAAAGCAGCCTTAAATTGCTAAGAAACCAAGAATCACCTTCAGACTGTTTCTAAAAGAAATGTTAATCAGAATAAATTTCCTTCTGAAAATGAACTGGTAATAGTAACACTAGTCAAACTTTAAAATAGTTGTAAAAGGAGCAGATTGTGGTTTCATTGGACCTAAACTGAAAGGCCTGTTTGCAGTTCCCAAGGAAATGGCATGAGTGCAGACTTAACAAATTAACTATAGGCAACAACCAAAAAAATATCAAATAATGTTTCATGTAAATCCAAGGAAAAATTTAGCAAGTGTCTTAAAATTATGGCATTGCTACGAACCAAAATTATTTACATTAAACAAAATTATAATCACAATTCTGAACCAATCTATTTTTTAAAGACCTCAAGACAAACAAATACTTTCAGTTTTTTCCCTTCTACAAACATAGTGAAAAATATGAAAACAAATGTTTTCAATTAAACAGAATCTTCGAATCAACATTAATTTCTTTTCTTTTTTTATTTTTTGAGATGGAGTCTCGCTCTGTCACCCAGGCTGGAGTGCAATGACGCGATCTCGGCTCACTGCAACCTCCACCACCCAAGTTCAAGCCAGTTCTCTGCCTCAGCCTCCCAAGTAGCTGGGATTACAGGCGCCCGCCACCACGCCCAGCTAATTTTTGTATTTTTAGCAGAAACAGGGTTTCACCATCTTGGCCTGGCTGGTCTTGAACTCCTGGCTGCATGATCCACCTGCCTTGGCCTCCCAAAGTGCTGGCATTACAAGGCGTGAGCCACCGCACCCAGCCCCATTAATTTATTTTCAAATGCATATTGGCATATATGTCAGTAAAATAATATAGCAATCTGTTTTCATATTGAACAAAATGAGCAGCTATTCAAAACTATAACAGGCTAAAATTTTTCATAAATTTATGCTTATTTGATACCAAAGTTAAATAAAATATGCATCTCCTAGTAATGGAGCAAAAACAACATTTTGTAAGCTTTTCCAAACTACTATTCTCTTTTTCTTTTCTTTTTTTTTTTTTGAGATGGAATTTCACTCTTGTTGCCCAGGCTGGAGTGCAATGGCACGGTCTCGGCTCACTGCAACCTCCACCTCCGGGTTCAAACAATTCTCCTGTGTCAGCCTCCCAAGTAGCTGGGATTACAGGCACCTGGTACCACACCTGGCTAATTTTGTATTTTCAGTAGAGACAGGGTTTCACCATGTTGGCCAGGCTGGTCTCGAACTCCCGACCTCAGGTGATCCACCTGCCTCAGCCTCCCAAAGTGCTGGGATTACAGGCAGCCACTGCATCTGGCCAGAAGCTACTATTTTCTGATTAGCTGAAGACTTATAGAGTATCCTGACCCCCAAGAAAGAGAAACATTTAATTTCAAATACTCCAGCTTACATCCTCTCAAAGATTTTGAACTTAATCTGTGGTATGAATAATAGAAATTGGGAGAGTCAACACATAATGGAATCTTGCTAGCCCATAGAATGGTATTAGAAAAATAAAATATTGGAACAAAAGTAACATGAGAGAATTATATTATATAGATTAAGAAACCAAGGCCCAAGGAGGTTAAGTGATCAAATTGTAAATACATCCCAATCACCTAACTGTCTGTACCTGCTGAAGTCTCAACAGTGAAGATGAAATATTACAGACAAGTAAAGGGATCTTGGACAATATAAAAGAAAACACAAATCACCTAAATGAAGTAGAGAACAATGGTCTTCCAACTGGTTTTATGCAAAGACTTTACAAGGGACAACAGGCATGGATAGTTTTAAAGAAACCAGTGTTGGCCGGATGCGGTGGCTCACGCCTGTAATCCCAGCACTTTGGGAGGTCGAGGCGAGTGGATCACCTGAGAGTCAGGAGTTCGAGACCAGCCTGGCCAAGATGGTGAAATCCCTTCTCTACTAAAAATACAAAAATTAGCCGGCCATGGTGGCTCGTGCCTGTAATCTCAGCTACTTGGGAGGCTGGGACAGGAGAATCGCTTGAACCCGGGAGGCGGAGGTTGCAGTGAGCCGAGATTGCATCATTGCACTCCAGGCTGGGCAACAAGAGCAAAACTCCAACTCAAAAAGAAAAGGCAAAAAAAAAAATGAACCAATGTCCAGTTGCTCACTTCCACATGTTCTCCTATCTAAACATGATTTGCCTGAGTGTGTACCATTGGTCAAGACTTCATGCTGGCTTCTCTTATCCACCTCCCCTTCATAAAAGCTTTTCACTTTAGAAATATAATTCTTGGTCCCCACTCCAGACCTCCTGAATTCAGAAATTCTAAGTGTGGGGCCCAACAATCTCTGCAACTTGTGTTTTAACAAAATCTCCACAGGATTCTTAAAAATGCTAAAGCTTGAAAACCACTGAGCTAAGTTATGTTGCAGTAACAAAATGTCAATGCCTTTTAACAAAAAAAGTTTATTTTCTGCTCACGCTACATGTCAAACAAGAGTTAGCTATGGCTCAACTACGTGAAATCTTCATTTTGTACCTTAGGGTAACAGAGAAACTTTATCTGCAAATGCTGATTGTCACAGCAGAGAAAAAGAACAAACATAGGAAACTGTGTTCTGACTTAAAGATTTTGCTCATAAGTATACATAAATCATTTCCACTCATATTTCTTTAGCCAAAACATGTCGTAACTCCAGGCATGATGTCAATAGGGAAGGGAAGTATAAAGTTTCTCCAGGGAGGGGCAGCAAAGGTTTTTGAACAATAACACAGTCTACCATACACGCCAAGTATATAATTGTTGAAGATCAACTGTATTTGTTTATATTTAAGAAAATTCAAAGCACAATTTCTTTTTCTTCATAAAATACTATCAATAGTCTTTTTCACAATAACTTTTTTCACTTTAAGTGTGATAATATTTAAAATCTTTCTGGTACTGGTTTCAGAAATAGGATAGTCTACAACACATCAATTAGTATTTTACACTATATGTGAATACATAAACGTGTTTGTCTGCATGTGTCCCCAGTGCCTAGTACAGTGCATAGTACATGAGTAACTCAAGAAATATATGTTGAAAGAAATTTTTGTCCATGTAATCACTGAAAAAAACTGCATTTTTATATTAACTATTTCTATTTGGGTGCCAAGTTTCTTGTAGTTGTTTCTTTGACAGCAATTGTAGGGTTTTTTGTTTTGTTTTGATTTTCCATTTCTAAAGAAATTTGTTTATTTTACATCAAGTACCTCTATACTCATTAACAACTCCCAGAGATCATCCTTAATATAAAGTTCCATTAGTTTCTTTATATTGATAATGTGCTATGAATTTACATTTAGACATAAACATACATACTCTAAATAGGGGCTTCCAGTCTTTTCTTAATTAGGAGCTATTTCTTAATACCACAAATGAAATGGAACAGTGATTATAGTATGAATTTATCAAATCCAAAAGGCAGGAAGGCGGATACGGCTGATAGGCATGTTCATCACGCTACCAGGAACTGAAATCCAGCAAAAGAGGTGAGACCATAAAGTCTATAGGTTGGAGTGTTGTTCACCTTTACATCATTTATTCACTCCTTCACACAGTTAAGTATTTCATAAGTATTTATAAAGAGTTGACAATGTGCCAGGCAGGTTGCAAGTGCTGAGGACAGCCATTGCCGATGGCTTCAGGAATTCACAATCCAGAAGGTATAGGTACAATCAAATAATGATATTACATTATAGAAAGTACTTTAATATAAAGTACACAGTGCTTTAGGAGCACAAAGCAAGTGTGTCTGACATTGATTTTGGTGTCATGAAGGCTGTTCAGAAAAAGACATTTAAGGTGCTATAAAAAAGAAGTAGAGGAAGAAAGCAGGGAGGAAAAATACATATAAGACTTAGAAAAAAGAAAACACTGGATATTCTGAGAACTGAGAGGTTTAATATGACTGTAACACAGAGACATGGAAACCAAATGGAGAAAGACTGGCACATGTCACACCATGCCAAAAACGAATTTGAACTTTACTTCTAAAGCAAAAGGTCCTGCTACTCAGAGGAATGACATAACCAGACCTATGTTTAACAAAGATACTCCAGGTTTGATGTTCATGACCTATTACCAAATCTCACTCCATTGTTTATTTTTAAATTATAATCTCATTTGGTACTATTTGTTTAAACTTTTTAAATGACAGCCTACACGCTGAATTTTTGAAAGCAACTGATATTAATGCCATCTAAACATATACTTTGTTCTTTATTTTAAAAGATTAAACCACACATTAACTTTAAGACATATTTTAATAACTTTTTGATAGATTAACAAATTAGTTTAAAAATAATAACCTTCAAAATTACAACTAAGTAAAGATGCCTACATAAAATATCAAACTTAATTAAACTATAAAATTCAGGTAATTAATACTAGTTGTTTTAACAAACTAATCACAAAATCTTGATGCCTCCACATAATAAAGGTCTGCTTATTTATCACTATTCACTCAGGCATTCATCCAGGCTGTCTCTGACACAAAGAGTAACCTCATTTCAGTCAGCTATAATGTCGTTCTAGATATTGTTCTGTGTGTATGTGAATAATAAAGTCACATCATTAATGTATTGTGGGGACAGGGAAGAATGATGAAAGCCAAGACTATACCAATAAGTTACATGAGGTGGAGTAAGCAATATACTTTTTTGTAATTACCACTATGTCCACAGATCTATGAAGCAAATATTATTCATTTACACAATCATATATCTGTTCAACAAGCAATTATTAAGCACTGAGGCAGTAGAGTTAAAAGCGAGGGCTATAGATTCAGAGAAGCAAGTTGTTTACATTCTGAGCCTGTTTCTCCACCTGTAAAATGCAAATAATAGGACCTACATCATGTGATTATTGTACTAAGCACTCAAGAAATGTTATTTATTATTACTACTGCTGCTGCTATTACTAAAACAAACACAACTACAAAGATGAGGGTATAGCAGTTGCTGTCTTACACACTGAGACTACAAGAAAAATTTAACAGTTCCTACCCATAGCAAGCTCATAGGCTTAAACTCTAAGGTGAAACAGTGAGCCACAGACAGAAAAAAAGAAGTAGACACACCATCTCCCCTGAAATTAACACCATGATCTAAAAGATGTATCACTACAGGCCTTCCTCCAAAGATACAAACTGATATAATCATACTAGTACACAATCATTTACTAATTGAGGATAATGGTACATGTGATATAAATTGCCAAATGAAAAAAAAATGACCTGAACTAGAAATGAGTCCATCAACATGTGAATGCATAAACAAATTGTGGCATATCCATATAATAAAATACTGCTCAGCTATAAAGAAGAACAAACTACTAATACACTCAACAAAATAGATGAATTTCAAAAAAAAAAAAATGCTGAGAAGCAGCCAGACACAAAGGTGCATACTGTATGATTCCACTGGTGTGAAATTCTAGAAAAAAGTTTCATAATCTAAAGTGACAGAGAGCAGATCCATCTGTTCCTGCTATCAGGGATGAGAGGAGAGATAGAAACCGACTACAAAAAAATGCACAAAAGAAATTTTAAAGAATGATGAAAATATTCTGAATTTGACCTTGGGGGTGGTTACATTTGTCAAAACTCATAGAACTCATAGAGTATACTCTTCAAATGTGTATATTTTTATTGTATATAAATTATAACTCAAAGTTAATTTTCAAAGAATGAAAATTATGTGGTTCATGCCTGTAATCCCAGCACTCTGGGAGACCGAATCGGGCAGATCACTTGAGGTCAGGAGTTCGAGACCAGCCTGGGCAATGTGGCAATGTGGTGAAACCTTGTCTCTACTAAAAATACAAAAATTATCTGGGCGTGGTGGCAGGCACCTGTAATCCCAGCTAATAGGGAGGTTGAGGCAGGAGAATCACTTGAACCCGGGAGATGGAGGTTGCAGTGAGCAAAAATCGTGCAGCCTGGGTGACAGAGTGAGACTCTGTCTCAAAAAAAAAAAAAGAACGAAAATTTGCCTGAATCAGTAACAGAACTAGAGGTAAAAAATTATATATTTTAGAGATTACAAATGTATATGTGTTATGAAACACATTACACTTTATGAAATTCAAAGAATAAAGAAATTGCTCAAAACTAAAGAATCAAAGATGGTTTTAGGGAAAAGATATCATTTGTGCAGACTGAATTTTTTAGTATAGAGGTAACAGTAAGGATGCAAAGGCTAGCAAAGGATACAAGGTAAAAGCCTGAGGAACATCACCATAGCTTGAGTTGAGTGAAGAGAATTCTATACAGGTAGAGCAAGGCTAGACAATGGAAGGACTTGGTCCAAGAATTTAGACTGTCCTGAAGGCAATAGGAAATCACAGAGGATTTCTGAACAGAATGACATAATCATAGCTATGCATTACAAGGGAAAAATAGATAAAATGTTTTAAATCATCTATAGATCTATTAGAAAGTGACTGACTCCAGAGTATCATTAAGAAGCAAGTTTAGGTCACAGGGTAGACAATTAAAGTCTTTCTAATTTATAAAAGTAACATTTTATGTTAAGAGTTGGCCGGGCATGGTGGCTCACGCCTGTAATCACAACACTTTGGCAGGCTGAGGAGGGCAGATCACCTAAGGTTAGGAGTTCGAGACCAGCCTGGCCAATATGGTGAAACCCTGTCTCTATTAAAAATACAAAAATTAGCCAGGCGTGGTGGTGGGCGCCTGTAATCCCAATTACTAGGGAGGCTGAGGCAGGAGAATTGATTGAACCCAGGAAGTGGAAGTTGTAGTAAGCCAAGATTGTGCCACTGAACTCCAGCATGGGGGACAAAAGCAAAACTCTGTCTCAAAAAAAAACAAAAAACAAAAACAGAGTTGTTTACTACTGCTTATTCTCAGAGTACAGCAAATGTGATCCAATACGGCAGTTTCACGTTTTTAAAAATCTTGTTTTTGGGCCAGGCACAGTGGCTCACACCTGTAATCTCAGCACTTTGGGAGGCCAAGGCAGGTGGATCACTTAAGGCCAAGAATTCAAGACCAGCCTGGCTAACATGGTGAAACCTCATCTCTACAAAAATACAAAAATTAGCCAGGCATGGTGGCACAAATCTGTAATCCCAGCTACTCAGGTGGCTGAGGAACAAGAATCGCTTGAACCCGGGAGGTGCAGGTTGTAGTGAGCTGAGATCACACCACTGCACTCCAGCCTGGGCAACAAAGCGAGACTCGGTCTCAAAAAAATCTTGTTTTTACATAATGTTAGCAATACTTCTGGGTAAGAAATGTTGGGTAAAAAATACATATATTGAAACCTTCAAAATTTTATTAATCCTAAAAATTCATAATATAAATTCTGCAGTTTTATTCTCCTACTCCAAAGTTCCATAAATATTAAATTATTTTTTAAAAAAAAGCCAGGTAAAGTGGCTCACGCCTGTAATCCCAGCACTTTGGGAGGCCGAGGCAGGCGGACCAACTGAGGTCAAGAGTTCAAGACCAGCCTGGCCAACATGGTGAAACCCTGTCACTACTAAAAATACAAAAATTAGCCAGGCATGGTGGCCTCGCATGCCAGTAATCCCCACTACTTGGGAGGCTGAGGCAGGAGAATCACTGGAACCCGGGAGGCAGAGGTTGCAGTGAGTCGAGATCACGCTACCGCGATACAGCCTGGGTGACAAAGCTAGACTCCATCTCAAAAAAAAAAAAAAAAAAAAATTCACAAACACACTAAAAGAAGTTTTGTATAACTTATGAATATAAAATTCTATGCGTTACATTCAATGAAATCTCTCCCAGTGAATACACACACACACACACACACAAACACTCTTATATAAACTTAAGTATATATGTGTGTGTATATATATATATATATAAACTTTTGATAGTAATGTACTAGAGTAACAAAATTGGCTAAAAGTCTAAGATTAAAGTAAGAAGACCTGATCAGAGCTTTGATGCTCTCAGAAATCAAATTCTGATGCAGTTACAACTCAAGTTCTAAAAATTGGCCAGTTTTGGTTAAGTACTTGACATCACAGAACTTCAGTTTCCTCAAATGTAAAATCAGATACTATTACTTACTATATAAGACTGTTATGAAAACTAAAGAATATTATACAGTCTGAAACAGAGAAAATGATCAAGAACAATGTATTGAGGATTAAATGTTTATAATAAAAGAGTTATAAAAATCTCAAAACTACTCACTCAACATAGGATTTATGTGCGTTAGTGTCCAGTCTTTATAATTTTATATTTTCCTTTGCATATGTAACTTGAAATCCTGCTGAGTCAAAAGCAATACTCTGATTTTAAAATGCAAAAAATAATTTTCTCTTCCATGCTACATGGTTGGGGTCCTTCTGGAGCTTGGCAGTAGAGGAAGGCAGAAGGACAATGTTAAAATCCACACTAGCGGCCAGGCGCGGTGGCTCATGCCTGTAATTCCAGCACTTTGGGAGGCCTAGACGGGCGGATCACCTGAGGTCAGGAGTTCAAGACCAGCCTGGCCAAAATGGTGAAACCCCGTCTCTACTAAAAAATACAAAAAATTAGCTGGGCGTGGTGGTGGGAGCCTGTAATCCCAGCTACTGAGGAGCTGAGGCAGGAGAATTGCTTGAACCCAGGATGAGGAGTTTGCAGTGAGCTGAGATCGCGCCACTGTACTCCAGCCTGGGCAACAAGAGTGAAACTCCATCTCAAAAAAATAAAAATAATAAATAATAAATAATAAAATCCAGACTAGTTTGGCTTTTCTTATTCTGAGACTCTAACTTGCTAAAAAATGTACTTTGTCTTCCAACAAGTTTGCATGTGTGGGCTATATTTTAGGTTTTCAGTATCCTGCCAGACAAATACTTAATACACAGGGTGATATATTTGGTTATTTTTTTTTTAATTTTTGGCAACAGGGTATCAAAATTCAACCTCTTTAAAGTTAGTCAAGAGCCCTTGCCTTAGAACATATGGTCACCCAACCAATAAGCATCTGATAGGCAGGCTTTGGTCTCAAGAAGTCTGTAATGGTTGCTAGCACTTAAGTATAGGAATTTACTTTTGACTTCATGCCATGCCTTTTTCTGCATCTCACTTTGTTGAAAAAAAGGAAGGAAATTCAAGCTTCAGAGTCTAAATTCCAAGAGGATAAAGAGGAAAATAAAGTGAAAACACAAAAGACAACCATGCCGCAGAAGAGAAGAAAATAACATTTTTATATTTAGTTCTTTGAAATAAAATTGCCAAATGTCATAGTAACACTTCACATGCTTTTTTATTTTAACAGAAAAATTGCAGGGGTCTGAACATAAACACAAGGGCATCTCAAATATTCATTCATTTAATATTACAACAAAATATTAATTTAATAATAAAACAAAAAAAGAAGTTAAAATTTATTTGCTCTAGAAATACAAAAGATGTCTCTTAGAACTCCTTAGGGGGAAAAAAGAGTTCTTCAGAAACCAGTTAACTTAATAATCATCTTATCTATATATAATACATATATATAAATATATATGCATATATATACACACATATATAAATATATAAACACACACACACACACACACACACACACACACACACACACACAGTCTTGCTATGTTGCCCAGGCTGGTTTTGAACTCCTAGCCTCAAGCAGTCCTTCTGCCTCAGTCTCCTGAGCTGCTGGAATTACAGGCATCAGCCACCACACCTGGCTCAAATGATATTTATCTTGTTTAATCTTCTTTAATATGAGAATATGAGGACATGGAGTTGAAAATATATTTTTCAAGAGTTCATTCACTCCTACTAAGTATTGTATCCTTGAGTCAGTACAGAATTTTTGCCGTAAGACTCCTAAAGCACAAGAAGATATTTAGCATATTTTAGTCTTTCTGAAAAAGAATCTCAGAAAGGAGGAATGTACTAGTAGAACGCAAGAAAGACATGTATGAGAATAGGGCAGTAAGGAGCTTATAAGCAGAAAAGTATAGACAGAGAGAAAACATTTGAGGGAAGAGGGCAGAGACTGTTATAAGCCACATTTGTGAAGACATTTCAAATACGTCTGGATTTCGCCTTGAAAGTCATGGCATAATTCACAGATTTAAGTTACCAATTTAGCTTTGCCTACCAGTAAAGGGAATAGATGGCAGAATAGCTAGAGTTATTTAGTTATTTCATTTATTTAGAATTATTTAGTGTTCAGCAGCCTTCAGACCTGAAAGTTTTGTCGACATACCTAGATTAGGAAGGAATGGCTTCCTGAATTATTACTACTACCCACTCTACCCACTCAACCCACTCTAAAGGATGGTCAGGAGAAATACATTTCCGAAACAGTGCAAAATATATTTCATAAATCTCATATCTGGTATCCTTGTTTAAAAACACTCAAGTTTCATTTATTTTTGCTAGCATACTTGAGACCAACTCTACCTACATAATTAGCATATAACTCAACTGTCCAAAGTAAACAATGTTTACCAAAACAATGATCTTGGGGGGAAAAATGCAAATAAACAATAAGGACCCAAATAGCCTAGGAGAATGTTATTTAATATGCCTGTTACTCAATTTCCTCCTCTATAAAATAGGTGAGACCTTCCCTTAAAAGATTTATTATAAAGATTTTGCTGTGCATAATATAAAGTAATATATCAATTATCTAACAAAAGCAATGCCAGGAACATGACATATATTCAGTGTAGTTCAGTTCCTTTCTCTCTTTCCCTTGGGTCTGGTTTCCAACAATTTGTCTTATTCTCCCTTCTCCAGCTTGGTGTTTGAGATTCTTTTCTGAATTTATTAGTTCAGTTTTTACAAATCTAGGTGCAGGTTCCAAGTGATGATTTTCATTTTGTGAGCAATACAATATGTTTCTTCTATTTTTCTTTATAACCATAGTCTGATGGACTAAAGATTGGTAGAACCAAGAATATCAATGGATAAAGGAAAGAAAAGATCAAAATGATAAAAAGAATAAATGGCAAATAATAAAGGATACTAGACAAGTATAATATCCTTGAAGTCAAATATTGTCAAGAAGTCTGAAAAGAAAAGATCTCTGATAAACACGGGTAGGTAATAACAATATCTGTATGGTATTTTATTTAATCCTCACAACATCAGATTTACAGATGAAAAGGAGGCTTAGCAAAGTGTCTTGTCCAGAATTGCTCAGCTAATAAAAAAAGAAACCAGATTTAGAATCTAAGTCTTTAATCTAAATCCTACATTCTATTTCTACTACAGTATCCTAGCCCTAGTGAAGAAAGAGGTCCAAAGCTTTGGATGGAATAAATAAAATCACTGAGAATAATAAATATAAGAGGTTTTTAAACAATAATAAGATGGAAGAAAGACAGGATAATTGCTATAACGAGGCAGAATGGTCCAGCTTCAAAAATGAGAAGACCTAGGCTTATCGGCTATAGCCTAAAAGCTTACAGGCTAAATTCTTTCAGAGTATGGTTAATGTACTAAGACATTTTAAAAAAAGAACTTTCCGAGAGCTCTACATACCAAAATAACATACTGTAAAAATCCTCAAAAGAGACATTGTAACAATTAAAAATAAAATGATAGTTCCAGAATTAATCAGAGTATCAATCAGAATCATTACAGTGCTGGATGCTGGGTATGATGGCTCACATCTGTAGTTCCAGAACTTTGGGAGGCTGAAACAGGAGAATTGCTTGAGCCCAGGAGTTCAAGACCAGCCCAGCAACAGAGCAAGACCTCATCTCTACAAAAAAATTTTTTAAGTTAGCCAGGCATGGTGGCACACACCTATAGTCCCAGCTACTCAGGAGACTGAGGTGGGAAGCTCACTTGAGCCTGGGAGGTCAAGGTTGCATTGAGCTGTGATCACACCACTATACTTCAGCCTGGGTGACAGAGTGAGATCCCATCACAAAAAATAGAAATTAAAAAAAAACTTTTTTAAGAATCATCACAGTGCTGAGACTAGAAAGGTTCACAGAGGTCATCTTACATCTTCTAGAGCAGAGTCATCCAATAGAAATATAATGCAAGCTGGCTAGGTGCGGTGGCTCCAGTCTGTAATCCCAACACTTTGGGAGACTGAGGCGGGAGGATTGCCTGAGGTCAGGAGTTTGAGACCAGTCTGACCAACCTGGTGAAACCCCGTCTCTACTAAAAATACAAGAAAATCAGCTGGGTGTGGTGGCGGGTGCCTGTAATCTCAGCTACTCAGGAGGCTGAGGGAGGGGAATTGCTGGAACCAGGGAGGGGGAGGTTGCAGTGAGCAGATATCTCACCTCTGCACTCCAGCCTGGGTGACAGAGAGAAACTCTGTCTTAAAAAAAAAAAAAAAAAAAAGAAAAGAAAAAGAAAGAAATATAATGCAGGCTATATGTGTAATTTGAAATTTTCTAGTAGCCATATTTTTAAAAGTAAAAAGAAATATATAAAATTAATTTAATTGTTCTTTGAGATGGGGGTCTCACTCTGACATCACCCAGACTAAAGCGCAGTGGCATGATCTCTGCTCAATGCAGCCTCGACTTCCTGAGCTCAGGTGATTTTCCCACCTCAGCCTCCAAAGTAGCTGGGACAATAAGCGCATGCTGCCAAGCTCAGGTATTTTTTTTGTATTTTTTATAGAGAGGGGATTTCACCATGTTGACCAGGCTAATCTTGAACTCCTGGGCTCAAGCAATCTGCCTACCTTGGCCTCCCAAAGTGCTAGGATTACAGGCATGAGCCACTGCACCCAGGCTTTAATTTTAATAATATATTTCACTTAACCCAATATATCCAAGATATTATCATGTAAACAAATAATCAATATAAAATATTATTAATATTTGCATTCTTTATCCATACCAAGTCTTTGAAATCTGATGTATGCTTTATACTTACGGCAATCTACATTTGACTAGCCACATTTCAAGGGCTCAATAGCCGTATGTGCTAGTGGCTACCATATTGGACAATGCTGTTTTACATAATCACGAAAGTAACTGCAGCCTGCAGACATCAAGTGACTTTCTAAAGATTAAAGTTCATAGGGTGGTAATAAAATGCATGGCACAACTTTTTTCTCTTCATTCATATTGAAATCATAAAAAAATTCATAGTACATTAATGTGACCATACTGTAGCTCTTGGGGGCTGGTTATTGATCAAATTGAACAGCTCCTAAACTAAGTAAGACAATGATTACAGATATTTTTTTGGTGGTGGTATATAATTTTCAAGGAGGTCTTTCTTCTAAAGATTATAGTCAAGAAGGCAGCAATCACAATGACCTTCCTAAAAGTAAACTGATAGGTAACCTGATATAGCAAGCTTCATGAAAAGTATTTTATCACTGTGAGTCACATGAAGACAAAATGAATTATGATTTATTCGGGTGTTCCTTCAGGTATTTATTATCTGAATCTGAAAAAGTTTCTAAAAAAAAAAGCTTGTGAGAGAAAATACACAGCAATCTGTAGCCAAAGAATAATGACAGCTCATGTCTGACTAGAAAATATTGTTAACATTTTTTAAATTTATGCATTATGATTTTTGTAAAACTCAACTTTAATAATAGAGGAAAAGTTTGATAAGTCCTATAAGCCAAAATTACATATAAAATTGCTTATATTTTGGTGACTAAAATAAAAAAGCAATAGTTTATAGAAACTTGATGTCATGATCAATATTCTTATTTCTCCACAAGAACAGTGTGCTCTGGAGTACAGGAGAGCTACAAAAAGTCTTACTTAGTTTCAGAGGAAAAAGTAAATATGACAAATCATATGGTGGGAATGATTTAATTCCTCTTCATATTAAAAGAGGATGTAACCTCTGAATTAGAAACACTAAGGAAATGTTCTTTAGTTATATATTGTAGGACTTTTTACAGACAACCTACTGAATGCTATTAATTTAGCTAATTAAAATTCTTAAAGTAGAAGTAATTTTTTAACACATTCCCCTTCTTTAAAACTAGCCATTTTTATGGACAAGGACTTCATGTCTAAAACACCAAAAGCAATGGCAACAAAAGCCAAAATTGACAAATGGGATCTCATTAAACTAAAGAGCTTCTGCACACCAAAAGAAACTACCATCAGAGTGAACAGGCATCCTACAAAATGGGAGAAAATTTTTGCAACCTACTCATCTGACAAAGGGCTAATATCCAGAATCTACAATGAACTCAAACAAATTTACAAGAAAAAAACAAACAACCCCATCAAAAAGTGGGCAAAGGACATGAACAGACACTTCTCAAAAGAAGACATTTATGCAGCCAAAAGATGCATGAAAAAATGCTCACCATCACTGGCCATCAGAGAAATGCAAATCAAAACCACAATGAGATACCATCTCACACCAGTTAGAATGGCCATCATTAAAAAGTCAGGAAACAACAGGTGCTGGAGAGGATGTGGAGAAACAGGAACACTTTTACACTGTTGGTGGGACTGTAAACTAGTTCAACCATTGTGGAAGTCAGTGTGGCGATTCCTCAGGGATCTAGAACTAGAAATACCATTTGACCCAGCCATCCCATTACTGGGTATATACCCAAAGGACTATAAATCATGCTGCTATAAAGACACATGCACACGTATGTTTATTGCGGCACTATTCACAATAGCAAAGACTTAGAACCAACCCAAATGTCCATCAATGATAGACTGGATTAAGAAAATGTGGCACATATACACCATGGAATACTATGCAGCCATAAAAAACGATGAGTTCATGTCCTTTGTAGGGACATGGATGAAATTGGAAATCATCCTTCTCATAAACTATCGCAAGGACAAAAAACCAAACACCACATGTTCTCACTCATAGGTGGGAATTGAACAATGAGAACACATGGACACAGGAAGGGGAACATTACACTCTGGGGACTGTTGTGGGGTGGGAGGAGGGGGGAGGGATAGCATTAGGAGATATACCTAATGCTAAATGACAAGTTAATGGGTGCAGCACACCAGCATGGCACATGTATACATATGTAACTAACCTGCACATTGTGCACATGTACCCTAAAACTTAAAGTATGATAATAATTTAAAAAAAAAAGAAAAGAAATCCACACTTGCACAAAAAAAAAAGCTTCCTCATAAAAAAAAAAAAAAAAACCCTAAAGCAAACTTCCTCTCTGAAATCTATTACAAGATTCTTAGTAGATTATGCTTTTCTGTCCCCTCGGGGACAATGTGTAGTAGGGGGGAAACTCTAAGCTTATATCTGTAGCTGTTATTAATTAAAAGACTATAATAAAAAAAGAATTAGGAAATCCAGGCTTTGAAAAATGAGAAATAAAATGTGCATTGCGTATTTCAAAAAAAAAAAACTAGCCATTTTTAAAAGCGATTTTGAAAATCTATAATCCTACCTCTACAACAAGTTTAAGCATAAATTGTTATTTTTAAGGTAAAAATCTAAATAAACTTATAAGAAACTTAGAAAAACAAATAATTTAAACTATTTAAGAAAGACTAGGATAGGCATCTTAAGCAGAACTGTCTTTTCAATCTAGATGCTATCTGAAACTTAGGCTTCTAAGAGAAAAACCTCAAACAGCTGAAATCCAGCTTAAATACACAAAATAAATCACTTCTGACCGAAATACACTCTCAAAAGCTCTAATCAGGTTTCCACAAGCAACAAAACATACAAAACAAATAAAGAATATCAACAACATTAGTAAATTGGGTTTACTAATTGTGCAGCCAAAAAAAAAATAGCAAATAGGAGACAAAATAGAATTCTTTGTTAAATCTATGAGCATCCATTCAATGTTCTTGACCCTAAAGATTTACATTTTGGTCTTAATACACTCTTAAAACAAAGATTAAGAAGGTTATCTCATTCCAGTTTAAATTCTTAAATCATTTGTTAGAAATTTAAGTCATCTAAAATGCAATCATTGATAGACAAAGGGTATATAATCAGTAAGACATGTAAATATTCATATTCAGACCATCTTTAGAAAGGAGCAGGGGCCTGGCATGGTGGTTCACACCTGTAATCCCAACACTTTGGGAGGCCAAGGTGGGGGGATTGCATGAGCCCAAGAGTTCCAGATCAGCCTGGAAAACATAGGGAGACCCCGTCTTTACAAATAAATAAATAAATAAATAAATAAATAAATAAATAAATATCTAGGTGTGGTGAGGGTGCCTGCCTGAGAGACAGAGTAAGACCCAGTCTCAAAAAAACAGAAAAGAAGAAAGAAAAGAAAAGAAAGGAAAGGAAAGGAAATAAAGGAAAGGAGAGGGAAGGGAAGAGAGGGGGAAGGGGAGGGCCGGGCAAAAAAGAGTAGGTACTTAATCTCCCCTGAAAGTGAACATGTGAACAGGACTTTGTTTAGTTATCCTGTACTCTAGGGCACACTGTATTACAGGGAAATAAGAACACTGATCATGGCCGGGCGTGGTGGCTCACACCTGTAATCCCAACACTTTAGGAAGCCAAGGTGGGCTGATTGCCTGAGGTCAGGAGTTCGAGACCATTCTGGTCAACATGGTGAAACCCCGTCTCTACTAAAAATACAAAAATTCTCCAGGCGTCGTGGTGGCACCTGTAATCCCAGCTACTCGGAAGGCTGAGGCAGGAGAATCACTTGAACCCGGGAGGTGGAGGTTGCTGTGAGTGGAGACCATGCCACTGCACTCCAGCCTGGGCAACAGACTGACTCCATTTCAAAAAAAAAGAATACTGATCATGACATTTAGTTTCATGCATTAGTTTTTGAAATGTATATCACGTATATAATTCTATACTTTCATGAAGTTTTTATATAGTGTATCACAAAAAACAATCACGAAATCCAAATAAAAAAAGAAATAAACTTACATAACTATTTGATGCTTACTATTAACTTCCGTGGACAAAAATACCTTTCCAGTGAAATGGTTTTTTTCACAAAAACACTTTTGTTTTTCTTTTGCTATATAATAAAGCCCCCACAATCATGTGAAATCAGATACAGCAAGTTTTCCATTCTTTAGAGAAGGTTGGCTAGAATGCTTATCTTGTGTAAAAGAAGGAAATTAGAAAGTGACTTCCTACTTATCATTTAGGACTTTCTCAGCTCAAAATCTATCTTTTCCTATATATCTAAATAAATGAAATAAATAGATGATAATTTTTTTCATCCATTCCCTCTCCATGAAGGAACTAAAATTCTAATATTGCTTTTTGTTAACTTGTTAATAATATAACACACATTTTATATGAATGTATAACTAGACCTCACTTACCACTCATGGCAGAGTTCTTTGGACTCTTAAGACACTTCCAATTCATTAGCTCCATAGTTCTTTCCATTTCCAATACTTTCTTCTCACTATCCTCCTTATCCAGCTTAAATTCTATGACCCTAGGAAACACTCTACCACCTTAAGCTCCTTTCTCCTCAGTTCTTACATCACCTCCACCTGGCAAAACTCCAACCGGAGATGAAACTAATCACCTTCTCCATGCCTATAATGAGGCAACTATGTACTGCTAGAGAAAACCACACAACAAAACATAATCACCACACTCAAAGGGATCCTGAATACAGCCCAGGTAAACCTGTCATTTTAGTCTGATCTATACAAAACAAGTACGTCAAACCACATAAATTCTCTTCAGGCCTTTGACCCTCTATCCTTTCTTTCAGCAAAGACCCTGCCTCCTGCTTTAGTGAGAACCATAGAAGCTAACAGATATGACCTTCTAATGGGAAGCTGAGGAGGTTCATTCATGTCTGATAGCTTTTGTTTTGCACCATTTTCTCTTTTCTCCCCTCCTATTACATTAGATAGTAGTTAAAGCTATAAGCATGGGATAAATTATTTACAATGAAAAAAAGAGAGACAATAAGGGAGACTAGAACCAATCCTTGAAGAATTCTAAAGTTTGATGGCCAGGAAAATAAACCTTCAAAGAAACTAGAAATTTGCACTAAAAACAAGTCAGCTACATTCTGCTATATATACATACATATATATTCAAACAAACTGATTTTGAAGACAAATACGACTCTAGTGTTTTCCAACAATATTAAAACATCAGTCCTTTGATAGATGAAATTTCACAATGTTATTATTACTGAGGTCCAAAGAGCCTTTTCTCTTGTGGAAATAAAATAATCTTGACAGGAATTTTACCAGCCAAGGGTGAGGGACTTAGGGGTGGAGAACATGAAATTATTACCCTTTGCAGACACAAAACTTTCCAGTTGTAATATAGATAACTCTGGCTCCTCAAGAGCATATGTAGATTTAAAATCCTTAACTATAAACAGTAGGCTTCAGGCCTGGGTGGTCTGTGCAATGTCCAATAATATATAAATTGGCTTATCCTCAAAATAAATATTTCCTTTTTCATTACTGTGAGTCATGAATAACATTTAATCTTTGTTCAAAAACAGAAAGGATTTCAAGAAAACCTTTTAGCTGTAAGGCTAATAGATCAATAGCTCAGTATACTACTACAAATTATATGCACGTAAAGAGATCTTAAATTACTTTCTCAGAATCTCAAGGAACAATGAGAAAACTAGGAAGATTCTCAATAAGAAATTGACTCAGTGCATACAATGATCACTGATATTTTCTATACAATGTTTAATAATAAGCTATGACCTAAGGGATGAAATGAAATACAAAATACCATGTGCTCCTGTTTTTATCTCAGAGATAATTTGGCATCCTATACAAGCCACCTAAACACTATTTTAAAGTTAAGTGTTTCTTTTATTTTCTTTAAATATGCTATCAAATGGTGGCTGATTGGGTTAAATTCATCTTTAAGAGAACGTTCAAATATTTCATAAAAGGTGCATACCAATTATTTTCCAGAAGTGTTTAGATGCTTATTAAAATTTGATCTGACATAGTAGTCAAACAAAAGAAACAAATTTGGAGGAAGAGAGGAAAAAGAAGAGAAGAGAAAACATTGAGGAGTAATAGACTCAATTTATATGTAATATGGTAAAATGGTTCCCTGAAACAATCCAAAGAATTGTTCTCTTTCAGAATGAAAAGAGTCCAGTATTCTTCATGGATGACAGGAACTTGGTCTGACTCAGTACTTGCTTCCATATCTGCTTAATGAATGGGCCAGAAAATATTCTAAAATCATAACAAAGACATATTATCAGAGTGTAAAGATTCCAAAATCATCACAACCAGATGTGTAGGACTAAAAATCTTGGCTTCTAGCTATATTTCTCACTATCAGTTTATAAAATGAGCATTAAATATTATTTGTTCTAGCTCTAAATTTCTTCCTTCCAAAAGAGCTGATCTAAGTGTGAATAGACAATAAATTTCTAGTCAATCTCTTTTATGACAACAGCTGTGAGTAACATTCCAATTTCTTCTTTATGTCAAAGTTTCATGTTTTAATTGTAGCTTATTATTACTGTGGCCAATTTACTCTAGAAAATAAGAATGTATAACCTATAATATAACTATATTCTACAACTAATTTCAGACCCATCTCATGACATTTCAAGTAGTTCACAGCTTTAAAATAACACACAATCTCTTTTTATGTCTCTTTGAAAATCTAGTCAATTATTTCTCAACAAAATGAACTTTAATACTATAAGCAAGATAATGCCCTTAAAGCTAATAAACAAAGAATAAAGTTTAAGATTTTTTTGACTTTATTGATAAAATTAACCTACCATAGATCTGGAAGACTGAATTTAAATGACAACTGACTATATACAGTGAGCTTAAGGCTGGAACTACATTGTAGAGATTAAACAGCTGAAATTCTTAAAATGTACAGACTGCATTCAAATAAGTCTTCAATACATATCTGAATACATTTCATAAGAAAAAGTGATCAATTCATGATAAAAGATCAGGAGCGATTATAAACATATGCTAATGCAAAGTATAGTTCCTTCCTACTAAAAAGAAACTATCAATAATATATAAACAGTAACATAAATTTAATTTGGATCTAAAATACCATTTATCTACATACTTGTCAAACTTAAAATGACATGACTAATAATGTTAGGTGCCATAGTGGATTACTAGTTACTTCCTAGACATTATAAATTAAAGTAAAAGCAGAAAACAAACAACAAAAAAAAAGAAAAGAAAAAGAACAGAAAAGAAAAGTGAGATTGGGGAGGAGAGGAGAAAAAAAGAGAGAGAGAGACTGAAACATAGACAGAGATCATAGACATCTGACTACAAAGTAGCTTTTATCCTCTTTTCTAGTTTAAAACCTAGTCACAATAAAGGAATTTCAAAAATTTTTAACAGCACTAATTAGAAATATTTACTATTTCAAATAGAAAGATAAAGCATTCCATGACATGGTATGATATTTCCACTACAGTTTAAACTATGTCATATGTAAAATCCAAAATATACATTAAGAATTTTTTTACCAAACTTCTATCTTCCTTAATTTCTAGGTTTTTCATTTAATTTCATATTTCCTTTCTAAAAGGCTTGCCATCACAATGTGGTATTTACGAGTACAAAAATAATACTGGGTCTATTTGCCATGTCCCTCACATAAATTTCAAAATATTCAATTGTTTTAAAATAATTAATGGTATTTGAAAGTAAATTATGCAAAAATTCCACTTCTGTCTCTGCCACTAACTGCTGTGTGATCTAAGAAAAGCTACAAAAATTTTTCACGTTCATTTTCTTCACCAGAAAATAGACAATGCTTATTACATAATCTCTACTTTGCTTCATACTCTAAAACCCTATGATTCTGTGAAACTTAAGTATTGGTATTATTCACTTTAGAGAATAACACTTTTATTTATGAAATGTTGCAACATACTGGACTAAAAAGAACACTAAATCAGCTTACAGTTTATGAATTTTTGAACTTCAGTTACTTTTAATACGTAAGAATCAAGACATATGTCAAATATGTCAACCAGTTCCTAGAGTAAAAGTATGAGTGAAGTCTGGCTCTACTAGGATAAATAATGAGCCAAAGCAAAAATGGTAGGAGCCAAATCTTGACAGCTTTAAGACATGGAAAAAATTCTAAAGGAATGGAGAAGAGGACAGTGATGATGATATTGCAGTAACAAAATATGAAGAATCAGAATTTAGCAAATATTTTCAAAATGTGCTCTTCACAGTAACAGTTCTTGTATCCAATCTCCATTTAAGAGATTAAATAGGACAAATTTATCTTAGTTTCCTTATTTTCTCTGTAAATATTCTAATATGCACATTGATTGCTCAAAAATAAAACACTACTCCAAATAGGACCACATACACCTCTCTTCATATTAGTTGTTACATGCTTGTCAAGACTCAGCTGTATTTGTCCCCAAATGTGTTCATGTCAGTTGTACTTCTTAATGTAATTACGTAACTGGCTTACATATTACATAAAACAAAAAGGAAGAAAGGTTTTTTTTTTCCATGAAAACTGAGTTGAATGCTTTGAAAAGACAATATCTTATAACAAAAACAACTCAGAACTCCACCTAGGCAACTCATACTCACAAAAAACGCCTTGGTAAATGAGCAGATATGTATGTGCTAAATTGAAATAAAGTACTTAATGTATACATGTATCCAATATTTTGTAGACAATGTTAATAGAAACAAATCTCATGCTACTGCTATGAAGACAGCCTTCCTTGCATAGATTTTTGTCCCCTCCGCTCACGGCTCAAAATGAAGATATGGGGAGCTGAACTTCCCCAACTGCCCCCACAGACCTGCAGCATGAAACAGAGCTGGCCAGATAATTGGCTTGCTGTTATATGCCACTCAGATTTTATGGTTGTGTTTACAGTAGCTGATTGATACAACAATATA
This sequence comes from Homo sapiens, assembly GCF_000001405.40. NCBI lineage: Eukaryota > Metazoa > Chordata > Mammalia > Primates > Hominidae > Homo > Homo sapiens. The sequence continues at coordinate 87,262,599 of NC_000011.10, read as the reverse complement.
ACAGGAAGGAACAAACATTAATAGCATGTAAAGAGCTCCTACAAATCAGAGCAATAAATTTAAAAATAAAAAATAGGTAGAGGTAGGAAATCGAAATGGCTAATAAACCAATGAAAAGGTGTTCCACCTCAAAGTACAGCAAAAATGAGGTATTACCTACATTTTAGATGATTTGACTGACAAAAAGATAAAAATTACCAACATAAACTAGGATGTAGGAATCAATAAGCACTCTTGGAGCGAAAATACATGGATACTGCCTTTTTTGGAGGACAATCTGGCAATATCTATTAACATTAAATATGTCTAGTACATTTGAACCAGCGAATCCATTTGTAGCTAAGTATCTAACCTATCAATAATATATAAACAGTAACATAAATTTAGAAATACTGGAACAGGAGCACAAAGATATTTTAAAAACAATGTTCATGGTTGTACAGTTTGCAACAACGAAAACCTGCAAATAGTGTAAATGTCTGTTGAGAAGGTTTAAATACTTATTTATAGATTTTTTTTGCAGCCCCTAAAAACAATGAGGATATGTACTGACATTTGGATAGAATCCGAAGATGCATTATTAAATAGAAAAACACTACAGAACAATATATAATTTGTGATCTCATTTTTAAAAATATAAACATAGGTACAAAGGTATGTATAGAAATAATTCTGTGTTGAACCTGATGGCTCATGTCCACAATCTCAACACTTTGGCAGGCCAAGGCAGGCCGATTCCTTGAACCCAAGAGTTCTAGACCACCCTGAGCAACGTAAGGGGATCCCGCCTCTAAAAAACAAAACTAAAAAATTAGACAGGAGTGGTGGTGCACACATGTGGTCCCAGCCACCCAGGAGGCTGAGGTGGGAGGACTGCTTAAGGCCAGACGTTTGAGGCTGCAGTGAGTCATGACTGTGCCACTGCACTCCAGGGTAAATGAAAGCGAGTCTCAAAAAAAAAGAATTCTAGAAGGATATATGCAAACTGTTAAGATGGTTTGAACTAAAAAGAGAGAAGTACAAAGAGGGAGGTATATAAAGGGGTGAGAATTTTCCATTTTTATTATTTATACTTTTGCATTGTTTGAATTTTTAAATGAAACTGTATTATTTATACAATTAACAAAATTTTAAAAAGAAACGGAGACTTCTAATTTTTTTGTTTCACACATTAATTAACGAGAAATTTTGGATAAGAAAAGTCTCTATTTTATCAATTCATCTACTAAATAATTAACAGACTCATGATTTCTAACCCACATAGAAGATTTGTAGTTAAAACTGGGTAATAAATCAAGGCAGAATATGTATTTTGGCAAAATATACATAAGGAAATATTAAAGGAGGTTGGCGCTGAGAAGAAAGGAAGAGGGAGGGGAAAGAGACCTGATAATCTTTGACCTTCTAAAGTAATTATATGAATAGCTATTTTCTGTTTTAACTGAGAAAATTCCCATTACAGAAATTCAAGATGTTGAGAAAAACGTCTTGACTCTACTTGTTGTGAGGTACTAGAATAGGTTGCCAAGAGAAGCAGTGGAATTAAATTCTCTGGAATTTCTTAAAATTACAGATTCTAAAGACAATTACAGAAGTTATTTCCTGATGTGACTTATGGCTCTGCTATTCAGAGTGTGACACGAGGACCAGAACTAGCATCGCCTGGGAGAGTGTTGGAACTACTGAAGCTCACATCCCACCCCAGACCTACTGAATCTTAATCTGCATTTTTAAAAGATTCAATGTTAAAGTTTGGGAACTGCTTTATAGCCCTTACATCAGACATTTAAATTTGTAACAGTTTATTAACAACAACTGCACATTAGGAATCAATAAAGAGAAATACCTCATTTGATTAAAAAAAAAAACCTTTCTTTTTCATCCTTATCAGTACTATTTCTGTTTTCCCAAAGAACAATAAAAAATTAATGCCCTATTTTATTAGGCCTATTTCTTTTAAGAAGGTAAAAGCTCCATCAGTCTAACTCGCATTTACTCACACAGTTTTTGTTAAATATTATAATGTAACAGAAAATTAAAAGGGATGTAATACAAATCCAAAAAAAAATAGATAATAAATTCAGGAAAGTGACCGGAATTTTAATGATTATAGACTTCTTAGCATTCAAGTAATTTCAACAAGTTAGGCTTGCTATAATAAATGTCTCTACGTGTTTCATATCAGTAGAAGTTGCTGGTGGTTTTCAAAAGTGAGATAAGGAAAGCCTTATCTTTCATAAGAATCCCTGAAAATATCTTACAATGACACCCTGCAAGGAAGGTTCATCCACAATATTAGAATTTGGAATTATCAAATACAACAAACATTTTTTAACATTCAAGGAAGAAACAGAAGTTAACAATTGTGTTTCCAATAATAGAACTGGATGCTTTTGTGATAATAAAAGAAATCTAACCTGATAAGCTCAATTGTTTTCCACTGTCTGATTTTTAATATTATTCTTGTTCTGAACATGCCCAAAGAGCTCAAAACCATAAAAATTGCATAATCCATTTCAGTGATCAAATCACTTTAGAAAGCATTTGAGAGCAGCTGAGATTCAGAGGTCCTAAGCTGTCACAAAGCTTGAAAACCCAAAGCTGTGTTCTCCTCCTCTTTACATTTTGCATTTGAGGATGACAGGAACATGATAAACAGCCAGCACTCAGCCACCATCAAGGCCCTACCAGTACAAAGAGGCTTTGTGATTAACAAGGGAAAATAAAAAAGGGAAGAGACCCACTTTTTCCTTCCTCTAGGGAAGACGCTAGACAGAGATGACTGAAATTTTAGAACTTAAAAGCTTCTCCCATTTCTATTAGCTCACTTTGCAGGTAAACATTTTCCTGGCTCAGTGACTCAATCACACATCTGAAACAAAATGTGCTGAAAATTGATAATGGTGGGAAAATATTCTGTTTTGCTGTGAATTTTAGATGAACTTGTATATCGATGGTGTACTTTCTCTCCCAATGATCCCATTCACTGAAACTATACAACATGAAAAATAAGCCTCCAAATATGGATGTTTTATTTGAAGTTTTAAGGATGTAGACTGGAATAAGGCCAAAAAATTTCCATTTGTGCTATCTATGCTAATTCTTAAAAATGTCTGAAATAGACCCATGGAAGAGGAAAAAAATGTAACATGATATATATATGTAGTGTGTGTGTGTATTCCCGCTCTACACGCGTACACACATACACATATACACACACACATAAAATTTCCTTCTGGGTGTTGTCATTCATTTCAAAAATTATCCATGGCAAGTACAGTGGTTTGGAAATATCTTTTCCCTATCCTTTTTTTCCACTTCTGGTGTCCCCTACAGCCATGGCCGCTGTCGCAGGGGAACCCCTATCCCCGGAGGAATTGCTCCCAAAAGGCGACGTGGAGAAGACTAAGGAGGAGTTGGAGGAGGACGACGAGGAGAAGCTAGATGAGACCTGGTCGGAGAGACTATGGGGCCTGATGGAGATGTTTCCGAAGAGGGTCCGGTCTGCGGCCAGAACCTCTTCTTTCTCTCCCTCTTTGTGGCTCACAAAATGTACAGGTTTCCCAGGGCAGCCGTGTGGATTGGGACCACTTCCTTTATGATCCTGGTTCTTCCCGTTGTCTTTGAGACTGAGAAGATGCAAACCGAGCAACAGCAGCAACTGCAGCAGCAGCAGATACTTCTAGGGCCTAACACAGGGCTCTCAGGAAGAATGCAAGGGGCTCTTCCTTCACTTCCTGGAAAGATCTAGATTGTTACTGCCGTATATGAGCTGTCTCCGTGGGAGAAGTCAGAAATTCAATTGTGTTTGAACTGCTGATTATTTGGATTTTTTTTTAACTTTGGCACATTGATCCATCTAAACCTGGTGGGAAGAAATCTCCCCACATTGTCTCATGAAGAGACTTAATTGCAACTGTGCCCTCCACACTATCCTGACTTACTTCAGTCTTCACTCTGATACCACAGTGCAGCCATGCAAATGGTTATTCCAGCTCTGGCCACACACTCTTTTCACAAAATTGCTCCTAACTGGAAGATCTCACTTTCTCCTGTGGGGTAGGAACTGACACCAGTGGGAGGGATGTGCCCCTGACCATTAATGACTGCTTTCTTTTTTTTCCTTAAAGAATGGAGCTGTTGGGGAGGGACATGCACACAATGTAAAACAGACAAAATGCATTACAACTGTGGTGTAATGTGGCCACTATGAATCCCTATGTATAAGAGGAAAGAGGCTGGCTGCAGCTTTAGCCACAGGATGGGGACTGGGGAAGACAGAGCAGGAGCTCATTTCCTCTGCACATTTTGGCTGTTAGATTTGTGTGTGTGTTTAAAAAAAGAGAAGCCAGTGCTCATTTTTTGTATTTAAATATTAAAAGTGATTCCAACTGAAAAAAAAAAAGGCTTTTCCCCAAAATAAACACAGAATACAGTAAAATAATTATTGTGTAAAATATAATCAATATCAATATATAATCAAATATATATAATATATGCAGAAAATATAATCAAGTTATTAACTGATTATATTTCTAAAGACTATAAATGTAATTTCTATTCATACTAAATTGGAATGTATTCTTAGAAAGGGACTTAGACGTACATATGGTATAGGAAGTACGTGCTTGTGGTCAGTTTGTATCTGGCAATCTGTGACTTAATTTTGATCAAGAATGTGCCAGATTTATATTTAAAAATACATTCACAGTTTTATTGAGATACCATTGAAATATTATACAATTCACTATCTAAACTGTATCAGTCAGTGGTTTCTGGTATATTCAGACTTGTGCAGCCATCACCACAATTACTTTTAGAACATTTTCATCAACCCTAAAAAAAACCCTTACCCATTAATAGTCATTCCCTACACTCCCAACTCCCCTAGGCCACCAATCTAATTTTTATCTCTACAGATTTTTCTATTCTGGACATTTTTGATAAATAGAATCATATAAATATGACGTTTACAGCTTAGATTTAAATAATAAAAACAACTAACATTTATTGAGTGCTTACTATGCAGTAGATATTCAATACAATAACCCCATGAGGTAAGTACTATTATTATCCCCACTGAAGACGAGAAATGTGAGGCACAAAGAGGCTACATAACTTACCCAAAGTCACAAAACAAGTAAGATGGAGAAGGATTTGAACCAACACAGCTGAACCCCAGAGTTCCCTCTCAACTACACTATAGTGTCTTTTGATTACCTCCGACACAGAACTTAAACAAAAGAAAATAACAGAAAGAAAGAATCAGGCTTGAGAAAGACACAGTGAGTTATAGCATAGCCCAATGAGTTATAGCACCTCACAAGCAGTAAAGCAAACAGTTAAATTTAACTGCTTCAAATTTGAGCATCTGTATCAGTAAAGTCTCATCTAAGAACTTTCTGTGATTAGTAATAATGCTCCTTAAACAAGAAGCAGACAGCATGCAAAAGAGGATTCCAGAACTCGAAAGGATATAATGTTTGGATGTTTAGTCACACTCAACATTGCTAAGAGTTATCACCAGTTTCTTAGTGAAGAACTGAAGATTAGTATAAGAATCCATTTCTAGGGTTTATATGGAAATACAAAGGCATATAATCATATAGCCTACATAATATAATCTCATTTGAGAAGCTGAAAGACATATATACACATATACACATACACATACACACACACAAATGTGTGGAAGGAGAGAGGAAAGAAGTGAAGGCAGGAGGAAAGAAAGGGGCAAAGGAGGGAGGAAAAGAGGAAGAGTGAGGGCAAGCAGGACCAACAGACAGATAGAGGCATAGCCAACAGACTAAAAGTATACAAACAAAGCTGGTAGTTACTTGTCTTTGAAAGAAGAGATTATGGGTGATAATTATTATTATTTTGTTCAATCATATTTGCTCATTTTTCCACAATGAGCAAAAGACATGTTTTTGCCCCCAAAAAATCACTTTAATATAATCTTAATTTGAGGCCATTGTCCTCTAAAATACTCTACAGAACTCCAGTTATTGACTTTAATTCACAGGGCATCATGTCTCTATATGAAGCTTCCTCATTCTCAATGAATCTTTTTATATTCATCATAAATTCCCAAATTAAAAAATATTTTGAGGAATCATACTACATATTACAACATAATTTAAGTAAACAAACCCAAAAGTTAATTCTTTAAGGTATCTGCATTTTTTCATCTTTTCATAGCGAACCGCTTCCAACTTCTGAATTTATAATTTGCAAATTATATCTTATTCCAAATAACTTTAATCTCATATTTTCAAAATCAGATTATATTTATATCTCAAGCCTAAATGAGGTGGAATTAGTTGTAATTAAAACTGAGGTATAAAGGTATGTAAGTTTATATAGTTGGAATCACTTATTTTGGCTAATATAATGGATCCTCTAATAATATTTAAACATAAAGCGACATTTAGTTTAAAAGTAAATTCAAATAAGTTTATAACTTCAAAACCTCATTTTAAAAGACATCCATTAAAAGGTTGTCCTAACATGGAGACAGGGAGTAATCTACCCCTTAGGGTAATAGGCAGGTCTTGAGGTCAATGTTTTTAATAGATCCCTGAAACATCAATGTATTTCATTATAAAGTTAAAAAGTTATTCCCAGTTTTGTAACTTACCAACCAGATGATATACTAGCAAATTCTGGGAAAATAATGTCTTATAGCTACATTGAAGATACACACAAAATGAATATATATCCTTTAAATATAAAAGGCTACTCTAGATAAATACTGAAGACCTCCTCTTACCTCACTGCTTCTAGCAACCATTTCCTCTTAACCCTCCCTTCTCTTCACCTTCACTTCCTCTCTTACAGGCAGGGAGAGAAACAGTCAACTATAAAGAAAGAAGGCCAACTGCATGGCAGCTCTTTGGCTATGATAATTTTTTAAATTGCTTGTAGATACTTTTTTTTTTTTCTTTCAAGAGACAAGATTCTCCTTATGTTGCCCAGGCTGGAGTACAGTGTCTACTCACAGGCACAATCGTAGCGCACTACAGCCCTGAATTCCTGGGCTCAAGCAATCTTCCTTTCTCAGCCTCCTGTGTAACTGGGACTGTAGGCATGTGCCACCATGCCCAGCTCTTGCAGATACTTTAAGAGTCACCTGTGGCTTTATTTAGTTATGATAAAACATGTCCAGAAAGATATAAATAATGAAGAAAAATTGGATACCTTGTTTGGCTTCATTCATCACTCATTTTAATCTTTCTAGCTTTTTAAATCCAGTTTTCAATGGATACACTAACAACTAGTTCAGAGTAAGGCTGGCAATAGAGAGAAGGATGGCAGAATTTTGCTCCTCTGCAAATTCAGGGCCAACACATTTGTTTCTTTGCCCTGCCCTCTTCTTCCGACCCCTACCTGCTCTGAAGTGCCAATCTCCACTCTATACTCCAAGATCCCTTTTTGTCCAGTCCCATTTACTGTGCTGTCCCAAATTCCTCTAGTCAGAATGGTGTCAGAGTGGGGGAGAAATGGAGAAGAAAGGGAAAAAAAGAGGAAGGAAAGGAAAAGCCCCACTTTAAATCATTATCCCAATCCTTTGGCTCCTCAATTTGTAGTATTAACCTATTTAGTTTTGTTATTTTATATTTTGTAGGGATGGGGTCTCCCTATGTTGTCCAAGCTGGTATCGAACCCCTGGGCTCAAACAATCCTCCTGCCTTGGCTCTTAAAATGCTGGAATTACAGGAATGAGCTGCCACACCAGGCCCTTATTTTGTTTTTAACCATTCTCTCCCTAAGATCTCCAGTTCTGTCCTTCTGTCCCATCACTCGCCATCCACCCACACACTGAACTCTAGCTCCAAATATGGGATTGTGGAGTAGCTCACATCTGGATAATTCCCAGTCCTTTTGCTTTAGTGCTAACATGCTGGACATCAATGTATTTTCCCAAAGAAATATTATCATAAATATTATTTGTTTCTATAGTAGCATTGGCACTGCACTTCAACTATATTTTATAGATTCATTTATAGGTTGAATAACTTTTAAAGATGGGCTTGGAAACATAAATAATGTTTAAAAATATTATGTTCTTGTAGGATTATGTGTTCTAACTTTTCATAGCCACAGAGATCATTTTATCCATGACAAATTTAAAATGAAAGAAGCCAAGTATCTTATTGAAGGCCACAGAGTTTGTAAGTGGTAGAGCCAAAACCTAAAGAGGGGTCTGTTATATATGGCATTGAAGACTGTACAATTTCTATTCTACCATGGAATCTCCTAAAACACATGTATGTTTTTTAATTAAGTCAATGAAAACTCTGAAAGGCTAAAAATTTTACTTCTAATCCTTAAATTTTTTTAACTGAGTATCATTCATTCAAACATTTACTGGGTACTGTTTTACCTAAAACTCCCTCTAGTAATCACCAATACTAATAAACTATTACTGACATTGTCAATGAAAAAAATACTCAAATTATTTTAAAAACTCACCACTGATATTAGAAATTTATCATAATTATTTCTTTTACCTATGAATGTTTGATGTGCTGAGACTTCTGCAAAGGTAACAGATTGTTATATATAAGACACCCTTCTTGCTCAAAACAGAAATGCTTTATTGAAAAAATGTTTTTTTAAAATCTGTGGACTGTCATTTTCAAAACAAGAATAATTTATTTTCATTTCTCATAACTTCTAAAGAGTAAACTGAATTTATAAGAATTATCAATTTTTTGTCAATAATATAAAAAGAATTTGTAAAACATGAAACAAATTTACTTTTTCATGAGACAACGATTGTTACTATTAAATTCTAGGTAAATTGTAACTTAGAAATAAGATTACACAGTGCCAATTTGATGTACCTTAACAATGCTAACAGGTTAAAATTCCATCAGGTTAGAAGTGTACACCAGGATATATATATATATATATATATATATATATATATATATATATATATATATATATATATATATATATGGCTCATCCTTTAAGTTCAAACAACAATCTTGATTGACAAAGAGGCTACTGTATCCAGTGGAACCTCTGGGAACTACTGTAGAACTAGAATAAGACCATCAGCAATGAATAACATATTAGTGGTGTGAGTTTTCCACTGATTTAAAAACATGTGAATGTCATCCACTTTTGAACTTTGACATCAGTGAAAAATCACAAACAAAATATTCACATTTTTAAAACCACCTAAGAATGTCATTTTTATTGCAAGTGTCTGAAAGGCAACTGGCCATTTTTGACATGATTGTGTCCCATTAAGTCCTTACCTTAGGGGTCGCATTTTAGGTTCATGCTGTTTCTCCATACAATATTTCTCTTTGCCTTCTACTAAAACAATTTATATTCATTATAAAATGTTAGAGTAACTATCTGGGCACAACTACCTCAAAGACTGACAGGTAAAAAAATGACAACAGATTTGCCACAAGTTTCTCATTCTTAGAGTACACTCAACAAATGAGCAGGCTAATTTTTTTCTACCAATAAAGAAAGTCAGATCACAGTCATGTGACTTGGTGTAATAAGCTTTGTATTCTCACAGGAAATGATTCACAGCATTTATGAACCTATGTTTTCTCATGTTTTCCATTTGTTTTGAGGAAAGTAACACTCCTAACAATCTCAATACTTCTTCTCATTGAACAAATTTTGCATTTTTGGTAAACTCACAGGTTTGGCTGCCAATAATAGAAGTGCCTCATTTCATCTGTATATATCTTCTGAGGAATAATGGCTTCATGTTTGTCCTTGTCTATATATAATACACACACACACACACACACACACACACACACATATATATTTTAATTTTTTTTTTTTTTTGAGATTTAGTTCTGCTCTTGTTGCCCAGGCTGGAGTGCAATGGTGTGATCTTGGCTCACCACAGCCTCCACCTCCCAGGTCCAGGCGATTCTCCTGCCTCAGCCACCCAAGTAGCTGGGATTACAGGCATGTGCCCCATGCCTGGCTAATTTTGTATTTTTAGTAGTGACGGGGTTTCTCCATGTTGGTCAGGCTGGTCTCAAACTCCTGACCTCAGGTGATCTACCTGCCTCAGCCTCCCAAAGTGCTGGGATTACAGGCATGAGCCACTGTGCCCGGCTCCATGTCTATTTTTATAAGAAATTAAATTATCTTTTAAGAAAGACCATGTATTTAGAAAGCCACGAGCATTAGATTTTTCTATTTTCTACTTTTTTTCAGTCCTCTTTCACTTAAAACACATGTGCAAGGCTTCCAAACCATTTTATTTCTTCCTAATCATTTATAATAATTTTTCCCAGACAATTTTAATAATCTACCCCTAAATGTTGACATTATGGACCAGAGTTTAGACTCTATTCTCTTTCCCATTCCCCAATTTATCAATCTCGTCTGCTTCTTCAATCTTCTCTTATTCACTTAAACTTTCCCAGAGTCTAGTCTCTCCAGTCTAAGAAAGAGAGAGAAGGAGGGTAGGAAGGGGACAAGAAAGAAAAGAAAAACCCTTAATCCTCTAGCAAATGGCCCTATCTTTTTCTCTCAAGCTTCTTGAGTTTACTAAACTCACTCTTACTTCCTTATTTCACATTTATTTCTTAATCCACTACCCCAACCCACCTACAGAAATTTCTCTAGCAGCTTACCACTGACCATCAGATTGCAGATGAAGACTTTTTACCTCTCACTTACTGGATACATCTAGAGCAATAACAATAAAGATAATGCTGTCCTTACTGAAATTGTGTATTTAGTCAACTTTCTCTCTTGGTTTAAAAACAATCACTACTCTTAACTCTGCGTTTGCTAAGTGATCAGTCACTGTTCTAGGTGCTCACGCGTTTTAGTTCAGTGTTTTTTCTCACTACTGGCTGTTAGCCATCAGTGAGTCACAGCAGCTTTTTAATTACATAAATTAGAATAGGAAATATCCAAATATATCACATGTAGGAAGGTTCAGTATTTTTCTGGGAAATTTATATACATATATATACATGTATATATGGTAACATAATCATAATATATAAAATATCGTTCTTATTTTGGGTTGTCACATCAAAAACATTTGAAAGACAATGTGTCGTATTCAATCCTCAAAGCCCTACCTATGAGGCCCACATGTTAATTTACACTTTTCATAATGAAGAAAATGAGGTGTAGCAAAGTTATGTAATTCGTCTAAAGTCAGACAGCTAGTGTGACAGCTAACAGTAGCACCTAAATTTAACAAGGTATTTATAATGCCTCTTGCCACTACTCTGGCCTCTGCTTTACTGACTCCTTTCCTACTGCCTATGCTTCAAACATCAAGATTCTCCAGTCCATACTTGGAACACTTTTTCTTACTCTCCATATTCTCACTACAGAACACTATCAACCTGCATGGTTTAAACTAATATCTACATGCTGATAACTCCTAAATTTCTATCCCTGACCCAGATTTATCACCTGAGCTCTGAATACCCAACTGTTACCCATTATTTCTCTAGCTGAATGTCATAAAAGAACCTCAGCCTCAGTATTTGCAAAGCTTGTATTCAATTTTCACACATTTTTCCTATTTTATAATTTGCTTACCTTCCAGCGTTTTTCATCTTCCTCATCCAAGCAGCAATCCTCATATCTCAGATAAACCTACTCTCCACCGTATCATTGCCATAAGTTTTGGTCAAGTCCTCACCATTTCTCTGCTGGATAACTGCAAGAGCATCCCCTATTACCTGTGATATACTCCCTCCAAATCCCAAATTCACTCTCTGCATTGCTGCAAGTAATCCCTTTACAATAAAATCTAATTATTTAAGGCACATCTCCTAACTCTGAAATACAACTTTTAACCTCTAAATTCTGTATATAATTTGATTTATTTAGGCTAGGTTCTTATGTATTTTTAAGCAATATTTTTTTAAAAAGAACCTAAGACCATATATTTGGCCACAAAACAAGTCTTAAAAAATTCAAAAACTTGAAATCATATCAAGTCTCTTCTCTGACCAGAACGGAAAAAAATTAGAAGTCAATAACAAAGGAAACTTTGGAAACTACACATAGACATTAAACAATACACTCCTGAGTGACCAATGAAAAAATTAAGAAGAAAATTTAAAAATTTCTTGAAACAAATGAAAATGGAAACACAACAAACCAAAATCTATGAAATACAGTGAAAGCAATACTAAGAGAAAAGTTTATAATAAGCACCTACATCAAAAAGCAGAAAAACTTTAAGCAAACAACATAACAATGCATCTTAAAGAACTAGAAAAGCAAGAGCAAACCAAGCCCAAAATTAGCAGAAGAAAATAATATCAAAATAGAATAAAATACATACAAAAATACAAAAGATCAAAAAAATGAAAAGTTGGTTTTTTGAAAAGATAAATAGATCGACAAAACTTTAGCCAGAATAACTAAACAAAATGCACAAATACATCAGAGATGAAAAAGGAGACAGTGCGATTCATGTAATTCAACTGAATTACAGCAGAAATGCAAATGCTCCTAAGAGACTATAATGATCAACTATATGCCAATAAATTGGAATACCTTCAAGAAATGAATACATTCCTAGACACATACAATCTACCAAAATTGAACCATGAAGAATTCCAAAACCTGAATAGATCAAAGACAAAGGATGAGATTGAAGCTGTAATAAAAAGCCTCCCAGCAAAGAAAAGTCCAGAACCTGATAGTTTCACTGCAGAATTTTACTATAAGAACTAATACCAATCCTACTCAAACTATTCTAAAAATAAAGGAGAAAAGAATACTTCCAAACTCATTCTATGAGGACAATAGTACCCTGATATCAAAACCAAACACATAGCAATAAAAGAAAACTACAGGTCAATATATCTGATGAACACTGATACAAAAATCCTCAACAAAATACTAGCAAACCAAATTCCACAGCACAGTAAAAAGATAATTCATCATGAAAAACTGGGATTTATCCCAGGGATACAAGGATGTTTCAACATAAGCAAATCAGTACTAAGTGAAAGCAGTACTAAGAGAAAAGTTATAACAATAAGCACATCAAAAAAACAGAAAACCTTTAAACAACCTAACAATGCATCTTAGAGAACTAGAAAAGAGCAAAGCAAGCCCAAAATTAGCAGAAGAAAATAACATCAATGTAGAAATAAATGAAATACACACAAAAAATACAAAAGATCAACAAGACAAAAAGTTGGTTTTTTTGAAAAGATAAATCAATCAATGTGATACATCATATAAACTATGAAAAACAAAAAACATATGCTCATTTCAATTGATGCTGGAAAAGCACTTAACAAAATTCAACATCTTTTCATGATAAAAACCCTCAAAAACCTGGGTATCAAAGGAATATACTTCCACATAATAGCAGTCACACACAACAGACCCACAGATAGTATCATAGTGAATGAGAAAAAACTGAAAGCCTTTCTTCTAAGATCTGGAACACAACAGGGATGCCCACTTTCATGACTGTTATTCAACGTAGTACTGGAAGTCCTAGCTAGAGCAATCAGACAAGAGACAGAAATGAAATTCAAATTGGAAACAAAGAAGTTAAATTATCCTTCTTTGCAGATGATAGACATGGAAAAACCTAAAGACTCTACCAAAAACTATTAGAATAAACAAATTCAGTAAAGTTGCAGGATCCAAATCAACATACTAAAATCAGTAGCATTTCTATATCCCAACAATGAACATTCTGAAAAATAAATCAAGAAAGTAATCCCATTTACAATAGCTACAAATACAATTAAATACCTAGGAATTAACGAAAGAAATGGAAGATCTCTACAATGAAAACTATAAAACACTGATGCAAGAAATTAAAGAGGACACCAAAAAATAAAAAGATTTCCATGTTCATAGATTATAAGAATCAGTATTGTCAAAATGTCCACACTACCCAAAGCAATCTACAGATTCAGTACAATCTGATCAAAATGTCAATGACAGTCTTCATAGAAATAGAAAAAAAAATCATATAATTTATATGGAACCACAAATGACCAAAAATAGCCAAAGCTATCATAAGCAAGAAGAACAAAATTGGAAGAATCATATTACCTGACTTCAAATTACACTACAATTACACTACTTCTTCAAAAGAAGACATACAAATGGCAAGCAGGTATATAAGAAGGTGCTCAACATCACTGATCATCAGAGAAATGCAAATCAAAAATACAATGAGATATCATCTCACCCTAGTTAAAATGGCTTTTATCCAAAAGACAAGCAATAACAAATGCTGTGAGAAGATGTGAAGAAAAGGAACCCTTGTACACTGTTGGTGGCAATGTAAATTAGTACAACCACTATGGAGAACAGTTTAGAGGTTTCTCAAAGAACTAAAAATAGAACTACAATATGAAACAGCAATCTCACTGCTAGGTGTACTCCCAAAAGAAAGCAAATCAGTATATCAAAGAGATATCAAGCACTCTCACATTTATTGCAGCATTATTCACAACAGCCAAGATTTGCAAGCAATATAAGTTCCCATCAACACATGAATGGATAAACAAAATATAGTACACACTCACGATGGAATGCTATTCAGCTATTTTCTTTTTTTTTTTTTTTTTAAAAAGGCTATCAAGCTGGCAGCCAAGATGGCTGAATAGGAACAGCTCCAGTCTAAAGCCCCCAGTGTGAGCGACGCAGAAGACGGGTGATTTCTGCATTTCCATCTGAGGTACCGGGTTTATCTCACTAGGGAGTGCCAGAGAGTGGGTGCAGTACAGTGGGTGCAGGGCAACATACGCAAGCCGAAGCAGGGCGAGGCATTGCCTCACTTGGGAAGCACAAGGGATCAGGGAGTTCCCTTTCCTAGTCAAAGAAAGGGGTGACAGACGGCACCTGGAAAATCGGGTCACTCCCACCCTAATACTGCGCTTTTCCGACAGGCTTAAAAAACGGCGCACCAGGAGATTATATCCCACACCTGGCTCGGAGGGTCCTACGCCCACGGAGTCTGACTGACTGCTAGCACAGCAGTCTGTGATCAAACTGCAAGGTGGCAGCGAGGCTGGGGGAGGGGTGCCTGCCATTGCCCAGGCTTGCTTAGGTAAACAAAGCAGCTGGGAAGCTCGAACTGGGTGGAGCCCACCACAGCTCAAGGAGGCCTGCCTGCCTCTGTAGGCTCCACCTCTGGGGGAATGGCACAGACAAACAAAAAGACAGCAGTAACCTGTGCAGACTTAAATATCCCTGTCTGACAGTTTTGAAGACAGTAGTGGTTCTCCCAGCACACAGCTGGAGATCTGAGAACGGGCAGACTGCCTCCTTAAGTGGGTCCCTGACCCCTGACCCCCGAGCAGCCTAACTGGGAAACATCCCCCAGTAGGGGCAGACCGACACCTCACACGGCCAGGTACTCCTCTGAGACAAAACTTCCAGAGGAACGATCAGACATCAGCATTCATGGTTCACAAAAATCCGCTCTTCTGCAGCCACGGCTGCTGGTACCCAGGCAAACAGGGTCTGGAGTGGACCTCTAGCAAACTCCAACAGACCTGCAGCTGAGCGTCCTGTCTGTTAGAAGGAAAACTAACAAACAGAAAGGACATCCACACCAAAAACCCATCTGTTCATCACCATCATCAAAGACCAAAAGTAGATAAAACCACAAAGATGGGGAAAAAACAGAACAGAAAAACTGGAAACTCTAAAAAGCAGAGTGCCGCTCCTCCTCCAAAGGAACGCAGCTCCTCACCAGCAATGGAACAACGTTGGACGGAGAATGACTTTGACGAGTTGAGAGAAGAAGCCTTCAGACAATCAAACTACTCTGAGCTACAGGAGGAAATTCAAACCAAAGGCAAAGAAGTTGAAAACTTTGAAAAAAATTTAGACGAATGTATAACTAGCATAACCAATACAGAGAAGTGCTTAAAGGAGCTGATGGAGCTGAAAGCCAAGGCTCGAGAACTACGTGAAGAATGCAGAAGCCTCAGGAGCCGACACAATCAACTGGAAAAAAGGGTATCAGTGATGGAAGATCAAATGAATGAAATGAAGCAAGAAGGGAAGTTTAGAGAAAAAAGAACACAAAGAAACGAACAAAGCCTCCAAGAAATATGGGACTATGTGAAAACACCAAATCTACGTCTGACTGGTGTACCTGAAAGTGACAGGGAGAATGCAACCAAGTTGGAAAACACTCTGCAGGATATTATCCAGGAGAACTTCCCCAATCTAGCAAGGCAGGCCAACATTCAGATTCAGGAAATACAGAGAATGCCACAAAGATACTCCTCGAGAAGAGCAACTCCAAGACACATAATTGTCAGATTCACCAAAGTTGAAATGAAGGAAAAAATGTTAAGGGCAGCCAGAGAGAAAGGTCGGGTTACCCACAAAGGGAAGCCCATTGGACTAACAGCGGATCTCTTGGCAGAAACTCTACAAGCCAGAAGACAGTGGGGGCCAATATTCAACATTCTTAAAGAAAAGAATTTTCAACCCAGAATTTCATATCCAGCCAAACTAACCTTCATAAGTGAAGGAGAAATAAAATACTTTACAGACAAGCAAATGCCGAGAGATTTTGTCACCACCAGGCCTGCCCTAAAAGAGTTCCTGAAGGAAGCACTAAACATGGAAAGGCACAACCGGTACCAGCCGCTGCAAAATCATGCCAAATTGTAAAGACCATTGAGGCTAGGAAGAAATTGCAACAACTAACGAGCAAAATAACCAGCTAACATCATAATGACAGGATCAAATTCACACATAACAATATTAACTTAAAATGTAAATGGACTAAATGCTCCAATTAAAAGACACAGACTGGCAAATTGGATAAAGAGTCAAGACCCATCAGTGTGCTGTACTCAGGAAACCCATCTCAAGTGCACAGACACACACAGGCTCAAAATAAAAGGATGGAGGAAGATCTACCAAGCAAATGGAAAACAAAAAAAGGCAGGGGTTGCAATCCTAGTCTCTGATAAAACAGACTTTAAACCAACAAAAATCAAAAGAGACAAAGAAGGCCATTACGTAATGGTAAAGGGATCAATTCAACAAGAAGAGCTAACTATCCTAAATACATATGCACCCAATACAGGAGCACCCAGATTCATAAAGCAAGTCCTGAGTGACCTACAAAGAGACTTAGACTCCCACACAATAATAATGGGAGACTTTAACACCCCACTGTCAACATTAGACAGATCAGCGAGTCAGAAAGTTAACAAGGATACCTAGCAATTGAACTCAGCTCTGCACCAAGCGGACCTAACAGACATCTACAGAACCCTCCACCCCAAATCAACAGAATATATATTTTTTTCAGCACCACACCACACCTATTCCAAAATTGACCACATACGTGGAAGTAAAGCTCTCCTCAGCAAATGTAAAAGAACAGAAATTATAACCAACTGTCTCTCAGACCACAGTGCAATCAAATTAGAACTCAGGATTAAGAAACTCACTCAAAACCGCTCAACTACATGGAAACTGAACAACCTGCTCCTGAATGACTACTGAGTACATAACGAAATGAAGGCAGAAATAAAGATGTTCTTTGAAACCAAGGAGAACAAAGATACAACATACCACAATCTCTGGGACACATTCAAAGCACTGCGCAGAGGGAAATTTATAGCACTAAATGCCCACAAGAGAAAACAGGAAAGATCCAAAATTGACACCCGAACATCGCAATTAAAAGAACTAGAAAAGCAAGAGCAAACACATTCAAAAGCTAGCAGAAGGCAAGAAATAACTAAAATCAGAGCAGAACTGAAGGAAACAGAGACACAAAAAACCCTTCAAAAAATTAATGAATCCAGGAGCTGGTTCTTTGAAAGGATCAAAAAAATTGATAGACCGCTAGCAAGACTAATAAAGAAGAAAAGAGAGAAGAATCAAATAGATGCAATAAAAAATGATAAAGGGGATATCACCACTGATCCCACAGAAATACAAACTACCATCAGAGAATACTACAAACACCTCTACGCAAATAAACTAGAAAATGTGGAAGAAATGGATGAATTCCTCGACACATACATCCTCCCAAGACTAAACCAGGAAGAAGTTGAATATCTGAATAGACCAATAACAGGCTCTGAAATTGTGGCAATAATCAATAGCTTACCAACCAAAAAGAGTCCAGGACAGATGGATTCACAGCCGAATTCTACCAGAGGTACAAGGAGGAACTGGTACCATTCCTTCTGAAACTATTCCAATAAATAGAAAAAGAGGGAATCCTCCCTAACTCATTTTATGAGGCCAGCATCATCCTGATACCAAAGCCGGGCAGAGACACAACCAAAAAAGAGAATTTTAGACCAATATCCTTGATGAACATTGATGCAAAAATCCTCAATAAAATACTGGCAAAACGAATCCAGCAGCACATCAAAAAGCTTATCCACCATGATCAAGTGGGCTTCATCCCTGGGATGCAAGGCTGGTTCAATATACGCAAATCAATAAATGTAATCCAGCATATAAACAGAGCCAAAGACAAAAACCACATGATTATCTCAATAGATGCAGAAAAGGCCTTTGACAAAATTCAACAACTCTTCATGCTAAAAACTCTCAATAAACTAGGTATTGATGGGACGTATCTCAAAATAATAAGAGCTATCTATGACAAACCCACAGCCAATATCATACTGAATGGGCAAAAGCTGGAAGCATTACCTTTGAAAACTGGCACAAGACAGGGATGCCCTCTCTCACCACTCCTATTCAACATAGTGTTGGAAGTTCTGGCCAGGGCAATTAGGCAGGAGAATGAAATAAAGGGTATTCAATTAGGAAAAGAGGAAGTCAAATTGTCCCTGTTTTGAGATGACATGATTGTATATCTAGAAAACCCCATTGTCTCAGCCCAAAATCTCAAGCTGATAAGCAACTTCAGCAAAGTCTCAGGATACAAAATCAATGTACAAAAATCACAAGCATTCTTATACACAAATAACAGACAAACAGAGAGCCAAATCATGAGTGAACTCCCATTCACAATTGCTTCAAAGAGAATAAAATACCTAGGAATCCAACTTACAAGGGACATGAAGGACCTCTTCAAGGAGAACTACAAACCACTGCTCAAGGAAATTAAAGAGGATACAAACAAATGGAAGAACATTCCATGCTCATGGGTAGGAAGAATCAATATCGTGAAAATGGCCATACTGCCCAAGGTAATTTATAGATTCAATGCCATCCCCATCAAGCTACCAATGACTTTCTTCACAGAATTGGAAAAAACTACTTTAAAGTTCATATGGAACCAAAAAAGAGCCTGCATCACCAAGTCAATCCTAAGCCAAAAGAACAAAGCTGGAGGCATCATGCTACCTCACTTCAAACTATACTACAAGGCTACAGTAACCAAAACAGCATGGTACTGGTACCAAAACAGAGATATAGATCGATGGAACAGAACAGAGCCCTCAGAAATAACGCCGCATATCTACAACTATCTGATCTTTGACAAACCTGAGAAAAACAAGCAATGGGGAAAGGATTCCCTATTTAATAAATGGTGCTGGGAAAACTGGCTAGCCATATGTAGAAAGCTGAAACTGGATCCCTTCCTTACACCTTATACAAAAATTAATTCAAGATGGATTAAAGACTTAAACGTTAGACCTAAAACCATGAAAACCCTAGAAGAAAACCTAGGCATTACCATTCAGGACATAGGCATGGGCAAGGACTTCATGTCTAAAACACCAAAAGCAATGGCAACAAAAGCCAAAATTGACAAATGGGATCTCATTAAACTAAAGAGCTTCTGCACACCAAAAGAAACTACCATCAGAGTGAACAGGCATCCTACAAAATGGGAGAAAATTTTTGCAACCTACTCATCTGACAAAGGGCTAATATCCAGAATCTACAATGAACTCAAACAAATTTACAAGAAAAAAACAAACAACCCCATCAAAAAGTGGGCAAAGGATATCAACAGACACTTCTCAAAAGAAGACATTTATGCAGCCAAAAGACCCATGAAAAAATGCTCATCATCACTGGCCATCAGAGAAATGCAAATCAAAACCACAATGAGATACCATCTCACACCAGTTAGAATGGCCATCATTAAAAAGTCAGGAAACAACAGGTGCTGGAGAGGATGTGGAGAAATAGGAACACTTTTACACTGTTGGTGGGACTGTAAACTAGTTCAACCATTGTGGAAGTCAGTGTGGCGATTCCTCAGGGATCTAGAACTAGAAATACCATTTGACCCAGCCATCCCATTACTGGGTATATACCCAAAGGACTATAAAACATGCTGCTATAAAGACACATGCACGTGTATGTTTATTGCGGCACTATTCACAATAGCAAAGACTTAGAACCAACCCAAATGTCCGACAATGATAGACTGGATTAAGAAAATGTGGCATATATACACCATGGAATACTATGCAGCCATAAAAAATGATGAGTTCATGTCCTTTGTAGGGACATGGATGAAATTGGAAATCATCATTCTCAGTAAACTATCGCAAGGACAAAAAACCAAACACCGCATGTTCTCACTCATAGGTGGGAACTGAACAATGAGAACACATGGACACAGGAAGGGGAACATTACACTCTGGGGACTGTTGTGGGGTGGGGGGCAGGGAGAGAGCATTAGGTATATCTCCTAATGCTATACGACAAGTTAATGGGTGCAGCACATCAGCATGGCACATGTATACATATGTAACTAACCTGCACATTGTGCACATGTACCCTAAAACTTAAAGTGTAATAATAATAAATTTTTTTTTAAAAAAAAAGGCTGTCATTTGCAGCAACATGGATGGGACTCAAGGACTTTAAGTAAAATAAGCCAGGAAAACAAAGAGAAAAATCACATGTTCTCTCCCTCATTTATGAAAGCTAAAAATTAAGACAATTGAACTCATGGAGATAGACAGTAGAATACGGGTTACCAGAGGCTGGAAAAAATAGTGGTGGGGCAGGGTGGAGGGTAGTGGAGTTTGTTAATGAGTACAAAAATATAGTTAGATACAAAGAATAAGAACTACTATTTGATAGCACAACAGGGTGACTACAGTCAACAATAATTTATTGTATATTTAAAAATAACTAAGAATATAATTAGAATGTTTGTAACACAGAGACATGATAAATGCTTGAGGCAATGAATCATTTATCCTGATGTGACAGTTAGGTATGCACTGTATGCCTGTATCAAAACATCTCATGGACCCTGTAAGTATATACACCTACTATATACCTATAAAAATTAAAAATTTTAAAAATTAAAAATAAACATAGAACCGAATTAACATTAAAGACCTTTCACTTAAAAATCAGTAAATGGTTTAAACGCCAAGATCAAAAGTTTTTTATATGCTTCTAAAGTTATCTCTAATATACTAAGGTATGTTTATATAAAGATGTTCAAGAATAATCACAAGTCTTTCACTCAAGACTTGCAGGTTGTCCAGCCAATAAATAGTCTGGTTTTCTTAAATAGATAAACTAAATCTACACCTTGAGACTAATAAAATCATTTATTTATGCCTTCACAGAGAATTGATTAGAATTCTCAAATGGCAAAAAGAAATGTTTCTAAAAGTTTAAAGTATAACAATAAACTCTGACTTACACTGATTTCTAACTGAAACTGCCATGCTGCACAATGTTGACATCAGATTATTTAAGATATTTCTACTGTGAATCAGTCCCATATAGTCTATAGATTAACTGCTATGACAATTCAATCTATATGTTAAAATAAACTTGGATTTGTTGTTGCTTTTGCAAAGGGATGTGGAAAGAATTTCTAGCTGGTACTTACTAGGTTGGGATTGAAGGAGTTATAATACACTTTACAGTACTATTTTAAATTTATCTATAAAAATTATGCAAAACTACTTCTTTTCTCTCAAATATTCCCCATAGACAGATACCTAATGGTGGGTATAAAATCAATGAATTAATATTTTTAAATGTTGCATTTTTCTTTTTTATGTGTGAGTAGGGTTAAGTGCAATAGTTTTGATGTTTATTGTTGATTCTTTCTTTTGCTTCTTAATTAAAAGATTTAGTAATCAAAAGAAACTGATCTCTTTTCTACATGACTGTTGGGAAGACCCCAATCAATCCTGAATGAAAAATTATGATGAATGCAAACTGCTTTGCCCATAAATACATATTTGGAAGTAAAGAAATTATTTCAAGGGGTGCATGAGACCAAATTTTCTAAAAAGTTTTTAAATATGACTTCTGCTTGGCCAAAATCGATAGAAACAAACAATGCCCTAAGGTACAGCAATGATAATAGCATACATAATAATAATAAGGTGATTGAACAAAGGATGTAAAACTATTATGAAGAATGCCCACTAAGATTATACAAAAAGCTCTTTCAAAACATCCTCAGGATATATTTCACCTTCCCTTGTAATCCAGTTCCTAACAGAATCCATAGCATGTATGGGTATCAAGAGACACTTGTGATAGCTAGCTACATGGCTGGCAGGCCAGCTGACCAGAACAGAAGTAGAGCCCTCTCCTCGCACAGTACCTTTTGCCAGCCCAAGCCTTGAAGCATTTCACATTACACACCAGAAGTAAGTGGATGATTCCATTTGAACGTAAGCCTTACTTCTGGTGCATAATATGAAAATCTGATTATAACATATGAGATAATATATGTAAAATAACTATTAAAAAACTATTAAGAGCTATGTAAAAGGAAGTTATTTCATTACACATTATAGTTTTCACATAGTTTTCAATATCAAAAACGTGTTGCTTTTAAGTAAATTCATAGTATAGTCATCACATCTTGTGACATCTTTGGAAAATATTTATGAAACTACTTCTCAAGTTCTTTCTTTGAAAAAAAAAAAACTGGCATATTTTCTTTTTATTGAAAGCAGGCCTCATTTCCCCATTTCCCCTTTGCCCATTCACAGATTAGGATAAAAACACAAGTTGACTTATTTCAAATATAAAATTCTTCCCTATCCTCTTCTCAAAGGAGGTTACCATAAATGGAGTCCTGGGAACAATATCATTTGACTATCCAACTTCATGCAATTAGATTTAACATAATTGTTAATAAATGAAATAAATGTGTCCTCAAATATATGTATTTATAATAAAATTTAATTTTAAAATAAAATATTCAAATGCAATTGGACCTGCCAAGTGTTATGTACAATAGTGTTTGTTCATTCCCAACACAAGCTAGCATACAGACAAATCTAATATTGTTTTGTTTGGTTGTAATACTTTATAAATTGTTTGATTTTACCATTTACCAAACCTCTGTTGAGCTATTCAAACAAACTTCTGCCAAGAACAGCGAATTTGGTGATAGTACTTCTTTTAGGAGAAAAACAACCCCTTTCCTCAGAAAATTAAAAGTGTTTATTTTGGCACTTAAACCTTGTATTGAGCCTTCTGGAAAGTATTTTAAACTGTTGTTTTTAACCTAGACTTGTGACTGAAACAGGAAAAGGTTCCGTAGCTCTGCACCAAAACACATATTTATAGGGTTGATTTTCTTTCTACACCAAAAATACTGGGTTGATGGCAGCAGTTTTCAAAACATAATTTCCTAGACCCATGCTATAAATTGGGTCTTTATTGGTGTATTTAACAAATGATTTATTTTTAAACCTCAAAAACTTCTGATGACTAAGAAATGCTACACGTTAATCACATATGTCTTTAAGTGCCACAATGGGAAAGATTTTAAATACCTGTTCTGTTAGGAATTTTCACGAAAAAGAAAATTTACTTGAGATTGGACTTTCTTCTTGTGTATGTCAACAAGTTATGTTTCTAGTTTTTAAGCTTTTTACGATTGCATTTTCCCTACTGGGTATGCTATATCTTCAGGCTAGATAGAACATAAAAATATGAAGACAAACTATGTGAACTTTTTGGAATATTGTCTTAATAATGTGTCTGAATACAATTAAGAAGTTTTTAGAAATCAATGAGTCATTGTTCCTAACTCCCACAACCCACTTCTAAATTATTAAAATATAGGAAAGAGGCCACAGGAAAAGTGTATTGCATATGCAGATACAGTAAAAGTAATAAATAGATCAAACAATTTCACAAAGACAACCAGACAGCTCCAATAATTCTTCAGTCATTAATGACTGATACAAAATCCTATGCATCCCAATGACTGATACAAAATCTTTTGCAGTTCAAGTCCTCCCTACCTTGACTCGTCATCTATGTTTCCCCTTCTAAAAGCCTGGCTGTCTCTTTACAAGAATAATTACAGTAACATCATCATTTTTTATTTGCATATGACATTTTTAAAACTCAAAACAATTTAAAATTATATAATTGTGCTTTATAAAATGTTTATTAGGACATACTAGCAGGAAATTGGTGGTTTAAAAATCACATAATAGAGATTTATGATCTCTATTATGTGATCCAGCAATCCCACTGCTGGGTATATACTCAAAATAAAGCAAATCAATATATCGAAGAGATATCTGTACTCCCATGTTTGTTGCAGCACTGGTCACAATAGCAAAATTTGGAAGCAGGCTAAGTGTCCACTGACAGATGAATAAATAAATAAAATATGGTACATAATATACAATGGAGTATTATTCAGCCATAAAAAAGAATGAGATCCTGTCATTTGCAACACAGATGGAACTGGAGATCATTATGTTAAGTGAATTAAGCCAGGCACAGAAAGGAAAATGTCACATGTTCTCACTTATTTGTGGGATCTAAAAATCAAAACAATTGAACTCATGGACATAGAGAGTAGAATGATGGTTACCAGAGGGTGGTAAGAGTAGTGGGGAGCAGGGGGAGGTGGGGGTGATTAACGGGTACAGGAAAAGAAAGAATGAGACCTACTATTTGATAGCACAACAGGGTGACTATAGTCAATAATAAATTGTACATTTTTAAATAACTAAGAGTGTAAATTGGATTGTTTGTAACACAAAGGATAATAGCATCTGGTTATTATTCATCATATCCCTGTATCAAAACATCTCATGTACAACTACTATGTCCCCACAAAAATTAAAAATAAAAATTTTTTTAAAAATTCTGGTATGGTTGGATTGTTTTATTCTTAAAGAAATATATCTACCAAATATATCCTACTAAAAATCCGCAACTGTCTTTGCTAATTAAGCACAGATTTTAATTTGAAAAGCCTGGTCCTGTCTGCTAAGACTGAATTTTGCTAGATCCATAAATATATAAAAAGATCTATCCAAATGAGGGCAATAAGAGTAAAATAAATGGAAATTAATTGGTATCACTAAAAATAAAGAAATAAAGATTATAAAGGAGGGGACTCTCCCTAATCAAAAATCATTCGCACACTGCTGGGATTATACGAAGATGGCAGAAATCCCTCTTACTGGCATTTAAATCTTGGGCCATCCTAACACTCTTCCCCTTAGCCCCCAACAAACCTGAGACCAGTGTCAATGAAAAGTACAACTTTGACATTATAACAAACAATATTTTACAGACTATCATTAATGTGCTAGGTTATCCTTGCAGAAGGCTTAGATAGAGATCTACTGTCATTTTTTCTTATCCAAATGTAAAATGTTGATTGTTTTACAAGCAGAGTGAAAAACACTTAGGTATTTACATACAATCAGGTCCATAAAAGATAAAAATTCACTTATCAGGATTTGAGTCCTATTAATTGACATATTCAACTTTCTAGGATGAACTTATAAATAGAATGGGGGGTGGGGAGAATAAGTCTTCCTTCCCTCTCTTTCTCTTTTCTTAACTCACAAAGGAGCAATGATTTACCTCTGTCCACTCTGGGCGGGGGTGCGGGGGGAGTATGCTGCTTGTAAGGGATAATTATTTGGAGAATACTTTAGTTTCGTGGTTGATGAAATTACAAAGAGATACTGTTTGGGGTATTAAAGTAAATAAGTATAACAGAACATACCTGAAAAAGAACATGTACATGGCAGCTGTGATGCAAAACAAAAGGACCTGTAACAAAGAGAAAATATATTACTTGCAAAAGAACACTGACATCACCATTTGAGTGACTCATAAAAGCAAAATACTATTAAATCTTGTGCCTGAAACAATAAAAGGATATACAAACCAGTCACACACATTTCATATTCCTCAACCTTTCATATAAACGAAGCTTGTTCAACCTGCAGCCTGCAGGCTGCATGAGCCCCAAGACAGCTTTGAATGTGGTCCAACAAAATTTGTAAACTTTCTTTAAACATTGTGATTTTTTTGCAATTTTTTTTTAGTTCATCAACTATCATTAGTGTTAGTGTATTTCAAGTATGGCCCAAGACAATTTTTCTTCTTCCAATGTGGCCCAGAAAAGCTAAAAGATTGGACACCCCTAATATAGCCCATATTAGGAGAATAAATTGCAATACTTATATGTAACTATCATCATGTATATAATTATATATAATACATACATATATAGACGGGATAGAAGGGTAACAGGGTTCACAAAAAAGGGAACAGCTAATTTTTAACTGTCTGTTAGAAAGCCTAAACATGCAAGCTTAACTTAAAAACAAGGACAACAGCTTTTGTATAATCAGTTCAGTGAATAAATCAGAAAGGTTATTAACTATGATATGAAGATGACCAGATCTTCTAATGTAAAATATAGTCCAGTTGTCAACCAATTCTAATCAATAAGAAAAGCTCATAAAAATACAATATTCCTTTGTGGAATACAGACTAGCTATAAAAGTAATTCCTCTAGAAGCAGGCACAAGAACATCTGAAATGATGATCTCAAAAACATCACAGTAAACACAACATATTAAGATGGTATGTTGAAGGAACCCAGAACTCCAGTCCTGACTAACGTCTTAGTTATACCAAAAAAACAGATTAGAAAAGTTGTTTTAAATCACAAAAATTAAAATTGTAGAATGCATTCTTATGTTAAAAAACAACAGTACAAATTAAGCCTAAGAATCGTCAATGGCCTCACATCACAGACAAATAAGAAATGAACCTTCTTTCTATTGTGAAAGGGTGACCACAAGAACAGAAATGAAAACACTGCAAAAAATGTTTTGCTATTTCTAACACAAATAATTTCTAGTCAACCTGATGAAAGCATGGTAGTTTTGCCATTACAAATCAAGCTTGACAAGTTTGCTGTCTTAGCCTAAGATAAGCATTATACATACAGCCTGAATGACTTAGAAATATATAAATATACCAATGAAAAAGAGGATTGTTATCAATTAATATGAAGTAAATATTATATATATTTATGTAACATTTTATATCTATAAAATCTTTCTGTGCTAAACACACATACTCTCCTCCCCTCCCTCTTTCCCTCCTTCCTTCCTCTCTCCATCTCTCTTCTCCACTGACTTAAAACACCCTATCCATGATGCATAAGGTTCATTTTACCATTTCACTGTTTTTAGAAACATAACTTAAAGCATGTAAAATAACTTTCAGTTATTCTAATTGATTATAAATTGAAGTCTAAGTGGGTTTATTTACTGGTTATAATTTGCCTAACAAAACCCAGTCATGACACTCAATTTTTTTAAATTTCTCTATCATTCAATCCCCGTTGGACAATGTCATCCTTCCCAGATGTTCAATGCTTCAGACTTTTCCTGCACTAATCAGTGTCCCCCTTGCAGATCACACTAAAAACCTCTCTAGAAGTATCCCACAAATCTTTCACACACTCTTCATCTTCTCTAAATATCCAAAGTCTGCCTTCCCTCAAAATGTTGCCAGGTTCTATCCTAATATGCTAACCTATCTGTGTTCGTACTAAACTGATAATTATCTTTACAAATAATACACTTGAAACTGAGAAAAAGTACAATGTTTAAGAACTCAAGCTTTAGAGTAAGATAGATCTGGGTTTGAATCTTAGTTCTGGGTAACTCTAGATACTTTATATAATTTCCCTAAACCTTAGACCCCTTATCTATAAACTGAGAATAATATCATACTTCGAATTATTTAGAAGAATTAGTGAGATGATGCATATAAAAGTGGAGGCATCAGCAGATTGTTTTTATCTTGTTTTGTAACTGACATAAGTGATCTAGATAGAAAAACCTAACCCAGAGACATAAATCTGGAAAGAAATTATTTTTAATCAGGCAGCCCTTTTGAAATCTCTAATATCACCAATAATTAGGAGAATAAATCAAAAGGATATTACAGTGCAATTGACTGATTCATTAAACAAATATTTACTGAATTCCTACCACGTGCCAGGCACTGTTCTAAAACTTAGAACAATGCACAAAATGGACAAAAGTCTTTGCCCTCATGGAACTTATCTTCTAGCCAGGTGAGAGAATATATTTTTAAAAAGATGTATGTTAGACAGTAGTAGGAGTTTTGGAGATAAATAAAGTAGAATAAGAAAAAAGAAATACAGAAGACTGGGGATTGTTATTTTATACAAAGTGGTCAAAGAAGAAGAGACTTGTTAGCAGAGACACTATAAGAGAAAAGCCAGAGGACCATATGCATAGAGCCCCTGGAAGGATTTTGGATTTTATCAAGAAAGATGGGAACTTAATGCAAAATATGTTTGTTATTATTTTAGTTAAAGATGCTAAAAACAACATTTCATTTTTAGCTAAGTTTTTAAAAAGTTTTTAAAACTGTGCTAGTTTATCGTTGTGACTTTCACAAAGTATTTTTCCAAATAAATCTAAATCCACAGTTAAATAATGAAGAATATTTCCTCTGTGTTTGAAATTACAGAATTTTAGAGCTGAGATAAATTTTGAAACAAACCATCATATTTTTTCATCAGGAAACTCAGATCCTGAAAAGGTAAGTGATATGCCCATACTCACTGAGCTAGCTGTATCTTACATTCCTTCATTAAACAAATATTGGCCAAGTGGTTACTCTGTACCTGCTAGATAGGATATTTAAATATAATTCTGACCCTCAAGGACATTACAGGATACTGTAGTCCAATACTGTAGTTACTGGACACGTGTGGCTATCTAAATGATTTAATAGCTTTATTGAGGTATAATTAATATAAATTGTACATATTTAAAGTGTACAATTTCATAAGTTTCAACATAGCTATATACCTGTAAAATAATCATCATAAGCAAAATAATAAACATATTCACCCAAAAAGCTGCTTATAGCATTCTCCCATTATTTGTTGGATGGTAATTCCACCTTTCTTTGGCTTGATGTTAGCTCTCTTGTAGTTTTAACTGATTGGGGTCTTTATATTTGAAGTGCATTGCTTGTAGGCAGCATATAATAGTTTCCTGCTTTTTTATTCTATCAGAAAATCTTTGTGTCTTAATTGAGATATTTAGACTATTTACATTTAATGTGATTATTGGTATCCTTATGTTTAAATCTATCATCTTGCTATTTATTTCTCTACTTGTCTCTTACTGTTTTTTCCCCTCCTTTTTGCCCCTTTTAGATTAACTGAGTTTTTGTTCTGTTTTGCTTTGTTTTTTGAGACGGACTCTCACTCTGTCACCAGGCTAAAGTGCAGTGGTGCAATCTCGGCTCACTGCAACCTCCACCTCCCAGGTTCAAGCAATTATCCTGCTTCAGCCTCCCCAGTAGCTGGGATTACAGACATGTGTCACCACACCCAGCTAATTTTTGTATTTTTAGTAGAGATGGGGTTTCACCATGTCAGCCAGGCTGGTCTCAAACTCCTGACCTCAGGTGATCTGCCCACCTTGGCCTCTGAAAGTGCTGGGATTACAGGTATAAGCTACTGCCCCCAGTAACTGAGTATTTTTCAATAATTCCATTTTATTCCCTTTGTTGGTTTATTTTAGTGTTGGTTTTATGGTTTATAGTACACA
The DNA here is from genome assembly GCF_000001405.40 of Homo sapiens. Classification (NCBI taxonomy): domain Eukaryota; kingdom Metazoa; phylum Chordata; class Mammalia; order Primates; family Hominidae; genus Homo; species Homo sapiens. The sequence goes on along the minus strand of NC_000011.10, from coordinate 87,232,789 downwards.
TCTCTAAATTGTCTATATTCAAATGACATTATACTACTTAACACATAGAATACAAATCTTCCAATAATGTATTTCCATTTCTGCCCTCGACCTTTGTGCTATTATTGTCATCCATAGTGCATGTATGTACAGATACATCTAAATTCATCATATTTTAATCACTTTGACTTAAAAATGTAGGTCTGCAAAAAGTTTTTTCATTTTGTTTTGAAAGATACTTTTGCTGGGTATAGAATTCTGGGTTGATGGATCATTCTGTTTCAGTGGTTTACAAATGTCACTCCATTGTCTTTTCACAATTTGTTATGATGTGCCTGGGGTAGTCTTCAAAATATTTCCTGTAGTAGGAATTATTAGGCTACTTGGATCTGTGGGTTTACAGTTTCTATTAAATTTGAGTAATTTTCAGTCATTATTTCATCATTATTTTTTCTTCTCCTTTCTCCTCTGCTTCAAGAACTCCAACTACATGAATAGGTTACCCACAACTCACAGATGTTATCTTTATTTGGTGATTAAAAAAGAAAAAACAAAACCTTGGCCAGGCGCGATGGCTCATCCCTGTAACCCCAGCACTTTGGGAGGCCAAGGTTGTCAGATCACTTGAGGTCAGGAGTTCATGACCAGTCTGTCCAACATGGCAAAACCCTGTCTCCACTAAAAATACAAAAATTAGTCAGTCATAATGGTGCATATCTGTAATTCCAGCTACTTGGGAGACTGAGACATGACAATTGCTTGAACCCAGGAAACAGAGGTTGCAGTGAGTGAGATTGCACCACTGCACTCCAGCCTGGGTGATGGAATGAGACTCTGTCTCAAAAAAAAAAAAAAAGTCTCTTTTCTCTCTATGTTTCATTTTAGATGGTCTCTATTCTTATGTCTTCAGGTTCACTAATATTTTATTCTGCAATGTATAATCTGCCATTGATACAATCCAGTAAGCTTTTCATCTCACATATTTTAATTTTCATCTCTAGAAGTTTCATTTTTCCTTTTTCCCCCTATTTCCATATCTCTAACTTTTTGAAACTATAAAATTCAGTTATGATAACTCTTTTTAATGTCTTTGCCTGCTAATTTAACATATTTATAAGTTCTCATTTGGCATTAATTTGCTGATTTATCTCTTCATTATGGCTCAAATTTTCCTATTTCTTATTGCATGGTGGTAATTTTTTACTGGCTGTCAGCCATTCTAAATTTTACCTTAATGGATGTTGTCTATGTTTGTATTCCCATAAGTTTTCTTGAGCTTTGTCGTGAGACACAGTTACTTGGAAATGGTTTGATCTTTTAAAGACTTGCTTTTAAGATATTTTAACAAGAAATGAAATCCAGGGCTAATTATTCCCCATTACTAAGGTAAAACATTATGTGTACTTTACCCAATGCCATGTGAATCTTTGAGATTTTCCAGTCTGGCTAATAAAACAGTATTCCTATTCCTGTTTGAGTGCTAACTACTCAATTAAAAACCTCTAATTCTTCAGATTGTTCCTTCTTTGGCCTGGAGCAGTTTCCTCACATGTAAGCCCTACTCAGTAATCAGCTGAGTACTTTCCTCTCTAGTCCCCTGTTCTGTGAACTCTATCCAGCATGGTCCGCCTACACTTTGAGCTTTATTTCCTCAACTCAGAAAGTCCTCTAGGTTTTGTCTGAGTGACGCCTCTTTGATCCATGCCTGGAAATTCTCTCTAGACAGTAAGCTTGGGTAACTGTAGAGCACATTTGTTTCCTATATCTCAGGGAACACTGTCCTTCAATACTTAATATCCAGGATCTTGCATACCATTTTTTCATAGACTTTGTTCATGTTTTTGATCAAGTTGCTTCCACTCTCCAACTGGAAGAGCAAATCTATCACGGGTATCAAATCATGACTGGAATCAGAGTGTGGTTATTTAAATTTAAATTAATTTAATTTTAATTAAATTAAATAATATTAAAATTTGTTTCCTCATTCACCCTAGCCATATCTCAAGTAATCAAAAGCCATATGTGGTAGTGGATACCATAACAGACAGGACAGATATAGATCATTCTCATCACTGCAAAAAGTTCTACTGGACATCTCTAGACAGTGAATGACATTTTCACTGTGTATTACAGCAATGTTTTAGCACTTTACATATTTTAACTTTAGCTGCAAAGTATACATCTGCACATATATATACTTTACACTTTCATGTGTAAATTGACACAAAAAATCAATGATCATATCATTTAATTTGTTCACTTGTAGAAACAATATAATACTACCTATTACATATGCCATAAGGATTTATATATAATGTAACATACATAAAGCCTAATAGTGTGACTAGCACCATCATAGATGCTCAATACATGGTAATTTTTAACTTGAAAAAATTTCTCTATAATTCATTACCACTTCACAGCCATGGGGCAATATACTTCAGAAGGATGAGTAATTCTGAAATTGCTGTTTTCACTTTTTTTAAAAAAAGTTTTAAATTCAAAAATTAATATCAGTCATACTAAAACATGGATGAACCTCAAATACATTAATACATTATGCTAAGTGAAAGAGGCCAATTACAAAGACCAATTATGTATGATATTCTTAATATAAAATTCCAGAACAGGCAAGTCCACCTATAGAAAGTAGAACAGTGGTGGCCTAGAGTTGGAGGAGTAAGGGGTGATGGAGAGGAACTACTAAGGGATGATGAGGAAGGACTGCTAATAGGTACAAGAATTCTTTGGGGGAAATGAAAAGGTTTTAAAATTAGATTGCAGGGTTGGATGCCACACAACTCAGTAAATATTTGAAAAACCCACGAAACTGATATATTAAACTGGTAAATCTTATAGCATATAAACTACACCTCAAAAAAGCTGTTAAACTGATACAAAAAAAGTAATGCATGTACATGATAAAAACAAAAATTCAAACAGAATAACAACAAAAAGAAAGTTCCCTTCTAAGACTTTTGGACTTTTATAGAATGTTGTATGAGTATGTACATACCTTTGTACATAGATACACATCAAATAAAGACATTGTCTTAAAGACATATACTTTTCAATTTTACATACACAAAGCATACACATATGGATATGCTGAAGTTTATTTAAAGTCTCCTATGAATCAGAGTGGATGCAATAAACATTTCTAAATACCAAAGCATACTTTGTAAACATCTCTGGAGGTGAATTCTTGTCAAAGGACAAGTACATTTTTAATTTTGACAAATATTGCCAAATTGACCTCCAAAGAAAACTATACCAATATATACTCCCCACAACAGCATATGAAAGTAGCTATTCCCTTACACTAGTTATTTTCCTATACCCATAAAAACTGTGTTTTATCAAACTGTTTTATCCTTGCCAGTCTGATGGGTGAAAGAAATATTATTTCATATTATAGTTACATCTCTCTTATTAGTGAAGCTGAGCCTCCCAGGTTTATAATCCTTTTGTTTGTTTTTTTGGTTGGCTGGTTGGTTGGTTAAACTACTTTTTCGTATGCTTTATTTTTAGTTGGGTTAATGGCCTTTTAGAAACCATTTTGTTTTTTTGAAACTGAATATATTTATATGAAAACATGGAATTTTATTATCAACAAAAATATGGATGGTTAAATAAAAGCAAACACATAAAAGAAACGTCAAAATGTATTAAGCCAATATAACATGAGGGTACAGAAAGTATAACAAATAATGTGCAAATAAAGTTCATTCAGCTGGAAAATAGTGTTTTCTCTCTGCAAAGACTTTGTAGGAAATGACAGATTTACAATATATTGTTTCCTGTTATAGGTCTTACAAAACTTTCAAGAAAAACTGTACTATTCTGTCATCACTATGTCATGTAGAATTACACGAAAACTATGCCTCACAAGCAGTAGCAAAGAAACAAAATCACAATATAGGAAGTCCTTAAAATAATCAGAAATATCAAAAATGTGAACATGACTGAAGGTAAACACAGCCTGTTAAAGAAAGCTGTTTTTACTATTTAAGCCTGCAAGTGGTTAAAACATATATCCATTTTAAATTCTACTAGAGAACTGAACACATGGTACATTTAACTATTTCCCACCACAGAACTCTTCTGCTTTTCATTAGTGTATTTGATTATTTGATTTTTGCACCTGATCACAGTGCCTGTGGCCATTCCTTCTTGAGTATCTCCAAAGACATTGGTGCTTAGTGAGTAGTGAACCTAGCTAGCCTTCACTATTCACCAAACTCATCTCCCCCCGTATTCATTAAGATCCTCTTCCTTCCATGACTCAGATAAATACTGACACTCATTGCTCTTCTCAAGAAGAGCAATACGCTTCCTCTTGCGCCGTCTGTACTTCATTCATATTTTAGACATGTTTCTACCTATCCATTCAACAAAAATTAATCTGGTGTCATGTGTTTCTAATATTTTATAACTCTGCAACTTGAAAGGAGACAGATGTAGAAAGGTAAGCTCCGGATTCAGGAGCCTTCATGATCTTGAATAAAACAGAAAAGACAAGGAACCACAAATTCTCACCCTCCTTCATTTATTTATTCCATATCTGCTATAGTCCCAGCACACTAGGGGAAAATAACTACCTAATACTTGATTCTTGTTGCCCTGAAGAACATAGTTTGGTGGAAATGCAGGCATATTCCAATAGAACACAATAGGATAGAAGTATTTACACTTCATCCTATAGGTGGCACTCACCAAAACATCTGATTATATTGTTATTTTAATTATTTAATACATTTAAGCAATGGTTTTGGTGTTGTTTGTATACTTTCTTTATAACTCTTACTTACTTAGAACACAAAGTCCCAGAGGGCAGAGTCTTTTAGAACCACATACGTAGATACGTTATTGATAATAAGAGTTTTTATAATGTTAGTTTCTATTTAAAGAAACCATCTGTCAAAGAAACTAAACAGTACTCCCATTCATATACTTTTTTAAAAGACTAAACTTTAGACTCTGCTAAGCATCTTCAACTTTTCTGAAAACAGACTATTGCATGGTCTCTTTGTGAATACAGCTCTTACTGAACAAGTAAGTATTATTATAATTTACAATGTGTGTTCAAAGTCAAAATATATGCAACATATCATTATCATAATATTTACTTGTCTTATATGTAATTTTAAGCAACACTATCCTAAAGTTAAATAGCTATGTATTGTCATATAACAAATTTTTTAAATCATTGTTTAATTAAAATCTCCCATAATATACAGTCCATTTTTTTAATTAGTTCATTTGTGTTGGATTAGCAGCTTTACCTAATTTTTTTTTATGTTTCTATTCCTTGATAAAACAAATACAGGGAAAGTATAAAAATCTTAAAGAGCATTTAGAGCCAAAAATGCCAGACTAGAAGTAAGAAAGAAGTCCTGGGTCTCCAGGTTAAGACTGTAAACTTGATGAAATCACTGTAATTCTTTAAACCTTAATTTTTCACCCATAAAAAGAAGTTACATTAATCCCTAAGATACTTCAGAACTTCAAAGTTCTATCATTCCATAAGTCAATTTTTTTCAGTGTAGAAGAAACATTTCAATGCATATTGTAACTAATATATAATATTATAATAATATAGAATAAGCCAAGTCTCAGAATTTATGTATACACCAAGAAAATAAAATTACTTTCACTGAATTGAGTGTGGAAACTCACAGTAAATATGCCAGAAACTTAGGCCTAGACTCTTACTTGCACTATTGGCCATTGTGTTTTTTTGTTTTTGTTTTTCTTTTTTTGAAATGGAGTCTCACTCTATTGCCCAGGCTGGAGTACACTGGGGCAATCTCAGCTCACTGCAACCTCCACCTCCCAGGTTCAAGTGATTCTCATGCCTCAGCCTCTCTAGCAGCTGGGATTATAGGCATTTGCCACCACACCCAGCTAATTTTTGTATTTTTAGCAGACACGGGGTTTCACCATGTTGGCCAGGCAGGCTGGTCTCAAACCCCTGATATCAGGTGATCCACCTGCCTCGGACTCTAAAAGTGCTGGGATTACAGGCATGAACTACCACACCCAGGCAACCATTCTTGATTTATACCTTCAAGGCCACTAAACAGAGTCTGGCAACACATTAACCTTTAAATATTCCATTTGTAGAAGCAGATATGTTAGAGTGGCTGGGTGAAGTACAGCCTATATGCTATCCTGTCCTTTTATAGTAAGTACATTATTTGTAGTTGCATCTTGTCTTCTGTAAAAACAGGACAATTTAAAGTAAAGTTTTCAATACTCAGTAAGTAATATTAACTATATCCTGGAAGTTAGAGTCCTTATTACAACAAAATTCTAATTCCGCTGACAGATTTTTAAAAATAAACAGTTTAAAATAACTTGCTACTTGAAAGATTACAGATAGAGATTTACATATGGAAAAATCCAGCCTTTATTTAAAATATAAAAGAAAATTCAATGGTCAAATAACAATCAAGACAAGAAATCATTCATGAAACAGAATACTAATTCAAGTATACTCTCAGAGCTGGGACTATAAAAGCTAATTAGACATCATCATTAAACACCCAAAACATTTTATTCACATCTCTATTTACCATGTAAAGGAAATGCAGTTTATTGGAAGTAAAGGTTAGCTAATGATTTAGGTTTACAATTTACCAAGACATTCAGCTGCATCTTTTCTTTCCCATGGTTCCTCTATTTTATGGTCAATTAATTGGTCATTGTAAGTCATTATAATTAAAAATGCAATTCAAAATAAACAAGAAAAGAATTACTGTGGACAGGAAGAGTGAGGAACTAAAAGGAGCCATGGGAGAGTTTAAAGATGGATAGTTAATAAAGGCAAATTTCTTTTTAAAGTAACCAATGAACATGGAGAAAAAGAAAAGAGGAGGAATAAAACAATATTCATAATAATAAATTATTAATGGTGCCAGGCACTAGACAAGTTTTTACCATTCCTACTTTAAAGATAAGGCAATTGGACTCAAAAGTTAGGGTACTCACCTAAAATCACAGAATATTTAAGTAGCTGAAGCAAGACTCAAAGCCAGGACTGTCTGACTTCAAACTGAAGCTTTCAATTATACCCCTCTGCCTCTAAAAAGTACTTTATTCTTAATAATGTTGGTTTAGTGACTACTGAGCTTCCAAAGTAGGAGTAATCCCCCTAATGCTTCCAAAGGTAAAAAGAAATTTGCCTTCACTAACTATCCATCTTTAAACTCTCCCATGGCTCCTTTTAGTTCCTCACTCTTCCTGTCCACATTAATTCTTTTCTTGTTTATTTTGAATTGCATTTTTAATGATAATGACTTTTTTTTTTACAAGATGTGTCTGTCCTTGTAAAAAAGGGAGTGAGGAGAATCTCAGAGTTCAGCATAATAATAATAATTATAGAGTAATAACTTCATAAATTGCAGATGTTATTGAATGGTCACCATATGTTACATGTTATATGAAGTCCTTAACATACACTGTTTCATGTAATGCTCAAAACACCCCTGCGATGTAGGGATCATTACCCCTACTTTAGAGATGAGATTTAGAGAGACATAGATAGTTAGGCGATTGAGCCAGGTTTTGAAACCAGGTAAGATTCCAAAGCCCATGAGCTGTCATGGATTTCTCTCAAGTACTTTTAAAAATCCCATTAAAGATTTATAGCATTTACAAATTTCATTCAATTTCATTATGAAATTTTCATACTATTTTCATGTATAGTAGATGAAACAGTAAGTTAAAATATAGTCTGTGTTAAGAAGCTCGTTACCTATACAATGAACAAGATTTAAGAAAAGGTGACAGGAAAATTCCATAATCCTTATTTATTCTAGTGAAGAACAGCAATGTAAGAAGCATAATTTTTAAATTTCCAAAATAAATAATCTAAATATTATGAACAAAAACTAAAACCTCACTTGTTTACATATATAGTAAGATGAGAGGATAAACTGCATGAGTAAGCTTTTCAATGTGTTTATATAAACTTACAAGAGATCATTCTTTATCCTAATGCTGCCAAACATGTTACTTTTTCAAATTCAGAAAAAAAAAAAAAAAAACTCACATGTCATTCAGCATACGGAGAAGGAGAAGAAAGGTGCTATATGAACTCAGGGCAAAGTTACAGCTGAAAAAATATTATGTTTTCAGTAGGGCAAAGTAGACAGGTCATCTATGTGAAGTCTGCTTGTTATAAATGAACAATTTGTAGTAAGTTCAGTATTTTCATCCAAAGGGTGGTATTCCCATTAACCTCAAGTAAGAATAAGAACCAGGCTTAAGGTGATATTATGTTTTTCCTCCTGAGACATTAAAAAAATAAATAAATAAGAGCTTCTAGATTACTTTAGAAAGGTCACAGCAAGGCCACATAACAAACAGCACATACCAATATGGCAATTCAGATTTCTGTCATTTGACAAAAGCTAAGAAAGATCACTAGAATGAAGATTATTGTTCACTAAGGTGGCCAATAAGATAGCACTCACTCACTACTTCACTAAACTACAAGGTTTTGTGGACAAAAGGCCAACAGTGGCCCTCTAACTGAGTTCCACATTTTTTTAAGTGTATATTGATAGCCAGTTTAATCCCAATACATAATTCAAGAAAAAGCACCCATCAACAACAAGTAGGACATATAATCTCTTTACTTGTTTTAATTACAGCACATGAGTACGTTACTCACATATTAGTATAACAGAGTAACACTTAGTTCTCCCAAATAGTCTGCCCTGTTGCCCAACCTCAAGCCATCTACCAGTTCCCTGGGCATATGGTCATTCCAAAATTCATTTGAGAAAATCTTTCCTTAATTAGGCATGGTATTGCTCATATCTGGTTTGGTTTGGACCTATCCAGCTGCAAATTCCTCTTTTCATACTCAGTTCCCGTTATCATTTCTTCAGTCAGAAAAGGTCCTGAACTAATAATGTTTTGGGGGTTTTTTCTTTCTTTCTTTCTTTCTTTTTTAGACAGTCTTGCTCTCTTACCCAGGCTGGAGTGCAGTGGTGTGATCTCGGCTCACTGCAACCTCTGCCTCCCAAGTTCAAGCGATTCTCCTGCTTCAGCCTCCAGAGTGGCTGGAATCACAGGCATACACAACCACACCCAGCTAATTTTGTGTGTGTGTGTGTGTGTGTGTGTGTGTGCGTGCATGTGCGTATTTTTAGTAGAGACAGTGTTTCACCATGTTGGCGAGGCTGGTCTGGAACTCCTGACCTCAGGTGATCCCCCCATGCCCAGACTTTTTGGGGTTTTTTTTCTAATGCAGTTAAATGAAGACTTAAAGCGCAATGAGTGTATGCACTTAAATTCTGAATCAGATGAACTGTAGAAGTGCTTTTCAGGCCGGGCCACGGTGGCTCACGCGTGTAATCCCAACACTTTGGGAGACCAAGGCAGGCAGATCACAAGGTCAGGAGATGGAGACCATCCTGGCTAACACGGTGAAACCCCGGCTCTATTAAAAATACAAAAAAAAAAAATTAGCTGGGCATGGTGGCTGGCGCCTGTAGTCACAGCTACTCGGGAGGCTGAGGCAGGAGAATAGCATGAACCCGGGAGGCAGAGCTTGCAGTGAGCCGAGATCGCGCCACTGCGCTCCAGCCTGGGCGAAAGTGCGAGACTCCATCTCAGAAAAAAAAAAAAAAAAAAAGTGCTTTTCAACTCCATTTACTGCAGAATATAGACTTCTCGATTATGTCTTTCCAAATTAATCTACACACAAGATTTTTTCCTTTCAAGCTTCCTATGCTTATTATAGCAAGGAAACAACTGACCATAACCTATCAATTGTGTTGTGTAACCTTAAGAAACTTCATTTTCTGTGCTTTTGTCCCCCTCTCCAATTAGCATGACAAACTCAGCAATCCAGTCTATCACTACAAGATGTAACGATGTTGAATAGAGTTTTGCAAAATACTTACAAAAGTATTTTAACAGTTTATAGATTAGAGAGTGATATAACAATAATCAACAGTGATTTTTTTTTCTTTCTTTCTTTCTTTTTTTTTGAGACAGTTTCGCTCTTATTGCCCAGGCTGGAGTGCAATGGCATGATCTCAGCTCACTGCAACCTTCCACCTCCTGGGTTCACGCCATTCTCCTGCCTCAGCCTCCCGAGTAGCTGGGACTAGAGGTGCCCGCCACCACACCCAGCTATTTTTTGTATTTTTAATAGAGACGGGGTTTCACTATGTTAGTCAGGCTGGTCTCGAACTCCTGACCTCAGGTGATCCGCCCGCCTCAGCCTCCCAAAGTGCTGGGATAAGAGGCGTGGGCCACCACGCTCGGCCCAGTAATTATTTTTTTTTTTTTGGAGACGGAGTCTTGCTCTGTCACACAGGCTGGAGTGCAGTGGTGCGATCTCGGCTCACTGCAAGCTCAGCCCCCCAGGGTTCACGCCATTCTCCTGCCTCAGCCTCCCGAGTAGCTGGGACTACAGGCGCCCGCCACCACGCCCAGCGAATTTTTTTTGCATTTTTAGTAGAGACGGGGTTTCACCGTGTTAGCCAGGATGGTCTCGATCTCCTGACCTCGTGATCTGCCTGCCTCAGCCACCCAAAGTGCTGGGATTACAGGCGTGAGCCACCATGCCCGGACCAGCAATAATTTTTTTTTTTTTTTTTTTTTTTTGAGACAGAGTCTCGCTCTTTCGCCCAGGCCGGACTGCAGTGGCGCTATCTCGGCTCACTGCAAGCTCCGCCCCCCGGGTTCACGCCATTCTCCTGCCTCAGCCTCCTGAGTAGCTGGGATTACAGGCGCCCACCACCGCCTGGCTAATTTTTTTGTATTTTTAGTAGAGACGGGGTTTCGATGGTCTCGATCTCCTGACCTCACAATCCGCCCACCTCGGCCTCCCAAAGTTCTGGGATTACAGGTGTGTACCACGGTGCCGGGCCCCAGCCCAATTTTAATATTGGCTGAAATTTTAATATTTTTAAAAATTCAGCCAACTTTGTTCAATATCCAGTGAGTCTAGAGCAATTAGTAAAAACTTAAATGCTGAGCTAGCTTTGTTTCAACAGTAAAAATGATTTTGATAATAAACATAGGGATGAAAATCTAGTGAAACTGTAAAATCACATTTATCCAGGATCAGCTCTTAGTTATGAATTCCAAAGTGATAGAAGAAAGAAATTTATAGACCAGACGTTACCTCTATCATGGAAATCTCTCTTTTATTTTGTATTCTAGTTGCATGTGGTTAAGATCTTACACAAAATTTGTGTACAGAGAGCATCAAGAATGAATCTAGTCCATATAACCTAAAACACAACAGGCAATCAGTGTCTGTCTACAGGCAAAACCATAATTTTAGGAATTAAAATCTGGAAATGTTTATACAAACTTTAACCCCTAAAATAACATTACTCTAACAACGATGGTGTCAATATTTAGCATGTATGTATAAATAAATAGGTTTACGTGCACAATTCCCCTTTGGAATCCTCTTACCAAAGGAAGTATTCACTGAACTTTCTAAATAAACCCAAAATAATATACTATAAAAATCTGAGTCTAGTCTCCACTTTAGCTGGTTTTTTCATAATGCCTGCATCTAAGAAGACTAACAGGTTTCAGAATGAAGAATGCAATCCTCATATGGTATTTTAGCCCCTCAATTATGTTCACAACCTGATAATCATCAATTCCAGTAGAAATTGTCACAAAAAGAAAAACTAGTTTTGGTTTTTCTTCTCAATCTTTTTTCTCCAGAAGATGTCATTAAAAGGCATGGGAAGAATTGAACAAATTACCTTAAACTTTATGACAACAGCATTCTTAATGTTTCCAGTCTTTTTTTTAGTAGCAATAGCATAGCAACGAGGTTTAGCTTACTTCTCCTGTTTTATTTTGTGAATACATCCGCATTAATTTTTATTTTAAAATAGCAGTAACATGGATGTATATTTATTCTAGGTTTTATTCCAACGAACTACCTTGAAAATGTAGGTTATTAAACATATAGACATATTGGACATAGATTTCATGGTTAAGATTTTTAAAAATTCTTTTTAATCACTCATATAAGTTATAGGCATACCTCTTATCCAACTCTCAGATTTTTTAAGTGTCTACTTTTAAAAATATCTTACAGGTTAGAAAGCAAGCTAGAGTCTTCTCGAAATAAAATTCTACACACCAAAACATGTAGAACATTCTCTCTGGGATATTTCTAAAACACGATGTCTAAATACCATTGCTGTCTCCACCCACAAAGTTAGAAATGAGATGAACAAGCAGTATCTTAGCAGAGTAGAACAACTCCATATTGTCATGCCAGGAAGATCTGGAGTGAAACAGGGTAATAACCTCAAAAACTAAGTTCTCGCAATATCCAAAGCACTTTGAAAGTGATATGACCTGGCCTTCTCAGTCTTCAAAATTTAATTAGTAACAATAAGCCAGACTAATTTAGGATGGAAGCTACAAATCCTGAAGAGTATTTCTAAATGTACTCTTTTTAGTGTGTTAAATATAGGACTTGGCAAAAATGAGGTATGTTTATATATGTCAGCCAAAATCTTCACATGGAAATTCTGTCTTTAATAACAAATAGTTTGATTAATATTTTAACAGAAAATGCCCTAAGGAAAGCAGGTGGTTCCTGGTATACAATATCTCAGTGTCTGAGCTATCCTAAGCATACATTCCTTCATCTTAATCAAGTTAGGAGCCAAATTATAAACCGGCATTTGTGGAGCATGATTTCATTTTTATATAAAGGAAAGTGGGTAAAATGACCAGTTGTTAATGAAAACTAAACATTAAAGTATTGCTAATTACTCTGCTTCAAAAATTTCATGAGAACCTAGACATTTACATGCTTTTTTATTGAGACCTATCTGAGCAAAAATAAATTATCCAATTTTATACACTCAATACTTAGTAGTGACTACAGCATGAATGACTAGAAGAAAAGTTTGCATATTATCTATAATAATATAGTGACATGAATTTCACTTTGGATTGTTATGACACTAAACCACAAAACACATCAGAGCAGTTTACTTATGCCAACTAAGTTTCAACAGAAAACTATTGTCTGATTATTTCATGTAAAACTTATGGTCAGTTACCTCATGTTATAAAACTGATTGTGTCCCCCAAAAATTCATATGTTAAAGCCCTAATCCCCAATGCACCTGTATTTGAAGAGATGGCTGTTAGGAAAGTAACTCAGGTTAAATGAGGTCTTAAGGGTTAGGCCCTAATCCAGTAAGATTGGTGTCTGTATAAGAAGTGGAAGCAACACCAGAGAGAGCTCTCACTTACTCACATGCTTGCTCCTTGCTCGCTCTTTCGCTCTCACTCTCTCACTCTCCCTGGCTCTCTCCCCCCAGCCCCGCCACCACCCCCTGACCACATGCACAGAGGAAAGCCCATGTAAGGAAATACCAAGAAGGCTGCTGTCCATAAGCCAAAAAAAGAGGTCTCACCAGAAACCAACCCTGACAGCACCTTGATCTTAGACTTGTAGCCTCCAGAACTTTGAGAAAACAAATTTCTATTGAATAAGCCATCTAGTCTGTAGTATTTTGTTACGGTAGCCTTGGTAGATTAATAATACGACCTCCAAAATTTAGGTGATTTCTACCCAGATGATTGTAGACCATTCTCAGTATTGATAATTTCCAGTACTCAAACTGCTTCTATTGAAATTCTAATCTACCTCTGAGTTGTTAGCTCTAATTAGCTACATATAAATGCATGTAAATATTTCTAATGTTTTAATTTTATTTAAATAATTTTGAATAGATATTAGACAAGAATCATATTGTCTTGCTTTAATAAAGTATGCATATATGTTTTATGTGAATGACAACTTGTAAATTTTACGGCACAGTTTTTTGAGACAGAGTCTCACTCTGTCACCCAGGCTGGAGTGCAGTGGCGTGATCAGAGCTCACTGCAACCTCTGCCTCCTGGGTTCAAGCGATTCTCCTGCCTTAGCCTCCCGAATAGCTGGGATCACAGGTGTGCACCACCATGCCTGGCTAATTTTTGTATTTTTAGTAGAGACGGGGTTTCACCATATTGGCCGGGCTGATCTCGAACTCCTGACCCCAAGTGATCCACCTGCCTCGGCCTTCTAAAGTGCTGGGATTACAGGCATGAGCCACCGCGCCCAGCCTACAGCACATTTTTATAGCCCTGTGAGTTGACGGCTTGGAATCATGAATGGCTCCAACAGGATTACCATGAATCACTGTGACAGAAAAGGGGATTTAGGCATTATCACCATAAGGAAAAACTACTAAAGCAATATCAGCTGGTATATTCATTTTTCAGATTATCTAGGTAACAGATAGTAGATGTTAAAGAAATAGAGCCCAAGGGAGCTAAGCCTGATGAGACCAAGAATCATTAGTGAGGATAGGTCTAGAGGGGTGGTACAGAGCATGAGGGCAATGGAAGTGATGATGTTACAAATATGGCAAGAATCTGTTCAAAGTAAGTGTTTCCTACTTCATACCTTTGCCAAAGGCCAGTATTATCTGGCCTAATAACTTCAGGCCCAGATAAGTTTTAAAGATCAAAGGGCCCACTTCTAAGTTAAATCCCTAGAGTTTTTTAACACTGACACTAGTGAGATTTGGGGGTGGATAAATTATTTGTTGTCTGGGTGGGGCTCATGGCAGGGAAGAAGGGCTGTCTTGTATTATAGGATGTTTAGTAGCATCGCTGGCCTTTACCTAGACAGCACCCCTCTGCCATCCCCACCAATGACGACAACTAAAAATGCCTCCAAACATAGCCAAATGTCTTTAGGAAGATGTACAAAATTGCCCCCAGTTGGAATTACTGCCCTAGAAGAAGCTTAAAGACTTGGAACACTCATACAATCTTAAGCACTGAAAAAGGCCTGAGAACTATCTAATCCATCCTCTTCTCCATGACATGAATCCCCTCTGCAATGATCCTAAAAGATCACTGTCTAGCTTTTGTTTAAACATCTCCTAGAATAGGAAATTCTCAACTTTACCAGGCAACCAAACCCACCACCCCAACCTTCTTTTTTTTTTTTTGAGACAGAGTTTCACTCTTGTTGCCCAGGCTGGAGTGCAATGGCACGATCTCGACTCACGCAACCTCCACCTCCCTGGTTCAAGCGATTCTCCTGCCTCAGGCTCCCGAGTAGCTGGGATTACAGGCATGAGCCGCCACGCCGAACTAACTTTGCATATTTAGCAGAGACGGGGTTTCTCTATGTTGGTAACGCTGATCTTGAACTCCCATCCTCAGGTGATCTGCCCACCTCAGCCTCCCAAAGTGCTGAGATTACAGGCAGGAGCCACCGCACCCGGCCCCAAATCCCTTTTTAGAACAGTTCTATTTGAAATCCATTTTTGGTCAGTTCTCATTATTGTACTGAAATTTGCCTTTCTCTAAATTATATTCATAATTCCTAGATTTATAAAACACTGATCATTTTTCCACAAACCCAGCCCTTCAAATATATAACTTCTACACCTTGATTCTTTGTAGGTCAAGAGAACTACAAGAGACACACAAACAACATCAATTAACATTCTGTATACCCAATGGTCAAGGAGTTGCCCAAGCCATTCATGGGATATAGAGAAATTGGTCTACCTCCCGATTCCAGATGAGCTCAGCCCTGGATCACACATGCATTTATAGCAATATTTATAAACACTTTAATATTTAAACTTTTATATTCTCAAAAACATACCCTCTTATTTATTACATTTTTCTTTTCAAATTATTTACCTTTCATTTAAACAGGCAATTTCTGATAAAGATTAAGTTGTTAGTTTTTAAAAAGACCTATTCCCTCATTGTTGGACCAAATGATATGCCTCCATCAATATACTCAGAGCCTTTTTATTATGCTATTTTATTACATACACTACTTACTTAGATGTAAATAAGCCCTTAATTTTGTACAATTTTACTTCTTGTGTAATTGATGCTCTAAATTTTGGATTGCTGTGTTCTAAAATGTGTTTTTAAAGCATCATTTTAAAGTAATTGATCAAATCAAAGCATTTAAATCCCTCAATTGGAAAATATATTTTAGAAATGGCTTAAGGCAAATATATTTTTATAAAACCTTAAAGTGCTTATGGTTTAACTGTATAATTAACATCACATATCCAAAACTCAGCCAACAAGTCCAATTATCTAAATAGTAGTTTTAAAGTTTTGTTTTTTAAGCAAAGAAACTCTTTGCTCAAACAAAACCAGACCTGCAAAACTTTTAGTAAAACAAATGAATGCAGAAATGCTCTGCCTGAGGTAGGATAAGGTACCCTAAAGTCCTGATTTGCCTCTCATACTGTGTTACATAGTAGTTCCTGGTAGGCTCTGCAAAACTCTGGGAATACATGAAGAATATCTTGGAAAACACTACGTCAACACATAGTCAAACAACAGGGTAGAGTAAGCCACTGTACCCTCTCCCCTGCACTTGCTTCTCAAAAGAAAAAAAAAAGGTTCAGAGGCAGGAGAGAGAAATTCACACCCACCATGCACTTAACTTGTAGTAGAATATCTTAGGTCTACTCTCAAGGTAAGTCTGTTCTTAGTTTACATATCATGTTGGCAATACAAGCTAAGGGATTTTCAAAAAGACTGTAGTCCCCCCTTATCCGCAGGGGATCCATTCCAAGACCCCCAGTGGATGTCTGAAACTACTTATAATGCCAAACCCTATATACACTATGTTTCTTCCTATACATACATACCTGTGATAAAGTTTAATTTATAAATTAGGAACAGTAAGAAATTACAATAATAAAAAATAGAACAGTTACAATATACTATAATAAAAGTTACATGAATGGTCTCTCTCTCTTTCTCTCTCATCTTCTTGTACTGTACCACAGGTAACTAAAACCAGGAAAAGCAAAACTATTGACACTATGGTTAAGAGGAGGCTATTAGATAGCAGGAAATTCAGCATAGAAGGGAGAGGGAAAACAGGAGATACTAGAGGGAAACATATAAATAACAATGAAGTTATAGTTGAAAGCAAAGGAAAAGTAAAGCATCAATAAGAATGATACACTGTTTACAAAGTTGGCCACAACAATTTCTCCCATCCCTGTATGCATACTTCCCTTGCCATTTGACTTGCTGTTCCACTCCTAGAGACAGAGATAGAGAGGTAAGTTCCCCATCCTTCCTGGGTTAGCCCTTATCACTCACTTTGACCAACAGAATATGGCAAAAGTAGCTCTGTGTAACTTCCAAGTCCAGTGCCCCACTTTCCTCTCTTGGAACCTTGAGGGCATTACATAAATATGAACTAGCCAACTTGAGGATGAGAGGCAACAATGACAGAGAAGCCGATGACCAACTTAACAGGTGACACCATGTTAAGACCAGGCAGCCCCAGTCAAGGTCCCAAACAACTATAGCTGCATGACTAATCCCAAGAGATACCAGCAGAAGAGCTGTCCAGCTAAGCCCTGACCAAATTACTGACTCACAGAATCATGAGCAAATAAAACTGTCACTGTTTTAAAGCCAGTAAGTTTTGGGGTAGTTCATTATATGGTAATAGATAATAAGTAACTGAAACTCAAAATTAATAGTTACCTGGAAATCACTTAGGTAGAACAAAGAACCCTATCCAATTCAGTAGGTCCTAAATGTGTAAATATTATTGTATTATAAAGTATTTCATATTAGTAATAGTTAATAATAAATGATACAAGTTGTTTAGTATGTTCTAAATAAGAAAAAGAAATATGTGACACCTTCTGTAAACAATTTAATATAATTAAATATATTTTAAAGAGTCCCAAACTCATGGAAAACTTGGATTTCTGCATTACCAAATAACAAATTCTATTGATCTTAAACATTCAATACAATCAATAAAATTATTTAGCACCCATACTTCATTAACTATTCCATCAGTGTTAAATAAAATAGAAGGTCAATTATGGATATATAAACTCTAGAATATATTTTACAATGACCTAATAATATGCATACTTTGGCTGCTAACACATCTTAACTCTATACTTTATTAAGAACTTTGGCTGAAAAAGATCTTGTAACTAATCAGTCGTTATAGCAAAAACTCTACATAAGTCAACCATAGCTTCAGTTTTTCCTTCCCATAACATTCTGTAGTGATGTAATATAGGGGGAAAAAGCTTTAAATACTCAGAATAAAACCACTTAACTAAGCAAACACTGTAATTATTAGTTTATACATATTTTGCCTCATAACCTGGTGCTGTAGCCAAAAGAAAATACAAAAAAAAAAAAGTGTTACAGAGTCTGGTCTACATAGGTAAGGTGTTTTCCTTAAAGGAAATTCTCATTCACCTGATAATCTAAACCACAGCCTAAAAAGATGTAACTTCCCAATACAGGTCTTCTGTTAATAAAATGTTAGCATGCCTACAACTAATCCTGCCATTCACTTCTCTTGTTCACCAGAAAAACTGTACTGCACTGCTGTAATAGTAAAGACTGATTGAGTACATGGAAGTTTGAAAAAAGGCTGCTTTGCACTGGCAAGGTACCAGGAGAGGATCACCTGCTGGTCCTGTAAGTCCCCAGAAGTATTACATTACCTTGAGCATTCACCCCATTCTAGAACAGGGATCTCTTCTTATTTTTATTATTATTTTTTAGAACAGGGATCTCATCCTTTTGTGGTCTCAGAGCACTTTGGAATTAAAGAATTAAGACTCAGAAAAACACTAAAGTCAGCAATGATTATAACAACTACTACTACCACACCACCATAGAGTAATGTCTCACAGTACCCATAAAAAGATCCATTTTTAATCAAACAGTCTAAGTATTTAAAACTCTTTTTCATATATCACATCACTGTGGAATGTTAAAGGAAGCAAAGGCTGAAGTTATGGTTCACTTATATACATATTTTCTACTGCTACACTGAACGGTTATTATTGTTTTCAGTCTACATTGAGAACAAGATAATGGATATGTTAGTACAAAATTCTGCATCTTTACTAGGTCATTAAGAGGTATGTTCTAGGTTCTAATGTGTCCACAAATGACCTTCTATTCAACGCTGATTGAATATTTATTTTATTCACTCATTCACTGTATAAGAATTAACTGAACACCTACTACCATTCTGGAGATTCAGTAGAGAACAAAACAGAAACTACCTACTAATTTGGAAGAACAAAACAGAAACTACCTACTAATATGGAAGAACAAAACAGAAACTACCTACTAATATGGAAGAACAAAACAGAAACCACCTACTAATACGGAAGAACTACTTAAACTACCTATTAATATGGAAGCTTGAAAATTAATCTTCTGCAGATGATCTCTGAGTGTAAGTAGATGCTGCTCTAACTGTGCTCCCTCACTGACTCTAGAAGCAAATGGTCCAGAAATCTTTATTTGATGCTGACTTCTCATTACACTCTAGGTACCCTCGGTCATTTTTTATGACGTATTCAGCTTGATATTCTGTTATACACTGCCAAAACAAAATCGTATAGTTGCAGTAGTAATAGAAGTTACATTTATTAAAATTTCATGGTACATCTTCCACAGGACACTGGTAGAGAAGCATCAGTTTGGCTCTTAGCAGGCAAAGAAACCTGATTTCTTAACACACACAGAGACCATTTTATAAACACCTAATTACACTAAGCAATGAGAAACAGATCCAGCAGAAATGTAATTCATAAATTTTCGCTATAAAATTTAACTGCCAAAGGGCTGTACATTCTCAGAATCTTATCAATGAATACTCTCTTTGGAATGTAAGCTCCATAAGAACCCAGATTATAATCACAAGATTTACTTGTGAACATGAGACCAGAGAAAGATGAGTTAAAGTATGACTATTATGTAGTGATGTCAAACTAAGAAAACCAATCATTTCTATTAGTAATTACTAATTTGTAAATAAATAGTAATTTCTATAAATTTGTATATTAATTTTTATTAAATCAGTAAAAATATGCCCATTCTTAGACAATATTTGTATTCTTTTTTTTTTTTTTTTTTCCAAAATCAGGTCTCACTCTGTCACCCATGTTGCAGTGCAGTGGTATGATCCCAGCTCACTACAACCTCCGCTTCTCAGGCTCAAGAGATTCTCTCACTTCAGCCTCTTGAGTAGCTGGGACCACAAGCACATGCCACCATGTCCAGCTAATTTTTTGTATTTTTGGTGCAGACAGGGTTTTGCGGTGTTGCCCAGGATGGTCTCAAACTCCTGAGCTCAGGTGATCCACCCACCTCGGCCTCCCAAAGTGCTGGAATTATAGGCATGAGCCACTACACCCAGCCAGAATATTTATATACGTGAGCCTTGGTATCTCTCTTCTCAGGCACTGCTAACCTTTCATCTGCAACCCTTTGTTCTCCCTTTCTTGAATGACCAATACCTTCTGTAATTTACAAAGTTCTCCTTTAAAATTATTAATATATTCAACTGTATTTCATCCAAGTTTTATTTTGACCTGGGAACAATTCTGATCATTTAGAGTAACTATTCTACATGTTTCTGTTTAATCCATTTGTGACTCTCACAATTGGGGCGAGAGGTATTCACAGTTACTACCATTCACTAGAAAAAAAAAATGCGTAACAGCTACTTGGGGTAGAAAACTAAAAGAGATCTACATGTTTTAATTCAAAAACAAAACTTTTATGCAGATTAATTGTACTACCTGGTAACATTCATTACCAGCTATTGGGCATTTGCTATGTATCAAGTCTTACCATTTACAAATGGATAGACAGATGTACAATATCTCCTCTAAATAATCATATGAGTAGTTATTATTACACTTGTTTTACATATGAAAAAAGTTGATAAAAATGCCCAAGATCTTGAAGCTACAAGGCCAATGAGCCTTTTCTTTTTTCTTATTTTTTTTTTTGAGACGGAGTCTCCCTCTGTCACCCAGGCTGGAATGCCGTGGCGTGGTCTCGGCTCACTGCAAGCTCCACCTCCCGGGTTCACGCCATTCTCCTGCCTCAACCTCCCGAGTAGCTGGGACTACAGGCGCCTGCCACCACGCCCAGCTAATTTTTTGTATTTTTAGTAGAGACGGGGTTTCACCGTGTTAGCCAGGAGCCTTTTCTTAAACAGTAAACTATCCTGCTATTCTGTCCCAAGAGAATTTCAATGATATTTTATTGACAATTTTTATAAATAAGGGCTCAGTAGAAAAGAGCAGTCGAAAAACAGATCTGTTTTGCTGTTCTCTTTCTACTTTCTTCCTCCCAATCAGCTAAATAACCTTTAAAAGACATAGAAAGACAATGTACACGAATTCAAGAGGGTGAATGGGCCAAAGTCACCAAATTCTGCAATGGTTCCTGTGGCCTCCTCAATTCTACAGTATCTCCTTACCTTCTATGTTCTTTCCCTGATTCTCTTCAATATACTTTTTATCCTGTGGATCTCCCTGAGTCCATGACAATAGGATGCAATATAAGACCAAGGATATACAAGTTCACAATGACAGCTCTGCTATTAAAATACTCTATGAACTAAGGATGCATAAAAAGTATGAAGTTGTATAAGGGTTTTAATGAGGATATTCATATGAAATAACAAAATCCAACTTCATTAAAATTTCATATTCTAAGATGTAGTGTGTTATTCTATAAAGTACTAAGTCTTTGAAGTTCAAGCCCTTACTGTGTATGACCTGCTCTCAGAGGCCTCAGTTTTAAATTTATAAAATCGAAGTACATTGAATAGGAGCGGTAAGAGTAGGTATCCCTATCTTGCTCCAGTTCTCAAGGGGAATGCTTCAGCTGTTGCCATTTCAGTATGACATTGGCTATGGGTTTGTCATAATATAGCTCTTATCACTTTAAGGTATATTATTTCAATGCCTAATTTGTTGAGGTTTTTAGCATGAAGTGATATTGTATTTTATCAAAGGCCTTTTCTGCATCTATTAAAAATGATCACATTGTTTTCATTCTTAATCCCATTCATATGGTGAATTGCATTACTGATTTGCATGTTAAATCAGCCTTGCATCCCAGGCAGCAGCCTATTTAATCATGGTGAGTTAATTCTTTGATGTGCTGCTGGATTCGTTTTACTAGTATTTTCTTGAGGATTTTTGCATCTATATTCATCAGGGATATTGGCCTTAAGTTTTCCTTTTTTGTTGCTCTCTCAGAATGATGCTGGCTTCACAGAGTGAGTTAGGTAGGAGTCCCCCCTCCTTGATTTTCTTGAATAATTTCAGTAGCATTAGTAGTAGCATTTCTTTGTATGTCTAATAGAATTTACCTGTGAGTCAATCTGGTCCAGGGCTTTTGTTGGTCAGTAAGCTTTTTATTACTGATTCAATTTTGGGAACTCATCATCAGTATGTTCAGGATTTTAATTTCTTCTTGGTTCAATCTTGGGAGGCGTTGTGTTTCCAAGAATTTATTCATTTCATCTAGGTTTCCTAGTTTGTGTGCCTAGAGGTATCTGTAATAGTCTGAGAATATTTTTTCTATTTCTGTGGAGTCAGTGGTAATATCACCTTCATCACTTCGGATTGTGTTTATTTGGATCTTCTTTTTGTTTCTTTATTAATCTAGCTAGTGCCACAACAATCCTGTTTAATCTTTCAAAGAACGAACTTTTGGTTCCATTGATCTTTTGTATGGATTTTCACAACTCAATTTCATTCAGTTCAGCTCTAATTTAGGTTATTTTCTTCTGCTAGCTTTGGGGTTGGTGTGCTCTTGTTTTCCTAGTTCCTCTAGGTGCAACATTATGTTGTTAGAGATCTTTCTACTTTCTTGTTGTAAGTGTTTAGCACTGTAAACTTTCCTCTTAACGCTGCTTTAGCTGTGTCCAAAGATTCTGGTATATTGTGTCTCTGTTTTCATTAGTTTCAGGTAATTTTTTTTATTTCTGCCTTAATTTTTGTTCTTTAGCCAAAAGTCATTCAAGAGCAGGCTGTTTAACTTCCATGTAATTGTATGGTTTTAACAGATCTTCTTGGTAATGATTTCTACTTTTATTGCACTGTGGTCCAATAATGTGGTTGGTGTTTCAATTTTTTTGAATTTGCTCAAAAAGACTTGCTTTATGGCCAAGCATGTGGTCATTTTAGAGTATGTAACATGTGTTGTTCTTGGATGTTGTTCTTGGATGTTCTGTAGATCTCTATGGGGTACAACTGGTCGTGTTGAGTTAAAGTCCAGAATATCTTTGTTAGTTTTCTGCCTCAATGATCTGTCTAGTAGGGTGTTGAAGTCTCCCACTATTAATATATGGTTATATAAATCTCTTTGTAGATCTATAAGAACCTGTTTTATGAATCTGGGTACTCCAATGTTGAGTGCATATATATTTAAGATAGTTAGGTTTTCTTGTTAGATTGAGCTCTTTATCATTATGCAATGCCCTTCTTTGTCCTTTCTGATCATTACTAGTTTAAAGTCTGTTTTTTTCTGATATAAGAATAGCTACCCCAGCTCTTGTTTTCCATTTGGCTAATAGGCCTTTCTCCATCTCTTTATTTTGTGCCTATGGCTGTCATTACTTGTGATATGGGTCTCTTGAAGAAAGTAGACAGGTGGGTCTTGGCTTCTTTATCCAACTTGCCCCTGTATGCCTTTTAGTGGGGCATTCAGCCCATTGACATTAAGGGTCAATATTGATATGTGAGGATTTGATCCTGTCATTGTGCTGTTAGCTGGTTGTTATGTAGACTTGATTATATAGTTGCTTTATAGTGCCAATGGGGTTATGTCCTTATACATGTTTTGGTATCTTTCTTTCTTTTCCATGTTTAGTACTCCCTCTAGGAGATCGTGCAGATCTAGTCGTAACAAAGTCCTTTAGCGTTTGCTTGTCTGAAAAGGATTTCATTCCTCCTTTGCTTTATGAAGCTTAGATTGGAGGGATATGAAATTATTGTTGGAATTTATTTATTTAAGGATATTGAAAATAAGCCCCCTATCTCATTTAGCTTGTAAGGTTCCTCCTGAAAGGTCCACTGTTAGCCTGATGGGGTTCCCATTGTAAGTGACCTGCCCCTTGTCTCTAGCAGCCTTTAAGATTTTTTCTTTTGTGTTTACCTTGGAGAATCTGATGACTATATGTCTTGGAGATGGTTGTCTTACATAGTATCTCACAGGGGTTCTCTGAATTTCTTGAATTTGCATGTCAACCTCTCTAGTGAGATTGGGAAATTTTTCATGAAATATATCCTGAAATATGTTTTCCAAGTTGCTTGCTCTCTCTCTCTACTTCTCTTTTTGGAATGCCAATGAGTTGTAGGTTTGGTCTCTTTACCTAATCCCATATTTCTTAGAGGTGTTGTTTTTTAAAATTTCTTTTCTTTATTTTTATCTGCATGCGTGCTTAAAGGAGTGGTCTTCAAGCTCTTCAATTCTTTCCTCAGCTTGGTCTATTCTACCATCAGTGCTTCCAATTGTATTTTGAAATTCCTGTAGTGAATTTTTCATTTCTAGAAGTTCAGTTTGTTTTATTCTTAAAATGGTTATGTAGTCTTCAAATCTTGGATCATTTCACTGTTTTCCTTGGAGTGGGTCTCAATCAACTCTTGTAACCTGATGAGCTTCCTTGCCACACAGATTCTGAATTCTATGTCTGACATTTCAGCCATTTCAATCTGGATCCATTGCTAAGGAGCTATTGCGATCGTTTGGAGGTAAAAAGACACTCTGCTTTTAGAGCTTCCAGAATTCTTGGCTGGTTCTTTCTCATCTGTGAGCACTGATGTTCCTTTCCCCTTTGAAGCTGCCATCCTTTGGATGGGGCTTTTTTATTCTAAGGTCTTTATTACCCTTGAGGGCTTTGACTGTGGCACAAGTTGGGTATAGTTGAATGGCTTTGTTTATTGATGTTTTTAGGGGGCAAGGCTGAGCTCCACACTCCTGGGCTGCATACTCTAAACCTAAAAGCCTGAGACCAGGTTCACAGTTTTGTCCTCTGGTCCTTTAAGGTCGAGCCCCAGCTGGGCTGGAGGAGTCAACGTGCTCCCAGACTACTGGCAAGAGCACACCATGGGGATGGCAGGGGAGGCATGGGCATAAGTGCTCCAGCAGAGGCAGTGGGGACACCACAGGTATGAGGTGCTCCAGTAGGGGAGTATAAACTTCTCTTTATAAATCACACAGTCTGCAGTATTCTATTATAGCAATAGAAAATGACAGTGTTAAATTTATTAAATGGGACTAAGAATGCATACCTTGTACGGCTGTTTTGAGAACTTAATGAAATAGTAAATGAATATCATGCATTTAGCACATTACTTGGCACACTGATGAGGTTCAATAAATGGTGATGATTATTATCATATCTGGGAAATTTTATGCTTTCAATTAAGTAAACAATGTTGCTTAATGACAAATTGTTAAACTGGAAATACGCAGCCCTTGAATCCCAAAAGGAGATCTAAGGGACATCTGAAAACTCTACTAAAATGATTTCAAATACAGCAAAGATCACAGGGAATAACAGAAAAAGAGCCATAAGGTAAGAGAGTCACAGCGGAACTTCCAAAGTCAATAAAAAAGCAGAATTATTAATTTTACCACTCCTAGGAAAACTTTGTAAGGAAAGTTTATCCTTGTTGCCACTTTGAGAATTCTTCCCAAGAACCCAAAGTCCTAAAGCAAATAGCCCAAAGCTCCAATGTAAAATATATCTGAGTTGCATGTTCCAAAATGTTTCCTACCTCTCTTCTCCCATCTTTTGTCCTATTCTCCTAGCATTCTGTTCTGTACTAATCATCAATGAGTTTAATCAGAAAAATATCTGATTATAGTAGTAGCTAGCTACCACTTTGGCAGCTTAGCTATCCTGCCTAATCATGTTACAAGTAGATAAAATGAACGTCTTAATGATTTTAGGCATCATAGAAGGCTGGGGATAATTTTTTTTAATCTTACTCTTGAGCAGGATATTCTGACCAATACAGGTTCTAACATACATACTAAACTTAAAATACATGTTAAAAATAAAGCCTCTAGGCACAGAGATAATTTCAAGTTTAAATAACCATCTAATGCAATTATCAAATGTATGCACAAGACTATGAAGTAAAACTGAAAATGCCCACATTAATAGTTCCTACTATAATAGTTTAAAAGCTATTAGTATCCTGTCAAAATACGTTTAAATATTAAACTTGTGTAGACTAAACTTTTTATTTTAGGTAACTCAATGATGTGTATATAATAAATATTCTTAAACTAACATTAAGTGTTTGTGTTGTTTACAGATGTTTCTGATTAACCTCTTAGCAACACTGCCACAGGTTATATCATGGATACTTCATAAAAATTTGCCTTCACTGTGAGATTCATTTTTATACTGTTTTTTTCAATATATGTTCAACTCTGAACAATTATGGAAGTAATTTGTACCATGTAATAGGAGGAAAAAAACAACATTCAAAAATTTCTGAATGAGTTACATGTACCATCATTTGCCTTCCTGTAGTCCTGGAATAATTTGAGATGAAATATAACAATCTTTAATTATAACATGTTATATATGAAATATAACAATACAGCAATCTTCAATTTCTATCAACTACATATATACATGTATTACTACTATTATTGAACATTAATCACAGCATTTCACAAACTGCATATTAGTTAGTCTCAGATGCTGTTTCTGAAGTTTTGCCAACAGTCTAAAACAGAGTATGGTCCTTTCAAACTAATGCATATCATTTCTTAACTTCATAAAATGTTATTACAAAGTTGGGTTTCAATAAACATATTGCAAATGAATCACATTTGAAAATGACTAGAGCAGTAGTTCACAACCACTAGCGCAGATAGACCAGATGAGACCTACAGATATAAGAAAAACAAAGATTTATTATAATTAGTAAGAAAGTGAGTCCTCATACTCATTCTATCAAGGATATCTGCCAAAAAGATGTTCTCTGTGAACTGAGGGAGAACTAACAGACACTCAGGTACTCACTATTTCTCCCAAGTCCCCAATTCCTTATCCTCTGACCAGTAGCATGTTGGGAAACAGTGAGAGGCAGAGAATGTGGCACAGACTCAAAACAAGAGGATACAGATCAAGAACGAAACTTAACTTAAAATATTATATTCAGCCCAGTCTTAGGTTTGAAAAAATATTACGAGACACTGTCTTATTCATATGCCTCTAGCACCTACAACATTAACATCACAAATGTAAATGACTAATTAATAATTTTTAAAAGCTGGCTGTAACACAGCTTGCTGCATCAAACTTTCAAAGAGTATCAAAGTTTCACATAAACTGGTATAATTATGTCTCTCTACAAAAATGGAAAAACTTCTACCCTATTCCATCCTCTGATCCTGCTCAACTATGAGTTTTGACTCTAGAATATATACATTATCCATCAATATCTGGATTACTACAAGCAACTTCTAGCGGGTTTCTTAGTATTCAATTCTTCCAATCTATTATAAACTAATGAGAGATATGTCTTTCTAATGTTTTCACCACATCATGCTTACTCAAGTATCTACAGTAGCTCCTTATTGCCTACTAAAAATCCACAGCTACTACTCTATCAAATAATCATATCCCTATCTAATCTAATCTCAGAATATTCCATAAAACAACCGTATGTTTCAATCATGCTCCCATGTCTTATTTAGAGCCATCTTCAGACCTCCATTATTTTCCATCTATGTCACTTCTCGTTTCTTCTTCTGAAGCTAAACACTTCTTTCAGCAGCAGATAAAGAACATAGATGACAGTCAGACTTTTGCCAGAGGTAAAATGGCAAAAATGATTTCAATTAGAGAATAATTAGTATTAAACAATAAAGCACTAATTTTAAAAGTGCAATAGTTTACAAAATGGGAACATTAAGTATTATCTGAGAGGGTTTCATGGA
Source organism: Homo sapiens (assembly GCF_000001405.40). Classification (NCBI taxonomy): domain Eukaryota; kingdom Metazoa; phylum Chordata; class Mammalia; order Primates; family Hominidae; genus Homo; species Homo sapiens. The sequence goes on along the minus strand of NC_000011.10, from coordinate 87,204,967 downwards.
GAAGGTAAAGCAGAATGTAGAATTTAGAAAAAGAATATAAAGGGAATTTTTGATAGAAGAAATAATTAAAGAAAAGAATAGTCATAAAACAAGTAATATAAGTTGACCCTTGAACAACATGAGTATGAACTGTGCAGATCCATTTGTATGTTGATTTTCTTCCACCTCTGCCACCCTTGAGAAAGCAGGACCAACCTCCTCCTCTTCCTCCTCCTCAGCCTCCTCCTCAGTGTAAAGATGATGAGAAAAAAGATCTTTATGATGATCCACTTCCACTTATGATGATCCACTTCCACTTAAAGAACAGTAAACATATTTCCTCTTCCTTATGAGTTTCTTAATAACATTTTCTTTTCTCTAGCTTACTTTATTATAAGAATACAGTATATAATACATATGACACAAAATGCATTAATTGACTGTTTATGCTACAGTAAGGCTTCTGGTCCACAGTAGGCTATTAGTAGTTAAATTATTGAGGAGTCAAAAATTATTCTCAAATTTTTAACTGTGCAAGGGGTCAACACTCCTAATCCTTGTGTTGTTCAAAGGTCAACTGTATTGCATAACTGCTTGAATGGGACAAAAGGTACTCTCTAGGGAAGAAGTAGGAAGAACAACAGAATAGATAAGAAAAAAATCAAATTACAGATGGCCTTGCAAACTAGGCAAAGCAGCTTGAGTTTGGTAAAAAAAAATTGTACGAATATTCATTTCATTCATTCCCTCAACAAACAGTGGCTACATAAATCCATGATAGATTCATAGGGGACTTTCAGAGAGAACCATTTTAGATAAAAAAAACAAACAAAATCAATGAGTGACAGAGAAAATGCAACAGAAAAGACTTCCTAGATTACTGAAAGTAAACGAGCCAAAAGAGGAACAGGGTACAGAATGGTGTATGGGCAGTCAAGTTGAAAAAAAAAGGATAATTCTAAAAATTATTGTGCACGATTGACAAGAACCTAGTAAAAACTGAGTAGTGGAGAAAAGAAAAGAAATGATAAAGGCAAAAATATTTCACTTGGAAAACGAACGATAAGATACCAATACACACTTATTAGAACGGCCATAATTCAGAACACTGGCAGCACCAAATACTGTTAAAGATGTGAAACAACAGGAACTCTCATTCATTGCTGATGGAAATACTAAATGGTACAGCCACTTTGGAAGACAGTTTGGTGGTTTCTTACAAAATTAAACATATTTTTACCATACAATCCAGCAATTGTGCTCCTCGGTACTTATACAAAGGAGCTGAAAACTTATGTCTACACAAAAACCAGCACACAAATGTTTATTAGAGCTCTATTCCTAATTGTCAAAACTTAGAAGCAACCGAGATGTTCTCCAGTAGGTGAGTAAATAAACTGGTACATCCAGAAGGAATATCATTTGGTTCTAAAAAGAAATTGAGCCATAAAAAGAAACAAGCCATGAAAAGACATGGAGGAAGCTGAAATGCCTATTGCCAAGTGAAAAGAAGCCCATCTGAAAAGGCTGCATATTGTATGGTTTCAACTATATGACACTCTGGAAAAGGTAAAACTAGGGAGACAGTAAGATTACTGATTGTCAAGGGTTTCAGGGGGTTAAAGGATGAATAGAGGGAGCACAGAGGATTTTTGAGGGAGCAAAAATACTCTGTATGATACTATAATGATGGATACATGTCATTATACATTCATCCAAACCCATAGAATGTACAACATTAAGAGTGAACCCTAATGTAAACTATGTACTTTGAGTAATGATAATGTGTCAATATAGGTTTATCAATTGTAACAAGTGTCCAGTCTGGTGCGGGATGTTAATAATGGGGGAGGGTATGAATGTGTGTGGGGCCATTGGGTATATGAGAAATCTCTGGACCTTCTCAATTTTGCTCATAAACTAAAACTGCTTTTTTTTTTTTTTTTTTTTTTTTTTGAGACGGAGTCTCACTCTGTCGCCCAGGCTGGAGTGCAGTGGCATGATCTCGGCTCACTGCAAGCTCCGCCTCCCGGGTTCACGCCATTCTCCTGCCTCAGCCTCCCGAGTAGCTGGGACTACAGGCGCCAGCCACCACGCCCAGCTAATTTTTTTGTATTTTTAGTAGAGACGGGGTTTCACCGTGTTAGCCAGGATGGTCTAGATCTCCTGACCTCATGATCCGCCCGCCTCGGCCTCCCAAAGTGCTGGGATTAGAGGCTTGAGCCACCGTGCCCGGTCTGCTTTTTTTTTTTTTTTTTAAAGTCTTTTAAAAAAATTCACTTGGGAGACACAGTGCTTGACAACAAATGTCAATCGTTATTTACATGCAGTGTTAAACATACACACCTACATAATATAAAAATATATTTTACATACACACATATGATTTGCCATTTGTCTCTCAACAGTTGCACAGGTTAATAAAAATGCAAACTATGAGTTAAAGACCAGCCTGGGCAAGCTGGCAAAATCCCATCTCTACAAAAAACACATACATTAACCGGACACGGTAGGGCATGTGTGTAGTCCCAGCTGTTCAGGAGGCTGAGGTGGGAGGATAACTTGAGCCCAGGAGGCAGAGGTTGCAGTAAGCCGAGATTGCACCACTGCACTCCAGCCTGGGTGATGGAGCCAGACCTTGTCTCAAAAAATAAAATAAAACAGTCTGGGCATGGCGGCTTACGCCTGTAATCCCAAAACTTTGGGAGGTCGAGGTGGGTGGATCACTTGAGGTCAGGAGTTTGAGACCAGCCTGGCCAACATGGCAAAACCTCATCTCTACTAAAAATACAAAAATTAGCCAGGAGTGGTGGTGCACTCCTGTAGTCCCAGATACTTGGGGGGCTGAGGCAGGAGAATCACTTGAATCAGGGAGGTGGAGGTTGCAATGAGCTGAGACCACGCCATTGCACTCCAGTTTGGGCAACGCAGCCAGACTTCATATAACATAACATAACGTAAAACATAACATAACATTACATAACATAACATAACATAACATAACATAACATAACATAACATAACATAACATAACATAAAAAATAAATACCAAAAGTGAATGCATATATGTGTATGTGTGTGTGTTTAAATCTTTATCATAAGACAGATTTCATTATAAAATGATATCTATGAAATACATCTTTACTGGACATTAAAACAAAGTTCCTGGATGGCTTAGTGCAGAGTAAGTATTAATATATGTTAGCAAACTAAGTGAGATTTTTCATTCTACTTATTATAGATGTAATTTTTCATGTCAGTTTTCTAAGAATATGAAGTAGAAAAAAGGCATGTTAAACACCAAATTCACTCCTCACATTTCACAAAGCAGGGGCTTTTATAATGTACAGCTAACATTAACTGCCATCATATGATAAAATTAACTCCTCCAACCAGCAGGCGTCTTAAAAATGGCCTTAAAAATTACCATACTTTATTCACTGACTGCCTCAAGAGAGCTGTATAATCACAAGATTACTGAAGGATGAAAGCCAAGGTTACTTTGTATTGAATGAAAACTTAAAGTTAGTGAAATTTAAACTGCATCTACGAGACCTTAGTTAAAACTTTAGTGAAACAGGAATATATACTATACAAACTCATTATATTTGAATTTTCCAAAACCCACTTATTTATTTTCCATACAGAAAAAATGGAACATGAAGGATGTAAAAAGACAGTATTTCTAATGAAAATTAAGTTGTACTTAAAATTACAATACATAAGATTTTATGTATGTTTTACATATTCCTTCTCCAAGACAGGATGATGTATCAGGAGCAAGATCTTCCAGTTTCAAATCCTGAATTTATAATTCCTACCAATATGATCTTGGGAAAGTTATATAACTTCTCTGTACCTCATCTTCCTCACGTACAAACAGGAATAACTGTACTTAGCAGAAATGGAAATTGAGATTAAAAAATAAAAAAGAGTGCTAACATATATAAGCTTTCTTCACTTCCTAAAAGTTAAAAGAATACCATGGATTAATATTCAGCACCAAAAAGAAATGAGCAATCCAACTAAGATAAGACATGGAAGAATGCCTATTATTAAATATTTAAATGTCTTAAATACATATTAAAGTGAAAGAAGCCACCCTGAAAAGTCTACATACCATACATTTACATCTATAACTTACTTTGGAAAAGGCAAAAATATGAAGACAGTGAAAAGATCAATGGTTTTCAGGGGTTTGGGCAGAGGGAAGGCTCAATGGATAACAGGACATGGGATTTTTGCAGCAGTGAAACTATTCTGTATGATGCTATAATGGTAGATACATGTCATTATACATTTGTTGAAGCTCACAGAAGATACAATACCAAGAGTGAATCCTAATGTAAACTATGAACATTGAATGATAATGATGTGTCAATGTAAGGTCTTTGATTGTACCAAAGTATATCATTCTGGAGTGGATGTTGATCATGGAGGAGTCTGTGCACACTGGGGAGAACAGTACCCTTTCTGTATTTGGAACTCTACATGGGAAGTTTCTCTATTTTCCACCTAATTTTGCTGTGTACCTAAAACTTCTCTAAAAATAAGGTCTGTAATGAAGAAGAAAAATTAAAGGAAATCACAAAATTACCTATATACTTTACAGAGAAATCATTTTATAACTTTGACCATCTTGAATTCCAAGATTACCAAAATCATAACAAGATAATTCAATTATACAGTTAGGTTATTTTCTTATTATATTTTTGGGTGTATTTAGAAGAGTCTAAAACCTGTGAAGGTTCATGTTAATTACAACTATTTAGGTGAGTAAGCTATTTCCTATTAAAATTAAAAGTTAACTATCATCCCATAATTTTAAATTATTATTTTACTTATCTAAGACTATAATTATTGAGTGAAAATTACTAATAATTATAATTTCAATGAGAGCTTTTTAACAATTATTAATGAAACTTACAGAAAGAAGCAAACCATATTGAAGATTAAATTGAAATTCCATTTAGTTTACAGTGCTAAAAGATTCAGAGGTTAATAATGGCAAATTTCTCTAATGGCTTTACAAACCCAAGTTATGTATTTATTTATTTATGAGATGGAGTCTTGCTCTGTCGCTCAGGCTGGAGTGCAGTGGCATGATCTCGATTCACTGCCACCTCTGTCTCCCAGGGTCAAGCAATTCTCCTGCCTCAGCCTCCCTAGTAGCTGGGATTACAGGCGCGTGCCACCACGCCTGGCTAATTTTTGTATTTTTAGTAGAGATGCAGTTTCACCTTGTTGGCCAGGCTGGTCTCGAACTCCTGACCTCAGGTGATACGCCTGCCTCGGCCTCCCAAAGTGCTGGGATTACAGGCATGAGCCACCGCTCCTAGCCACAAACCCAAGTTATTTTATTCCATCTTCTCCTTTACTCAGACCTACTCTAGTTTCCTCAAATGCCTCAACTAGAAATCTATATGTATCTACCTCATCCCCTACAAGCTCAGTAATTTTTAAATACTACCACTGTAGGCTCAAGTGAGCAAATTATTGCTCAGTCAGGTTCATTGACAGTAGTTCTAAAGTGAATGCTTGTCTATAAAACAGAGCTCTGGGTAGAGGCCATAGTTTTCTATGTTTACAGCTTCCTCACACAATTAATCTTGCAGCTGCACTTGATTAGTTTTTGACATGAACGCACCGTCTTGGAGAGGTCAATACAAGGAGGTTTCCATCCTCTTAACACTCCCTCTAACCTACCCTCTTCAGAAACATTAACCACTTGTAAAAGCATTGCACAAGGAGGTCAGGAGTTCCACCATGCCCAGCTAATTTTTGTATTTTTAGTAGCGACAGGGTTTCACCATGTTGGCCAGGCTGGTCTGGAACTCCTGACCTCATGATCTGTCTGCCTCGGCCTCCCGAAGTGCTGAGATTACAGATGTGAGCCACAGCGATAACTACTCATAATACAAGGTGTCTGTACTAGGTTTCCAATTCAGAGTATAACAAATATTTTCTAAAGCTAAGATGCTCCTTTCTGTAAATTTCCATGGCATTTTGTACATAATTCTATTATAGCACTGCATAGATTTAAAATATAAGCCTCTTGAGAGCAGGAAAATCCCTAGTGCCTAGCAAAATAAAAAAAGACATAGAAGACAATATTTGTTTGCTGAATTTATAAAACTAGGAACTCAGTCAAACGTTCTTCATTTCTAAGCATCTTTTTAAACTGTTGTTTCTATTATTTATACTTGTCTCTAACACCTGGTATAGTGCCTTTACATGGTACATGTTGAATCATCACTTGCTCATCCATTGCAAAAAAAAAAGAAAAGAGAGGGAGGGAAGAAATTGGAGGAAGTAAGAGAGGGAAGGAGGAAACAGGGAAAAGAGAAGAGAGGGAGAGGAGAGAAAGAGGAGATGGAAAGGAAGAGGAAGCAAGGAGAATGAGAGAGAGGGGAGCGGAGAGGGGAGGGGAGAGGGGAGGGAGGAGGGAAGGGAGGAGTGGGGGAGAAACAGAGCGGGGAGGAGAGGGAAGGAAAAACCAACTAACAAAAAACAACCTCAGACAACAGACATTTTCAGCTCAGGAAGTACCCTTATTAACTTTTTTGTTGCTGACTTTGTTTTGTTCTGTTTTGTTTTTCCCTAGAATACTCTAAGGGTTTTGAAGGGTTTCCAAGGATCCTGCTCTTGGAATACCAAAACCCTCCATCCAAAAACAACAGATCTGAAAGAGGTATCCTAATACAAATGTGTAGTAAAATAAATTGTAAAACGGATTTTGACATACATTCTTACTCAAATATGGGAACTAAAAAACTTTAATCTCATGTACATAAAGAATAGAACTGAGGAGGATGGTTGGGAGGATGTTTGATAACAGACTAGTGTGACTATATTTAGCAACAGTATTATGTATATTTAAAAATAACAAGAAGAGAGGGCTTGAAATGACACCAACACATAAAAATGATAAACACTCAAGGTGATGGATACCCCAAATATTCTGACTTGATCATTACGTGTAAGAAATACTCACATGTAGCCCATAAAGATTTACAACTATTATGTACCTAAAAAAATAAAAATAAAAAAGTATCCAAAAACTAAAAATAAAAATAGATAAATATTTTCTAAATGGATTTTGAGATGGAATTAATTTAACTGTTTTCCCAATAAATAAAATATACATTTTCTTCTCTGATAACATACAAATAAAAAAAACTTTTTAGTAACTTTTTCATTCTAAGTAGCATTGCATTTATATGATATCCCTAATAAGTGAATTTGCAAAACATACATCAAATAATTAAATATGAAATTAGGATTTAAACTTAGACTCATGCCAACGCATAGCCTCAAGTGACATTTTTTTTTTGCTAAGCTACACATAAAACCACACTGGCCATAAGTAAACCATGACAATAATAAAAAAACTACCAATTTTAACAGAATTGGAAAGTCCCATCATAAAGAAATCTATCAATAGAAGAAATTTAGCAAATTGCACTTAGTAACTTCAGACACAATTCTGTATCTAATGTCAAATTACAGGTTACCATCTCCTTTCTAGATTCTGATATACAAATATTTAGGCATCCAATAGCTTAAGATGCTTCCTGTTTTATGGGACAACACAAAGGAATTTAGTGTTTTTCCATTTATACTACTTCATAACTCTGTATGAGAGTCTGATACGTTTTACCCTTTATGCCGAATTAGAATTTCTTGCATTAAATTAAAAGAATATGTACTCGTCCAGCTATTGCACCTTCTGTTTATATCAGGAAACTTCTAAACATAATAGAATTATGTACAAAATGCCATGGAAATTTACAGAAAGGAGCATCTTAGCCTTAGAAAATATTTGTTATACTCTGAATTGGAAACCTAGTACAGACATCTTGTATTTTTTTCTAAAGAAAAAAAGTAAAAATTTTAATGCTGTTTGTCTAAAGACAAAAATAGCCTACATCTGAATTTCCTTTATTTTGGTACTATAAGTTTTGCTAATTTTTTTTCATTAGGAGAAATGTAACTATGTTTCATCAGTATCTCACCAATGCTCTAAATTGCTAGTTTATAAACACCAATATTTAACATCAGCAAAGGTTAAGAGATCCAAAATACGTATCCATTCTTAAAGTAATTTAAATTCAATTTTGGATAGTAACTTTTTAAAAAATTCTAAATACTTTTACAAGCCACTAAACATACACAGTGGATTATCCCACTTGGAAGATTATGCGTTAAAGTCTGAAAGTTCATGTTTTCATTGAAAATTTCACTGGCTCTGGTCTCTATCTTATCAGAAAGTCAGGAAATTCTGAATAAGTGGCTAGAATGTACATAAGTATATTTGAAGTCTACTTCCTGACAACTCCAAAAAGATCTTCCTGTAAAACTAAGCCTCAATTTCAGGTTCCCCCCATCAAATTCCCTAAAAATAATATTCCCCACTATAAACAAGAGAAAAAGAAAACAGTCTACTGCCAGGCATCTAAGCCTGATGTAGAAAAATGACAACAATTTTTAGGACCAAAAGATTTGCATATCCTAAAATAAACATGTAAATTTTTGGAACTTGATCACTTTTTAATAGTATTTCCTCAGCATCTGTGCCAAACTAAGTTAATTTCTTAGAAATTTTTTTTAAAATGTGTTAAATGATACTGTAACCTTAATAATCTTCATTTTTATTTTAAGCATATCAAATTAAAATATGAATATACCTGCAATATTTAATCAAATATTTAAGTTCAGAATTTGCAGACATTTCACCATTGCAAAGGATGATGAGTGTTACAATTCACTTTTTAGCACAAAATCCTAAAATATTTCCCCCAAAATCTGTCACAAATATTGTTCCAACATAATTTTACTCTCTCACTCAAATTATAAAGGAACATTTTAAAAACTGGTTTGTTTTCTTGGGTAATAATTCCAGCAAACAAAATGGTATCATTCCATACAAGTTTATAACTGCCATAAAATAGTCTCGCACAGATACTATGTAAAATTTTGGAACTTGATCACTTTTTAATAGTATTTCCTCAGCATCTGTGTCAAACTAAGTTAATGGTATCATTCCATACAAGTTTATAACTGCCATAAAATAGTCTCGAACAGATACTACATACTGTTTTTAAAAAACCACCATAAACTATTACCCAAATGCTTTTCTTTAAATGTCTTCAAATTTTACTCATTATTAATAACATCGAACATCAACATTGACAGGCACACCCTAAGCAACTGTAGGATGAAAATAACAGGCATGCAAAAACAATTTTTACTCGTGTGAAGTAAGAAAATGACTTTTTCGTCTGGGCACAGTGGCTCATGCCTGTAATCCCAACGCTTTGGGAGGCGGAGGCTGGCAGATTGCCTGAGGTTGGGAGTTCGAGAACAGCCTGACCAACATGGAGAAACCCCGTCTTTACTAAAAATACAAAATTAGCCAGCTGTAATCCCAGCTACTCGACTGGCTGAGGCAGGAGAACCGCTTGAACCCGGGAGGTGGAGATTGCGGCGAGCTGAGATCATGCCATTGCACTCCAGCCTGGACAACAAGAGTAAAACTCCGTCTCAAAAACAAGAGAGAAAGAAAGAAAGAGAGAAACAGAGAGAGAGAGAGAGAGAAGGAAGGAAGGAAGGAAGGAAGGAAGGAAGGAAGGAAGGAAGGAAGGAAGGAAGGAAGGAAGGAAGGAAGGAAGGAAAGAGAAAGAAAGAGAAAATGACTTTTTCAATTATACAAATTAAAATTCATCATTCTTGTCAGAATCATATTTTAAAAAAAGAAAAAGAAGACAGGGGAGAAGGAAAGAAAGACATTTGACAGTAAATAAATTACCTAAATTTGGATGGTTGGATTTGCATTCGATGTCTTGCAAAGAATACTCATGTTTCTTGGTAAAACAAACATAATTCAGATTTTAATAAGCTTCCTTCAGATAACACATAAAGAAGACTAAATTTTTAATGTATGTTTCACACTTTAAATAAAAGGCATGCTTTGTTTCTAAAAAGTAAAATGTATAATGCTGATATGGTTTTAAAATTTAAAAAGTTAGAAACAAGCATTCATTAAGTAACATATATGCATCATTTTAGTAAGAAAATATAATTCATCCATTTATGAGTTTATGTAAAAGATAACCTCATGACACAGTATCAAGAAATTAGCAAGATACCTATAATTTCCTTTAAAAAAATGCCACAACATTGACTTTCACGAGAGCTCTAAGTACACTGGATTTAGTTAGGTTTTCCCTTCTCTATTTCCATACTTACAGCAACTACTGACTTCAAAGAGAATTATGGAAGATGAACAGAGAATATGAAGAGCAACAGGAATCTTGTTCAATATAATAAATTAGGAACAAGAAGGCAAAAATTTTAACCAGAGTTTTTATGGGTGCTTTAATTTGTATATTTTATGATAACCAAGTTTTCCACTGTATATACACATACATACAAATACACAACACACACACACATACACAGGTATTATTATTCTTTAAGAAGGTGGAACTATAAAATGTAGAATAAACTATACTGTACAAGTAAATAGTAGTAAAGATCTGACACAGGATAGTACAAGAGAATTTCAAAAGTCTTTGCCCACTAAACGATTTGAGATTTTTTCATTTGCAGAATAGTATACAGTTAGCTGGACTAAAATACTGCAAACTTTAGCATAAGTAAGAGTGCTTTTTAAGTTCAACCACAGCTGCCAGTTGTCTTGTGGAGGTATTTTGTTGATTTTAAGAATACGTGCAAGAAACAGCAGCTTTCCCAGCACTTCAGTCAACAAAGATCTACATTTACCAATTTTTTTTTAACTTGTGCAGAAAATATGTTGTCTTTTGTGTGGAGCCACAGTTTCTTTTTCATTAAATGAAATGGAAGTAAAATCCATTAAAAGGCTTAAAATTCACACAGGAACAAACTCTTTTAAATGTGTTTAACTGATTCAAAACATTTTATGAAGATTTTAAAGAATAAACATGAATGTCATGAACATTACTACATTAATCTTCTCTGCTAGTAAGTGAAAAAAGCAAAGATAACAAGCCTATGGCTTACCACAAAAATTCTTTATCACAGTCCACAGCAATACTTCAATGCACACAAATTAAATAAATGTATTGTGTATCTACTGTATCCTAGCATGATCATAGGCCTATTAAAAAATTCAAAACAAGTATAATGTATGACTTCATATATACATACAAATATATATGTTTATATAATATATAATATAATATATAAGAATATATATGGTCTTTAAGTGAACAATTCAAGACTTAAATCTGAACCAACTAAAGAAAAAATTTAAAAAACCTAACTGAGTTCTTAATTCTTTATTTCTGATTACACATTGAAAAGAGAAGTCAGATATTCTTAATTACATAAGCCACAAAATCAAAAGCTTAACAATTATTCCCTGGGTACTTAGAAGAAATTAACAGTTATCCCCCCACCAAAAACAGTGATTTTCAATTCTCACTACCAAATTAAAGTAATTTCATATCTGGAGTCTCATCAATATTTAGCTCTTGGGAAAAATAAATGGGAAAATAAAACAGAAGAACCTGAAAATTTTGCAGATTACAAGGAAAATGGATAAAAATTAGCAGAGGCTAAACTAAATAACAATCTGTATCTTAATCTATATGAAAACTCTAGATTAAGTGATTTGATAAATTTGTCTTATAATTTTCAAGTATCTCCTAAATATTTCTTGAATCAGATCTCACCACCACTACACCCCCACTTAGAATCTGCTAGACACAAGCTCCTCAAGAGCAGGTACCTTGTTGTCTCCACTCCACTGCTGTGTATCACTCAGTCTTAACTTAATGATGGCCTATTATATATGATGAAAAAAGAAATGAATACACAAAAAATGACAATTTTTTTTTTTGAGATGGAGTCACCCAGGCTGGAGTGCAGTGGTGCAATCTCAGCTCACTGCAACCTTTGCCTCCCAGGTTCAAGTGATTCTCCTGCCTCAGCCTCCCAAGTAGCTTGGACTACAGGTGGGTGCCACCAGGCCTGGGTATTTTTTATATTTTTAGTAGAGACGGGGTTTTCCCATGTTGGCCAGGCTGGCCTTGAACTCCTGATCTCAAGTGATCTGCCCACCTTTGCCACTGAAAGTGCTGGAATTACAGGCGTGAGCCACCATGCCCGGCAAACCAAAATATTTATTAAAAGCAGTATACACGGCTCACCCACACATACAATCACATTCTTATAAATATGTAAACTGGTTTTATTAAAAATGAATTTGTACCAGCCTTTATAAACAGTAATAGATCTAGAAACAAAAATTCAAATTGTTTTATCAAATTACATGGAATAAAGCTTATTTCTCTTATTTATAAATAAAATAATAGCTGATATCTTCAAGTAGCACACACATTTCAAAAGAACATAGGCGGTTTTTTGAAAACTCTTACATTCACTCATATTTACCTAATTGCCTTCAAAAACAAGTTAAAACACAAACATGGGTAAAACAAGTTTACTTCTCTTTAAAGAACTGATAAACTTCTGATGTTTGCCTTTATATAACATACATAAATACGTAATTCATTTTATTCCTATTGACTTACAGCAAAAAAAAGAAACAATCTTCTGAATATAAATTTGTCTTTAAAATTTAACCTAAAAAATACTGAAATTGGTACCAGAAATGGCCTTAAGAAAGACAGACATCTACATAAATCAATTATAAAAGAAATAGAAGTGGCTCATGCCTGTAATCCCAGCACTTTGGGAGGCCAAGTTGGGCGGATCACGAAGTTAGGAGATCGACACCATCCTGGCCAACATGGTAAAACCCCGTCTCTACTAAAATACAAAAAAAAAAAAAAATTAGCTGGGCACGGTGGCACATGCCTGTAGTCCCAGCTACTCGGGAGGCTGAGGCAGGGGGATCGCTTGATCCCAGGAGGTGGAGGTTGCAGTAAGCCCAGATCGCGCCACTGCACTCCAGCCTGGAGCAAGACTCCATCTCGAAAAAAAAAAAAAAAAAAGAAAAGAAAAGAAAAGAAACAAAAGAAATAGAAAAACCAGTAATAGAGCTCTCAAAAAAATGCCCCACGTCCAGATGACTTCTCAGGAGAATGCTAGCATACTTTTTAAAAGTATAAACTCCCAATGCTACTTTAAAATTATTCCAAAAACATAGATAATAAGGAAAACTTCTAAGTTATGTCTTTAAAGTGAGTATATAACACTGATCCCCAAACCTAAAAACAAGGCAGTCAAAAAGAAACTACACAACACATATCAATTGTCAACACTGTTGCAAACAATTCCGAATAATAGACTCTAACAGGAAATGCTTAGAAATCATATATGATGATCATCGTGGTTTTAAAATATATCCCACAAATTCTTCACTTCTTCCTTCCAAAGGTAGTAGAATCTAATTCTTCCCTGCCCCAAAGTGTTGACTGTACTTAGTGAATCGCTCCTAATGAATAGAATGGTGGCTCACACTTGTAATCCCAGCACTTTGGGAGGCCGAGGCAGGCAGATCACGAGGTCAAGAGATCGAAACCATCCTGGCTAACACTGTGAAACTCTGTCTCTACTAAAAATACAAAAATATTAGCCGGGCGTGGTGGCGGGCACCTGTAGTCCCAGCTTCTCAGGAGGCTGAGGCAGGAGAATGGTGTGAACCCAGGAGGCGGAGCTTGCAGTGAGCCGAGATCGTGCCACTGCACTCCAGCCTGGGTGAAAGAGCGGGACTCTGTCTCAGAAAAAAAAAAAAATACTGCCAAAGTAAGGGTGTGTGACTTCTGATATCAGGAGATAATAGACATTGTGGCTTCCTCCTTGCCCTATCTTAGGACACTCACTCTAGAGGACATAAGGACGAAGCAAACTTATGGAGAGGTCAAGCTGGTGAGGAACTAAGGCCTCCTTGCAACCAGCCGGCAAGGAATTAGAGTTTTGTGTCAACGGCTATGTGAATGAGCGATTTTGGAAGATTCATAAGAACCTATGTTGCAAATTAGTAAACTATAGTATGGAATAATGAAGAATAAAACAACTGTAGTTAATGAACCAAGTAAAATAAAAGTAGTGGTTATGTTGATATGCAAATACATATTATCCAAAAACTGGTAACCAGCAAAGAAAATTTTAAAATAGTATATTGTCTGTGAATATACAATTTAAGTATACATGAAGACAAAAAAATAGTAAGATCGAGAAATATCTATTGCAAAAATAATAAACTCATTGGTTACACAACCTAGACCACAATAGAAAGTCAGGAAGACATCAAATATCTGCTGCTGTCTTTCTCTTTCAGGTCACTCTCCAAGGACCTTCTGCTCTGATTCTGTGATACTGGTAGCCTTCAGGAATCTCCTTCATATTAATGCTAGCTTCCTTAACATTAATGACAAATAGTTTACCTAGCACTTTAAAGTTTTTTTTTTAAGGCAACTTTGTCTCACAGTGATTGCCAACAAATACCTACAGAGAGTTACCTTTTTAAAAATATCTTAGAAATTTCAAGACTTCTAAGTATTTTAGAAGTTTCAAATTTTCCAATTATTAAAACACCATTGAAAAAGAAAAAAACTAAGAAAAAGTTTGCTTGATTCTTGTTTAAAATTCTCTCTCCTTCTCTCTCCCTCTCTCTCACCGAACACCATCATTACCACTACTTCTCTTTTAACCAGATGGTTTTCTGTTTTCCATGGCATTATCTACAATAATCCTCACAGACAGCAACCAAAAATAAAGTGGAAGTAGTCAGTGACAGTACTTCACAGAGATGCTGATTATGTTTATCAGGGAGTAGTAAGAGCTTTGAAGTCTGGAGGAAAATCTATAAAGAAGCAAGAAAGAATTTGACAAGTAGAACCTATTTCACAAGATTATTAAATAAAGTATATGAGATTTTTGTAAGAGTTCTCTTAGAAATCAGATTCAAAAGTATCATAAAGCAGTTCCTTTTTCTACATGACTGATTTAAAAAGAAAAGTGCTGATTTTGTATCTACTGTTCTGTCTTTGGCCTTTCCAAATGATTTTTTATTTTATGTATTTTATTTATTTATTTATTCATTCATTCATTCATTCATTATGAGACAGGATCTTGCTCTGTCACCCAGGTTGGAATGCAAAGCATGATCAAGGCTCACTGAAACCTAAACTTCCCAGGCTCAAATGATCCTCCCACCTCAGCCTCCCAAGTAGCTGGGACTACAGGCACATGCCCGGTCAATTTTTTTTTTTTTTTTTCTGTGGAGACGGGATCTCACTATGTTGAGCCCAGGCTAGTCTCAAACTCTTGGGCTCAAGCATCCTCCCTCTTTGGTCTCCCAAAGTGCTAGGATTACAGGTGTGAGGCACTGTACTTACCCTAATTTTTTTAAATCTATTTAATAGTAGTTTCAGAATGTATACTTCACAGTTCTATAAATATTTTTGTCAAACAAATGTGTAATCAGTGGGATGCCACCCATGAGAAGATATTCTGTCTGCCATCCTCATCACCGTACAAATTTAACTGCTTCTATCAATTAAGAAATGTCTGACAGGCTGGGCACGGTGGCTCACGCTTGTAATCCCAACAATCTGGGAGCCTGAGGCAGGTGGATCACCTTGGGTCAGGAGTTTGAGACCAGCCTGGCCAACATGGTAAAACCCCGTCTCTACTAAAAATATAAAAATTAGCCAGGCATGGTGGCACATGCCTGTGATCCCAGCTACTTGGGAGGCTGAGGCAGGAGAATTGCTTGAACCCGGGAAGCAGAGGTTGCAGTGAGCCGAGATCACACCACTGTACTCCAGCCTGGGAGGCAGAGTGAGAAGAAAGAAAGCAAAGAAAGGAAAGGGAAAGGGAAAGGAAAGGGAAAGGGAAAGGAAAAGGGAAAGGGAAAGGAAAAGGAAAAGGGAAACGGAAAAGGAAGGAAAGAAAGGAAAGGAAAGAAAAAAGGAAAAGTAAGGAATAGCATTATTACAGACATGAAATATTGAACACAACCCAAATGTTTAACAACAGAATGAGTAAATAAATTATGGTATAACTATACTATGGAATAATTATAGTTATGAAGAATAAGTTGAACTGGCACATGTACCAAATGTTCATATAGATGTATGCATTTATGTGAAGATGAATACAAAACAGTCAAGGATACATCAAACCATTAACAGTGGTTAATCCAGAAGGCAAGAATAGAAAAGAGTGAAAAAACAGGGATACTCGTTTTTTACTTTATACATTTTTACATATTTTGAAATTTTGTCAAGTATTAATAGTGTATATTGCTTCTATAATTTTTTTTTTTTTGAGACTGAGTTTCACTCTTGTCACCCAGGCTGGAGTGCAATGGCGCGATCCTGGCCCACTGCAACCTCCACCTACTGGCTTCTAGCGATTCTCCTGCCTCAGCCTCCTGAGTATCTGGGATTACAGGCGCCAGCCTCCATACCTGGCTAATTTTTGTATTTTTAGTGGAGAGGGGGGGTTTCATCATGTTGGCCAGGCTGGTCTCGAACTCCTAACCTCAGGTGATCCACCCACCTCAGTCTC
Organism: Homo sapiens; assembly: GCF_000001405.40. Classification (NCBI taxonomy): domain Eukaryota; kingdom Metazoa; phylum Chordata; class Mammalia; order Primates; family Hominidae; genus Homo; species Homo sapiens. The sequence continues at coordinate 87,188,461 of NC_000011.10, read as the reverse complement.
CCAAAGTGCTGGGATTACAGGCATGAGCTACCACGCCCAGGCCGCTTCTATTATTTTTTAGCTACCCACTGGAAACATTAAAAGACAAGATAAGGGTAAAAAGAGGGTGAATAAAACGAGACAAAATACAGAAAGCTAGGCTATAACTTCTTATTTTTTTCAGACTTGAATTCAAATTGGCTCAATTCAATTAACCTAGAGAAACTCCAAGACTTCATCATAAAGCCCTCTGTATGAGATTGAGGGGTGGCGTATGAACAAAAATATGACTGTACAAACTACACTGGCTTCCTCTACAACACTCTAAAGAATCAAGCATAAGAACACCACATAGCGATCTGCTGAACTTCACCATCACAACAAAGGGGGTTCTGTAAGGGAGCTCTCTCTCTCATTGTTCAACACTGAACTTGTAAGTGGGAATTCTGAATAAATAATCTTTAGCAAAATATCCTGTAGCATAAACACAAAACACTATTTCTAAACAAAGACAGATAAAGACAACATTAACTGGGTCTCTAAGTATAATATAGTCTAAGAAGATTTAATTTTGAAAGACTGGCAAATAAACAGCCCCTAGCCAGGCATAAGTAATATTCTGTACTAGATGAATGAACGGTAAAAGAATCTGATTTTGCTTATTTTCCCACAAACAACAAGAAGTTGTTGTAATTGGATGGTGGCTAGATGTTTTCTTTGCAATTTTACAATTTGGTTGAAAAATGTTCCAATCTTTAAGATTTGAAGTTATAAAATACCATCAAAAGATTATCAATAGTCAAAGTACTATACGCATTAAGTAAATTTAATGGCAACTACGTTCACACACAAGTGCATACAGACACATACACGCACAGCATGTTTCAGCTCATCTTACCATACAATCATTACAACAAACTACATTTTGTTAGGGCACAAAGAGAGTGTGGTTTGAGGATCCATGACAGTTAAGGTCAAGATCTGCAAGATCCCCAAAGCCCATGGGAGGGTTATATCGAGTTCAATAGGATCTATTAGATTTGGCAGTTAGTGTTCCAACTCAACCACAATACTTTATGACAAATAGTAACTATTTCTCCATTCCCTGTTTTCATCTCACATGAACACATTAATCAGAATCTGGCCTCAGGTATTCCACATGGTCAACTTAGTACACATACTTTCCCTGCTGGCCCCTCTAACTTATTGCTCTTTACCTTGGAGACTTTCTGTGAAGCACCGCTATGTAACCTCTGGCACATAAGTTCAAGCTAACCCTCTGTGGGAAATAAATTGTAAGAGTTTTATTAATGAATTCTTAACTTGGCTTGACATAGCTCCCCATGAGACACAAAGCAAGCACTAAACATTTAAAATCTCAAAGTCAAAATAAGTTTGAGAACCCAGTAGGATAAAGTAAAATATTCTTAGCTAATCATAAGCATTTGGTCAAACTATTATGTTAGATAAGACCCACCTGATTATAAATCATAAAATCAAAGTACCCATAGTATTAACTACACAATAATTATATTTTCTAGTGTATCCCCTATAAACATTGTTTTATTATCCTTATTATCCTTAATATTTCCCCTCTCTTGTTTTACAAAATCACTTTCTGCTCATTCCTCCACCAATTTTAAATCAAAATGTGGGATATCACAGAGTAAAAAAATTAGGCCATAAATCAGGTGACTCTAATTACTGAGTTTCAAAATGTTTCACAAACAAAATCATAATTTTATAAATCTTTATATTTTCCTACTATTAAGTGGAGATAATTTTAATAAATATATACGAGGTTAAATGAGTATTACAATGTGAATTATTCAAATCTCCTGTGAGAAAAATTTTAATCAGCTTTAAAGATAAACTTTATTAACAAAAAAAGATGAACTTTATTGTAAGTAACAGATTTCTCAAGGGGAAAACTAAATCCCACACTACTAACTTCATAGTGGACAAATCTTTTAAAATCATCCACTCCTATATCCTATACAACCAAAATTATATCAGATGAAAACTTTAATTCATGGGGTATGAGTAACTCTTAAATAATAAAACACTATATAAGTTAAAAATCCTTTTGTGAAGTAACAACAGTCCCTTGGGGAAATGGCTGATTGTAGCTGGGGCCAGGAGCTATACAAGATGAACCTAGAACTTCTTATCTTACCAGACTACTACTAGGGTTATAGCCAAAGGATTCAGAAGGCAACTTGTAGAGGTTTCCACTGGCCAAAAAAGGGACAACTTTACCTTCAAGAAGGATAACTACAGCTGGGCACGGTGGCTCATGCCTTTAATCCCAGCACTTTGGGAGGCCAAGGCGGGCAGATCATGAAGTCAAGAGATTGAGACCATCCTGGCCAACATGGTGAAACCCCGTCTCCACTAAAAATACAAAAAATAGCTGAATGTAGTGGCACATGCCTGTAGTCCCAGCTACTCGGGAGGCTGAGGCAGGAGAATCACTTGAACCTGGGAGACAAATGTTGCAGTGAGCCAAGATCACGCCACTGAACTCTAGCCTGGTGACAGAATGAACCTCTGTCTCACAAAAAAAAAAGAAGGATAACTACAACAGATTGAAACACACAAAATATGTTTAAATCTATGATTTCCTAATAATGATTTATAAAACATCATTACTCATCTTTTGAGGATTTTTATAAACTAATGCATCATTTTGAATAATGTTAAATAAAGGGAGAAAAATCAAGACTTTATCTTATCTTTCCCATATGAAAGGCAACCAAATAGTTGAAGAATACAAGTTTCCCTTTACACAGGTATTCTAACTGATAAAAGAATATATCCATTTTGCAAGCCTAATAAACACAAGTAATGATAGGTAATCGTCACCAATGACTGCTAACAAGACATACAAACAAAGCCAACCAGATATTATGTGTCTCTTCATGGAAGTACACAAAACCAATTATGATTTATTTCTGAGAGGAGAAAAAAAAACACCACATATGAATTTAATCAAGCCTCTAGATCTATTACTGATTTGCAGGAAATACAGAGAACCAAGAAAGAATACCACAAGGATCAGCAAAAATCAGACTGTGAGAAGCTTTACGGTCTGGTTTCTTCAATAAATTTCTAGGAAACCATAGAGAGAGGGATGAGGGGGGAACCAACCAATTCAAATAAATTTAAGATCTTAACTAACTGGAACATATAGATCTTATCTGGATTCTGATTTTAACAAATGAGAGAGAGGTGACTGGGAAAATGTGAACACTGACTAAATACGATAATAAGGAAAAATTTTTCAGTGAGATGAATAGCATTGTGTTTATATTTTTAAAAGGAGAGTCCTTATCTTCTAAGGATACATACTGAAATATTTACATAGAGTGATATGATGTCTGAAATTTGCTTCAAAATTATTGAGGGAAGGTAGTAGTGGTTAGGGATATAAAGAAGACTGGCAATCAGTGAGAATTATTAAAACTGGATGATGGCTACATTGGGGGATTATCCTCTTTACTTTTGTATAAGTTTAAAATTTTCTAAAATAAAAAGAAATTTTAACTGAAAAATCATTTTATAATATACAAAGTGGCACCCTAAGTTTTTATTTAGCAAACAGGATGTTTGCCATACTGGGTTTTCACAAAGGTAAACCAACGTGTGTTAATACTTCCATCTTGGGTACATTAAATTCTTATAAATCATTGTTAACTTATAAGAGTATGTAACAACATCAACATTCCAGGCATTGTGCTAGAAGCTACAGGCATTCAATACAAAAAGTAATCTATACAGAATAAAGACAGTGATTTCATTATATTTAGAGTCTCTTATATAACACAATACTATTTAAGGGAAAAAAAGAGGGGGGCATCTTACACACACTATGAAATACACATAAAGTCCACACAATTTGTCATATCTATAGTTTCTCAAACATATTTGCCACTAGAAACTCCTTCATTTACTATATGAGCTAAGCAGTTCTAAAATTCACTATGTATTGTCTTTGTTTTTAAAGACCTAAAGTAATCGTCAGACCCTTCATTCTATGAATTTTTTACCCAAAGGCCATTTTCTTAGTCTAAATTACAGATTAATTCCTCATGATGCATTTTTCCCAGACCAACATTAAAAGTCATACTCTATTACTACTGAAGGCTGAAAACTGTTAAATAAAATAATTAATCCAATTATTCAGGTAATATTAAATAGAAAGGCTATCGAAAATCAAACAGTTCTTGTGCAATAAATATGTGATATTCATATACCCATTCTTTAATTTTTTGATGACTTCTTTGGATCACAGATAATTCACAAAACAAATCAGAGACAAGGTTTTAATTTCACATATAATATTCTAAAAGAACAAACAAAACAACTATGACACTAAGTACTTTATGAAGTTAAAACATTCTAAAATACTTGAAAAATATATTGCAAAATTTTTCTAAGTAGAAAATGTTCACTGAACGTGCTCTTAGAACAAAAAAGGTAAATATTCGTTTAACTCTCGGATTTTTTTTTTTTTTTTTTTTTTTTGCGACGAAGTCTGGCTCTGTTGCCCAAGTTGGAGTGTGATGGCATGATCTCAGCTCACTGCAACCTCCACCTCCCAGGTTCAAGCGATTCTTCTGCCTCAGCCTCCCAACTAGCTGGGATTACAGGCGCCCGCCACCACGCCCAGCTAATTTTTGTATTTTTAGTAGAGATGGCGTTTTACCGTGTTAGCCAGGCTGGTCTCGAACTCCTGACCTCAGGTGATCCACCCACCTCAGCCTCCCAAAGTGCTGGGATTACAGGCGTGAGCCACCGCACCTGGCCAGAATTTTTAAACACATAGCATATAGAAAGTAAGCCCATTCACAAGTTTTAGTGTCAATGCATACATTTCAATTATCCTAAGAAATCCACCTTACTTTTATCAGACAATTTAACCGCAATGTCCTTTTTGAAAATAGTGTTTTAGGAATTAAAACATTAAAAGCTAAATTTAACTTACCTTTAACTTTACTATTGAGTATAGAGAAAACAAATAACAAAAAAATTTTAGTGATAGCCAGGTGTGGTGGCTCACACCTGTAATCCCCACACTTGGGGAGGCTGAGGCAGGCAGATCACAAGGTCAGGAGTTCGAGCCCAGCCTGACCAACATGGTGAAACCCCGTCACTACTAAAAATACAAAAATTAACCAGGCGTGGTGGCACACACCTGTAATCCCAACTACTCAGGAGGCTGAGGCAGGAGAATCGCTTGAACCCAGGAGGCAGAGGTTGCAGTGAGCCAAGATTGAGCCACTGCACTCCAGCCTGGGCGACAGAGCAAGACTCTGTCTCAAAAAAAAAAAAAAAAAAAAAAAAATTAGTGATTACCAACTCATGTTAATTTTAAAAAATCAGTAATTTAGACAGCTACAATTCAGATACAGTAGAGCTTTCAGCTTCAATCAATAGCTTTCTCTCATTGCCCTCCATTAACCTCAACTCTTGGAAACATGTTCTCCTGGAATTAAAAGTAATCAAATCCTAACAGATTATATGCATATGATTAAAAATTCTATCTAATACCATACTAAGATCCTAAGATAAATATAATTCTAGTTATATTCTATATAAAAGTAGGCCATTACACAAAGAAAATCACATTTAAAATATTTAGCAGTAAATATTCAAGAGAAAAATTTAAAAACACAAATGAAACAATTTTAAAAGTGAGATCTATGAAAGCAGAAACCATAGCTCATTTATTATTACATTCACCTGTGTCTAGAAAACAGTTAAAAAACACAAAAATTTTCTAGAGAAAAAAATATTTCATAAAGGAAATCTGATCTTCCATGAAGTAAAATAAAAAGTAGTAAATGAAAGTACCTTCAGACATCTCCATAATATTAACATTAAGGTCAATTGTTTTAATAATCAAACACTGTGAAAGAAGAAAAGCAAACAGAAATTGCATTTGCCATATACTTAGATGTTAGTGATGCAAGGAGATTCAAATTTCTGCTCACAAACACATATTTCTCATCATCTACCACTCACAGCACCTTAGTCAAGGTGCTACCATTTAAATCATTTTATCCTAACTAGGTATATACAATTATTACAGATTATATTCAACAACCTGTAATAGATGAAGAAGATCCAGTATTACAAGTCTGGGCAATGGACAAGAAACCATAACTTAAACACAATCAAAAGAGAGCTTTTGTTCCTTTTTCTTATCTTAATTTGAGTGCAGAATCTGTTTAAAATAGCATGTAGGTCACACAATATACACTGTTCACACATAATATTAATAAAAACTAAAAAACGTACATTTCATTTGAAATGCAAACACACTAAACAAGTTTTCATGAAAAGGCAATAAGTAGAAACTTCATTTTAATACTAGTAGATATTACATATAAAAATATTATTCTATATTTTTAGTTTTGGCAAATGCTTTTCAAGTTCTTTTTCTTACACTTTAATAAGAATATTAAGGCTTACTCTCATTTCAAATACACTCCATGAAAACAATTCTCTCTTTAAAAAAAAAAAGCCACCCTCATTCAAAAGGAAATTGAATAGTTTATCATCATACAGAAACACAAACTACAATGATTCAATTCTTATAAAAGAATCTGTAGAACTAGCCTCTTTAATTGTGCACCTTAATCTTCAATATGCCAGGTGAAATCATTAGAACCAAAGTGTTCTGAGCACTACTGCTCTCAATACTTTTTTTATCTTAAGAATTACTTTTTAATATTTTAATTACAATAAAATTTACTTTATAAGTTTTAACCTATAATTTATAGGTTTTAACAAATACATGGAGTCATGTATCCATTATTAGTATCACTATGCCGAACAGTTTCATCACTCAGAAAATTCCCTCATTCTGTCTTTGTAATCAACCCTTCCCTGTGCTTCCAATCTCTGACAAACACTGATCTGGGTCTCCATGTCTACAGTTTTTGCTTTTGCAGAATGTCATATAAACTGAATCACACGATATTTGGCATTTTTGGAATTTACTGAATATTATGAATCTGTAAATGTGTCTTTCACCAAAGATGAACGTTTTCAGCTATTATTTCTTCAGTATTTTTTCTGTACCAACCTCTTTGTCCTCTCCTCTGGGTCTCTTATGACGTAATTGTTATACCTTTTCTATCATCCCATAGATCTCTACACTGTGCTCATTTTATTGTCTTTTATCTTTATTGTTCAGATATTATAATTTCTATTGCCCTTTCTTCAATTTCACTTAATCTTTTTTCTGTCCCCTCCATTCTGCTGTTGAACTCATCTAGAACATTTTTAGGTATTTTAGTATTTTAATATATTTGGATTATTGCTACTTCCTATCCTAAAAGTTTCTGTTGGTTCTTTTTCTACTTTCCTTGCTGAGAACTTCATTCTTTCTGTTCACTTCAAAAGTGTTTGCTCTGACTTCAACAGGACAGAGTTATAATAGCTGCTCTAAGAACTTTGTCATAATTCCAGCATCCAGGTCATCTTAGGAATGGCATTTGTTAGCTGCTGTTTTTCCTACAACAGTTGATGATTTCCCTGAGTCGTGGTTATGTCCAATAATGTTGGAGTGTATCCCAGAAAGGGGAGGGAGACTTTGAATATTGCATTTTGACACTCTTGGTCATGCTAAAGGCTTTTGGTCCTCTGGAGAATGGATTTGTTTTTGTTTTCGTTTTTAATATTTTTGTTGTTGTTGACAATCAACCCTGTTAGCTTCAAACCACAAGTCCCAACCTACCTGGTGGGCTGTGACTTCAAAGTCAATTCAGTTTCCCAAGTCTTTTTAGTGATATTTACTCTATCCTCATATGTGTCACCTAAAAGCCAATCTAGGACAAAGATGGTGGTCTACAATGTAGTTCAGTTATCAAACTTTTTATTTCATCTCCTTGAAAAAGTTCCACACATGCTCAGCTTAGGGATGTCTGGGTCTTCATGCACAGATTTAGGTCATCTTTTTCTCTACCTACTGCCTCTCCATAATTTCCCCAACACTATCTGTCTCCTAGACCCCTTATCTTAATTCTCTGGCTACAAAACTGGTGTTTTTGCCTCCACACACACTCATATACTTTCTGCAACTGCATCTGCCTTGGGGAGAAGTGGCAAGAAAGGGGGGAAAAAAGCAAAAACTAACAGATATTCTCCCCTCATTCTTTGGGCTACAGGGGCCCGTTTTTCCCGTTTATCTGGTCAAAGAAAAAGATTATCTTTCAGAGTTTTAAATGCCTGCATAGTTGCCATTGCCACCACCACTACCATTGCAGGGGAACGGCCTCATGATTAAGGCTTACTTGGGGTCCCACCAGAAAAGTAAAACAAAAACCAGAATACAAAACACAAAGAAAACAGTGATGTTCCACACAGACTCCTTCGCACAGGGGCCCTTCTTTCCAGTCCTCTGACCATAAACAGAGAAAAAGAGGATTCTTCTGTCTGCATCTGTTGTGCAGACCAAGAATAAGATGCCCTGGAGTCCAAGCTGGGAGAAAAAGAAAGGGGAAAAGGGCAGAGAAAACAACAACAACAACAACAGAAAAAAACAGAAAACTTGCCAGTATCAGTCATATCTCCAGGTTGGAAGTGCATCCTGAACCTCCTGCTATTATTTACTCTTCAGAGACCTCAAACAGCTGTGCTGTGTATTCTGTCCAGGGTTTTTAGTTGGAATGCACGGGACAGAGTCTTGCTCCATATTAGTAGAATCAGAACCACAGAAATTCTAGACATAAATCCTGATATTTATGGTCAACTGTTTTTTAACAAAGATGCCAAAGCAATTCAATGGGCAAAGACAGACTTTTCAAAAAATGCTGCTGGTACAACTGAATACACACAGGCAAAAAATTAAAAAAAAATGAACTTGGATTTTCACCTCAAACCGTATTTAAAAGATGAAACAAAGACTTATATGATCTGAAGAGAAACCAGAGTATCTCACACCATATTTAAAAGTAAACTCAAAACAGATCACAGACCTAAATGAAAAACAAAGGAGAAAATCTTTGTGACCCCCAACTAGGTAAAGATTTCTTGGATATGATAGCAAAAGTATAGCTCCTAACAGAAAAAAAAATTAATGAATGGAACATCATCAAAATTTAGAACATTTTGTCTTCAAAAAGCACTATTTAGAAAGTGAAAACACAGGCCACGATCTGGGAAAATATATTCCCAAATCCTATATTTAATAAAAGATTTGATCCAAAATGAAAAACTTTTCAAAGTCACCTCCTGCAATTCAGTAATAAGACAATAAACCCCATGAAAAAAGGGCAAGAAAATTTAATAGACATTTCACAAAATGTATACAAATGCCCAATAAGCACTATGAAAAGAAGTCCAACATCACTAGTCATTAGGGAAATGAAAATTACCATAAAAATTACCATACATTTCTAGAATGGCTATAATAAAATAGTCTGATCATACCAAATGTTGGCAAGGATGCTGACAAACTGGACCCCTCATACACTGCCAAGTGGCAATGTAAAATGGAACTACTTTTTTTTTAAGCATTATTCTTATGACCTAACAATTCTACATTTAGGTATCAAGCCAAGAGAAATTAAAACATATGTCAACCCAAAGACTTCTCTCCAATTTTCATAACTGAAAACTGGAAATAATCCAAATGGTCAATTAATATGTCCATAAACAAAATGTAATCCAAACAATGGAATACTATTCAGTCATGAAAAGGGAAAAAAAAAGTACTGATATGAATGAACCTCAAAAACATTATGTTGGACAGGCATGGTGGCTCACACCTATAATCCCAGCAATTTGGGAGGCCGAGACAGGCAGATCACTTGAGGTCAGGAGTTCAAGACTTACCTGGCCAACATGGTGAAATCCCGTCTCTACTAAAAATACAAAAATTAGCCAGGTGTAATGGTGCACCCCTGTAGTCCCAGCTACTCAGGAGACTCAGGCAGGAGAATCCCTTGAACCTGGGAGGCAGAGGCTGCAGGGAGCTGAAATCACTCCAGCCTGGGGAAGACAGTGAGACTCCATCTCAAAAAAACAAAACGCATTATGTTAAGGAAAGGAAGGCAGACTCAAAAGGGCATATATTGTATAATTACATGTATATAAAATTTTCAGAAAAAGAGAGTTTAGATTGTGGCATAATAAAAATATATCTGGACTTTGTTCCTAGTTCCTGGCACAGGGCTTCAAAAACCCTTGGAATTTCAAGGTGACAGTACTGTCTTTGCTATGCTGATGAGGTTGCTCATGGTGATAGCTTCCAGCTAGGGACTGGTCACCAAAAAAACCAAACACATGATTAGAGGGTTGGAACTCTAGGCCAACAGCACCTCCAAGGACAGGAGGGGAGCTGGAGACAGTTCAATCACATGGCCAATAATTTAATCAATCACACCCATATACTGAAACCCCAATAAAAGCTCTGAACACTGAGGCTTGGTGGACACACTGACATGCAGAGAGGGTAATGTACCCTGACTCTACAGGGAGAGGGCATGGAAGCTTTAGGTCCAGGTCCCTTCCAAACCTTGTCTTATGTGTACCCTTTATAATAAAACTATATAACATTTTTAGTGAGCTCTGTGAGTCATTCCAGAGAATTACTGAACCTATACATTTGGGAATCTCCAATTTTATAGTCAGTCGTCAGAAGCATGAATGTTCTGCATTTGTGGCTGGCATCTGAATTGAGAGCAGTCTTCTGGAGGGCTAAACTCTTAAACCTGTGGAGTCTGATACTAATTGATGGGCAGTTAGTGTCAGAACTGTATTACAATATACCCACAGAGGGCGGAAATGGAAAAAAAGAGACAAAAAGATTAGTGGTTACCTGGGCCTGGGAGTAGCAATGGGAAGTGATAGCAACAAATATTTTTTAGAGTGATAGAAATATTCAAAAACTAGATTTGATTATGGCTATATAACTCCATAAATATATTTAAAAATTACTGAATTACACACTTTCAGTGAGTATAACTTATGGCTATTATACCACAATAAAACTGGTTTTTAAAATCTAATAAGTTTCCAAGATTATAGAAGGCATTCAAAGTTATAATAATCATGTATTTCTTCATTCTGTATTCTCATAATGAACACCAAATACTTATTAAATGCAACAGTCAGTGAAAAAATAACAAGAAATGAAGGGTTTCAACTGTCTTAAGAGCATTCCATTAGATATACAGAACTCTATCAAAATTAGCAATGATAAATGAGGTTAAAAATCTCACAAGTAGGATGTAGGATGTAGGTAGGATGGATTAGGTCCACATTTTGTGGAAAATATTTTAAAATGAAAGGGCGAGGCAATGGTAAAGTGCTTTCAATTGGGGCAATCTGGAGTTAGCCAATGCCCTATGTGCTCTCATTAGTCTCAGAGATTTTACGGTCAACTGTGATTCTGCCTATTAAATGTTCTTTCACTTGATGATTTTACAATCCATTACTGAAAATTATATCAAAAGGACTGCTAGCATGTATATTATATTAATATTAAAGCCAGATTTGCACTCAGCACTGGCTAATGGGACACTTTAAACAATAAGAAAAGAAAGTTGTTATATGCATGGGATGCACTGTTTTTTAACCCTTGAGCTTTCCCTCTTGATACTGTCCTTTAATTCTCTTCTTGAAACCACCTTCCTGAAAAAAGAGGTATACATGTGTAAAATCTTATTCATCCTCCCCTCTCATTCACTCACTCCCTAACCCACTATAACCTGACTTCAATCCCAGCCATTAGGCTAAAACCACTACAGTGAAAATCACTAAACCAGACTTTTATCAAATTCCTTCAACTCTTCAACCTACCTTAACAATCTTTCCCATGGACTTCAATCCTCTAAAATTCAAAGGTATATGGAAATTTGTACAATCTCCTATTTGAAATTAATGACATCTCTTTATCATTAAATACAAATCTTCTCTGTTCTGACCTGCCACATCCCTACTGAACCATCTCAAATAATACTTGCCATTATATAGCAAACTCACTATCTTAGTCCATTTGTGTTACTAAAAAGGAATACCTGAGATTGGGTGATTTATTTTTTTAAAAAGGGATTCATTTGGCTCATGGTTCTGCAGCCTGTACAAGACACATGGGGCTAGCATATGCATATGGTAAGGGCCTCAAGCTGCTTCTCTTCATGACAGAAGGCAAAGGGGAGCCGGCATGTGAAGACATCACATGGGGAGACAGGAAGGGGCAGGGAGGTGCCAGGCTCTTTCTAACAACCAGCTCTCACGGGAACTAACAGAATAGAAACTCACTCATTACCACAAGGAAGGCACCAAGTCATTGATAAGGAATCTGCCCCCATGACCCAAACACCTCCCATTAGGCCCCACCTCCAACACTGGTGATCAAATTTCAACATGAGGTTTGGAGGGTCAAATATCCAAACTACAGCACTTACCTACTGAGAACAAAAAAGTCAATTAAAAATAAAAATGATGTGCAAACAAAATGGTAAAAATTACATTTGGCCATACACATATGTATAAAGTTAAATTTATTTGCTAATTCAAAGTGTTTAAGTTACTTGCCGCTGAACTCACCTAATATTATATGCAAAATTCTTTTGGTATGTTTCTACAAAGAAACATTTTCTATATATCTAAAATCTTTGTTTCTTAAATAAAGCCTGTGTCTTCTAATACATTCAACCACATCTAGCTATACAACCAGAGTAGACAAATTTAAGTTTAGTGGGTGGTTGGTGTAGCGGAGGTACAGCCTTACCCATGTGGAAATAATTGCTTTCTTGACCTAAAGCTCTTCCCATTAGAATCAAAACAAATTGATATGATCTTAAGAACCCTTCTAATTTTTGAAAAATAAAACCTAATTGTTCCATACTTAAACAGATGTTGTTTGTTTTGTTTAAGGACAAAATTATGACACATTTATTTTTGTATTTAAATCAAAAGCAGAGTGACTATTATGAAGAAAATAAGTGAATTTCAAAAGATAATCATCTCAGTGTAGAAAGGCACACACAGAGTTGGTACAGACAAGGCCAACAAACTTAAACATTATGATCTGATATTTTTAAAATCTTGGTTTGACCTTTGGCCTTCTTGGTCTACACCAACTTTTCAAAATAAACTGTTTGTTCATCAGGAGTATGCAATAATGCATATAACACAGTAAGCTATTTAAAGCAGATTTAGTGACAAGGATAAAATATTCCAGAAAGAATAAAATACAAATTCTGAAGCTTAATGTTTTATGATGTGATTCTGGCATGAAGTATAAATTTTCTAAGAACCTGCCAAAATATAATATGTTGTTTTGATTCATGGAATTGGAGAACTGAAATAAATATCAAGATATTATTATAATTAGTCCAGTCTTCTTCCTCTTGTGGTTCAGTATCTATACCATCCAGACTTATGGCTATTAAAAGATACATTTCTTCTACATGAGCAAGATATTAATAGTAACTCCACAACCTTCTTGAAGCCTTTTTTAATGCTTTATCACCCTGAAAGTGATGACCAGTGGCTTCAGTTATCTCAAACTTTCTGTTCTGTGTTCAAAACTAATTTCTTCCCACCACATTAGAGATAGGATTGGGATGTCTCTGTATATACAGTAAATCTGAACATAATGTCCTTGATAGGTTCTTGACAACTGCTATTTTAAGTGAAACAATGTATGACAAACAAAACTATTTTTCCCCTCATCAATGTTATAACAAAAGGGCATTGAACAAAGGGATATGATTGGAGGACCTGCTGTAAGCCATTTCACTTAAAGTCACAGTTTCCAAGGAGCTATCGATGACATGACGTGAGGACTTACTGTACCTTGCTTATAATAAATACTCCCTAGGCCATATCATATCTCTTTCCTTTTTCTCAAGATTCTTTTCCATACTTATTTCCTCTCTTCTTCTCTAGATGCTATCCATTCTCCCCACATGCTTTTTAACACTGCTATATTTGAATTGCTGCTTAAAAAGGAAAAATCATTCTAACTCTTCTAGGCTATATTCTAATAGATTATGTAGAGCTTACTAAGTATACACTTTGAAAACCAACAACAGAAGAATAAAAGAATAGACTTGAAAAAGTTATCAGGAACATTCTAGAGTGGTCAGAATTCTTTTTTTTCCTACATGATATGGGGATATTGGCAGAAGTGAATCATGTTAATAGAAAGTATATTTCAATGGCAATAGACATGTGTAAGGTATCTTAATATTTTCTTCCCATTAAAATATGATAGATAAATCAGAGGTCTTATTGCAAAAGTGATAATCCAATTTTCTTTGACAGGATCAACTAAGCCTTAGTCTGCATTTCTAGAAGGCCAGTGTCTCATCAATCTCAGTGGGACTTCTGCTCAACTAAGACTTGCAATTATCAAAACTAAGTTTTCACCATGTTATAACTTTACCCTGTTTGGCTAACAGTATTCTCATGTTTGTTTGTACAAGTCAGTTTTTTCTATTATTGCACTTCCCTTGTTATATTTACTTTATGCAAAGAAACAAAAACATGATCAGCAGAATTTGGTTGAGTAGTACACATCAAGTTTGTGATTAAACATGTTTTGTATATTACTGAGATACTGGCACTAGACAGCAGAGCGCACTGGCAACAAATGCCAACCCAAATATCATGACTCACACAGGAAGGAAATAATCACTCAGAAGTGCCAATAACACTGCTATTAGTATAGCTGTGGATCAAAATATCAAAACTCTGTCTTTTATTATCAACTACCAGTTCACACACTGTTATAAATAAACATAAGATCTCCATTTACTCACCCCAATATAGAAAATAATACAACATATGTAATAAAATAAAAATAAGTTAAGATTTAGAACAGGCTAATTCTAATAGGCTTATTTTGTGGCAGACATGTGGCAGACATTGTGCTAGCTGCCTTACAGACATTATCTAATTTATTTCTCACAAAAGCAATGCATGAGCTTGCTGCTGGTCTGTTTACAGAAGACAACACTGGCAAGGTCCTAAGTAGCAGGTTATGACTCAGCCACTAGACTATAAAACTTTTTGAAAGCTGAAACCATTTTGGTTTAGTTTACAATTAAAACCCAGTATCTACTAATCTACCTCATAATAATTATTCAGGGGAACAAAGAAAAAAGAAGGAACACTAGATCTGATTCCAGTGCCACGCATCACATTTGCCTTTAGGACGCTATCAATGAATATTTGTTTATTTGATTAGATTTTACAAGCCACCAGTTCCTGGCATTCTACTAGGCATCAGTCTCAGAGATTTCACTACTTGAACTACTTGAACTAATACTTTGCTTATTAAAGACTTACATTTTTTCCTGAGGTAGTGCTAGAAGGGAAGCAGTAAAGACAAAAATAATAACAAAAATATATAAGAAAAAATAGATGCAACATTAAAAATATATATTTGAGAGTTTACTTCTAGGTTTCCTTGTATAAAGAATTCACATTCAACAGTAAGAAAATGCTTGGTTTCTTTAAATATAATATTAAAATTAAGTGTAATAATTTTAGTAATGTTGGAAATATATCTTAATATCTGAATAATCAAGTATCTTTGTGCATAAGAAATATCAAATATGTAAATTGTATTCTTTAAATATTATTTAATTATTTAATTCACGAATATTCTTCATGAAAAAATTTAATGTCAAAAATAATTATCACTGTATTATAAATATCATGATTTTAAAATAACACCAATATTTATAATTATCCATACAAATCCATAAAGATATACTTATCTTAAATGAAAGCTGATTGAATTAAAGTAGTATTTGCCACTTGAGTTCTGTCTCAATAAATCTTTTACTTATTCATCAGACATATATTGAGATCTTTATTTTGTGCCAGCCAGGTGTTAAACTTTAAGAAATAGAAATCCCTAACAAAGAGTCCCTACTCTCACTCTAGCAATCAGTCTAAAATTAAATATTCTATATTACTTATGTACACCATGCTCCTGGAAGGTTTAAAAAAAATCCATTCTAATAAATCATTCAGAATACCTAATACCGTGTCGTAATACAAAACAAAAGTAGGTAAAAAAAAAAAACCTACTTTTCTTTCTTGCTAAAACAGCAACAAACCTTAATACTCTGTTCTACTTTACATACAAAAATCTTTAAATATACTTTAAATTTCTTTTCTATTTCTTAACCTGTTTTGTCTCATACAGAGTGTACCTTCCTTGAGTTCAAAGAAGAAAGAATTAAAAAATACTTCTAAAACAGTGGTTTACAACAGTAGCTAAGTATTAAAATCAGCGGACATTTTAAAAAATATAGATACTGGAGCCCCAAACTGGACCTCATAGACAAAGTCTTTGGTGATGGAGCCCAGGTACCTATAGTTTTGAAGAGCTCTATGGGCAATTCTCAAGCTCGGTGAAAGTTTATAACCACAACTTTAAAGGCTTAATTAAGCACAGGGGTTCCCAACCCCTGGGAGATGTACAGGTACTGGTCCCTGGCTTGTTAGGAACCAGGCCGCACAACAGGAGGTGAGCAGCAAGCAAGCGAGCATTACTGCCTGAGCTTGGCCTCCTGTCAGATCAGCTGTGGCAGCAGATCCTCATAAGAGTGTGAACCCTATTTTGAACTGCACATGGGAGGGATCTAGGTTGTGTGCTCCCTTTGATAATCTAATGATGATGTGAGGTAGAACAGTTTCATCCCAAAACCAAGCCCCCCGTGGAAAAATTGTCTTCGACGAAGCCGGTCCCTCGTGCCAAAAAGGTCGGACACCACTACCTAGGCAGAAAGGGTATACAAAGCTGCCTGTAAGCAGAAAATGTTAAAGCCATATAGGACCTTAAAGATCATCTAATCAGCTCATTTTCTGAAGTATAAAGCTGAAGTTGTGAGGAGTTCAGTAAACTGTCCAAGGTCTCAGCTAGTAAAGTCTACTGACATGCAGACGAGTATTTTTTCATTATTTCCCTTAGCTGATAATTTTGTCATGAGGTTACCTATGAATCCCTGCTTAACATATATGTTTGCAGTACTGGCTTAGCATAGGACACTGGCTACTCCAGTTGGGAGACAGAATACTAATTCTTGATTCTACCACAAGCTTATCAATACCCTCAGCACTCATATCACAAATTCTCAGGGAAATGTGATTAAAAAAAAAAAAAACACTACACTGTCTTGAACCTGAAATACCTCTTTTGGAAAAACAGTGATAAGAGTACCAAAAATGGAAAGTTGTTTTGATGTATGAATGAGCTGGATAATTATAATGCACCTAGGGCATATAAAGGCATTCAACAAATGTTACTTCCCTTCAACATGACACCACCCACCCTGCTTTCCTTTTAGATTCTGCAATTAAAGTTACCTGTCCCTAGTACCTCACTTTAATCTTCAACTATGCCCCTTTTCATATTGTTTCTCCTAACTGGCAAAGCCTTTTGGCCTCTTCTCCTTGCTTAATGCTCATTAGTTTCTTCAAAGCTCAGTTTGAAGATGTACCCCCTTTGCTCTCTGGCCAGGGCATCTCTGAAAGAAAGCCAGCAGCCCCAGGCAGGGGCTTATAGATAGAACTCCCATCTGCCTGGGACAGAAAACCTGGGGAAGAGGAGGCTGTGGGCCCAGCTTCCACAAACTTAAACGTTCCTGCCTGCCAGCTCTGAAGAGAGCAGTGGATCGCCCAGCACAGCACTGGAGCTCTGCTAAGGGACAAAGTGCCTCCTCAAGTGAGTCCTTGACCCCCATGCCTTCTGACTGGGAGACACCTCCCAGCACAGGTCAACAGACACCTCATACAGGAGACCTCCAGCTGGCATCTGATGGATGCCACTCTGGGACAAAGCTTCCAGAGGAAGGAACACGCAGCAATCTTTGCTGTTCTGCAGCCTCAGCTGGTGAATACCCATGCAAACAGGGTCTGGAGTAGACTTCCAGCAAACTCCAACAGACCTGCAGCATAGGGGCCTGACTGTTAGAAAGAAAATTTAACAAACAGAAAGGAGTAACAACAACATCAACAAAAAGGATGTCCACACAGAAACCCCATCGGAAGGTCACCAACATCAAAGAACAAAGGTAGATACATTCACAAAGATAAGGAAAAACCAGTGCAAAAAGGCTGAAAATTCCAAAAACCAGAATGCCTCTTCTCCTCCAAAGGATCACAACTCCTGGCCAGAAGGAAACAAAACTGGACAGAGAATAAGTTTGAGGAATGACAGAAATAGGCTTCAGAAGGTGGGTAATAACAAACTCCTCTGAGGTAAAGAAGCATGTTCTAACCCAATGCAAGGAAGCTAAAAACCATGAAAAAAGGTTAGAGGAATTGCTAACTAGAATAACCAGTTTAGAGAAGAAAATAAATGACCTGATGGAGCTGAAAAACACAGCATGAGAACTTTGTGAAGCATAAACACATATCAATAGCCAAACTGATCAAGTGGAAAAAGGATATCAGAGACTGAAGATCAACGAAGACAAGATTAGAAAAAAAAAAGACTAAAAAGGAACGAAGGAAGCCTCCAAGAAATATGGGACTATATGAAAAGACCAAACCTATGTTTGATTGGTGTACCTGAAAATGATGGGGAGAATGGAACCAGGTTTGAAAACACTCTTCAGGATATTACCCAGAAGAACTTCCCAACTTAGCAAGACAGGCCAACATTCAAATTCAAGCAATACAGAGAACACCACAAAGATACTCCTCGAGAAGAGCAACCCCAAGATACATAATTGTCAGATTCACCAAGGTTGAAATGAAGGAAAATATGTTAAGGGCAGCCAGAGAGAAAGGTCAGGTTACCCACAACGGGAAGTCCATCAGACTAACAGCAGGTATCTCTACAGAAACCCTACAAGCAAGAAGAGAGTGAGGGCCAATATTCAACATTCTTAAAGAAAAGATTTTCAACCCAGAATTTTATATCCAACCAAACTAAGCTTCATAAGCGAAAAAGAAATAAAATCCTTTACAGACAAGCAAATGCTAAGAGATTTTGTCACCACCAGGCCTGCCTCACAAGAGCTCCTGAAGGAAGCACTAAATATCGAAAGGAAAAACCAGTACCAGCCACTGCAAAAACATACCAAATTATAAAGACCATCGACACTATGAAGAAACTGCATCAACTAATGGGCAAAATAACCAGCTAGCATCATAATGACAGGATCAAATTCACACATAACAATATTAACCTTAAATGTAAATGGGCTAAATGCCCCAATTAAAAGACACAGACTGGCAAACTAGATAAAGAGTCAAGACCCATCAGTGTGCTGTGTTCAGGAGTCCCATCTCACGTGCAAAGACACACATAGGCTCAAAATAAAGGGATGGAGGAAGAATTTACAGAGTAAATGGAAAGCAAAAAAAAGCAAGGTTTGCAATCCTAGTCTCTGATAAAACAGACTTTAAACCAACAAAGATCAAAAGAGACAAAGAAGGGCATTACATAATGGCAAAGGGATCAGTGCAACAAGATGAGTTAACTATCCTAAATATATATGCACCCAATACAGGAGCACCCAGATTCATAAAGCAAGTCCTTAGAGACCTACAAAGAGACTTAGACTCCCACACAATAATAGTGGGAGAGTTTAACACCTCATCGTCCATATTAGATCAACGAGACAGAAAATTAACAAGGATATCCAGGACTTGAACTCAGCTCTGGACCAAGTGACTTAATAGACATCTACAGAAATCTCCAACCCAAATCAACAGAACATACATTCTTCTCAGCACCACATAGAACTTCTTCTAAAATTGACCAGATAATTAGAAGTAAAACACTCCTCAGCAAATGCAAAAGAATGGAAATCATAACAAACAGTCTCTGAGACCACAATGCAATCAAATTAGAACTCAGGATTAAGAAACTCCCTTAAAACCGCACAACTAAGTGGAAACTGAACAACCTGCTCCTGTATGACTACTCGGTAAATAATGAAAGTAAGGCAGAAATAAATAAGTTCTTTGAAACCAATGAGAACAAAGACACAACGTACCAGAATCTCTGGGACACAGCTAAAGGAGTCTTTAGAGGGAAATTTATAGCACCAAATGCCCACAGAAGCACGTGGGAAAGATCTAAAATCAACACCCTAATATCACAATTAAAAGAACTAGAAAAGCAAAAGCTAACAAATTCAAAAGCAAGTAGAAGACAAGAAACAACTAAGATCAGAGCAGAACTGAAGGAGATAGAGATACAAAAAACCCTTCGAAAAATCAATGAATCCAGGAGCTGGTTTTTTGACAAGATTAACAAAATAGACCAGAGCCAGACTAATAAAGAACGAAAGAGACAAGAATAAAATAGACACAATAAAAAAAGATAAAAGAGATATCACCATTGATCCCACAGAAATACAAACTACCATCAGAGAATACTAGAAACACCTCTATGCAAATAAACTAGAAAATCTAGAAGAAATGGATAAATTCCTGGACACATACACCCTCCCAAGACTAAACCAGGAAGAAGTTGAATCCCTGACTAGACCAATAACAAGTTCTGAAATTGAGGCAGTAATTAATAGCCTGCCACCCAAAAAAAGCCCAGGACCTGACAGATTCACACCTGAATTCTACCAGAGGTACAAAGAGGAGCTCGTACTATTCCTTCTGAAACTATTCTGATGAATACAAAAAGAGGTACTCCTCCTCAACTCATTGTATGAGGCCAGCATCATCCTGATACCAAAACGTGGCAGAGACACAACAAAAAAAAGGAAATTTCAGGCCAATATCCCTGATGAACATCGATGCGAAAATCCTCAATAAAATACTGGCAGACCAAATCCAGCACCACATCAAAAAGCTTATCCACCATGATCAAGTCAGCTTCATCCCTGGGATGCAAGGCTGGTTCAACATACACAAATCAATAAACGTACTCCATCACATAAACAGAACCAATGGCAAAAACCACATGATTATCCCAATAGATGCAGAAAAGGCCTTTGATAAAACTCAACACCGCTTCATGCTAAAAGCACTCAAGAAACTAGGTATTGATGGATCATATCTCAAAATAATAAGAGCTATTTATGACAAACCCACAGACAATATCATACTAACTGGGCAAAAGCTGGAAGCATTCTCTTTGAAAATGGGCACAAGACAAAGATGCCCTCTCTCTCACCACTCCTATTCAACATAGTATTGGAAGTTCTGGCCAGGGCAATCCGGCAAGAGAAAGAAATAAAGCGTACTCAAATAGGAAGAGAGGAAGTCAAATTATCTCTGTTTGCAGATGACATAATTGTATATTTAGAAAACCCCATCGTCTCAGCCCAAAATCTCCTTAAGCTGACAGGCAACTTAGCAAAGTCTCAGGATACAAAATCAAGGTGCAAAAATCACAAGCATTCCTACACATTGATAACAGACAAAGAGAACGCCAAATCTTGAGCAAATGCCCATTCACAATTGCTACAAAGAGAATAAAACACCTAGGAATACAACTTACAAGGGATAAGAAGGACCTCTTCAAAGAGATCCAGAAACCACTGCTCAAGGAAATAAGAGATGACACAAACGAATGGAAAAAATATTCCATGCTCATGGATAGGAAGAAGTAATATTGTGAAAATGGCCATATTGCCCAAAGTAATTTACAGATTCAATGCTATCCCCATCAAGCTACCATTGACTTTCTTCACAGAATTAGAAAAAACTACTTTAAATTTCATATGGAACCAAAAAATAGCCCATATAGCCAAGACAATCCTAAGCAAAAAGAACAAAACTGGAGGCATCACACTACCTTACTTCAAACTATACTACAAGGCCACAGTAATCAAAACAGCATGGTACTGGTACCAAAACAGATATATAGGCCAATGGAACAGAACAGAGGCCTCAGAAATAACGCCACACATCTACAACTATCTGATCTTTGACTAACCTGACAAAAGCAAGCAATGGGAAAAGGATTCCCTATTTAATAAATGGTGTTGGGAAAACTGGCTAGCCATATGCAGAAAACTGAAACTGGACCCCTTCCTTATACATTAAACAAAAATTAACTCGAGATGGATTAAAGACTTAAACGTAAGACCTAAAACCATAAAAACCCTAGAAGAAAACCTAAGCAATACCATTCAGGACATAGCCATGGGCAAAGACTTCATGGCTAAACCACCAAAAGCAATGGCAACAAAAGCCAAAATTGAAAATAGCATCAAATTAAACTAAAGAGTTTCTGCACAGCAAAATAAACTATCATCAGAGCAAACAGGCAACCTACAGAATGGGAGAAAATTTCTACAATCTATCCATCTAACAAGGGGCTAATACTTAAATAAATTTACAAGAAAAAAACAAACAGCCCCATCAAAAAGTGGCCAAAGGACATGAACAGACACTTCTCAAAAGAAGACATTTGGTTGGTAAGCTATTGATTATTGCCACAATTTCAGATCCTGTTATTGGTCTATTCAGAGATTCAACTTCTTCCTGGTTTAGTCTTGGGAGAGTGTATGTGTCAAGGAATTTATCCATTTCTTCTAGATTTTCTAGTTCATTCGCGTAGAGGTGTTTGTAGTATTCTCTGATGGTAGTTTGTATTTCTGTGGGATCGGTGGTGATATCCCCTTTATCATTTTTTATTGCGTCTATTAGATTCTTCTCTCTTTTTTCTTTATTAGTCTTACTAGCGGTCTATCAATTTTATTGATCCTTTCAAAAAAACAGCTCCTGGATTCATTTACTTTTTGAAGGGTTTTTTGTGTCTCTATTTCCTTCAGTTCTGCTCTGATTTTAGTTATTTCTTGCCTTCTGCTAGCTTTTGAATGTATTTGCTCTTGCTTTTCTAGTAAAGAGTCCAGGACCAGATGGATTCACAGCTGAATTCTACCAGAGGTACAAGGAGGAACTGGTACCATTCCTTCTGAAACTATTCCAATCAATAGAAAAAGAGGGAATCCTCCCTAACTCATTTTATGAGGCCAGCATCATTCTGATACCAAAGCCAGGCAGAGACACAACAAAAAAAGAGAATTTTAGACCAATATCCTTGATGAACATTGATGCAAAAATCCTCAATAAAATACTGGCAAACCGAATCCAGCAGCACATCAAAAAGCTTATCCACCATGATCAAGTGGGCTTCATCCCTGAGATGCAAGGCTGGTTCAATATACGCAAATCAATAAATGTAATCCAGCATATAAACAGAGCCAAAGACAAAAACCACATGATTATCTCAATCGATGCAGAAAAAGCCTTTGACAAAATTCAACAACCCTTCATGCTAAAAACTCTCAATAAATTAGGTATTGATGGGACGTATCTCAAAATAATAAGAGCTATCTATGACAAACCCACAGCCAATATCATACTGAATGGGCAAAAACTGGAAGCATTCCCTTTGAAAACTGGCACAAGACAGGGATGTCCTCTCTCACCGCTCCTATTCAACATAGTGTTGGAAGTTCTGGCCAGGGCAATCAGGCAGGAGAAGGAAATAAAGGGTATTCAATTAGGAAAAGAGGAAGTCAAATTGTCCCTGTTTGCAGACGACATGATTGTTTATCTAGAAAACCCCATTGTCTCAGCCCAAAATCTCCTTAAGCTGATAAGCAACTTCAGCAAAGTCTCAGGATACAAAATCAATGTACAAAAATCACAAGCATTCTTATACACCAACAACAGACAAACAGAGAGCCAAATCATGAGTGAACTCCCATTCACAATTGCTTCAAAGAGAATAAAATACCTAGGAATCCAACTTACAAGGGATGTGAAGGACCTCTTCAAGGAGAACTACAAACCACTGCTCAAGGAAATAAAAGAGGACACAAACAAATGGAAGAACATTCCATGCTCATGGGCAGGAAGAATCAATATCGTGAAAACGGCCATACTGCCCAAGGTAATTTACAGATTCAATG
The DNA here is from genome assembly GCF_000001405.40 of Homo sapiens. Taxonomy (NCBI): domain Eukaryota; kingdom Metazoa; phylum Chordata; class Mammalia; order Primates; family Hominidae; genus Homo; species Homo sapiens. The sequence continues at coordinate 87,164,603 of NC_000011.10, read as the reverse complement.
CCATCCCCATCAAGCTACCAATGCCTTTCTTCACAGAATTGGAAAAAACTACTTTAAAGTTCATATGGAACCAAAAAAGAGCCCGCATCGCCAAGTCAATCCTAAGCCAAAAGAACAAAGCTGGAGGCATCACACTACCTGACTTCAAACTATACTACAAGGCTACAGTAACCAAAACAGCATGGTACTGGTACCAAAACAGAGATATAGATCAATGGAACAGAACAGAGTCCTCAGAAATAACGCCGCATATCTACAACTATCTGATCTTTGACAAACCTGAGAAAAACAAGCAATGGGGAAAGGATTCCCTATTTAATAAATGGTGCTGGGAAAACTGGCTAGCCATATGTAGAAAGCTGAAACTGGATCCCTTTCTTACACCTTATACAAAAATCAATTCAAGATGGATTAAAGACTTAAACGTTAGACCTAAAACCATAAAAACCCTAGAAGAAAACCTAGGCATTACCATTCAGGACATAGGCATGGGCAAGGACTTCATGTCTAAAACACCAAAAGCAATGGCAACAAAAGACAAAATTGACAAATGGGATCTGATTAAACTAAAGAGCTTCTGCACAGCAAAAGAAACTACCATCAGAGTGAACAGGCATCCTACAAAATGGGAGAAAATTTTCGCAACCTACTCATCTGACAAAGGGCTAATATCCAGAATCTACAATGAATTCAAACAAATTTACAAGAAAAAAACAAACAACCCCATCAAAAAGTGGGCGAAGGACATGAACAGACACTTCTCAAAAGAAGACATTTATGCAGGCAAAAAACACATGAAAAAATGCTCATCATCACTGGCCATCAGAGAAATGCAAATCAAAACCACAGTGAGATACCATCTCACACCAGTTAGAATGGCAATCATTAAAAAGTCAGGAAACAACAGGTGCTGGAGAGGATGTGGAGAAATAGGAACACTTTTACACTGTTGGTGGGACTGTAAATTAGTTCAACCATTGTGGAAGTCAGTGTGGCAATTCCTCAGGGATCTAGAACTGGAAATACCATTTGACCCAGCCATCCCATTACTGGGTACATACCCAAAGGACTATAAATCATGCTGCTATAAAGACACATGCACACTTATGTTTATTGCAGCATTATTCACAATAGCAAAGACTTGGAACCAACCCAAATGTCCAACAATGATAGACTGGATTCAGAAAATGTGGCACATATACACCATGGAATACTATGCAGCCATAAAAAATGATGAGTTCATGTCCTTTGTAGGGACATGGATGAAATTGGAAATCATCATTCTCAGTAAACTATCGCAAGAACAAAAAACCAAACACCGCATATTCTCACTCATAGGTGGGAATTGAACAATGAGATCACATGGACACAGGAAGGGGAATATCACACTCCGGGGACTGTGGTGGGGTCGGGGGAGGGGGGAGGGATAGCATTGGGAGATATACCTAATGCTAGATGAGGAGTTAGTGGGTGCAGTGCACCAGCATGGCACATGTATACATATGTAACTAACCTGCACAATGTGCACATGTACCCTAAAACTTAATGTATAATAAAATAAAAATAAAAAAATTAAAAAAAAAAAAGAAGACATTTATAAGGCCAGCAAACATGAAAAAAAGCTCATCATCACTGGTCATTAGAGAAATGCAAATCAAAACCACAATAAGATACCATCTTACGCCAGTTAGAATGGCGATCATTAAAAAGTCAGGAAACAACAGATGCTGGAGAGGATGTGGAGAAATAGGAATGCTTTTACACTGTTGGTGGAAGTGTAAATTAGTTCAACCATTGTGGAAGACAGTGTGGCGATTCCTTAAGGATCTAGAACCAGAAATACCATTTGACCCAGCAATCCCATTAATGGGCATATACATGAAGGATTATAAATCACTCTACTATAAAGACACATGTACACGTATGTTAATTGCAGCACTGTTCACAATAGCAAAGACTTGGAAACAACCCAAATGCCCATAAGTGATAGACTGGATAAAGAAAATGTGGCACATACACACCATGGAATACTATGCAGCCATAAAAGGGATGACTTCATGTCCTTTGCAGGGACACAGATGAAGCTGGAAACCATCATTCTCAGCAAACTAACACAGGAACAGAAAACCAAACACCAAATGTTCTCACTCATAAATGGGAGTTGAACAATGAGAACACATGGACACAGGGAGGGAAACATCAAACACTGGGGCCTGTCGGGCGTTGGAGGGCTAGGGGAGGGATAGCATTAGAAGAAATAACTAATGTAGATGACGGGTTGATGGGTGCATCAAACTACCATGGCACGTGTATACCTATGCAACAAACCTGCACGTTCTGCACATGTATCCCAGAACTTAAAGTATAATAAAAAAAAATTATTTAATAAACTCTCCAAAAAAAAATAAAAGATATACCTCCTTTAAGACATCTTCTGAATTAATTGAACCCCACTTTAATTAGTCATTTATTTCTTTATTATTTAAATTACCTGAGCTTTTAATCCATATACTTGCTTATTCTTTTGAAGTTTAGTAACTGCAATTACTACCTAATTGTTGTGCATGTTTTTTATTTTCTTTCATAATTAGAACATGAGCTATTAATAGGCTAGATTATAAGCTCCCCAAGGCTAGAGATACCGGCCAGTTTTATTCATTGATGCATCACAGGCATCTAAAACAATGTCAGGAATATAGAACTGTTCAATAAATTCTTGCTGAATTAACAGGCAGGTATATTTCTCTTTCCATTCATGAATCTCTCTAAAACTCCAAATATAATGCTAAACACAAATATATGAAAATTTTAAATGCCTGAGTAAATGAAAATAGATATGTCTGGTATTTTAAAAATTTTAAAAATTCAAACAATAGAGCCACAATAGACAAATCAACTCACTGGCTACAGAAGTCACTTAGCTTGTTCATTACATGTTCTCAGTGACTCTCTGTCACTGCTGTAAGAAAGATATATGGTATCAGCTGATAAAAAGAAACTAAATGATTTAATTAAGAAGCAGGGTTTGAAATCCTGCCTTCCTATGGTAAAGAATTGTTAAACTTTGTTCTCTTTCAAAAATTGAGATTAAGAAAAACCAAATGAAAAAACACCAATTTCTGCTTTAGTCTCAAGTTATATGAGAAAAGAGATAATTTTTAAAATATATAAATTTAAGAGAGTAACCTTATCTTCTAACAAAGTACTTGTTTCACCCTAAACACAAACACCCAGAAGGCAGAAGACAGAACTACATCTTTCTGTCAGAAATAGAAAAATACCACTTTTGAACCAAGCACATTCAATAACTACTGATTATTGAATCTGCAGTTCATTCATTAATTTTAATGATTATTTTAAAAGTTAGCCCCTCAAATAGGGAAACCCATTTAAAAAATTCAACCCAGGCCAGGCACAGCGGCTCATGCCTGTAATTCCAACACTTTGGGAGGCGGAAGAGGGCAGATCACGAGGTCAAGAGATGGAGACCATGCTGGCCAACATGGTGAAACCCCATCTCTACTAAAAAAACAAAAATTAGTCAGGTGTGGTAGTGGATGCATGTGGTCCCAACTACTCAGGAGGCTGAGGCAGGAGAATCACTTGAACCTGGGAGGCAGAGGTTGCAGTGAGCCTAGATTGCACCACTGCACCCCAGTCTGGGCGAGAGAGTGAGACTCCATCTCAAAAACAAAATTCAACACAGAAAAATGATCTCCTTTCCAGCTTATGTGAGTCAATTAATGCACAAAGGTCCAGCTACTCCTTATACAGGACTTTATAAAGAACATCACCATAGTTAAACATTTAATGAGGTAATAGATTTGTGAAGGGTATTTTTTTCCTATTCATTTTAAGCCATATATTATTCTGTGAACATGAAAAGATAATAGTAATAATTAGAATGCATAAAAGTCATTGCTGATTATCTTGGAAACTTTAACTGCAATGTTATTTTTCAACTGTCAAACTAATAATAATTACCTACAGCTAATAAAAATTAGGAAACTCTAGTCTAAGTAAGTGAATTACTGTACATTCAGGGCAATTATATTGCATAGTAGAATCAATGAACTTTGGAGACAAGGGTTCAAATCCTAGCTCTCCAATTTCCTAGCTATTTGACCACAGGCAAAATGTTTAACTTCTCTGAGCCTCAGTTCATCTATAAGATGACCAGTGTAATTTCTCCCTTGGAGAGTTAAAAGGAGGATTTTTAAAAGATAAAGTATCACTCCTCTGCTTAAGACCTCCTATAATACACTATAACCTATAAAATAAGTTTCAAACACCTTCAAAGACTATCTTACTTTCAGAGAGCGGAAAATCTTCTCCCATTTCAAAATTTCTTCAAATATCTAAGCAGAAATGTCCAGTAAGTACACAAAATACAGCATTAAAGCCAGAACAGGGAGGAGGAAACACATGCAAAGTTTATTGTCATCATGTATCTGGATAAATTCACTGAAAGACTGATATTTTTGTAATTTGGATATACCAACTTTTTTTCTCTTACCTGATACACTTGTCATGAGGCTACCTATGAATCCCCGCTTAACAAATATTTTCGCAGTACTGGCCTAGCACATTTTTTTAAATGCCCTAGGACAAATAAATTAACCACTTGCTGCTCTCCTCCCTTAGCATATTATAAATTTTCCAATATTGATAAATACAATGATTTCAGGTTGTATTTTAAATAATCCTTTAAATTATTAACCTTTTAGTTTACTCCTACTCTCAAACAGATTATCTACCATTGTTCTTATACTAAAACACAGTTTAAATTTAGCACAATCCAAGTAGAATCTGGACACTGGTTAGTTCCAGACTCAACTTAAACTATTTCCACACTCTCCCAGACTTTTTCCTTTTTCCAATTATTGATAGAATTGTTTCCCCGACCAGAGAGTAAGCTCCTCTAAAGTCAGGAATCATAGCACCCATTTCCATAGCATTTAGCCAACCGTCTCGGAAAATCTATGGTGTGTGTGTGTGTGTGTGTGTGTGCGCGTGTGTGTATTCAGTAGTATCTTTGATTTGTTTTGTCTCCTCTACTTCCAAAAATCAAATCATTAAATTAAAACTAATTAGTGGCCTATCCTAACTACCATTTAATGAATGCATGCTACACATCACTCTATACTTTTTAAACCACAAAATATTATTTTATCAACCCTGACATACCACAGACAAATTTCCTGAGAACCAAAAAAGTCAGTGGGGAAAAAAAGAAATTTCCTAATTTTAGAGACATTAAAATGTGAAGAATAGCAGATGGTAACTATGAGGTGCCATTAATTAGAAGACACATTCCATTTTCAGAGCTCTTAAAATGTAAGAAATATATGTACATCTTACACTTTTAACCTCATTATAGAAACTGAAGGTCAGAGAGTGCTTAAACACTTTGTCTGACACTAATACTTGTTAACCAGGTTGGCCACATGGAACAACACCTAATAATTAGTAGAAAAATTGATCAAAAGCCAGCTATTTTAACTATTTCCTGCCTATTAAGTAAAATAAGTATATATCCAATGCGTTGATATGCTCAGGTGATTACTTATACAGCTGTGCTGCATACATTTCCCTAACCATCCTATAAAAGAAGATAAGTTCAACAGTTCATTGCCCACCCTATGAAAAAAATATATAGTAATTACTAAAATCTGAAATTCATTTTTAGACATCATAGGCAGATTACTACATCTGACCTTATTGCTGTAAGTTTTCTTTTTTCAAAATGACACCACATACTTCAATGTTTGAGAATACAAAGGGATCAATTAAGTCTTTCTGTATAGACAAAATATACTTTATAAATTATACCAAGGTTAGGCCGGGCGCGGTGGCTCACGCCTGTAATCCCAGCACTTTGGGAGGCCAAGACGGGCGGAGTACGAGGTCAGGAGATCGAGACCATCCTGGCTAACATGGTGAAACCTCGTCTGTAGTAAAAAAAATACAAAAAATTAGCCGGGCGTTGTGGCGGGCACCTGTAGTCCCAGCTACTTGGGAGGCTGAGGCAGGAGAATGGCATGTACCTGGGAGGCAGAGCTTGTAGTAAGCCAAGATCATGACACTGCACTCCAGCCTGGGTGACAGAGTGAGACTCTGTCTCAAAAAAAAAAAAAAATTATACCAAGGTGATTTGCAAATATATAATTAAATATTTAGAGTGTACATACTTTTCAAATGTTGGCACATTTCTGCCTAATGAGCAAATACATCAACCAACACATTTATAGTCATGAAGTAATACAATTCTGTTTAACTCCTTAGATACTCACTTCCACTACTAAATATTTAGGTTTCTGAATTATAAATATTACATTAAATAACATCAAACTTAATTCAAGAATAGGGAATTCTAAGGGCTAGGCATGGTGGCTCATGCCTGTAATGCCGGCACTCTGTGAGGTAAAGGCAGGATAATCGCTTGAGGCCAGGAGTTCAAGACCAGCCTAAGCAACATAGCAAGACCCCATCTCCTCAAAAATAGGGATTTCTGTATTTTATCCTTAAGTATTTGCCATTAGAATAGAAAAAGGAACATAACAATTTGGTGTTACATTCGACCTCAACCTAAATTTGTCTTAGTAAAGGAGAAAATAAAGAAAGAGCAGACAAAGTGGTAATCAAGCTGGTAATAATTTTAACATGAAAATGTATGTGAGGTGATAGAAAAATCTTCTAAAGGATTGACAGGAGCATTTTAAAAAGTCAAAACTTAGCATCTGCAGACAAAATCCTCTCCAGCTTTTTTCTCCCTCTCCCTCTCCCTCTTCCTTCCCTTCTCTCCACGTGTAGTAAATGTTCAACATTTCCGATTATTTTATCTTAAGAAATAAGTATCAGTTCTGTATAACACAAAATAGAAAGAAAGCAAAAGCTAAGGAATTCTTTTTTTCATTACAAACATTTGTAGAAGTTACTAATAAAATGTCATTTTTTAAGAGTAAAGATATTTGATAACTAAAGGTAAAAAGACAGTAATTTGTTTTCAATCTAAGATCTGGTTCCAACATGACTATGAATTAAAATGGATTTGTTCATCAGGTACACTCAATATTATATACATCAGATATCTCTCTATTTCTTAGACAAAGCATCATAGATTTCATCACATTTTATATTTTAAAATCGCAAACTATAAATTAACAACTAATAACTATATCAAAATTCTCATCTTACTTCTCCATTTCTTAATGTTGTGATGGTTCCTCTTGCTACACCCATTCTGAATAGTGTTTCTGTGGCCTGTAAATTAAAAAAAAAAAACAGCAAAAATATATGATCTACAATCTCTCCTCAATTGTATATCCCACACCCTAAATGTGAAAAACATTCAATACTATTATATATCCAGCAACTTCTAGAGAACGATCAATAAGTTGTATATGCCTATAGTCCTAGCTACTCAGGCAAGAGGATCACTTGAGTCCAGGAGTTCAAGGCTACAGTGAGCTATGATTGAGCCACTGCCTAGATGACAGAGTGAGACCCTGTCTAAAAAAAAAAAAAAACAAAAGAAAGAAAGAAAGAAAAGAAATGCAACGCAACTAGAGAACCATCTACAAGGCACAATAAGAGCTAGAAGTTATAAATTGTACCCCAGAAATATCATAATCACAATCTTTTAAGAGCTCAAACTTAATTGTTTCAAATGGTTATTTTGATAATCTGGTATTCTTCCAGGACTATAGTTTCGAATTAGTTTGCTTAGACAAGTTTAAACCTTAGTTTAATGAACAAAAATTAAGTTCAAATGTAGCATTTAAATTCAACTTGGAAGTTATCATTTATTCTGAATTTAGTTTCCATTTGAATTTAGTTCAAATCACTTATCTGCTACTAATATAGAGACAGGAGATAAAGTAATTTAGTAATGTCATATATTAGGTGACACACCAAAATAGTTATTGCTCACTATACACTAACAATGAACAATCAGAAAAGGAAATTAAGAAAACAATTCCATTTACAACAGCATAAAAAAAAACTCCTAGGGAAAAATAAAACAAGGAAGTGAAAGACTTGTAATCTGAAGACAACAAAACATTGCTGAAAGAAATTGAAGAAGACACAAATAAATAAAAAGACATCCTGTGCTCATGGTTTGGAATACTTATTATTAAGATGACAATACAACCCAAAGTGATCGACAGATTCAATGCAATCCCTATTAAAATCCCAATGGCACATGTTGCAGAACTAGAAAAATCCATCCTGAAATTCATATAGAACGTTAAGGGACCCCAAATAAACAAAACAAACTTGAAAAAAGAAGAAGAAAGTTGAAGGACTCACTTTCGGATTTAAAACTTACTACAAACCTACAGTAATCAAAAATATGTGGTACTATCATAAAGATGGACATCTAAGACAATGGAATAGAACAGAGAACCCAAAAATAAAACCTTGCATATATGATCAAATGATATTTGACCAGGGTAATAAGACTATTGAGTGCACAAAGGACAATCTTTTCAAAAGTACTTTAAAAAACTGGAAATCCATGAAACTGTCCTCACAGGCTTAACAAGAATTTTGAATAGAAATATAGTTATAATTAAGCATAAATCAGCTGCACTTTGACCCACTTCCTTGTAAGAAAAAGTCTAGAAACAGTACATACTGTCCATTTGAATCCCCATTGTTACTATAGATAGAATTTCTGACACTAAGGTTGTAAGACATTTTTTAAGACAGATAGGGTCTCTGATGTTAGAATCATAAGGCTTTTGCTTATTCAAGATATGGAATACTTAAACAGATCCTGAATTCCAGTAAAACAGCTGACACCAACCAACTTAAAGATCCCCAAAGAGGAACCAAATCAGCATGAGAATACAGTTCCTTTGTCTCCCTGTCCCATGATCTCACCCTGCACTCTTGGACCAACCAACCATCTCCAAACTCTGGCACACTCCAAAAGCCTTCAAAACTCTAGCCCCAAATTCCACAGGGAGATGGATTTGAGGTTTCCTTTCATCTCCTCAGTCAGTGGCCCTAAACTTAAACATCTCTCTCTGCTACAATCTGATGTCTTGGTGTACTGACTTGCTGCACACATTGGGCAATGGACCTCTTACAGTTACATCCACATATAAAAGAATGAAGTTAGACCTTTACCTCTACCATATACAAAAATCAACTCAAAATGGATCAAAGACATAAATTTAAGACCTAAAACTATAAAAATCTTAAAAGAAAACATAAGGGGAAAGCTTTATGACATTAGATTTAACAATGATTTCTTGAATATGACACCGAAAGCACAAGCAACAAAACTAAAAACAGTCTGGGCATGGCGGCTCACGCCTGTAATCCCAACAGTTTGAGAGGCCGAGGCGGGTGGATAACCTGAGTTCAGGAGTTCGAGACCAGCCTGGCCAACGTGGTGAAACCCCATCTCTACTAAAAACACATAAATTAGCTGGGCTTGGTGGCACATGCCTGTACTCCCAGCTACCCGGGAGGCTGAGGCAGGAGAATAACTTGAACTTGGGAGACGGAGGTTGCAGTGAGCCAAGATCGCACCACTGCATTCCAGCCTGGGCAACAAGAGTGAAACTCAGTCTCTAAATAAATAAATAAATAAATAAATAAAACTGGATTTCACCAAAAATTAAAAACTTTAGTGCATCAAAGGACTCTATCAACAAAATTAAAAAACAACTCATGAAATAGAAAACACCTGCAAATTGCATATCTGATGAGGAGTTAATATCCAGAGTATATTAGGAACTCCTACTACTCAACAACAAAAACTAAACAACCCAATTAAAAACTGGGCAAAGGACTTGAAGAAATTTATCCAAAGAACATATACAAATAGCCAATAAGCACATGAAATGATGCTCCACATCACTAATCATTAGGGAAATGCAAATCAAAACCACAGTGAGATACCACTTCCCATCCATTAGAATGGCTATTATCAAAAAGACAGAAGATATCAAGTGTTGAGAAGGATGTGGAGAAATTGGAACCCTTGTACACTGCTGATAGGAATGAAAAATGGCACAGCCACTGTGGAAAACAGTAAGGCAGTTACTTTAAAATTTACACATCGAATTATCATACAACCCAGCCACCCTGCTTCTGGGTATATATCCATAACTACTGAATGTAGGCTCTCAAAGAGATATCTGCATATGTTCACAGTAGTATTATTTACAACAGCCTAGATGTAGATGCAACCCAAGTGTCCATCAATGAATAAATGAATAAACAAAATACGGTATATACATACAATGGAGTATTATTCAGACTTAGAAAAGAATGAAATTCTGATATAGTATACAACATGGATGAGCACTGAAGATATTATGCTAAGTGAACTAAGCAAGAAGCAAAACAACAAATACTGAATGATTCACTTATATGAAGTATCTAGAGTAGTGAAATTCATTGAGACAGAAAGTAGAACAGTGGTTACTAGAGGCTGAGAGAGGAGAAATGGGGAGGCACTATATGATGGACATAGAGTTTCAGTTTAATGACAAAGTTCTGGAGATGGATAGTAGTAGTGAACGCACAACAATGTGAATTTACTTAATGCCAGTGAACTGTACACAGAAAAATGGCCAAAACAGTAAACTTAACATTGTATATATTTTACCACAATTAAAAAAAATAGTTATTCTTATTTCCAATGCTTCCCCATCTTACAACTGCTGAGGATTTAGACCCTAATAAAACATTCTTTAGGATTGTATCTAAAGAGTACTTAATGGAAAATCCATTGATACAGTGTAGAACACTGTAATATACAGAAAGAAAAGGATATTGATTGGTTAGTTTAGAATTTATCGAACAATTATTTCATAAGCACTGTAAAGGGCAAATTGAAGGAATTAGCGATAGAGTCAATTTGACAATGCCCTTATTTTTAAGGAGTTTACATCTAGGGGAAAGTGGAAGCAAATAACTACAGAAATAAATAAGTCATATGCATGTGAATATGTGCAATGAAAAAAATTAAGCATAATAAGCATATGAATAACAATGAGGTAGAAGGGATATTTTAAATAGAGTAAATCAAGGGTGGCCTCTTTTAGGAGAAGATAATTTGAATGGAAACTAAGTGAAACCAGAAAGTGAATAGCCAGTATGGATATTACAACGATAATGACAGTAATACTTGCTGACAATAACTCGATACCTACTATTTGCCAAAACCCCCTCTACAAGATGTCAATATATCAACTAATTTGAAAACTGGAGGAAAGAAGGTTCTAGTCAAAAGACCACAAGAGCCTGTAGGTAGGATCATACTTGGCATGTTTGAGTACAAATAAGATGGCCAGTGGGGCTGAAGGAAAAAGACTTCATGAGATGGTTGAGAGTGCATGATGGCTGAGACAAGAATAGGGTGCATGTTCCTCTGTTCAATATGTGCTTTTATTTTTCTAGCCTGGCATAATAGGAATGCATTTCTAACCTTTAATAATCAAAAATATGTAATTTGAAGGATGCTCTACTAAATATAAATTTTAAGAATTTATAAACTTAGAAACATCACGGAATTTTAAATTTAAAAACTAAACATACATCAAATAAAATCCAAGGGTACAAGAGGTGGAGAACTGGAGAAGAGGTAAGGAAACTGATATATGTGGGAGATGCATAAAAAAAGATGCCTAACAGATATTATGGAACCGGACCTCAGAGTATAGGTAAGAACTATCAATATCATTTTGGTGTCATCAGTGTATAAAGAGTTGATTATAACCAGAAAACTTGATGAGGCAAATCAAGAAAGTTAAACAGAAGAAAAGAATAATAGGAAATAACAACATATAAAATGAGGCAAAAGAAAAGGATACAGCAGGGAAGACTCAAAAATAACATAAGGGCCGGATGCGGTGGCTCATGCCTGTAATCCCAGCACCTTGGGAGGCCGAGGCGGGTGGGGCGCCTGAGGTCAGGAGTTGGAGACCAGCCTGACCGACATGGCGAAACCCGTCTCTACTAAAAATACAAAAAATCAGCCAGGCATGGTGGCACATGCCTGTAATCCCAGCTGCTTGGAAGGCTGAGGCTGGAGAATCGCTTGAACCAGGAGGTGGAGGTTGCAGTGAGCCAAGCCCAGCCTGGGCGTCAAGAGTGAAAATCCGTCTCAAAAAATAAAGTAACATTGAGAATCAGAAGGCATTCCAGAAAAATAAAATCCTAGAAGTCAAGAGTAAACAATTTCTCAAGAGTAAAGAATTTCAAAATGAAGAAAAGCCATTACATTAAATATACTACAGTGAACATATAGACTTAACGTTACTCCCTCCAGAAATACTACAAAAATGACAGAAGGAAATAAAAGAGTATAAACCACAAAGAAAAAAAGAACACAATAAGGGACAGACAGAACACAAAAAATATCAATGAAACTTTGGAGCATGAACAAGAGAGTAACTGACTTAACAGTACAAAGGTAGCTACAATTTCACTCTCTGAAGAGTCAGAAGACATGCTAATTTGTTCAGCAGAACCTTAGGAATTAGGAGCATCAATAGAAAGGCACCAGAAAGCCAGAATGCAGGTAAGACTGAGAACTGGTGGATTGGCTGCAAAGCAGTCTAAAAAGGAGTTAGACTCCTCTCTTCTTGTCTACCCAGTTAGACACCGATCACCTCCCTCTCATACTAAGAGAAGATTCCCTAAAGGAAAAAAAACAGAGGTAGGATAATTAGGGCAGAAGTGAGACACTATACTAATAACGATGGGATATTAAGTCAAACCATACACAGCGAATGTTAGGCCACCATCCATCCCACCTCACCACCTACTATATCTCTTTCCATTGATCCAAAAGCAGTGGAACTCTGCTTATATCCCAACCACTTTCCCATTCTCGTGATAGGTAATAAGAGGATCCCTCTCTAGGAAAAAAAAAAGCAGCCCAAGAAAAAAGACCCACAAGATGTTAACTTTTGGAAATTACATATTGAAATAGGTAGATGCTAACTTTTGGAAATTACACATTGAAATAGGTAAAAGACCCACAAATAAAAACAGTGAGCTTCCATAAGCTTCAAAGTAACTTTTAAATAAAAGGCAAACAAGAATCAATAGGCATTTAAGGAATTCCTTTAACAGGAAAGACAGAGCAAAATAAACAGAAAAAAGAAATGTGGAAGAAATAAATTAAATGGAAGATCAAAAGAAATTTCTGAAAAGTACCCACAAAAACACATCCACTGCAACCATAAAACAAGAATAGGATGTTATAAGAAAAGGAACCCTTTAGAGAACTGAAGGACTCTAAGAAATTATAACAGCAAAACTATAAATTTTAGTAAAAAAATTCCAAATAAAAGTTGAGAAACTCTTCCAGGAATTCAAACAGAAAAACAAAGAAATAGAGTAGAGGACACAAAATTACACTAGGATATTTCTCAATACAAGGATATGAATTCCCAAAGTGAAAGAGCCTGCTAAGTACTCATACTCAGCACAGTGATTTTTTAGAGACTCACATTAAACCACATCCTGAAATTTCATTAAACAAAGAAACAGGAATCAAAACAACCCGGGACTACTCAACAGCAATACTTGCAACTAGAAGACAATAAAATAATGCCTTAAAATTTGGAAGGTAAGGAATTTCTCACATAGAAATCTGTATTAATCAAACTCTTAATTATGAAAATAATATAAAAATATTTCCAGATTTGCAAGATCTAAAGATCTAAAAATATCTACCTACGGCCACAAGCAGTAAAATACAGAGTAAATCCAAAAAGACAACTGGGATTCAACAAATTACAGAGGTAAACGGAAGTCTCAAGCAGTCAGACAAGACCGGAACAAGATAACAAACTTAAACAAATGATGTAGCTCCACAGAGGGAAAAATATAACTGAAAAATTACTAGGTGTTCTTGAAAATATTGAAAGGAATCTTATGTCACAAAGTTAGGGAGTTAGTAATAGGTACAAAGAAACTAAGCAAATAAAAAGTGAGGCAATTATTAACTATGAAAAAAACATAAGGTAGCAAGAAAAGTTGTACAATGGCTCAGCTACGAGTAATTGTTACACAGTTTGAACAGAATATGTTAAACATTAAATACTATTTTAAACAAAATTTATGTATTACCATACTGTGAACATCCCTACACCACCACAGAGTGTAAAGAAAACCAAATTCCCATCTTCTGTAGTAGGAAGTCAGTAATGTGTAAACCAAAACAAGAATAGCAGTGTAGGCAAGTTAATTTAGATACAACGAAGCAACAGAGGAAATAAGGCAAAGACTGCAAGTGGTTGCCTCTGCATTGTGGAATTCATGTGTTAGAAGCAGTAGAAAAGAATACTACTGTTTTCTGTAACCTTTGCAGCATACCATTTCACTTTTTTTCTTTTTTTTTTTTTTTTTTTTGAGACAGAGTTTCGCTCTTGTTGCCCAGGCTGGAGTGCAATGGTGCACTCGGCTCACTGCAACCTCCACCTCCCAGGTACAAGCGATTCTCCTGTCTCACCCTCCCAAGTAGCTCAAATTACAGGCATGTGCCACCATGCCCAGCTAATTTTTTTGTATTTAGTAGAGACAGGTTTCACCATGTTAGTCAGGCTGGTCGCTAACTCTTGACCCTCAGGTGATCCACCCGCTTTGGCCTCCCAAAGTGCTGGGATTACAGGCGTGCACCACCGCGCCCAGCCACAATTTCACTTTTAAACTACATGTAAATATTTAATTACATTTTGAAAAAACTATTATAGAAGTAATCAACAGTGTCCAATAGGTCAAATACTTTACAATTTTAATAGAGCAGTGCAGATGAGAATATAGTTGAGGACTGAATGAGAAGATATAAATTGTATAAGTAAATGTGAAAAGTTTGACAATAAAGGTAAAGAAGGAGATTGACTTGTGGCTAGAATGAGAATCATAGTTGAGAGAAAATTGGTAACAGGATATTTTTAGGAGAGAAGATATTTAAACATGTTTTTACTGGCTAAGTAGAAGTCAGTGCTCAGTAAGGTGGAAGAAATTACAGATACAAGAAGGAAAATGGCTATGACTGAGAAAGATTCCTGTTTAAGACAATATTAAGAACATACATAGCAATCTGTTGTCTGTGTTAAAAGAAAGCAGGTGCAAATATAACTAAACTCTCTTCCTCTCCCTTTCCCTGACCCTCTCCCACTGTGTAAATTTTCCCCTTTTCTCTTCCCCTTCCCTCTCCCTCTCTGAATTAGAAGAATAAACCTCTGAGAATGACGAAGACACTAGCTTAAGGACAGGGGTGAGAGTATAGGAACACATAAGTAAATAGAACATAGAATTGCTAAGTAGTACTTAAGCCCAGCTAAAGTTGAAAAACACAGATCTTTGTTGTTGCAAATCCACACAGTTATGGCATTAGAAAAATAGAAAGATTCAGTTTAGAAGTTGTCAAGACAAAGTTAAGCAAGGCTATAGACTTAATTAGTAAAATACAGCATGTAATTTATACATAAGAGCTAAATTTTTTCTAACTTTTTTTAAATGAGAAATAAGAATCTCTGGAACTTTTCTCCACAGGCATACACACACACACACACACACACACACACACACAAAGGTATGGGGGGATTTGGTGCTAAGTTAGAAAATTTTTAAAACGTTTAAAGCAAACTGTTAAATTTTGTAAATTCAGCACAATATGAATTTAACTCCAACCCACAATTCATTGAAAGATTTATAACAGGCCAATAATGCGCAGAAGGATTATTCACATACTCAAACAAAAATTATAAATTTACTATGATAGATTTTTATTAAAGTATGTATAACTAAATGTTGAAAGGTCTAGTCTCAGAAATTTTTATTAAGAAATAAATTTCTCACCCATTATGTTCTTGTATTTATTCTATTATTAATGATACATATATTAAACTACATCTTCAATCTTCCTGTTTCTTTTTTAATTCTATTTAATCTAGTGATATGATTTTTAACAGTCCTCCTGTAGGTCAGGCTACTTACTTTATATATTTGAGGAGCAAAAGGGGAAAGGCAGAGGCAGCAAGCACTTAAAATAAAATATGCAATAATTTCTCAAAACCAGATCAAAGTACATTATTTCTCATGTCTCAAAACCCTAGGCAATCAGAGGATCAAATTCTTTTTCGGTACCTTCTCCAGTAGAAGAAGAATACCAAATTCAATCCTTTGTTCCCAACTTATTTATTTCATCAGCTCTTCCCACCAACATTTTTAAGGATATCTCATTCTAATAGCATTCTGCCAATTCAGCTAAGCTTCCTTTGTTTCTATGGGAAAGCACTGAAGTGTACAACTTTCTTTTGACCTCTGCTAAAGAGATTGCTTTTCATTTCCTTGTACCTAAAGAACTACTAACAAGGGTCAAAAATAATGAATTCAGAGCTAATTCTCAGCATTTGTAAATTTACCTATAGTAAATTCTTGATTGAAATGTCTCTTTCTTTTGAGTTTTTATTACATCTAAGATGATTAATACTAAAAACATTCATTCTATGTCAGTGACAGAGGGAAATAACTGTCTACAATGTCTTTGTTTAAAAATAAGTTAACAGCTATGTGTGGTGGCTCACGCCTGTAATCCCAGCACTTTGGGAGACTGAAGCGGGCAGATCTCAAGGTCAGGAGTTCAAGAGCAGCCTGGCCAACATAGTGAAACTCCATGTCTACTAAAAATATGAAAATTAGCTAGGCATGGTGGTGCGTGCCTGTAGTCCTGGCTACTCGGGAGGCTGAGGCAGGAGAATCACTTGAACCCAGGAGGTGGAGGTTGCAGTGAGCCAAGATTGTGCCACTGCACTCCAGCTTGGGCAACAAAGTAAGACTTTGTCTCAAAAAAATAATAAGTTAACAAGAGACTGTTTTTAAGAACAGTGCTAGACAAGAGACTTAAGAGACATAAAACCTAGATGTAATAAATGCAAACTTCTGGATTGGACTTTTGTGTGTGTGTTTTTGTGTATATGTGTGCAAATCAAAAAGATCTGTAAGGATGTATGCTGAGGTGATAACAGCAGTAATCTCTGGGTGATTTTCTTCTTTAGTTATTTTCTATGTTCTGCTATGCACACACATTGTTTGGTAATAATAAAAATAACAATAACAGTAAGCTAGGCACAGTGGCACATGCCTATAGTCCCAGCTATTCAGGAGGCTGAGGCAGGAGGATCCTTTGAGTCCAGGAGTTAAGAGGCCAGACTGGGCAATATTCAGAGACTCCTTCTCTTAAAAAAGAAGTAACAATTTTTGTTACACTAAAAGTTTTGTTTGTTTGTTTGTTGTTTTTTTGAGACAGTCTTGCTTTGTCACCCAGGCTGGAGTGTAGTGGCACGATCTCGGCTCATTGCAACCTTCGCCTGCCAGGTTCAAGCGATTCTTGTGCCTCAGCCTCCCGAGTAGCTGGGACTACAGGCACACGCCACCATGCCAGGCTAATTTTTGCATTTTTTAGTAGAGACGGGGTTTCGCCATGTTGGCCAGGCTGGCCTTGAACTCCTGACTTCAGGTGATCCCCCTGTCTCGGCTTCCCAGAGTGCTGGGATTACTGGTGTGAGGAGTATTATTATAATATATTTCAATCATTATCTTACAATACCTTTAATCACGTAGGCATCATCTTATAGAAAGATTTCAGTGGGTCAATTTAACATGCAATTTATAAATATAAATACAAAAATAGTTGTATTTAGCAGATATTTATTTCCTATTAGGCAACTAGATGTCTAGTTATCTCATTTCCAATTGTTTACTACTTGGGCAACCTTAGGCAGGTCATTTAAACTCTCTACACATTGATTTTGTCTGTAAGATGGTCACAGTTAATATCAACCTGCCTGAAAGTGGTCAATGCAGGTATTAATATACGTGAAAACACTCCATAAAGAGTTAGATGGCGTAAAACATTGAATCCAAGGTCTAGTTTAGTACAGCACTTTTTGAGATTAACGGATGTTTGACAAATACTAATTTTGACTTTTCAAATGTAAAAATATGTGATGGATTAATGAAAAACCAAAAACAAAGGAACGCTAATCATAGCTGTGAATATGAAAAGCAAAAATCACCAGGTAGAGTGGCTCACACACGGAAGTAGCCTCCCAGCTACTTGGGAGGCTAAAGTAGGAGGATCGCTTAAGGCCAGTTTTATTTTCTAAAAAATAAAAATAAAACAATTAGCCTGGCATGGTGATGCACTACTCCCAAGTACTCCAGAGGCTAAAGCAGGTTCATATACAATCAACCAATTTTTGTTTTTGAGACTGAGTCTCACTACATTCCCTCAGGCTGATCTCAAAAAACTCCTGAGTTCAACTAATCCTCCTGCCTCAGCCTCCTGAGTAGCTGGGATTACAGGCACATGCCACCACACATGGCTTCCACTGATTTTTGACAAAAGTACCACAAATACACAATGGGAAAAGGACAGTGTCTTCAATAAATAGTGCTGTCAAAACTGGATTTTCACATACGGGAGAAGGAAATTAGAGCCTTGTCTCACACCATATACAAAAATCAGTGAAAAATGGATTAAAGACTTAAACATAGGCCTGAAACTCTAAAACTACTAAAAGAAAGCACAGGATAAAGACTAAACAACATTGGTCTGGGCAATGACTTTTTGAATTTGATCCCAAAGGTGCAGGCAACAAAAACAAAAATAGACAAATGGGAATTACATCAAACTAAAAAGCTTCTGCATAGCAAAGAAAACAACGGAGTAGAGAGACAACCCATGGATTGGGAGAAAATGGTTGCAAACCATCCATCCAATAAAGAATGAATAACCCAAATATGTAAGGAGCACAAACAATTCAATAGCAAGAAAACAAAAAATTCAATTGAAAAAAATGGATAAGTGACCTGAATAGACATTTCTCAAAAGAAGACGTACAAATGGTCAACAGATACATGAAAAAAAAATCAACATCAGAAATTAGCAGAGAAATGCAAATTAAAACCACAATGATGTATCATCTCACACCTGTCAGAATGGCTTTCATCAAAAAGATGAAAGATAAGTGTTGGCAAGGATATGGAGAAAAGGGAACCTTTATATACTCTTGGTGGGAATATAAATTAGTACGGGCATTATGGAAAAAAGTATAGAAGTTTCTCAAAAACACTAAAAATAGAACTGCCATATGACCCAGCAATCCCACTGCTGGGTATTCACCCAAAAGATTTGAAATCAGTTTGTTGAAGAGATGTCTGCACCCCTATGTTCACTGCAGCAACTATTTACAATAGCTAAGTTATGAAATCAACCTAAGTGTCCATCAACAGATGAATGGATAAAGAAAAGGTGAGGTATTTACACTATGGAATACTATTCACCCTTTAAAATGAAGGAAATTCTGTCATTTGAGACAACATGGATGAAACTGGAGAACATTATGCTGTATAAGTCGTACCCAGAAAGACAAATATCACATGTTCTCACTTATGTGAAACCCATAGCAGAAAGTAGAATGGTGGTTACAGAGGCTGGAGGTGGGGAAATGAGGAGATTTGATCAAAGGGTAGAAAATCTCCAGAGAAATATGGCTTTTATTTTTCTTCTTTTGAGTACTATTGCACTACATGGTGAATACAGTTGATAATAGAGTACAGCACATTTCCAAATTGCTAACAGAGTAAATTTCAAATGTTCTTGCCACAAAAAAGTTAAGTAATTGAGGTAATAGATATGTTACCTAGCTTGATTTAATTATTCCACATTGTATTCATAGATTATAACATTGCTTTGTTCCCAATAAATGTATACAATTATGAATTGTGAATTTATAATAAAAAAGAAAAACCATACCCAGATACATCACTAACAAAATTATAAAATCTAAATAAAAAAAAAAACTCTTGAAAGTAGCCAGAAAACACACACACACACACACACACACACTTTCACACACAAAGTACATACAGTAAAACATTATGGTTAGATAGAGTGAATTCCAAAGTATGTTCCCAACTAGAAGATTAAAGGTAATACTTTCTTCATTACAAATGAAAAATTGACACTTGGAGTAATCCCTCATGATGAGAAACAGCAGTTTACATTACCAAACATTTCCCATGAAGGGAATGACTTTCTTTCCTCAAAAAAGCAACGCCTGCAGGCAAAATTCAGCCTGCCACCTGTTTATATAAATGAAGTATTACTGGCACACCACCATGCCCATTTGTTTACCTATTGTCTATGGCTGCTTTCAAACTACAATAGCAGAATTGAATAGTTGCAACAGAGACTGTATGGCATGCATAGCCAAAAACACTTACTGGCCCTTTAGAAAAAAAAGCATGCTAACCACTGATTTAATTTAACACAAAAACACCGTATTTATCTACTCGGATAGGCATGCATTCATCAGGATAATTCATTGTAAATATTTACCTGTTTGTTTTTTTTAATAAGCAATAACTTAGCAAATACAATTTACAGCTCTACTAATAATTTCTGTAGTTTTTTTTATTTTATACTATACTATTTTCCCAATTTTTTTAATCAGGTACATATATTAGTTTTGAAATTTTAAAAGAAATTTATCAGGAACATCTAATAATGGTGAGGTAAAGGTCACATCATTCGTCTCACAGAAAACAATGTAAAATCTGGACAAAAGTATTTAAAACAATATTGGAAGAACAACAAAATGCGAGCAGAATTTACTCATGAAAGACTGCTACTGTATAATGTAAGAACTTAGTTTTTGCCTTTCTTGCCAAGGGGTGCGCACCAAACTCCCCAGCGGTTCTGACAGCAGAAAACTATATCCTTACCACATCAAAGTGGTTACATGTCAAAGTTCAAAAATTAGAGCAACTATAGTTTAAGAAGGAAATTCTGGAGGGGAAAGATCCACAGAAAGACTGAGACACAAATTCTGAATATAAATTCTACTCAAAAGCTTGACTGACTGCTTAATTTTGCATACATGTTGGAAATACTCAGGAGCCTGACAAAAAGTCAGGCAAAAACTAGAAAGGGTTCTACACCTAAAAGACAAAGCTGCTGTGTGTTTGCTGCACCTTTCACTAAGTTATGTTCTGCAACTGCACACAGCTCAGGTGAAAGAAAGCAAAAGCCTACTGGCTTGAAGTTTCAGAGGGCAGAACTTAAGGTTGGAGGACCAATTGGAAATATATAGAATAAAATGTCCAATTTCCAATCAAAAACAACTAGACACACAAACAAACAAACAAAACAGGAAAGTGTGCTCCATGGTCAGCTTAAAAAAAAAAAAAGAAAGAAAGAAAGAAAAGAAGTCAATGAAGACTGAATCCAAATGGGTCCAGGTATTGCATTTCAAAAACAAAGATGTCAAAATAGCTTTTATAAATATGCTCAAAAGTTATAAGAAAACATGTTCAAAAAATTCTTGGCAATATGTTATTTAATAGATGGATAAATAAGGAATTTCAACAGAAAAAGGAAAGTATAACAAAGAACTAAATGGAAATAACTGAGCTAAAAAAGTACAATCACTGAAATAAAAATTTGCTAGATGAGCTCAACAGAATAGTTGAGATGGCAGAGAAAAATAATCAGTGATCTTGAAGATAGATACCAGAAATTTCTAATTTGAAGAAGATCGAGGAAAAAAAGACTGAAGAGAAATGAAAGACTCAGAGACCAAGAAATATCAAATAGTTCAATGCATGTAATTGAGGTCCCAACAGGAAAGGAGATAGAAAAGGAGGAAGAAAAAAAAAATGAAATGATTGTCAAAAACCTTCTGAATGTTGAAGAAAAAAAGAGGAAGAAAAGAAGAAGAAAGGAGAAGGAAGAGAAAAAAGGAGCAGAAGGAAAAGTAAAAGGAGGAGAAAGAGGAAAAAGAAAGGGAAATGGGAAAAAAAGAGGACAAGAGGGAGAGGAGAGGAAGGGGTGAAGGAGGGAGAAGGGAGGAAGGAGGAGGAGGAGGAGGAAATCTGGAAGCTAAAAGAACTCCAAAAAGGAAAAACACAAAGCAATTCGCACATGGACACATCATACTCAAATTTCTGAAAACCAAAGATAGAGAAAAAAATCTTAAAAGCAAACACTTTATACTTAGGGAGAGAAAACACAATTAATGGCAGACTTCTCGACACAAATAGTAGATGCCGGATTGTCAATCCAGAATTCTACATCCAAAAATAACTATTTTTGAAAAATGCAAATGAAATAATAATTGAGATAGGGGAAAACCAAAAGAATCTTTTGCACACAAATCAGCCTTTTCCAGTAGCACTTACAGCACAGCTACATGAGGCTGCTTCCACAGTACTCTATCCATGCCCTCAAGCGAGGCTCTCCTAAACTAGTTGCTGCTTCTGAGAACTTCCTGAAGATGATTTCCACAGTAGCTTCAGCTGCACCCCTAGGCAACTCCCTACCAACACTACCAAGACAGCAGGCATTTTCTACAGACCTGCTCGAGCTCATCCATGCTCTGGCAAGAGTGGACTCTTCTACAGACCACCTGTGGCCCATGCCCTCTAGCAAGTTTCTACACTACCAGCAAATAATGAGTTACAAACTCTCTTTAAAGAGATCTAAAGCAAAGCCTGAGGGGGTTTGGGGAGGAGGACCCTCTCTCAAGTCCTTGGGTTCCTTCATTTGCTAACCTCCCCTAGCTTTTACCTGCTACTGCTAGATCCCTCAGATTCCTCTTGTACCCCTTTTAGTAATTAAGACACCATTCAATAGCTAATCTTTCTTTATATGAAAACATAAAAGACTGCTGCTGTATAAGGTAAGAACTGTGAGTTTTTGCCTTCCTTGTTAAATTTTAAATTTTTTTAATTTTAAATGTTTACTTTTTTAAAATATTAAATTTTTAAAATTTTTCCTATTCTAATAACTAATAGAGTTTCTGTCTGCAGGGTAGACACTGCTATGGAATGAAACTTCCTTGATTTGACAAGTGACAACTATCATCAGACTTATAAGTGAACAACTTTCTACCTAAAATGAGAAATAAGGTCAGGATGGCCACTCTCACCACTTCTATTTGCTATTTTTCCGGATGCTCTAACCCAGTGAAATAAAACACAGAAAAGATATTATAAAAATAAACACTGGGAAAGAAGCAATAAAACTTTACAAATGCACACAGGACATGACTGTGCAGGTAGAAAAATCCTAAGAAATGTATAAGAAAGTGATCTAGTCATAAGTTTAGCAAACTCATTAAAAACAATGTACGTATTCAATACACAATTGTTTTCTGTATCCTACCAAAAACCAACTAGAAAATGAAATTTTAGAAAACATTTCCATTCCATTAGAATACAAATATATTAAACATTTAGGAATAAAGCTTAACAAAGGAAGTAAACGACCTAAACACTAAAAAGTGAAAAATAATGCTGCAAGAAATTAAAAACCTAAGAAAGTGCAGAAATATGCTATGTACATAAACAGAGATTTAATATTATCAAATCTCCTCAAATTGTTCATAAAGTCAAAGCAATCTCAATCAAAACCTAACAGGCATTTTTGCAGAAAATGACAATCTGAGTATAAAATTTATATTAAAAATGCAAAGGATACAAGATAGTCATAACAATGTTAAAAAAAAAAAAAGAACAAAGTTGGCAGACTTATTTCAAGACTTACTATAAAGATTCAAGTAATCAAGACAGTGTGGTAGTGGAATAAAGTTAGAATTCAAAAATAGACCCAACACTATATGTCCAATTGATTTTCTACAAAGATATCAATATAATTCAATGGAGAATCAATAGGTTCTTCAACTAACAGAGGTGAAACAACGGAATTTCCAAACGGAAATATATGAACCTCAACCCGTAACTCACTCCATAACAAAAACTAACTCAAAATAAATCACAGACTTAAATGTTAGAGCTCAAAACATAAAACTTCTGGAAGAAAAACACTGGAGAAAACATTTATGATCTTGATTTGAGCAAAGATATACTACATTGGGGATAAAAAAACAAATATTAAAGAAAAAATTTCATCACTGCAGATTATACCATCCAAAGATGCCCACACCAAAATATATATCCTATCCCACATGTGCTTCTTAAAATGTGACATTGACTGTCCCCCATACATATTCCCTCTCCTTGTACCAGGGACCTTTAAAACTACCTTTGTAACTATAACATAAATAGAAGGAGGCAGAACAACTAATACATTGATAAAATGTGCCTAATCAAAATTAAAAACCTTTTGCTCTTTGCAGTCAAATTGTTTGCCCATGATAGCCCATTACTTAATTTAAAAAATGAAAAAGCAGCTGGGCGTGGTGGCTCACACCTGTAATCCCAGCACTTTGGGAGGCCATGGCAGGCGGATCACGAGGTCAGGAGATCGAGACCATCCTGGCTAACAGGGTGAAACCCCATCTCTACTAAAAATACAAAAAATTAGCCGGGCGTGGTGGCATGCACCTGTAGTCCCAGCTACTTCAGAGGCTGAGGCGGGAGAATTGCTTGAACCTGGGAGGTAGAGGTTGCAATGAGCTGAGATCACACCATTGCACTGCAGCCTGGGCGACAGAGTGAGGCTCCATCTCAAACACAAAAAAAAAGAAAGAAAGAAAAAGTAAGCCACAAACTCTGAAAAAATATCTGCAAATATATATGTGGCAAAGCACTTAAATTCAAAATATATAAATAACTCTTACTAGTCAAAAATAAGCTACACAACCCAAAAAATTGAAATGATCAAAAGATTTCAACAGATACTTGAACAAAAAAATCTACATATATCATATACATACTATATATGAATATATGTGCATATGTATACACACACACAAATATTTATGAATAGCCAAAGCCAACAAAAAGATGTTCAATATTATTAGTCTGTAGGAAAATGCAAATTAAAACCAAAATAAGATACCACTCCACATGCACTAGAACAAGTAAAAAGAATGACAATACCAAGTGATAGTGAGAATATGGAGATACTGGAACTCTCATATATTGCTGGCGGGAAGGCAAAATGGTACAGTCAGTTTGGAAAACAATTTGTCAGTTTCCTGTAAATTTAAACATATACTTACCATGAGGCCCAGCAATTCTATCCCTAGGTATCTACCCAAGATAAATGAAAACATATATCCATTTATATGAGCTATAGAAAAGCCAAAATTTTAGTGACAGAGAGCAGACAAGTGACTGCTTGGGATCTAGGACATGGGAAGAGAAAACCGCAAAGGGGAAAGAGGGGCTTTTTAAGGAAGAGAGAAATATTCTATATCTTGATTGTGCTTATAGTCACATGACTATAAACATTTGCCAAAACTCATCAAACTGTAAACTTAAAATACATGAAGTTCATTAAATATAAATAAGGCTGTTTTCTCAAAATACTACCTGTCCCTCCTCCCCAGTCCCACCCAAAAGTAGCTCTCAATTCAGTGGTAATTCAACTCCCCCTTATCATTGGGAAAAATCTGGGTACTACATTAATGAAAAATTTTTTAGGAAGGACACAGATGCTTTAGAAAGAAATTCATATGCTTTAGAGATAGATTTTATCTTAAATTCATATAAACTTCTTAAATTCATAGAAACTGGGAGCAGAGGTGGAAGCTGCCGAAAGCAACAGAAATACTAAAGCCAGTAATAAATACTAGAGATGAATAATCCAGGAAAGATGAAACAGAGCCTGCATGTCATACTCGTAGGTACGCTGGGGATCCAAGATAAGTAAGTTATGAAAACCCTGCATTCCATACAAAATTCCACATGTCACCAATTAAGAACCACTGCTCTAGTATACACTTAACTTGATCATGAAGAAAAATATGTACTCTATATAAAAACCAGCAAGTTGGCAAACAAGCATTGCCAATCTCACCTTTACTTGCAGATGAGTGCTCTTGCACCTGTGTTCCCATCCACCATTTGTCCAAGCAAAAAGTTGTCAGACCTGAATCCTTCTTCTGCCACAATGTATCATACTATATAGTAACTAATTATTCATTTACAATTCTCACTAGAATATAGATTCTATTTCACTAATATACCTCTGCCACTTACACCTGATAAACACTCAAAAAATATTGAATAAATGCAAGATGTAAGAGCTAATGAGTAAGTCATTGTTTGGACTATGTCAAGTAAGTGCTTATTTACTGATTATATTGGGGTATGTGGTTTAGCAAAGTATGAACAAATATTTCCTTAACTACATTAAAGCAATTTCAAATGCTGAAAAAATAATTCATTAGCTTTTCATATTAATGAAATCAATTTGGAGCTGGGCGCAGTGGCTCAAACCTGTAATCCCAGCGCTTTGGGAGGCCAAGGCGGGCGGATCACCTGAGGTCACGAGCTTGAGACCAGCCTGGCCAACATGGTGAAACCCCATCTCTATTAAAAATACAAAAATTAGCCGGGTGTGGTGGCGGGCACCTGTAATCCCAGCTACTTGGAAGGCTGAGGCAGGAGAATCACTTGAACCCAGGAGGCGGGGGTTGCAGTGGGCTGAGATCATACCACTGCACTCCAGCCTGGGTGACAGAGCGAGACTCAGTCTAAAAGGAAAAAAAAAAAAAAAGAAATCAACTTGGTCTTTTTAAACATCATAAATGTCTAACCTGTTTTCATTCAGTACACAGGAAATATGCATTACATATGGAGACAATGGACCTTAACAGCGGTTTTAAGAAGTAACAGTATGTTACTTCTGTTTAGAGATGTGGGCTGGTAAGTAATTCAGGAATTTAAATGATAAGCAGATGGTTTGTTTCCAAATTGAGAGCAGTCATCTGGCTCTAAAGAAGAGTGTACTTTTGTAAATATATGTTCTGTCATGTTTTACCCAATGTGACATGACGTAACAACATACTATGTTATGTCTTGCTTTGCTTCTTTTAACATAATGAAAATTAACAAAAGAAAAGCATGAGGTTTTTTCCCCCATCATGCTATCTTCTTACACTTACGTCAAAGCAAACAAAATAATAAAAAAAAAATGCTGAGATTTAGAGTTATACTTCAACTATGTTTCAAAACAAGATAGTGTCCCTCTTCCTATCAGAGCTGAACTTTCTCAACCATTAAATGGGGATAATACCAAATATTATAATAATTGAGAGTCTGTTTAATTTCAAATTTGAGAGTGAGGAATAAAGAATTATATCTAAATTTGACATTTCATTTAATTATCATAAATTTTTTTAAGTAGGCAAACTTAGCATATGTGATAAATAATTGTTGGATGAGTATACAACATTCGTCTTCCTTCCTCCAATTCCTTCCTCTCTTCTCACAAAAAGCTGATTTCATTTAGATAATTCATCTTCTTTTACAAAGACATTCACTTAACTCAGTCAATAATAGTATTCCCATTCCTCATGTCAGTGATTTTTTTTTTTTTAGATATAGGCATAGAGTGCCAGAGATGAAAAAGGTTGTTACATAACAATAAAAGGGACAAATTATCAGAAGGACATAACAAACTTAAATGTTTTTGCATCTAAAAACAGAGCTTTAAAATACATGAATCAAAAACTGATACAACTTCACAATAAAATATCACAAATCCGTAACTATAGTCACAGATTTCCACACCCTTCTCTAATAACTGACAGAAAAAGTAGAGAGAAAATCAGTAAAGATGTGAGCCTGGTAAAAAATACTATTAATCAACTTGATCTAATTGATGTTTATAGAGCATTGCACTAAACAAATGCAGAATACTCTTTTCAGATCCACACAAGGCATTTCCTAAAACAGACTATAATCTGGAAAAGAAGAAAGAAGGCACAAATTACCATTATCAGGAATGAGGTGACACAAACTACAAACTCTTCAGAAATTAAAGGGATAATGAGGAAATATTATGTACAATTTTGTTTCTATTAATTGACAACTTAAATGTAATGGAAAATGGACAAATTGCTTGGAAGACACAAACTACCACAGCTCTCACAAGAAGAAATACTTAGCCTAAATAGCACTAATGTCTTCAAAAAAAAAAAAGTTGAAATAGTAGTAAAATATCTTGCCAAAGAAAAAAAGACCAGATTGCTTCACTCATAAATTCTACCAAACATTTAAGGAAGAAATAATCCCATTTCTCAAAACTCACCTAGGAATTTGAAAAGAAAGAAATTCTACTTAAGTCATTCTTATGAGGGCAGTGTTGTCTAGGCAGCAAAACTAAATGCAGACATTAACAAGAAAACTACACACCAATATCCCCCACGGGCATAGTTATAAATGTTCTTAAGAAAATCTGAGCACACTGAATCCAACAATATATAAGAAGAATAATACACTGAATGGGATTTATTCTAGGATACAAGGCCAAACATCAAGCAATGTAATTCACTATATTAAGCTAAAAAAGAAAAAGCACATGTTCATCTCTATAGATACAGAAAAAGCATCTGACATAATCAAACTTCCATTCCAAAAATTTTTTTAACTCTCATAAGGCATACAGATTTAAAAAGAAGTAAAATTTTCTCTTTTTCTTAGATGACATGTTCATCTATATAGAGGATACTATGAAACATATCAAAAAGAAGCTACTAGAACTAAAAATTGACTTTAGCAAAGTTGCAGGATATAAGATCAATATACAAAATAAATAGCAATGAATAACTGAAAATTCAAGCTAATAAAACAACACTATTGACAATAGCATTAAAAAATATTAAATACTTGTGGTTAAGTTTAACAAAAATATACAAGACCTGTACACTGAAAAGTAAAAACACTGCTGAGAAAAATTAAAGAAAACATAAATAAATACAGAACTATTCAATTTTCATTGGTCAAAATACTCAATATTGTCAAGAAATTAATTCTGCCAAAATTGATCTAGAGATTAAATATAATTCTAATAGATATCTCAAAGGCTTTTTATACAAAAATTGAAGAGCTGTTCTAAAATTTACATGGAAATGCAAAGGACCTACAACAGTCAAAAACAATACTTAAAGAGAATATAATTGGAAGACTAATACTACATGACTGCTACAGTTATCATATACCTACAGTTATCAAGACCGCATGGTTTGGGTTTAAACATAGACTAATAGATCAGTGAAAGAGATGAGAGTCCAGAAAGAGACCCACATATATGTGTAAAACTGATTTTTCAACAATAGTGCAAACGTAATTCCGTTAAAAAAAAAAAAAAGATGAACTCTTCAATAAATGGTGCTAGAACATTTGTTTAACTATATGCAAAAATAATGACATTAAATGAACTGTGATCGATACTTTACACAAAACATAAAAGTTAGGGCAAACTGTATCATAGAGTTAAACGTAAAATCTAGAACTATGAAGTAAGAAAATATAGCAGAAACTCTTATGACCTTAGATTAGGCAAAATTTTCTTAGATACACATCAAGTGAATCAATAAAGAAAAAAATTCACAAATTAGATTAAATCCAAATTTTAAACTTCTCTTTAAAAGACATTGTTTAGAGAATGAAAAAAGAAGCCACAGTATGGAAAAAAATTTTTTACAAAATATAGATCCAATCAAGGACATGTATCCAGAATATATAAAGAGCTCTCAAAGCCCCATAATAAGAAAAACAATCCAATTTTAAAATATGCAATAGTTTTGAAAAGACAGTTCACTGAGAACAGCCTATGATACTTAATAATCACATAAAATTTAATTTTTTATTTATCATCATTAGTCATCAGGGAAATTCAAATTAAAGCTATGACTATATACCTATTAGAATGGCTAAATTTTAAAAGACTGGCCTTTCCAAGTGTTAGCATAGATGTAGGGCAACTAGAACTCTCACACAATGCCAGCATGAATGTAAAATGGTATGATCACTTTGGAAAACAGCCTAGACACTTCTTAAAATACTAAAGCTATACAGCTGGGTGCAGTTGCACACGCCTGTAGTCCCAGCTACTCAAAAGGACAAAGTGGGAGGGTCACTTGAGTCCAGGAGTTCAAGCCCAGACTGGGCAACATAGTGAGAACCCCACCTCTACAAAAATAAATAAATAAATAAGCCAGGCCTGGTGGCACATGCCTACAGTCCCAGCTACTCAGGAGTCTGAGGTGAAAGGATCATCTGAGCCCAGGAGTTTGCATTGCAGTGAGATGTGATAATGCTATTGCACTCCAGCCTGGATGATAGAGCAAGACCCTGTCTCTAAAAACAAAACTAAACGAAATTTGAAAATACTAGACATGTGCTCTCCATATAACCTCCACTGTGAGCTTTATTGTGCACCCCAACCCACCAAAAAATATATATGTTACAGTCCTAACCCCCAATATCTCAGAATGTAACTGTATTTGGAGATATGATCTTTAAGGAGGTAATTAAGTTAAAACGAGCTCCTTTAGGGTGGGTTCAAATCCAATATGACTGGCATCCTTACAGGAAGAAAATATTTAGACACAGGCACACGGACAGAAAAGCCATATGAAGGCACAGGGAGAAAACAGCCATCTACAAGCTAAGGAAAGAGGCCTCAGAAAAAACCAACCTTGCCAACGCCTTGATCCCAGACTTCTAGATCTAGAACTGTTAGAAAATAAATCTCTGCTGTTTAAGCCACACAGTCTGTGTTACTTGTTATGGCAGCCCTAGAAAACTAATATAACCAGCACCCCTAGGGAAAAAAAAAAATGAAAGCATATGCCCATACAATGACTTGTATGTGAATTCTGTAGCAGCTTTACTCATAATCATCAAATCCTAGAAACAACCCAAATAACAAATAGAAAAAGGAATCATGATAGAACCAAACAACAGAATGCTTATCGGCAATAAAAATGAACCATTGTTACACAAAATAAAATATATGAATCTCAAAATAATTATGCTGAAAGAGGCCAGATAAAAAAAGAGAGTATGTACTGTATGATTCCATTTATATAAAACTCCAGAAAATGCAAACTAATCCATGGTGACAGCAGATCAGTGGTTGTTTGGGAAAGTGGGAGGGAGAAGCTGAAAGGAGAGGTTACCAAAGGAAATAAATTTGTAGAGTAATGGGTATGTTCACTACCTTGAGTGTGGTAACAGTTTCACTGATATATATGTATGTCAAAATGTATCAATATACTTTAAATATGTATAGTTTTTATACTTCATTATACCTCAATAAACTGGTTTTGTAAAGAGGGATCAAGAGTAAGTAACTTCAGAAAAAGTTGACATGGTCTATGATTCCATTTATATAAAATTCTAGAAAATATAAACAAATCTACAGTAATAGAAGGCATCCATGAGGTATGTGAGTGGTGGGGAGGACTTACCAAGGAGCATGAAGAAATTTTGGGGATGATGTTTTAGGTTCATTATCTTAGTATGTGGTGATGGTTACGTGGGTGTATAAACATGTCAAAACGTATTGAATTGTATTTGTAAATACAGTAGTCTAGTCTTTTCCTCAGTCTCACTTTCTGCAGTTTCAGTTATCCATGATCAACTGCAGTCCAAAAATATTCAATGGAATATTCCAGAAATAAATAATTCATCAGTTTTAAACTGTTTGCCATTATGAGTAGTTTGATAACATCTTAAGCTGTCCTGCCCCCTCTCACCTCAGGATGTGAATTGTCCCTGTCCAGGTATCCACGCTATAGATGCTATGTACCAGTTAGCACTTAGCCCTTTCAGTTACCACATCGACTGTCCTGGTATCATGGTGCATGTATTTGAGTAACTCTTACGTTACTTAATAATGGCCCCAAAGTGCACAAATAGTGGTGCTGGCATATTGTTATAACGGCTTTGTTTTATTATTGTTACTAATCCCTTATTGTGAAAAATGTGTAAGATAAACTTTATCATAGGTTTGTACGTATAGAGAAAAAAACATACCATAGGTATGTATGTATAGGGTTTGGTACAATCTGCAAATTCCAGCATCCACTAGGGGTCTTGGGATGTATCCCTTGTGGATAGACAGGGACTACTGCAAGCCTATTTTATTAAATATTAAATAAACTTCAATAAAGTTGTTGTTAAACACTAATAATTGTAGTTAGCATTACAAAGATCTAAACAGACAAATGTCATATATTGAGAGGTTTATCTCTGATTATACCCTTCATTAAGCATATTAAAAGAGTCAAGACTACCTCAAAATCAAAGTTTAATTTTGTTAGTGTTATACTACAATGAATCCAATATCATGTACATTATAATCAATAGTGACAATAGTAAAGCCACTTATATATATACTACTAATTAACTCTTAAATCATAAGGACTTTCCATTAATTCTTGCACATAAGCCAGGCTAGCCTATATAAGCCTATGCAAAACTCTAATAACAATAATAATTTTTAAAAACATTAATTAACTTTTCTATGTGCCAATCACTGCCTTAGGTACTGTATGTGTTATCTCAAGTAATGCTCACAATACCCTATGACAGCAGGCACCAGGGACTGGTTTCATGGAAGATAATTTTTCCATGAACCAGCAGTGGGTGGTGGCGGGGAGGGGGTGCAGATAGTTTTAGGATGATTCAAGCACATTACATTTACTGTTCACTTTATTTATCTTATTACATTGTAATATATGATGAAATAAATAATTATACACTCACCACAATGTAGAATCAGTGGAAGCCCTGAGCCTTTTTTCCTGTAACTAGATGGTCCCATCTAGGGGTGACAGGAGACAGTGCCAGATCATCAGGCATTAGATTCTCATAAGGAGTGAGCAACCAGATCCTTCACATGTGCAATTCATAAAAGAGTTCGCTCCTATGAGAACCTAACGCTGTCACTGATCTGACAGGAGGCAGAGCTCAGGCGGCAATGCAAGCGATGGGGAGAGGTTGTAAATACAGACAAAGCTTCTCTCATTAGCCTGCCATTCACCTCCTGTTGTATGGCCCAGTTCCTAACAGGCCACGGACCAGTATTGCTGGGGACCCCTCCCCTATGAGGTATGTTCTATTTTAATTTTATTTTATAGGTAAGGAAATTCAGGCATAGAAAAGTCACTTTCCCAGGGACACACTGTATGTGGCAAACTCAGGATCACAAATCAGGTATTCTATGTCCAAAGCCCAAGTAAGTTTATAATAATCACTATGCAGTATATCCTCTCATGAAGATTAAATTATATTCATGGTAGTCTTAGGCAATAAATTATTCATTTATTCATCACTGAGGAGTTGAATGTTAACTGTGGGCCAGGCACATAGCATTGCAGATATAATAGTATACATAACACATTCCCTATCCCCAGCAGACCACACTCTAGTGAGGGATACACCAACAAACAATTCTCCCATTCTGAAAAAGGCAAAACCATAGAGACAGTAAAAAGTGGCTGCAAGGGATTTTCAGGGCAGTGAAACTATTCTGTATGATACCGTAATGGTGGATATATGACATTATGTATTTGTCCAAACCCATAGAACTACACAACACAAAGAATTATCCCTAATGTAAACTATAAGCTTCAATTAATAATAAGGCATCAATATTGGTTCATTAATTGTAACAAATGTAATGCATTAATGCAAGATTTTAAAAATAGGGGAAACAGAGTAATATGAGAACTCTCTGTACTTTCCACTCAAGGTTTCTATAAAGCAAAAACTGGTTTAAAAAAATAAAGCCTATCAGCACAATAGGAAGGGTATAAATAAATAAATAAATAAAGCCTAATTTGTTAAAGGATATATGTACAATCTAAAAAGAAAGAAGAAACCAGAAGGTCACATCCCAAGGTTAAAAAAAAAAAAGAAAACTGTAACTAAACACATAAATTAGAATTAGCACCTTTTATACAAACCAATTTATTTAATCAATATAAAAAATGGGTGAAATTAGATCACTCCAATAATTTGAATTTAACTCATTTTAAAACATCTAATGAGCCTGGTACAGTGTTTCACTCCTGTAAACCCAGCACTTTGGGAGGCCAAGATAGGAAGAGCGCTTGAGGCCAGGAGCTCAAGACCAGCCTGGGCAACTTATCAAGACCCAGTCTCCACAATTAAATAAAAAATTAGAAGAAATTAAAATTACAAAAGGTTTAACAGCTACTCATCCCATACTATAGTTCCAAGAGTCATTGATAATGATAGCGATACCCAGACACACAGTCTAATCTCTATAACCCATGAAAAAGACAGTAGGGAAAGAAGAGGGGATGGCAGGACACAAGGAGGAACTGTCAATATGAAAG
Organism: Homo sapiens; assembly: GCF_000001405.40. Lineage (NCBI taxonomy): Eukaryota > Metazoa > Chordata > Mammalia > Primates > Hominidae > Homo > Homo sapiens. Next base: position 87,130,488 of record NC_000011.10, on the reverse strand, counting down.
GCCATTCTCTTTCCACATCAGGAATTAGTCATATGATTTCTAACATGATCTCAATAGAACATTACTTTCAAAGAGGTATGTCCTAACTTCCAGTTTGTTCATCCAGGCCCTCTTAGGAAAACAGTAGAAAGATGAAATTTTATGTCCTTCACTATCCTTACTATCATCATTATCATAGAATTTATTGATAAGCATGAAAGCAAAACACAAATGAAACAAGATCAGCAGAGTAGGGGATGGAAAAAGCCTGGGCCCTCGATATCACTGAATCCTGGAACTGGTACTCTCAAGACTCCTTGTAATTTACTTAAAAAAAAAAAAATGCTGGAACTGGTACCCTCAAGACTCCTTATAATTTTTTTTTTTTAAAAATGTACTTATACTGCAAGTCACCTGTAATTACGTATCCTGCTACTTGTATCCTAAGAAATCTAGAAGCCCACTGAAGAACTTGCCTCAATTTATTAAAATAAAATCATTATCTTGGAGTATACACTCTGCATTCCCATATTCTTTATTCTAGATGTCTGGAGAATTATGAAATCATTTCCTGAATTACTTACATTCTATTAATTTAGGGTACATTTTTTCCAAAGACAGAATGTAACCAGTTGTATAGTATTTATGACAAAAACATTAAGAAATAACAGCCGAGCGCAATGGCTCACGCCTGTAATCCCAGAACTTTCGGAGGCTAAGGAGGGCAGATCACCTGAGGTCAGGAGTTTGAGACCGGCATGGCTAACATGGCAAAACCACATCTCTACTAAAAATACAAAAATTAGCCAGGTGTGGGGGCACAGGCCTATAACTCCAGCTACTCAAGAAACTGAGGCACAAGAATTGCTTGAACCCGGGGGGCAGAGGTTGCAGTGAGCCCAGATTGCCCCACTCCACTCCAGCCTGGGTGACAGAGCAAGATTCCATTTCAAAAAAAAAAAAAATTGGCCAAGCATGGTGGATCACGCCTGTAATCCCAGCACTTTGGGAGGCCTAGGCAGACGGATTACCTGAGGTCAGGAGTTCGAGACCAGCCTGGCCAATATGGCGAAACCACATCTCTACTAAAAACACAAAAATTAGCCAGTCATGGTGGTGTGCGACTGTAGTCCCAGCTATTAGGGAGGCTGAGACAGGAGAACTGCTTGAACCTGGGAGGCAGAGGTTGCAGTGAGCTGAGATCGTGCCACTGCACTCCAGCCTGGGCAACAGAACAAGACTCCGTCTCAAAAAAAAAAAAAAAAAAAAAAAAAAAAAAAAAAAAAAAAAAAAAAATTAAGGAATAAGGAACATGTATAGAAAAAAGCAAATTCTGCTAATAATACCAACCTTGCTGCTCCTTTCAACTACAAACCTATGCTAAGTTTTTTTTACGAGCAAAGTAGAGGTTTTAAATTTTAAAATCAGATAGTTAGAAGACACAAAAGCTCCACATATTTAGAGTTAAGCTATAACTCTAGGTTAAAAAAAAAACAAAAAAAAAAACCTTAAACCTGCTTAATTTCCAAATAGGGAACAGCAAGGGCATTTGGAAGAAATAATTCATTGGAGTTTCTTAGAATCAACTTAAGCTTATATACTGTATAGTATTCCATTGCATAAATATAGAATTTACTTATTCATTCAACTACTAAGGGACCCTCGAGTTGAATTGAGTTTTCATAATTACAAACATGCTGCTCTAAATATTCTTGCTGGTTTCTCCTATTTTCTACATACAGTTAGAAATTTTTCTAGAATATACTTAAAGAATGGGTTGATGTGTACATGTTTGGTTTTATTTAAAAGTAACAAACCGTTTTCCAAAGTGTTTGCAAATTGACACTCCTACCAGCAATAGATAAGAGTTCATTTCCTACTAGTATTTTTCTTAGAGTTAACAAAACAGTTCATCAAGTATCCTGAAGGTATCTAAACATACATCAAAGCATAATTATTTGTTCAACAAATATTTACTGACTACCTGCTTAATGGTACCATACATATAGCAGTAACTCAGTAATCAAAAGCATTTCCTGAAACTTCTCTTAGTAGGAAGAGAATCAACACTTAGTCTTGTAGAGATTCTCTTATTACAAGTATCAGAAATCTGCAAGAAAAAAAAGAACACGCAGAAGGTTGAAACAGCTAGAGCAAAGATCTGGAGTCAAAGGAATACAAAGCAGTAAGAGATTTGAAGCAAATACGTAAACATGTATACGCAAATGCATACAATCATACATGCTAACATACATGCATATACAGGCACAATTAAGACTAGGAAAAAGGGGGTCATCAAGGTATAGAAGGGCTGTAGTTTTGTTTTCCAGCTCTAAAATCCTTAACAGAAAATTAAGGTTAGAAACCAAGTGTTTTACTAGACCATACCACTATTATCTATAGCAATGTCTCTATTATCCGTGTAACCACTTCAGAGAATAACTAGAGTTGGACCAAAAAAAGCCAAAGTAAGATTCTAGATCAAGCATGATGAGATAGAACACTTATTTGCCTATTTGAATTTAAGAGATGTTCAAAGTTCCTCCCACCTCCAAAGCAGATATTTCTTCTCACAGAGCCTGAAACCACATGTACATTATTGTATTCTGCTGGACATTCAGCATTTTTTTTCATTCAATAACAAATATTTACATTAAGTTACAAATATCAATGGACACAAGAAACTTAAAAAGATAAGCAACTGAAAAAAATAATAAAAACAAAACTAGGAACAGACATGCTGAAAAAGGTGCCAAAGCACCAAACAAAAAATGTGCCTACTTCACCACTTAATCAACACCTAGCCCTAACACTGGTAGGTAGGAAGAAACAAACTTGCTGTTGTCTTTAACTGGCCTCTTACAGAAACTTAGTCTACTGAAGACTAACATCCTAAATTGGCATATAGTTTTGTTTGAATTTATATAATTTAATAGATTTCCAGTATACTATACCAAATTATACTCACTTCTAACTACATCAGAGTATCATACAAGTTCAATTCCACACATAACTTAGAATGGGAGAAAGAACCTGGGATCAAAACAGAGAAGCTCACAAAAAGAAAAAGTGACGTTCCAGATACTAAAACGCCAGTGCCACAAAACCTGGAGGCCATGAATCTTGATTAGCCCACAGAAAGGCCTGCCATGGAGACTGTGTGGCTGGCACCCATGGAGCAATAATTTGGAATGAATGGAGCCCTTAGTATTTTGTATTAATTGAAGTAAGACGTTTAGGAATCTGACACTTCAACTTAGATTAGTTCACACTAATTGAACACAATGCTAAACATTATCCTCAGACACCAAAGTGAAATGTTTAACAACCTATAAACAGGGCCTCGGTATTGAATTCTTTGTCTTATTTAAGTCAAAAGGAACCAGATTACTTTTTTTATGGTTTTAACAAAGTAAACAGGAGCTGGAAAATATCCAAAACTGTTCAAATCAATGTTGTTTTTTACCAGGCTAGGGCTGTTAATAAATATACCATAAATGAGCTCAGACTTTTTTATCTACACTTATATATGTATTCTTGAAAAGGATGTAACAGATTCCAATTCTTAATCATTCCCCCTAATTCCACAATTTCTCACCATTTCCTGTACTAGTTTACCCCTGCTTTTGACTTTTAATTCCATCATAAATTACTCTAATAAGAATTCAGAATCCAAACATAAATTTTATAAACACATACAGTACATACACCTACTTAGTAATTAAAACCAGCCTTCATTAAAGGTAATGCTTCCTTCTAGTATTTCTATAGCATTTGCTATACTTCATGGGGACTTTACTAACAATTTTTAACACAAAAAATGAAAACCATGTTTTTTTAAAACCATCACATTCTAACCATACAATGAGTCCTTTTCTCCTGCAAGTATGTACATATAGTATATATATATATTTTAAAAAGCAAAGCAAAACAAAACCCTTAGCACTTTTAAATGTATACATTTTTAGCGAGAACTAAATTTCCTTCCAAAAAAAAGAACACAGTATACTAAATTTTTTGCTAGAAAGTTAATGTAATTGTTTCAATTATAGTCATTTTTAAACTTTTTTATTGAAAGGATGAATAATTATTAGTAAATGTTTAATGAAATTATAAAATATTTGATAAAAGTGAAGTAATTTTAATATAAATGTTTTTGACACTATTTTATACATATAAATATACATTTATGCACACAGGCATAATAGTATGAACTTCTAAAGAGACAGCCACAAAAATTAAGTTTTAAGAGCCTACTGATAAATATTATTATAATTATTTTTCAAAATGATCAATAAAGATTTATGTTGATTTTGTGAATTAAAATACAGGTATTGTAGGCCGGGCATAGTGGCTCAAGCCCATAACCCAACACTTTGGGAGGCCAAAGCGGGTGGACCACTTGAGGTCAGGAATTCAAGACCAGCCTGGCCATAAAGCAGATCCCAATACAATAAAATATTGTTCCTTGATATCACTGTTGAAAACAAACAAGAAGGGGTGAGTGAGAATGGCAGGGAAATAAAAGGTATATGTTCCAGGTAATGAGTACGAAATTTGCTTTGTTAAAACAGTAAAATCAGTATAAATTTTAGGAGTTAAACAGAATTTATCTTCATTTAAGTAAATTATCTGTAAAGATTGTTTAAATGAATTTTGTAAAACATTTGTATGTAAATTTTCTAGAGCTCTTATAATTTGATGCAGTAGTCTGAGAACTGACCCCCATCTTCTAAAACTGCTGTCCATCCCCTTTACAATTACTTCTTCCCAAATCAGCTGGAGTAACAGTTTTAAAAATGCAAATCCTATCACATCACTTTTTGCTTTTTAAAAGTCTCCAATGGTTTTCTATTACACTTAAAGTCCGAACTCTTTACCACAGCCTACAATATCCTAAATATAATCTGCTTTTGTCTATCTTTCCAACCTCATTTCATACCATTCTGTCCAGACATAACAGACTCCTTAGCTATAAATCAAATGAATCAAACTTGTTGTCATCTTGGGACCTGTTTACTTATTATTCATTACACTCTTGCATAAGATTTTCTCAAGATGTATTAACAGCTCCTTTACATCATTCGGAGTGTACTCAATGTCATCTCTCCAGAGAGGCCTTTCCAGACCAAAAGCACCTCTACTCCCCCACAACTACTCTTACCCTGCTTATTTTCTACCTAGCACTTCCACCTCTGACATTTACAATTTTAATTTATTTACTTATTGGATTATTGTCCCACTTTCCCTCTATTATGTAAGGTCTACAAAGACAGCGCATTGGCTATCTGTGCCCTGGCCTCAAACACAACACACATGTATGTGTTTCATACCTAATTTAGTTGCTTTGGCTTTATAAACAGAAATCAATTTGGTTAGCTTGAGATAAAAATAGGAATTAAAGGGAAGGACACTTTGATGGCTCAGAGAATTGAAAGAAGTTCTAACGAGTCAAGTCAAGTACAGAGCCTCATTCGTGCCCTGGCCTCAAAACAATACCAGACACAGAGCAATTACTCAGTATTTGTGAAGTAAGAGAAGTAGCAACTAAAGCAAGGAAACAAAATTAGTATTTACCCTAACAGCATTTTCTGTTTCAAGCATTAAAAGATAAATATGACTAAATAAAATCCCAGCTCTGGAAAAGCTTATCAGTGTAATGAGAGAAGAACAGAAGTAAGAGAGGAAGGCATAGAGGGGAAAAAGGAGGGAGGAAGGGATAAATGAAGGGAAGGAGGAGAAAGGAAGGAAAATTACTACTACAGAATAATGAACTAACAGCTATGGAAGAACAGAAGAGAATATAACCTAACATAGAGGAAAGATTTCCAAATTCAGATTTATCACTGTCATTGGTACATATCAGGATATATCAACACATACGTATTAAATGAAGATTATTCCACACGACCCTTTATGACACAGAGAAGCCTCATGAATGTCACTTGACTCAAAAAATGTCATTGAAAAAAAACTGAGTTATGCTTTAATTCAGGAAGAATGCTACACAGGTCACATTTGAGCCATGCCCCCTTCCCCTGCGGCCTCCCACCTGCTAAGGTAGTTTGATCCAGCACAAGATTATACCTAAATAAGCCAAACAGATTCTCCCTCTAAAGAATTAAAATTTGAGGTTAAAGGCAAGGTGGAAGGAGGGGAATGTTAGAGCTGAGTCACTTTAATGGCAGTGTCATATAAAAGGTCCTGCTGCTAAGTTCCCGTAGATGCCCTAGTTCCATTTTTTCCTGAGACTCGACTCTTTAGAACTTCTTTCAATTCTGAGCCATCAAACTGTCCTTCCCCTTAATTCCTATTTTTTTATCTTAAGCCAACCAAATTGGTTTCTGTTTATAAAGCCAAAGCAACTAAATTAGACGTGAAACATTGCTCATGTGAAATCATCCTAATGAAGGGCTAAAACAAGAGATTAAGGATTATAGACCTATTGCAAGGAGCAATGTTAAGTCATTACACACAGAGAAACTACAGTGATAGAGTAGAAAGAGAAAAACATTATCATCACTTAGTTTCAGGTGCAGATTCAAATCTTAGAGTCACTGTTTCTTAGCTATATTATGTAAGCTTGAGCAAGTAAATTTAATAATGTTTTCAGCTTGTTTCATGAGCTACTGATAATATGTGCTTTATAGGATTGTTTGAAGAATAAACAAGAGAAAAGATGTCAATAAACCCAGCAAAATGTCTGGAAGATGGTAGGGGCTCAATAAATGTTAATTCTCAACTTGTTTCCCAGTAAGAATAAGGCATCTATTGAGAGAATAAATAAAAAGGCAACTCTGGCTAGAGCAGGAATAAGCAAATAGAGCACATGGCTAAATCCACCCCACCACCTGTTTTGTATGGCCCACAAAATAACAATTATTTTTCTATTTTTTAATAGTGTAGTGGGTTGAATATTGTCCCCACAAATGATAAATTGTATGTTGGTTCTTGTGAAAGTGACCTTATTTGGAAATAGGGTCTTTGCAGATGTAATCAAGCTAATGTAAAGTCATACTGTATTAGAGGAAGCACCAAATCCAATGACAGGTGTCTTTATAAGAGAAAGAAGAGGGAATCCAAATACAAAATCACACAGACAGAGAGAGAAGAAGGCCATGTGATGACAGAGGTAAAGATTAGAATGATGCGGCTATAAACCAAGGAACACCAAGGATTCCCAGGATCTACCAGAAGCTCAAAGAGGCAAGGAAAGGATTCTTCCCTAGAAACTTCAGGAGCATAGCTCTGCCAACACCTTGCTTTCAGGTTTCTAGCCTCTGAACTGAGAGAGAATAAATTTCTGTTGCCGAAAGCCACCACGTTTGTGATAATTTGTTACAGCAGCCCTAGAAGACTAACATAAACAGTTTTAAGAGAACAAAAGAATGATATTTGTTGACATGTGAAAATAATATGATACCAAATTTCAGCATCCATAAATAAAGTTTTATTGGAACACAGACACATTCATTTGTTTACACATTGTCTATGTATGTTTTCATTCTACGCTGGCAAAGTTAAATAGTTGCCACAGGGGACCATATGACCCACAAAGCTGGCAAAATTTACTGTGAAGCTCTAAATAGAAAAAGTTACTCAACTTCTGGACTTCAGCATTAATGTTTAAGGGAGGAATTAATACCTGAGAGAGGGTTCAGGTGCAGTACTGAGTACTGATGAGTACTGCATAGTACTGATGAGATCTGACCAAGTAATAGCCGGATAGATTTAAAAACTAAATGATCTGGCCAGGCGCGGTGGCTCACGCCTGTAATCCCAGCACTTTGGGAGGCCAAGGCGGGTGGGTCACCTGAGGTCAGAAGTTTGAGATCAGCCTGGCCAACATGGCGAAACCCCGTCTCTACTAAAAATACAGACATTAGCTAGGCATGGTGGCAAGCACCTATAATCCCAGCTACTTGGGAGGCTGAGGCAGGAGAATCACTTGAACCTGGAAAGTGGTGGTTGCAGTGAGCCGAGATTATGACACTGCACTCCAGCCTGGGCAACAGAGCAAGACTCCATCTCAAAAAAAATAAATAATAAATAAATAAATAAATAAATAAATATAAAAACTAAATGATAAATGAACAAAAACTCTGGAGATTTTTATGATTTTATGATGACAAATTTAAAGTTTTAAAATATTTAAAGTTTTAAAATAAATCAGGATTTGACAAAAAAAAAAAAAAAAAAACCTAGCAAAACATAAACCTGCCAGTCAAGAATAGTCTGTTGTCTTTGCGAAATAACTTAGATGACAGCAGTCATTGTTATGGGGAAGCTGGATATAATGGAAGAATGTGGAATAAAACTATTAATTTGCTTTAATATGTATAATGTAGGCAGAAAATATCTAGCAGAGATCTCCTGAAAATAGTACAAAATGGAATTGAAAAAAATGATTTAAAATTCAGATGTAGATTGACACCCTCCAATCTTCTCTTCGCTGTTGATGTGCCAAGTCTAAGCAATTAAAATGTTTTACTAATTGAACACCATAAGAACCTAACTGGCCAAGTTATCAAATCTAGTCCTACTATGATCTACCCTTAAGATGACATTCAGGCCAGGCGCAGTGGCTTACGCCTATAATCCCAGCACATTGGGAGGCTTAGGCGAGCGCATCACCTGAGGTCAGGAGTTCGAGACCACCCTGGCCAACATGGTGAATCCCCGTCTCTACTAAAAATACAAAAATTAGTCAGGCTTGGTGGCGTGTACCTGTAGTCCCTGCTACTCAGGAGGCTGAGGCAGGAAATCACTTGAACCCAGGAGGTGGAGGTTGCAGTGAGCCAAGATTGCATCACTGCACTCCAGCCTTGGCAATAGGGTAAGACTCCATCTCAAAAAAAAAAAAAAAAAAAGTACATTCAAAATGATTGTCCTAAAGTAGAAAGTTTAATCTCCTGTGGAACTTCTGTAGCTAATTTTTTAAAAATTAATAAAATGTTATTTAAACTCCTGTGCTCTGTATATAATACCTTTCAAAATTGGACCAAATCCCTCCTTCCAGTCCCATCTCATACCACTCCTCAATATTCCAGAAGCTTCTCCTATATTTAACATTGTTACATACACCTGTAACACCCCATGCTTACTCTTTTGCAATACTCATCATAATTTTAATTATTTATTCTTCTACATTATACTGAATTTATGACAGGATTATGTCTGTCAGGTTCACTATGCTATCCACAGCACCCAAACTGGTACATAGGTGTACAATAAATATTAGTTGAATAAAGAATAAATAAATGAACAAAGAAAGGATGAATAAATATGCCCCATCAACTCAGGACTCCCTGTGCACACAACGCTCCCTCAGGTGAGAATTCTCTTTGCTTTGTTTACCTATCCAGAAAATTCTTGCTCATCCTTCAAGAATGCAGACTCCACAGAAAATCTTTCCCTACAATTTCTGGCAGTTGTTCTGCCCCTTCTTCCACTTTGCTGAAACAATATTTACCATATCATACAGTAATGTACATATTGAATGGTACCTACATCTCACTAAACCTTGAGCTTCTCAATTCATCATTGTTTCCCCAACACTTAATTCAATGTACAAAACATATGAAGAGTCAAAATTTGCTGGGTAAATGAATTAACATTATCTTGAAAATTTAATTCAAGATAACAAAGTTCTAGATCATGTATTTTCACTCTTAGAAATTAGCTTTCACAATACACTGAAGTGCTTTAAACGATTATAATTAATATTTTAGTTCAAACAAAATTTAGAAATTAATGAAATTCCCGTTTGTAATCCCAGCACTTTGGGAGGCCGAGGCAGGTGGATCATGAGGTCAGGAGATCGAGACCATCCTGGCCAACACGGTGAAGCCCTGTCTCTACCAAAAATACAAAAATTATCTGGGCACGGTGGCACATGCTTGTAGTCCCAACTACGAGGCTGAGGCAGGAGAATCGCTTGAACCAGGGAGGTGGAGGTTGCAGTGAGCCGAGATCATACCACTGCAATCCAGCCTGGGTGACAGAGCGAAACTCTGTCTCAAAAAAAAAAAAAAAAAGAAATTTCATCTCATGCTATATTTTATTATACAAGTAATATATCCCCATGATACGACTAAAAAGTAGTCCAGAACAGTGGTTCATGACTGTTAAATCCCAGAGTTTTGAGAGGCCAAAGTGAGAGAATCACTTAAGTCCAGGAGTTCAAGACCACCCTAGGCAACACAGTGAGATGCCATCTCTACAAAAATTAAAAATTAAAAAATTAGCTGGTCATAGTGGTGCATGCCTGTGGTCCCAGCTACTCAGGAGGATGGCTTGAGCCCAGGAGATCAAGGTTACAGTGAGCTGTGATTGCACCACTGCACCCCAGCCTGGATGACAAAGTGAGACTGTCTCAAAAAAAAAAAAAAAAGAAGAAGAAGAAAAAAACAGACTAATAAGTTCATTTATATAACATGAAACCCTTTTCCCACCAATGTTCCCCATTTCAAATATTAACTATAATTATTAATTCATTCAGCATTTTCAAATGAATATTTTCAGTCCTTTGTCATGCAAATGACTACATACATACAATGACTGCATATGCATATGCAGGCAATCTTATTTTATTGCACTTCACAGATACTGTTTTTTTTTTTTTAAAAAAGTAAAGGTTTGCAGCAACGCTGCATGGAGCAAGTCTATCCAAGATATTTTTCCAAGAGCATGTGCTCACTTTGTCTCTGAATCACATTTTGGTAATTCTCCTAACATTTCAAACTTTCTCATTATTAGTATATCTGTTATGTGATCAGTCATCTTTAATGTTTTTGTTTTGTTCTGTTTTTGAGACAGAGTCTTTCTATCACCCAGGCTGGAGTGCAGTGGCACGATCTCAGCTCACTGCAACCTCCACCTCCCAGGTTCAAGTGATTCATGCCTCAGATACTAGCGTAGCTGGGATTACAGGCGTGCATCACCAACACCAGCTAATTTTTGTACTTTTAGTAAAGACATCATTTCGCCATGTTGGCCAGGCTGGTGGCAAACTCCTGGCCTCAAGTGATCTGTCCTCCTTGGCCTCCCAAAGTGCTGCGATTACACGCATGAGCCATCGCGCCTGGCCTATTATCATTCATGTTACCATTGCAATTGCTTTGGGGTGCCACGAACTGCAAACCATATAAGACAGCAAACTTAATAGATAAATGTTGTGTGTGTTTTGACTGCTCCACCAACTGACTGTTCCCCCATCTCACTCACTCTCCTCAGGTCTCCCTATTCCCTGAGACACAACAATATTGAAATTAGGCCAATTAATAACCTTGCAATTCTAAGTGTTCAAGTGAAAAGAAGAGATGTATGTCTTTCACTTTAAATCAAAAACTAGAAATAATTAAGCTTAGTGAGGAAAGCATGTTGAAAGCCAAGATAGGCCAGAGCTAGGCTTCTTGTTCCAGTGAGCCAAGTTGTAAATGCAAAGGAAAGTTCTCAAAGGAAATTAAAAGTGCTATAACAGTGAATACACGAATGACAAGAAAGCAAAACAGCCTTATTGCTGACACAGAGAAAGTTTTAGTGGTCTGAATAGAAGATTAAACCAACCACAACATTCCCTTCACCAAAACCTAATCCAGAGCAAGGCCCTAACTCTCTTCAATTCTATGAAGGCTGAGAAAGGTGAGGAAATTGCAGAAGTGTGAAGCTAGCAGAGGTGGGTTCATGAGATTTAAGGGAAGAAGCTATCTCCATAACATAAAAATGCAAGGTGAAGCAGCAAGTGCTAACATAGAAGCTACAGGAAGGGCTGGGCACGGTGGCTCACGCCTGTAATCCCAGCACTTTGGGAGGTCACGATGGGCGGATCATGAGGTCAGGAGAGCAGCTTGGCCAACATAGTGAAACCCCATCTGTACTAAAAATACAAAAAATTAGCTGGGCATGGTGGCAGGCACCTGTTATCCCAGCTACTTGGGAGGCTAAGGCAGGAGGATCACTTGAACCCGGGAGGTGGAGGTTGCAGTGAGCTGAGATCGTGTCATTGCACTCCAGCCCGGGCAACAGTGTGACACACCGTCTCAAAAAAGAAAAAAAAAAAGCTACAGGAAGTTATCCAGAAGATCTAGCCAAGATTGTTGATGAAGGTGGCTATACTAAACAACAGATTTTAGACAAAGGAGCCTTACATTGGAAGAAGATGTCATCTATGACTTTCGCAGCTAGAGAAAAGAACTCAATGCCTGGCTTCAAACCTTTAGAGAACAGACTGACTTTCCATACAACTGGTGACTTTAAGTTTAAGCCAATGACCATTTACCATTCTGACAATACTAAGGCCCTTAAGAATTACCTAAATCTACTCTGCCCATGTTCCATAAATGAAACAACAAAGCACACGTGTTTATAGCATGGTTTACTGAATATTTTAAGCCCACTGCTGAGACCTGCTACTCAGAAAAAAAAAATTCCTTTCAAAATATTACTACTCATTGACAACACACCAGGTCACCCAAGAGGTTGGATGTACAAGATTAATGTTGTTCTCATGCCTGCTAATACAATATCCATTCTGCAGCCCATGGATCAAGGAGTAGTTTGAACTTGCAAATCTTATTACTTACAACTATTTCATAAAGCTATAGTTGCTTTATGAGTGATTGATGAGAGAATGATTCCTCTGATGGATTGGGGCAAAGCAAATTGTAAACCTTCTGGAAAGAACTCACCATTCTACATGCCATTAAGGACATTTGTGATTCATGGGAGGTGGTCTAAATATCAACATTAACAGGAGTTTGGAAGCCACTGATTCTCACCCTCATAGATGACGTAGAGGGGTTCAAGACCAGTGAAGGAAGTAAATGCAAATGTGGTTGAAAGAGCAACAGAACTAGAATTAGAAATGAAGCTGGAAGATGTGACTGAATGCCTCCAATCTCATGATAAATCTTGAACAGATCAGGAGTTCTGTTTTTTTCTTATGAATGAGCAAAAAAAGAGGTTTCTTGAAATGAAATTTACTCCTGGTGATTATGCTGTGGACATTATTGAAATGACAACAAAGAATTTAGAATATTACATAAACTTAATTGAGAAAGCAGCAGCAGTGCTTGAGAGAATTGACTCCAATTTTAAAAGAAATTGTACTGTGGATGAAATGCTATCAAACAGCACTGCATGCTTCAGAGAGATCTTTCATGAAAGAAAGAGTCAATCAATATGGCAAATTTCATTGTTGTCTTATATTAAAAAATTGGCACAGTCATGCCAACCTTCAGCAACTACCACCTTAACTAGCAATCATCAACACTGGGGCAAGGCCTTCCAAAGATTATGACTTCCTGATCATTCCTGATATCACTATCAACTTGTAGCTATAAGTTTTTTTTAATTAATGTGTGTACTTTGTTTTAAACATAATGCTTTGGCTGGGCGCGGTGGCTCACGCCTGTAATCTCAGCACTTTGGGAGGCCGAGGCAGGTGGATCATGAGGTCAGAAGTTAGAGACCAGCCTGACCAACATGGTGAAACCCCATCTCTACCATAAATACAAAAATTAGCCATGTGTGGTGGCACATGCCTGTAATCCCAGCTACTCAGGAGGCTGAGGCAGGAGAATCATTTGAACCCAAAAGGCGGAGGTTGCAGTGAGCCGAGATCACGCCACTGCACTCTATCCTGGGAGACAGAGTGAAATTTCATGTCAAAAAAAAAAACAAACCATAATGCTTTGCACATAAAACTACAATATAATGTAAACATGATTTTTATATGCACTGGAAAAGCAAAAAATAATTCATGTGAATCATTTTATTACAGTATTCACTTTATTGCAGTGGTCTAGATCCAAACCCATGATATCTTTGAGGTATGCCTATACTATATGTATGTGTGTGTCTGTGTGTGTGTGTGTGTATGTGTGTGTGTGTGTTTGTACATATATACTATAAATCTTAATAGATATTAATCAATTTATACCAATCCTATTAAGACAGCTAATTTAAATGCATCTAAAATAAATGTCATAATTTAATTATAATTTTCCAATATCTGGAATCAATTAAGTTTCTGAAAAGTTTCAAGTGGGCCACCCAGTAATAAACACAAAATAAATTGTGTCTGCTGTCCTGTTAGTGATAATTTTTTATTGCTACCTCAGTTTCAGATGTCAGAGTAATGACTTCCATATTCTGATTGAAATGCAAATTGAAGCCATATGTTGGAAAGCACAGGCTTTCAATATCATCGCTTTCTTATTTTAGGCACAGTAAAACTATGTTTATAAAGGCTAACAATTATTCAGATAAATTGTCAATTCCAGATCTAGAAAATGTGGAATTTTACATTTTAAACTATGACAATATATGTACTTATGGCACATAATAAATAGGTATTCTCATGTTTACACATCTCATTGGCCAAACTGGAATGGAAACTATAAAACAGTAACAGAATGAATGTTAACTGATTTTCTTCAAGAGTTACAAATGAAAAGTAATTCTATAAATCTATTTTTTAATCCTAAGATTTGGTAATGTAACTAAAATTTACCATTAATCTATATTCTTAAAAATAGATTAATATTTTTAATTTATTTCACTGATAGGTTAAATAAACTAAATAGCATATAAATCAATTTAATGTTTAATAAATATCTAAGACTATGCTACAAGTTTCCCTAGGATCTTCTTGGATTGAGATTCAAACATGATCAGCCCAATAATGAATTTAAGTATCACAGGATTTACTGTTTTTCTCTTTGTGACATTAAACCCAAAATGCTATGTGTATAAAACTGACTTTTCATTTAAAAAGAAAAATGTTGATGTTATAAGTAAATTCTCATACAAATACTCTCTAAAAAGGTGAATCATGAATATTTTAATCAAGAGTAAATACTTCTAAATTTAGCTGTCTAAAATCAACTAGATGTAAAAACTAATAGAAAAGTCTATGCCAATTAAACCATTAAATTGCACAATTTATATACCTCAAAGGCTGTAAATTAAATGTAAATATAGTTCAGTTGCAGAAGTCAAAGGCAAAGTAATTACAAAAGTATTTACTTAAAGAGGGACTGGCATTAGGTGGGGTAGGGGGAAATCATAGCTCTGATGCCAAATAAAATCACTTTATTTTACTTTTTTAAAATGTTCTACTTGAAATGTAAGGATAGAGATATTTTAAGATTAAATTTGCTACAGTCATTTCCAATGCAGAGACAAAATGCTTATAAACTAAAATGACCTAGAATTTTGGTTTAATTATTAAAGAGATGTTAATAATATGCTATAGGACTTGAGCATTATGACATAGTTTTTTAACAAAATAATGGATAGCAGAGAGATGTTTCTTAAGGTTTGGCCTACACAAATTTCTTAAATAAAATTAAACAAATTTCTTTGATATAATTTTAAATCTACACTATACATTATACTATTAAATGCTTAATCAGCCCCCATCTTTGACTAGAGCTTCTCTTACATAGCTCAACATTCAACATTCCTCCAAAAGTCTTTGTATATATTGCTTTCATTTAGGTTTAAAGATGATCAATAATGGTAACTATGCATGAATATAATGGAATATGGTCAGCCATCTATTCTAGGCTTCTGTTTTCCTAGCTATTTGCAAGACTAACTTGTCTGTCAAAGCCCTTTGTTATAAAAAGAAGCATGCTATTACAAGTACTGCATCCTCGGTTGACTAGTGTGTACAATTATTTCCAAGTCCTGTACAGCTATGCCCCTCAGTTCTCAGGCAGTGCCAATACTGTGTTCTTTTGCCCACCTTGTTTACAATGGTTTGGTAACACACACAAAAGCAGCTTAACTGTTATAATGTAGTCCATTTTTCCAACATATGCAGCTCAAAAGTTAAAAATGAATACATGTTTAAAATACTAAATATATAAAGCTCAGAATCAATAAATGTGATGGGATTCATATAATTGAACATCAGTGTAATGACAGGAACTAAAACTGTACTGCTCTACAAGTATGTTCCAAATGTCAAGGTCAATTCTCCATCGGTTGTTCAAAATCATATTCTACTGTTTCATATTTGGACTATCACCTTCCTATACAGCTTGTTGTTTTTTACGGAGCTTGTAATTGTTTTTCTTTTCTCATTGTTGGAAAAAACACAATTTTAGTACATCACTGAGTTTTTCACTTCTTTAGTCAGATGTTTCCAAATGATATCTACATTTTTTTTGAAACCTCTGAGTTCCTATTTAAACTTGGATGAATGCCTTGCAAGATGTGCTGAATAGCTGTTATCTTGAAATTTCTTTGTGTTGCATTCTTGAGTTGGTTTCACTGTTTCTAGGATCTGTTATTTTTCTCTTGCTTGGGTTCCTTTTTATTTTGCTGGAGTACATTCTCAATTTTCCTTCAAGAGAGACTAGATGAGAGGTAAACTCTCAGTCCTCAAATGGCTGAAAATGTCTATATTTTGCCTTCACTTGATTCTGATTCACAGTTTGGTTGGACATAGAATTCTAGATCCAAATCATTTTCCTTCAGAATTGTGAAGGTGCTTCACAGACATGATCATAATCATAGTGACAACAACAATGACAATAGCAATAATAAAAGCAAACACTGATTGAGATCTTCCTATGCACTAGTACGTCTTTTATATGTATTATTTTTCACAACATACACAATATATAGGGATCATATTGTGATGATCCCTATATCTCACAGCTGAGAAAATGGAGGCATAACAGTAAAATTGTTTCACCAAGATCATTATACAACCAGTAAGAGACAGTGTCTGGAAAATCTTTCTTAGTGACCAAAGTCCTGAAATAGTACTGAAAAGATCTCAGCTTTCCCAGACTAGTAAATCAGGGGCCTAGGAGTCAAATGGACACTAATTAGTGTGAAAACTGATACCAAAATTTAGGTCTGTTATAGAATCAGTTTTCTTTCCACTCTTCCATGCTTTCTCTTTTTGTCTCTTCATGTTTACCAGGTTGCTGCCACATTTACAAGAACAGAAAGCCAACTTAATATTAACCAACACAATAAACTAAATCTTGTTACAAGTGTTTGGTTTTATAAAAGAGTTAAATCTTTAAAATATCTTTATTAAATTATTAAACTCATCAATCATCTAACAATGAAAATAATTGTAGAGTTAAAATAATACAAGCCAGAGCTGAAAGATTCAGGCCTACATTGTCAAGGTGCATTTTAGAGAAAAGGTTTTTCTTTCCTTTTCAATTTTTCTTCCTTTCTCTATTTTTCTTTAAATACTTCCTCACAAACACAAGATCAAGTACCAAGAAAAGTAATTCTTGCCTGACTCCTGCAGCTTTTTAGTAAAAATGGAAATTACAATGTGAACTATCTTTCATCAAATGGCATTTATAAGTTGGGCCATGACTTTTCATCTTCTATTTGCTAATCACTATTGGAGATACAAAGGGCATGCCTTAGAGACATATTCTAAATAAGATACTTTTTCCTATACATTTAAGCCATTTATAATCTCTTAAATTTCTTCATTGTACAGCTCACTTTATTGAACCAATTACCAATTTTCTGCACGCCAAAGTGCAAAAAATTCCAGAATCTATGCATTATAGGATACATCTAGGCATAATTCCTCAATTAATCATTTCTGATAAGCAGTACAATTCAGTGTTAAACTTATGTTATTTTCATGAAAATCTGCTGAGAGGTACTACTAAATGATGTAATTCATTATTGGAAGAAAAAAAAACCCTTATCATATGCCATTCAGCCATATAATTTAACAAATGATAAGAACCTGTATCATGCTAGGCATCAGCCCTACACGATTTTCTTCCAAAAAATTTAACATATAATGTATTGTTTTAAAACTAAAGTACTTAAACTCTTAAATTTGTAAATGTGTTTTTACCACTTACATTTACATTTTAGTATTATAATAATTTTACATACAAGATTGTAAAGATGATATTTAACCTTGCAATTAAACTGTATCTCACAAGAAGAATGAGTTCAATAAATATCATGCAAGGAAAGACACCGTTCTTCGCTTCTGTTTTTGAAAATTACTAAATATTATAATAAACCATAGCCATGGATATCACAATAAAAGAAACACATACAAATGATAAAAACTCTGTGAAATACGGTTGATGACCAGAGAGCTACAGAACACAGTAAAACAGTGAGCGATTTTTTAGGGCTTAAGTAGTTAACTGAATGAATGTAAATTAAATAAGTTATTTTTCCTTTGGTTTTAAAAGTACAATACACTTGAATAATTTAATTCCTAAAAGTACAAGTAATGCTTACCTTCTAGACCAAAGTCACATAAAATGATTTAACACAGACGTGTACTGAGTCAATATCCATGCTGAGGCTGCCTAAGGCTGTCATAGTAGTGCTAAATTTTTATAAGCATTGCTATTATATCCAGCCCTTTAGATTCAACATTAATTAAAAAACCATAAATAAAACAATCATGCTCTATATTGCAACTATTGCCACATATAAGGTTTGTTTCCTGGTATCACTATTTAAAAAGCCTCAAGTTCTAGAAGGTCATCAATCAATAACATTTAGATAGGCTACAATAGCAGAGTAAAAGCACTAAACCCAGGATCAAATCCTGAGTTTTCAATATTAATTTATATATTATTACTCTGAGTTTAGAGAAGTCATATATCCTTTTATATTCAGTTTTGCTCATCTATAAATGGGACAATAAAACCAGTCATGCCTATTTAACAGGGTGCTTTTGACAGGTTAAATGGAAAAATGTATGGGAGCATGTTTCAAAGCAATAAACAAACACAAGCTATATTTCTATGTGGGTATAATTCACTGAATACAAAGCATTCAGGTTATTAATGCAGGAAATTTCTTTTTCTTTTTTTTTTTTTTTTTTTTTGAGACGGAGTCTTGCTCAGTCGCCCAGGCTGGAGTGCAGTGGTGCGATCTCAGCTCACTGCAAGCTCCACCTCCCGGGTTCACGCCATTCTCCTGCCTCAGCCTCCCGAGTAGCTGGGACTACAGGCGCCCACCACCACGCCTGGCTAATTTTTTTTTTGTATTTTTAGTAGAGACAGGGTTTCATCATGTTAGCCAAGATGGTCTCAATCTCCTGACCTCGTGATCCACCCGCCTCAGCCTCCCAAAGTGCTGGGATTACAGGCGTGAGCCACAGCGCCAGGCTAGGAAATTTCAAAGATAGACATAGAAGACAAAATCTCAGACATGGAAGAGCTTATTTCAGAGAACAATAAATAAAAATACAGAAAACCCATATATTAAATAACTAAAAGATGTGAAACAAAAAAATCCCTTTAAATTCACGACCAAAAAAATAGGCCATCAACAAAAACTCCTAGGATTAATTAAGGAAAGTAGAGATGGGAGAAAAATAACTAAGCATTTCTTCGTCCTTCTTTGCTAAGGAGTCCTAAGCTTCTACATATACTCTATAGCTATGTTTAGGAAACTACATTTTAAGACTTCAACAATGACTTATTTTGTCTACAGTTAGCGAAAGAATGCAGAACTAGAAAATGAAACATCTAGGTTGAAGTACATAAGGCATCTATGGCAGGGCTAAGTCCCAGAACTTACTTTCATGTCAGCTCCAGGCAAGTATTCTGGGAAACTAATCACATATTATGAATATGACTGCGCAATGCTAGTAACCTAAATATTACTTCCTCCTTTATATAATGCCTGTAATTTTTAAAAGTATGCAATTTTTTATTGACCCTGAATTATTCATTTATTCATCACACACACACACACACATACACACACACACATTCCTTTAAAAAGCAGTCAAAAATAGAGTTCTATGTTTCTTTATCAAAGAATGTTACGAAAAAAACATTTCTTTAAATTACTCATCTCTTACCTAGTGGAATAATCCATTATTACTGTGTAGAAATGCTAGGTTTAATAGCTTCTTTTCCCTCTTGGGTCATATTGACTTAGTCTTTGTAATAATCACCAAAAAATGATCTATGAATTATTCCATTTGACAGATGAGAAAATTTAGATTTGCAGTTATAGTCACAAAGCTATTAAATGGTAAACCAGGATTCAATTTTTTTTTTTTTTAAATTCAAAGACAGGTTCTCACTCTGTGCCCAGGCTGGAGTGCAAGCATGGCTCACTATAACCTCAAACTCTCGGGCTCAAGCAATTGTCCTGCTTCAGCCTCCCAAGTAGCTAGGTCTACAGATGCAAGCCGCCATGCCCGGCCTTCCAGGATTCAAATTTAAATCCATCTAACTCTAGAGCTAGTGTTCTTAACCACTTTACTGTGTTTTTTGGTAATTTGAGTTGGAAAACTATCTATATCCTTTTGCATAAGTGGTATACAGACCAAAAATAATACCACGGAGAACTGCCCTCTCCTTGAGGAATTTCGACACTGCCACAACCAGCTATACCTCTACAGTGGGTACACTGCCACTCAGGTCATAAATGATTGCTTTAGGGATGGACATTTCAACCAAGTTCTCTCAACCAAAAATCTGGAGTAACATAAAAAAGCCAGGCAGTAGAGAAGGAAGAACCCAGAGGAAGTCATTCTGTTATCCATTCCATTAAGAGGAAGATAACTTGTTTGCCAGTCAATAACATTTACTCATATATGGCTTACTTCTCTATCTAATTAACACATAAAGAAAAATTTAAAATCCACCAATACACTGACATACAGTACAATAACAGTGGCAAAAAAAAAAGAGTTGGTGCTTTTAAATTATTTCAAAGTATGTTAGCAAAAGCTGATTTACTTTAACATACTGCAGGAACACGTAAAACTCCAGGATGATTGAAGGGTTTTTGATGCTGCAAACATAATTTAAGTTTATTAAGATAAAACTGACATATAATAGTCCCCCTTTATCCATGGTTTTGTTTTCCATGGTTTTAGTTACCAGCAATAAATTGTGATCCAAAAATACTTAATAGAAGATTCCACAAATAAACAGCTCATAAGTTTTAACTGCTATGTCACAATGCCTACATCATCAACCTCACTTCATCTCCTCATGCTGGCAATTTAGTATCTCACAACACTACAAGAAGAGGAAGGTGAGCACAGTACACCAAGGAATTCTCAGAGACACAGAGATACCACATTCACATAACTTTTATTACAGTGTATTATTATAATTGTTCTATTTTATTGTAGCTATTGTTGTTAATCTTTTACTGTGCCAAATTTATAAATTAAACTTCATTAGGATATGCATATATAGGAAAAATATCATGCATATATAGGAAAAACATCATGTGTCTAGGTTTCAGGCATCTACTGGAGGTCTTTGAACACGTATTTAGCGGCAGATAAAGGGGGACAACTTTACAATAAACACCAAAAATTTAAAGAGCATATTTTGAAAAGTTTTTCCATATGTACACACTCTAAAATGATCATCACGACAAAAATAGTTAACACATCTATCACCTCCAAAGTTTCCTTGTGTTCCTTTGTACTCTCTCTCACCCAATCCCTTCACTCCCTACTCTCCCACCACATACCTGCTTTCTATTACTATAGATTACATTATCCTTTTTTTCTTAGCTTCTTTCACTCATAATGATTTTGACATTCTTCCATATTGTTCAGTATGTCAAAGCTCTTTCCCTTTTATACATGAGACGTATACCACTGTTTGGACATAGCACAATATGCTTATCGAATCACCTATTAATGAACTTTTGATTACTTCTAGTTTTTGGCAAACAACCAAAGGCTCTAAGAATATTTGTATACAAGTCTTTACACAGAAATCAGAATTCATATGCCTTAGACAAACAAAAATGGAAGCACAACAAACCAAAATTTATGGGATGCAGCAAAAGTAGTTCTAAAGGGGAAATTTATAGCACTAAACGCCTAGGTCAAAAAAGAAACGAAGATTTCAAATAACAAATCTAATGTTACACCTTAAGGAACTAGAAAAAGACAAACTAAGCCCAAAGTAAACAAATGAAGGAGATAACAAAGATCAAAGCAGAAATAAATAGAGACTAGAAAAACACTATAAAAAAATCAACAAAACTGAGAGTTTTTTTAAATAAAATTGACAAACCCTTAGCTAGTCTAAGAGAGAAGAAAAATAAAATGAAAAATGAAAGAGACATTGGATTAAAGACTTAAATGTTAGACCTAAAACTATAAAAACCCTAGAAGAAAACCTAGGCAATACCATTCAGGACATAGGCATGGGCAAGGACTTCATGTCTAAAACACCAAAAGCAATGGCAACAAAAGCCAAAATTAATAAATGGGATCTAATTAAACTAAAGAGCTTCTGCATGGCAAAAGAAACTATCATCATAGTGAACAGGCAACCTACAGAATGGGAGAAAATTTTTGCAATCTACCCATCTGACAAAGGGCTAACATCCAAAATCTACAAAGAACTTAAACAAATTTACAAGAAAAAATCAAACAACCCCATCAACAAGTGGGCAAAGGATATGAACAGACACTTCTCAAAAGAAGACATTTTTGCAGCCAAAAGACACATGAAAAAATGTTCATCATTACTGGCCATCAGAGAAATGCAAATCAGAACCACAATGAGATACCATCTCACACCAGTTAGAATGGCCATCATTCAAAACTCAGGAAACAACAGGTGCTGGAGAGGATGTGGAGAAATAGGAACACTTTTACACTGTTGGTGGGACTGTAAACTAGTTCAACCATTGTGGAAGATAGTGTGGTGATTCCTCAAGGATCTAGAACTAGAAATACCATTTGACCCAGCAATCCCATATGGGTATATACTCAAAGGATTATAAATCATGCTACTATAAAGACACATGCACACGTATGTTTATTGTGGCACTATTCACAATAGCAAAGACTTGGAACCAACCCAAATGTCCATTAATGATAGCCTGGATTAAGAAAATGTGGCACATACACGCCATGGAATACTATGCAGCCATAAAAAAGATGAGTTCATGTCCTTTGTAGGGACATGGATGAAGCTGGAAACCATCCCTCTGAGCAAGCTATCACAAGGACAGAAAACTAAACACTGCATGTTCTCACTCATAGGTGAGAATTGAACAATGAGAACACTTGGACACAGGGTGGAGAACATCACACACCAGGGCTTGTCGTGGGGTGGGGGGAGGGGGGATGGATAGCATTAGGAGAAACACCTAATGTAAATGACGAGTTAATGGGTGCAGCACACCAACATGGCACATGTATACATATGTAACAAACCTGCACATTGTGCACATGTACCCTAGAACTTAAAGTATAATAAAAAAAACTATGAATAATTATATGCCAACAAATTATATAACCTAAAAGAAATGGATAAATTATTAGACACATACAACCTACCAAGACTGAATCATGAAGAAATAAAAAATATCTAAATAGACCAATGATATAGTCTGTATATTTGTCCCCAATGAAATGTCATGTTGAATTGCAATCCTCAATGCTACAAGTGGGGCCCAGTGGGAAGTGTTTGTATCATGGGGTTGGATCCCTCATGGCTTGGTGCTGTCTTCGTGATAGCGAGTTCTCGTGAAATCCAGTTATTTAAAAGTGTGTGGCACCCTCAATCCCTACCCTTGCTCTTGCTTTCACCACGTGACATGCTGGCTCCCACTTCACACCTTCTGCCATGACTGTAAGCTTCCTGAGGACTCCCCAGAAGCTGATGCCAGGACTATGCTTCCTGTACAGCCTGCAGAACCGTGAGCCTGCAGAACCATTAGCCAATTAAACCTCATAAATTATCCAGCCTCTGATACTGATATCTCTTTATAGCAATGCAATAATGGCCTTATACAACCAATAATGAGTAAGCAGATAGAATAAATAACAAAAAGTTTCCCATCAAAGAAAATCCAAGGACCTGGTGAATTCTAATAAACACTTACAGAAAAACTAATACCAATCTTTCTCAAACTCTTCCAAAAAATTGAAATAGAAGGAATATG
Source organism: Homo sapiens (assembly GCF_000001405.40). NCBI lineage: Eukaryota > Metazoa > Chordata > Mammalia > Primates > Hominidae > Homo > Homo sapiens. The sequence goes on along the minus strand of NC_000011.10, from coordinate 87,106,587 downwards.
CCCAAACTCATTTTACAAAGCCAGTATTACCCTGATACCAAAGCCAAACAAGGACACTTCAAGAAAAGAAAATTACAGGCCAATATCCCTGATGAACATAGATGCCAAAATCCTTAACAAAATACTAGCAAACTAAATCCAATTAATACATTAAAAGAATATTTCACTTGAAATACTGTCAGTTAGCCGGGTGCAGTGGCTCATGCTTGTAATCCCAACACTTTGAGAGGCTAAGGCGGATGGGTCAGCTGAGGTCAGGAGTTCGAGACCAGCCTGGCCAACATGGTGAAACCCCATCTCTACTAAAAATACAAAAAGTAGTCAGGCGTTGTGGCAGGCACCTCTATTCCCAGCTACTCAGGAGGCTGAGGCAGGAGAATCACTTGAACCCAGGAGGTGGAGGTTGCAGTGAGCCGAGATCACCCCACTGCACTCCAGCCTGAGCAACAGAGAGAGACTCTGTCTCAAAAAAAAAAAAGAAAGAAATACTGTCAGTTGCAGCAACACAGATGGAACTGGAGATCATTATATTAAGTGAAAAAAGCCAGGCACAAAAGATAAACATCACATATTCTCACTCATATGTGAGAGCTAAAAAAGTTGATCTCCTGGAGACAGACAGCAGAATGATAAATACCAGAAGCTGTGTAGGGGAAAGGGAGATGAAGAGAGGTTAGTGAATGAGTACAAACATAAAGTGAGATACAGGAAATAAGTTCTAGTGTTCTATAGCACAGTAGGGTGAGTGACTATAGTTGACAACAGTATATTTCAAAATAGCTAAAAGAAAAGATTTAAAATGTTCCCAACACTACAGAAATCTGTAAATAAAAAAGGAAAAATGTTCTCAACACAAAGAAATGATAAATGTTCAAAGTGATGGATATCCTACATTACATAGTCTATGCATGTATCAAAATATTACATGTAGCATATAAATATGTACAAGTAATATATATCCATTTAAGTGTTTTTACTTGTTTTTTAAAAATCTTTCACCATGATCAAGTGGCATTTAACCCTGGGAGGCGAGGATGGTTCAACATGAAATCAATAAATGTGATAGGCCAGCGGTCCCCAACTTTTTTGGAACCAGAAAACGGATTCGTGAAAGACAATTTTCCATGGATGCAGGGCGGGGTGGGTCCGTGGGAGTTGGTTTCAGGATGAAACTGTTCCACCTCAGATCATCATAAGAAGCATGCAACCTAGATCCCTCACATGTGCAGTTCGCAATTGGGTTCGGGATCCTATGAGAATCTAATGCCGCTGCTGATCTGACAAGAGGCAGAGCTCAAGCAATAATGCTCGCTCACCCGCGTATCATCTCCTGTTTTGCAGGCTGATTCCTGACAAGGTTCATGGCCCAGGGTTTGGGGACCCCTGTGATATGCCACATTAGCAGGACGAAGGATGAAAACCTTATGATCATCTCAAGAGATGCAGACAAAATTCAACATCCTTTCACAATAAAACTCTCAACAAATTAGGTATAGAGGAATGTACCTCAACACAATAAAGGCCATATATGACAAGCCCACGGCTAACATCATACTCAACAGTGAAAAGTTGAAAGCAGTCTCTAAGATGAGGAAAAAGTCAAGGATGCCCACTCTCACCATCTCTTTTCAACATAATACTTGAAGCCCTAACCAGAGCAATTAGGCAAGAGAAACAAATAAAAGTAATCCTAGTAGGAAAGAAAGAAGTAAAACAATCTCTGTTTGTAGACTGTATGATCTTATACACTAAAAACCCTAAAGATTCCACCAAAAGACTGTTGGAACTGATAAATAAATTCCGTACGGTTGCAGGACACAGTGTCAACATACAAAAATCAGTAATATTTTTATACACTAATACTCAACTATTCAAAAATAAATTAAGAAAAAAATCCCATTTACAACAGCAACAACAAAAAATAAAATCCTTAGGGGTATATTTAACCAAGATGGTAAAAGATCCACATACTAAAAACACTATAAAACACTGATAAACAAAACTGCAGAAAAACACCCATGTTCATGAATTGGAAAAATCAACATTGTTAAAATGTTCATACTGCCCAAAGCAATCTATAGATTCAATGCAATCCTTACTGAAATTCCAATGTAATTTTTCACAGAAATAGAAAAAGCAATCTTTAAGTTCAAATGGAACCACAAAAGACCCCAAACAGCCAAAGAATCCTGAGCAAAATGAACAAAGCTAGAAGCCATCACATTCCCTGATTTTAAAATATATTTTAAATCTATTTTAATCAAAACAGCATTGTACTGTCATAAAAAAAGACAGACAGACCAACGGAACAGAATAAATAACCCAGAAATAAATAAACCCACAGTTATGGTCAATTGATTTTTGACAAAGGTGCTAACAACACAAAACAGGAAAAGAACAAGTCTCCTCAATAAACGGCGTTAGGAAAACTGGATATCTACTTGCAAAAGAATGAAACTGGGCTCTTATCTATATGTTATATAAAAATTAATTCAAAATGGATTAAAGACAATAAATATAAGCTCTTCCATAAAATGACTAAAAGAAAATATAGGGCAAAAGCTTCATGGCACTGGTCTAGGCAATTTTTTTGGGGGTATGAACCCAAAAGCACAGGCAATAAAAGCAAAAATAGACAAATGGGATTATATCAAACTAAAAAGCTTCTGTACAGCAAAGGAAACAATTAACAGGGTAAAGAGACAACCTACAGATTGGAAGCCTGGGCAACATGGTGAAACCCCATCTCTACAAAAAGTACAAAAACTAGCCGGGCATAGTGACATGCGCTGTAGTCCCAGCTACTCAAGAAGTTATGGGAGGACTGCTTGACCCTGGGAGGTGAAGGTTGCAGTGAGCCAAGGTTGCGCCACTGCACTCCAGCCTGAGTGACAGAGCGAGATCCTGTCTCAAAAAAAAAGGAGACAACCCACAGATTCCAAAGATTAGGAGAAAATATTTGCAAATTATACATCTGATAAAGGGTTAATATCCAAAATATGTAAGGGATTTAACACAATTACAAGGAAACAACTCAATTAAAAAAATGGGCAAAGGACCTGAACAGACATTTCTCAAAAACAAAAAAACAAACAAAAAAAAAAAACAAAAAAAACATGGCTAACACACACATTTAAAAATGCTCAACATCACTAAAAATTAGGGAAATGCAAATTAAAATCACAATGAGATATTGCCTAACACCTGTTAGAGTGGCTACTATCAAAGTCAAAAGATAACAAAGTGTTGGCAAGTACCTGGAGGAAAAGGAATCCTTGTACACTATTGGTGAGAATGTAAAATGATACAGTCATTATGAAAAACAGTATGGAAGCTCCTTAAAAAACTAAAAATACCATATGATTTTTCTCTAACAAGTGATCCAGCAACCCCACTTCTGAGTATGTATCCAAAGAAAGTGAAATCGGTATGTCAAAGGGATGTCTTCATTCCCATGTTCACTCCAGCACTATTCACAATAACCAAGACATGGAATCAACCTAATGAACCTGGAAGACATTATGCTAAGTTAAAATAAGCCAGGCACAGAAAAAAATACCACATGATCTCACTTATATGTGGAATCTTATGAAAGTCCAACTCATAGAAGTACAGAGTAGAATGGCAGTTAACAGAGCCCAAGGGAAGAGGGGGTTGTGATGATAAGTTTCAGTGAGACAAGAGAAATAAATTTTTGAGATATATTGCACAGCAGGGTGACCATAGTTAATAAGGACATAATGTACATTTCAAAATATATTATAGCTAAGAGTAAATTTCAAATGTCTGACAACTGAGGTGATGTTAATTTGATTTAATCATTTCATGCTGTATATATACATATATACATATATATATACATATATATATATACATATATATACATATATATATACACACACATATATATATCAAAACATCACATTGCACCCCATAGATGTATACAATTATGACTTGTCAATTAAAAATAACTTAAAAAGAAATAAAAATTTATTTCTCTAAAGTAAATGTCTATGAGTAGATTGGTTGGCTCATACGGAAAAGTATATGTTTATCCTTTTAATAAACTGTCAAATTGGCTTCCAAAGTGGTTAAACAATTTTACATTCCCACATGCAGGAATATGATAGTTCCAGTTCCTATATATTCATACCAACATTTGCTCTTGTCAGACTTTTCCCATATCTTGCCATATGCATCTCGTCCATCTGGCTGTTCATCCATAACCTTTCTAATATCCTCTATAATAAACCAGTAAATGTAAGCAAAGTGTTTCCCTTAGTTCTGAGCTGCTCTGGTAAATTAGCTGAACTTGAAGAGGGGGTAGTGGGAACTCCAATTTATAGCTGATCAGTTGGAAGTACAGATAACAACTATTACTTTCTATTGGCATCTGAGGTGGAGGCAGTCTTATGAAACTGAGCCCTCAACCAGTGGAATCTGATGCTATCTCCAGGTAGACAGTATTAGAATTAAATTGAATTAGAGGACACTAAGCTGGTGTCTGCCAGAGAATGTGCTTCCAGAGAACTGCTTGGTCTGTGGGGATCATTCTCTGTTGAGTGAAAGAACAAGAGAAAGTACTTTTTTCTTCTTCTTTTGTTTTTTTTCCCCGAGACGGAGTTTTGCTCTTGTTGCCCAGGCTGAAGTGCAATGGCGTGATCTCAGCTTAATGCAACCTCCGCCTCCCAGGTTCAAGCTATTCTCCTGCCTCAGTCTCCCGAGTAGCTGGGATTACAGGCATGCGCCATCACACCCGGTTAATTTTGTTTTTTTAGTAGAGACGGGTTTATCCATGTTGGTCAGGCTGGTCTCGAACTCCCAACCTCTGGTGATCTGCCCGCCTCGGCCTCCCAAAGTGCTGGGATTATAGGCGTGAGCCACTGTGCCTAGGCTGAATCACCATTTTCAAACCTATGTTTGAAAAATCAAATACAGATGTTTTAATAAAAGACACTGCATGTTTAACATTAAAAACCAAATGCTAAAGACAAATTGCTAACATACATTACATGTATGTTTACAATTAAAACGTAGATACTGTTAAAATGTTTGGTGGCATAAATAAAATTACAGAGAAGTTTTCAAAAGGACTCAAACAGAAGGATTTTTAAATGTCTTAAATTTTTTTCTTATAATAAAATGTAAGTGAACTAACTACATTTGACATCACATTTTAAACATGTTAGCAGCATATAATAAATTTTGAAAGATTGGAAAACTTAGTTATTGTCACAACTGATATAATAAAGGAAAATCATGCAAGTGCAAATTTTGCTTATGTGTTCTCTTTTAAATCATACTGTGGCAAAGTTAAATTCTAACAGCAAGTGTTCTCTTATGGGTAACTGGTTCTGGCATACTAGCCCCAGGAAAATTTTTTCATAATTTTAGAGACATATCTTGGCCAGAGAAAATATTTAACTCTTTATACTTCTTTCTATATACATTTCATTCATTTTGACCTTTAATAACTAATTCACTATCAACATTTAAAATCTAGAAAACTACTATTTTTTAAATTGGGTACTTTTCACTCTAATACACACTAACTAACATGTAACAAGAAAGCAACATTTTCAGATGGGTATTAATACAATTGCCTTCAATTTGTATGTTTTTAAGTGCTAGTTAATCGTTAAGGCTATAAACTAATGGTCTAATAATTGCAACTTATCAAAACTTACTTGTATCTGATGGCTCTTTTTCTTAAAGCTCTTTTTTTTTTGAGACAGTATTGCTCTGTTGCAAAGGCTGGAGTGCACTGACGCAATCTTGGCTTACTGCAACCTCCACCTCCTGGGTTCAAGCGATTCTCCTGCCTCAGCCTCCCTAGTAGGTAGGATTACAGGCGCATGCCACCACGCCTGGCTAATTTTTGTATTTTTAGTAGATACGGAGTTTCACCATGTTGGCCAGGCTGGTCTCGAACTCCTGACCTTAGGTGATCCACTTGCCTTGGCCTCCAAAATACAGATGACTTTTACTTTCCTCTTTATTTTCCAAATCAGAAACACATACCAAAAAACAGTAAATATTTTGTTTAAATAAAACCTCACAACATTTAGAAATTTTATTGTTGGATGTTATAAGCCAACAATTTCAACTTAGTCTCATAAGCAATATAATCAAGTCATAAGAAAAGTTTACTTCTTTAGATTGAATTCAGTTCTCCCTGAATCTTTAAATCCCTACCTGTTCTGAAACAAGCACCCTCTTCATGTAGTAAAAGTTATACAGTAATAAATAAATGGCTCTGTTTAGATAAAAAGGAAGATGAAGTGTATCAGGTAATTATTAGTATCCAGAAAATATTATGATCATGTTCAAATTCACTTTCCCTCAGACATAGTCAAAATCTATGTATCAAGTCTTTGATCTCATTAAAGTTTTGAATTACTGAGCATTTATAAATGGCTAAAAACACCAATTCACATTTTGCATTTTCCCAGAAATTTTTCTAATACTAAAATTTACAGACAAATGTACCCCCTCAAAAAAGTTTTCCATTTTAAAGAACTAGAGATTCAAAGGTTTCTTCTACGTTGGGAACCCTAACAAAACGATACAGCCACCACTCAGGAACACATTTGACAGTTTCTTTAAAAACTAAACTTGGTGGCTCACACCTGTAATCCCAGCACTTTGGGAGGCCGAGGAGGGCAGATAACAAGGTCAGGAGTTCGAGACCAGCTTGACCAACAAGGTGAAACCCCGTCTCTACTAAAAATACAAAAATTAGCCAGGCATGGTGGTGCACACCTGTAATCCCAGCTACTCAGGAAGCTGAGGCAGGAGAATCGCTTGAACCTGGGAGGCGGAGGTTGCAGTGAGCCAAGATCACGCCACTGCACTCCAACCTGGATGACAGTAAAACTCTGCCTCAAAAAAAAAAAAAAAAAAAACCACCATGAAACATGTAACCACAATATAAACCCAGCAACTGCACTAATGGGCATTTATCCCAGACCAATAAAAACATGAAAATCTGTACATGAATATTTATAGCAGCTTTGTTCATAACAGCTAAAAACCATGAACAGGGGTTAAGGAGGGGTGACAACAGGAGAGAAGTGGGTGTTGCTATGATGGAAATATTCTGTATCCTGACTGTATCAATTAAATATTCTGGTTTTGATATTATATTATATTATAGTTTTGCGATATGCTACCATTGGGGGAAAATGGGTAAAGAGAACATGGGATCCCTATATTATTTTTTATAATTGCATATGAATCTATAATTATTTCAAAATAAAAGTTTTAATTTTTTTTTAAATACAGTATTTTAAGTGTGCTCTCCAACATCAATAATATCAAAGTCAAAGATCTCTTTCCCAGGAATTCACAATCTAAAGCAGACAACACACAAAAGTTTTAGTAAGTTTACTTATAATTTTCAAATAAGTGTATGAATACGCACAGTATTTGGGTATTGAAGTACACAGCGTGTGCTACTATAGAAAAGCATGTGAGTGTCTAAAAAAATACACTAAAACTCAAATGTATGCTAGCGTGCAGGCATAATACTTTAAAGTTTTCTTGAAAACATAAGAAAAGCAGCACAACAACAAAGCCATTAAGAAAATTTAAGATATTTGGCTGGGCACGGTGGCTCACACCTGTAATCCAAGCACTTTGGGAGGCCGAGGCGGGCGGATCACGAGGTCAGGAGATCGAGACCATCCTGGCTGACATGGTGAAACCCCATCTCTACTTAAAATACAAAAAATTAGCCGGGCGTGGTGGTGGGTGCCTGTAGTCCCAGCTACTTGGGAGGCTGAGGCAGGAGAATGGCATGAACCCAGGAGGCGGAGCTTGCAGTGAGCCGACATGGCACCACTGCACTGCAGCCTGGGCGACAGAGCAAGATTCCATCTCAAAAAAATATATATATATATAAGATACTTTGTTATACAATATAAATAATCTATAACCAAGATTAATCAATTGTTTTAGATTCTTTTCAGGTTGTAGTATTTATTATCACTTAATAATTTAAGTTTATCATTTTAAAGTAGATGATTTCTTCAAGTTATTTATTTTTCTGGATTCTGATTACAACACCATGAGCTGGCAAAACAGGAGTGTTCACACGCAGTTCAAAATAAGTCATGTACTTCATCTATGTACCACAATCACCAACTTTTAATCTTTGTATCTTTTAATCTAAAATACAACATTAATGCAGTCAAATAAAGCAAGGTTTTACTTGTAAATAATATTACAGCAAAACCACCATTACTTTTGCACCAACCTAAAATATTTAAAACAAGCTTTAAAATAAACATCTAGGTTTAATCTGGTATGTCTCCTATAAATCCTTCTCTTTAACCCATTTATGCCTAGTGTTCCATTATTGGAACGCTAAGCTTACAGGAGTTATTATTTTCCTACTGCTCAAGGTCATCGCCAAGGTCTGATTTTTCACAAAAAAAAAAAAAATTTGCAACCTCCAGCATAGATGGGTTAATAAACACATTCATCTATGATTCATTTAACAAATTATGGCACAAAGTACATTTTAGGTACTGTTCTAGGCTTAATACAGCAATGTATAAAACACACAAAAACTCTACATTCATGAAGCTTAAATTCCAAGGTGGGAAGACAGACAATAAAATAATAAGCAAAAAAGATACATGTTAGATGTTGATCAACTCCATGAAAAAAAGATACAGAGGTTTGGGACTGCAGGGGTATAAGTTACATGAAGGGTGACTGTTACTATGTGAGATAGATGTGGAAGGCCTCACAACAGTGACATTTCAGCAGTCTCAGTGAAATGAAACAGCAAGCCATGCAGATATCTAGCGATAAGAGCTCAAAACAGAGCGAACAGCAAGTATCAAAGTCCTGAAGAGAAAGCATGCTTGTCATGCTCACTCAACACCAGAGAGGGCAGTGTGGCTGAAGTGGAGAATGAGGAAGCAGACAGTGGTGGTAAAAGGAAGCCAGAGAAACATAAAGACCCCCCCATAACCACAGGCTTCTTGCAAACCTCGAAAAGAGCCCTACAAAATCTGTTCACATAGTCACTTTGGTAACATTGGCAAAAGTAAGGTATTTTAACCATAGATAGTTAAGATTACTATCATTTTACATTCTGATTTCTCTGTCACACTTCACCTTGTGATGAACAGCACTAGGTTTTGGAATCCAGCTTGCTAGTAGAGTTGAGTTTAGCAAGATATATTGAGTTTGGGTTTAGCATGATATATTCATTAATTTACTTTCCAGTTGCTTTTAGGTATAGAACATTGATTCCTAGTGGCTCATTAAAAGAGTGGCAACCAGGCACGGTGGCTCACGCCTGTAATCCCAGCACTTTGGGAGGCCGAGGCGGGCAGATCACTTGAGGTCAGGAGTTCCAGACCAGCCTGACCAACATGGTGAAACCCCGTCTGTACTGGAAATACAAAAATTAGCCAGGCATGGCAGTGTGCGCCTGTAATCCCAACTACTCTGGGGACTGAGGCAGGAGAATCGTTTGAACCCAGGAGGCAGAGGTTGCAGTGAGCCAAGATCATGCCGCCGCACTCCAGCCTGGGTGACAGAGCCAGACCCTGTCTTGAAAAAAAAAAAAAGAGTGGCTTCCAGGAATACTCTACTGTCTACTGTGCCAACTTACCCCGTCAATGACACAAAGGTGAAGAACCAGAGGCCATAATGATATATAGATACATCCTAGGGTGCCAAGCCCTGAAAATATGTGGGTAATGAAAAAGAAATAAATTTAAAATGCACATGGCTAAAAGACAGATGGTTAAAACTTCTACCAATCATCAGACATGCAATGTAGTAAGCAGAAGATCTGACTCTTATCAAAGCCTAGCCAAAATCCAACTTATCTCCTGTCAAGGAAATGAAGTGAATACAATTATAATTATTATAAATGCAACATAACTTTGTAGGGTTTTTTCCCAATGGAAACTGTACTACAGAAAATTTTTTAGAATGCCTATGTTTGAGAATCACTACCTGTATCAGTATTCAAAAAAGGTGACTGTGTATTAAGTAACATGGTTTTAACTATTCCAAATATGAATAATTATTAAAGCATATGTGATCAATAATGCAAGAAGAAAGACTGAAATATCTTTTTTATTTTCTCTGTATAAAATGATATTATAGGCTGCTGGGGAGGGCAGGAAAGCCGCACCCACCCAGCAAGGGCTCCGTGACTGGGTTCCCAGGACTGTCGAAGGAAGGTATAACTGGGTGGGAGGGTGGGTAGCTTATGCTCTCCAAGACTGCCTTTCCAAACTCTTTGACACCTAAGAAAAGGTGAACAAGTTCTATTTTCAAGAGAAGATGGCTTTTAACAGTTTTGAAGGATCTAAAGCTGTGTATCTGCAGACATCAATAAGGACGAAGAATTTGTAGAAGAGTTTAACGGATAAAAAACTTTTGCTAGTTTTCCAAGTAGTAGTCCTGTTTCAGCATCAACACTGGCACAAGTAGGTTTTCTTTATATTGGTGAAGGAGACACCATGTGGTGCTTTAGTGGTCATGCAGGAGTAGAGAGAAGGCAATATGGAGACTCAACAGTTGGCAGACACAAGAAAGTATCCCAAATTGCAGATTACCAACGGCTTTTTTTTTTTTTTTTGAGATGGAGTCTCACTCTGTTGCCCAGGCTGGAGTGCAGTGGCGCGATCTCGGCTCACTGCCAGCTCCACCTCCCGGGTTCACGCCATTCTCCTGCCTCAGCCTCCTGAGTGGCTGGGACTACAGGCACCCACCACCATGCCCAGCTAACTTTTTGTATTTTTAGTAGAGACGGAGTTTTACTGTGTTAGCCAGGATGGTCTCGATCTCCTGACCTCGTGATCTGCCCACCTCAGCCTTCCAAAGTGCTGGGATTACAGGTGTGAGCCACCGCTCCCGGCCGGCATTTACTTTTAAAATAGTGACACAAAACCTGCAAATCCTAGTATCCAAAATGGTCAGTACAAAGTTGAAAACTGGGAAACAGTAATCAATTTGCCTTAGGCAGGCCATCTGAGATTCATGCAGATTATCTTTTGATAACCGGACAGGCTTAAATGTATCAGATACCATATACCCAAGAAACCCAGAAACCCATCATGTATAGTGAGGAAGCTCAACTATAGTCATTCCAGAACTGGCCAAACTATGCCCACTTAACCCCAAGAGAGAGAGTTAGTGCTGAACTCTAATACACAAGTATTGATGACCAAGTGCAGTGCTTTTATTGTGGTAGAAAACTGAAAAATTGGGAACCTTATAGTGCTGGCTGGTGGCAGAAGAACATAGGCAACACTTTCTTAATTGCTTCTTTGTTTTCGGCCAGAATGTTAATATTTGAAGTGAATCTGACATTGTTGAGTTCTGATAGGAATTTCCCCAATTCAACAAATCCTCTGAAGAAATCCATCCATGGAGCATTATGAAGCACAGATCATTACTTTGGGGATGTGGATGTACTCAGTTAACAAGCAGCAGCATGCAGGAGCTGAATTTTATGCTTTAGGTAAAGGTGATAAAGTAAAATGCTTTTGCTGTGGAAGAAGGCTAACTGATGGAAACCCATTGAACACCCCCGGGAACAACATGCTAAGTGGTATCCAAGGTGTAAATATCTATTACAGGAGAAGAACAAGAATATATAAGTAATATCCATTTAACCCATTCACTTGAGGAGTCACTGGTGAGAAGTGCTGAAAAAAATGTCATCACTAACTATAAGAATGGATTATACCATCTTTCAAAATCCTATGTTACAAGAAGCTACACAAATGGGATTCAGTTTAAAGAATATTGAGAAAATAATGGAAGAAAAAATTCAAACATCTGGGAGCAACTATAAGTCACCTGAGGTTCTGGTTGCAGATTCATTGAGTGCTCAGAAAGACACAAGATGAATCAAGTCAGACTTCACTGCAAAAAGATACGGGGTCTCATTATGTTACCCAGGTTGGTCTTGGGCTACTGCCCTCAAGCAATCCTCCCACCTCAGCCTCTCAAGTAGCTGGAACTACAGGCCCATACCACCACACCTAGCCTATACTGTAATTTCTAATGAGACAGAGGAAAGACTAGGCGGAGGGAATTGAAAGAAGTAGTATTGAAAAAAGGGGAGAAGAAGTAATGAGGAGCTCCAGATCCAGAGTCTGCCAGTAATAGCACAGAACTCATTCCAAGACCTCTAAATTACTGAAAAATTATAACAAAATGAGAAATATATCAAACACAGAATTGGTCCTAGGCTGTAAGAAGAAAATGAGAGACAAATAATAAGAACCTGTAGCGTGACGGCTTCAGAAAAGTATTATATAGGAACTGAAAAGGAAGTCTAGCCATATGTAATTTGGTTTTTGGGGAATAAAGTTTACATTGACATTCAAACATTCCAAGCAGTCTCCAAACAAAGCTGGTGACACCAAAGCAATCAAAGTTTCACGACCAATTAAAAACCCAGAGTCTATTATTTTAGAAATAAATGAAAGATCACGATGGAAATTCCTTGTATAAAATCAGTATTGTCTCAGTAATTTTTTAAAAGAAAATTATAATATAAAATCATATGAAGAAATGAATGGAGTTTATAACCAATATATGAAGGAAAAAAGTACTGTGGAGGTATGTTAGATGAATATTTACGTAACATTTAATTAACATAAAATCTGGATTTTATGTTAAGTCTGGTGTTTATCATCTTTTTAAAATTAAAATATCATCACTCAAACTGAATTTTTACTGGACAGGTTCAGCATTAAAAACAAGTAAATTGGCCGGGTGTGGTGGCTAATGCCTGTAATAACAGCACTTTGGGAGGCTGAGGCAGGCAGATCACGAGGTCAGGAGTTCACGACCAGACTGACCAACATGGTGAAACCCCGTCTCTACTAAAAATACAGAAAAAATTAGCCAGGCGTGATGGTGCACACCTGTAATCCCAGCTACTCAGGAGGCTAAGGCAGGAGAATCACTTGAACCCAGGAGGCAGTGGTTGCAGTGAGCCAATATCACACCACTGCATTCCAGCCCGGGTGACAGAGCGAGACTCCATCTCAAAAAATAATAATAATAAATAAAAACAACAAGTAAATTGGCTGGGCAAAGTGGCTCTTGCCTATAATCACAGCACTTTGGGAGGCCAAGGCAAAAGGATCACTCGAGCCCAAGAGTCTGAGACCAGCGTAGGCAACATCCCATCTCTACAAAAATAAAAGTAAAAAAAAATAGCCGGACATTGTGGTACATGCCTGTGGTCCCAGCTACTTGGGAGGGTGAGGTAGGAGGATTGCTTGCGCCCAGGAGTTCAAGCTGTAGTGAGCCGTGATCACACCACTGTACTCCAGCCTGGGCAATACAATGAGACCAAAAACATAAAATAAATAAAATAAATGGAAACAGGTAAATAGATGAGTTAACTTGAAGACAAATCTGAAAAGATAACCAGAATTCAGCACAAAGAGATGAAAAAGTAGGAAAATGTTAAAGAGTGATTAAGAAAATATGAAGAGGGACATAACAATGTTTAACATGTATCTCAAAGGAGTTCCAAAACAATAGAATATAGAGAATGGGGAGAAGCAAGATTCAAAGAGGGGATGGATAAGAATTTAATTCCAGAACTAACCATGAATTCTCGGACTACAAAAGCTGAGTTCTGATCAAGCTAAATAAAAATAAATCTATATCCTAGTAAACCCAATATGCCAAAAATAAATTCTTCAAAAGTAAATCTTAAAAAAAAATTTGAGAAAAAAAGAGAGATTACCTAAAAAGTAAAACCAACAGACTACAAAAAGTAAAAAAAAGTAACCACAGAGAACAAAGATAAAGGATTATCTTTAAATCACTGTCAATCTAGAATTCTATACCCAGCAAGATTGTCATTAATTCAACAAATATTTATCAAATCTCTATTACATGACAGACTCTATTTAGAAGCTCAAAAGCTTACATCCTAGTAAGAATTCTTTCAAGGAGAATAATGCCAAAAAGAAATCCTGCTCTCCTGCTGTCCTGAAATTTCCATTTCATTACAATTAAAAGTCCTTAGAACTCCTAATTTTCTGGAGTATTTTAAAATAAATTTACTTGATGGCATACCCTAGGCTTTCTTAATTGGTGGTCCATGAACACTCTGAAATGAAATTTAGGTATCATTCCTTACATGAGCAGTTTTCTATACAGAATGTCCACATATGTCATCAGATTCTCAAAGAGGTCTATGACTCAAAAGGGGTTACACCCACTTTTCTCTGACCCAACCGCACACACCCAGAATAGTTTGCTGCTATATAATTTCCACAGGACCCTATAAATCATCTTTCAGTCCTTTTCATACATTATTATTTCTGCCGTGACTTCTCCCACTAGAGAGTAAAACTCCATGAATGCAAAAGCTATCTCTTGTTTACCAGCATCTAGCACAGAAACACAAAAGTACAGAGCAAAAACTAAATATTTTATAACTAAAATGAATTGCTAAATGTAACTCTGAAATATACTCCCTTGTTACAGAATTCAAGAACTAAACCTTAGGTAAATAAATAATTATTAATCTTTCCTAGTTAAATTTTTTAATGTTGCCTATCAAGTCTATTAAACAACCTGAAAAGATTTTAATGTAAATGTTTTTAAAATATTAACTTGGCAATAAAATTTACATAAACTTGATTATATATTTACTTTAAAGAATATCAAACAACATAACATTAACTTCATTTTTGTAAACTTAAAAATTTGGAAGCCTAGCTAATTATATTATTAAATGCACTGAGTGTTTGGAGATAGTACCAATGTTGTTTTTATATTCAAGAAGAACATACATCATAAAAACCCATCCTTATATCATTTTTCCCATAAGAAATCACAACAGAGGCAGAATATGAAATTAGATATATAAAGAGATATAAAGAGACAGATATATACACATACAAGTACAGCCTATCAGAGATGAAGACGTAAACTTAAAAAAGGCAATGAAGAGCACAAGACAGTGATTTCCTTCTAAAATAAGTGAAATTCAATCCTATATGATGGAACAAACCAGATGGTATCAAGGCTTTTTTGAACATTTAATTCTATCCATTAACACAGAGAAGATTATCCTCAAATACAAGTGGCTTTCCTCTTTTACTTTTTTTAAGAAAACTTGATTTTAAAAAGATATAGCTTATGGGAAGACATCAAAGGTTAAAACAAAATACTTACCAAGTTGGCCATATAAATTGTGAGCAGCCCTCTCCTGCAAATAATTTTAAAAGGAAGATATTAAACTTCAATTTGACTTAGTAATCACTTTATCATTTATTAGAAGTCTATAAAAAGAATTATATTCTCAGAAATTGAGAAACGTACTGGTATCTTAGAAAAACAGGTAAATTATGCCGAACTAATTTCTCTCTGACCTAAATTTAGCTGCATCTAAATAAATTCCATAAAGTCACTTGTTTTGTGGTCATTAAATATTCTTAGAAGTCATTAAGTAAATATTTAAAATTACTATTTCCCCATTGTTATTTGTTATTGGCAAGAGTGGTATAATTTCCTACTAGTCTATGTTTATGCTAGAGAAATCTAAATTTTGTAATAAAGAATTCTAATTCATCTTGCCAAAATGTAAAGAACAATTCTGACCAAATAAAAATTTATGAAAAAATAAATAAAACAAGCCTTCTATCTGTTTCACACACAATACAATTGTTTCATTAAATAATATTACAAATCATACTAAATCACATTGGTTTTAATTTCATTTTAAACGAAAAGTCAGGCACTAAGGGAACTTTCTAATGCCAAAGGACAAACAAAAGTTCTATGAACACTTTACAGAAAAACTGCATATTTACCAAACTTATTTAATAAAAATTCAGGTAGAAAGTCAAACATAACAACTTTTTTCTGCCCTTAATCAGTTTACTTAGCTTATACTGCATATGAGAAATGAATGAAGCACATTCTATTCTCTAGGAAATGTCTTCAATAGGTTTTAAGAATTCAAGGGCAGAGTTTGACCTCTGAAAATTACAAAAACTTATTTTAGTTTCCTTTATGAACATTTTCAGTACTCAAAGAAAATAAAATATATATAAAAAGTACCAATGTCAAATCACTTTCATTTAAATATGCCGAATCTTCATATTAATATTATCAATGAAATCTTCTTGATGCCCGATTCATACACAGTCCTGAATGTTCATTATTTTAAATGGTTTAGTAAGATTTTTAATATTCCTAAAGCCACATGCAGGCAGTATGATTTAACTGAACAGTACTAAAGTAAAGTTAGGTACTCTGGGACTCTGTAATTTTGTCATTAAAATTAGGGAACATTTGAGGGACTAGTTATCTACTTATTAAATCTACTTTTTTTAACATAAAAATTATTAAAGAAAAAATTTACATTATCACCAATATATAAAATATAACATTGGACCTACTCTGGTTAAAAGGGGAAGGGGATATAGGACCCACAGTGCCATACACCCAGTGCCATACACTCCTAGGAATCTCTCCTCAGCAGATCCTAATGCATTTCAGCAGAACAAGAGAACCC
The DNA here is from genome assembly GCF_000001405.40 of Homo sapiens. Taxonomy (NCBI): domain Eukaryota; kingdom Metazoa; phylum Chordata; class Mammalia; order Primates; family Hominidae; genus Homo; species Homo sapiens. The sequence continues at coordinate 87,090,050 of NC_000011.10, read as the reverse complement.
AATTGCCCTTACAAAAAGAATTTTTAAAAATCACTGGTAAAGGTGATAGGATGATCTATGCAGCAAACGAACATGGCAGAAACCTGCACATTCTACACATGTACTCCTGAACTGAAAAGTTAGGAAAAGAAAATAATAATAAAATCACTTGTAAGATTATCTATAAGGTTTTTTTAATGTCCTTTTTTCTATGATTTTTACATATGGATTGAAAGTGTTCTTACTAGTTCTCACCATTAGTTCCCACCAAATTCTAAATCAAAAATACTCTAATACTGCTTATTCTAAATAAGTTATACTGAGAAAAATTAGGGTAACATTAACATCCAAGAGTCCCACATACACTGAAGAAAGAAAAGTTAAGTGCTTCTCAAGGGATACCCATTTTTACCAAAAGCTGGTTACATATGAAGAAAAAACATATATGTTACAAATTCCAAAATAAAAATATTTCTTTACTTTCTGTGAGAGAGCCTGACAATTTTTTTTTCTTTTTCTTTTTCTTTTTGAGACAGGATCTCATTCTGTCACTCAGGCTGGAGTGCAGTAGTACAGTCATAGCTCACTGCAGTCTCAAACTCCTGGGCTCAAGTGATCTTACTGCCTCAGTTTCCCAAATAGCTGAAACTACTTGTTTCAGTAGGTGCACACTACCATGCCTACTAATTTTTTAATTTTCTGTAGAGACACAGTCTCGCTATGCTGTCCAAGCTGGTTCAAGTTTCTGGATTTAGGCCATCCTCCTGCCCTGGCACCCCAAAGTTCTGGGATTACAGGCATGTGCTACCGTACCCCGCTGACAAATGCATTTCAAGGTGAAATGAGCTAAAGCTGAGTATCCCTTATCCAAAATGCCTGAGACTAGAAGTGTTTCCAATTTTTGATTTTTTTGTATTTTGTAGTATTTGCATATACATAATGAAATAACTTGGGGATGAGATCCAAGTCTAAACATAAAATTCATTTATGTTTCATATACACCTTATACTTGGCAAAAACTGCAATTACTTTTGCACCAACCTAAATACATACAACTTAATGCAATTTTATATAACATTTTTAGTAATTTTGTGCATGAAACAAAGTTTGTGTTCAGTACTTAAATGTGAAATTTTCCACTTATGGCATCATGCTGGTGCTCAATCATAACTAAGGTTATTATGTTGTTATTGTAAACCACAGAAATAAACAAATCTCTTTGACAATTGTGTTTTTGACTGGAGCTACCCTGGACATTTTGTCATTCACAGACAGTTGTCTTGATCCTCTTCCAAAAATGGTTTATAATCAGCTACAGGACTCTGACAGGTGCTCTTAAATGCAGGTTTCTAATATCTTTGGAGATTGTGACATTGGAATAAAGGAAAATCATTCAGGACTCATGAAGAGCTGAAATGTTCATGAATATCAAGCAGGACAAGAGTTAACTGAATAGACCGAACTAATAGAAAACTTAAGTAATCTTTTTTAACTTTTTGCTTAAAACATTGCTGATCCTTGTTTTATTTTTCAGAGTCACGGAAGTTTTTCTCTTGAGCTATCTACAGTTTTCAACAATTGAGTAAGGTATACTCCTATGAACAAAGTTTGGAGAATATTTGTTTCTTTCTGCTTGGTTTCTTCAGAATTTGGAAACTTTGTGAGTATTCTTAACATAGGGTAATATAGTTATTTGTATCACTGCAATAAGAATCCATTTTCTTTTGCAACAAGACACAACTGGAGAGACTGGTTGTTTTACCAAGGCTTTGACTGGAAGGGTGTGCTTCCCTTAAGGAATTAAGCTTGACTTGCAGAGCCAATAAAAGCCCCTTGGGGAAACTGGCCTCATACCCTGTCTACACAGTTCCTGTACAGGGTTCCTAACTTGTGGTGAGTAAAGAATGTCACTTTCTATCAGGTCCAGGAGCCCCAAGTTATCTTGACACCTCAAGAAGAGAGGAATTTACCCAATTCACAGGTATTTGAGGGTACAAACCCATGGCTGGGCTCAGCTTTAAAAAGTCTCATCTGAACCAGGTGTGGTGGCTCACACCTGTAATCCCAACACTTCAGGAGGCCAAGGAGGGCGGATCACCTGGGATCGGCAGTTCGAGACCAGCCTGACCAACATGAAGAAACCCCATCTCTACTAAAAATACAAAAAATTAGCTGGGCGTGGTGGTGCATGCCTGTAATCCCAGCTACTCGGGAGGCTGAGGCAGGAGAATCACTTGAACCAAGGACGCAGAGGTTGCAGTGGGCCAAGATCGCACCATTGCACTCAAGCCTGGGTAACAAGAGCAAAACTCCAACTCAAAAAAAAACAGTCTTATCTGAGATTCCGTATGGAATAGAATTCCATCAGAGCCAATTTTAAAAGCCTATGTGAAAATAATTATTCTTGGTACACTTGATGCAAATGATTAAGCCGAGTATAACACTGAAGTTTATTCTGCAAACAACTCGGTCCTATCATGACTTGTTTGTAACAAAATGAGGACTGGAGAGAAAGAAGTAAGTTTCAAAACTTATCATACACTTCTCATTAAATTCTCACCTCATTAGTTGTTTTTAAGTTTTGTCTGCATTTTAGACTAACCCTGCTTATTCCTGTGAACCAGCCAGTGATCTCTGGCTGCAGCTAAGAAGAAAGAAAATGGATGGGTAATGTAAAAATCTGGATCAACACTCTAATTCTGGGCAATTATCCTGCAACTCCTGCCAAGTGGTGAGAATAAATGGGGTGCCCATAACCTGAAGGTTTTTTTTTTTTTTTTTGAAAATAAGACCAAAGGTGCTAACCAAACCAAGCCCCATGCACCCAGGTCTTAGCAGACATAACTATAGCCACCAGTTATCTGGGCATGTCAGCAGCCTCGGAGTTTTTGAGCTGTTCTTACCCCCATGTTTTGTTTTGATGCATGTCTTCTAATATCCTGGTTTGTCTCTTCTCACCTTCAGGCCATCAAACTCCAAACAGTCATGCAACCGGAGCCTCAAATGATGGCTCCCTTTTACTGGGGACCCTTAGATAGGCCTCTAAGAGAGACATGACTGCCATTTTCCCAAAACAGCACCCCCATCAGCAGAAAGCAGTTAAGACTGGTCATCGTCCTTAACCTAACGGCAATTAGAGGTACCTCTTCAGAAGGGGAAATTGATAGCAGCAGGAGGCAGTCAAATGCCTAGGCAGATAGGGGTGGGTCCCTGGTGAAATCCTACCTCCAAGCCAAAGATAGTTTAAAGCCTGAAAGCCAAGCTACAAGTCAAATCCACAGACCAGATTAAGAACTTGCCTTCCTGTTTGGCATACTTTCCTCCAATTAATCCCCACCCTCCACCTATTTTACATATACCTACCCTTTCCTAATTGGTTTTCTATGCTGTCATGCCCACCTTTGAGTAGTCTTTGTTTTAAACTTTTTTGCATACTCACAAACCAATCAGCAAGCACTTCCCTATTCTGAGGCCATAAAAGCCCCAGACACAGGCACACTGAGAGGAAAAAAAACACCAAACTGTGGGGGTGGGGGACCACCCCCACGTCTCCTCTCCACTGAGCTGTTCCACCGCTTAATAAAATTCTTCTCTGCCCTCTTCACCCTTCAAATTATCAGCATATCCTAATTCTTCTTGGACACGGAACAAGAGCCTGGAAACTGCCAAACATGGGTACAAGCCATAACACAGGCGGGCCACGTAGAGGTGCTGCCTCCAGTGGAAGGCCTGGGGCTAAGCAAGGCCTGGGTGCAGGGCAGGGGGCATCACTGGCTGTGGAGATCTCCAGTTGGCAAAGTGGACAAGAAAAATCCTGCATCAATACCTCACACCTAAGGCATACGAGGCACTAAACAAATGATTATGGAATTACTAGACATAGCCAACAAGGTATTTCTAAGAACAAATCCTTACAGAAAAAAAGTGTATTATAGACATATAATCACCAAAGATAACCACTAGGACAAGGGAGGGCCAATTAATGATACCAATTTATTAGCAAAGAAGTGATCAGACCTCCTTAAAGTTGCATAAAACTTAACAATCTACAAGGTATAATCAATATTATGAAATCAAATTTTACCCACCCAATAGTACCATGAAGTGTAAGGCAGATACCATTATCCTTACTCTATTGAAGACCAAGAATCAGAGAAGTGAAGTGGTTTCCTTAAAAAGGTAAAAGTAACAAAAAGACAAGCTGGAATTCAGAGTCAGTTCATCTGACTCCAGTTTCAGGTTCTGTCCAATGCATTACTTCTACAGAAAATCTTTGCACTACTAAATTATCTTTTTTGTTGTTGTTTGTTTGTTTTTGAGACAGTCTTGCTCTGTCACCCAGGCTGGAGTGCAGCGGTTCAATCTTGGCTCACTGAAACTTCCACCTCCCAGGCACAAGGCATCCTCCCACCCCAGCCTCCCGAGTAGCCAGCACCACAGGCACACACCACCACACCCAGCTAATTTTTTGTATTTTGGGTAGAGCAAGGTTTCACCATGTTGGCCAGGCTGGTCTCGAAATCCTGAGCTCAAGCAATCTGCCCTCCTCGGCCTCCCAAAGTGCTGGAATAACAGGCATGAGCCACCGCACCTGGCCCTAAATCATCTTTAAGTTCTGTAATTCACTTGCTTGTTTAACATGGCATCCTAACAGGCTTCTATTCTTTGAGGAAGACTAAAGCCTTCACATACTGTTACTATTATGAAAAAGCAGAGAATGTATTGCTATTAGATTAAGTCCTATTCTGTTCTCAAAATTTCAATTTATCTTTCCCCAAATCACCTCCTTAACAGCTTTTGCTGAATTCAGACCCGGAGAGAATATTATCTCTGAAGGGTATGATATGTTGGATTATAGAGCCACACTCTTTGACAGGATTTCTTTCACGCAACATCTTCATCCTCTGTTCCAATGTCAACTTTATAACTGTACTATATCAGACCAATAATTTATCACTTCTTCAGTTATGTTAAGCACTACGAAAAACTGAGAAGTCAATTAAATGCCAATTTATTGTTTTACATTTGACTATATTTAGCCTAAATCTGAAGACAAATAGGCCACTCCCTTACTGGTGAGTAAATCCTCTTTGGAAACCAAGTTATCTATTAAAACATGGCTAATACAATGATGGAGAGGGGGAGGTGCCCATTAGAACAGATGATGGCATAGGCCTGAAAAGGAGAAGCTGGGGCCAAGAAGTACAATAAGTAACTTGTTAAACTTCACAGGAGATTCTGATACCCATATCCTATACTCCCATTCTACTGAGAGTCACTAGATTAGAAGGCTGGGAAAGCTCAGCAGATAAGCAGTCCAATATTCCTTTATACCACATAAGCTTTTCTCATTGTTCCCTTCTTTTATTTATCTATTTATTTTGGTTGGAGAAGGTATTCAATCTCTCAAAGTTGCGGCATACAACTTTGTGCACCTCCAGGGGTGTTATCAAAAAAAGTATTAAGAACAATTGCAGCCAGGCACAGTGCCTCATACATGTAATCCCAGCACTTTGTGAGGCCAAGATAGGAGGATCACTTAAGCCCATGAGTTTGAGATAGCCTGTGCTATCACATCTCTACCAAAAATAAAAAACTGACCTGGTCACGGTGGCACATGCCTGTGGTCCCAGCTACTGGGGAGACTGAGGCAGGAGGATCACCTGTGCCCAAGAGATCAAGGCTGCAGTGAGCTATGATTGTACCACTGTACTCTAGCCTAGATGACAAGTGAAACTCTGTCTCAAAAAAAAAAAAAGAACCACTGCTACAGGAACTGTGTAGTCAGAGTATCATCATTCTTATAGGAAAACATTAAATAACATAAATGTTCTGTAACATCTTAGTAGATTAAAAAGTATCCACACATCCTGCTGAAATTCTAAGCATTATTATCATCTAACAGCATTATCATTTCTAATTAGATGCGTAATCAATAATGGGTTTTTTTTCCAGAAGCTTTGGTGTATATATTATTTAGCTAACCTCAAAGTTTTGAATAATACTACATATCACACTTCACAAGAGGCCGCTGGGGAATACAGTAGGAACAATGCAACTTCTAAATTCTAAATATGTATATATCCTATATATGCATATGAAATATACATATAAAAATAATTATATGTTCTATAAATAAGGAGATATTAGAAATAAAAGAAAGTGAAAATTCCTAAACATTGTAATGGCTTATTAAGAAATGCTATTTAATCATCTCAGAAAATCTTTCAAGGTATAATGGGTTTTTAACTGTCAGAATGTTTTAGAAGGTATAAAAATACTTCCTTGAGGCATAGGAATTAATAGAATAAATTTCTAATCTAGAGCAAGAGTCTATGATCATGTTCTATCTTATATAGTACATAAAGAGTAAACTTTACAGAAGGCTACAAAGTGTTTAATCTTCTGGTGAAGTTAACATGCCAATGAAACTTGAAGATACCAAGAACTTACAGACCAAATTTATGAGTATTCTTTTATTCCCATATTATATAGATCATTCATTCTGGTCATACCTGGTTTGGAGTTTCATAAGTACTATAGTGCAATTTAATAATTCAACAAATGAGTATGCTTGCAATAAATATGCAATTGTTGATACTTTAATCCATGTTCATGTTTGAGCACACTGCAATTCTTAACTAATACTAAATATCAAAGCAAATTCCACAGCAATTCTACAAAACAAAATCCATCAGAACAACTTCTTTCTAAACCACAAACAAAGCACTTCCTAGAAAAAGAAAAAGAAGACTAGTTCTTAACAGCCCTCCTACAGATAAACTAGATGTTACCAATGCTTCCTACTGAGTTACTATGATCAGAGTCCTTTGTGGCACAAATTTTTTAAGCAACCCTGGAAACAACCTCAAAGCTCTCTCAGAACCCCACAATGATGCGATTAAGATTTAAGTAAGCTGCCCTCTTACTGGGTGTCAGAAACTAGCAAGCAAGCACGCTTAATACTACTAGAAAGGGAGGGGGTAATTGATGAATGGATTAGAGAGAAGGAAAAAAGAGGAAGAAAGAAACTTAAACCAATATAGATGAAGATATTTACAGATAGATCTTTATCTATGTATTTATATCTATATCCAGATAGAGAGATAAGTGCATATTGTATGTTCTCACCTCATTAAATACTTTTTGAAAAACTGATTATACAACTGAATGCAAAATCTCAGAGTAAAGATTGCACTATTAAAGCTTTAGAGGTTTAAAACTTAGGACTACCATTATTTGCTATTTTTTAAAAAGAAACTGCTAGTCATCACAATATGTTTCTTCTACTCTTTCTCGTATATTGCTGACATTAAATTTAAAGACTGAACTGTACACATTTCAATTGACAACTGGCTCCTTAAATGTTGCTGCTTCTAAACGTTCAATCTTAGACCTCCTCTCATACTGGGCTTTCACACATGAATCTACTTCCACAGTTTCAACGACCACCTATTAGAGGAAAACTTTCCATTTTTATTTTTCTAACTACCATCTTTCCCTTGAACCTAGACTCACATTTCCAGCTGCCTGCTGGCTATTTCCACCAGCATATCATTGATTTTCTCTGTGAATTAAAGGCATAATTATAAATTCTTTTTCCTTACCAAACAAGAACTACAATACTAATATGCTTGATTTTTGGCACTAGATGTAATAATTTTAAAATATGCATAACTTCAACTCTTGCAAATTACTTATAAGCTTTTAATGGATCTTGATATTTAATGAAGTCTTACATAAATTCGTGGTAAGTCAAGAATACTTTTTCAGAGCAAATTAAGCTACTAAAGTAACTCGCAAATTCCAAATACGCACAGACACATTTACTTAAAACAAGACACACTGTAAGGCAACTTGTCAAGAGATTTAAAGAGTTTTAAAGTTTAACTCCAAAGGGAAAAGAAAAAATACAAAACCTGATTTTTTTCTTAAAGTCACTAAGCTTGTGAACAACACTAAAAAACAAAAATTAAAGTTTTTAATTAAATCCAACCAGGAATTGTGATTGTATGCATAGACATACACAACTCTCAACAGAAAGAACTACAGAGCTATCTCCCAGTATTGTTAACTGCATCACCTAATAAACAAAAGAACTAAATCAACACATACACAAAGAGTTCAATAATGTAACAATGAGATCAAGGGAAGGATCAATTTTTCTTCAGCAACCATGTGATAACAGTTATAAAGAAGTTAAAGCTAGACTTAAATTTCTTATTAAGTCGTTAAAACAATAAAACTACTTCAGCTAATATTTAGAATAGGTCATAATCTGTAATACCTAAAAATTTTCTTTGAACAACCAATGTCTAAGAATGAAACACTAGTGCAAAAGCTCATCTACAGGAAAAGAAAAACAGAAAGCTTAAAAAAAAAAAAAACCCTCAGCTATCAAAAGTGAAAATAAAACAGAAAATAAACTAGCAACCCAAATCCACGTTATCACCTTACATCCAGGAAACCTCTCGTTATGCCCTAAGAAGTTATTGCTCTTAATATCAGTAACACTCTTTTACTTTGGTTTTACTGTATTTGAACTAATGTTAGCGTTCAAAGAAAGAGAAAAAACAAACCAACAAACAAAAAACAAATCCAATAGTAAGCAGTCCTAAGATGGACCTAGACAGGTTGCCACATTTTGAGAGGTAGTAAAATGGTAACATTAAGAAACTTCAAAGATGTATATTGTAGTCTATAGAGCAAGCACTAAAAGAAAATAACGAAAAAAAAAATTACAGTGGAATTCTAAAAACAAAACAAAAAAAATCAAACAATACAAAGGAAGTAAGGAGGAACAGACAAATGAAAAGCAGAAAACAAATAATAAAATGGCTCACTCAACCTAGCCATACCAATAAATAATAAATGCCTCAAATGTTAATGAACTAAATAATCTAATTTATAGGCTAACACTAGCAGAATAGATATAAAAAAATAAGACCCCACTGTATATTATCTGCTAAAAAAAAAAACTTTAATTATAAAGACACAGATGTTTGAAATTAACTGGAAAGAAATACACTCTGCAAACTGTAAATATGAAAAGGTTGGAGTAGCTATATCAATATCAAATAAAAATAGGCCAGGCGCGGTGGCTCATGCCTGTAATCCCAGCACTTCGGGAGGCCAAGGCGTGTGGATCATTTCAGGTCAGGAGTTTGAGACCAGCCTGGCCAACATGGTGAAACCCCGTCTCTACCAAAAATACAAAATTAGCCAGGCGTGGTGGCACGTGCCTGTAATCCCAGCTACTCAGGAGACTGAGGCACAAGAGTTGCTTGAACCCGGTGGGTGGAGGTTGCAGTGAGCCGACATCATGCCACTGCACTCCAGCAGGAGCAACAGAGTGTGACTCTATCTCAAAAAAATAAGAAATAAAAAAATCAAATAAAAATAAACTTCAGAACAAATAATATCTGAGCTACAGAAGGACATTCCATATGGATAAAAGGTTCAATTCATCATGACATCATGAAGAAATGGTAACAAAAAAAAAGTGCATGTACCAATAAAACCTTCACAGAAATTGATAGCATTAAAAAGAGAAATAGACAATTCCAGAATCACAGTTGAAGATTTTACACTTTTCTCTCAGCAAATGATAAAACTAGACTAAGAAAATTAGTAAAGATATAGATCAGTAGTTCTCAACAAGGAGAGATTTGTTCCATGGGGAGATGTAGCAATGCCTGTAGGAATTTTTGGTTATCTCAACTTGGTGGGGTGGGGAAGGCAGTGCTAATGGCATGTATAGATACACTGCACAAGAGAGCCCTCCCAGTAAGGTATTACCTGGCCCAAAACATGTCAATAGTGCCAAAGTTGAGAAAACCAGCTGTAGACAAACATCACTGTCAATGATCTTGTCCTTGTTGATATCAAAAAAAAAAAAAAAAACACTGCAAACAGGCAAAAGAAGAAAGCTCAGCCAGGCCTGGTGGCTCATGCCTGTAATCTCAGCACATTGGGAAGCTGAGGAGGGCAGATCACGAGGTCAGGAGTTCGAGACCAGCCTGGCCAATATGGTGAAACCCCGTCTCCACTAAAAATACAAAAATTAGCCAGGCGAGGTGGCACGCACCTGTAGTCCCAGCTACTTGAGAGGCTGAGGCAGGAGAATCGCTTGAACCCACGAGGCAGAGGTTGCAGTGAGCCGAGATCACGCCACTGCACTCCAGCCTGGGCGACAGAGTGAGGCTCCGTCTCAAAAAAAAAAAAAAAAGAAAAGAAAAGAAAAAAAGAAAAAAGATCATATGATCTTATCAATAGATGCAGAAAAGCCATATAACAAAATATTACATCCATTCATGATAAAGGTTCACAGCAAACTAGAAATGAATGTAAACGTCCTAACCCTAACAAAGAGCATCTGAAAAACCACCCCACAGCTAACAATACACTTAATGATGAAAAACTGAATGCCTCCCGCTAAGAGCAGATACAAGATACAAGCAGAAAAAAGGACATACAGATTGGAAAAGAAAGAAAACCATCCCTATTTGCAGGTAACATAATTGTCTGTATAGAAAATCTCAAGGAATGTACCAAAAACTCTTAAAACTAATAAATTCAGCAAGGTCACAGAAGTCAAGATAAAACACAAAAAAATCTACTATATTTATATGTCATATTAACAAATGTGGAAAATGAAATTTAAAACTTAATACTCTCTACTTCACACTACCGACGAAAATTAATTCAAAATGGATGAAAGACTTAAATGTAAGAACTAAAACTATACAACTTTTAAAAGAAAACATGGCCAGGCGCAGTGGCTCACATCTGTAATTCCAGCACTTTGCGGGGCCGAGGCAGGTGGATCACCTGAGGTCGGGAGTTCAAGACCAGCCTGGCCAGCATGGTGAAACCCCATCAATACTAGAAATACAAAAATTGGCTGGGTGTGGTGGCATGCACCTGTAGTTCCAGCTACCTGGGAGGCTGAGGCAGAAGAATTGCTTGAACCAGGCAGGTGGAGGTTGCAGTGAGCAAAGATCATGCCACTGCACTCCAGTGAGTGTGAGACAGAGCAAGACTCCACCTCAAAAAATAAACAAATAAATAAATAATAAAGTAAAATAAAACTTGGAGCTAAATATTCGTCTTGGTAATGATTTCTTAAATACGACACCAAAAACACAACGGGCTGGGCACAGTGGCTCACGCCTGTAATCCCAGTACTTTGGGAGGTGGAAGCAGGCAGATCACCTTAGGTCAGGAGCTCGAGACCAGCCTGGACAACATGGCAAAACCCTATCTCTACTAAAAAAAAAGAAATACAAAAATTAGCGAGGTGTAGTGGCACACACCTGCAGTCCCAGCTACTTGGGAGGCTGAGGCAGGGGAATTGCTTTAACCCAGGAGGTGGAGGTTGCAAAAGCCAAGATCACGCCACTGCACTCCAGCCTCAGCGACAGAGCAAGACTGTGTCACAAAAAAACAAACAAATAAAAAAAAGAAAGAAAAAATAGATAACTTGGACTTCTTCATCAAAATTAAAAACTTTTCTGCTTCAAAGACAAGATCAATGAAGTGAAAAAACAACACTCTGAATGGGAGAAAATATTTGCAAATTATATCTGGCAAGAAAATTATATCTAGAATATCTAAAGAACCCTTACAACTCAATAATTAAAAGATAAATAACCCAATTAAAACATGGGCAAAGGATTTGAATAGACATTTCTCCAAAGAAGATATGTAAATGATCAAAAACTATATGAAAAGATGCTCAATATCATTAGTCATCTGAGAAAAATCAAAGCCATAATGAAATACTTCACACTCACTACAATGACTATCATCAGAAAGACATGTAATAACAAGTGATAGCCAAAATGCGAAGAAATTGGACCCTTTATATACTGCTGAACAAAACAGAAAATGGTACAACCACTTTGGTAAACAGTTTGGCAGTTCCTCAAAAAGCTAAACAGAGTTGCCATATTAAGGCAGCAATTCCATTCCTGAGTACATAATCCAGAAAAATAAAAACATATGTCCACACAAAAATGTGTCCACAAATGTTTAGTGTAGCAACATTCATAACCAAGAAGTGGGACAATCCAAATTTCCATCAACTTATGAATAAATAAAATGTGACATATCCATATAATGAATTATTTGGCAATAAAAAGTAATGTAATGAAATGATACGTATGACATCAAACTTCAAAACCATTACACTAAGTAAAAGAAGCCAGTCACCAATGACACATATTGTATGACTCCATTATATAAAATGTCCAGAAGAAGCAAATCTTTAGAGACAGAAATTAGTGGTTGCCTAGGGCTGGGTGAGGAGGATGAAGGATTAGGGGGTGACAGTTAAAGGGGTTTCTATTTGAGGTGAATAAAGTGTTCTAAAATTGTTTGTGATGGTAGTTAAACAACTTTGTGAATATATTAAAAACAAATGAATTGTGCAGTTTTCAAAAGGGTGAACTGTATGGAATATGAATTATGACTCAATAAAGCTATTACAAAAACAGAAAAATCATTTGCAATTGTTCCCAAAAAGGGAAACAGGTGTAAATCTAACACGTATATGAAACGCATTCTGCAAATTATAAAAACTGATGAAAAGAAATAAAAGATCTAATTAAATGGAGAGATAAACCATGTCCATGGATGGAGCAGCCAAAAACTGAAAATAACATAAATGTCCTTCGACAAGTGAATGTTTAACAAACTCTGGTACATCCATATAGTAGAATGCTACTGGGCAATAAAAAAGGAATAAGCTTAGTAATACAAGCTACATCTTAGATGGATCTCAAAGGCATCATGCTTAGTTTAAAAAAGAAAAAGCCTATGTCCAAACGTTATACATTGCATCATTCCATTTATATAACTTCCTCGAAATGATATAAATATAGAAATGAAAAGTAGACTAGTTGTTACCAGGAGACAGGAATTGATGAAAATGGTGCAACTACAAAGGGATAGTTCAAGGGCAATCCTTGGTAGTGTTGAAACAGTTTTGGACATTGATTGTAGTGGTGGGTAAACAACTCTATACATGGGAACAAACTGCATAGACATGTACACAAATGAGTATACATAAGAATTAGTGAATACTGAATGAAGTCTATAGTGTAGTTGACAGTAATGTCAACTTCCTGGTTTTATATTATACTACAGTTAAATAAGATGTCATCACTGGATACCAGCTCAGCCACAGTAGGAGAAGAGACCAGGCAGAGTCATGAAGGATCCATTCCAAGCCTTGCTCCTGGATGACATTTCTAGACATACCTTGGGCCAAAAGGGAACCTGCTGCCTTGAAGGAAAGCACCCAGTACTGGCAGGATTCATCACCTGCAGACTAACAAGCCCTTAGACCCTGAATAATTAGGAGCGATACCCAAGGAGTATGCCGTAGCCTTGGGCTCTGAGACATGCCCACTACAGATGTGACCTAGCACATTCCCAGCTGTGGCTGGCTATGGCAAAAGACTCCTTCTGTCTGAGAAAAGCAGAAGGAAAACAAAAGGGAACTTTGTCTTGCACGTAGGTACCAGCTTGGACACAGTGGGGTAAAGCAACAAGCAGGCTCCTGGAGTCCCCAAGTCCAGGTCTAGGCTCTTGGACAGCATTTCTGAACCTACCCTAGGCCAGAGGGGGGGCCTACTGCCCTGAAGGGTGAGTCCCAGGCCTGGCAGCATTTACTACAGGCTGACTGAAGAGCCTGTGGTATTTAAGTGAACATCAGCAGTGGCCAGTCAGAAGCCTGCCATGGGCTGGTGGTGGTGGTGCCCACATGGAGAGGCTCCTCTGCCTGTGGAAAGGGGAGGGAAGAGTGGGAAGGACTTTATATTGTGGTTTGAGCACCAGTTTAGCCACAGTGGAAAAGAATATCAGGCAAACTTTTCTTACTCCTATCCCTGGCTCCCAGACAATATCTTTGGACCTGCCCAGGGCCCGGGAGAACTTGTCACCCAGAGGGAAGGACAAAACCTGGCTGGCTTTGCCACCTGTTGATTATAGAGCCCTAGGGCTTTGAGTGAACACAAGTGGTAGCCAAGTAATGGTTACAGCAAGCCTTGGGCAAGACCCACTGCTGTGCTAGCTTCAAGTCTGACCCAGCGCAGTCCCAGGGATGGTAGCCACAGGGATGCTTGTGTCACCTCATGCTCAGTTCCAAGCAGTTCAGCACACAGAGAGAGAGAGAGAGACCCTGTTTATTTAGGAGAAAGTAAGGGAAAAGAACAAGAATCTCTGCTTTAATCCAGAGATTTCTTCTGGATCTTATACAAGACCACCAAGGCAGTACGTACCTCTACACGTCAGCAAAAACCATAATGATATTGGGCTTGGGACCCAATTGTTGAACCAATTCACCAATTCCATGAAGAAATAACTCAGACAAATCAGAAATGTATTACATACAACGAGACAACTGGCCTGGTCACTTCAATAAAGCAATGCTGTAGAGGGAAAAAGTGGAGACACTATCTTAGATTAAAAGAAAATAGGCCAAGTGCAGTGGTTCACATCTGTAATCCCAACAGTTTCAGTGGCCAAGGCAGGAGGATCACTTGAGCTCAGGACCGGCCCAGCCTGGGCTACACAGTGAGACCTCAGCTACTTAATATAAAAATAAAAAATTGGACCGGGTGCAGTGGCGAACGCCTGTAATCCCAACACTCTGGGAGGCTGAGGCGGGCAGATCACGAGGTCCGGAGATCGAAACCATCCTGGTTAACACTGTGAAATCCCGTCTCTACTAAAAATACAAAAAAAAAAATTAGCTGGCGGGCACCTATAGTCCCAGCTACTCGGCAGGCTGAGGCAAGAGAATGGCGTGAACCCGGGAGGCGGAGCTTGCAGTGAACAGAGATGGCGCCACCGCACTCCAGCCTGGGAGACAGAGCGAGACTCCGTCTCAAAAAAAATAAACTAATTAAATTAAAAAATAAAAAATAAAAAATTAGCTGAGCATAGTGGTGTGCACCTGTAGTCCCAGCTACTGGTCGGGGGTTGGGGAGGCGGTGGGAGGGTGGTGTTAAGGCAAGAGGATCTCTTAGGCCCGGGAGATTGAGGCTGCAGTGAGCTATGATCACATCACTGCATTCTAGCCTAGGTGACAAAGCAAGACCCTATCTCAAGAAAAAGTACTTTTAGAAAAAGGAAAAGAAAGAAATACATCAACACACATCAACCTTGACTAGATTCTGGTTCAAAAAAATAGCATTAAAAGCCATTTTAGGACAATATGAACTGGATGGTATGAAAAAATGGTTGCTAATTGTCTTGTGTGTGATAAGAGTGTTGTAATTCTGTAGAAAAATATCCTTATTTTTAAGAGATACGTGCTGAAGTACTCAGGAGTAAAGTGGCATGATGTTTATAACATGTTTCCATATGGCTCACACACATAGAAAAAACACACATTCACATATATTCACATACAAATAAACTAAAATGGCAAAATGTTAATAACCATTGACTCTAGTTGATTGTTACAAAGGTGTTCAACAGTTTGTGTTGAAAAGTAGGTACATAACTGCAAAAATGCTATCTAATTATTTGAGTGCTAAATAAGAGTAAATAGTAGCTACCTTGATTTAAAGCATCTTTAGTTTAATGTAACTGACATATTTCAAAAATATCTTTTCAAAACCAATATACACAGTTTTTCTATTGATTAGGAAGTTACCATCACCAGAATAACTCTACTTACAGGCAAAAAAAACAAAAATAATACTTAACACATATATAACTCTTACTATGTGTCAGGCACTGTTCTAAGCATTTTAACATATATTAATTCACTTAATTATCTAAACAACCCGACAGGCCGGGCCCAGTAGCTCATGCCTGTAATCCCAAAACTTTGGGGGGCTGAGGCAGGCTGATCACCTGAGGTTGGGAGTTCGAGACCAGCCTGGCCAACATGGCGAAACCCCATCTCTACTAAAAATACAAAAATTAGCCAGGCTTGGTGGTTCATGCCTGTGGTCCCAGCTACTTGGGAGGCTGAGACAGGAAAACCGTTTGAACCCAGGAGGCAGAGGTTGCAGTGAACCAAAATCAAGCCACTATACTCCAGCCTGGGTGACGGAGTGAGACTCTGTCCCAAAAAAAATAAAATAAGCCTGGGCGCAGTGGCTCACGCAGGTAATCCCAGCACTTTGGAAGGCCGAAGCTGGTGGATCTCCTGAGGATGGGAGTTTGAGACCAACCTGGCTAGCATGGTGAAACCCCGTTTCTACTAAAAATACAAAAATTAGCCAGGCGTGGTGGCAGGCACCTGTAATCCCAGCTACATGGGAAGCTGAGGCAGGAGAATCGCTTGAACCTGGGAGGCAGAAGTTGCAGTGAGCCGAGATTGCACCATTGCACTCCAGCCTGGGCAACAGAGCGAGACTCCGTCTCAAAAAAAAAAAAATAAAATAAACAATCCTACAAATAGATTATCATTATTTTCATTTTTCAAGTAATGAATATCACGCAGTCAGTGGCAGAGCTGGGCTCCTAAGACAGATAGCACAGCTCCAAAATCCATGCTTCAACAATCATGCTGTACTCTCTTTTCAGGTGGAGTAACCTATGTTCCTGGAATTACTGACTTGATTTTGCTGAGGTTATAACATTCACCAATCCTTTGATTTTAGTCATTCTAATAATCCAAAAGTTTAAGTATTGTAGTCATTGATATAATCAAACAGAGAACCACAAAAATTTAGATACTATGACACTTACAAAAATGTATTAAGAGTGGCTTCATGGGCCGGGTGCGATGGCTCACACCTCTAATCCCAGCACTTTGGGAGGCCGAGGTGGGCGGATCACAAGGTCAGGAGATCAAGACCATACTGGCCAACAAAGTGAAACCCCGTCTCTACTAAAAATACAAAAATTAGCTGGGCGTGGTGGCACGTGCCTGTAGTCCCAGCTACTTGGGAGGCTGAAGCAAGAGAATTGCTTAACCAGGGAGTAGGAGGTTTCAGTGAGCTGAGATCGCACAACTGCACTCCAGCCTAGAGACGGAGTGAGACTCCACCTCAAAAAAATAAATAAATAAATAAGTAAGAGTGGCTTCCAGTAGTTTAATATTTGGTTATTTGATGAGAATTACTCACACTCTTACCAGAGGGCCAATGACTACAATAAGCATCTTCATAAGTGGTTTCAGTACATGATCCTTTCTTGATTTATCTGGGACAAAGGTGGATAAATTCCTCAGCAATAAAAACAATTATTCATGAGATGGCAAGTATTTTCTTATGGCAAAACCTTTAAACTTTAACTGTTTACCTGACTGAACAGTTTATGTAAGTTTGCAACATTTTATAGAAATCATATTTATTCACATGGAAAATTTCAGGCTGATAACAATAAAAAATTTTTTTTAAATACAAGATGTCTTAAAAATAATTGGGCCAGGCACAGTGGCTCACACCTGTAATACTAGCACTTTGGGAGGCCAAGGCGGGCGGATCACAAGGTCAGGAGTTTGAGACCAGCCTGGCCAACATGGTGAAACCTTGTCTCTACTAAAAAAACACAAAAACTAGCCGGGCATGGTGGCATGCGCCTGTAATCCCAGCTACTCGGGAGGCTAAGATAGGAGAATTGCTTGAACTCGGGAGGCGGAGGTTGCAGTGGGTCGAGGTCGCACCACTGCACTCCAGCCTGCGCAACAGAGCAAGACTCTGGCTCAGAAAAATAAATAAATTAGTAATAATAATAATAATTGATTTGAGATCAATTACTCAATTACTCAAAGAGCCTGAAGCAAAGTAAGCGAAGTACAGATCTAGATGATAATAAAAAACTATTGTTAATTTTCTTAAGTGTGAAATGCTATTATGGCTATGGAAAAAATCTTTGATTATAATTTGTTTGTTTATTTGCTTGTTTTTTGAGACAGGAGTCTCACTCTGTTGCCCAGACTGAAGTGTGGTGGCATGATCACGGCTCACTGTAGCCTTGACCTCTGGGGACTCGGGTGATCCTCCCACCTCAGCTTCCTGAGTAGCAGGGACTACAAGAGTACATCATCACATCCAGCTAATATTCTTTGTATTTTTTTTCGTAGAGACAGGGTTTTCCAATGCTGGCCAGGCTGGTCTCAAATTCCAAGGCTCAAGTGAGCCACCCGCCTCAGCCTCCCAAGGTGCTGGGATTACAGGAATGAGCTGCCTGGCCTAGAATTTGCATAGCCATATTTTAGTTAGGTCACATTATAGAACTCTCTAATCTTTTAGTAAACAGAGGCTATTACTGCTCTATAATGTCCACTTTTATATTTTTATAGACAATAAATATAAAATACATATAAACATTAATATAAAATTAATTTTCAATTAAATATCTGCAGAACCGAAAAAATATATCTAGAAATATTTCTCATCCCTGTAAGTGATAATTAAAAAAAAAAAAATTATAGTTGGGGTAGGGGACAGGTAATCAGTTCCGTTAAATAAATATATGAAATTTTACCTGCTTTTTCTTTCAATGAGAATGGCCACATAAGATGCTGGCAGAGCGGCACCAAAGCCAGGAGTCCATGAGTAGAATTTTCCAAGTATCTTCCTGAAATTCAAATTTGGAATTTTTGTATGAAATTCCTAGTTGGTCACTTCAGTTATTATGAATAGAAGTTTCCCTTCTCCATCCATACTCTATTTAAATGTACCACACTACCTCAAAATAAACATATTCAAAATCAAACTCATTATCTGTCTCCCCTAGCCCCATGAACTTGTTCTCTCTCCTCTATTTTCCTAGGTTAATAGCATCAACAACCACCTATCCACTTATGTTTGACAGGCGTCATCCTCAACTTTGTTTCCCTTACCCCACATATTAAATTATTCCCTTAAATTATTACAGATGCAATTTATCTTTCAAATTCCTCTCCAACCTACTGCCCCTGCCTTAGTTAAGTCTCTCACTAACTCTCATTAAGGCGGCTACAGTAACAACTAATGGGTAACACTCCTTTCAGTAACAGCCGGCCACATTCATTCAGGCATTCCCTGGATCCAAACCTGCTGGCTATGCAAACCCTCTGGCTTCTCAGTTTCCTTTATTTATCAAATGAGGATAATATTACCTATCTCATAGAGCCATTAAGAGAACTATATGAGATATTTCCCAGAGCCAGGCAGGACACATAACAAGTACTCAGAAAGTGTTAGCTGTTATCACTATTATTATGACTATTTTTTCAACACATGGTAGACATTCAATAAATGTTTTCCCTTCTTTGCTTCCACAACCCTTGATAACTTTTTCTTACAGCATTTACTAAAGTATTTTATACGTTTTAGTTTTATGTGTACATCATTTTTCATGTACTAGAGTATATTCCTTGAAAGTAGGAATCCTCACAGTGCCTCATAAATGACAAATGACAAATGACCAGTAGCTGTCTGGGTTTCGTTTTTGGTTTGGTTTTTTGTTGTTGTTGTTGTTTTTAGATGGAGTCTTGCTCTGTTGCCCAGGCTGGAGTGCAGTGGTGCAGTCTCGGCTCACTGCAACCTCTGCCTCCTGGGTTCAAGCGATTCTCCTACTTCAGCCCCTCCCGAGTAGCTGGGATTACAGGCGCTTGCCACCACGCCCGGCTAATTTTTTGTATTTTTAGTAGAGACCATGTTGGTCAGGCTGGTCTCGAACTCCTGACCTCATGATCCATCTGCCTCGGCCCCCCAAAGTGCTGGGATTACAGGCGTGAGCCAACGCAGGTTTTTTAAGAGAAAAAAAAATATTTGGAGACATGAGGAAGTTTTTTTTCCTTGAAAACATATGTTCCTAAGAAAGGGAGAAGTAGCAAGTAAAAATTATAAGAAATTATCTGAACAAAGTTGGTAAATTGCTAAATTATACATTATGAAAATTATATAGATAGATATATATAAGAATAAAGCTTTTTCTTTTTTTAGAGACAAGGTCTTGCCCTGTCACCAGGCTGGCATGCAGTGCTACAATCATGGTTCACTGTAGCCCGAAATTCCTGGGTTCAAGGGATCCTCCTGGCCTCAGCCTCCCAAGTTAGCTGGGACTACGGGCACACTACCATGCCTGGTTAATTTTTTTTTTTTTTTTAACAGGCAGAGTCTCACCATGTTGCCCAAGCTGGCCTCGAACTGACAGCCTCAAGCAATCCTCCCATCTTGGCCTCCCAAAGTGCTGAGATAACAGGTGTGAGCCACCGTACCTGGCCTGAAATAATTTCTTAAACTGAAGCTCAGATTCAAAAAGATTAGAAAAGCTATTGAGGACATGTAACTTGGGTATTTTTTGACATGGACATCAGAAACCTTCCACCTGTGAAGACTCCAATATAAAATCCATAAAGGACTTAAGTTATTGAATGTAAAATCTTAAGAAAAATGGACTTAGTGAATCAGTTATAGGGAGAACATGAATGTTACCTTAAATATATTCTAAGTTCAAATTTCAAATGTCTATTGGACACGTTAACGTAGATGTCCATAGGCACCATAAAAAGCAACATGTCCAAAGCAGATTTCACTGTATTTCTCAAATGTGCTTTTACTTCTGAGTTCCCTACCTCAAGTAACAGCATCTCATCTACCCAATTAGGAACAAAATGTAAGTGACATTTTCAATTCCACCCTGACCCTCAACCACCTCATGAGTTCTTATGGTCTCCTAGTATCTTCAGGATACATGCTTCTACAACTTAACCAAACAGGTTCATAGAACATAAAGATGCTGCAATAGCAAGGTATACTTAACTGCAATTTTTTTAAAAACCTAATCATAGAAACTTTCTTCTTCTTTTTTTTTTTTTTTTTTTTTTTTGAGACGGAGTCTTACTCTGTCACCCAGGCTGGAATGCATGGTGCAATCTCGGCTCACTGCAACCTCCGCCTCCCGGGTTCAAGCAATTCTCCTGCCTCAGCCTCCCAAGTAGATGGGACTACAGGCGCATGCCACCACGCCCGGCTAATTTTTTGTATTTTTAGTAGAGACGGGGTTTCACTGTGTTAGCCAGGATGGTCTCCATCTCCTGATCTCGTGATCCAAAGTGCTAGGATTACAGGCGTGAGCCACCG
The DNA here is from genome assembly GCF_000001405.40 of Homo sapiens. Lineage (NCBI taxonomy): Eukaryota > Metazoa > Chordata > Mammalia > Primates > Hominidae > Homo > Homo sapiens. The sequence continues at coordinate 87,069,030 of NC_000011.10, read as the reverse complement.
CGCCCGGCCGTCATAGAAACTTTCTAGAGAGCACATGATAAAGAGAGTTCCTTACATAGATTTTCATGTCAATTTAAAGGCATGATTTGTTCAATAGTATAAAAGCCTTATCAATTATTTTCTGCATAATCTAAAAGTTTATAAATATTAATGATCTGATAATGATCTTAGGGAAAAATCTGTGAAAGACATTTGGAAATTACACTTTTTTTTTTTTTTTTTGAGACAGTCTGACTCTGTCCCCCAAGCTGGAGTGCAATGGCGCGATCTCGGCTCACTGCAAGCTCCGCCTCCCGGGTTTATGCCATTCTCCTGGCTCAGCCTCCCGAGTAGCTGCGACTACAGGCGCCCACCACCACGCCCGGCTAATTTTTTGTACTTTTTAGTAGAGACGGGGTTTCACCATGTTAGCCAGGATGGCCTCGATCTCCTGACCTTGTGATCCACCCGCCTCGGCCTCCCAAAGTGCTGGGATTACAGGCGTGAGCCACCGCGCCCGGTCAGAAATTATACTTTTAATTGCAGTTAAAATATACCTGCACAACTACTTTGTTCAACACTAACAGAAAGTATTTTAAAAAATAAATAAATAAATAAACGTAAGTTTGAGTTTTCAGCAATCAACAGGAAAAAAATAAAAAGAATAGCTAATAAATATGTCAGATAAGTAAGAGCACTCAAAAGACTGAATTCTATCTGCATCTCTACAATGTATAAAGATGTAGCACAGGTAATATATATAAGACTGAATCAGGACCAAAAGTTCCAAAAACAGAATATACCAGGAGTTAACTTACTGTTTTACAAATAAAAATGTGTATGTTATAGTCCTTTTGAAGTTTGTTCACTGCATGTGGCCCTAACCCATGTCATAGACAGTTGCTTTGAATTCCTGATCTATGAAACTGAAAAGCTAAGAAATCCTATTCAACAACTTGGTAAATATAACAGGCCTCAGAATATGTATAACATCTTAAAGTATTTATGCTATATAATTACACCAATAATTTAAAGTTTATATTACATCTTGACGTCAAGAGGCCCACAGTTCCTGGTTTTACAAGCTTTCATTGACATAAATGTCACTTCACAGATTAAAAAAAGGGGGGGCGGGGATAGTAACCCACATAACATTTATGTAAACACATACTTGTTTCCATTTCAATAGAAGAACCTATATTAGTATCTATGGTGATTATGAGTACCAACCTTAAAATGCAAAAGAAAGCCATATACAAGGCCCCATTAGCAGTTAGAAATGAAGCGGATTGTAGGATCTCAGGGAGTAGTTTGTGTAAATAATAGTCTAATTTCCGTTTCCGGAGAATTGCTGCAATCTGGAAAGAGAAAGGATTTTTTGTTTAATCCAACCAACATTTCCCACTTAAATTAGCTTATATGTGGAAGCTACTGTATAAAAGCATATATTTATAAGTTAAAGTAAAAATGCTGGCATTTCACTGGATCTTCTATAAAAATACAATGTTCAGGATAGAAAGGAAGACACCTGAATTTATTGAGGGTAAAATATACACCAAGGAATTACGATATGGGTCATACGTTGAATAATCTCCATACATTGAGGTAAATATTTGTAATGCCTTAAAACAATTTTAAACTGAAAAATGGAATATATTTTTAAATGAAAAAAATTCCATTTCAAATAAAAACTGGATGGTATAATAAAACTATATTACAGATTTTATCAGGCTATTACTATTAGAGAACTTCACTAATAGAAACCAGAGAAATTCATTCAGTTATTCAAACTTGACTTCTGTGTGGCAAGAAAAAAAAATATATATATACTACATATATATAGTATATTACTATATATATACATAGTGTGTGTATATATATATATATTTAGTAAATTTAAAAAATAATGATTTCTGGCCTCCTGGAGCCCATTAAAAAAAAAAAGACCTGAAAAAATAATATTAAGAATCTAGGCCGGGCGCGGTGGCTCACACCTGTAATCCCAGTACTTTGGGAGGCCGAGGTGGGCAGATCACAAGGTCTGGAGTTCAAGACCATTCTGGCCAACATGGTGAAACCTTGTCTCTCCTAAAAATACAAAAAATGAGACGGGCGTGGTGGTGGGCGCCTGTAGTCCCAGCTACTTGGGAGGCTGAGGCAGGAGAATTGCTTGAACCCGGGAGGCGGAGGTTGCAGTGAGCCCAGATTGTGCCACTGCACTCTAGCCTGGCAACAGAGTGAGACTCTGTCTCAAAAAAAAAAAAAAAAGAAAGAATCTAGTAACAACACAAGTATGTATCACCTGTGACCAGAACACAGAAACACGAATAAGTCCCAATACAAAAGACTGCAGAAGTTTATCATAGGACTGTTTTATAAAAAATATCAACCTATCAGTCTTCATGACTTAGCTTTTAAATTTAGATTGAAAACCTTTTTTTTTTTTTTTTTTTGGTGAACTCTGAATATGAAAGGAAGATTTCTAGATTAAAACCAAAAAAGGCCCTGAAATAATTTAGCAATTATATGGATAGACATGAAATCTAAGTATTTATTGAGCAGACTATTAACGTTCCAGGAAATAAAGCAATATAAATCATAATATGTGCAAGATATATAGATACTGAGGACTGATTAAGTGTTAGTAATATAATAGAAAGTACCACAGAATTTTAGCAGAGTCAGTTTAATACAGGGGAAGGCAGGAATTTCATGGAGAACGGGATATGAGCTGAACTGGGAAGAATAATAGACTCCTCACTAGTCGTAGAAAAGAGTACTTCTCCATCATAATGAAACAACATAACCAAAAAGGTTAGAACATAATAGGGAAGGAGTAAGAGGGTGTAAGAAAGAGAAAAACTAACTTCAGAACAGAAAGACTATAAAACTCTCCATTTATTCTCCATCTTTCTAGAGATAATACTTTTCCGAAAGTCAGTGATCAACAAATCTAATGGCATCTTCTCAATTCTTCTGTTACTCCCTCCCTCTTCAAGCCTCTGAAACTGACCATCTATTACTTCGATTCAACTCTCATACACAGGCAAAACAATGATGAATAAGACCCAATCTTTTCCTTCAAGGAACATAAAATCTCCGTAGGGAAATAGACACAAACAACAGCAGTAAGCTATAATATGCCAGTGTGGTAAATGATAGGTTAAAAGAAAAGAAAAACTAAACCTCAACCTAAGTCTCACACTTTATGCAAAAATTAATTTAAAATGGATCACAGGCACAAATGTGAAACATAAAACTACAAAATTTCTAGGGGGAAAAAATGGAGCAAATCTTATGGATACAAGGCTAGACAATGCATTCTTAGACTTGACATCAAAAGCACAACTCACAAAAGAGAAAATTGATAAACTGAACTTCATCAAAATTCAAACTTTTTCTCTATTAAAGACCTGTTGGGAAATTTAAAAAGGCAAGCTCCAGAAGAGAAGAAAATACTTAGAAATCACATATCTAATACGGAACTAGTATCTAGAATACATAAAGAAGTCCCAAAACTCAACAATAAAAAGCAAACAACCCAATTAGAAAATAGGAAAATATATGACCAGACATTTCACAGAAGAGGATAAACAGACAGCAAATAAGCACATTAGCCATCAGGAAAATGCTAGTTAAAGCCACAATGAGGTGTTACAACTATCAGAATGGCTAAAATAAAAAACAGTGACAACATCAAATGTTGGAAGGATTCAGAAAAACTGGATCACTCATGCATTACTGGTGGAAATATGAAATGGTATAGCAATTCTGGAAAACAGCTTAGCAGTTTTTTGAAAAATTAAACAATCAACTATTATTTGTCCCAGCAATTGTAGTCCTGGGGTATTTATCTCTGAGAAATAAAAACATATGCTTATACAAAAACCTGTGAAGGAATGTTTATAGCAGGTTTGTCTGCAATCGTCAAAAACCAGAAACAACCCCGATGCCCTTCAAAAAGTAAATGGTTTAACAAATTGTGATATAGCCATGACATGAAATGCTATTCAGCAATAAAAATGAACAATAAAAAGCATATATGAAACAACCTTGATGAATTTCCACAGAATTATACTGAGTGGGGGGAAAAAAAAAAAGCTAATCCTAAAGCTACATACTGTATGATTCCATTTCTAGAATATTGTTTTTTTGGGTTTCTTTTTTGAGACAAAGTCTCGCTCTGTTGCCCAGGCTGGAGTGCAATGGCATGATCTCAACTCACTGCAATCTCCACCTCCCAGATTCAAGCAATTCTCCCTGCCTCAATCTCCCAAGTAGCAGGGATTACAGGCGCCGGCCACCACGCCCAGCTAATTTTTTGTATTTTTAGTAAAGATGGGGCTTCGCCATGTTGGTCAGGCTGGTCTCGAACTCCTGATCTCAGGCGATCCGCCCACCTCGGCCTCCCAAAGTGCTGGGATTACAGGCGTGAGCCACCGTGCCTGGCCTCTATAACATTCTTAAAATGACAAAATTATAGAAATGAATAACTTAGTGGTTGCCAGGGATTAAGGGGGAGTGGGTAAGTGGAAAAGAAGTGAGTATAGCTATAAAAGGCAACATTAGGGATCCTTCTGGTGATGGAAATGTTCTGTATTTTGACTGTATCAATGGCAGTATTTTTGTTGTGATATTATACTACTACTTTGCAAGATGAAACAATTGGGAGAAACTGGATAAAGAGTTAACTGAATCTCTTGAAGAACTGTACTTCTTACAACTGCATGTGAATCTACAATTATCTCAAAATTAAAAGTTCAATACTTTGTGTAAAAAAAAAAAAAAAGGAGTCATTCGCATGACCAATAGGCATATAAAAGGCTACCAGCACCATTAGTCATCAGAGAAATACCACCACACACACATTAGAATGGCTAAAATGCCAAGAACTGATAATATAAAGTGCTGGTGGGAATGTAGAGCAACTACAATTCTCACACAGCTTTAGGATTAGTTCTCATATATTGCTCATGACAATATAAAATTGTGGTCCCCTTGGAAAACCGTTGGATAGCATCTAATTAAATGTGTACCCCATAACCCAGACATAATTAAATGTCTACCCCATAACTCAGCAATTCCATTCCCGGGTATTTTACTCAAAAGAAATAAGTGCTTATGTCCGCCAAAAGACATATTTATAGCATTATCTGTCATTACAAATACTGTAACCACCTAAATGTCCATTAACAGTAAAGTACATAAATTGTACATATTTACCATATTGATAGACCAAACTGTACAGTCTATTGTGAGAAACAGGAAATATCTAACACAAGACACAGAAAATAACCTAGGACCTTATCATCACTGTGCTGTAACCCAGAGCTTCTAACCAAGGTTTACAAGTGGCTAAAATAATGATCCTCTCAGTAGTCTAGTTAGCCAGGCCAGACACAAGGTAACAGGGCAGGGTGACCACTGCCTCTGTTTTCCCCAGTGTGCCACGTATTTTTATCATTTTCTATGTAAACCACAGCACACTACAGCATGAAAAAGGTTAGGAAGCACTAATCTAAACAAATAACATACCAATAATTGTGTTAGCCATGTAGTAATTACAATAGCACTTGCACTCATGTATAAAATCATCAGATATCAGATACCTTCAGAAACATCACATTTTATAATCAAAGACTTCGTAATGTTCATATGCTTTGACCAAATAATTCCACATTCATTAATTTCTTATGAATTTTTCAAACATGCATATAAAGATTTAGCTAAAAAAAGGCACATCATACCACTATGGTTAAAATACATATCTGTATTTATGTATTTACATGACCTGGTTTTAGAAGACTATTTCATGCCCTAGGAAAATGAATCAAAATATATAAAGTGAAAAGACAGATTACCAAAAAATAATTTGTAATGAACATACAGAACAAATACTAGAATGTTATACACTGATTATCTCTAAATGGTTGATAATAGATTATTTTAATTTTCTTCTTTTCACTTTTGGATACGTTCCAGACTTTCTACAATAAATATATGTTACAATTTATAATATTGGGGCAAGGAGAACAAGTGTGAGAAATAAGGATTAATTATCATAGAAACAAATCTCAACAGGGAGTGGAAACAATCAGCATAATACAATACAATTAACAGATTTTATTTTTAATCTTAACCCCACAATTATTTCTATGAAAAATCCTTGTTTAGAAACGTGCTGTTTAGATTTCAATCTCCTCATTTACTAAATAAAGAGGTTAAATTAAATAACAAAACTGTTCATTTTTTCTACTTCTAAAATTATGTAATTTTTTTAAAAATAAATGGGCCGAGTGCAGTGGCTCACGCTTATATCCCAGCACTTTGGGAGGCCGAGGCAGATGGATCACAAGGTCAGGAGTTCAAGACCAGCCTGGCCAAGATGGTGAAATCCCATCTATACTAAAAATACAAAAATTAGCCGGGCACAGTGGCAGGCGCCTGTAATCCCAGCTACTCAGGAGGCTGAGGCAGGAGAATCGCTTGAACTCGAGGAGGTGGAGGTTGCAGTGAGCTGAGATCACACCATGGCACTCCAACCTGGGCGACAGAGTGAGACTCCATCTCAAAAATAAATAAATAAATAAATGATATTAGAAGAATTGGACATCTATGCGGGGGGGGGGGGGGGCTTGGGGGGAAATGTTCTTTGACCCCTACCTGAAACTATACACAAAAAGTAATTTGAAATAAATCATGTACCTAAATTTGAAAATTATAAAACAATAAAGTGCCCAGAAAAAGGGGCTAGATGCAGTGGATCACGCCTGTAATCCCAGCACTATGGGAGGCCGAGGTGGGCGGATCACGAGATCAGGAGTTCGAGACCAGCCTGACCAACATGATGAAATACCATCTCTACTAAAAATACAAAAATTAGCCAGGCGTGGTGGTGTGTCCCTGTAATCCCAGCTACTCAGGAGGCTGAGGCAGGAGAATTGCTTGAACCCAGAAGGTGGAGGCTGCAGTGAGCCGAGATTGTGCCACCGTACTCCAGCCTAGGCAACAGAGTGAGACTTTGTCTCAAGAAAAAAAAAGTACCCAGAAGCAAACATAAGTTAATATCTTCACAAATATTCCAGGCATGAGTCAAAAGACAGGCAGCAATAAGCAGAGTTGATTAAACGCAAGTATGGAGACCAACCTGACTAATACGATGGGCACAGACTGAAGAGTGATACAAAATTATAAGGTCAGGCCCCCAATTTAGAAGTATCTCTTCATAAGATTATCACTATTAAACATCCATCAGCACTATATACATTCTCTTGTTATTCCCGTTTCTTTCCCCATGTGATTAGTGCTGCACATTTGCCATAGAGATGGTTGACTGTATTGGGATTGCACTTTACGGCCATGGAATAAAGCTAATTGGCCTCAAAGACCCATGATCTTAGCCTTACTAGTACCAAACTCTAAATTAGTAGTTACTGTGAGCCTCCGAGTTTGATCATTAAACTCTTCTAGAAGAATACATTTCTAAAGGGTGATAGTGTGAGAAATCTAGTTTCTTTGGAAAATTAAATAGTTTGCAAATAAGAGTCAATTTTATGTTGTATCTATTTAATCTTTCTTAAAGTAATCTCTAGCAAAAAATGATTTCTTTAAAGTAGAGTTTCTCAGCCTTGGCACTATTGACATTTTGGGCCAGATCATCTGTTGTGCAGGGCTGTCCTATGCATTGAAGGATGTTTAGCAGCATCCCTGCCCTCTACTTTCTAAATGGCAATAGAATCCCCCCAGCTGTGATAACCAAAAATGCCTACATTGTTAAATGTCTCCTAGGAGGTAAGATTGTGCCCCTTATTGAGTAAGAACAACTGCTTTAAAGGAAAGAGCATAATGAATTTATATATTTTGAATATGTTAGTTCCAGAATTTTTATTTTATTTAAAAAAAATGCTTATATAGCACTTGTGCCAGGCACCATCCTATATACCATACAAATGTCAACTCATTTAATTTCATAACAATCTTTACCCCACAACTATTTCTATGAAAAATCCTTGTTTAGATGCTCTTTAGATTTCAATCTCCTCATTTTATTGGGCATGATTTTAATGGGCATGATTTTATTATCACCATTTTAGAGATAAGAAAAAGGACAGGCCGGGTGCGGTGGCTCACACCTGTAATCCCAGCACTTTGGGAGGCCGAGGCGGGCAGATCACGAGGTCAGGAGATTGAGACCACCCCGGCTAACACAGTGAAACCCCGTCTCTACTAAAAATACAAAAAATTAGCCAGGCGTGGTGGTGGGCACCTGTACTCCCAGCTACTCAGGAGGCTGAGGCAGGAGAATGGCATGACCCCGGAAGGCAGAGTTTGCAGTGAGCCGAGATCACGCCACTGCAATCCAGCCTGGGTGACAGAGCGAGACTCCGTCTCAAAAAAAAAAAAAGGAAAGAAAAAAGAAAAAGTACAGAGAGACGAAGTTACTCAAGGTGACTGATACAGGCAGAGCAGGGATTGAAGTCAGGCAAGTGGCTCTTAACTACCAATTGATGTTGAAGTCAAAACACATTCTAAATAAGGAGAATTATCACTTATCCATACTGCATGTTATAAATTTAAACCTGTGACTTACTAGCTCCTACAGAAGATCAAGTTGCCTATTCTCAGAGAAAAACACAAAAACATAGGGAAACTACAACTAAGATATAAAAATAACCTGACTCTTCAAAAATTTGGTGATCTAACCTGCAGAAAGACTAAATAAGGCACCCATGATGACTCAGGGGCTAGAAACTACAGTTCCAGTCTACAAAAAAATAAAGAGGAAAGAAGATGGAAAAACAACATTCACAACACTAAATTAGCAAATAAAAAGAATTAATTCCAATAGCAGAGACTGGACAACAACCAGCTGTGCAATTAACTTTACCCTCTTCCTTGTCCAAGATCTATAAGATTTACTTTTTTTCTTTCTTTTTTTTTATTCAGAGTCATGCTCTGTTGCCAAGGCTGGAGTGCAGTGGCGCGATCTCCGCCCACAGCAACCTACACCTCCCGGTTCAAGCGATTCTCCTGCCTCAGCCTCCCAAGCAGCTGAGACCACAGGCATGTGCCACTGCACCCAGCTAATTTTTGTATTTTTAGTAGAGACAGATTTTCACCATTTTATGCAGGCTGGTCTCGAACTCCTGACCTCGTGATCTGTCTGCTTTGGCCTCACAAAGTGCTGGAATTACAGGCGTGAGCCACCACGCCCGGCCCCAAGATCTGTTAATAAGTACTTTTTATAAATAAGATAACAAATATAAAGTATTTAGCAGAGTAACTAGCACATAGTAGGCATTTTGAAAATGCTAGTTTCCTTCACTCTGCAGAATTGCTTCCTGATTCAACCCCAATTCCTTCTTGTGTTGTGCAGTTTTGTTTTATTAAGTGTTAAGAAGAGATTTCCTCTCTGGTAATCAGAGTATCTGGGAAAGGCCAGGTGTGGTAGCTCATGCCTGTAATCCCAGAACTTTGGGAGGCTGAGGCGAGTGGATCACTACAGGTCAGGAGTTCGAGACCAGCTCAGCCAACATGGCAAAACCTTGTCTCTACTAAAAATACAAAAATTAGCCAGGCGTGGTAGCACACGCCTGTAATCCCAGCTACTTGTGAGGCTGAGGCAGGAGAATCACAGGAGAATCGCTTGAATCTGGGAGGCAGAGATTGCAGTGAACCGAGATCACGCCATTGCACTTCAGCCTGGGCAACAGAGCGAGACTCCATCTCAAAAAAAAAAAAAAAGAACTTCAAACAACAGAACTAAAGTAGGATATTCATCCATAATCAAAAGACCTCCTGTATTTTTTTTCTAAAAATTTTTCGGCTGGGCGCGGTGGCTGACGTCAGCACTTTGGGAGGCCGAGGCAGGTGGATCGCCTGAGGTCAGGAGTTCAAGACCAGCCTGCCCAACATGGTGAAGCCCCGTCTCCACAAAAATACAAAAATTAGCCAGTCATGATGGTGGGTGCCTGTAATCCCAGCTACTTGGGAGGCTGAGGCAGGAGAATTGCTTGAACCCAGGAGGTGGAGGTTGCAGTGAGCCAAGATTGCACCACTGTACTCCAGCCTGGGTGACAGAGCGAGACTCTGTCTCAAACAAACAAAAAAATTAAATTAAAATTAAAATTAAAAATAAGACCTTGTTCTCATGCCTGTAATCCCAGCACTTTGGGAGGGTGAGGCAGGCAGATCATGAGGTCAGGAGATGGAGACCATCCTGGCTAACATGATGAAACCCCGTCTCTACTAAAAATACAAAAAAATTAGCCGGGCATGGTGGTGGGCGCCTGTAGTCCCAGCTACTCGGGAGGCTGAGGCAGGACAATGGCATGAACCCAGGAGGTGGGGCTTGCAGTGAGCTGAGATCGCGCCACTGCACTCCAGCCTCGGCAAGAGAGCAAGACTCTGTCAAAAATAAAATAAAATAAAATAAGACCTTGTTTTTAAAAAACAATTTATCATAGGCCAAGGCGGGTGGATCACTTGAGACCAGAAGTTCAAGACCAGTCTGGCCAACATAGCGAAACCCAGTCTCTACTAAAAATACAAAAAATTAGTGGAGTGTGGTGGCACACGCCTGTAATTCTAGCAACTCAGGAGGCTGAGGCAGCAGAATCACTTGAACCCAGGAGACAGAGGTTGCAGCAAGCCAAGATCACGCCACTGCACTCCAGCCTGAGTGACAGAGCAAGACTGTCAAAAAAATAATAATAATAATAATAAAGGAGGCAGAATTATTTGTTGTAACAAACAAATTTTTCTGTATACCATGTTTAATTTTATGTATCAATCTAACTGGGCCAAGGAATGCCTAGACATTTGGTCAAATGATATTCTGGGTATGTCTATGAGGGTGCTTCTAGGTGAGATTAACATTTGAATCAGTAGACTGAGAAAAAGATTGTCCTTCCTAATGTGAGTAGGCTTCATCCTCTCAGTTGAAGACCTGAAGAGAACAAAACAACAAACTCCTCCTGCCTGATTTCTTGAGCTAGGACACTGGTATTTTCCTGCCTTCAGACCTGACTGAAACACCAGTTCTTCTTGGGTCTACAGCCTGCTGGCTTCCAGACTGGAACTTACACCATTGTCCTCTTCTAGTACTCAGGCCTTTGGACTCACACTGGAATTACACATTGGCTCTCTGGGTCTCCAGCATGCCAACTGCAGATCTTGGCATTTATTAAGCCTCCAAAATTGTGAGCCAATTCCTTATTTTATACACACACACAAACACACACACACACACACACAGAGGCTTCTGTTTCTTTGAAGAACTCTAATAAGCTAAATCTGAATTGCTTCCAACGTCTTTATTTTTAAGGTTAGAATCATAAGCTACAAAAGCCAAATATAAATATCTCAAACAAAATAACAAGAAACCAAGTATTATAGACCAATATTTACCTATCTTCTTACAGTTTTTAAAGCTTTTATATGTGCACTATCTCATATGATTCCCACAGCAAGCCACGAAGTTAAGGCAAGATTCTCTTCTACTTATAAATGAAGAAATCGCATCATAAATCGCAAAGCAAAACAAAAACTCAGATCTTGTAACTCACAACCAGTGCATTACACCATGCTGCCCCCAACAGATACAAGAATCAGCTTATTAAAAACAAAACAAGAAAGCCAAAAAACTAGGGCAACTTGTTAATAATATATGTGGGAAGATACAAGCAATCTTCAAAAGTTTTCCGTAATGATGATACTGTAAAGCCTCCCTGTAATGAAAATCATACCATTCAAACTTTAGCGATGACCATTAAGCCTTACATACCTTACCTGTAATAGCCTTCCTCTCCTACATTTTCAAATTTTTATATAAAAGTTGAGATAGGCTTTCAAGATAAAAATAAAAATATACTTAAGTTACAATACTGAAACAAAATGTGATCAGGAACAAGACTCAGACTGAGTCCTGCGTATATTATACCCATGTTCAAAACTGAGTAATACCAATATTTTTGTAATATAGGGAAAGTCTTGAAAACACACACCTGTCACTTCAACTTTTAGTGATGGAACTCCCAGGCAGCACTACAACTTTAAACCAAAACACTCTTTCATACCCTGCCATCTTCTGCATACTTAAGTACAAATATCATGGACTCTAATGTGAAATACTTTAATTAATTGGAAAAAACTAATATATTTCTAATTGAACAACAATATTCAGATAAAAAATAGAAAGTATACATATTTGTTCCAGTCTCTCCAATAAGAATACTGGGTGACAAATTGGGTGAATATTGGGTAATGAATTGAATCCTTTAAACAGAACTCATGAACACTAAGAGTTCAAGCCCAGGAAGGATGATTTGAGAAAGAGAAGAAATCACAGATAACAGTAACTACTTGACTAAAAAATAACAACTGCCTCACTATTTGTTGATACATAAATTCCACTAAAAAGAAGATAAAGCCAATGTTAAAAGGTTTAAACTGCACTTCAACACATTAATATTAAAGTCTAATAATTAGTCTGTCAACCATTTGATGGACATAAAATCCTTTACTAATCTTTGATAGGGTAATCCTAACCACCTACCTGAACCAGAAAGGAAATCTAATCATGAAATTTAACCATGGGAAAAAGAGAAAAGAGCACAGAAAAAGAAAGCTTTAAAAAGATGCTTGGCCAGGTGCCGTGGCTCACACCTGTAATCCCAGCTCTTTGGGAGGCAGAGGTGTTAGAGGTGTTCAAGCCAGAGAGGCTCCATTTTGAGTGAGGGCTAGGAAAATGAGGCTGAGACCTGCTGGGCTGCATTCTCAGAAAATTAGGCATTCCTAGCCTCTGGATGTTTACGGTTAAAGGAACAAATTAATAACGTTTACTAAAACAGACCCAGACTTGGTAGTGGCCAGATATCCCAATATCTGAAGAACAAAGGCATTCCTAATTTTGCTTTATCAATTCTTGCAAAATATAGCAATTAAGAAAATTAATCCTTTACCACAACACAAACCCTTGTAGCAGAGCACACCTCCCCCTATATACAAGCATTGTACCTAGGGTGGACGCGTTCCCCTTCTGACTTTGAGGAACATCCTACTCTGTCTATGGAGTAACTGTCCTTTCACCACTTTACTTTCTTAATAAACTTGCTTTTGCTTTGCGCTGCGGACTTGCCCTGAATTCTTTCTTGCGCAAAATCCAAGAACCCTCTCTTGGAGTCTAAATCAGGATCCCTTTCCTGTAACAGAGGCGGGTGGATCACTTGAGGTCAGAAGTTCGAGACCAGCCTGACCAACATGGTGAAACCCCAACTCTACTAAAAATACAAAATTAGCCAAGCATGGTGGCGCATACTTGTAGTCCCAGCTACACAGGAGGCTGAGGCAGGAGACTCACTTGAACCTAGGAGGCGGAGGTTGGCGTGAGCCGAGATCGTGCTATTGCACTCCAGCCTAGGCAACAAGAGCGAAACTCCATCTCAAAAAAAAAAAAAAGATGCTTAACTTCTCAGACTTCACAATTTTGTCGAAAAAAATCCCAACTTACCTTTAAATGGAGGAAGACAAATAGAAGTTATTCAAAATAGTTTTTCTAACATTTGTAATTGAAAATTTCTGACTACTATAATTTAAAACATAGATTTTACTAGAAGGAAGTTTCAGTTTCAGAGCATCTGTTAATCGAGGTGTTTGTAGGCAGTTAACTTTTCTTACTGCCTTTGACTTTCAGGTAAGTAAAGGCCAAATTCTTGACCAGGGTATTGGATTTGTGAAATTGTCAAATAAACTATTTTTCTATAAAGTAATTGCTTCTTATTTCTCTTGATTTGTCACGTTAAAATTTGTTTTTTGTGCCATAAATGTTAAACCTAATATATGTGCATTTCATATATATTCATATAATCACCATGTCACTTCCTTAGGAAAGGCTTCCCAAACCCTCTACACTAGAATGGATCCTCTTGTAAACAGCCTAGTAACATTCTGAACGTCTTCTTAATAGCACTTACCACAGATAATTTCGTATTTATTTAAAGTTTACCTTCCCCCTTCATTGTTAACCTCCACGTTCCCCTCACTCCAGTATTTCTTACTCATTGTAGGTAACATGTAATATTTGATTAATGAAATAAGGGTAGATAAGAGACAGTGAAAGGAAATGAAGATTCAGAGTAAATACAGTTATACTACACTCCAAATGCAGCCAGGGGCACACAGAAATTTGGCTGTTTCTGGTTAATTCAGTGCCTCCTGTGCTTGAGAGTTTCTGACATACGGGTCTGAAAAAAAAAATTGTCCCATGTGTATTTCTTTCAAGGTTTAAAAATCGAATCTAATCAGAATAAGCCTTCCTTCATCACTGGCAATAGGTGCAGAATCTTTCAAGGAAACTCCCAAAGTGGATTAATCACAATCCAAACCCCCAAGATCAAGTAAGAATCAAGAAACCAAAGCAACCTGACAAATCTAATGAGTCAAAGGGCTATACAAAATAAATGACAGTAAGTTGAAAAAATTCAGCATTCTTATAAAAGGAACTTGCTCAAATCTGATGATACTTGATTTAGCACTCTTCCTTAATACTTTTCTTTCACATATAAATTATTTAAGGTCCATTTTACTAAATATTTTTCTTTTTTTCTTTTTTTCTTTTTTGAGACAGAGTCTCACTCTGTTGCCAGGCTGGAGTCCAGTGGCGCAATCTAGGCTCATCGCAACCTCTGCCTCCGGGCTCCAGTGATTCTCTTGCCTCAGCCTCCCCAGTAGCTGGGATTACAGGCACACGCCACCATGCCCAGCTAATTTTTGTATTTTTAGTGAAGATGGGGTTTCACCATGTTGGCCAGGCTGGTCTCGAACTCCTGACCTCAGGTGATCTGCCCACCTTGGCCTCCCAAAGTGCTGGGATTACAGGTGTAAGCCAACCTGCCCCGCCACTAAATATTTTTCAATACTGCTATGAGCCAAGTTAGTTAAAATCTTCTTTAATTTATTTCAGTTATTGATTCCCCTCAAGTATAATTATGAGGAAGACAGAGCCTCACATATGATATGTAAGAACAATTCACCATACTAACTTGACTCATTAATTATTCAGGCTCACTAACAAATACTTATTAACTATATTCCTAGTATCCAAAGATAAAACAGATTCATATCCTATTACCTGAAGGAAAAAATACACAAATCTCAATCACAACATTAAGAGCATATCAATGAGTAGAAAGAAAACTAAGATTAGTGAGTAATTAAAAGGCAATTTAAAAGTTTAACCTGCGGTCAACAGAGATTCAAATTAAGTCTTTAATACAGTACTATATTATGTATATATTACGATAATGGAAGAATAATAAATCTGAAGTATTATAAGACCATTAATCATCAAAGCATCAACCACTATTAGGCATTCTATGTGCCCAGTTTAAGTCCTTGGGGATGAAAACATATTTCACATTCACTATACTATAAAAGTAAGGGAAGTAACTGTAATGTAAGAAATTGTACTGACATTTTAAAAAGACTTTCTTCAAAATATTTTATTTAGTTCTTTGTTAAGCCATCACTTCAACTCCCCTTCCCTAATTACCACCTACCACCTGCCTACCACCTAAGTAAGTACTCAATAACTAATATGATAATAAATAAACGATCAATCTATTGTCAAGGTCTTACCACATTTTTCACTTCCAAAGCTTATACAGATAGATTTATACAACATAAGTCTGCATTCCAGCCTTTCAATCCACATCATCTTTTCATAATCAATAAAAAAAGTATCCATATATATATATATATTGCTTATGCACAAATTGAGGCACGAATTTTTTTCTCAAAGTCATAACTCACAAGAGTTACCTTTTATGTATTCCATAAAAATACACTTTTTTTTTTTTTTTGCTATCCCTCCCCCCTCCCCCGACCCCACCACAGTCCCCAGAGTGTGATATTCCCCTTCCTGTGTCCATGTGATCTCATTGTTCAATTCCCAGCTTTGAGTGAGAATATGCGGTGTTTCGTTTTTTGTTCTTGCGATAGTTTACTGAGAATGATGGTTTCCAATTTCATCCATGTCCCTACAAAGGACATGAACTCATCATTTTTTATGGCTGCATAGTATTCCATGGTGTATATGTGCCACATTTTCTTAATCCAGTCTATCATTGTTGGACATTTGGGTTGGTTCCAAGTCTTTGCTATTGTGAATAATGCCGCAATAAACATACGTGTGCATGTGTCTTTATAGCAGCATGATTTATAGTCATTTGGGTATATACCCAGTAATGGAATGGCTGGGTCAAATGGTATTTCTAGTTCTAGATCCCTGAGGAATCGCCACACTGACTTCCACAATGGTTGAACTAGTTTACAGTCCCACCAACAGTGTAAAAGTGTTCCTATTTCTCCACATCCTTTCCAGCACCTGTTGTTTCCTGACTTTTTAATGATTGCCATTCTAACTGGTGTGAGATGATATCTCATAGTGGTTTTGATTTGCATTTCTCTGATGGCCAGTGATGGTGAGCATTTTTTCATGTGTTTTTTGGCTGCATAAATGTCTTCTTTTGAGAAGTGTCTGTTCATGTCCTTCGCCCACTTTTTGATGGGGTTGTTTGTTTTTTTCTTGTAAATTTGTTTGAGTTCATTGTAGATTCTGGATATTAGCCCTTTGTCAGATGAGTAGGTTGCGAAAATTTTCTCCCATGTTGTAGGTTGCCTGTTCACTCTGATGGTAGTTTCTTTTGCTGTGCAGAAGCTCTTTAGTTTAATTAGATCCCATTTGTCAATTTTGGCTTTTGTTGCCATTGCTTTTGGTGTTTTGGACATGAAGTCCTTGCCCACGCCTATGTCCTGAATGGTAATGCCTAGGTTTTCTTCTAGGGTTTTTATGGTTTTAGGTCTAACGTTTAAATCTTTAATCCATCTTGAATTGATTTTTGTATAAGGTGTAAGGAAGGGATCCAGTTTCAGCTTTCTACATATGGCTAGCCAGTTTTCCCAGCACCATTTATTAAATAGGGAATCCTTTCCCCATTGCTTGTTTTTCTCAGGTTTGTCAAAGATCAGATAGTTGTAGATATGCGGCATTATTTCTGAGGGCTCTGTTCTGTTCCATTGATCTATATCTCTGTTTTGGTACCAGTACCATGCTGTTTTGGTTACTGTAGCCTTGTAGTATAGTTTGAAGTCAGGTAGTGTGATGCCTCCAGCTTTGTTCTTTTGGCTTAGGATTGACTTGGCGATGCGGGCTCTTTTTTGGTTCCATATGAACTTTAAAGTAGTTTTTTCCAATTCTGTGAAGAAAGTCATTGGTAGCTTGATGGGGATGGCATTGAATCTGTAAATTACCTTGGGCAGTATGGCCATTTTCACGATATTGATTCTTCCTACCCATGAGCATGGAATGTTCTTCCATTTGTTTGTGTCCTCTTTTATTTCCTTGAGCAGTGGTTTGTAGTTCTCCTTGAAGAGGTCCTTCACGTCCCTTGTAAGTTGGATTCCTAGGTATTTTATTCTCTTTGAAGCAATTGTGAATGGGAGTTCACTTATGATTTGGCTCTCTGTCTGTTGTTGATGTATAAGAATGCTTGTGATTTTTGTACATTGATTTTGTATCCTGAGACTTTGCTGAAGTTGCTTATCAGCTTAAGGAGATTTTGGGCTGAGACAATGGGGTTTTCTAGATAAACAATCATGTCGTCTGCAAACAGGGACAATTTGACTTCCTCTTTTCCTAATTGAATACCCTTTATTTCCTTCTCCTGCCTGATTGCCCTGGCCAGAACTTCCAACACTATGTTGAATAGGAGCGGTGAGAGAGGACATCCCTGTCTTGTGCCAGTTTTCAAAGGGAATGCTTCCAGTTTTTGCCCATTCAGTATGATATTGGCTGTGGGTTTGTCATAGATAGCTCTTATTATTTTGAAATACGTCCCATCAATACCTAATTTATTGAGAGTTTTTAGCATGAAGGGTTGTTGAATTTTGTCAAAGGTTTTTTCTGCATCTATTGAGATAATCATGTGGTTTTTGTCTTTGGCTCTGTTTATATGCTGGAATACATTTATTGATTTGTGTATATTGAACCAGCCTTGCATCCCAGGGATGAAGCCCACTTGATCATGGTGGATAAGCTTTTTGATGTGCTGCTGGATTCGGTTTGCCAGTATTTTATTGAGGATTTTTGCATCAATGTTCATCAAGGATATTGGTCTAAAATTCTCTTTTTTGGTTGTGTCTCTGCCCGGCTTTGGTATCAGAATGATGCTGGCCTCATAAAATGAGTTAGGGAGGATTCCCTCTTTTTCTATTGATTGGAATAGTTTCAGAAGGAATGGTACCAGTTCCTCCTTGTACCTCTGGTAGAATTCGGCTGTGAATCCATCTGGTCCTGGACTCTTTTTGGTTGGTAAACTATTGATTATTGCCACAATTTCAGAGCCTGTTATTGGTCTATTCAGAGATTCAACTTCTTCCTGGTTTAGTCTTGGGAGAGTGTATGTGTGGAGGAATGTATCCATTTCTTCTAGATTTTCTAGTTTATTTGCGTAGAGGTGTTTGTAGTATTCTCTGATGGTAGTTTGTATTTCTGTGGGATCGGTGGTGATATCCCCTTTATCATTTTTTATTGTGTCTATTTGATTCTTCTCTTTTTTTCTTTATTAGTCTTGCTAGCGGTCTATCAATTTTGTTGATCCTTTCAAAAAACCAGCTCCTGGATTCATTGATTTTTTGAAGGGTTTTTTGTGTCTCTATTTCCTTCAGTTCTGCTCTGATTTTAGTTATTTCTTGCCTTCTGCTAGCTTTTGAATGTGTTTGCTCTTGCTTTTCTAGTTCTTTTAATTGTGATGTTAGGGTGTCAATTTTGGATCTTTCCTGCTTTCTCTTGTAGGCATTTAGTGCTATAAATTTCCCTCTACACACTGCTTTGAATGTGTCCCAGAGATTCTGGTATGTGGTGTCTTTGTTCTCGTTGGTTTCAAAGAACATCTTTATTTCTGCCTTCATTTCGTTATGTACCCAGTAGTCATTCAGGAGCAGGTTGTTCAGTTTCCATGTAGTTGAGCGGCTTTGAGTGAGATTCTTAATCCTGAGTTCTAGTTTGATTGCACTGTGGTCTGAGAGATAGTTTGTTATAATTTCTGTTCTTTTACATTTGCTGAGGAGAGCTTTACTTCCAACTATGTGGTCAATTTTGGAATAGGTGTGGTGTGGTGCTCAAAAAAATGTATATTGTGTTGATTTGGGGTGGAGAGTTCTGCAGATGTCTATTAGGTCCGCTTGGTGCAGAGCTGAGTTCAATTCCTGGGTATCCTTGTTGACTTTCTGTCTCGTTGATCTGTCTAATGTTGACAGTGGGGTGTTAAAGTCTCCCATTATTAATGTGTGGGAGTCTAAGTCTCTTTGTAGGTCACTCAGGACTTGCTTTATGAATCTGGGTGCTCCTGTATTGGGTGCATAAATATTTAGGATAGTTAGCTTCTCTTGTTGAATTGATCCCTTTACCATTATGTAATGGCCTTCTTTGTCTCTTTTGATCTTTGTTGGTTTAAAGTCTGTTTTATCAGAGATTAGGATTGCAACCCCTGCCTTTTTTTGTTTTCCATTTGCTTGGTAGATCTTCCACCATCCTTTTATTTTGAGCCTATGTGTGTCTCTGCATGTGAGATGGGTTTCCTGAATACAGCACACTGATGGGTCTTGACTCTTTATCCAACTTGCCAGTCTGTGTCTTTTAATTGCAGAATTTAGTCCATTTATATTTAAAGTTAATATTGTTATGTGTGAATTTGATCCTGTCATTATGATGTTAGCTGGTGATTTTGCTCATTAGTTGATGCAGTTTCTTCCTAGTCTCGATGGTCTTTACATTTTGGCATGATTTTGCAGTGGCTGGTACCGGTTGTTCCTTTCCATGTTTAGCGCTTCCTTCAGGAGCTCTTTTAGGGCAGGCCTGGTGGTGACAAAATCTCTCAGCATTTGCTTGTCTATAAAGTATTTTATTTCTCCTTCACTTATGAAGCTTAGTTTGGCTGGATATGAAATTCTGGGTTGAAAATTCTTTTCTTTAAGAATGTTGAATATTGGCCCCCACTCTCTTCTGGCTTGTAGGGTTTCTGCCGAGAGATCCGCTGTTAGTCTGATGGGCTTTCCTTTGAGGGTAACCTGACCTTTCTCTCTGGCTGCCCTTAACATTTTTTCCTTCATTTCAACTTTGGTGAATCTGACAATTATGTGTCTTGGAGTTGCTCTTCTCAAGGAGTATCTTTGTGGCGTTCTCTGTATTTCCTGAATCTGAACGTTGGCCTGCCTTGCTAGATTGGGGAAGTTCTCCTGGATAATATCCTGCAGAGTGTTTTCCAACTTGGTTCCATTCTCCACATCACTTTCAGGTACACCAATCAGATGTAGATTTGGTCTTTTCACATAGTCCCATATTTCTTGGAGGCTTTGCTCATTTCTTTTTATTCTTTTTTCTCTAAACTTCCCTTCTCGCTTCATTTCATTCATTTCATCTTCCATTGCTGATACCCTTTCTTCCAGTTGATCGCATCGGCTCCTGAGGCTTCTGCATTCTTCACGTAGTTCTCGAGCCTTGGTTTTCAGCTCCATCAGCTCCTTTAAGCACTTCTCTGTATTGGTTATTCTAGTTATACATTCTTCTAAATTTTTTTCAAAGTTTTCAACTTCTTTGCCTTTGGTTTGAATGTCCTCCCGTAGCTCAGAGTAATTTGATCGTCTGAAGCCTTCTTCTCTCAGCTCGTCAAAATCATTCTCCATCCAGCTTTGTTCCGTTGCTGGTGAGGAACTGCGTTCCTTTGGAGGAGGAGAGGCGCTCTGCATTTTAGAGTTTCCAGTTTTTCTGTTCTGTTTTTTCCCCATCTTTGTGGTTTTATCTACTTTTGGTCTTTGATGATGGTGATGTACAGATAGGTTTTCGGTGTAGATGTCCTTTCTGGTTGTTAGTTTTCCTTCTAACAGACAGGACCCTCAGCTGCAGGTCTGTTGGAATACCCTGCCGTGTGAGGTGTCAGTGTGCCCCTGCTGGGGGGTGCCTCCCAGTTAGGCTGCTCAGGGGTCAGGGGTCAGGGACCCACTTGAGGAGGCAGTCTGCCCATTCTCAGATCTCCAGCTGCGTGCTGGGAGAACCACTGCTCTCTTCAAAGCTGTCAGACAGGGACACTTAAGTCTGCAGAGGTTACTGCTGTCTTTTTGTTTGACTGTGCCCTGCCCCCAGAGGTGGAGCCTACAGAGGCAGGCAGGCCTCCTTGAGCTGTGGTGGGCTCCACCCAGTTGGAGCTTCCCGGCTGCTTTGTTTACCTAAGCAAGCCTGGGCAATGGCGGGCGCCCCTCCCCCAGCCTCGTTGCCGCCTTGCAGTTTGATCTCAGACTGCTGTGCTAGCAATCAGCGAGATTCCGTGGGTGTAGGACCCTCTGAGCCAGGTGTGGGATATAGTCTCGTGGTGCGCCGTTTTTTAAGCCGGTCTGAAAAGCGCAATATTCGGTGGGAGTGACCCGATTTTCCAGGTGCGTCCATCACCCCTTTCTTTGACTCGGAAAGGGAACTCCCTGACCCCTTGCGCTTCCCAGGTGAGGCAGTGCCTCGCCCTGCTTCGGCTCGCGCACGGTGCGCGCACACACTGGCCTGCGCCCACTGTCTGGCACTCCCTAGTGAGATGAACCCGGTACCTCAGATGGAAATGCAGAAATCACCCGTCTTCTGCGTCGCTCACGCTGGGAGCTGTAGACCGGAGCTGTTCCTATTCGGCCATCTTGGCTCCTCCCAAAATACACTTTTTTTTTAACAATCTGGCTGTTGTACAATTTAAGATATTCCCCAGAAAATCAAGAGCTCTCTGTTGTAAATTACATAAAACATAGATTCAAAATATTAAATAAATTGTGTGATTACATCTAGATCGAGGTGGAAAAGCAAAGGGGAAAATCGCATGAAATGTAATTAAACAAGCAACAGATAGACCACATAAGGCTCTGAAGGCCATGGTGAGGATTTCACATTGTATTGCATTGGAAAGTCCCTGGAGAGTTATGGGCAGAGGAATAACAAAAGCTGACTTGCATTTTTAAAGGATAATAGATAGGTATTTTATCCTCATTTTATAGATGAGGACACTGAGGTTCACAAATGTTAAGAACCTTGCTCAAGGTCACAATGCCAGTAAGTGGCAGGACTGAGATTCAAGTCCATGCTCTTCCCATCTCTTACAATACCTCTCAAAACTCCTTTACTTCAAGACTCAGTAACACTACCACCTCAATCTCTTCATACAGCTCTGTCTGCTTCTTTCTTTTCCTCTGCTCCAAATATAAGCATTCCCTAGGTTGTCTTCTCTTTCTAAACTCTCTCCCTCGTCGACCTAACCCATAATCATGGGCTCAACTTTCATCTCTAGGATTAGGACATATAAACCTAAATCTCTAGCCTCAGTTTCTCTCTACCCCTGCATTTCTCAATGTCTCATGGTCATTCTCCACTTACATACCGCACTGGTAATTAAAACTCAGTATGTCCCAAAGCAAGCCAGTATGTTTCACTGAAAATATTTTTTCCACAGCACTAACTTCTACATATCCTAATAAGCAAGGCTTAAAATCTTACAGCTTTATTTGATCCTTCGAACTTACATCTTTAAAACTGAGTTACTGGGTTTGTTTTGTTGTTTGTTTATTTGTTTGTTTGTTTGTTTTTTGAGACACAGTCTCGCTCCGTCTCCCAGGCTGGGGAGCTGAGATCTCCACTCGCTGCAAGCGATTCTCCTGCCTCAGTCTCCCAAGTAGCTGGGATTACAGATGCCCACCACCACGCTGGCTAATTTTTGTATTTTTAGTAGGGGAGGGGTTTCAGCATTTGACCAGGCTGGTCTCGAACTCCTGACCTCAAGTGATCCTCCCGCCTCAGCCTCCCAAAATGCTGGTATTACAGGCATGAGCCACCATGCCCGGCCTGAGTTACACTGTTAATCTAATAGTTATATATACTACTTTACTTTTATTTTTATCTGTACCTTATGGCATTTATCTCAATGAATTTGCATTACAGGAGTATATGTGCCTAATCTCCCCTCCTAAACTATAAACTCAATGTAAGAAGTATGTCTCATTCATTTTATTCTTCACCATACCACATAGCACACAGCTGCCACAAACAGCACCCTGCAAATAGCAGACTCAATAAATACTTGGTAAACAAATAGGGGACAAATATTTCAATACCAATAGTCTAGGTTCAGATATTACTAAACTAATCATCAAATATCAGTCTCCCCTTCACCATATATTTCATCAATATTTATTGGCAAATAATGAAAAGAAAGTTTTTAAGAGTCAAAAGTTCAAGCATAGTTTTCTAAAAAATGAATAAAAGGCCTGATTATTCAGACTAATCTCTATCACAATAAAATCAACTAATTAGTTGGATATGAAGGCAATCTGATGGAAAATCTGTTACCAGAGGGATTATTAGTGTAGAATTGACTCCCTCATTCCTCCAGGTGGGTCTCTTTCTACCAATATGTATTTTTATCCCTCATCTATGACAACTAAGAGGCAAATAATGGTAAATCAGAATTGGCCTGCTCTACTCAGAGTTAGCTGCTACAGAAAACAGTGAGTTGAGAAAGTGTTTACTGCAATACTAAGCCCTTACCTCTCAACTGGAAGCGACATGCTAGAGGCTGTAGTTTGTACTCAACAGAGAGCAGCCAAAGAATAACAAGAACTCACATATAAAAACAACTTCAGCCGGGTGCGGTGGCTCACGCCTGTAATCCCAGCACTTTGGGAGGCCGAGGCGGGCGGATCACAAGGTCAGGAGATCGAGACCATCCTGGCTAACAGAGTGAAACCCCGTCTCTACTAAAAATACAAAAAAATTAGCTGGGCGTGGTGGCAGGCACCTGTAGTCCAAGCTACTCGAGAGGCTGAGGCAGGAGAATTGCATGAACCCGGGAGGCGCAGCTTGCAGTAAGCCTAGATCGCGCCACCGCACTCCAGCCTGGGCAACAAAGCCAGACTCCGTCTCAAAAAAATAAAAATAAAAACACCTTCAACAAACTCAAAACGTCACATTAATGAATAGGAAAACCCATTATTCAATTGTTCATTTAAAAAAGACCACATGACGGCCGGGCGTGGTGGCTTACGCCTGTAATCCCAGCACTTTGGGAGGCTGAGGTGGGTGGATCACGAGGTCAGGAGATGGAGACCATCCTGGCCAATACGGTGAAACCCACCTCTACTAAAAATACAAAAATTAGCTGGGCGTGGTGGCGCGGCCTGTAGTCCCAGCTACTCGGCAGGCTGAGGCAGGAGAAGGGCGTGACCCCAGGAGGTGGAACTTGCAGTTAGCCGAGATTGTGCCACTGCACTCCAGCCTGGGCGACAGAGCAAGACTCTGTCTCAAATAAATAAATAAAACCATATGACTTATATCTCCAAAGAGATAATAAGAAATTATGTAAAAATCATTTAGTTATTGAAAAGAAAGATAAAGTGAGCCCCTTATTTACACCCCCATAAGTTAGGTCTCAAGCAAAAATCAAAGAGGGATTATGCACACATTTACAATTCCATGGTCTCCAAAGCTCAGATAATCTAGACAGATATTCTGAGTAGTTTACATTCTTTAATGACTTCAGGGTTTCTTATTTTATTTTTTTAAGCCAAAAACAAAAACAAATGCCTATTACCAAAAACTTTTTAGTCTCATTGCTGGTCTTGTAGCCTCTAGAAAACTTGCTAAAGCACTCACTGCCTTAAAACACTCAGTCTGTATCACTGAACTGATTTTTTCAATCAGTGGTTTTCAAGCCTTTAGCAACCAATGAGACTGTCCATAAACCGTTTTTTATTCCTAGAAATTTCAACTCTGGCTTAAATGTTTATTCAGAGCCTAGAAGTGATTAACTGATCCTTAGTAATCTAACAGATTTGTTGGATTACATGGTTCAAAGGGAGTAAATATTGAGTAAACATGTTCATCCACTGAAGAGTCTAAACATCTAAAGGTCAGTGAAAAAACAGGTTTTAAAATCATTCTTTCCCAAAAATGCAAAAGATTCTACTTTGGACTCAGCTAAAGGTAAATGCCAGTACCTTAATCTAGAGGTCCTAAAGAAAACCAACTAGGAAAAGAAAGGTCTTAGTGTTAGAACCATCTGAGGTTAGTGAACAAGTTTTCCTTCTTAGGGAAGGTACCTAAGAATCTCAACAGCATAGAATCCATACTCCCAAGTGGGCAACTGTATATTCTAAATTTGCCACAAAAACAAGGGCCTTATGCTTTCCTTAATCTTAGTGGTAGTCTAGGGGTTAAACAGTTTTTTTTGTTTGTTTGTTTGTTTGTTTTGAGACAGAGTCTCGCTCTGTTGCCAGGCTGGAGTGCAGTGGCGTGATCTCTGCTCAGTACAACCTCCGCCTCCCAGGTTCAAGTGATTCTCCTGCTTCAGCCTCCCGAGCAGCTGGGACTACAGGTGCACACCACCATGCCCAGCTAATTTTTGTATTTTTAGTAGAGACGGGTTTCACCATGTTGGCCAGGATGGTCTCCATTTCCTGACCTCGTGATCCACCCGCCTCAGCCTCCCAAAGTGCTGGGATTACAGGCGTCAGACACCGCACCCAGCCAACAGTTTAATAACTGTTTCATATGTATGTGTGCAGCAAGGGGTACCACCTATTTAGAATATGTAGCAATAACTAACATTCAAGAAATACAATATAAAATTCTAAAATATATTTTTGGTACATGCATACATTGTTACCGTATATCACAAAATATGTAAGAATCTGCTTTTTAAAAAAACTACAGAAATAGGCTGGGCCCAGTGGCTCACTCCTGTAATTCCAGCACTTTGGGAGGCTGAGGCAGGTGGATCACCTGAGGTCAGGAGTTCCAAACCAACCTGACCAACATGCAGAAACCCCGTCTCTACTAAAAATACAAAATTAGCCGGGCGTGGTGGTGCATACCTGTAATCCCAGCTACTCGGGAGGCTGAGGCAGCAGAATGGCTTGAACCTGGGAGGCGGAGGTTGTAGTGAGCCGAGATCACACCACTGCACTCCAGCCTGAGCAACAAGAGCGAAACTCTGTCTCAAAAAAAAAAAAACAAAACAAAACTACAGAAATAAATGATGAGTGAGAGCTGATATTCTTTACAAATTGTGAAAACACAAAGATTCACTATTATAATAAAAGGAATCATACATCTACATTTTGAAATAGTTTAAACAGTAGAAGATGAATACCGACTAAACAGTTGTAGATACTAAGATTAAAAGAAGCATGAGGGCAAATGTATAGAACAAGAAAGTAAATATGACATGAAGAAATCAGTTTAGTACAACACACATGATAATGTTTCCAATGAAAAGCAGATACATAAGACCCATTTTATAGGCTCCAGAAAACACTCTTGATAAAAATCTTCCTTCATGTTGGGGCTCAGAATACAATACCACAAAATGAAGGCCTCAGAAGCAGCCTTAGAAGCAGAAGTTTTTTTCTGACCTTCTCCTGCTCTCCTGTCTCCTAGTCCCACTCTCCCCTGAGCTAGCCTTAGAAACTAGAATTTTCCCCAAGGCAGGTCATAAAAACCAAAACCTATTTTCCCCAAAGCCAGCCATAAAACTTAAAATATCATACTAACTTTCCCTTTGCCTTTCCATGTAAAAACTGGCCATAAAGAAACTATCTGACCTACCTTGTTTGACTGTAGGTCATAAGCCCCCATTCCAGAGAGGGTCCTGCCCCATACTCAAAAGAAAAGAAGGAATGCTCAGAGAGGCCAAGAAGAATTTAGACAGAGAGGCCAAGAAGAATCTAGACAGACAGACCTTGCTTCCCCAATCAGTCTATTACCATTATTGTCCAATCACATTTCTACATAGCTGTCTATACTTCGTTGAACCTAAGCATAAAAACAGATAATTTCCCCTGTATTTTTGGGTCTTCATTCTGAAGGCTCCCGTGTATACACGTTAAATAAATTGGTACATGCCCTTTCTCCTATTAATCCATCGGCCTCCTGTCAGTGATTTTTGGTGAACCTTCAGAGGGCCAAGGGGAAAGCTCTCCATTGGTCCCTACACCAGCTTGTCTTTAGAACTTCTCCATTTCTAGCAATAATGGCAACTGCAACAATCTGACTTGACAACCTAGAAGTATAAAGAAGTCCTCATACTGCCCCAATATCCTTGGTCTCTAAGTCCTGTTCATTCTGCCACAAAATGCCTCTAGAACTGCCCTTTCATCTTCTCTGGCAGACCTGCCAAATATGTCTTCACTCCCGCACTATTCATATGCTTATTCATTCATACCTTCACTCATTTAGACATATATTAAGCATTTAATGAGGTACTACACTAGTCTAAATACAAACCACTGTTTTAACAGAAGATAGAGACATATATCATAATTAATGCACTATTACCCTATTTAACTCCTCACAACAGACCTTAAAAAATGGGTACAATCATCTTCTGCAAAGCAAGGGGACTAAGGCTCCATGCGATTCGGTAATTTTTCTAAAGATCATATTGATAGTAAATTGCAGGGTGAGATTCCACAGGAGTTCTGACTCTTTCCACTACTTAGTGAAATTGCTGCATCAATTTCTCAAAAATCTTTTCTATCCGGTCTTCCCAGTGCTACCAGATTTAGCATCTGAAAGCATCATTTTGTACTTGTAACCCCTTTGTTCAAAAAGAAACCTCAATAGCATGCACACAGAACAGTGGCTCCTTTAGCCTGTCCTTCAGTCTTTCAGTCAAAAAAAAAAAAAAATGAGAACCGAATCCTGTCTTTTTCCTTACTAGCTCTAAATCTTGTGAATCACTTAATGTCTCTAACCTTCAGGTATCTTACCTATAAAATGGGGATAATAAGCTGGGGTTGTGTAAGGGTTAAAAAAGATAAAATACGTAAAGGACTAAGCACATAATAAATGTAAGTTGTTATCGCTCACAACTCCTGTACGCAAACGTTCTGTTATAGACAATGTATTCATTGCTTCTCTTACAAAACCACTTAGTTTTCTGCCTCAGTTTACATTATCCTCCCTCCTCTCCATTAAGAATAGGTATGCTATAAATGTCTACTGCATGAATAAATGTCTGTATAGCCTTACCCTCAAGGCACAAGTCAAGGGCCACCTACTTCAAGAGGCCTTCCCTACCCACCTTCCATGAACTTCACTCTTAAGTGCCACCGGAGAAGGGAGGAAGAAAAATATGCGTAACTATTCAAAACCTATGATAAACTAGAAAATATGTGATACATCATCAATGCATGATTTCATTTAATTCTCAAAAAGAAAGATAAAGTAACATATACAAAGTCAAATAGCTGGTAAATGATAGAGCTGAGATTCAAATCCTGATACCCTGATCCCTTTTTTTTTTTTTTGTGATGGAGTTTTGCTCTTGTTTCCCAGGCTGGAGTGCAATGGCATGATCTCAGCTCACTACAACCTCCACCTCCCAGGTTCAAGTGATTTTCCTGCCTCAGCCTCCCGAGTAGCTGGGATTACAGGCATGTGCCACCACGCCCAGCTAATTTTATATTTTTCGTAGAGATGGGGTTTCACCATGTTGGTCAAGCTGGCTGGTCTCGAACGCCTGACCTCAGGTGATCCACACACCTCGGCCTCCCAAAGAGCTGGGATTATGGGCGTGAGCCACTGCACCTGGCCTGATCACTTTTTAAAGTCCAATTTCTTTCCACCACACCACCTTGCATCTTAGTACATGGGGGTATACATTTAATCAACTATCCAACACTCACAAAGAGAACAGCTATATGCTCCAAGTAGCCCCACCCATACCTACATGGATAACTGAAACAAAACTGTCATGAAATAATGCTTACCCTTAGTATGCGCAATATGTCCTAACATTTTTTATTTTCTTCCATTTCACTAATATAAAATAAAATGCTATTCAGTTCCCACTAATTTTATTTCACAACTACCGAGGAGTAGCAACCAAAATTTTCAAATACACAGATGTAAGGGTACAAGGCCACATGAGATGGAAAATTTATCCTCAATAAGTACTTAATCTTGTTGGAGATATAGTAGTAAAACACAACTCTTTTCCTGAACACCCCCAACCTACCTTGTTGGAGTAGGAGAACCTATGTTTCTATTGCTACCCTGAATGTCCCTATCATAGACTATAATCCATAAATTGTCTAGGCTATTGATATAACAAGTATCAGGCATTCAACAAATATTTGTTAAGTGAATGAATTAATGAATGAAAAGTGCTATGGATTTTCAGAGGGAGAAGTAGATAGCATAAACTCTCTTTCCACCTATATCATAATCCTCTCACAGCAGGAACAATCTTTTCTATAGTTGTATATCAAGAGCTCAATAATGTTTGTAGATGTTTTATTTTTTACAAATCTGAGCCTTATGCAGTGAGCCGTGATTGCGCCACTGCACTCCAGCCAGAATGGCAATACAACAAGGCCCTGTATCCAAAAATAAAAAGAAAAATTCTGAGACATAGACTGGCCACAGTGAATGTGGAAAAGCAGATAAACATGAATCTTTGCCAAAGAAAATCAAGGAAAAAATTTCCAGCTCCAATAACAATTACTGGCCTCTACTCTAGATCTTTATTATTCAAAGTGCAGCCCCCACCATCAGCATTACCACGAGTTTGTTAGGAAAGCAGAGGTTCAGGCCCCACCAGGACCTAATGAATTAGAACCCCCATTTTAACATAATCCTCAGAGGATTCCTAACATACATGAAAATGTGAGAAGCATCAGTCTATACAATAAAAATGAAATGGGTGCCTGCAACCTCAAACAAAGTCATCACCTTCTCCTGTGTTATCTCTGAAATACATAATCAGACTTTTCAAGAAGTACTACAGATACAGCCATGACACACTTTCAGGAACATTAGGGTATAAATCTAAATTACTTCAATGAGAAATAATAATTGATCATCTGCTGAATATTGAAACTTTTAGAAGACATACAAAAAATATGATCTGTCTTCTTAGGACACAAACTGTAAGGCAAGAAAATGAGACAATGCACTTCAATGGCCAAAGTAATAATAAATCTTTAATATCAAGGATAAGATTATTGAAAAAAAGATTTTGCGGAGAACATTTAAGAGCATCTTTAATAGTCCTCAGTGTTACATATACATACTGCCAAATATTCCCTATTAATTGCCCTGTATGTAAAGTTGTGTAACAGAAGGTCCTAGGTGACACAAAGTCAGATGTCCTAACCAAGTTCACTGACTGAAAGACTGGCATCACCCTTTAAATCACCACACACAATCTCAACCCAGGAGTCTGTTCTGTGAACTTGCAAAAACACTTGCAAAACCCCCAAATCACAATCCTGTCATCTCAAAACTGAGTCAAGATCTGAGGCCACAGGGACTTAGGGCCAAATATGCCTTCTTCATTAAAAAAAAAAAAAAAAAAAAGCAAAATAAAACAGGGGAAACTAGATGAGGAAAGATTGCAGGTCCTTCTCATAGCCTCGCTGACCTACAAATACCTCTCCATCACAAGGCAGGCCAGAGGAAAATAAGGCTGGTCTTTGAATTAACGTTTTTAAGTGTCCTAAACTTAATTCTAAAAGTTGGGAGCCATCCTCTTCCTAGCAACAGGCATTCAGATGACAGCTCAATCTCTAATTCCCCTCCTCCTTCTCCCTTGCAGGAATTGGTATATCCTTCCCTTGCGACCTCCCCCTTCCCCCTACCGACCCCCCAAAACACTCCGACCCCTCCAAAAGAGAGCCCGACACAAGGCAAGTCCCCCAGAGCCCCTCGGGAGCACCAACTGCAGCCCCCGGCCCATCTTCCAGACTAAACTCGCCCTGCGGGACGGGTGACGGGTCTCACCAAGTACAGAGGAGCATAGATCTTCAGGGACTCCTCCAGGGCGCCCCCGGTGATCTGCAGGAAGGAGACCCGGCAGGAAGGGTGCCAAGTGTGGCCGATCTCATAGCAGTTATGAGGGATGGACTTGCTGAGGGCCGCCATGACGAGGAACAGCGCGGAGAAGACAGGAGGGGGAGAGCCTGAGCCCTGCAGGGAGGGGCGCGAGAGCCCAGCCGCCAGCCTCTCGCCCGGCCAGCACTCGGAGGTGCGGAATGGAGGGGAAAGGTCACGAGAGCGGGGTTACTCTGGGCCAAAGTCCTCGGATGTTGAGCGCTCGGCGTATCGCAGCTCAAGGGGGCGGGACGCGCACCGGGGAGGCGGGGAGAGGCGGCGCGTGCGCGCTCCCTCAAGAGGGCATCCGCTGGGGCGCGTTCCCGCGCGGCGGCGCGGCTGGGTGAGCGGAGGCAGAGAGGATCTTCGCACCCAGAGCCGAGGCTGTACGCGAGGGAGCGCAGCTCGGGGACGAGCCGCCTCCCCACCCCCGCGACGCCGTGCCCGGCTCCGGGGCGCAAGCGCTATGGCAGGTGCGCAGTAGGGGGTGGCTTGGGTCAAATTGTACTTCAGCTTCCAACTGCAAGCCAAGTAGAGCGGAGGGTAGTGGAAGAAAGGGATTAAATGTCTTTGTTGGGAGCTGGTGGAGGAAGAGGGTTGCCAGAGGAATGCCTGGGACAAACGTCCTCCCCAGCACCGGGAGCTTGCCTTCCCGAGAGTCCCAGGTAATAAACAGCTAGGGCTGCCTGCTAGTTGCAACTAACTACCCCCAAGTGCTGGGCTTTCCAAGCTCTGTGATACCTGCGAAGGCTTGAAAAGTCTCAGCTATGTTCATACCCCGACCGTGTGTGGGGAAGGGCAATAGGTCATCCTGTCCAAACCTTAGGCCACGGAGCAATCCTGTCTACAGCATCTTTGATAGGTGCTTATCAACCAAACAGCACACACAGTAGAGGCGGCAGTCGTGTGTTAGAACTCAGACCTGGCTAGGGAACTTGGCCAACAATTAGCAAGACAAGGGTCCTGTGTTGCTTGAGTCATATAACCCCTCTGTCAATCTCCTCACATGTAACAAACCTGCCAGTTTCTTTGGATTTCTAAATTCCATAGTCTCTTAAAGCAGAAACGAACTACCTTTAGAAGAATTCCATTCGAATCTTCTAGTCTTCATTCATTCATCTACAAATATTTACTGAGTCATTACTATTTACCAGGCACTGTGCTAAGGAAACAAACAGAAACAAGAGAGACAAGATTTTTATTTTCACGAAGCTAGTATTCTAGAGGGAGAAGACAGAAAATAACAAAGAAAACTGAACAAGATAATATCAGATAGGTGTAGTTGTTTGAAGAAAATAAAAGAGAAATACTCAGATGAAAAGTCCAAAACAACAATGGCAAAAAGATAAAAGTATCTTTCTCTCAGGTAAAGGTAGGCAGTCCTAGAATAAAATGGTGGCTCCATAACGATTAGGGATCCCAGCCTCTTTGTGACAGTTTGCTATGCCATCTGCTACCTGTGATTTCCACCCTAACTTAGAAAATAACATGACATCAACATGCTAGCCAGGAAGACCAGCAAAAGGGGAAGAGAGGCCGGGCGCGGTGGCTCACACCTGTAATCCTAGTACTTTGAGAGGCTGAGGCGGGTGGATCACTTGAGGTCAGGAGTTTGAGACCAGCCTGGCCAACATGGTGAAACCCTGTCTCTACTAAAAATACAAAAATTTGCCAGAAATGGTGACACGCTCCTGTAATCGTAGCTACTCAGGGACTGAGGCAGGAGAATCGCTTGAACTCAGGAGGCAGAGGTTGCAGTGGGCCAAGATCACACCACTGTTGCCTTGGCAACAGAGAGAGACTCTATCTCAAAAAAAAAAAAAAAAAAAAAACGGGGGGGCGGGGGCGGGGAGAAAAGGGCATACTTCCTGTTTTTAAAAAAACTTCCCAGAAGATCCATACAAACTACTACAACTTACGTTCCTTGGACAAAGCTTAATCACATGGCCACACTTCATTGCAAGAGAGGATGGTGAATACAATCTTTTTTAATTAATGGGACAAATGCCCAGCTAACATTTGAGGTTTTATTACTGAGCAAAATGGAAAAAACAGATATTAGAGGCAACTAGCAGTGTCTGCCATAGTTCTATGTCTCTGGCTACCCAAATATCCGGGCACACCATTCTTTCTACAGATAGACATACCTTCCCTTTTCCAAGGGAGACAACCTAAAATTCCATGCAGTTGCTGAATCCTAGCCAAAGTCCAGAATATTCCTCAGGACCAGATGCAGATCTCATGATAAAGTTATCATCCGCCTCAACACATCCAATATACAATGGTAGAATAGGAACAAGATAATCACAATTTTTTTCAAATCTCCAATTCAGAAACTAAGAAGATCAAAAACACAGCATAAACTTATCCAAAAAATTACAGAAATAGCAGTGCAGGCTTATTTTTTTTCAATAATCCATTCCTGAATATCTGTGATCCTTTCACAAGAAAATGCTGAATAGGAACTTAGTTTTAAATGGGAAAAAATAAAATGCATTACATATCAACCAAAAAATTCTTAACAAGTATTTAAAACATAGTATCAAATATTAACAAAAAATGATCATGTTAAGATGTACAATACTATACAAATAACATCTTATTCACCAAACAATTAATACGAGCTGGGCACGGTGGCTGATACCTATAATCCCAACACTTTGGGAGGCTGAGCTTGGTGGATCACCTGAGGTCATAAGTTCAAGACCAGCCTGGCCTATGGTGAAACTCCATCTCTACTAAAAATACAAAAAGTAGCCAGACATGGTGGTGGACACCTGTAATCCCAGCTACTCAGGAGGCTGAGGCAGGAGAATCACTTGAACCTGGGAGGCGGAGGTTGCAGTGAGCCGAGATGGTGCCACTACACTCCAGCCTGGGCAACAGAACAAGACTCCGTCTCAAAAAAAAAAAAATTTTTAATATGATTGTTAACTCTCAGTTGCTTCTGAATGTAATAGCACAATATAGTTTTCATGCCTGATAATAAACAATATGTTTACTATGTGGCCCAGCAATTACACATTAATAAATAAGGAAATTTTAAAATTACAATTAAAACCAGGTGGTTTCTTTTAGTTAACTGTTTTTTGTTTGTTTTGAGACATGGTCTCACTCTGCTACCCAGGCTGAAGTGCAGTGGCGCAATCACAGCTCACAGCAGCCTATATCCCCTGGGCTCAGGAGATCCTCCTGCCTCAGCCTCCTGAGTAGCTGGGACCACAGGTACGCCACCACACCTGGCTAATGTTTTTAAATTATTTGTAGGGTCTCCCTGTGTTACCCAGACTGCTCTTGAACTCCTGGGCTCAAGCTGTCCACCCACCTCAGCCTCCCAAACTGCTGGGATTACAGGTGTGCACCAACACACCTGGTCCTAATTAACTGTTAAATGGAGACTTGAAGCATAAAGAAATTTGAGAAAAAGGGGATGGTGCCAAAGGGGACAATGCTGATGAGCTGGGTGGCAAAGGGGTGATTTCAGGGAAACTCCCAAGTTCAAAAGAAAGGATACTCTATCTTTTCTAGTGCTGCTATGGAGATTCCAAAACAGGAAGGCATTGATAAATCCTCAGGGGAGATGATCTGTGCTTTAGGATGCAAAAAAAATTGCAAAATGGAGCAGTATGCAGTTAAACCAGTAGCTTACATTTGTAAATTTCTTTATATGGTATTATAAGATATAGCAGGCTGTTTTTTAAAAGAAAGCCTTCTCTTCATGCCACCATTAAGTTTAAAGATAATGTTAAACATTGCATCTGCATGGGTCATTTATTCTTTTAGGTTGGCTATGACAGTGGCTTGATTGGATACTTTCTGGGGGCTTCATTGTTTCTTCTTTTTCATTAAAAAAACGCAGGGAGGGCTTTAGGGTTCATCAACAAGGTGAAGCAAAGAGTTTCTCCAAAGAAGGTGCACAGTGGATGAAGAAAACTAATCTGGCAATTTATGATGGAATTCAAAGGCTTTGAAGAAACGCCAAGATGAAAATTGTTGCCCCTTTCTTTGTGATGGAAGAATGAAAAAAAAAAAAAAAACACAAAGTTGTTGCTCTTGTAGGATTCTAGTTTTGAAGATGTCAACGAAAAAGAATGGAAGAGCTCTTAAGATCTAATGCAGAGGATTTAACGACACTAATCTAGTTTAGATCTACATGCAGTCATTGTAGAAATAATTATCAGGCACAAGTACAATGGCAAAGTACGGCAAACTCGAAGTATGACACTGTAGTAGCTCTTGATTCCAGCAACAGTCAGTAACCAAGCTTTTCACAAAGCTACATATGATTCTGATTTTCTTTTCTTTTCTTTTCTTTTGAGACGGAGTCTTGCTGTGTCACCCAAGCTGGAGTGCAATGGGACGATCTCGGCTCACTGCAAACTCCGCCTCCTGGGCTCAAGTGATTCTTCTGCCTCACTAGCTGAGATTAGTGGCACCCACCACCACACCCGGCTAATTTCTGTATTTTTAGTAGAGACGGGGTTTCACCATGTAGTCCAGGCTGGTCCCAAACTCCCTGACCTTAGGTAATTCACCTGCCTCAGCCTCCCAAAGTGCTGGGATTACAGACATGAGCCACCATGCCCAGCCATAATTCTAATTTTCTACTAATTTTTGTTGCAACATAACTTCAGGTTTTTCCTTACGTCATTTTATTTAAAATATTGAGTTTCTAATATGTAAATATAAATTTTAATATTCAAATCTGGAGTATTAAAAGATACATATGCCCTTTCAGTCCAAGTAGGCAGTGTGTCTGCCAATACAATTCTCTTTAAGATTTTGGGGACTTCATATATATCAAATTATAATCCACTCCAATAGAAAAAAAAGCCACACTCACAAACCTCTGAGACAAACACTTTCCGTCTTGGGCTGAGAGTAAGAAAGCTGATGGAAAACACCCTTATACACTTAGAAGTGCTTTTGTCTAGCTGAAATGGTCTAGGTAAAATGGCTTTAAATCTTTGTACAGTCTTTACAAAAAATCTAAATAGCTGCACCCTGGATTGTACCTTCCCCTTAAGGCAATGCCTTAGTTGTTTCACCATCTGGAGAGGCTGGAAGTGAAAAGCAGTTTTATTTTTGAACCCAAAGTTCCCAGACTGTGTATATTTTCTCTAAATTTTGCTTAAAAATGAAATTGTTCCTTTTATATCTCACCTCTCTACATCTTATTCCACATAGGTTTTTTTTTTTTAATCAGTTGGCATTTTCAACAGTCTGTCTGGAAATTTCCTTAACTGCAAATACACCAGTTTGTTAGATATATTTTCTATTTTCTGCATTTCAGCATGCAACAGTGTTGCCAAACTTTCTGCCACTGCATAACAGGGATCCCTTTTTCTCCAGCCTTTCCTAACAGTTTCCTCCCTTCAAGCCTTCAAAGATTGTAGAAAAAACTCTCAAGTGGCCTTACAAAATATTCAGGTACATACACTGTCTAGAATTCTCAGCATCTATATTAGTTTGATGTTACCAGTACTTGGAAGCTACAGCTAAGGACACCATTCTCTCCAAACCCCTACCACTCCAACCACAGAATGTAAAAGTAAAAGATACTTTTGGAGGCTGAGGTGGGAGGATCACGAGGTCGGGAGATCGAGACCATCCTGGCTAACACAGTGAAACCCTGTCTCTACTAAAAATACAAAACAAATTAGCCGGGCATGGTGGCAGGCGCCTGTAGTCCCAGCTACTTGGGAGGCTGAGGCAGGAGAATGGCGTGAACCCAGGAAGCGGAGCTTGCAGTGAGCCGAGATGGTGCCACTGCACTCCAGCCTGGACAACAGAGCAAGACTCCATCTCAAATAAATAAATAAATAAATAAATAAATAATAAAAAAGTAAAAGATTTATGATTATTCTTTGAGAGGAAAAACACAAAATCAACATGTAGATGTGTACAAGGAATGCTTTAGAGGCCAGCCACATCTCTCTAAAAACAGTAGACTTATGCAATAACATATCTGTAGAAGACAAGTGTATTGATAGAATTGGAAGAAAAAAAAACGAGGAGCCCCCTGAGGCAATTCAGGTGCATGCCTGGGAATGAGAACTGCAGCCCAGGGACCTCAGGAATTAACTATGAAATGGGATGCATAGCTTCTCCTGGACAGATGTCATTAAATAACTGACTCATCTAACTAATGTTTTCTTTCTGAGAATAAAACAAACTTTTATTACAGTTTGGCTTCCCATGCAGGTCTGTCTTGAGAGACAGAATGGTTATATATTAGGTAACAGATATCCTAGTTTGTATGACAGGTTTTAATTTTCTATTGTTATTTAATAAATTGGCAGCTTGATTTATGCACTCATTTATAAGCTTGTTTTATATCACTTAGCCTGAGAAAGGAAGAGCCTCCCTGATATGCTTCCAAAGCCAGGTTTTTTACCCTGGTTGTTTGTGGCAATAAATTCTGTATTAGCCAAGAATGGTTAGGCTATGCCGAGATACCACATACACTCTAAATCTCAGAGAATTTAAAATAAGAAAGATTTATTTTGTGTTTACACAAACTCCAAAGCAGACTGGCCAGTTCTTCAGGGCAAGGGCAACCAGTGATTCAGGAATATAGCCTCTTCCATCTGCACTGGGCCTTCGTCAGTGGTCACTTTTTTTAATTTTTTCCTTGCTTCTTTGATTTTTCATGTGTGCATAATTTTTAGTTCTTTTGCATAGCAGCATGCACAAAATTTAAGTGTACAGCTTGATGAATTTTTAAATTTGCCTTTACTGAGACTACTATTTGCCCTGAGACTGCTATGCAGATTAAAAAAAAGTATTTCCATCACCCCAGAAGGCTCTTTAGTGCCCCTTCCCAGTAAATACACCTGCAAACAGAGGTAACCACTATTCTCACTTCTAGCATCATAGCTTCATTTTGCCTGTTCCTAAAGCTTATAGTAACAAATGCATACGTTGAATATTTTTTGTGTCTGGCTTCCTTCACTCAAGATCTTATGCATGTTGTCGTATGTAGCTATAGTTCATTCATTTTTATTGCTATATTGGGTCTATTGTATGAATATAGCACAATTTTTTCATTTGAGGACATTTGTGTTGTTGCATGTTTGAACCTACTATGAATTACCCAGCAAGGGACATTCTTTTACTTGACTTTTGTAGACGTATGCTTTTGTTTTTCTTGAGCATATACCTAAGAGTAGATGTGCTACGTCATGGGGCCAGCATACATTTAACTTTCGCAGATACCAATCACTGCTTTCACTTTTAAGGGCCAGACCTGGAAGTGGTTTACATCACTTCTGCTTACATCCCACTTCCAGAACTTAGTCACATGTCCCCAACCTAACCACAAAGGAGGATGGAAAACGTAGTCTTTCCATGTAACCAGGAAAGGAAAATGAAATGAGATTTTGTTAAGCATTTTGCGCCATCTCTGTCACAAATATCAACTGCAGGGTCAGGCTACCTGTAAGACAACCAGCTAACCTCCAATGATTCTCTTCCATCTTTGTGAACTGTATGACTCTCTTTTCTTAAATGAATATATGTGCAATAGTATAGCTTACTATAAATGAACTAATGCAAACTGATCATCACATAATATATATATAATATATATTATATATATGTTATATATATTATATATATATATATATATTTTTTTTTTTTTTGAGATGGAGTCTCACTCTGTTGCCCATGCTGGAGTGCATTGGCACAATCTCAGCTCACTGCAAGCTCTGCCTCCCGGGTTCATGCCATTCTCCTGCCCCAGCCTCCTGAGTAGCTGGGACTACAGGCACACGCCACCACGCCCAGCTAATTTTTTGTATTTCTAGTAGAGATGGGGTTTCAGCCCGTTAGCCAGGATGGTCTCGATCTCCTGACTTTGTGATCTGCCCACCTCTGCCTCCCAAAGTGCTGGGATTACAGGCGTGAGCCACCACACCTGGCAGTTTTATATTTTTAACAAAATTCCAGTCATCATAATGCCCCTTAAGGACAAGATCTATTTCTGACACATCTTTATTATCTTCTGTACCACATAGCACAGTGCCTTGTACACAGAACATGTTTAATATTTAATAAAAGAAGTCTTGGTGGGAGAGAAATTTGAAAGCACTGTACTCTTGTTAAGGCCGGTTGTGGCTCATGCTTGTAATCCCAGCACTTTAGGAGGCCGAGGCGGGTGGATCACCTGAGGTCAGGAGTTCAAGACCAGCCTAGCCAACATGGCAAAACCCCGACTCTGCTGAAAAAATACAAAAATTAGCCGGGTGTGGTGGCACACACCTCAGGAGGCTGAGGCAGGAGAATCGCTTGAACCCAGGAGGCGGAGGTTGCAGTGAGCAGAGATCGCGCCACTGCACTCCAGCCTGGGCAACAGAGGGAGACTCTGTCTCAAAAAAAAAGAAAAAAGAAGAGTTAGTTACTTTGTATTCTGCCTACCATTCACTCAGATTGCAACATTTGCCCCTAAGCACAGAGCTTACCCCTTTCCTTATCAGAAGCCTCTGCCAAACATAGGAACAATGTCTTATTTGTTGACCATATTGTAACTCTCAATTACTCATTCTGGGATTTGCTATGTCCTCAGTGTTCTTATTGCTATGCTGTGTGCCTGTTTTTGATGGTGAGGCGCCTCTTTCTTTTCACAATTCCTTTGAAAATCCCTGCATGACATGCAGTACCAGCATTTTATTTTACTTTTGTGAAGGTTCTACTGCTTTTTTTAAACAATACTTTTTTTTTCTTGAAACTCAAATACTTAAAACAACTGCAAGTACTTTGAAGTGAGGGACCATCTCTTGTATTTCTTTGTGTGACAGATGGTGCTCATAATAGGTTATCAATATAATCTTTTAAAAGAAATGCTGTTGTTTGCCTTTTGCAACTGACAGTCTTGCTTGCAAAACTGAGACACATTTTTGCTGAAAGTAATTCAGAGAATTGATCTATATCAAATATATTAAAATCTCCAAAACTGCAATTTCCTCCAAAATTAACACAGCCCCTTTAGTGCCTAGCCCAGGATCTACTATATAGGCACACTCAACCATTTGTTCGATTAGTAAAATGCAGAGATTATATATACTTACATAGTTAAACCTCTATAGATAGCACTCACAGTAACTTTCTTATTTAAAGACTCAAATAATGGGCCCTATATTTTTTCTCTCTCTAAAGTTTTCAATATCTGTTTTCCCAAAGTCTTAAGTACATGTCTAAACATGCTCATCAGTCATATCCTTGCACATTACAAACACTACAAATTCTAAGATGATACAGATACTTTTTATCAAAGATCTTGTCACTTTCACGGGTACAACTCAGTATCCTATTATAGTTAGAATCAAGTCCAAAGGCAGAGGTTTTTCCTTATTAAGATTACTTTGTAAAAGACAAACTAATGTGCAAGAATTTATTTGATGATCTGCTTTTAATAGAATAAGACATAATGATAGTTGAAGACTTCCTTGCTTACTAAATCTCTTTGGATTAGTTTGTAATCCCTTTTGGAAATATATTTTCCACATGGTCTGATGGACAAAGCCATCTGTTATATGCACTCAAAATAATGCATATTTCCTTTTTTTTTTTTTTTTTTTTTGAGATGGAGCCTTGCTCATTTGCCCAGGCTGGAGTGCAGTGGCGCGATCTCAGCTCACTGCAACCTCTGCCTCCAGGTTCAAGCAATTCTCCTGCCTCAGCCTACTGAGTAGCTGGGATTACAGGTGCACGCCAACCTGCCTGGCTAAATTTTGTATTTTTTTTCGTAGAGACAGGGTTTCACCAAGTTGGCCAGGCTGTTCTTGAACTCCTGACTTTGTGATCTGCCTGCCTCAGCCTCCCAAAGTGCTGGAGTTACAGGCGTGAGGCACTGCACCCAGCCAATAATGCATATTTTCTATCTCTTTTTAAAAATATTATCAACCAGATTCTTTGTATTTTGTGCCTATTCTCATGTTTGAAGATTTTCTTCCTTAAAATACTACATTCCATATATTTTTAGTCTGACTATAAATTAGCAATATTTTTAGAAGAAATTTTGGCAGGATCTATAAACATTTTACTTTTCTTTTTTGTAGAGATGGGGGTCTCCCCATCTTGCCCAGCCTGGTCTCAAACTCCTGGGCTAAAGCAATCCTCTCACCTCAGCCTCCAAAAGTGCTGGGGTTACAGGAGTGGGCCACTATCAGCATTTTAAATGTCTCTATCCTGTGACCCAACAATTATACTTCTAGGCCTCTATCCTATAGAAATACCAACAAAAAACTGAATCGTGCATTATTTATAAGAGCAAAAAAGATTTAAAATAATCTAAACGTTCATATTAAATAGACATGTATAAACTTATATTTATATCATCGAATGCAGACAGCAAAAAGGATAAGGTAGATCTGCACATGCCAATATTGAAGAATATTTATGATATTCAATTGGGAATAAGGGGAAAAGAGCACAAAGTATTTTATATAGAGTGAGCTCATTGTTTAAAGAATAAAAGACATTGGGTGTATGTATATATATATATATTTCTATATATGTTTATGTAGTCATTAAAAAAGGTGTAGGAGAATATACAACAAATAAAGGGATAGGCAGAGCCCTTTCACCTTTTACTTTATATATAATATATATACACTAATATATTATTTAATTTTTTCCCAACTAGTATGCATTATTCTTACAGCCCAATACTTCCTTCTAAAGAAATTTTTCTTTTGTTAGAGTTTATTTTTAGGTAATGAGTGTTAATTTTTCTGAATGTATCATTATTTTGCCTTCATTCTACCTCAAAATAATGACAATTTTGTTATCTATAGAATTATAAACCGGGCTCACATCTGTAATTCCGGCACTTTGGGAGGCCAAGGCAGGTGGATCAACTGAGGTCAGGAGTTCAAGATCAGCCTGGCCAAGACGGCAAAACTCCATCTCTACTAAAAGTACAAAAAATTAGCCGGTCATGGTGGTGCTCCAGCTACTTGGGAGGCTGAGGCAGAATCGCTTGAACCCAGGAGGTGGAGGTTGCAGTGAGCTGAGATCATGCCACTGCACTCCAGTCTGGGCAACAAGAGCGAAACTCCGTCTCAAAAAAAAAAAAGAATTATAGATTCCAAGTAAATTTCCCCTCAGAAGTGTTCATAATATTCTCTGATTGTTGTTTGTATTTCAGTGAGGTCAGTGGTAATAGCTCCTTTGTTGTTTCTGATTGTGTTTATTTGAATCTTCTTCTCTCCTTTCTTCTTGATTAGTCTAGCTAACAGTCTATCTATTTTTTATTTTTTATTTTTTTCAAAAAACCAGCTCCTGGATTCATTGTCTTTTGAATGGTTTTTTGTGTCTCCGTCTCCTTCAGTTCAGCTCTGATTTTGGTTATTTTTTGTCTTCTGCTAACTTTGGGATTTGTTTGCTCTTAGTGCTCTAGTTCTTTTAGTTGTGATGTTAGGTTGTTAACTTGAGATCTGTCTAACTTTTTGATGAGGGCATAGAGTGCTATAAATTTCCCTCTTAACACTGCTTTAGCTGTGTCCCAGAGATTCTGGTATGTTGTATCTTTGTTCTCATTAGTTTCAAAGAACTTCTTGACTTTTGCTTTAATTTCATTATTTACCCAAAAGTCATTCAGGAGCAGGTTATTCAATTTCCATGTAATTTTATGGTTTTGAGTGAATTTTTTTTCTCCAAATTCCTGGCTTAATAAGGATTTGTTTATTTTGAGGAAAAAAGGTCCCAAACATCAGGCTGTTCACAAAAATAATTCACAGTATCAACTTTAGAAAACAAATCATAAGACAATAACAGTATTTTTCTGGAGGATGCATTTGACTTGCCAATTCTCATTCACAAAATTACATTGTTACATTTGTGTTGAGCTGCCCCACACAGCACATTTATGTGGGGGTGTAACACACATACTTCTAACTCAAAGCTTCTTTCAGGAGCTACTCAACTCCTGAGATTGGCTTTGCAGTTAGGGAAGCATTTACTGAACTTATGTATGAATAAAAAGAACTGTACTCCCTGCATAACAAGAGATTATTTTGGAGACAGTTGATAAAACCCATACATCCTTTTTATTGTTAAGTCACAAAGAGGTTTCAAAATTAAAAGCAAAAATTACAGGGTAAGACTTAACAAAACTACCAGGAGCATCATAGGAAGTGAAAATGGGACTAGGAGCAGGGCAATATGAATTAATGAACATAACAAGGACAAGGATTGGGAGAACAGTGAGCATGTGCTGAAGATACTAGGGGAGAGGATCTGGTGAAAATTTTGATCTTAGACAAGCACCTAGGTAAATAAACAATGGGATAAGATTTCCAAAACCCACCATGTGCTTAAGAGTCATCCTCACCATTGGCGCTGTC
The DNA here is from genome assembly GCF_000001405.40 of Homo sapiens. Classification (NCBI taxonomy): domain Eukaryota; kingdom Metazoa; phylum Chordata; class Mammalia; order Primates; family Hominidae; genus Homo; species Homo sapiens. The sequence goes on along the minus strand of NC_000011.10, from coordinate 87,025,749 downwards.
TCTGTCATCCTCTCCTTCCTCAGCCTCTTTTTCATCATCCTTGATCAACTTCATCTGGTCATCCCCCATCTTCAATATCATCATCATCTAGTAGGTTCCCCTTTCAGGAGAGACATCTGCATCCCCCTCAGACTCCATCTTCACATTAGTCTCATCTCTCTTCATGGAGCTGATGCTCTGCTCCTCTTCTGACTTATTCTTCATCTCTACTGCTTGATTGCTCTGTTCCTTTTCAATTTTTTCCAGGTTATCCAGGAGATAATCCAACTTTTGTTTTATCTGTGTCAATTCCTTCTTAATGGCCTGAAGACCATCTCCTTTCAACTTTCCAGACTTGGAAGATTCCCACTATTCACTCTTAGAATTGAAGCTACTTTTGGCCCTTCTTTTTTTTTTTTTTTTTTTTTTTTTTTTGAGATGGAGTCTCACTCTGTCACCCAGGCTGGAGTGCAGTGGCGTGATCTCGGCTCACTGCAACCTCTGCCTTCTGGGTTCAAGAGATTCTCATATCTCAGCCTCCTGGGTAGCTGGGATTACAGGCGTGCGCCACTATGCCTGGCTAATTTGTATTTTTAGTAGAGATGGGGGTTTCACCATGTTGGTCAGGCTGGTCTCGAACTCCTGACCTCGTGATCCACCCACCTTGGCCTCCAAAAATGGTGTGATTACAGATGTGATCCACTGCACCCAGCCACTTTTGCCCCTTCTTGAGGTGTTTGCTGAAACACAGTGGCATTTTGATGGTACTACAGCCCAAGAAATAGGAGAAAAAGAGGAACATGTGCTAAGTAACTGTACATCCTGTCATAATAATCCCACTGAAAGTCATAGTCCAAATCAAAAGAGGAGCCATATGTCTCTGCTACAGATCATTTCACACCTGCTTTTCCTAGGTTCACTTTTGACTCTGCAGCCAGGATAATATCTAAAACCTGGCCAGCAATCATTCTGCCATTCTCTCCCGCTACAGCAGCCTAGGCATATCTCTCATTAACATACTGAACAAAGGCAAAGTTCTTATGAACCGAGCAACTCACAATTTTGCCATACTTTGAAAAGATTGCCTCCACATCAGACTTCTTGACCACAAGAGTGTTAAGATTCCCAAAGAACACACAGGAGTTCATGGAGCAAGGATCTTTCTTGTTGGTAACATTGCTGGCCATTGTGTTTGATAATAAGATTTCTCATAACGCTGAAAACAGGATGGGGAGGGAGAAGAGGTTCGATTCTGGGTCTCCTACTCCTGGGTTCTATGTGAAGACAGCCAACTGCTGCTTGAGGTTGGCAGCAATGGGCCACAACAGCTCAGTCTTCGTCTCTTCACAAAATGTTGAGTGAATTTCTTAGTCTTGATTTCTAATTTGATCATGCTGTGGTCCGAAAGATTGTTCATTATGATTTCAGTTCTTTGGCATTTGCTGAGGAGTGTTTTATTTCCAATTATATAATCGATATTAGAGTATGTGCCATGTGACAATGAGAATAATGCCTATTCTATTGTTTTTGGGTAGACAGTTATGTAGATATCTATCAGGTTCATTTGATCCAGTGCTCAGTTAAGGTTCTGAATATCTTTATTAATTTTCTGTCTTGATGATCTAATATTGTCACTGGGGTGTTGACATTTCCCACTATTATTGTGCGGGAGTCTAAGTCTCTTTGAAGGTCTCTAAGATCTTGCTTTATTAATCTGGGTGATCTTGTGTTAGGTGCATGTATATTTAGATAGTTCTTGTTAAATTGAACTCTTTACCATTACTTAGTGCCCTTGTCTTTTTTTTAACTTTGTTGGGTTAAAATCTGTTTTGTCAGAAACTAGGATCGCAACCCCTACTTTTTTCTGTTTTCCGTTTGCTTGGTAGGTTTTTCTCCATCCCTTCATTTTAAGCCCATGTGTGTCATTGCATGTGAGAAGGGTTTCTTGAAGACAGTAAACCAATGGATCTTGGTTCTTTATCCAGCTTATCACTCTGTATCTTTTAATTGGGGCACTTAGCCCATGTACATTTAAGATTAGTATTGCTATGTGTGGATTTGATCATGTCATCATGATGTTGGCTGGTTAGTTTGCAGACTTGTTTATGTGGTTGCTTTATGGTGTCGCTCGTTTGTGTATTTCAGTGTGTTTTGGTAGTGACTGGTAACTCTCTTTCCTTTCCATATTTAGTGCTTCCTTCAGAAGTTCTTGTAAGGCAGGTCTGGTGGTAATGAATTCCTTCAGCATTTGCTTGTCTGAAAAGGATCTTATTTCTCCTTTGCTTATGAAGCTTACTTTGGCCAGATATAAAATTCTGGGTTGGAATTTCTTTTTTTGAAGAATGTTGGCCAGGCGCAGTGGCTCACACCTGTAATCCCAGCACTTTGGGAGGCCAAGGCGGGTGGATCACAAGGTCAGGAGTTTGAGACCAGCCTGACCAACATGGTGAAACCCCCGTCTCTATTAAAAATACAAAAATTAGCCAGGATTGGTGATGGGCACCTGTAATCCCAGCTACCTAGGAGGCTGAGGCAGGAGAATTACCTGAAACTGGGAGGAGGTTTCAGTGAGCTGAGATTGTGTCACTGCACTCCAGCCTGGGTGACAGTTTGAGACTTCATCACAAAAAACAACACTTGTGATTGCATTATGAAATTTTTTTTTCATAAAAAAGACTGCCCTGTAAGCAGGCATGGCCATGCTGGGGCCCCGGGAAAGGCCAGCAAACCAAGAAGTGCTCAGGTTGGACCAGCCCCATCTGATGTGCAAGACTGCCCTGCAGAGATCAGGTCTGACAGCTTCCCTGGGGCTAAAGTCTCTTAAGAGAGCAAGTCAAGCCTAGAGGGATGGCCATCCCTGGCTGTGCTCCACTACAAATACTCTGGCACCAAACCCTCTGGGCTCCACATCAGCTGGCTTGCTGCCCCCCACTTCTCTAAGTAGCTCTCCCTGCTACCTCAAGTGTCCATGGTGGTCGAGGGAGCCGTTCCACTTGTCTGCTTCTAGTGGACAACAACAATACAGAAGTTGTCCTCCTCTGTATTTTATTTTATGCATTTAAAGGTATTATTCTGAGAAGCGATCCATAGTCTTCACTAAACTGCTAAAGAGATTCCTAGAACAAAAACATTTTTTAAATGCCTGCATTAGATTGATTGTAAAATTCCTGTAACCTCCATATATATCTCTTAGCTTTTCTTTCTGTTTCAATCTTTCTATCTTTTTATCTCTTTAGCTAGGTGACAGAGATCTAGAAGGCCCTCAGTTACGGCAATACATGACCAACAACAGCAGCTTTGAGGTGGGGAGAGCCACAGCTCACTGCTCTGGTTTCTTATTTACTCACAGCTTCTGATCCAAGGGACATCTCTGTCTTGTTTTTGAACATTCATTAATTTTTTTTGTCAGTGCTGCAGTGTTGTTGAGGGAGGAAGAGATGATCAGTATGCATGTGGTTGGCCATCTTAAAGCTGGGATGCATATATCCATTTTGCATTTATTTATATATATATATATATATATTTTTTTTTTTTTTTTTGAGACAGAGTCTCGCTCTGTCGCCCAGGCTGGAGTGCAGTGGCGGGATCTCGGCTCACTGCAAGCTCCGCCTCCCGGGTTCACGCCATTCTCCTGCCTCAGCCTCCCGAGTAGCTGGGACTACAGGCGCCCGCCACTACGCCCAGCTAATTTTTTGTATTTTTAGTAGAGACGGGGTTTCACCGTTTTAGCCGGGATGGTCTCGATCTCCTGACCTCGTGATCCGCCCGCCTCGGCCTCCCAAAGTGCTGGGATTACAGGCGTGAGCCACCGCGCCCGACCCCATTTTGCATTTAGAAAAAGAAGGGAAAAATGCAGTCATACATTCTTGATCTTTCTTTAATTTTTTTTCTTACAAGAATATACTCTTCCAAAGCTATTTTACAAGTGAGAAAACTACAGGTGGTATAAGCTAAGCATTTATTCAAAGTCATGTAGTTAGTTAATAACAGGGATGGGACTAGAATGCAAATCTTCTGGTTCCTTCTATAATACCTGCCCTTTTTAGCTGTCTTATGATATACTCTTCCTCTCCAGGAGTGAACAGTGTTAATATTACAAGCCATAGCCTAGAAAAATCATTCTGTTATTTATTTTGTTATTGTGCCTATGGTTCTCTTTGCCTGAAATACTGTTCAGTTGGTTAGTCAACAGATAGTTTAGAACACTTGAGGTGTTTTCAAGCACTGACCACCAAAAATGCAACATTGAGCAAGATCCAGTCCCTACCCACACGGAACTTATAGTCAGTCTAGTAACAAAGATAAACAACAAACAAATACTTAATTTATCTTCCCTTCTTTTGGTGACCTTCTATTCACCTTTCAGGATCCAACTGAAATGCAACTTCTCTGTGAAGCCTTCTGGGTAGAGTTAGTTGTCTTTTCTGAACATGGTCCACACATCTGTTATCAACTGAGAACAGGGTTTTTATTTTAATATTTTAGTTAACAGTGTATTCTGTCACCCCACTCACCTCTATTCCCCGACCAGGACATGGCAGCTTTGCTTATTCATTTTGCTATCTACTTCAGGACCTAGCACAATGCCTGGTACATGGTAGGCAATAAACATTTGAATGAATAGAACTGAAGGCAAGAAAACAGAAAGTTCTTTATGGCTCATTTCTGTATACTGCATACCTACTTGTCTTTTTAAATTTAAAATGGCATTCCCCATTGATGATTTTTAAGTCTATGATTGGCAAAAATCTATTTTCATTGTTTGGGCTAGTGGCCAAAATAAATGGAAAGAGACACGTAAGCACTTGCCAGCTGTTGTTCATTACAAAACCTTAAAGTCTATTCAGAAACTTATTGAGAAAATTCACCTTTTGTTTCCATTTATCTGAGTTGACAGTCTCTACAACCTAAATCCATTAGAATCCACACCTCCAAATTCATTTAGTTCTGTATGACCTATGATTACAGAAACCGAATCTCTAAAGAATCTCAATTTCACTATTTGACTAACTCTAATTCTTAAAGCTTTATAAAATTATTTTTGAATTATTGTTGACAAGCCAGGTATCTAAGTTTCAAGAAAAATAAATCAAAATTAGTTCCATATTTATGTGGCCGTGGAAAAGGGAAAAGGCTGTGTCCCCTGGAAGGAGGCAGCAGTTTCCCTTCTGCTCTCTTTTTAGGGCTAGATTCCCCTTTGTGAGTGATCCCCTTAAGAAAAGCAGAGACCCCTGGGAGTAGGCAGTCACACAATACTTGTAACCAGAGCCCTAATTAAAAATGGGCCTGAGATCTGTGAAGGCTAGAGTGGGGATGGTGCCTTGAATGTTGTAATTTCAGAACTTCATGTAGTTTTTGCAGGAGGTAGAAACTTTCATTCATCTTGAGGCAGATTCATCCTTGGTTTGAGGATAATTATCTAAATGGACCAGGTTAGATATGCTTATATTAAGCCAGATCCTTTTCAGGAATGGGAGTTTGACAGCTGTATCTCTAGAGAGCTAAACTTTTCTGCATAGTAATAGCAAAAATTGTCTTTATTATGGGCAAAGTTATATACCAGCAGTTTACTATGCCTTTGGGGAAATGTTTCCTTTAAAGTGTGGGTGTAGGCTACCCTAGCCTGGTTGGTATTGTTTATTGTAGTAGAAATGCTCATGCTTCCTGTTTAAACAGCTTCTCACAGGAGATTGGGAGAGAAGACTTTAGGACTGCAGAGAAACTGTGGTTCTGATTTTGAGTTCATGCTGGATAAAATGTTGTAAAAATAATGGGACTGGGCTAGGCTTAATGCTAAAAGACTGGCCTGCTATTCTGTCATACACAGTAATATTCAAATGCAGATTTTGGAGAATATGCCCCATTGGATATTTTGCTTTTACATGGTGATATCACAGAGACCGTAGGGAGAGGCCTGACCCCATGAATGGGGGAGGGTTGGAGTTTACCCACAGGAAATAAACAGGAAAAGAGGATATGGGAGGCAGGCCTGAGACTAGAGAGACAGAGGGAGAAATGTGGTCCTCTCCTGGGCTCCTGGAGATTGAGGCCTGGACTTTTAGCAGAGCAAACTCACTGGAGGTTGCCCCTGAAGGGAAAAGATAAACAGACACTGCCAGAAGGCCCAAGTTTGAGAATAGGGAGACACTCCCAAGACAGGGGTCCCCAACTCCTGGGCTGTGGACCAGTAGCAGTTCGTGGCCCATTAGAAACCAGGCTGCACAGCAGGAAGTGAGCGGCAGGCAAGCAAGCATTACCACCTGAGCTCCACCACCTGTCAGATCAGCAGCAGCGTAGGAGCTGGAACCCCATTGTGAACTGTGCATGATAGGGATCTAGGTTGCGGGCCCCTTATGAGAATCTAATGCCTAATGATCTGAGGTGGAACAGTTTCATCCCAAAACCCTCTCCCACCACCATTCATGGAAAAATTGTCTTCTTCAAAACCGGTCCCTGGTACTAAAACGGTTGGGGACTGCTGCTTTAAGAGCCCAAGGCAGCCTATGCTCTAGCTTGTGGACTCTGAGAACATTCAGAATTAGTAGACATTTTTGTTTGTCAGTTTTATAATTCCTTTCTCATATCCTTAAACGTTCTGCAAAATAATGATACATATTGCAGTTTGGTCTTCGTCATGCTGTGGGAAATTAAAGGGTCTGTGTCCACCTTTGGGATCATCTAGTAAAGGGAAGAAAAGCCTTTCTCCCCCTGAGACCAGCATAGCTGCAGTGGCATCAATCCTGAGGTTGTGGGAGATGAGGGGTGACAGTGGTGGAGCTACGATGAGCAATCTGCCACCACAGGGACAGCTAGGGCAGTATGGGTTTGTGGAACATGGGACTGACTGGGAGGTACAAAGACCTACTTGTGGAGAGGGCCTCATAAAAGATAGGATTTTCTGTCATTAGATGAGATGAAAGTTTGAGCCACAGTAATTTGGACATTACAAGGTAAACCTGACCTCCTCTTTAATCACCATCTGGTGCGTCCAGGTAGACTGGGTATATGTATATGGAGCACACCATAAAACACAGTCTTTGTATCTTAGTAACCTGTTTCATGGGTTTGCAGAATATAAAAGAAAACCGAAATGGGTTCCCAATCGAATTTGTGGAAATCTTATTGATCATTTTATAGCCACATTCCATGTATCCATTTGTTAGTACTCCAACCAGGTAATGAACCCCATCATGTGCCAAGTAGTATGGTGGAAACCAAAGTCGATCCACTGACATGTAGCTGGTGTCAACTCCTCAACACTCAAGGTAGAATTATGACAGCATATACAATTTTCCTATTTAAATGAAAAGTGACTTGAGTCCCCTGATGTTAGGTTTGTCTCTTTTTTAGGACCCCTTTCCCTTCTTCTAGCTCTTCTGAGAACCCTGGAGGGTATACACATTCCAACTGGGAGATCCATTTGATTTCTGCTTCAAGTTAAGGTAAGCCCTGATATCCAAGCACCCACTGCTTTTCCTGCATGCCTCATAGTGTTGCTGTTGAAAGTTGGCCTTCCACTGTCAGCCAGGCCCTGCAGCAGCTCAGTGTCAGACACTGCTGCTGATCCAGTTTACTACATCAGCTAGTGTGGTACTTTGATGGAAGGTGTCTTCATGAGAGACTCCATTCTTTTGATGCCATGATCAACAGAGAATGTCCCTTGCTGGATCTCCCAGTCTGCAGCATTTAGTGCTCAGTCCTTTGCATCACATAAAACCATTCCCCTTCAATCCCCACCATCACCCCACCTTCACTCAGACTGGCTGAAGTGTTAGCACCTCGCAGACTGCAAAACCAGAGGCCAGCCCACTTTCCATTTCAACTGTAAAAATACAAAAGTGCTATATTCATATTTCTCACAGACAAAAGGCCCTTTCATGCCCTCAGCTAAAGTGACTATCTAGGTGGTCTCCAGGGCCACCTCTCCTGGCAGCAGTTTTCTGTTGACCTTTAGACACAAAAGCTCCTTCCTTGGCAATAGGATTTAGAAAGCTTGCCATGAATCCCAAACTCCAAATTCCAGGATTCCCATCTATCACCTCCTGAGAGGCAATTAGCTTTTGTGTCTCAATAATTCATGCCCCAAGGCCTCCCAAAGCAGAGGAGACAAAACTTATGTTTAGTTCCTTGCAAGGCATTCTTGTGTCAAAGGTTAAAAGACAATCTGTGCCTCTGTGATTTCCTATCTAATAGGGAAGATATGTATGGAAATTAAAATAAAAGTATAATGTAAGATATATGGGTAAATAGGCCGGGCGTGGTGGCTCACGCCTGTAATCCCAGCACTTTGGGAGGCAGAGGCGGGCAGATCACAAGGTCAGGAGATCGAGACCATCCTGGCTAACGCAGTGAAACCCGTCTCTACTAAAAATACAAAAAATTAGCCGGGTGTGGTGGCAGGCACCTGTTGTCCCAGCTACTCAGGAGGCTGAGGCGGGAGAATGGTGTGAACCTGGCAGGTGGAGCTTGCAGTGAGCCGAGATCACACCACTGCACACCAGCCTGGGCAACAGAGTGAGACTCTCAAAAAAATAAATAAATAAAGATATATGAGTAAATAAAGGCAGAGGCAGAAGTGCCTAACTTTCTGGGGGTTCTGGAGGGATAGATGAGAGGAGTTCAAATAATTTTAATTATGCCTCGAAGAAATAGTAGCAGTTTTCCTGATGGATAAGGCATTAAACCCTTTCTAGGTATGCATTCATATATCACTAATTCAATAAGTATCTACTAAGTATCTGCACAGTGAGTGACACTATTCTAGCTGCTGTGGGTAGAGCAAGAAGCAAGGCAAACAACTCTCCTCCTCTCTTGGAGGTGGAAGGCAAAGAGCTATGCAGGCAGCTTGTTGTCTGTGTCCTCCATGTGGCTGAGTCACACAGGTTCTCCTAGAGGGCTGTCTTACCTGGCTAACTATGCCCAAAACAATGAGCATCACCCTAGACATCTTCCACTAACATAAAGCGGGTCAATATTTGTTAAGCATTTACTGTATCCCAGGCTCTGTCTGTTCTATATCTATTATCTCATTTAATTCTCACAACAACCCTATGAAGATAGTAATTTATGACCCCCGTTTTACAGATAAGGAAAACAGAGATACTCATGATCAAGAGGATTGTCTAGGGTCAAAGACTTCATAGGTAAAGGAGCTGGATATGAACCCAAGCATTTTGATTCCAGAGCCTGGACCCTCAGTCATTTTGCTTAGTCCCGCCAACATCCCTCTACTGCCTCTTTTAATTACACTGCTTCCTCTTCTTCACTCCCTGGCATCCTCTGCTCCTAATTCCTCATGCTTATCTTTAGTTACTTGTCTCCTTTCCCTGTCCTGTACCCACTCACTATCTTAATGGAAGGCAATTAGCTGGGAAGGCAGGCAGGAGCTACCCTCTGACTGCTCTCAGAAATCAGGGGGTTTTACTTCCAATTGAAGTTTCCTGCCTAAATGCCATACCTAATAAGGGAGTATGACAGTCTCCCACACAGCAATGAGAAAGAAAGGCAGTTTCAGACATCTCTGAACAAGTACTTAGCAATATCTGCTATCTATCATTTCCACTGGACTAGGAGCTCCTTGGAGCCTGCATTTCAATAATCATCTTTGTATTCCAGGTAAAGACAAAATCCGGGTTCTATCCCAGTACAAATCACAGAAGGCACACATGCTGTGTAACACTTTTTTTTTTGTAAAATGGGAAAGTACAATTGAATTTAAAAATTATTTTTATTTAGATGTTTTGTATCTTTACCATAAAGTGATTGATGATTAGAAGCTGAGGAGAATTGATAACACAAGAAGATAATGCATTTCGAAGAGGTTTTGGAAACAAACAGCAACAGAAAAAGGTAAGAAGAGGCCAGCTGCCGTGGCTCACACCTGAAATCCTGAAATCCTAGCACTTTGAGAGGCCGAGGCAGGTGAATCATCCGAGGTCAGGAATTCGAGATCAGCCCGGCTAGTACGGTGAAACTCCGTCTCTGCTAAAACTACAAAAAAATTAGCCGGACATAGTGCTGCATGCCTGTAGTCCCACCTACTCGGGAGGCTGAGGCAAGAGAATCACTTGAACCTGGGAGGCAGAGGTTGCAGTGAGCTAAGATTGCTCCACTGCACTCCAGCCTGGGCGACAGAGTGAGACTCCATCTCAAAAAAAAAGTAAGAAGAATTATCAATTATAGAAAGAACCAATAATGATGATAAAAGTACCAATAATAATTACCATTGTATTGCATTAAACACTGTTTTAGGTGTTTGCCTATGTTATTAGCATTTACCCCTCATTCTTATAACAAATCATTTTATGGATGAGAAAATTGAGACTTGGAGGGTTTAAGAAACTTAACCTCCAGGTGTGGTGGCTCACACCTGTAATCCCAGCACTTTGGGAGGCTGAGGCGGGCAGATCATCTGAGGTCAGGAGTTTGAGACCAGCCTGACCAACATGGTGAAATGCAATCTCTACTAAAAATACAAAATTAGCTGGGTGTGGTGGTGCACGCCTGTAATCCCAGCTACTCAGGAGGCTGAGGCAGGAGTATCACTTGAACCAGGGAGTCAGAGGTTGCAGTGAGCCGTGATTGCACCATTGTACTCTAGCCTGGTGACAGAGCAAGACTCTGTCTCAAAAAAAAAAAAAAGTGTGTGTTTATCTATCTCTCTATATATACACTTAAGAGTCTGCCTTTACTCTTGTCTAATTACCCTTTCTTTCCCAAAAGGTAACCATTTTCTTTATGCATTTACACACACACACACACACACACACACACACACATACACACACACACACGCATTGGGTTTTCTTTTTCATAAATGATATAATGGACAATATTGAGTTTCAGGCCTTTTCATATTTCAAAGCCAGAATAAATATACAAGGACTATAACCTGTTTATCATTCTAGGCCTCTTTTCTCAAGGCCCTCCAATCTCATTTGTACTGTAGCCACTGCAAATACATCACAGGCACTGGGAATTGGGCTGCATTAGAGAAAGAGGTGCATCAATAAGATCTCCCTGTGACATCTGACCTTGTAGAACCTCTCCTCTTGTGGCTTTAGCACTCCAAAACCAAGCTGAGAAGAAAAGGATGGAAGAGGAGAGTAGGGGAGAAACGTATAGGCCCCTTGGGCCCTTGGATGCCTGGGCTGTTAGGGTTTGGATACAGTTCTCGCTAGGACTCTAAACTCTTTTGCCTCTTATAGCCAGAGGCATAGAGTTTGAAGCATGTAAGATTTTGGGAAACATGCAACTGACCAAGGTCTAATCATCAATGATTGGAAGTGAAATGTGCAATAAAAGCCAACTGGGAGTTAACTCAAAGGCATTATGAAAGTTTGCTTCACTGAGTTAAAATTATAGCCTTTTGTCCCAAATTTCTCAACAAATACTCTATAGAAATTTTTAAGCCCCAGAGTCCTTAACTAATGTTATTTAAGGCAATTTTATGTGTCTAATTGTACAGATTCTTCGCTAACTTTTGAGAAAGAAATGATCTCAAAATACCCTTGTGTCTACTGATATTTCAAGGTAAGGGAATGCTCTGGAATGCTTCCCATTTTCCAAATGTAATATTTTCCAAAATAAACTTGGGAGTAACTGCATGGTTGATATCATGTGAACATTTTAATTCACACAATCATATTCTGGAGTTTATGGGAGCTTGGCTTTTTTCCAGGAGGTTTGGAAGTCCAAAAGCCGGCTGTTTCTTTTCTGTGGGATAAAGATGGAGCATGTGAATCAGAACTGGTAAATTGGAGAGGAGGTCACAAACCGAATGGAGTTAAGCAAAGTGCAGTGCAATCTGCAGTGGGAGAAAAGCCAGTTGTACAGAGGGGAAGGACTGGTTACCATTAAAGTCTTCAAAATTGGGACCTCAGAGGAGAAATGAGTGGAGAAATGAATGGAGAACAACTCCTTGTTTCTCTCCCTCTCTTCTAGAGGATGGGGCTAGTGTAATGAGATCCAGGTACAATCCTTGAGATATCAGGGATCCCCATCCTGGTCTATTCAGAAGTCCCCCAAACCTTCAGTGCCTATAGTTCATGTACTGCCTCTTCCAAAGAGCCTGCCTCGATGGCTTGATTGCAGTCATCAAATGACATCTCACTATTGAGATGATGTGTTTCCTTGTCCTTTTCTCAATGGAATGTGAGATTCTTGAGACAAAGATGTAACAGGCACACAATAATTATTTGTTGAATGTTGGCTGTATCAGCTTCTCTGGTTGGAAATAATCCCCCCTCCTCTGAGTTCCCCTGGTGCTTTGCACTTACCTCACTCATGTGATCTTTTTCACATTCCACTTTATACTATAATTTCTGTATTTTTTTAGCTCCACTATTATACTCAAATTCTTCTGCAACAGAGATGAGATAATGCATGTAAAGCATTAGTACCATGTCTGCTGAATAAATGATAGCTATTATTATTTGTGTAATGAGGCACTTGGAGGAGCAGAAAATGAATTTTATTTAAAAAAACAGCTTTGGAAAATCACATTTGAATAGATCTTTATTTTGCAAGAGTCACTTGAGTGAATTACAATACTACAAGAGACCTACTGCCTTGGAAGAAGGGAATAATACGATGACTTGGTCTTGAAATATCTGTTCAGTGCTAAGCTGCACAACTTCAGGGGACATCATCCATATTGTAATAGATTGTGATGGACATATTCTGAGAGGCACAATGTGGATGGTACCCCTGGAGTTCTGCAAGGAAGCTGCCCTGAAAAAAGAAAAGGAAAAGAGGCTTTGACCCTTTATCTTTGAGGTCCTAGGTTACTGGTCCTCAAATGGATTGATATGGTACTCACTGAGAATTATCAGCAGGAAAGAAGAACAAGGGCCCCAGAGAGGCACTTGCCATAAGGGAAGGGCTGTCTGCAGAGCACTGGGCTCAGCAAAGCTTTCTGACTGAGGCTAGATGCCATTGGGAAACAAGGATGGACCTGAATCACTGAAGGGCCACTGTAACCTTAAAATCTTTCTGGGCTCTCCCCAGCACCAGTCAGAAACACCAAGGTAGATCTAGAAGTCTCTTTTCCTCTCTATTTCACCAGCTGCTTTTCCTCGAGGGTCCAGGAAGTTGAGACTGATGTTTTAATTTCACTTCAAATATACCATCCTGTACTGTGTATGCTCAGCAAGTGTTAATGACTGACCGGCTAGCTGGTTGAGTGAAAAGTTTTAATATTGAAAGAATTGGAGTCATTCATTATTATTTGATTCCAGACATGAGACAGAGTGGCAATTTGAGGAAAATAGTCCCATGTGATTTTGTGTGTGTGATTTTTATTATTAAAAAACTAAATCTATCATTACATTAAGAAGCTTTCCTTTTATAATCTTTTAACCATATAAACAAGAATATTCTCAGCCCTACCTTCTCTGGCCTCAATGTGGCTGTGAAGATCTTGGGCCTGGGTCAGTCAACACTAGGTCTGAGTCATGTTTTGCAACCTATTTGTTCTGTGATCTTTAGCAACTCACTTAAGTTCCAAGCGTGTTTCTGGTGTATAAAAGGGGACAACAATTGTACATGGTTCATAAAATTAGATGTTATGTGTCAGACACTAAACCTGACACAAAGTAAGCACTTAACAAATGTTAGCTGTCACTATTATTTCCTTCATCACCAAACTCCACTCTGCATCCTTTTATTATTATTATTTTTTTTTTTGAGACGGAGCCTCACTCTGTTACCCAGGCTGGAGTGCAGTGACATGATCTCGGTTCTGCCTCCCAGGTTCAAGCAATTCTCCTGCCTCAGACTCCTGAGTAACTGGGACTATAGGTGTGCGCCACCATGCTCAGCTAATTTGTGTAATTTTTAGTAGAGACGGGAGTTCACCATGTTGGCCGGGTGGTCTCGAACTCCTGACCTCAAGTGATCCACCTGCTTCAACCTCTCAGAATGCTGGGATTACAAGTGTGAGCCACCATGCCCCACCTCACTCTGCATCCTTTTGCAGCTTCCCTGTGTTCATACTTAAATATACTACAATCCAGTACCAATGACCCTCACACTTTGATGGGGTTTTTTTCATGGTTTTTTTTTTTTTTTTTTTTTTTTTTTTGAGATAGAGTCTCACTCTGTCCCCCAGGCTGGAATGCAGTGGCGCGATCTCGGCTCACTGCAAGCTCCACCTCCCAGGTTCACGCCATTCTCCTGCCTCAGCCTCCCGAGTAGCTGGGACTACAGGCGCCCACCACCATGCCTAGCTAATTTTTTTGTATTTTTAGTAGAGACGGGGTTTCACCATGTTAGCCAGGATGGTCTCGATCTCCTGACCTTGTGATCCACCCGCCTTGGCTTCCCAAAGTGCTGGGATTACAGGCATGAGCCACCGCACCCGGTCTTTTTCATGTTAAATAGTTCTTTTTTTTTTTTGTATATACTTAAGGGATATAATATACTTTGATATACATATGCATAGTGAAATGATTACTACAGTCAAGCAAATTAATATATCCATCTCCTCACAGTTCCTTTTTTAAAAAAAAAGTTTTCTAGCTTTGAGATATAATTGACAAAATTTTATAAATTTAAAGTATAAATGTGATAATTTGATATATGTATATTGTGAAATGATTACCACAATCAAGTTAGTTAACACACCTATCACTTCACTAGTGAACTTACATGTATGTATGTGTTCATGGGGGTGGGTGGGTAAGAATATTTAAGATCTCTCAACAATTTCAAGTGTATAGTATTGCATGGTAACTACAGTCACCAAGCTATACGTTAGGTCCCCAGAACTTATTCATCTTATAACTGAAACTTTGTTCCCTTTGACCAACATTTCCCCATTTCCCCTGCCCCCAGCCCCTGGCGACCACCATTCTACTCTTTGTTTCTATGGGTTTAACTTTTTTAGATTCTATACATAAGTAAGATAATACAGTATTTGGCTTTGTCTGTCTGGTTTGTTTCGCTTAGCATAATGCCTTCAAGGTTCATCTATGTTGCAAATTATGGTATTTCTTTCTTTTTAAGGCTGAATAATATTCCGTTTGTCTATACATAACACAATTTCTTTACCCATTCATCTATCAATAGACACTTAGGTTGTTTTAGTGTTGTGGCTACTATAAATAATGCTAGAGTGAAGATGGGCGTGCAGATTCTCTTCGAGATATTGATTTCATTTCCTTTGAATATATACCCAGGAGTGAGATTGTTGGGTCATATGGTAGTTTCATTTTTAATTTTCTGAGAAACCTCCATACTGTTTTCCATAATGGCTGTACCAATTTACATTCCCATCAAGAGTGGAGAAGGATTCCCTTTTCTCCACATCCTTACCAACATTCGATATATTTTATCTTTTTGATGATAGCCATTCTAACTGGTGTGAGATTATATCTCATTGTGGTTTTGATTTGCAATTCCCTGATGGTTAGTGATGTTGAGCACCTTTTCATGTACCTGTGGGTCATTTGTATGTCTGCTTTGGGCAAGTGCCTACTGAGGCCCTTTGTCCATTTTTTAATTGGATCATTGGTTTTTGCTACTGAGTTTTATGAATTCTTTATATATTTTGTGTATTAACCCCTTATCAGATATATGGTTTACAAATGTTTTCTCCCATTCCATAGGTTGCCTTTTCATTCTGCTGATTGTTTCCTTTGCTTGTGCAGATTTTTAGTTTGATATAGTCCCACTTATTTATTTTTGCTTTTGTTGCTTGTGTACTCTGATGTTCTTTTAAAGGTCTTCAATGACTTTCTTATTGCCAAGGCCAATGAATACTTTTGTTTCCACTGCTTTCTTTCGGGTATCTGATATCCCCAAACACTCTCTTCTTTTTGGAATTCTCTGTTTCCATGACAATCCATTCTCCTGATTTTCCCAATGAATCACAATGTCTCTTCTCAATTTTCTTACTTGGCTTCTTCTTCTGTTAGCCAGACCTTACGTATTATTACTCCAAGATTTAATTATTCACCTGTCTTTCCTTTTCACCTGGCACACTGCTACCTTGACTTCAGTTATTATTCATACTCCAACTACTTTTAAATATATATTTGTACTTCTATGTTAATCTTCAGACCTGTATTTTTGACATCTTACTTGACATCTCCACCTGGATTTCTCTCGGGAACCTCAAAACTGGGGTATATAAAGTAAAATGTATCCTCTCTTACTCCAAACCAGCTCCTTATTCTGTAGTCATTTTTC
Source organism: Homo sapiens (assembly GCF_000001405.40). Lineage (NCBI taxonomy): Eukaryota > Metazoa > Chordata > Mammalia > Primates > Hominidae > Homo > Homo sapiens. The sequence continues at coordinate 87,009,579 of NC_000011.10, read as the reverse complement.
TGTTAGTGGCATTAATACTTCCACATTCATTCAAGTAAACTGATGTTATCTATAACTTCTCCCTCTCTCTCACCACACCCCTCCGCACCCCTCTCCCATCAATAGGCACTCATTCTATTTATTCTGCTCCTAAACACCTCTCAAATCTATCTTTTCTTCTACATCCTCACTGCCAGAACCTTGATTTAGGCCATCATTTTCTCTTGCCCAAATACTGCAGTAGCATTCTACATAACTGTCATTTTCTATTTATAAAATACAATATCACTCATCGGCTAAAATCCTTTACAGACCTCACCCTCAAAACTGGACAGAACCAGAGTGGGGCTGCTAGAAAAAAAAAATAATAAGAATAATTTACTTTTAAATTTTCAAAAAAAATTTTTTTTTTTGAGATGGAGTTTTGCTCTGTTGCCCAAGCTGAAGTGCAGTGGCGCAATCTCAGCTCACTGCAACCTCCGCCTCCAAGGTTCAAGCGATTATCCTGCCTCAGCCTCCCAAGTAGCTGGGACTATAGGTGCCCAACACCACGCCTGGCTAATTTTTTGTATTTTTAGTAGAGATGGGGTTTCACCACGTTGGCCAGGCTGGTCTCGAACTTCTGACCTCAGGTGATCCACCCGCCTTGGCCTCCCAACGTGCTGGGATTACATGCATGAGCCACTCCACCTGGCTACATATTTTCATTATGTGGTACATATACACCATGGAATACTATGCAGCCATTAAAAAAGAGTAAGATCAGGGGCATGGATGGAGCTGGAGGCCATTATCCTTTGCAAACTAACACAGGAACAGAAAACCAAATACCACATGTTCTTACTTACAAATGGGCGCTAAATGATGAGAACAAATGGACACACAGAGGGGAGCACACACTGGGGACTATTGGAGGCTGGAGGGTGGGAAGGAGAGGATTGGGAAAAATAACTAATGGGTACTAGGCTTAATACCTAGGTGAGGAAATAATGTGTACAACAAACCCCCATGACAAAATTTACCTATATAACAAACCTGCACACATACCCCTGAACTTAAAAGTTAAAAAAAAAAAAATCCGTTTCCTTTCTGTTTTGCATAGTGAGCAGGGTAAGTGAGCATGCTTATGCATAGATAAAGTTTATGGGAGGAAGAGGAGAATATATTTATCTTCTGTGATAGAAGCAGCCTTACCATAGAAGGACCCCCTGGTATATGGCTTGGCACATGGTAGGCACACAACTGTTGCTAGTTGAACAGCTGGATGGTGGATGCCCAATATTTTGTAATGGGGATAAGTAGTTTCCAAAGCTCTCAAATTGCTAGTGGGCACCCAAATAAATATATAGGTTCAAGGCAGCTGTGATTTGGGGCCAAACAAGTCACAGATCAGGAATGTGGAAATCGGTCTCATATCATCTCAGTGCTGCTTTGACTTTTTCCTCCTGGGCTCTTAGCCATGAGGTTTGGCAAAGCTACCTCCATAACACTTCACAGAGCCCATGTTCACATTGCAATAAATTGACCACAGTACTTAATTTCATTTTTTTTTCTTTTTAGAGATAGATTCTTGCTCTGTCTCACAGGCTGGAGTGCAGTGGCATAATGATAGCTCACTGTAACCTCAAACTCCTAGGCTCACTTACCCTTTCTTACCTTTTTTGTGCCCACTTATTCCCCCCTACCCACCTGCCACCTCAGTCTCCCATATAAATAGGACTACAGGTACACATCACCATTCCCAGCTAATTTTTTTTTTTTTTTTTGGTAGAGATGGGGGTCTCATTATGTTACTCTGGCTAGCCTCAAACTCCTGGCCTCAAGTGATCTTCTCACCTCCCAAAGCACTGGGATTGCAGATGTGAGCCACTGTGCCCAGCCCTTAAAATTTCACCTTAATTTCACCTGTGAGTTCCAGACTTAGTCATCTCCTAAAATGATTTGTAATCTTTTTCCCCCTACTAATGGTTCATATGTTAAAAAATAAGCAAAATCCAAGAAAAAGTTTTCTCACAAAATAACCTTTTAATCAAATTAATGTTTAACATTTGTTCTTGCTATTGTCTAGCTTTTCTTAAATGCACACTCAATTACTACATATTTGCAATAACACTGTAGAATTTTATATTTGACATTTTCATTTGACATTATTCCATGTCTATTGTTCTGTGTTGTTTTAGTCTTTCTTACCTTTTTTGTGCCCACTTCTTTCCCCTAACCACCTCCAAATACTCTCTGCCCAATGTATCCTAATTCCACTCAATTCTCATGAAACCACATACAAATGTATATATGTATAATTTGTTTATTGTTTGATAAAAGTGAATCACATTCCATAAACTTCCTATTTACTTTCCTCATTTGATGGTACACCATGGATATATTTCCAGGTCAATAGATCTAGATCCAATTCACTGAAAATAAACCTGCCAAATATAATTGTTTTGCTGCTAATTCAACCTTTATTGATGGACATCAGGATTTTCCAGTTACCATCAACAATATCACAATAAACATTCTTGTATGTACATCCTTTATAGAAGTATGTATCTATTACTTCTGTAGAATATGTTCTTGGTTTGTTGGGTTAAAGGTAAGTGTAGCCGAGCATGGTGGCTTACGCCTGTAATCCCAGCACTTTGGGAGGCCAAGGTGAGTGAATCACCTGAGGTCAGGAGTTTGAGACCAGCATAGCTAACATGGTGAAACCCCGTCTCTACTAAAAATACAAAGATTAATCCGCCGGGCACGGTGGCTCACACCTGTAATCCCAACACTTTGGGAGGCTGAGGTGGGCAGATCATGAGGTCAAGAGATCGAGACCATCCTGGCCAACCAACATGCTGAAACCCCGTCTCTACTAAAAATACAAAAATTAGCCAGGCGTGGTGGCACACACCTGTGTTCCAGTTACTCAGGAGGGTGAGGCAGGAGAATTGCTTGAACCCGGGAGGCAGAGGGTGCAGTGAGCCAAGGTCGTGTCACTGCACTCCAGCCTGGGTGACAGAGCGAGACTCCATGTCAAAAAAAAAAAAAAAAATTAGCCAGGCCTGGTGGTGCACGCCTGTAATCCCAGCTTCTCGGGAAGCTGAGGGAGGAGAATTGCTTGAACCCGGGAGGCGGAGGTTGCAGTGAGCCAAGATCACACCACTGCACTCCACCCTCGGTGAGAGTGAGACTGTCTCAAAATAAACAAATAAATACATAAAAATAAAGGTACGTGTAATTTAAATTTTAACAGGTGTTGCAAGATGACTTTCCCAAAGGTTGTATTCCTACATTCCTACAAGCTTATTAAGTTATCTGTGCAAATACTGTGAGAAGCAGTAAAGCACCATGGTTAAGAACAGAAGCTTTAGATCAAGACTATCTGGTATAAATCCTCGCTCTTCCATTACAACCTGTGTGACCTCAAGCAAGTTAAGTAATTACGTCATACCTCAGTTTCATATCTGTAAAATGGGGATAATAACAGTCGCTACTCATTATTGATATGTGTAAAATGATTGGAACAGTGCCTGAGTGTACTGAGTATATAATAAGTACTCAGTAAGGGTCAGCTGTCATTATAGTTATGATGAAGTGAAATATTAATATAATCGACTCACTGCATTTCCTCCACTGTTTTTTTGTCATCAAGATATGGTAGAAGATTCTCCTTGCCTATTTCAATGTGACACAGCCATCTCAGCAGTTGTTTTTTGTTTCCTTATTTCTTTTTGTTTTCAGCAGTTATTAATGCTAGCAAATCAGGATTTTTCCAGCCATTCACAGCTATGACACATCATTTCACACTGTTCTTCAGTGTGTTCTAAAAGTATTTCTGTCTGTCTGAGTCTTTCAGGTTTAATGAGCTCAGCCCAAAGAGCAGTGTTCCTAAACGGGGCATGGCAGCAAGAGCTCATGGCCATTCTGGTACAGAATTGAGGCCACGTTTTCACAGTAATAAACAGAAAAATGTCGTATTTCTCTACCCCTTTTTAATTTGAGAGGATGTCAGTAGCTTTGTGTGAAAGGAATCATGCTCCAGAGAAAAAAAACAGGTTTTTTTTTCAAAGGGCAGAAAGTAAACATTTCATTTGATTGAGCCACTGATAGAGCAATCCACTCTGCATCTTCCAATCTGTTTTGTTGGAGCACGTAGTGAGTATTCCAAGTACATATTTACACTAAGTTCCGTTCAATGCGGATTCAAACAAACAGAAAGATCAAATATTTGGAAGTTCTTCTACAGATTACTTTTGTGATTAAGAGACAAAAGCAGCAGTCAGAAAACTTACAGACAGAAGGCTTTTTTTTTTTTTTTTAGACGGAGTCTCGCACTCTCAACCAGGCTGGAGTGCAGTGGTGCTATCTCGGCTCACTGCAAGCTCCGCCTCCCAGGTTCACGCCATTCTCTTGCCTCAGACTCCGGAGTAGCTGGGACTACAGGCGCCTGCCACCATGCCCAGCTAATTTTTTTGTATTTTTAGTAGAGGCGGGGTTTCACCGTGTTAGCTAGGATGGTCTCGATCTCCTGACCTTGTGATCCACCTGCCTCGGCCTCCCGAAGTGCTGGGATTACAGGCGTGAGCCACCGCGCCCGGCCAACAGAAGGCTTTTCTAAAGCAACTTTTAGGGAATGTTGCAGAATCAACCCACATTCAATCTATTAACTCCATCAGACATTTACTGAGCACATGTTATGTACAAGACACCATCCTAGGCATTGATGAGAATAGAGCATAAAGAGAAATATGGCAGGATTGGAGTTAAGATTCGTCTGGGGGAGAAAACACCATGTAGGTAGTAATAAGCCGTGCATTAAGTCTTTCTTGGTATGAAGTGAGAGAAAACTCCATTCAAACTGACTTAAACAAACAAAAAAATTATTCATGGCTGGGCATGGTGACTTATACCTGTAATCCTAGCACGTTGGGAGGCTGAGGCAGGAGGACTACTTGAGGCCAGGAGTTTGAGACCAGCCTGGGAAACATAATGAGACCCTACCTCTACCAAAAAAAAAAAAAAAAAAAAAATCTGGGCATGGTGCCATGTGCCTGTAGTTCTAGCTACCTGGGAGGCTGATGTGGAAGGATTGCTTGAGGCCAGGAAGTTGAGGCAGCAGTGAGCCATGATCGTACCACTGCACTCCAGCCTGGGCAACAAAGCAAGAACCTGCCTTTAAAAAAAAATTATTCACTTATATTATGAAAAGTCTGGCTTCGGCCAGGTGCTGTGACTCACACCTGTAATCCCAGCACTTTGGCAGGCCAAGGCAGGCGGATCATCTGAGGTCGGGAGTTTGAGACCAGCCTGACCAACATAGAGAAATCCTGTCTCTACTAAAAATATAAAAAAATTAGCTGGACGTGGTGGCGCATGCCTGTAATACCAGCTACTCGGGAGACTGAGGGAGGAGAATCTCTTGAACCCGGAAGGCAGAGGTTGCGGTGAGCTGAGATTGCACCATTGCGCGCCAGCCTGGACAACAAGAACAAAATTCCGTCTCAAAAAAAGAAAGAAAGAAAGAAAAAGAAAGAAAGAGGAAGGAAGGAAGGAAGGAAGGGAGGGAGGGAGAGAGGGAGGGAGGGAGGAAGGGAGGAAGAGAGAAGTCTGGCTTCAAATGGGGGTTGATCAAAAGGCTCAAGTAATGTCATTGGGACCCCAAATCTCTTCACCTTCTGCATCTGCTCTCCAAAGTGTAGCCCTCACTCTATGTGGTGGTTCCTACAGCTCTAGCTCTATGTATTCCCTGATTTAATTATGACAGAAAATAGAACTTCTCTTCCCCAATAGTATGATGTAAGTCTTGGATAGGACTTACAGTGGCCTGAATTTGATTGATACACTGAACTTATCACAGTGGCCAAAGGAATGTCATGTTCTAACTGGACAAGTCTGAGTGACTTGACCAACCCTGGAGACAGAGCTGAGGTTAGCATTTATAAAAGCAAATGGACCAAGGTTGAGATAATTGGTGATTCCTCAGAGAAAAAAGAAAAAAGGCTGCGCACAGTGGATCACACCTGTAATCTCAGTACTTTGAAAGGCCAAGGTGGAAGGATCGCTTGAGCCCAGGAGTTCAAGACCAGCCTAGGCAACATAGTGAGACCCTACCTCTATTAAAAAAGAAAAATAAAAAGAAATCAGAGAGGAAGAAATGGATTCAAAACCAAATATAAAAGAGGAATAAACATAATATAATGAGCAGACAAGGGTAGAGACATATTCTGGCTTTGCAGATCTAAGAAAACCACTGAATCAGAACCAAAAGGAACCCAGTTCAAATCCCTTCCCATTCTGAGAATCTCTAATTCTGGGGATTGTCCTAAAACCCACAGCTATTATAAAGCATTGGCAGTGTGATCTAGTGGTTGAGTTCTTTCTAACTCTGATGTCAGACAAGTCTGGTTGTGAAACCCAGAGTTGCCCCTATGTGACCTTTCATCTCAAAGTCTGTTAGGTCATCTGTAAAATGGGGGTAATAATAGTCCCTTCCTCATAAGGCTTTACAAGGATTGAAAATGATGATGTTTATTACAACACCTACATGTTGAGATTAGATCCCCAGGTCTTCAGATACCGTATGTTTTCATGTCATCATCTCCCATTTCCATTTTAGCCCACTGAAATTAGTCATACTAAAGATATGAATGACCTCCTAATGGCTAACACCAATGGATAATTCTCAGCCTTTATTTGATTGACCTATGTATAATACTAACACTCTTGATAACTCCCTCCTTAAAATTATTTAATCCTCTTTCTGATTTTTTTTTCTTTTTGGATTTTCTTTCCATCTATACTGCTACCTTGCCTTCTCTGTACTCTTCTCTGGATCCTCTTCCCCTGTTGGCCCCTATGATGCTGGGTTTTCTAGGAGTCTATGCTTTGTCCTTGTTGTAGGCATCTGACTATAGTCACGACTGCCCATTGTCTTTTGATTAACGTTTCTATGTTAGGAGAAATTTTCTTTTTTCTTTTTTTCTTTTCTTTTTTTTGAGATGGAGTCTCACTCACTCTATTGCCCAGGCTGGAGTACAGTGGCGCAATCTCGGCTCACTGCAACCTCCGCCCCTCCGGGTTCAAGCGATTCTCCTGCCTCAGCCTCCCGAGTAGCTGGGATTACAGGCGCCTGCCACCGCGCCCGGCTAATTTTTTGTATTTTTAGTAGAGACGGGGTTTCGCCATCTTGGCCAGGCTGGTCTTGAACTCCTGAACTCGTGATCCACCTGCCTCGGCCTCCCAAAGTGCTGGGATTACAGGCATGAGCCACTGTGCCTGGCCTAAAATTTTCATATTTAAGTGGCAAATTTCTCAATTTAGAAAAATTGAACTCAAATTCCCAGTCTCCCTTGCAACAAAGATGCAGGCACACAACTTTAGCACCATCAATCAGTGTAAACCATGCAAGTCTTAACTAGAAACTTCATATTCTTTAGTTATCATCCCTCACTTTCCCCATCTTCCCAAACTCTAAGCAACCACTAATCTCCTTTCTGTCTCTATAGATTTGCCTATTCTGTACATTTCATCTAAATGGAATAAAATATATGATCTTTGGTGCCTGGCTTCTTTCACTTAGCATAATGTTTTCAAGGTTTATCTCTATTGTGGTATATATCATACTTCCTTTTTTTTTTTTTTAGACAGTTTTGCTCTTGTTGACCAGGCTGGAGTGCAATGGCACGATCTCAGCTCACCGCAACCTCTGCCTCCCGGATTCAAGCAATTCTGCCTCAGCCTCCCGAGTTGCTAGGATTACGGACACGCACCACCACGCCCAGCTAATTTTGTATTTTTAGTAGAGACAGGGTTTCTCCATGTTGGTCAGGCTGGTCTCGAACTCCCAACCTCAGGTGATCCACCTGCTTCGGCCTCCCAAAGTGCTGGGATTACAGGTGTGAGCCACCGCGCCCGGCCTATCATACTTCCTTTTAATAATTGAGTAATATGCCATTGTATGAATGTATCATATTTTGTTTGTCCATTCATCAGGTAATGGATATTTGGATTGTTGCGGGTACTGTTATTGCTACTCCTATTTTATTTTAGAAATACGAAAAGTGAATCTCAGGGAAGTAAGTTCACCAAGGTCAGACAAATAGCAAAGCTGAGACGCACACAAACTTAAGTGTGTCTGATGCTATATTTCTTTCTCTTAACCACTATACCACTGCCTCTTACCATGCTATAAAGCTTTGTAAGGCCAGCACAAAAGAAGATGGGGCTGGCCAGTTGCAGTGGCTCATGCCTGTAATCCCAGCACTTTGGGAGGCCAAGGTGGGTGGATTACCTGAGGTCAGGAGTTCGATACCAGTCTGGCCAACATGGTGAAACCCTATCTCTACTAAAAATACAAAAAATTAGCCAGGCATGGTGGCAGGCACGTGTAATTCCACCTACTCGGGAGGCTGAGGCAGAATTGCTTAAACCTGGGGAGGCAGAGGTTGCAGTGAGCTCAGACTGTGCCACTGCACTCCAGCCTGGGCAACAGAGCAAGACTCCATCACAAAAAAAAAAAAAAAAGAAAGAAAAATATTGAAAACTACCTAAATACTTAACAGCGAGTAAACAGTTAAATAAACTATGCTATATATAAACAATTATGCAGCTATTAAAATTGTTTACCCAAACAATATAGAAATTTGGGGAAATATTTGTTATGTTTTTAAATTTTAAAAAAGCCACAACACAAATATATATTTATTACAAAAAGTATATCATCACAACTATTAAAGATATAACATAGTAAAAGATTAAGGATTAAGGATGAATATATCAAATATACTAAATTATTAAGGAATTTTTTTCTTTCCACTTTTTGTTATTTGCCAAATTTTCTATAATGAGCATTGATGACTTTCATAATGGGAAAAAGTAAAATAAACTTCGCTTTTTGAAAAAAAAAATTAATGGGTTGTGTTATGTGTGTTATGTTGACTGATCCCAAATTATCCCCAACTCACTGTGACACAGCCCATCTGACCCAGGGGAGTCGTGTGCATGTATCTCTTTGAAGCTCCAGCCCTGGAGATAAGCCCTCAGCTGACCTGTGGGCCTGCTGATCAGCTAGCAATGTCAGATAAGGAATTTTAAACATAGAAGGAAACTTAGAGGGCCACTGGCTGGTCTACATCAGGAGAGCCCAATCAGTCCAGTTTTTATTTCCTCTGGTCAGTGGCCCTGAAAGAAAGCAAGATTACACTGTAGCTTTTGCACTCTATCCAGGCAGACAGGCTCCACCACTTAAAGAGCTGAGGAATGCATGGCTGCAGAGACAGGGAAACAACACCCATGGAGAAGCACACAGATAAGATCTCCAAACAGAGACTCTGGTTAACAGTTTCCAAGGTCTGAGGAGTAAATAAAACCCTCTAGGACACAGGGAATCACATGCAGGTAGGAAATTCCTGACTTGACCCATTGGAAGGGGTAGGGGCCTTCTGAATTTTTTCTCCTTTTCCTCATTCTTTCACTTGCCAATTATTTTTTGAGTACATAGAATAGCCAGATGTGGCTTCTTATAGGTTTTGCTTATAGACTCATACAAGGTACAACAGGCAGACAGACAATAAGGTCCAGTGTACAGGATGCCATGGCTGTGATATTAGGGGCACCTTCAACTCCTGAGGAAGGCTTTTTGGAGGATGTTAACTCTAAAATAAAACCTTAGAAGAAAGGTGAGCTTGACAGTGGTGCGGCAGAGTTGAAGAGAAGGTTCTCCCAGGCACGGCTATGACCTGCAGGCGAGAGAGAGAGAGAGAACAAATTTGAAGAAGCTTCAGAAACTTGAAATGGAAGGCAGGAAGACAGGAAGTGGTTTCTTCCAGATCCCCTTGATTGAGTTATGGAGAATGGAGAGAGGAAAAAGAAAAAAATGAATATTCTAAAGCTTTCCTCTTCTTCCTCTCAAAATTTTGCCCTTTTCCTTTGTCTTGATCATGCTGTTCTTAGCTCTCTTACCACCTGTGCTGCTGTTTCAAGGTTGCAGAGTAAATAAAGGGACAGAGACAGCCCAATGTTGAGGCCTGAGCTCCATAGAAATGCTGCTGCCATCACACACAGATGAGACTGACCAGGCGGGCCAAAGGTGGCCCATTCATGTTGCCCTTAAACACTGCAACTGCCATTATTTTCAGTTCTAAGGAGCCAATGGTGAGGGTTGGGGTTGTCACTTATTCATTTTGCATATGTTAAGTGCAGAGTGGGTATCCATAGATGTAATTCACAGCCTCATTGGGAAGATAACACATGAAATTATGAATGTTATATATTTACTTTACATGAGACAATAGTGGAGTATGGAGTATAACAAACTTTTCTTGAGTCCTTATTGTGTGTTAGGTATATGCGAAGTGCTGGGGAGAAAAATAATTTTTTTTTTTTTGAGACGGAGTTTCGCTCTTGTTGCCCAGGCTGGAGTGCAATGGAGCAATCCCAGCTCACTACAACCTCCACCTCCCAGGTTCAAGCAATTCTCCTGCCTCAGCCTCCTAAGTAGCTGGGATTACAGGCATGAGCCACCACGCCCGGCTAATTTTGTATTTTTTTAGTAGAGATGGGGTTTCTCCATTATGGTCAGGCTGGTCTTGAACTCACAGCCTCATGTGATCCACCCACTTCGGCCTCCCAAAGTGCTGGAATTACAGGCGTGAGCCACTATGCCCGGCCCCAAAAAATAATTTGTAAAAAGCCTATTCTAGGCGGGGCATGGTGGCTCACACCTGTAATCCCAGCACTTTGGGAGGCCGAGGTGGGTGGATCACAAGGTCAGGAGTTGGAGACCAGCCTTGCCAACATGGTGACACCCTGTCTCTACTAAAAATACAAAAACTTAGCCAGCCATGGTAGCATGTGCCTGTAGGCCCAGTTACTCGGGAGGCTGAGGCAGCAGAGTAGCTTGAACCCGGGAGGCGGAGATTGCAGTGAGCGGAGATCATACCATTGCACTCCAGCCTGGGTGAAAGAGCAAGACTCCGTCTCAAAAATAAATAAATAAATAAATAAATAAAAATAAACTTTTCTAAAGTAGCTCAGGTTATTATAGCCTGCGTTTATATGTAAGGGAAAGAGAACCAAATGGGAAACTGAGGACTAAACTTTGATTTTTTAATCTTGCCCCAATTCCTATCTAAGGAGTCTGGGGAGTCATGCCCTAGAAATCATAAATTCTCATCAGATGGGTTTTATTTAACCCTATATAGCGTGACTTGCTTTCCAACCTGAATCTGGCATAACATTATGAGACAAGGAGGAAAATAAATATATTTTACCCCAGAACATGTTTCTTTGCCATATCTTGAATTGTTCCTGCAAAGCTGTCCTCTGTGGGGAAAATTTGCATCTGTAGAGAATCTCTGTTAACATAGCTAGATCATTTTCTTCCAGGTTCTCCCAATCCTAGAGATTAACTAAAAGTCTAGCACCTTTTGAAGATCTGAATAGGAAACATTTGTCTATTGTCTCTCAGGGCAGCCACTATAAGACTTAAAAGAACCTTGGTCTCCACAATCTTTTATTTTTAACCTGAACATTTTCTTTCTACGATCCCAGGTCTTTAGGTAAACTCAACCAATTGTCAACCAGAAATGTTTAAATTTACCTATAGCCTGGAAGTCCCCCCACCTCCATTCCCACCCCCACCCCCCACCCAACGTGCTTTGAGTTGTCTCACCTTTCTGAACCAAATCAATGTATTTCTTAAATGTATTTGATTGATGTCTCATGCCTCCCTAAAATGTGTAAAACCAAGCTGCTCCCCCCAACAACCTTGGGCACATGTTTTCAGGACCTCCTGAGGCCTGTGTCATGGGCCATCATCACTCATATTTGGCTCAAAATAAATCTCTTCAAATATTTTACAGAGTTTGACTCCACAAAGCAAACACTGAAATGCAGTTTAAAAATAAATAATTGTACTGTGAACCTATTTAGATAGATTCATTAGCTTTCTGTCCTTTTGTACAACTCATTTAAGGGCTGCATTGAATAAAAGGTGGCTGTCTTACGGCTCCTTCACAGATGAGAAAACTCACAAAACTATGATATGGTTAAAAGGACATGAAGTCAGCTTTGAATCAAAACTTGAAATTAGGACTGCCCTCATTCAACTTGTGTCCTTGGGCAAGTTACTTAACTTTTCTGATCCTCCTCATCTGAAACAGGTAACAACAGCTATATGTGGCAGATAATGTCAGTGACCTACTCAGTGACAATGTCCCCTTCTTATCAGAAGCTCTCCCAGTTTTGTTTGGGGGAGGGAAGTGCCTAGCCTAGATGATGGCTCACAAGTGGTTTAAGGCAGGGGTCAGCAAATTTTCCTGAAAAGGGCCAAATAGTAACTATTTTAAACTTCGCAGGCCATTCAGTTTCTGTCACAACTCTGCCATTGTAGTGTGAATACAACCATAGACAATATGTAAATGCATGGGTATAGATATGGTGCAAGAAAACTTTATTTACAAAAACAGGCAGTGGTCCAGACTTGGTTATTGTTTGCCCACCCCTAATCTAACACAACCCTGACAATCCTATCCCTTACTTTCTCTGACTCCTTTGTAACTAAGGGTATCTATGTGAAACATTTGTTGTCAATAATACCTAAGTAGAAGTCTGATGATGGGGTTTCTGGGAAAATTTTTCTTTGCTAACCAAAGGAAGGCTATGTGTGGCCTTATCCTTTTCCCTCAATTCTACCCTTTTTTTTTTTTTTTTTTTTTTAGACAGCCTTACTGTGTCGCCTAGGCTGGAGTGCAGTGGTGCGATCTCAGCTCACTGCAACCTCCGCCTCCTGGGTACAAGCAATTCTTGTGCCTCAGGCAATTCTCGTGCCTCAGGCAATTCTCGTGCCTCAGCCTCCCAAGTAGCTGGGATTACAAATGTACACCATCACCCCTAGGTAATTTTTTTTTTTTTTTTCGAGACACAGTCTCGCTCTGTTGGCCAGGCGGGAATGCAGTAGCATGGTCTCCGCTCACTTCAACTTTCGCCTCCCAGGTTCAAGCGATTCTCCTGCCTCAGCCTCCTGAGTAGCTGGGACTACAGGCGCCCGCCACCACGCCCAGCTAATTTTGGTATTTATAGTAGAGACAGGATTTCACTATGTTGGCCAGGCTGGTCTCGAACTCCTGACCTCGTGATCCACCCATCTCGGCCTCCCAAAGTGCTGGGATTACAGGCATGAGCCACTGAACCCAGCCACACCTCTCTAATTTTTTTTTTTTTTTTGAGACGGAGTCTCGCTCTGTCGACCAAGCTGGAGTGCAGTGGTGTAATCTCGGCTCACTGCAAGCTCCGCCTCCCGGGTTCATGCCATTCTCCTGCCTCAGCCTCCAGAGTAGCTGGGACTACAGGCGCCCACCACCTCGCCTGGCTAATTTTTTTGTATTTTTAGTAGAGACGGGGTTTCACCATGTGAGCCAGCATGGTCTTTGGGAGGTGGGCCTCCCAAAGTTATGGGATTACAGGCGTGAGCCACCGCGCCTGGCACACCTGGCTAATTTTTTTTTTTTTTTTTTCCTGAGACAGGGCCTTGCTCTGTCACCAGGCTGGAGTGCACTGGCGCGATCTTGGCTCACTGCAACCTCCGCCTCCTGGGTTCAAGTCATTCTCTTGCCTCAGCCTCTCGAGTAGCTGGGATTACAGGCGCCCACCACCACGCCTAGCTAATTTTTGTATTTTTAGTGGAGACGAGGTTTCACCATGTTGGCCAGGATGGTCTTGATCACCTAAACTCATGATCCGCCCGCCTCGGCCTCCCAAAATGCTGGGATTACAGGCGTGAGCCACCGCACCCAGCCACACCTGGCTAATTTTTGTATTTTTAGTAGAGACAGTTTTGCCATGTTGGCCAGGCTGGTCTCAAACTCCTGGCCTCATGTGATCCACCCATCTAAGCCTCCCAAAGTGCTGGTATTACAAGCATGGGCCACCGTGCCTGGCCTCTCTCAATTCTGCCTCTAATGTGGATGTGATATCTGGAGCTACTGTAGCCATCTTGCAATTATGAGACATGAACAAAGCTAAATGTTAACTTGCTAAGGATAGTAATGCAGACAGAGATTAGTTTTTCAATGTCGTCACTGAGAAGCTGCATCAATATCAGCACCACCTAGTGGACTACTCCCATAAATTTTAATCCACTGCAGTCAGATTTTCTGCATTTTCCAGCCAGATCTATCACCAAATAATTTTAATATATCACAGGCTTATTGTGAATATTCACTGAAGTTAATATACAAATCATGTGGCATATAGCAGATCCTCAATAAATGATGGTTCTCTTCACATCTCATTTCACAGAAAATTGCTATCATTCCCGTTATGGTGAGTATTAACATTTTGCACAAGCTCCTTTTAAGAATAAGTCCCCCAGCTGGGCCGGGCGCAGTGGCTGATACCTGCAATCCCAGCACTTTGGGAGGCTCATGGATCACAAGGTCAAGAGATTGAGACCATCCTGGACAACGTGGTGAAACCCTGTCTCTGCTAAAACTACAAAAATTAGCTGGGCATGGTGGTGCCTGTAGTCCCAGCTACTTGGGACACTGAGGCAGGAGAATTGCTTGAACCCGGGAGGTGGAGGATGCAGTGAGGCGAGAGTGCACCACTGCACTCCAGCCTGGCAACAGAGCGAGACTCCATCTAAAAAGAAAAAAACAAAGAGTAAGTCCCTCAGCTGGAATATTTTTTAAGGGTTATCTCTAGTTTCACTCTAATTTTAAGTTTATTTATTTATTTTATTATTATTATTATTATTTTGAGTCAGAGTGTCACACTGTGGCCCACCTAGAGTGCAGTGGCATGATCTCGGCTCACTGTAACCTCTGCCTCACAGGTTCAAGGGGTTCTCCTGCCTCAGCCTCCCAAGTAGCTGGGATTACAGGCGCATGGCACCCCACCTGGCTATTTTTTTTTTTTTTTCCGAGACAGAGTCTTGCTCTGTTGCCCAAGCTGGAATGCAGTGGCCTGATCTCGGCTCACTGCAAACTTCGCCTCCTGCGTTCAAGCGATTCTCCTGCCTCAGCCTCCCAAGTAGCTGGGATTACAGGCCTGCGCCACCATGCCCAGCTAATTTTTGTATTTTTAGTAGAGACGGGGTTTCACCACGTTGGCCAGGCTGGTCTCGAACTCCTGACCTTGTAATCCGCCTGCCTTGGCCTCCCAAAGTGTTGGGATTACAGGTGTGAGCCACCACACCTGGCCTGATTTTAAGTTTCTAAGACCTCAGAAAGACTAGGAAAGGGAAGGAATAGAAATAATTCTAGTTTAGCAGGAGCCTGAGTATGAAAAGATCAGAGGTGATCGTCAAGCAAATTGGAGATAACACACTCTCTCTAGTAACTACTAATGAAAGTCTCCTTCTGCATTCCCTTTCTGGGTTGCTTGCCATGGTTTCTCATGCCTGCCTAAGACTGACTTCAGGCGTGAAGATAAATGTATGTATGTATATGTACTTACTAATGCAAAAAAGGATTATACCATTAAATCAACTACTGTCAAATTACCACATTTCATCACATATAGGCTATAATTATGGCAAGTCTAAGCTAATCTTTTTTTCCTGCTTCCCACAATAATCTAGCTTCGTCTACTTCCCTACTACTTATATACTAATATATACTTATATACTAATGTATATGCCAACATATACATAATAAACTGAATTTTTGAAGGGATATTTTCATGAACATATTATAGAAATAACCATTTGGGGGCCACTTTAATTAGCCTCAGTAAGATTTAAGCTACCTATTGCAAAAAAAAATTATATTGTGTGTCTGGAAAATGTTTTTAAAATTCACCTAATGTTTGAACTATTGATTCATTAGTTCTCTAAGAAGAATATTTTCTCTTCATGTAAATTGGTGGACGGACAGATAGGCGGGCCATTAGAAATAGGAAAGGATAATGTGAACAATGAGCAGCAGTGATTGGCTGTCTCTTTGTCTTGGCCTGGCTTTGTGAGAATTATTCAAATTCTCTGTTGCAGCTATTCAGATCTGCTGCTGTAATGTGAAAGCAGCCACAAACGATATGAAAGGAAATGCACATGGATGTGTTTCAGTAAAATCTACTTTAAAAAATCAGGTGGTGCTCCAGATTTGCTTCATGGTCATAGTTTTCCCGTCGTTTCACTGGACTATACACACTGGGATATAGTCCGGGAGGGCCTCTTGGAATAACAACAGCCATTCTGCTACCAGCCTGAGGATGGAGAAAGATAGGTACAGATAAAGAAAAGAGCTGGTTCCTTCACAGAAGCTTCTAATCCTGATGCATCTAGAACTCACCCTCACTTTGTGCTTCTTATCTTGGGAGATATGAGATTTCCTCTTCATTTACATCTGTTGGGCTTTTCTTTTACTTGTAGCCAAGGGCACCCTTGCTGCCATATGTCCCTAAGAGGAAATACTCTCGCTTGTCTATTTCCTCACTTGCTTGCCGTGGAATGGTAAATGTACTAAAGGCTGGTAGCAGTAGGATAAAAAAGGAAGAAAATAAATGCCTCCTTACTGCAGACTTCCTGGAGCAAGGATTCATTTGAATTTAGTAAACTTGAAAATCCTTCTAGAATTGCGACACTGTGGAATACTCTGAACTATCACTGATCAGCTACAGTAGTGTTTAAAGAGGTTTAAAGATGATTTGGAAAGATGCGGATATTTTATTGCACCTTGCCATGATTATTTATAAAAAAAACAAGAGAGAAACTGTCCTCAGCCATGTTTAGTTTCTATTATATTTCTTTGGCAGTCCTAGGCTATGATTGTTCCTATTTTTGCTTTATGAATGTAATAACCTCTAAAATGCCTCCTAGTATGCCTATTAGATCTTGTTCCCTTGTTTAGTGGACTAACTTCCCTGAGCCATTCATCTGTACTTTCATTTGTCTCTTATCGCTTCATGTGTAAAAATTTTATCTCTACCAATTTAGACAGAAACTCTTTTATAGCAGGAAACATTTCATAGATCTCACAGAATTGGGCACTTAACAGATATCCAACATACACATTATTAACTGAATTTTTTTTTTTTCGAGATGGAGTCTTGCTGTGTTGCCCAGGCTGGAGTACAGTGGCGTGATCTCAGCTCACTGCAACCTCTACCTCCCAGGCTCAAGCAATTCTCCTGCCTCAGCCTCCCAAGGAACTGGGATTACAGGCACATGCCACCACACCTGGCTAATTTTTGTATCTGTAGTAGAGATAGGGTTTCACCATGTTAGCCAGGCTGGTCTCAAACTCTTGACCTCAAGTGATCCGCCCACCTTGGCCTCCCAAAGTGTTGGGATTACAGGCGTGAGCCACCATGCCTGGCCTTAACTGAATTTTTGAAGGGGTATTTTCATGAACATATTATAGAAATAACAGTTTGGGGCCATTTTAATCAGCCTCAGTCTGATTTAAGCTACCTATTGCAAAAAAATTATATTGTGTGTCTGGAAAATGTTTTAAAAATTAACCTAATGTTTGAATTATTGATTCATTAGTTCTCTAAGGAGAATATTTTCTTTACATTGAAACTTGTACAGTATGAACCTGTGCCATGGAAACCCATTCTAGCATGCAGTTGTTACAATCAACAAACCACAACATATACAGATTTACTTACTTTCTTTTTTTGAAATACACAAAACATTCATTGTTATGTATAAATATCAGAGATTGGCCTGTAACTTTGAGGCAGTTTTCAAACACAGTTGGGCAAAATCATAAAAGTAGTAGGGAAGGCTGGGTGCAATGACTTACACCTGTAATCCCTGAACCTTGGGAGGCCCAAGCGGGTCAATCACTTGAGGTCAGGAGTTTGAGACCAGCCTGGCCAACGTGGTGAAACCCTGTCTCTACTAAAAATACAAAAATTAGCTGGGCATGACGGCACACACCTGTAATCCCAGCTATTTGGGAGGCTGAGGCAGGAGAATCACTTGAATCTGGGAGGTGGAGGCTGCAGTGAGCCAAGATCGTGCACTCCGCCTGGACAACAAGCTGTGACTCGGTCTCGAAAAAAAAAAAAAAAAAAGTAGTAGAGAAGTAGACAAAACTAGATTATTGTGGGAAGCAGGAAAAAAAAGATTAGTCTAGTTTAGACTTGCCTTAATTATAGTCTATATGTGATGAAATGTGGTAATTTGACACTAGTTGATTTAATGGTATAATCCTTTTTTGCACTAGTAAATCACCACAAATTGCCTTTTATACAAATTATGTTACAAGAAGTATAATTCTATTTGAGAGATTGCTTAAACAAAGGGGGTGGAATTTTAAAGGTGGGCTTTAAAAAGCAGAAACTTTCTTTTCCTCTTAAAAACTGGAATTCCTACAGACTCTAAGCGTCTTTTTAGAAAAAAATACAGGTGTATTTTCCTAGAAACTAAAAACTATGCATAACCCCAAAAGTCCAAAGATAATCACTGCACACATTTTGGAGCAGTTCCTTCTAGTTTTTCGTTCTCTCTCTCTCTTTCATGGAAAAAGACAGATTTATTTTAATATCTATGGTTAGATCATATTGTACATCATAAACATTTTCCCAGATCAGTAAGAACTTTTTGTTAAGTTTTGTGCATTATCTTTTATTTTAGTCATTTTTCAGTATATTATATCCTCCCTCTCCATTTTAGTTTAAAAGATAAACTCATGGTATGTAAAGAGATTTTTCAAGTAAAAATCATTCATAATCCTATTATTCTAGTATAACTATTTCCATTTTTCCTACTCTTTCCCTTTCAGAGCTAATGCTATTACACGACAAATATGCCTCAATTTAACCACGGAATTCTTTTTTCAGAGAGCACCTTATGATGGTGGTTCATGAAATGTTGATCCTAGATCAGCAGGAGCAGCAGCATCATCACTTAGGAATTTGTTAAAATGCAAATTCTCAGGCTCCTACTGAATCCAGAAACCGGGGAGGGAGGAGAGACAGAAATGTGTGTGTGTGTGTGTGTGTGTGTGTGTACAAGCTATGAAGCAATTCTGACACACATTGAAGTTTGAGAACTATTGTCTTATGGAATCAACAATTTGCAGATCATTCTTTGGGAAGCAGTCTGCAAAAGTGCCTTTCTGACCAGTCTCTATATTTCCTGGAAGGTTTTAGATAAAAACCGCTGGCTGCCTCTATTCCCTCAAGGGTAGAATAAGGATATATTAGCTACCTTCCAAGATAAGGATTAAATACAATAATTAGTAAAAGTGTTCTGTAAACTATAAGTAGTGAAATGGTATATAGATAGAGTTATTGTAATGGTGACCCTGAGTCTAAGCTGACAGACTTATATTACTAAGCTCTGGGGAAAGCCAAGTGGAATGTGGACACAGATGGTTCTTAACTTTCACACAGTCAACTTTTATACAGCCCGATTTTCACACATTACACATGCCACCCCTAAAATGCCTTTCCAACACCAAATCTGGAATTTCATACACTTGCAGTTTAATGAGCAATTTGAGGTATCCCATGGCTGCACCACCTGCCAGCCCACAGCCCTACTTTGGCAGGGCCACATCTTTTTCTGTTCAGCAGTTTTTGTCCATATTTTATTGCATCTTGCCATGATTATTTATAAAGAAAACAGGAGAGAAACTGTCCTCAGTCATGTTTAGTTTCTATTACATTTCTTTGGCAGTCTTAGGCTATGATTGTTCCTATTTTTATGAACATGATAGCCTCTCAAATATCTCCTAGTACACAAATTAGTATTTCTTGCAAGTTCACTGCTCTCTGAGACATCTCTGCTTCCTCTGGTCAGTTTGTCCTTTCTCCTTCTTAATCTTGATGTCTGTCTGGTGATCGCTAGTTGTCTGTTTGGATTTTAGGTATCTGGCATGGGCTTCCTCTGCAGCTACTCAGACTTGTTTTTCCCAACAGGTCTCTCCCCTAAAAGAAAGTGTGGCTGTGGCTGTGTGTAAGTGGATGGGGCTTGATCAAAAGATGTCACTTTAGGGAGCATGGGCATGGGGCAGACAAGCAGGCTGAAGACCCTTTGCCTTCCCTACCTCATTACTAGAATAAGTAGGGTTTTACTTTGGCATGGGAAGACTTCAATACATTTTTTTCCTAAGCAAAGATAACATAGTTTTTATTTCTCCTGGGTCTATTTTGGAAGTGTCTATTTGTCTTTCTCAGCTCTCTATCCCCATACAACATTATCCCTCCAAATAGGAAGTTTACATTATTTGGAGGGGTAGTCTCTTGGGGTTTTAACCCAGGGTCCAGGGCTGCTGCGGCTGCTGGCTACTCAGTGGTGGTGGTAATGGGGGATCCGGGACATGACTGGCTTTGCTGCTCCCGGATGCAGGTCTGTAATTAATTATCCTGACACTTGTCTCAGGACCCCCTTCTGCTTTTGACTTGTAGTCACCCTGACTCTGAGCTATCGATCTCTCTAGAACAGTAGCTCTCTAAGTATAGTGCCTGAACTAGCAGCATCAGCAGCACCTCGGAACTTGTTAAAAAGGCAAATTGTTTATCCAGAATAATGCTGATAAACATTTGGTTGTTTCTAGATTTTTGACTATTATAAGTAACGCTTCTGTGAACATTCTTACACAGATGTTTTTATGAATATTATCTTTTCATTTCGTAAATTCCTAAAAGTAGAATTGCAGGACAAACTCAATCTAATCCAATCCCAAAATTCTACATAATTATGATCCACTGATGGTACAGTGTTATGAATTTATTGTTTTTATGGTTGCCAGATAAAATATAGCATGTCCAAAATAGTGCATTTGGGACATACTTATACTAAACAATTGTCTGTTGTCTATCTGAATTCGAATTTAACTGAGCGTGTCCAGTATTGTTTTAATTTTTGCTAAGTCTGTCAACCCTAAATCTTTTTAAAATTTTCATTTATGTTAATTTAAGGGCTTTGGAGGGTGGGAAAAGCAAGATTGACTTGCATAATCATTTCATCACCTCGATCCAAGAAAGAAATTTGGTAAAGGCTGATAAGCCATTTCAGTTAGCATCATAATTTATTGATCAGTCCACTCATTTCCCTGCAAAATACCTTGCCCAAGCCAGTGAAACATCACCATCAGAAAGTCCTCCTTCCTAACACTAAATCAATGTCTTATGTCAACAAAATGTCACATAAGTTGGCTAACAGCCAGAATTTGAGGTAAGAAATTACTTTAGGTCAGTAATTTTATTGTCTGTATTCAATGTTTGTCTTTTGAACATTTTTAATAATCACATATATATTGTATAAGACTCGGGTTTCTATTTTTAATTCAAGATTAAAATATTTATAATATATAATAGGGAATTTATATTATTTTTAGCTCTTGGGGATAAAATTCCTCACATAACATGTGAAGTTATTGCTTGATTTTTATATATTACACTTTTCATTTATATTTTCAGGGCCTCATTAAACAGAAAAATAGAACTGCCTCCAAAAAGATGTAATGGGAAGAAAAAAATTTAGGTGTAACCATTATACCCTTGAGTTAGAAAAATAAATATCTACGTATTTTATTAGCTTTCTAGCAAGTTTATATCAATCTTGTTACCCTATCGTAAGTTTTTACTGGATAAACTATCCCAGTAAAGTTAGTTCTCTTTTAGCAGTTATGGACGTTATGATGAGATTATTATACATTCTGTCTTATGAGTATTTTGGACTTCCACTTCTTCATCCTGTAATTTTTAAAATGTGGGCTCCTTGTACTCCACTGCTTTGGTACTCCACTGCTTTGGTACAATCTCTTGTGGTGAGTTGGTGGAAGGACACCACCCTGGCCCTGAGGTTCCTGGCAGAACATTATTCTGGTGGGGCTGTGGTTGCTATTGAGTTATTGCTGAGGAATCATGTCCAAAGCTTATCCTCAGTTTGGGTTTTGCCTATGCATTAAATATTAGTGGTTTTATTCCCTTCACAGTTCCCATTTGAATAATAATAATAAAAAAAAACTGTTGTGAAACAGGATTTCCAGAGGTGGTAGAAAAAGCTCCAGGTCCAATGAAGCTCAGATTGCTTTGCATACAGTGGATTCACTCCTGTTTTATTCAATCATTTTTGAGAGGTGAGAGGAATTTTGCCTCTAGATGGTTTTTCATATCTGGTAGAAACATTAATGATGATAATAATTAGCACTTACCACGCACAAACTTAAGTATTACTTCAAGCACTTAATATGTATTTCTTGCTTATAAGAGTCATTATTGGCTGGGTGCGGTGGCTCACGCCTGTAACCCCAGCACTTTGGGAGGCCGAGGCAGGCAGATCATGAGGTCAGGAGTTCGAGATCAGCCTGACCAACATGATGAAACCCCGTCTCTACTAAAAATACAAAAATTAGCCGGGCGTGGTGATGCACGCCAGTCATCCCAGCTACTCAGGAGGCTGAGGCAGGAGAATAGCTTGAACCAGGGAGGCGGAGGTTGCAGTGAGCCGAGACTGCGCTACTGTGCTCCAGCCTGGGCGACAGAGTGAGACTCTGTCTCAAAAAAAAAAAAAAAAAGAGTCATTATCATAATCAGTAGAATTTATAAAGCTCCATATATAAGCTGGGTCATTTGCATACATTATTTTAATCTTTACAATGCTTTAGAGAAGTATTTAGAGATCAGGAAATGAGGCACTGACAAGTTAAGAAACATGTCCGAGATTATACGCTGGGGCGCGGTGGCTCACGCCTGTAATCTCAGCACTTTGGGAGGCTGAGGTGGACGGATCACTTGAGGTCAGGAGTTCGAGACCAGCCTGGCCAACATGGTGAAACCCCATCTCTACTAAAAATACAAAAATTAGCCGGATGTGGTGGCACATGTCTGTAATCCCAGTTACTTGGGAGGCGGAGGCAGGAGAATCGCTTGAACCTGCAGAGGAGGCAGTTGCAGTGAGCCGAGATGCTGCCACCGCACTCCAGCCTGGGCGACAGAGTAAGACCGTCTCAAAATAAATAAATAAATAAAAATTATACAGGTAGTAAATCACAGAATGGGTATTTAAACCCAGATTCCCAAACCCTTTTCATGTAACACGGTTGACTCAGTTTGCATACTTAAAAAACACTTGGCCACTTATCTTTTTTTTTTTTTTTTTGAGATGGAGTTTTGCTCTTGTTGCCCAGGTTGGAGTACAATGGCGTGATCTCGGCTCTCCACAACCTCCGCCTCCTGGGTTCAAGCGATTCTCCTGCCTCACCCTCCCTAGTAGCTGGGATTACAGGCATGTGCCACCACACCCAGCTAATTTAGTATTTCTAGTAGAGACGGGGTTTCTCCATATTGGTCAGGCTGGTCTCAAACTCCCGACCTCAGGTGATCTGCCCGCCTTGGCCTCCCAAAGTGCTGGGATTACAGGCATAAGCCACCGCGCCTGGCCGGCCACTTATCATTTTATTTTACTTTGACAAGATACTATTAACTCAATTTAAAAGGTAAGGAAAATTAGACACAAAGAGGTTAAATGGCTTGCCCAGTCTCACACATTAAAGGAGAATTTTCCTGAAACCCCTACTTTCTGGCCATTGATGTAATACCTTTTCAGCTATTTATGCATCCTATGACTGGATGAAGTCACATTAAGAGGACATAGTGTTGTAGAAAAACACCAGGTTCTTGTCACACGACCAGGAAAATTTAGGCACACAGACACAATTGTAGTGTGAGTAGGGCAGGGTTTATTGGCTGAAAAGGAAAAAACGAAAAAGGAACTCTGAGCAAAGTGAGATAGAGTCCTACTAACAGATCTCCCACCTCATAGACCGATTCCCAGGTCACCACACAGGAACTGAAGAGGCCAGGCTCCTTCCCCTGCAAATGGCAGGAACTTTCCCTGGCTCCACTCACCTCCCCCAGTGCGCAGGTGGGCATTATTCAGAGAGAATCAATCGGGAAACGGTACGCTTCATCCGGGACCATCAGTCTGGTTTTTCAGCCTTCAGACTTTTAGGCTTGGAGGTGGGGTTTCACTGGGGATGCTTGGCTGCCTCCTGTCTCTATCTATAGTTTTAAATCCTTGAACTCAAAGCAAACCTTAAGAAGGCCATCATCCTTGAATTCTTAGTTCCCACATTATTCATTGTTTATACCTAGTTGTGGTGAGGAAAGAGGCAGTTGTTAGATTTCCAAGAATCCAGAAATCCTCAGTGAGTGCCAGCAAACGCTGATCTTCAAAGATAGATGGTCTTCAACAGTTTTACCTTTCAAACCACACTTCCCAATAAAAATTATCCTCCACAGAAAGTCCAAAGTAAGCTCCAGGCCTGGATCCCAGTCCCCAGGTTCTAGGAGAGGGTGTCACCCCACAACACATGGGAAATGTGGCCAGTCATTTAGCTTCTCCATCTCCATCAAGTTGCCTTTGATGGCAAAGCCAGATGGGCTTCTCTGGGTACCACTTGACTTCCTGCTTACCTTATGGGGCCCTCCTCTTCTTTTAACCTTCCTCTTTCATTAGTTCCCTGCACAAATGCTTCTCCTTGCCAAGAAGACACATTGACGCAAATGATCAGATAAATATGCTAATAATTTTTCTTGGCAAATCAACTCCATGTCACCTCAGGACTCTACACACTTTCTTCCAACTACTTGACAGCCCTATCCACTTACAATCACAGAGTTCTTAAAACCCAGGTGCAGGTTGAGCCCAGATTCTAATTTCAAATCTCTGTTGGCTCGCACTTGGGATATGTTCTGTCTTCCGTCTCCAGCTGGCCCGCTGTTGTGCCCTTTCCTCTGGAACGAAGACTTCTCCACATTCATCTCCACATTCCTCACACTTGGACTAGTGGAATTTATAGCTTGCTAACTCAGCCTTGCCCCAGAGAGCAAGCAAAAGGGAATTGAGTTCAGGGCCTGCCTGCTGGCCAGGGAATAGAATAGGCAAAGCTCCAACTTTTGACCTTTGTGCCCAATTTTTCCTTCCTTGCCTTGCCCTCCATCCCCATTTTAAAGGTCTCTGCTTAACTTTCTCAGCACCCAGCGCTTATTACTGCCTGGTTAAGGCCCAGCAAGAAAACCCTCAAGTTTGTGAAATCAGAATTTTTTCCCTGCCTCAAGAAGAAAGTCCAGTAGAGACAATTTTTTGAAACATGCACTACCTGTTTTAGACCCCTATGGTGGCATTAGGTAAAGCAATCCTATAAAATTTACCGTGAAATTGGGTGAACTTCTACTCCATTGTACTAAAAGGTAAGGTAGATGCCCATAAGAGTTCATATGACTTCTAAGAGTTCCAGGAAGCAACTTAAAGAGAGGACATCATCAAATCAGTGCCCCTTCAGTCTTTTCCTGTTTTACTGAAAGCAAGAGACACCTGGACTCATTTACTCATTCATTCTACAAACATCAATGAGCTCCTGCTCTGGGCCAAGTATGAGTTATGTGCTGATGTATACCATGTAAATACAAAATAACACAATTCCCTGCCTTCAAAAAGTTTGAAGAGGGATTCAAGATTCATGTTCCATTTCCAGTGGCTTGACCTGTCCTGTCCAACTGCTGAAGGCTGGAAAAATATTGCCCCTCTCCTCCTGCTTCATCTCCCATCTCACATGGTAGTGGGTGGAAATAGAGACAGACCAGGTGCAAATTCCCCTTCCCTCCTAGTGTTCATCATTTTGTAACCTCTAGTCATCTTGGTCTCTTTGTCTATAAAATAGTAGGTAATATTTAATGTGTACTTTGCAAGGTTTCTGATAATTAGAAATAATTAGGCTGGTGCAGTGGCTCATGCCTATAATCCCAGCACTTTGGAAGGCTGAGGCAGGCAGATCACTTGAGGTCAGGAGTTCGAGACCAGCCTGGACAATATGGTGAAACCCTGTGTCTACTAAATATACAAAAATTATCTGGGTGTGGTGGCAGGTGCCTGTAATCCCAGCTACTTAGGAGGCTGAGGCAGGAGAATTGCTTGAGCTGGGAGGCGGAGGTTGCAGTGAGCTGAGATTGCATCACTGCACTCCAGCCTGGGCAATAGAGTGAGACTGTTTCAAAAAAAAAAAAAAAAAATATATATATATATATACACATATATATATATAATATAATAATTATTATTATTTAGGTAAAGTATCTGGCACACAATAATTGATAATAAGAGCTATTATAATAAATGGAATGAGATACAGGAGTTGTCCAATAAGTAACAGCTATTAATATGGTAGTTCTTTGTCTTCAATCCACAACTCAAAGGGCTGATGTGTCAAGGTGAGGGTTAATGGATGTGGAGGATTATTTTCCCTGGCCGCTTTCTCATCCTCTATTGTGCAAGCCCTGTTTGTGCAAGCCTTTCTGTTCTATCCTAAGGAGGTCAGGGTGTGTCTACTCCTGAGGCTGGCCAAGTTCTACCTGCTGAAGTTTCCTGTGCAGCTAGGGGTCAAGCAGTTGGCAAAGTCAAGCCAGCCAGCTGCTGTGATGTGATACTTCTGAAGGAAATCCTGGATGGGTCCTGCAAGGGAGTTGCAAGCTGCAGCCTGGATTAACCCAGGCTGTTCGTCAGTGTGCCTCAGCTGCTCGTCCACTCTCTGCTGGGCAGCTGGGCAAGAACTCCAGGACCGCCACTCCCCACTGCCCAGAAGAGGGAACAGTGGGGATTTCTGATCAGTACATGTCCTCTTTCCCAGAAAAGGGATTAAGTGTGCCCTGACAGTATACTCTGCCATCCTTCTTTCTTAGGGAGCGAGGTGGGTGAGAAAATGGCCCTGAACAGTCCACTTGCCCTAATCCCTTTAGCTGCTTCATTCTGCCATCAAATACTGTACCTCAGCAAGCAATCTACTGGCATCAAATGTGTCTGTGTTCTTGGTAAAGTGAGGATAATAATGCCAACCTCAGAGCGTTGTTATAAGAAGTCAATGAGAGCTCACATGTGAAAGCACTTACCAAATTGCCTGGCACATGGTAACTACACAATACAGGCTAGTGTTCCCTTTTTAAAAATAATTATGTATGGTGGTATTATGTCGTGTAAGGAAAACAAGCCCTTAAGTATCTATCAGAACTCCACTGTAGGTGACCAAAACCTGACTATAACCTATATTAGAAAAAACAAAAATCGAATTATTGGCTCATGGAACTAATAGGCATGGCTAGATCTTGACGCTCAGATAAAGTTTTCAGGGCTTGCTGTCTCTGTCTTTATTTCTTAGCTGGCTCTGCTTGGGCTCCGATTCTTTTTGCTGTTGGCTTCATTCCTCCTGCCATACACAGGATCTCTCCCTGTGGAAAGGAAGATGGCCATGGAAATCTTGATCCAAAAGGAAGCAGCACATACTCTCTCCCAGTGTCCACGTATCAAATCCCGTGGCAGGACTTTGGCCCTTTGTGGGTCACATGCCCATGCCCACACCAGGAGTCAACAAACTATGACCCACCGGCCAAATCCAGCCTGACTCTTGTTTTGGGGCAGCATATGAACTAAAAATGGGTTTGTCATTTTTAAATGATTGGGGAAAAAAATAAGAGTAATATTTTATAACACCTGAAAATTATATGAAATTCAAATGTCAAGGTCCATAAATTTCAGTTTTATTGGAACACAATCACACCCATTTGTTTCTGTATTGTCCATAGTTGGTTTTCCACTGTCATAGCAAGTTGAGTAGTGGTAACAGAGGCCACACGGCCCACAAAGCCTAAAATATTTGCTATCTGCTTTTTACAGAAAAATTTTGCTGACCTTGCCCTAGACCAATCATGGTAAACAAGAAGATAGGACAGACACTCTGATGGCCAGATCTGAATCATTTGCCCAGCCCTATAGCTGGGAGACAGGTAGGGTAAGAAGAAAAAGACTTTACAGTTACCGAGCACTTACCACGCATGAGGCACTTGCTATGAGTACTTCATTCCTATTAACTTATTTAATCTTTACAAGAATCCAATTGGTAAAGATTTTTGTCATCCTCGTTTGATAGATGAAGAAACTAAGGCACAGAAAGGTTAAGGAATCTTTCAAAAGTTACACAGCCAATAAGTGGTAGAGCTGAGATTTTTTGTTTGTTTTTTTTTAGATGGAGTCTTGCCCTGTCACCTAGGCTGGAGTGCAGTGGTGCGATCTTAGCTCACTACAACCTCTGCCTCCTGGGTTCAAGCGATTCTCACACCACAGTCTCCCGAGTAGGTGGGATTACAGGCATGCACCACCACACCCAGCTAATTTTTGTATTTTCAGTAGAGATGGGGTTTCACCATGTTAGCCAGGATGGTCTTGCACTCCCAGCCTCAAGTGATCCACCCACCTCAGCCTCCCAAAGTGCTGGGATTACAGGCGTGAGCCACCACACCTGGCCAGAGCTGAGATTTGAACCATACTATCTGCTCCAGAGTTCACTTTTGAGCCTGATAGAATCTGTTCTAGCAAAACAAAGTGGAATAGGGGTGGGAGGAGAATGGGTTTCCTGGGTAAAGAGTGGTGCTGGGGAAAAGAAACAACAGATATCCGGCCGGGCACAGTGGCTCACGCCTGTAATCCCAGCACTTTGGGAGGCCGAGGCGGGCAGATCACCTGAGGTCAGGAGTTCAAGACTAGCCTGGCCAACATGATGAAACCCGTCTCTACTGAAAATACAAAAAAAAATTAGCCAGGCATGGTGGCAGGCACCTGTAATCTCAGCTACTCAGGAGGCTGAGGCAGGAGAATTGCTTGAACCTGGGAAGCAGAGGTTGCAGTGAGCTGAGATTGTGCCACTGCACTCCAGCCTGGGTGACAACAGTGAAACTCTGTCTCAAAAAAAAAAAAAAAAAAGAGAGAGAAACAACAGATATCCATCAGTGTCAGATAAATATAGGTCTGAAATTTTTTTACTTAGCTTCTTAGAACCTTAGGTTTTTAAAAATCTAGTGTGAAGTAGATAAGGTGTATTCTTTAGGGTGGTCAAAAAGATAGTTAACATTCATTGAGTACTTACTCTGGGCTAATACTGAGTATTTTACGGTTGTTGTGTCACTGAGGAAAGCAAAGCTTAGAAAAGTTACATAGATTGCCCAGAGTCACATGGTAAGGTAGCACTCAGGCCTTGATGAGAAGCCACGTCTATCTGACTCAAGTGCCTAGGCATGTAACCGCTACACACCACTGCCCCTCATCTGAGAGAATGAAGGGAGATAAGATATCAAATGGACCTAGAAGAAAGCTTGATATATTGTAGACACTCAATTAAAGTTAGTTTCCTTTCTTCCCCTTTGCTGACTTTTCTGTTCACATTATGAAGTTTTATGAGCAAGAAATCCATGTGTATCCTTGAAGAGTCCTGTTGCCTCTATCTTTGCAGTTAATATTTAAAAGAATAAAATCACTCTTTAATCAGTGCTGCTATCAAAAAGGCAGAGCAAAAATAGCAACGGTTCAGAGAAGGGCAGTGAAAATAATTTGTGGTATGCATGGCAGAAGAGCATGCCATGTAAAGAGAAATTCCAAACTTTAGGATCATTTCATTTGGAAACGAAAGCTCACAGAGGCATGATGTTTACTGCGTAATACGCTGATGACAGGCATAGGAAAGGCTAATCAAAACCTGGCATTGATTTTCCCCCCCAAAATGCAAGAACCAGACTGTTGAATGCATTGTATAATAGCCCTGTTACCTTCCACTCTGGAACACTATCAAAGTGAGTTCTACCCTCCCTTCCTACTGACTATGTGACAAACCACACCTCCAGTCCCAATTAGTACACAAGACACTCCACTCCACACGTACTATTCAGAATCTGGAGATGTCTTGCTGGAAGATGTGTTGGGGCCATGCAACACATCTTATGTTGTAGATGAAACTAAAGGCAAGTGAGGTGAAATGAGTTGTCCAATTTGTATGGTGAGCCCATAACATATCTAGATTCAGCCTTGGCCTTGGGAGTCAGATGAACTGGATTAAGGTCCTTGCTAGCTAACAGACCTTTCTGAAATTCGGTATACCCATTTTTAATATGGTTGGAGGGTCAAATAATGATTACAAAAATACTTGGTGAACGTTAAGTGTATTGTAGCCTAATTTCCAATTGAGCACTTTTTCCTCTAAGTCGTTCTGCTCCTTGGAATAGTCTGATGTAGGAAAAGAGCACAATGCTGGATTGCTGGGGAAAAAAAATTGGAAGATGTAGCACCCCCTCCTCCCTTTACTTCCTTTCACCAACAATAAAGTACAAACTTCAAAAGAAACAAACTTGAAAATGGTGACTGCCGGACTCAAAAACCTTTCCCAGAGTGGAACCCTGTGGTCAGATATTGGCCAGGGCAATCCTTGAACAACTTGGTTGCCATCCAAGTCTGTTTTCAGTGGGGAATAAAGTTCATGTTTTGGAGGCAGTATCCTTGACTTTTTTATCCTGTTATTCAAATATTTCCTAATAATCTTCGGCATTTATACACTCAAGAGACCTTGAAGGAAAAGGATACAGGGCTCCAGTCTTTTTTCCTTCCTTTTGCTAATGAATAGATGTTTTCTTTCTGAATTGACTGCCCCTATCACCCTATTTTTTTCATGCTCACATAACCCTACAAGAAAGAGGTCAAATAGCAAATGGGAAATTATAAGTTACCAAGTTTGGGTTTAGATTTAACATCATGAGGTCCTTTTCAACATGAAAAAACTAAGTAGAGAGGGATTGAAATTTTAGCACATATATACATACTATGTAGTTGGAATAAGTGTGGGTGTTTCTGGTGCCACCTATTGGTCATACTGCAAGACTAAACTATATGCAGTATTGTTGGTTATGAAAAAGCATATAAAATGGAACATATGCGGTAACATTCAAAGTTATGTATTTCAGCAGGCTGGCTGAATGTTGAAATAGGGTGAAGTTACTTGAGTATTATCTTTACTTACAGAAACTTAGAACCATAGGTCTTTTGCTGTGTGATTTTCACTTTGGCTTACTCACCAGTTAAATGCATAGAAAGGAATATATAATGAGGCACAGTCTCTGGGAACTCTGAGATTAATTAACCAATACTCAGATTCAAATGACTCTCGTGTCTTATGATTCAGAAATGCTGTTGGTGCCCTGTTGGGTCCCCTTTACGAGCCAGTGTACCCAGGCAGTTATCGCCAGCTGCACGGAGAGTTGGCTAATACAACTCACAGCTTCCACTTTCTCTGGAGAATTGCCCTTGGCCATGAGGAAGAGACCTTGAGCTAATGGGAGCCACCTTGACCAGGAGGCTACATGCACATGTACACATAGACTTGACCTCTGCAGCCGGTGGCCCATGACTAACTGTCATGGGGAGTACAAAAGGCCACCCGCACCCCTTCAACTTTAAAGTGGGTTTAACTCTGTGGTACAATTTGTGATTCAGTGCTCCTCATGAGATCAGGGTGAAGCAAGACGTCAGTAGAAGCCTCCTCATGAGATCAGAGTGAAGCAAGACGTCAGTAGAAGCCAAATTCTTGCTTAACACCTTTCTCTGTCCTGTCCTGTTTCTCTCACTCCCCTTCTTTTTTTCTTTTTTTAATTATACTTTAAGTTCTAGGGTACATGTGCACAATATGCAGGTTTGTTACATATGTATACATGTGCCATGTTGGCTGCACCCATTAATTCGTCATTTACATTAGGTATATGTCCTAATGCTATCCCTCCCCCCTCCCCCCACCCCATGACAGGCCTCAGTGTGTGATGTTCCCCACCCTGTGTCCAAGTGTTCTCATTGTTCAATTCCCACCTATGTCTCACTCCGCTTCTTAAAAACACTCAATAAATCACTTGAGCACAAATCCCCATCTCACGGTTGGTTTCTAAGGAACGTGACCTAAGACAAGAACTATCCCACGAAAAAATGTATCTTTGTAATGATGAAAGCCATGTGAAATGATGAAAGTAGCCTACCCCTTTGGGTTTTATTGTGGTTTTCCTGACATGCTTGGGAGGTAAACACTAAATAAAGCAATTCTTCTCCATAGACAGCAAGGCCCAGGCTGAAGCACAGTAGCAGTGATACTGCACTGTGGGGTAATGATATAAAATATATCCTTGAATGGCACTCTGCCTGAGTTTTCTGAGAAATGCATTTAGTTTCAAAATAGTACATCCGTGCTGGCATTAGACCTAGTGCTCCCAGGGGCAATGAGAAATAACCTGGAACTGGAAGACCCAAGGCTTTGCACATTTCTGCATCTGCTGGAAGAGCCAGGCCTTCTGGCTTGTGCCGGAGGAGAACCTCAGGGAAAGAGAAAAACTCTGCCAGGAGACAACTTTGGAAATCTCTTAAGAATTGTTGGTTGATTTAATTGGGTTTTGGTTGTAGAAGTTCCAGCTGGTTCCCCAGAAGCAGCAGTGCCAAATAAGAAGCTGGGAGCTTTGGGTCTAGTCAGGTCTAGGGTTGAATCCTGCTTCTCCAACTTACTAACTCAGTTTCCCCATCTACACAATGGGGATCATAATATTTAACTCCAAAACTTGGGGAGGAGGTTTAGAAATAATATAAATTCAGTACCTGGTATATATATGAGTTAGTGAATAAAGGGCAGCTATCACTAGAGCTATAGCATTCACTGACCAGTCTAGCCTCTCTCACTAATAAAGGTAATATTTTGACCTATTTATTTAATTTATTTTGAACTCAGGAATGAAAATAATGCTGTTTGTTTAGGGCTTTATTGGGCACCCCAAAGAGCTCATTTTGTTTATCTTATTAATCCTCAAATGCTCCTTCCTCAGTGAAAACCAGCAGAAGGGTTTCGTAAGGACATCATGTACAGTTGTACAGATTGTACAGTGCACAAAAATACCCTGATTTGGGCAAGTGGGGCTAAAATCTAGCCTTACTTCCCTTACCAAGCTGTGAACCCCACAGGGTAGTATCTACCTAGAGGGAATGGCTTCACTAAATTCTCACAGAAAATGGGCTAGAAGCAACCCTTTATTCAGCGTACAGGTTCCTGTTGTGAGCAGAGGAGACCATGAGAAACTCCTAAAGAAAACATCTAAGCATCATGGTCTCTAGACTCAATTTCCACCTACATTCTCTACTCTCTCGGGTAGACTCTAACAAAGATATTTTAGGTCATGGCAATCAGCTGGCAGGGGCCTTCTCAATATAAATTGCCTAGCTCAGATGTTCCTGTATTAGTAATACCCAAAGTAAAGTCTGAAAAATTACTGACACCATCACCTGGGATACTTGAAGGGAAATGCAATTTCCTGTACCATGCACCTGACCTTCTAGATTCTAGAGTCTCTAGAGGTTAAATTAGGGAACAACTGTCTGATATAATCATTTTTTATAGGCTTGCTGAGCAGGAAAAAAAGGCTCCTTGGTTAAGGATTCCCTTCATTCACAAAGTCTACATGGGCATCTTAGTGAAGAGTTGAAAGTTCCTTAGAAAGGCTCTTCTGGGGAGAAGCCAAGACATACAATAGCCATAGGCTTCCTTTCTCTTGACAACCTCCCTCCACTCCACCTTTCCTCCCCTTATATATACACAAACCTATCTCTTACAGGGATCCCTTTTCCCCCTCTCTTTACTATTTCTGGCCTGTAGTATATAGAAGGACATACCCTCCAGCGGGCAGAAGCAGCTAGGTCATGGCTAACCATCCTTGAAATTCT
The DNA here is from genome assembly GCF_000001405.40 of Homo sapiens. Taxonomy (NCBI): domain Eukaryota; kingdom Metazoa; phylum Chordata; class Mammalia; order Primates; family Hominidae; genus Homo; species Homo sapiens. The sequence continues at coordinate 86,976,098 of NC_000011.10, read as the reverse complement.
AGTTTACCTTTCAGAATCATATTTAGCATTTTTTCTATTGCTTTTCCCAGAGCCCTGAGGTAACCCAAGCCCTTCCAAGCATCCTAAGTCTGTCCTTGGTGGCAATCCTAACAGTCATGGAATTTCCACACGATGGTTCAATTATAGGGCACCTGGTTATTAAGTTAAAATGGTGCCTTTAACATAGCATAGGCCTTAGATAACAGCATAACAGCAGTTTACATGTAAGCACATCCTTGTCAATATAAGGTTTGCCAATCAAAGAACCAAACTGACTGTCCTGTAACAACAACTCTACTATGAGGTATACATCTACAGTTGTGTCAAGATAACTTTGCCCAGCTCCTAGGTAATTACTTCCAAGTTAGCATCAATGTTATTGAGGATCAAATCCATTAAAAGATGTAGTCTAAGAAACATGCAACACCTGTGCTAGAAATAGAGACAAACTTAACATGGTTTCTACTTTTTTTTTTTTTTTTTTTTTTTTTTTTGAGACGGAGTCTCGCTCTGTCGCCCAGGCTGGAGTGCAGTGGCGCGATCTCGGCTCACTGCAAGCTCCGCCTCCCGGGTTCACGCCATTCTCCTGCCTCAGCCTCCCGAGTAGCTGGGACTACAGGCGCCCGCTACCACGCCCGGCTAATTTTTTGTATTTTTAGTAGAGACGGGGTTTCACCGTGTTAGCCAGGATGGTCTCGATCTCCTGACCTCGTGATCCGCCCGCCTCGGCCTCCCAAAGTGCTGGGATTACAGGCGTGAGCCACCGCGCCCGGCCGGTTTCTACTTTTAAGAAACAGCCTAGTAGAAAAATGTCTATGGAATCTCTCCATGACCAACAGAAGACTATATCACTTAAGGGATTATTATTATGAAGAAGTGTGGCTTGGGCTATAATTTAGATGCTCGGAAGAGAACTAATATTTATGGACCACCATTAAATTTTCACAACAGTCCTACTACCTTTTTGATTTCTGGATCTATTGTGATGCCTTCAGATGCAAGAAATAGGAGACCAACTAACAGTAGCTAAAATAAGAATAAAAAAGTATTTCATTTAACCATGTATCTAAACATAGAGTTTATTAGGTTGATTAATTCAGTAACTCAACCACCTCTGCAAGAACCATGTTCTTTCCATTTTCCTGTTCTCTCGTTGTGTTAGGGTTCTCCAGCGAAACAGAACAAATAGTGTACGTGTGTGTGTTTATTATGAGGAAATGGCTCACATGACTATGGAATCTGCTTAGTCCCAAGCTCTGCAGGGTAAGCTGGAAAGCTGAAAACTCAGGAGAGCTGATGGCATAGTTATAGTCTGAGTCTGATGGCCTAAGAACCAGGAGAGCCAATAGTGTAGTTCCAGTCTGCAGGCCAGCAGGCATGAGACCCAGGAAGAACAGATGTTTAAGTTCCAGTCCAAAGGCAGGGAAAAAAAAACTGATATCTCCGATTGATGGCAGTCAGGGAGGAGGAATTCTCTTTTATTCTGGGGAGGGCCAGCCTTTCTGTTCTATTCATGCCTTTAACTGATTAAGTCATTGGGGAAGGCAATCTGCCTTACTCAGTCTATTGATTTAAATGTTAAACTCATCCAAAAACACTGTCACAGAAACATCCAAAATAATGTTCAACCAAATATCTGAGTACTCTTTATCTCAGTCAAGTTGACATAAAATTAACAATCATAGTCATCTTCATCATTTGGCCTATACCTCTTCTGGTAGCAAGATAGCAGCAACAGTTCCAGCCATCACTTCTTCACACAACATCCAAAAGCTGGAGTAAAAGGAGGAGGTTGGTCTTTCTGCCACACCCTTTCTAGAAGTTAGGGAAAATGTTCCAAAAGGTGGGCCCTCTAAATTCACCACCCCCATATCTATTTCAATCTCATTGGCTAGAATTATGTCATATACAATTCTTACACCAGCCACTCACAAATTTTTATTATCTCCATTTTAGAGATATGAACACTGAGGCTCATAAACATTGAGTTGACCCATACCACACAACTAATACAATGTTTAGTTAGAATTGCTAACAATATCTCTCTGGCTCTAATTTACTACCTGTAGCTATTGATAGATCTGATTTGGCCCTGTATTGTAACCTTGGACCAATGCTTTGATCCCGACAAATTTTCTTTTCTGATAAATAGACACAACAATAGTTCTTACCTTTTAGAGTATCAAATTAACTTAGTATATGTAAAGCACTTTAGCTATTATCTGCTGCCCCACCATAGGATAAAGAATGACACAATGTGTAATTCTCGGATGTGCTATTCACCAAGAAGATAAGACAAATTATGTCCCTAGAGCTTCACCACAGCATCACCTTGACTAAAAGTTGTAAGATGACTTAACTTTACAATGAGAGTGGAAAATTATTTAACTCAAATACTACTATAACACAGACAAGTTTGAACTCAATGCCACAAGAAACACGTGAAATAAAGCTAACAGAGGCCCACCCTAGTGCCAGGCTGGGTCCTGCAGCCTCAGGTACAAGGCTGATAACCACAAACCCATACTCCAAGCCATCTTCCATAGCCCAGACTCTAACAGACTCAGGATTCAGGTCTGCCCCTGCAGACCCAGATACCAGGCCCAGCCATGAAGACCTGAGCTACAGGTTTGCCCAAGTAGACCTTCAGGCCACCCTGCAAACCCAGGCACCAGGCTGGCCACTGTGGACCCAGACACCAGGACCATCCATTCACAGACCCAGGAACCAGGCCAGCTACTTGAGGACTCCAACAGCAAGCCCATCCATAAATCCCACCAGTTAGCCTACCCAGTATCTCTGGATAGGCTAACTAGTGAAGGTCTTTCCCTGTTGAAACCAGTTTGCAAAGGTGGGAAAAACTACTACTTTTTCAAATGCACAGACACCAACAAAAGACCACCAGGATCACCACCAAAGGAAGAAAATAAAGCACAAGTAATCAACCCTGAAGAAATGGATATCTATGAACTGCCTAACAAACAATTATAAATAATTGTCTTAAATAAATTCACTGAGTGACAAGAGAACACAGATAAACAACTAAACAAACAAAAATCACAGAAACAATACATGAACAAAACGAGAAGTTCAACAAATAGAAATCATTTTTTAAAATTCTGGAATTGAAGAATACAATGACCAAACTGAAAAATTCCATTGAGATCTTCAACAGCAGACTCAGTCAATCAAAAGAAAGAATCAGTGGTCTCAAAGACAGGTCATTTGAAATTACCCAGCAAGAAAACAACACAACAAAATGACAAAAGAGAGTGAAGAAAGCCTATGGGATTTATGGGACAATATAAAGTGAACCAACATTCACATTATAGGATATTCAAAAGGGAGAAAGAAAGAGAAAGGGGCAAAAAGCTTATTTAAAGAAAGAAATAACAGACCCCCCCGCCACCCTGCCCCAGTCTGGAGAAGGGAATGAACATTCAGACACATGAAGCCCCCCATAAAAAAAACACAAAAAACAGATCTTCACCAAGACATTATATTATTATTATTTTTTTTTTTGAGATGAAATCTTGCTCTGTTGCCCAGGCTAAAGTGCAGTGGCGTGATCTCGGCTCACTGTAATCTCTGCCTCCCAGCTCAAGCGATTCTCCTGCCTCAGCCTCCCGAGTAGTGGGGATTACAGGTGACTGCCACTGCGCCCGACTAATTTTTATATTTTTAGTAGAGACGGGGTTTCATAATCTTGGCCAGGCTGGTCTTGAACTCCTGACCTTGTGATCCACCTGCCTCAGCCTCCCAAAGTGCTGGGATTACAGGCGTGAGCCACCGCGCCCAGCCTCACCAAGATATTATAATCAAATTCTCAAACATCAATGATGAAATTTTTATTTATTTATTTATTTATTTTGAGACAGAGTCTCGCTTTGTCACCCAGGCTGGAGTGCAATGGCACGATCTCGGCTCACTGCAACCTCTGCCTCCTGGGTTCTGGCAATTCTCCTACCTCAGCCTCCTGAGGAGCTAGGGCCACAGGTGCCCACTACCACATCCAGCTAATTTCTGTAAAGATTTTTTAAAGTAGTAAATCTCTTTAAGAAATGGTGCTGGGAAAACTGGATATCCACATGTAGAAAATGAAATTAGACCTTATCTTAAACTACATACAAAAACGAACTCAAAATGAATTGCAGACTTAAATGTGGTTGGGCATGGTGGCTCGTGCCCGTAATCTCAGTACTTTAGGAGGCCAGGCAGGAGGATTGTTTGAAGCCTGGAGTTCAAGACCAGCCTAGGCAACATCATGAGACCCTCCCTCCCCACCCCATCTGCACAAAAAAGAAAAAGAAAAAAAAAGAAAGACTTAAATGTAAGACTTGAACTACTAGAACAAAAGATATAGAGAAAATCTTCTTGACATTGATCTTGGCAATGAATTTTTTATTTTTATTTTTTGAGACAGAGTCTCGCTCTGTCGCCCAGGCTGGAGTGCAATGGCGCAATCTTGGCTCACTGCAATCTCCACCTCCTGGGTTCAAGTGATTCTCCTGCCTCAGCCTCCTCAGTAGCTGGGATTACAGGTGCCTGCCACCACACCCAGCTAGTATTTTTAATAGAGACGGGGTTTTGCCCTATTGACCAGGCTGGTTTCAAACTCCTGACCTCAGGTGATCCACCCATCTCAGCTTCCCAAGGTGCTGGGATTACAGGCATGAGCCACTGCGCCCAGCTGAATTCTTAAAAAAATTACCCTAAAAGCACAGGCAACAAAAGCAAAAATAAACTAATGGGATGGCATCAAACTAAGAATATCTGCACAGCAAAGGAAATAATCAACAAAATGAAAAGGTAAGTTATATAATGGGATAAAAATATTTGTAAATGATATATCTGATAAGGGGTTAATATCCAAAATACACAAGAAACTCAAACAACTCAATAGCAAGAAAACAACCCAATTTTAAAAATGGGCAACAGACCTAAATGGACATTTCTCAAAAGACATACAAATGGCCAACAAGTATATGAAAAGGTGCTCAACATGACTAATCATCAGACAAATGCAAATCAAAACCACAATGAGATATTACCTCACATCTGTTAGAATGGCTATCATCAAAAAGACAAAATATAACAAGTGTTGGTAAGGATGTGGAGAAAAGGGAACCCTTGTCCACTGTTGGGAATGTAAACTGGTATAGCTATTATGCCAAATAATAACAAAAGAAAGGAAATCAGTATATCCTCAAAAAATTAAAAATAGAACTATAATATGCTACAACAATCCCATATCTGGGTATATATCCAAAGGAAAAGGAATCAGTATCTCTGATATCTCTACCCACTTCTTCACTGCAGCACTATTCACAGTAGCCAATGTACAGAATCAAACTACCATCAGTGACGAAAGGATAAAGAAAATTTCACACACACATACACACACACACACAGGAATATTATTCAGTCTTATAAAAAAAGAAAATTCTATCATTTGTGACAACATATATGAATCTGGAGGACATTATGCTAAGTGAAATAAGCCAGACACAAAAGGACAAATACTGCATAATCTCACCTATACGTAGCATCTAAAAAACTCAAACTCATAGAAACAGAGAGTAGAGTGGTGGTTGCCAAGGGACTGAGGGACTGGGGAGATGGAAGGATGCTGGTCAAAGGGTACGAAGTTTCAGTTATGCAGAATGAATAAGTTTTGGAGATCTAACGTATAGCATGATGATTATAGTTAATAGTAATGTATTGCATACTTGAAATTTGCTAAGAGATTTGATCTTCAATGTTCTCACCAGAGACTTACACAAAAGGTAACTATGTGAGGTGTGATGGAAATGTACATTAGGTTTATTGTGGTAATCACTTCACGGTATATACATGTATCAAAACATCATATTGTACACCATAAATATATCCAATTTTTATTTGTCAAAAACACCTCAGTAAAGCTGGAGGTAAAAGAAATCTAACAGTATTTTCCAAGCCCAGTGGTAAGGACCTTCATATAGTTATCTCTGTAATTTTCACGAAGACCCTTTGATGATAAAGAAATTTTGTTTTTGCTTTTGTTTTTCCTGGAGAAGGCTACTATGGTGGGGAATTCCTCTAAGAAGGAAACATAATTTCTTCATTTCCTTGCTGGAAATTATTATCAATTGGTCAACATCCTTTCCTGGGGGCTCATTATATCCCTTGTGTTCTAAGTGCTAAGGCTTCAGTGTAATGTATTAATAGTAAGTACTGAACTGGGAAGTCAGAAGGCCTGCGGTCTAGCCATACTCTGCATCTAGCTAGCAATAGCAACACGAACAGTCAATTAACATTTCCCTTTCTCTTGCTGTCTCCATTTATCTTCAAATGGGGCAATGAGGCAGACCTTTTGGTCTCTAAGTTATCTTCCACTTCTGACATTCTCTGAGCCACACAGCCTCTACCACTCTGGTCTCATGTGGATGCTATAATTCAGACCTCATTAGCTTGTCCCTCAAGGAAGGCTTAAACAGCATCACAGGGGCAGAAATGAGAAAGTCATTCAACACAATGCCTTCCTGAACACAAATGTTTTGAAAAGGAAGAAGGAGAAAGGGGATGGCAGAGGGAGAGGAGTGATTGGTCACTCTGAAGGACAGGCAGGCAGGGAATGTTTATTCATTCTTAGTGAGCAAATGACAATGTGAGGCAGTAATACAGAGAACAGGAAAGGGCTGGATTATACAGCGCAATCTATGACCTAGGTCCTGGTATATGCAGTCTGAAGTCTCAGGTCTGATTGACAGGTTTGCTGCTATTTACCCAATAACCTGGTTTCCACAGAAATCCTAGTTTCTAGAGAAGGTAGGTGAAGGAAAGACAGAGTTAGATATGGTAGGAAGGGTCCTGGTAACAGGGTAAGGGACCTCTAGTTTTAACCCTGTATTAGATGAGTCATTTCCATTCACTGGTTCTCAACTGCTTTATCTGTTAAGTGGTGTTCAGCAGCAGATGATCTGGAAGATTCCTTCTAGGTCTCTGATAGTCTAATGGATACTATCAACTGCTACTGTTTCTTTACATTGGTGTGAAAATTGTTTTTTTTTTTTTTTTGAGAGAGTCTCACTCTGTTGCCCAGGCTGGAGTGCAGTGGTGTGATCTTGGCTCACTACAATCTCCACTTCCCAGATTCAAGCAATTCTCCTGCCTCAATCTACTGAGTAGCTAGAATTACAGGTGCATGCCACCACACCCAGGTAATTTTTGTATTTTTTAGTAAAGAGGGGGTTTTGCCATGTTGGCCAGGCTGGTCTTGAACTCCTGAAGGGCTACTGAAGGAAAATCAGATAAAAATGTAGGCATGTGGAAATTTTCAGGATGTAATAAATGAGTGATTCTTAACGTCTACCCTATTTTGGGGAGGGATTTCAGTTACCTTAGCAATGCATACTATAAAAACTCAATCAATAGTTGTTAATTGATTAAACTTACTATAATGACTAGGCAAGGAACTAGCTGATTATCAAATTTCCTTGCAATGATAATATCCTCTAATAAATTTTACAGAGAAAACCTATGGAGGCAATGAAGCTGTCTAAGGTAGCATGCATAATGATTAAAAGCACAGGCTGTAGAGTCAGACAGACCTGTGTTGGATATCAACTCGGCCATTTACTGCGGGACCTCAGGCAAGTTTCTTAATCTATCAGATACTCTGTTTCCTCATCTGCAAAATGGGGAGACTAACAGTAGGTACTGTATAGATCTATTCATTTAAGAAATATTGCATGAACCAGGGAGGCAGAGCTTGCAGTGGGCCGAGAACGCGCCACTGTACTCCAGCCTGGGCGACAGAACGAGCCTCCGTTTCAAAAAAAAAAAAAAAGAAAGAAAGAAAGAAAGAAATATTCACTGAGGTGGGGGTTGCTTCCAAGATGGCAGGTTAGGAAGAGCTCCAGTCTACAGCTCCCAACAAGATCGACGCAAAAGACAGGTGATTTCTGCATTTCCAACGGAGGTACCTGGTTCATCACATGGGACTGGTTGGACAGTGGGTGTGGCCCACCGAGGGTGAGCCGAAGTAGGGTGGGGCGTCACCTCACCCAGGAAGTGCAAGGGATCAGGGGATTTCCCTTTCCTAACCAAGGGAAGCCATGAGTGACTGTACCTGGAGGAATGGTACACTCCTGCCCAAATACTATGCTTTTCCCATGGTCTTCGCAACTGGCACACCAGGAGATTCCCTCCTGTGCCTGGCTTGGTGGGTCCCATGCCCACAAGTCTTGCTTGCTGCTAGCGCTGCCATCTGAGATCGACCTGGGATGCTGGAGCTTGGTGGGGGGAGGGGCGTCCGCCATGGATGAGACTTGAGTAGGCGGTTCTATGCTCACAGTGTAAACAAAGCAGCAGGGAAGCTTGAACTGGGCAGAGCCCTGCAGCTCAGCAAGGCCTACTGCCTCTCTAGATTCCACCTCTGGAGGCAGGGCATATCTGAACAAATGGCAGCAGATAGCTTCTAGAGACTTAAACGTCCCTGCCTGACAGCTCTGAAGAGAGCAGTGGTTCTCCCAGCACAGTATTCAAGCTCCAATAATGGAAAGACTGCCTCCCTCAAGTGGGTCCCTGACCCCCGTGTACTCTGACAGGGAGATAACTCACAGTAGGGGCTGACAGACACCTCGTACAGGCGGGTGCCCCTCTGGGATGAAGCTTCCAGAGGAAGGAACATGTTGGCAGCAATATTTGCTGTTCTGCAGCCTCCTCTGGTGATACCCAGGCAAACAGGGTCTGGAGTGGACCTCCAACAAACTCCAACAGACCTGAAGCTGAGAGGCCTGTCTGTCAGAAGGAAAACTAACAAACAGAAAGGAATAGCATCAACATCAACCAAAAGGACATCCACACCAAAACCCCATCCATAGGTCACCAACATCAAAGACCAAAGGTAGATAAAACCACAAAGATGGGGAGAAAAAAGAGCAGAAAGGCTAAAAATTCCAAAAACCAAAACGCCTCTTCTACTCCAAAGGAACATAACTCCTTGCCAGCAAGGGAACAAAACTGGACAGAGAATGAGTTTGACAAGTTGACAGAAGCAGGCTTCAGAAGGTCGGCAATAACAAACTTCTCTGAGCTAAAGGAGCATGTTCTAACCCATCGCAAGGAAGCTAAAAACCTTGAAAAAAGGTTAGACAAATGGCTAATTCGAATATCCAGTGAAGAGAAGAGCTTAAATGACCTGATGGAGCTGAAAACCACAGTATGAGAACTTCGTGAAGCATACACAAGCTTCAATAGCTGATTCGATCAAGCGGAAGAAAGGATATCAGTGATTAAAGATCAAATTAATGAAATAAAGCAAGAAGGCAAGATTAGAGAAAAAAGAGTGAAAAGAAATGAACAAAGCCTCCAAGAAATATGGGACTATGTGAAAAGACCAAATCTATATTTGACTGCTGTACCTGAAAGTGACGAGAAGAATGGAATCAAGTTTGAAAACACTCTGCAGGATACAACCTAGCAAGACAGGCCAATATTCAAATTCAAGAAATACAGAGAACACCACAAAGATACTCCTCAAGAAGAGCAACCCCAAGACACATAATCGTCAGATTCACCAAGATTGAAATGAAGGAAAAAATGTTAAGGAGAGCCAGAGAGAAAGGTCAGGTTACCCATAAAGGGAAGCCCATCAGACTAACAGCGGATCTCTCGGCAGAAACTCTACAAGCCAGAAGAGAGTGGGGGCCAATATTCAACATTCTTAAAGAAAAGAATTTTCAACCCAGAATTTCATATCCAGCCAAACTAAGCTTCGTAAGTGAAGAAGAAATAAAATCCTTTACAGACAAGCAAATGCTGAGAGATTTTGTCACCACCAGGCCTGCCTCACAAGAGATCCTGAAGGAAGCACTAAACATGGAAAGGAACAACTGGTACCAGGCACTGCAAGAAGATGCCAAATTGTAAAGACCATTGACACTATAAAGAAACTGCATCAATTAATGGGCAAAATAACCAGCTAGTATCATAATGACAGGATCAAATTCACACATAACAATATTAACCTTAAATGTAAATGGGCTAAATGCCCCAATTACAAGACACAGAGTGGCAAACTGGATAAGGAGTCAAGACCCATCGATGTGCTGTATTCAGGGGACCCATCTCATGGGCAAAGACACACATTGGCTCAAAATAAATGGACGGAGGAAGATCTACCAAGCAAATGGAAAGCAAAAAAATGCAGGGGTTGCAATCCTGGTCTCTGATAAAACAGACTTTAAACCAACAAAGATCAAAAGAAAAAAAGAAGGCCATTACATAATAGTAAAGGGATCTCTTAAACAAGAAGAGCTAACTATCCTAAATATATATGGACCCAATATAGGAGCTCCCAGATTCATAAAGCAAGTTCTTAGAGACCTACAAAGAGACTTAGACTCCCACACAATAATAATGGGAGACTTTAACACCCCACTGTCAACATCAGACAGATCAATGAGACAGAAAATTAACAAGGATATTCAGAACTTGAACTCAGCTCTGGACCAAGTGGACCTAATAGACATCTACAGAACTCTTCACCCCAAATCAACAGAATATACATTCTTCTCAGCACCACATGACACTTATTCCAAAATTGACTATATAATTGGAAGTAAAACACTCCTCAGCGAATGTAAAAGAACAGAAATCACAACAAACTGTCTCTCAGACCACAGTGCAATCAAATTAGAACTCAGGATTAAGAAACTCACTAAAAACCACACAACTACATGGAAACTGAACAACCTGCTCCTGAATAACTACTGGGTAAATAACGAAATGAAGGCAGAAATAAAGATGTTCTTTGAAACCAATGATAACAAAGACACAATGTACCAGAATCTCTGGGACACATTTAAAGCAGTGTGTAGAGGGAAATTTATAGCACTAAATGCCCACAAGAGAAAGAAGGAAAGATCTAAAATCGACACCCTAACATCACAATTTAAAGAACAAGAGAAGCAAGAGCAAACAAATTCAAAAGCTAGCAGAAGGCAAGAAATAACTAGGCTCAGAGCAGAACTGCAGGAGATAGAGACACAAAAAACCCTTCAAAAAATCAATGAATCCAGGAGCTGGTTTTTTGAAAAGATCAACAAAATAGACTACTAGCTAGACTAATAAAGAAGAAAAGAGAGCAGAATCAAATAGACGCAATAAAAAATGATAAAGGGGATATCACCACTGATCCCACAGAAATACACACTACCATTAGAGAATACTATCAACACCTCTATGCAAATAAACTAGAAAATCTAGAAGAAATGGATAAATTCCTGGACACGTACACCCTCCCAAGACTAAACCAGGAAGAAGTTGAATCTCTGAATAGACCAGTAACAGGTTCTGAAATTGAGGCAATAATTAATAGCCTACCAACCAAAAAAAAGTCCAGGAACAGACAGATTCACAGCTGAATTCTACCAGAGGTATAAAGAGGAGCTAGTACCATTCCTTCTGAAACTATTCCAATCAATAGAAAAAGAGGGAATCCTCCCTAACTCATTTTATGAGGCCAGCATCATCCTGACACCAAAGCCTGGCAGACACACAACAAAAAAAGAAAATTTTAGACCGATATCCCTGATGAATATCATTGTGAAAACCCTCAATAAAATACTGGCAAACCGAATCCAGCAGCACATCAAAAAGCTTATCCACCACGATCAAGTGGGCTTCATCCCTGGGATGCAAGGCTGGTTCAACATATGCAAATCAATAAATGTAATCCATCACATAAACAGAACCAGTGACAAAAACCACATGATTATCTCAATAGATGCAGAAAAGGCCTTCGACAAAATTCAACAGCCTTTCATGCTAAAAACCCTCAATAAACTAGGTGTTGATGGAATGTATCTCAAAATAATAAGAGCTATTTATGACAAACCGACAGCCAATATCATACTGAATGGGCAAAAACTAGAAGCATTCCCTTTGAAAACCGGCACAAGACAAGGATGCCCTCTCTCATCACTCCTATTCAACATGGTATTGGAACTTCTGGCCAGGGCAGTCAGGCAAGAGAAAGAAATACAGGATATTCAATTAGGAAAACAGGAAGTCAAATTGTCTCTGTTTGCAGATGACATGATTGTATATTTAGAAAACCCCACTGTCGCAGCCCAAAATCTCCTTAAGCTGACAAGCAACTTCAGCAAAGTCTCAGGATACAAAATCAATATGCAAAAATCACAAGCATTCCTATACACCAAGAACACACAAACAGCCACATCATGAGTGAACTCTCATTCACAATTACTACGAAGAGAATAAAATACCTAGGAATCCAACCTACACAGCATATGAAGGACCTCTTCAAGGAGAACTACTAAAACCACTGCTCAACGAAATAAAAAAGGACACAAACAAATGGAAGAATATTCCATGCTCATGGATAGGAAGAATCAATATTGTGAAAATGGCCATACTGCCCAAGGTAATTTGTAGATTCAATGCCATCCCCATCAAGCTACCACTGACATTCTTCACAGAATTGGAAAAAACTACTTTAAATTTCATATGGAACCAAAAAAGAACCCACATAACCAAGACAATCCTAAGCAAAAAGAACAAAGCTGGAGGCATCATGCTACCTCACTTCAAACTATACTACAAGGCTACAGTAACCAACACAGCATGGTACTGGTACCAAAACAGACATACAGACAAATGGAACAGAACAGAGCCCTCAGAAATGGCACCACACATCTACATCCATCTGGTCTTTGAAAAACCTGACAAAAAAAAGCAATGAGGAAAGCATTCCCTATTTAATAAATGGTGCTGGGAAAACTGGCTAGCCATATGTAGAAAGGTGAAACTGGATCCCTTCCTTACACCGTATACAAAAATTAACTCAAGATGGATTAAAGACTTAAATGTTAAGACCTAAAACCATAAAATCCCTAGAAGAAAACCTAGGCAATACCATTTAGGATATAGGCATGGGCAAAGACTTCATGACTAAAACACCAAAAGCAATGGCAACAAAAGCCAAAATACACAATGGGATCTAATTAAACTACAGAGCTTTTGCACAGCAAAAGAAACTATCATCAGAGTGAACAGGCAACCTACAGAATGGGAGAAAATTTTCACAATCTATCCATCTGACAAAGGGCTAATATCCAGAATCTACAAAGAACTTAAACAAATTTAGAAGAAAAAACAACCCCATCAAAAAGTGGGCAAAGGATATGAACAGACACTTCTCAAAAGAAGACATTTATGCAGTCAACAGACATATGAAAAAATGCTCATCATCAGCGGTCATCAGAGAAACGCAAATCAAAACCACAATTAGACACCATCTCACACCAGTTAGAATGGGGATCATTAAAAAGTCAGGAAACAACAGACGCTGGAGACAATGTGGAAAAACAGGAACACTTTTACACTGTTGTTGGAGTGTAAACTAGTTCAACCATTGTGGAAGACCGTGTGGCGATTCCTCAAGGATCTAGAACAAGAAATACCATTTGACCCAGCAATCCCATTACTGGATAAATACCCAAAGGACTATAAATCATTCTACCATAAAGGTACCTGCACATGTATGTTTACTGCAGCACTACTCCTTTAAAAAAAGGAAAGCTAGGTGTGAAGTTTGGGAAATCAGGGGCAAAGTGGAACCCACAGGGACAAACTAGATCCCATGTCTGTCTTTAACCACCTCTAAGCTTGATAATGCAGGTGACCTGCAGAAGCTGGAGTCCTTAGCAACATAACTACTCAAGCACCTGGCCCAGGACTCCGAGCAAATAAAGGAGATCATCAGGAGGTGGAGGAACTGCAGGCCCGGGTGTTACCCCATGCCAACAGGTGAGCCAGCAGATCAGTAACAATGCACATGAGCCACCATGGTGCCTGGTACCCAGCACTGACTTTCAGAGCATAAAAATGCTGCTTCACATCTACCTCCCCAATCTTGCGTTAATTTTTCTTGTAGCTTACCCTAATCTGGAACCATGTAGGAAGGAGATTCTGGGAAAGTTCGTTTCAGCTTAGCTAGATTAACATAATACGAAACTAGTAGAATCTACTCCTTGTCAGCCTGGGATGCATACGCACTTCTTTTAACCACACTTAACTTCCAAATAAAGAGCAAAATAATGCTTTCCCTTCACAATACACAATTGTCCCTCATGCAACTAAAAATATGCTATCCCTCTCCCTGAGAGTGACTATAAAGTCCCTTTATTCATCTTTGGGTGATAATCATTCTTTTCCTAGCTGAGTCACTCTCTCCTTTGATATCTTGTTATTTAATTGTGTCCTGGTTATTTGTTGCTAAACAACAAACCAACCTAAACCTATAGGAATAAAACAATGACCATCACGGATTTTATGTGTTAGGAATTTGAAAAGGCACAGCAAGGATGTTGGGATGACTCCAACAGTAGAGGTTAGGAATGGGGGAGCCAGAGAATCCACTTTCAAGATGGCTTCTTTCCTCACATTTTGGGCCCCTGGCTTGGGATGGCTGAAGGACAGGCTCATCTGGGACTAATGAAGAACCTGCACGTAGCCTCTCCTTGCAGTCTTAGAGTAGCTGAACTATTTACAAGGCCGCTCAGAGCTCCAAAGTGAGTTTTCCGGCAAACAAAGTAGAAATTGCATGACCTTTCATGATGTAGCTTTGGAGGTCACGTAGTAGCACTTACAGCATACTCGGTCGGTTGAAGAAGTTACAAACCCTCCCTGATTCAAGGGGAGAGAACATAAATTCCGTCCTTCAACAGGAGAAGCATCAAAGAATTTGAGGCCATGTTTTAAAACCACCATCTGGGACTTTATCTCATCTAGTTCATGCTTATACACAATATGTGGTAGCTAGTTCACCCTTTGGTCATTATTTAGCATCATTTTCATTCATATTCATTTCTCATCTCCATTAATTAATCAGAGTGCTGTCTGAGAATATTAAAAAGTGCCTTCCTTTCCATGCTTCCCAAAGTCTCTTTGAAAATTACCCATCCTTCAAAGCTAAGCTTACATTCTAATTTTTGTACAAACTTACCAATCACATGTAATCCCTTGACTTAAAATGCTTTGGCTTCAGACCCCGGCTTTTACCAACCGTCTCATGGCATATATGTTCCTAATGGCTTCAGTTGACAATAATGAGATGAGTGGTCGACTAACTATAGTAGTAAACAGTGATCTAAAAAATATCTTAGGCTCCATCCTGGCTAACACGGTGAAACCCCGTCTCTACTAAAAATATAACAAAGTAGCCGGGCATGGTGGTGGGCACCCGTAGTCCCAGCTACTTGGGAGGCTGAGGCAGGAGAATGGCGTGAACCTGGGAGGCGGAGGTTGCAGTGAGCCAAGATTGCGCCACTGCACTCCAGCCCGGGTGACAGAGTGAGACTCCGTCTCACAGGAAAAAAAAAAAAAAAACAGTCTTAGGCCGATTCATGAAATAGAGAAACACATTAACACATTTGCTTCTGAATTGAAAAACAATTTCTGTCAAGGTTATTTTTTTAGGCCAGACACAGTGGCTCGTGCCTATAATCCCAGCACTTGGGAAGCCAAGGTGGGTGGATTATTTTGAGCTCAAGGGTTTAAGACCAGCCTGGGCAATATGGCAAAACCTGTCTCTACAAAAAAATATAAAAATTAGCACAGCATGTTGGCTCGCACCTGTGGTCCCAGCTACTCAGAAGGCTGAGGCTGGAGGCTCCCTTGAGCCCTGAAAGCAGAGGTTGTGAGCCAAGATCATACCACTGCACTCCAGCCTGAGCGACAGAGTGAGACCCTATCTCAAAGAAAAAAAAAAGATATTTGTCTACTGTAAAAGATTTAAGAATAGACACAGTCAAACAAAAAGGAAGATAAATAATTGGCAAAACATCTGACTTGAGAAGAAAGCTGAAAGTGTGAACCATGCCTGACTTGGAGGAGCGGTTTATAATCTTGACTTAACCATCATTCTGGAACCACTTAGGTAGTGTTTTGGCGGTTGCCTATACCCGGCTCATAATGCAGGCTTTCTTTTTCTGAATAATCAGATCACTTATAGGCAGAACCATTCATTTATGTATTAAACAAATAACTACTGAGTGCCTTCTATGGCTCAGGTAATATTGTTCTATGTTGTTTAAGAGCATGGTAGTGAAAAAGACACAGCCTCTGACTTCAGAGGAGAGTGAAAGAGACAAAAGCAAAACAGCCCAATAACTTTATAATACAGAACCTTATGTAAAACAACAAGGGGAGACTGGAAATAAGAAAGCTCAACAAAATGCACTTAACCATAAAAAACTTGTTTTGCCCTTGGTCTCATGTCTTAATCTTCCCCAATGTGACTGTAAGCTCCTTGAAGGCAGAAACCACCTTTAACATGTCTGCATACTCCCTAGTACCCAGCTCAATGACATGTCCACAATAACCCATCACTAAATATTTGTTAACAGCTTGACTGATCAATTTCACTGAAACGAAACGAGGCTATGGAGGTAAAAGTGTGTTTGCATTATTTTTTGCCTTCCATGGAGGTTTTTGGTTGTTCATCTTTGCGTTAACTCATCACCACCAATAAATAAGGATGTCTGATGTACCATTTAATGCTTGCTAAACTTATGGGTAGGAA
Source organism: Homo sapiens (assembly GCF_000001405.40). Lineage (NCBI taxonomy): Eukaryota > Metazoa > Chordata > Mammalia > Primates > Hominidae > Homo > Homo sapiens. Next base: position 86,959,504 of record NC_000011.10, on the reverse strand, counting down.
AAATTTTGAGCTTCTATTTCTTGACATGCAAGAGCTCTGTGGTGACAATTCTTCTCTGCTAGCTAGTGGTGCAATGGACTAAGAAGGGAGTTTGGCTCTGCCACTTAATAGGTATTAATCTCTTGGGAACTTTGATTCCTCAGCTCGAAGTAAGATCAGTGTTCCCTTCCACCTTACTCAGCAGGCGCACTTTTGTTTTATAACTAGTTTGGGTGCAGGGGGAGATGTAACACCCTATTTATAAATGGATGGAATGTGGCATGGCATCTTCTTGCTTTGCTTTTGTTGTTCCACAGTAAATTCCCAATACTTATGGGGTTTTAGTCCCAGTGAATTATTTCCCTCAAAAACCAGGCAGATAATAATGAACCACTTTCTTGCACTTTCCATCAAGACAGCTCTTTGTGAGTTCTAAATGTTCTATCTAGATTCAAAGAAGCTGGTTTCTTCATGAGTGGTTGGAATAAGACTTTTCTTGGAAGCTACTGAATATGGATTAGTTGGATTGTTTCATAGGAAATAAAAAGCAGGCTCTAGGGTAACTACTTCAGCACTTAATTGGGTTAGCAAAGAGCCGCAAATGAGAGATTTTCCCGTAGGAGGGAAAGGATGTTTATAGCTTCCACCCCCTTAGGTGATGCATTTTAACCTAAACATTACTCTTCCAATGCAGCCTTTAATTTAGTAAGCATTACAAGAATCTATTAGAGCAGAAAACGTCAGGTTGAAAAATTAACACATCACCGGAGTTAATAAGAACCCAGCCTCTTATTAGATACAAATGGAGAGCCCTCCAACTGCCCAACAGACTGTTGAAGTCATGTTTGTTGCAGCTCCAAAGTAGTTGAATCTTTACTGCTCAGAGGCTGGACCAAGGAAACTGCCCAGGCACTCAAGCCAGAGTTAGCAGGGGCCCATGGCCTACACTTTATTCAGGTGTCCCTATCTTTTCCTCTCAGAAATGCTGTGCATGTCACAGGGTGGATATCCCTCTGCCTGGGACTCCCTCGGGAAGTGTTTTCTGTAACAAAGACAAACATGCCATGCCTGTCACCAGGGGCAGATTGTGGACTGTGTAAACCACTCCAGGAGAGGGAGGCTGAGGGGCTCCAGGCCATTCAGATTTAGCTCTAAGTTATGGTCTTTGTTGTCTTTCCACATTCAGACTGAAATGTGATTCCCCTAGCTTTCTTTTTTGGAAAATACTGGTGATGAGTTCCACGACTAGAAAGAAAAGCTGTTGACAGAAAAAGCTTCTGATAGGGAAGGGGCTTCTTCATGTGTTCTCAAAGGAGACAATTGCTTCAAGCAAGCTGAGGCAGGATGCCAGGTCTAGGAATAAGAGGTCCAGATCACAAAATGGTCATCTTTAACTATGGATTAGGCTGGGCGTGAAGCAGTTTCCTCTGCAAGAGCAGTACCATGCACACAGAGTTTAGGGCCAGGCAGACATGCATGAGTTCTTCTCTACGACTTACTGTGTAATCTTGGGCAAACTGCTTGGCCTCTCAGAGCATCAGTTTCTGCAAGTTGTGAGAAATAAATAAAATTAAGAATGTAAGGCATGTAACACAGTGTCTGAAAGTAAGAGTTCTATATGAGTGGTTTGTTATTGATTTGAAAACAGTATTCCTTCACCCAGAACAAATGATGTTCCTTGTGTGCCAGGCCCTGTATGAGGGACAGGTCCTCCTCCTTGACCTCAGGGAGTTCACTGTTTAATAAACCATGTAACCATATCTTCAGCACAAAGCACACCCCACCACCACCACTCTTCCCTAGAAGAAGGGCCAATTGCATACTAACTACACTTTGTTGAGTAGCTACGAGTCTTGCAGGTCATCCCCCTTTGAGTAGCCCTCCAGACTCAGCCACTTCTACCTTCAATTCACCCACAATTCTCTATCTGTGCACTTAGCAAACTAAGTTATTGTTGTTTGTTAATCCTTTGTCTCCTCCTGTGAGATCCTAAAGGATGAGGATTATCTATTCATTTGATCTGTTCATCTGATTATATATTCATCTCTGTAACCCAAATGATTAATAGATCATTTGATCTCTACATCTGATCGTTTATTCATCTCTGTAGGCCAAGGGTTTTATGCATTACTCAGCACAGGCACACAGAGATTCAATCCTATTGCTGAGTACATTGATTTCCAGCTGGGAATTTTTTCTGGGAAAATAGCCCTGCCTTCCATCTTTGAAGAGCCTCTTCTGGGCCCTGGTTTGGTTGGTCTTGTCATTTTCTATTACTGTGGTTCTAGCCTCAGTTTCCTAATCTCTATAAGGAGCTAACGGAACCTCCTTCACTGGGAGTTTATGATGATGACTGGAGACAATGCAGCTTCTCCGTGTCCAACACAGTTCTAGGCACAGAGCCAAATACCAAAAAAAAGTTGATTCCATTTTTGCCCTCAGTCAAGTCTCGTTGCCAATATAAGAAGACTAAAAATACAAGACAGAATATGAGTGTCACATGAGTGGCACAGACATTCTTCCAACTTGCATCTAGCCTCTGCCATATGCCACAGAATTGGCTGAAATGGGAGGATAAAAACATGCATAAAACAGTGGCAAGTGTTGGACAAAAAGATCTCAGGAAGAGGGTGAAAAGCCTTTTACCCAGATCCTCATTCCGGGGCTGCTGGAGCTGTCTTTAGCACCAGGCTGGAAAGCAGGAGGCTGTCCCATAATTGATCTCCCCTAGCTGTTTTGGAAACACATACACACACACACACACACACACACACACACACACACACCCCAATCACCAAGTTCTTCAGCATTTATTATGTGTCAGACACTGCTAAATGATTTACAGGTATTATCTCACTGAACTCTTAGAACAACTGTGTGAGGTGGATATGAACTTCCCCACTTTACAGCCGGCCACTTTGAGGCTCAGAGAGGCACCATAGCTTCAACACAGTCAAGCAACAAGTAAACGGTGGAGGAATCCACCTGCTGGGAGTTTACTGGCCGACTGGAAAGCAGAGAGAGGGTGGACCAGCACAAAGCCGCGGGGGGCTGGTAATGAGACAGGAAAGTTGGGTTCAAACCTGGGTCACATGATCCCCAGATCCCTAGGAGCCGAAGCAGAAGCAAAGAAAAAAAGGGGTGCAGCCTGGTGGGGAGGGGGTGCCCGGGAGGCCGGGAGAGAGGAGTCACGGTGGTTGTGCGCCTTCCTCGTCCCCAGTGCACAGGTCAAGCCTCTCCCCTCCCGCCCTCTCACCCTCCCAACCTTATTTAGAAACCGTGTCCCCGAGACAGGAAGGGCGGCGGGCCGAGAAGCACGGAGAGTCCCGGTCTCATTTCCTTTCGAATCCCCCTGTGGAATTTCATTTCATACGGTGAGGAAATCAGAGCGCGAGACCGTCGGCGGGTCTGCAGCTCCGCAGCTCTGGGGCGCCTCCCCGCTGGCGGCTGGAGGTGGGCGGCTCCCTGCGCAGGTCGGGCGAGTCTGGGGGCGGGGAGAGGCCGGGCCCCGATCGCCGCTGGTCCGGAGTGAAAATAGCTGTGGACTCACGCAGTACCAGGCACCATGCTAAGCCTTCTACACTTTATCTCTAATCCTCCCAAGTGACTTTACAGAGGAGACTGACGCCGAGGGGTTGAGCAATTTGCTCAAGGTCACACAACCGGGACTGAAAGCCACAATCGGTGTAAATCCAAATCCCCAATTCTTTGTGTACGTTTCTCTGCCTGACGGGGAGGTGGCCACCGGCCTAGGTTACAGCTGAAAGGAGACAGGAAGGAAAGGGGGCAGATGGAACAGGGCGCACTTCTCACCTGCAGAAGGGGGCAGGACGGCGTGGCTGGAGCCACTGGGCTGCGTCCCTGCTTGGCCCCTGCGCGCCTAGATCCGGGTGGGAGGAAAGCAAGAGCCGGGAGGCGGGCGGGGCGGGGCGCTAGGGGAGGGAGGGAGGGAGGGGCGGCCGGAGGAGGGGGCCGGAGGGCGGGGGCCTGACTCCTCCTGCGGGAGAGCGGCCCCGCCCCGCCGCCTCGCCCCTAGCTGCCCACCGCGCCCGGCCATTGGAGAGGCCCGCTGTCCGTCCCGCCCCGCCGCCGCGCCGCGAGCCTCCAGCGCCGCGCAGGGCTCCGGCGGTGAGAGCTGCGCAGCGCTGGCTGCTGGCTGGCCTCGCGGAGACGCCGAACGGACGCGGCCGGCGCCGGCTTGTGGGCTCGCCGCCTGCAGCCATGACCCTCGCAGCCTGTCCCTCGGCCTCGGCCCGGGACGTCTAAAATCCCACACAGTCGCGCGCAGCTGCTGGAGAGCCGGCCGCTGCCCCCTCGTCGCCGCATCACACTCCCGTCCCGGGAGCTGGGAGCAGCGCGGGCAGCCGGCGCCCCCGTGCAAACTGGGGGTGTCTGCCAGAGCAGCCCCAGCCGCTGCCGCTGCTACCCCCGATGCTGGCCATGGCCTGGCGGGGCGCAGGGCCGAGCGTCCCGGGGGCGCCCGGGGGCGTCGGTCTCAGTCTGGGGTTGCTCCTGCAGTTGCTGCTGCTCCTGGGGCCGGCGCGGGGCTTCGGGGACGAGGAAGAGCGGCGCTGCGACCCCATCCGCATCTCCATGTGCCAGAACCTCGGCTACAACGTGACCAAGATGCCCAACCTGGTTGGGCACGAGCTGCAGACGGACGCCGAGCTGCAGCTGACAACTTTCACACCGCTCATCCAGTACGGCTGCTCCAGCCAGCTGCAGGTGGGCGCCCCCACCCCCACCCCTGGCGGGACCCCTTGGGGAGGGACGCTCCAAACTAACTTTGCAGAGCCCATGCCAAGTTGATCATCCTAGCCCGAAGGAGACAGCTCTCCTGGAAAAGTGATTTCCATCCCCACCCCCACTTTCTCAGGGACTGGAAGCCAAAACGTTGTGTAAGTCATCTGGCCTGGGAAAGAACCCACTCTTACACCCCGCCCTTCCGTTTTTCTCTCTTGCCCACCCATGTCTGGCCCAGACCCCTAACCCCAGTGGAGCTGAGGGTTATCTCTGCCAAGGATTCTGGCCGCCACTGCTCGGTGGGCGAGTGGGAGGGAGCCAGCTGCAGCTAAGACTTGGAGGGAGTGATAAGGAGACCATCCTTCACCGAACTTCCTTCTCCCCACTATTTTTGGGGTGTTATTAAATGAAACACTACTGCACCTTTTTCTGCTGAATAGCCCCTTCTCACGACGTCCCGCAGCGTTTTAGAGGTCATGCATGAAGGAGTGGTTGGGTTGGCTTGAGTTCTTTCTTATCCTCACAGTTGAAGGCACGTTTAATGCTTGGAGGGTGAGAAGAAGCTGCAGGAAGGTGGTTGGTATATTGGAAGAAATTTTTTTGCAGTCATTAAAAAATGTAAAGCATATCTAATGATAGAGAAAATGTTTATTCCACAGTAATAAGAATTTGCATATACAGGGTGATTATAATCCTGCAAAATAAAAAATTTATTGGGATAATAAAAGACTGACAGGAAAATTTTTAAAGTGTTAACATTGGTTATGTTTGGGTTGGTGAGGCTGGGTGATTTTTAGAAATTTAGAAAAGAGAGAAGTTGTGGGAAAAAGTAGACGTTAGTTGTCCAGGCTTCAGAAATCTGGTTTCTGGCCGGGCGCAGTGGCTCACGCCTGTAATCCCAGCACTTTGGGAGGCCGAGGCAGGTGGCTCACGAGGTTAGGAGTTCGAGACCAGCCTGACCAACATGGCGAAATCCTGTCTCTACTAAAAGTACAAAAATTAGCCGGGCGTGGTGGCGTGCGCCTGTAATCCCAGCTACTCAGGAGGCTGAGGCAGGAGAATCGCTTGAACCCAGGAGGCAGAGGTTGCAGTGAGCGGGGATTGCACCATTGCACTCTAGCCTGGGCCACAGGAGCGAAACTCCGTATCAAAAAAAAAAAGAAAAGAAAAGAAATCTGTGGTTCTGGCTGTAACTTCTGAGAGATAATAAACAGACATACAGCTTACTTACTAGGTGCATGTTTTTACATAGGTCATTTTAAAACTTGGTTTGTGGTTTTGGAAAGATGGTGGGGATTAGACCTGTTGCTGCTAAAATATCCCTTTGGAAGTTTCAGAACTTTAGAACTAGGTTATAAAAGCTTAAGAAATGATCCTCCAGCTCTCAGTTTGGAAACAGCACATATCCTGACATCAGTGGCAATTTGTTGGAGAAACAGCTTTTGCAGGGATATATATTTTTAATTACATGTATCCTGGGGAAAGCGGCCAAGCTGTTTTGAAGGACAAGACTGGATCCCTTTACATGCTGGAAAATAGTTACTTGTAACTCTAGACTTCATAGACAACATCTGTAAGGAGCCAAGCAGACTGTTTATCAATGCTGGAGGAATTGAGGACAGCAACTGGACTCTCCCCTGCTGGTACTGCAGTTTCAGCGACTTAACATTTACATTTTCCTATTGTGCTTCATTATTATTCATTGAGGAAACCTGGCCAAACAAATCCCTAGTGACCAGAGACCTCAATCTGCATCCCATCCTTGAGTCTAACAGTGTCTCATTTGGGCCATTTTTTGTTTCAGTATGGGACTAGTTTAAACAAATTTTTAAGGGATAAATTAGGGAGAAGAGAATACTAACAGGATCTACATTTTTTTTTAACTTTTATTTTTAAAATGATAAAGAAACGGGGATAAAAATAAACCACCTAAATGAGTCATATTAGTTTCTTTAGCTTTTTCAAATAGTTTCTAAAATGGAAGGAGATTGAAAGCCAGTTTTTTAAGATTTATTTCAAGTGTTGTGCAAAGAGGGCTTATGCAATTCTTCAGACCCTATTTATTTTATTTATTTATTTATGTACATTCTTCTGGAAAGGATTACTAAAGCCAAACTAAGAAAAGTATGTAAGTGATGGATTATCAGGCGCCCTTGTTTGAGGTCAGAGTAAACAGACAGACTCCCGATAGGTTGGTTTAAAAGTAGATACCTAGATTGCCTGGAAGCATTCAACTCAGCTTTGTGGGAGCATTTGGTCAAACTTCCAAGTCATTGTTTTTTTTGTGTGTGTTCATTTTGTTACTTTTCCAGTTCTTCCTTTGTTCTGTTTATGTGCCAATGTGCACAGAGAAGATCAACATCCCCATTGGCCCATGCGGCGGCATGTGTCTTTCAGTCAAGAGACGCTGTGAACCCGTCCTGAAGGAATTTGGATTTGCCTGGCCAGAGAGTCTGAACTGCAGCAAATTCCCACCACAGAACGACCACAACCACATGTGCATGGAAGGGCCAGGTGATGAAGAGGTGCCCTTACCTCACAAAACCCCCATCCAGCCTGGGGAAGAGTGTCACTCTGTGGGAACCAATTCTGATCAGTACATCTGGGTGAAAAGGAGCCTGAACTGTGTGCTCAAGTGTGGCTATGATGCTGGCTTATACAGCCGCTCAGCCAAGGAGTTCACTGATATCTGGATGGCTGTGTGGGCCAGCCTGTGTTTCATCTCCACTGCCTTCACAGTACTGACCTTCCTGATCGATTCTTCTAGGTTTTCCTACCCTGAGCGCCCCATCATATTTCTCAGTATGTGCTATAATATTTATAGCATTGCTTATATTGTCAGGCTGACTGTAGGCCGGGAAAGGATATCCTGTGATTTTGAAGAGGCAGCAGAACCTGTTCTCATCCAAGAAGGACTTAAGAACACAGGATGTGCAATAATTTTCTTGCTGATGTACTTTTTTGGAATGGCCAGCTCCATTTGGTGGGTTATTCTGACACTCACTTGGTTTTTGGCAGCAGGACTCAAATGGGGTCATGAAGCCATTGAAATGCACAGCTCTTATTTCCACATTGCAGCCTGGGCCATCCCCGCAGTGAAAACCATTGTCATCTTGATTATGAGACTGGTGGATGCAGATGAACTGACTGGCTTGTGCTATGTTGGAAACCAAAATCTCGATGCCCTCACCGGGTTCGTGGTGGCTCCCCTCTTTACTTATTTGGTCATTGGAACTTTGTTCATTGCTGCAGGTTTGGTGGCCTTGTTCAAAATTCGGTCAAATCTTCAAAAGGATGGGACAAAGACAGACAAGTTAGAAAGACTGATGGTCAAGATTGGGGTGTTCTCAGTACTGTACACAGTTCCTGCAACGTGTGTGATTGCCTGTTATTTTTATGAAATCTCCAACTGGGCACTTTTTCGGTATTCTGCAGATGATTCCAACATGGCTGTTGAAATGTTGAAAATTTTTATGTCTTTGTTGGTGGGCATCACTTCAGGCATGTGGATTTGGTCTGCCAAAACTCTTCACACGTGGCAGAAGTGTTCCAACAGATTGGTGAATTCTGGAAAGGTAAAGAGAGAGAAGAGAGGAAATGGTTGGGTGAAGCCTGGAAAAGGCAGTGAGACTGTGGTATAAGGCTAGTCAGCCTCCATGCTTTCTTCATTTTGAAGGGGGGAATGCCAGCATTTTGGAGGAAATTCTACTAAAAGTTTTATGCAGTGAATCTCAGTTTGAACAAACTAGCAACAATTAAGTGACCCCCGTCAACCCACTGCCTCCCACCCCGACCCCAGCATCAAAAAACCAATGATTTTGCTGCAGACTTTGGAATGATCCAAAATGGAAAAGCCAGTTAGAGGCTTTCAAAGCTGTGAAAAATCAAAACGTTGATCACTTTAGCAGGTTGCAGCTTGGAGCGTGGAGGTCCTGCCTAGATTCCAGGAAGTCCAGGGCGATACTGTTTTCCCCTGCAGGGTGGGATTTGAGCTGTGAGTTGGTAACTAGCAGGGAGAAATATTAACTTTTTTAACCCTTTACCATTTTAAATACTAACTGGGTCTTTCAGATAGCAAAGCAATCTATAAACACTGGAAACGCTGGGTTCAGAAAAGTGTTACAAGAGTTTTATAGTTTGGCTGATGTAACATAAACATCTTCTGTGGTGCGCTGTCTGCTGTTTAGAACTTTGTGGACTGCACTCCCAAGAAGTGGTGTTAGAATCTTTCAGTGCCTTTGTCATAAAACAGTTATTTGAACAAACAAAAGTACTGTACTCACACACATAAGGTATCCAGTGGATTTTTCTTCTCTGTCTTCCTCTCTTAAATTTCAACATCTCTCTTCTTGGCTGCTGCTGTTTTCTTCATTTTATGTTAATGACTCAAAAAAGGTATTTTTATAGAATTTTTGTACTGCAGCATGCTTAAAGAGGGGAAAAGGAAGGGTGATTCACTTTCTGACAATCACTTAATTCAGAGGAAAATGAGATTTACTAAGTTGACTTACCTGACGGACCCCAGAGACCTATTGCATTGAGCAGTGGGGACTTAATATATTTTACTTGTGTGATTGCATCTATGCAGACGCCAGTCTGGAAGAGCTGAAATGTTAAGTTTCTTGGCAACTTTGCATTCACACAGATTAGCTGTGTAATTTTTGTGTGTCAATTACAATTAAAAGCACATTGTTGGACCATGACATAGTATACTCAACTGACTTTAAAACTATGGTCAACTTCAACTTGCATTCTCAGAATGATAGTGCCTTTAAAAATTTTTTTATTTTTTAAAGCATAAGAATGTTATCAGAATCTGGTCTACTTAGGACAATGGAGACTTTTTCAGTTTTATAAAGGGAACTGAGGACAGCTAATCCAACTACTTGGTGCGTAATTGTTTCCTAGTAATTGGCAAAGGCTCCTTGTAAGATTTCACTGGAGGCAGTGTGGCCTGGAGTATTTATATGGTGCTTAATGAATCTCCAGAATGCCAGCCAGAAGCCTGATTGGTTAGTAGGGAATAAAGTGTAGACCATATGAAATGAACTGCAAACTCTAATAGCCCAGGTCTTAATTGCCTTTAGCAGAGGTATCCAAAGCTTTTAAAATTTATGCATACGTTCTTCACAAGGGGGTACCCCCAGCAGCCTCTCGAAAATTGCACTTCTCTTAAAACTGTAACTGGCCTTTCTCTTACCTTGCCTTAGGCGTTCTAATCATGAGATCTTGGGGACAAATTGACTATGTCACAGGTTGCTCTCCTTGTAACTCATACCTGTCTGCTTCAGCAACTGCTTTGCAATGACATTTATTTATTAATTCATGCCTTAAAAAAATAGGAAGGGAAGCTTTTTTTTTTCTTTTTTTTTTTTTCAATCACACTTTGTGGAAAAACATTTCCAGGGACTCAAAATTCCAAAAAGGTGGTCAAATTCTGGAAGTAAGCATTTCCTCTTTTTTAAAAATTTGGTTTGAGCCTTATGCCCATAGTTTGACATTTCCCTTTCTTCTTTCCTTTTTGTTTTTGTGTGGTTCTTGAGCTCTCTGACATCAAGATGCATGTAAAGTCGATTGTATGTTTTGGAAGGCAAAGTCTTGGCTTTTGAGACTGAAGTTAAGTGGGCACAGGTGGCCCCTGCTGCTGTGCCCAGTCTGAGTACCTTGGCTAGACTCTAGGTCAGGCTCCAGGAGCATGAGAATTGATCCCCAGAAGAACCATTTTAACTCCATCTGATACTCCATTGCCTATGAAATGTAAAATGTGAACTCCCTGTGCTGCTTGTAGACAGTTCCCATAACTGTCCACGGCCCTGGAGCACGCACCCAGGGGCAGAGCCTGCCCTTACTCACGCTCTGCTCTGGTGTCTTGGGAGTTGTGCAGGGACTCTGGCCCAGGCAGGGGAAGGAAGACCAGGCGGTAGGGGACTGGTCTTGCTGTTAGAGTATAGAGGTTTGTAATGCAGTTTTCTTCATAATGTGTCAGTGATTGTGTGACCAAGGCAGCATCTAGCAGAAAGCCAGGCATGGAGTAGGTGATCGATACTTGTCAATGACTAAATAATAACAATAAAAGAGCACTTGGGTGAATCTGGGCACCTGATTTCTGAGTTTTGAGTTCTGGAGCTAGTGTTTTGACAATGCTTTGGGTTTTGACATGCCTTTTCCACAAATCTCTTGCCTTTTCAGGGCAAAGTGTATTTGATCAGAAGTGGCCATTTGGATTAGTAGCCTTAGCAATGCTACAGGGTTATAGGCCTCTCCTTTCACATTCCAGACAATGGAGAGTGTTTATGGTTTCAGGAAAAGAACTTTGTGGCTGAGGGGTCAGTTACCAGTGACCTTCAATCAACTCCATCACTTCTTAAATCGGTATTTGTTAAAAAAATCAGTTATTTTATTTATTGAGTGCCGACTGTAGTAAAGCCCTGAAATAGATAATCTCTGTTCTTCTAACTGATCTAGGATGGGGACGCACCCAGGTCTGCTGAACTTTACTGTTCCTCTGGGAAAGGAGCAGGGACCTCTGGAATTCCCATCTGTTTCACTGTCTCCATTCCATAAATCTCTTCCTGTGTGAGCCACCACACCCAGCCTGGGTCTCTCTACTTTTAACACATCTCTCATCCCTTTCCCAGGATTCCTTCCAAGTCAGTTACAGGTGGTTTTAACAGAAAGCATCAGCTCTGCTTCGTGACAGTCTCTGGAGAAATCCCTTAGGAAGACTATGAGAGTAGGCCACAAGGACATGGGCCCACACATCTGCTTTGGCTTTGCCGGCAATTCAGGGCTTGGGGTATTCCATGTGACTTGTATAGGTATATTTGAGGACAGCATCTTGCTAGAGAAAAGGTGAGGGTTGTTTTTCTTTCTCTGAAACCTACAGTAAATGGGTATGATTGTAGCTTCCTCAGAAATCCCTTGGCCTCCAGAGATTAAACATGGTGCAATGGCACCTCTGTCCAACCTCCTTTCTGGTAGATTCCTTTCTCCTGCTTCATATAGGCCAAACCTCAGGGCAAGGGAACATGGGGGTAGAGTGGTGCTGGCCAGAACCATCTGCTTGAGCTACTTGGTTGATTCATATCCTCTTTCCTTTATGGAGACCCATTTCCTGATCTCTGAGACTGTTGCTGAACTGGCAACTTACTTGGGCCTGAAACTGGAGAAGGGGTGACATTTTTTTAATTTCAGAGATGCTTTCTGATTTTCCTCTCCCAGGTCACTGTCTCACCTGCACTCTCCAAACTCAGGTTCCGGGAAGCTTGTGTGTCTAGATACTGAATTGAGATTCTGTTCAGCACCTTTTAGCTCTATACTCTCTGGCTCCCCTCATCCTCATGGTCACTGAATTAAATGCTTATTGTATTGAGAACCAAGATGGGACCTGAGGACACAAAGATGAGCTCAACAGTCTCAGCCCTAGAGGAATAGACTCAGGGATTTCACCAGGTCGGTGCAGTATTTGATTTCTGGTGAGGTGACCACAGCTGCAGTTAGGGAAGGGAGCCATTGAGCACAGACTTTGGAAGGAACCTTTTTTTTGTTGTTTGTTTGTTTGTTTGTTTGTTTGTTTGTTTGAGACAGGGTCTTGCTCTGTCACCCAGGCTGGGGCGCAATGGCACGATCTTGGCTCACTGCAACCTCTGCCTCCTGGGTTCAAGTGATTCTCCTGCCACAGCCTCCTGAGGAGCTGGGACTACAGGTGCGTGCTACCACGCCCAGCTACTTCTGTATTTTTAGTAGAGACGGGGTTTCACTGTGTTGGCCAGGCTGGTCTCGAACTCCTGACCTCATGATCTGCCCGCCTCAGCCTCCCAAAGTGCTGGGATTACAAGTGTGAGCCACCACACCTGGCCTGGAAGGAACCTCTTAAAATCAGTTTACGTCTTGTATTTTGTTCTGTGATGGAGGACACTGGAGAGAGTTGCTATTCCAGTCAATCATGTCGAGTCACTGGACTCTGAAAATCCTATTGGTTCCTTTATTTTATTTGAGTTTAGAGTTCCCTTCTGGGTTTGTATTATGTCTGGCAAATGACCTGGGTTATCACTTTTCCTCCAGGGTTAGATCATAGATCTTGGAAACTCCTTAGAGAGCATTTTGCTCCTACCAAGGATCAGATACTGGAGCCCCACATAATAGATTTCATTTCACTCTAGCCTACATAGAGCTTTCTGTTGCTGTCTCTTGCCATGCACTTGTGCGGTGATTACACACTTGACAGTACCAGGAGACAAATGACTTACAGATCCCCCGACATGCCTCTTCCCCTTGGCAAGCTCAGTTGCCCTGATAGTAGCATGTTTCTGTTTCTGATGTACCTTTTTTCTCTTCTTCTTTGCATCAGCCAATTCCCAGAATTTCCCCAGGCAATTTGTAGAGGACCTTTTTGGGGTCCTATATGAGCCATGTCCTCAAAGCTTTTAAACCTCCTTGCTCTCCTACAATATTCAGTACATGACCACTGTCATCCTAGAAGGCTTCTGAAAAGAGGGGCAAGAGCCACTCTGCGCCACAAAGGTTGGGTCCATCTTCTCTCCGAGGTTGTGAAAGTTTTCAAATTGTACTAATAGGCTGGGGCCCTGACTTGGCTGTGGGCTTTGGGAGGGGTAAGCTGCTTTCTAGATCTCTCCCAGTGAGGCATGGAGGTGTTTCTGAATTTTGTCTACCTCACAGGGATGTTGTGAGGCTTGAAAAGGTCAAAAAATGATGGCCCCTTGAGCTCTTTGTAAGAAAGGTAGATGAAATATCGGATGTAATCTGAAAAAAAGATAAAATGTGACTTCCCCTGCTCTGTGCAGCAGTCGGGCTGGATGCTCTGTGGCCTTTCTTGGGTCCTCATGCCACCCCACAGCTCCAGGAACCTTGAAGCCAATCTGGGGGACTTTCAGATGTTTGACAAAGAGGTACCAGGCAAACTTCCTGCTACACATGCCCTGAATGAATTGCTAAATTTCAAAGGAAATGGACCCTGCTTTTAAGGATGTACAAAAGTATGTCTGCATCGATGTCTGTACTGTAAATTTCTAATTTATCACTGTACAAAGAAAACCCCTTGCTATTTAATTTTGTATTAAAGGAAAATAAAGTTTTGTTTGTTAGGTTGTGTGTGACTTGGCATATTTCTGAAAGTATATGACAGCCACTAGGAAGCATATACACCCAGCAGTGAGAAATAGAGGATTCAGTTTGTAGGGCAGATTGGGAACTGCTTTCTGAGGGCCTCTTTCTTTTTTGCTGGGGCTCTTTTTCCCCTGTGGGATTTCTCCTGCGTCAGCAAACCCCCACAGTCTAAGGTCAACAGAATTGATTGCTAATATGGTCATCAGTAACACTCAAGTAGGTCACATGATGCTTTGGATATAACTATAGTTCTCAAGTTGTTATCCCAATGACACCTCTTTTTTTTTTTTTTGGCATTTTCAGTGCATATGGCTGTCTTTGCCTTTCAAGCCCCATTGACTTAATCTGATGGCCTAAAAAAGAGTTTTCCCATCATTGCTAGAACTTTTGGCCTCTTAAAAAAGGGAAGGGAAAGGGGGCTTTTTTTTTCTTCAGATTTTTTTTTTTCTGGCTACCCAGTGGTTCTGTTTGTGTAATAGACATGGGCATATGTCACATTTGTCAATCAGGAAAGTGGCTTCTTTAGCTAATTTTATAAATTGGATGGTCTGTGTCCCCATATCCAGAAAAGTCATCGGACAAAGCAAATTCAAAGCTACTATCAGGATATTGTTATGGGAGTCAGTAATATTATAGACCTCACATACAGAGGGAAGGAGAGCCATCACCGTCTGCTGATGTCCCAGATGTGAACATCAGGCCTCTTGGTTTGCTTTTAAATTGCTTGCCACCCTTTAGCTTCACTTGAATACCACCCTGTTTTGGTGTGAGTAAAAAGCCCATTGAACAAGGATCTGCAGTACTACTCTCCTTATCTGCAGATTGCTACCGGACATTTATCTCAAACCCTAAATGAAGGCAGGTATGTAATTTAAATGGTTTTCCCGGTTGGGCTGTGTTTCTCTTTCCATTACCTATTCATTAAGTAATTACGAAGTTAAGGAAAGTCAACACAATCTGGAATGAATTCTTAATTCCTTGCACTTAAAGAAACATTTTCTGAATAGAAAATACTTCCATTTACATGATTTCATTTTATTCTCCTGGCATTTCTGAAGTCAGTAGGGCAGGTCTGACAACCTTCCTTTAGAGTGGAGAAGCCAAGACGTAGAGAGGGCGAGGGCAACCCAAAGGGGTTGGAGAAGGTTGGTCAGCAGGTCTTCCCATGCCCAACTCAGGGTTTTGGTTGTATTTTTATTTTATACAGGGTTTTCTTTTGTTTTTGTTTTATACTCCTGTGGGTTGCATGGTGTCCCTCTAATCTTAACCCCAGATACCTGTGAACGTGACCTTATTAGGAAATAGGGTCTTTGCAGATTAAATCAAGTTAAAAATGAGTTCATACTTACTAGATTAGGGTGGGTTCTAATCTAATATCTAGTATCCTTATAAAAACTGGGAAATTTGGACACAGACACAGAGAGGAGAATGCCATGGGAAGGCCGACACAGAGATTGGAGTTATGCAGCTACAGGCCAAGCAAGAAACACCAAGGATTGCTGGAAACCACCAGCCAGGAGAGAGGCAGGGAAGATTCTTCCTTGGATCCTCCAGGAGAACACAACCTTGATCTTTGCTTTCTAACCTCCAGAACTGTGTAAGAATAAATTCCTATGGGCGAGGCGCAGTGGCTCACACCTGTAATCCCAGCACTTTGGGAGGTCAAGGCAGGCAGATCACATGAGGTCAGGAGTTTGAGACCAGCCTGGCCAATATGGTAAAACCCCGTCTCTACTAAAAATACAAAAACTAGTCAGGTGTGACACGCGCCTGTAGTCCCAGCTACTTGGGAGGCTGAGATGGGAGAATCGCTTGAACCTGGGAGGCAGAGGTTGCAATGAGCCGAGATCGTGCCATTGCACTTCAGCCTGGGCATCGCAGCAACACTCTGTCCCAAATAAATAATAAATAAATTCCTGTTGCCTTTGGCCACCCAGTTTGTGATAATTTGTTACAGCAGCCCAAGGAAACTAATACAGACTCTATCCCTCTGATTTCTATTTTTTTTCTATTTTATTTTATTTTATTTTTTTGAGATGGAGTCTTGCTCTGTCACCCAGGCTGGAGTGCAATGACTTGATCTCGGCTCACTGCAACCTCCGCCTCCCTGGTTCAAGTGATTCTCCTTCCTCAGCCTCCTGAGTAGCTGGGATTACAGGCACCTGCCATCATGCCTGACTAATTTTTGTATGTTTGTGGAGATGGGGTTTCACCATGTTGGCCAGGCTGGTCTTGAACTCCTGACCTCAGGCGATCCTCCCGCCTCAGCCTCCCAAAGTGCTGGGATTACAGGCGTAAGCCACCGCACCCAGCCTCCTCTGATTTCTTTACTGCAAATAGTTCACTTGGAGTGGGTAGATTCTTTGGCACCTTTCTCAATAATGAGATCTGACCATAAGCTTCTATTTTTTAAAAGATTATATAGCATTATCACTATAGTACATTCCTTTATCTGTAAACTGGACACTTCTAGAATAAATGCCATGATCCCCAACACCCTATAGTTTGAATTGGTCTTGGCTGGTCTCTTGCCCACCTTCCCCCAATGGGAGCTCTGTGTGCACGGCCAGGACCCTAACTGGAATGTGACCCAAGGGTTTTTAGCATTTCGGTCCTGAGAACTGATTTTTTCTCTTTCCCATTTTAGCTTTCACATGCAATTATAATTTTAAAGTTGAGCTGACTCTTGACTAAAGAGGTCAGCCTTGGCCTCCTGTTTTCAGAGGTTCTGTGTACAGAAATAAACCAGACTGGGAGAAGGGCTTTATTCTGTCCTTCATTTTCCTTCACAATGCAAGCTGGTACCGTAGGACTGGGAGGATCCCACTAAATATCTTGAAGATGTGTTGGACCTGCAAAAGTTTAGTTCAAAAGGGTTTCAAAATGGACCTTGGCCTCACATGAAATTCTTAGAATTACCCTGTTTTTTTCCTTCAGTCATTTCATCTTTAGGCTAAGAGGGCCCATAGATTTATTTACCCTCATGGCAAAGGATTCCAACTTCTCAAATTCCCAGGGAAAGAGAATAGAAAATCAAATGTATTGCATTTTCCATCCACTGCCTGATTTTCATCAGCTTTCCACCTGGTTTCCTATAAGCACCCAATTCTATTTTCACTCAAGAACGTGCTTAATCTCATGGAAAGCCTGCATTATCAATGCCTTTCTCTTTAAGAGATTAAATGATTGGTTATGTAAATTTCCTGAAATGCCTGGGGTTGCATCATTCCACTTGATATGAGGTAAATGGGTGGAATATAAAGCAATGAGATGGAATAGATAAGTCACAGAAAATCCTGTCCTGGTTTCATCATGTTCCTCTCACCCCTTTGCCTTTGCATATGCGTTGTTTCCTTTTGCCTGGAATGTCCTTTCCATCTTTCTTCAACTAGGTTATGTCTGTCCTTTTTAAAGCCTTGGGTCATCTTTCCTGGGAAGACATCCCCGATCCTCCTGCTTGCCACTTCCTGCTTCCCTTTCCTTTTATTGATAGGTAGGTTTAAGCCTCTGTGCATTCAACTCTGGGAGCCTTCCTTGCACTGATTGCAATGATCTGTGCATGCATCCATTTCTTACTAAACTGAGCTCCCTGAGCATGACTTTGAGCACCTAAAGTTGTCTATTTATGTACCGTCAGAGCTTGGCACACTGCCTGGCACAGGGCACAAGTTTCAAAATATATGTATAAGGAAGGAAGGCAGGGAGGAAAGAAGAAATGGAGTAAGGAAGGAGGGGAGGAAGGGAGGGTTTTAACCTTGTTAGATGGAGAAACTGAAGGGCTTTGATGACAAACATGGCCACCATAGGAAGGAAACCAAAGGTGACAACAAGAGCCATCAGGTTGGCAGGACTTTCTGGGAAGATACTAGGGCACTAGCCCCCAAGAAAATTCTCCAGCCTCAAAGATAGGTTAGGGAATGATCGACTACCCCACTGTGTTGCCTATTGTAAGTTGTCTCTTTTAAATATTTGCTGAAAGTCTACTGTATATAGAACACTGGAATGGGCTAGGGAAGGGAAAGGGAGTGATTTTTAAAAACTAGGAAATACGAAGTCCAACTTGGAGTCCAAAAGTGCAGATGACAAAACAGAGAAAGAATTCAGCTGCTATTAACAAGCTTAAAACTCTAAATGTGGAAAAACAAATCCTCTACTGCTTAGTAAATATTTGTTGAATAGCTGAAATGAGGGTCCATCGTGTGCCAGCCACTGTCCTGGGAAGGCACCGTAGGGGACACAGATAAATAAGACATAACCTTTCCCTCTAGAAGTTCGCTGCAGCACACTACGTGCCTCCCTCTACCCTCCTTCCCACAAAGGATCAATGCTACTAGTCCTATCACACTTACTATGTAATTTCTTCCTAAGTCCATAGGTCTTGTGGTTTAGCTTGAATAGAACAGTTTCTGAGTACCCAGTGTAATGGGCAAACAGTTCCTAAACTGCTGTCGTCTCACCATTTGACCCCTCAAAGGACACATCTGCTGATGTAAATATGTAGGGAAGGTGGAGGGAAGAAGAAAAAGAGAGAAGTGAGGATCCCAAAGACCATAACTCATTTAAAACTTGGTCTGCCCATCAAAACCACCCCCAGAATTCAGAATGTAAAATATAAAAATTGAAACTTACTCATTATGTGCCATCGGAGGTATTTAGTCAAAATTCAGCATCTGACCACCTTTTCTAGGCCTATGTTGATTTACAATATTTGTACCCAGTAGGTCGTTTATGTAGGTGTGTTACCTTGTATCCTCTGAACCTTCTTCTCTTACTACTGTTGTCATAATTGTATAAATACAAAGAGATTGCTCTATAGAAGTTAAAAGAAGTACAGTACATGGTCAGTCCTCCTCATGTATCCAGAGTGAAAAGGATAAATGTGTGAATAAACTTGGCAGAGAGTTGCCTGCAGGAGGTGTAGGGCAGTGAGTGGCTCAGTGTAACTGGAGCCTGAGATTCTTGGAGTGGGAGGGAAGGTGGGCTGAGGCCAAGTTATGAAAGGCCTTGGAGGCCGTATTCTCTCCTGCGCTCAGCACAGGGGAGTCGGCAAAAGTTTGAAAGCAAGGAAGGTTCATGTCCCTGTTGGTGTTTTTACATAGCTTGCTCTGTCTGCCGTGTGGACTGTGGGCTGGGAAGAAGGCAAGCAGGAGACAGGAAGACCGGTTTGGATGAGAAACCATGAAGGCCTGAATGAAGGTGGTAGCAGAGAGATGGAAAGGAGGGGGTGATTTTCAGAGAAGCCACAACAAATTGTGTCCTCTGTAGCTCTGGTCAATGAGCCGAATCTTTGCTTTCTAAAATGCCAGTGTTTCAGAGGCAAGGAGTTTCTGTTTGCTCTGCACACCCGATACAGCACACCCCTACGTTGCAAACTAAAGATAAATAACGCCAGAGGCCACGGCAGCTTGCAACACTGACCAAGTAGCCCTGGAGATCTTGAGTTTCACTGCATTCAGACTCCCCCTTGCAGTCCGAGGGTCAGCATGACACTGTTAGTGGAGGGGACAGGGTCCTTGGGAGGAGAGGGTAGCATTTAGTTGTTTATGTAGTGCTAAGGGGCCCCACCAGCTCTTCGGGACTCAGAGTTTTCTAACACGACTTATTTCTTAGAGTAGCCGATTCAAATTTCATAGTAAAGGTTTAATTTAGGACAAACTGAATCCAAGTCATGTCTCCCATGTAGATTTTGTTTCTTGACACAGTTTTCTTTGCTAACTACTGTGAATTGCCTAACCAGATCTACAGAAAACCATATCATGGGCCCACATTTTTTTCTAATCCTCTTCCTTTTAAATCAGAAATTCAGTATAACATTTTTCCATAAGTGAATGAGAGAACCACTTCCTAGCATTTTTGTGTGTCCCCCCCACCCACCCCTTTAAAAAAAAAAAAAGAAAGAAACAACAACAGACCTTCCTTTTGGATTTACATCAGCATTTAGCTAACTTCCTGAACATTTCACCCATTTCCTGAACTTATTCTCAGGAAGGAAAAACATCCTCCTTCAGAAATAAATGCAAATAATCCCAGAGATTATTTCTATTAAATAAATAGTGTAAACGCAATGGAATTTCCTGTAAGATGTATATTTACCATGGATATTTCAATAAAAATGTATTGTGATTCTGTAAGACTCATGATATTTGCAGGTAGTCTGAGGAATTATAATCTTTAGTAGCCATTCAAGAGCTAAGTCCTGAACATTTGCAATTTTTACTCATGTTAAAAAATATATATATATATATATATATATTTTTTTTTTTAACTGAGAAATAGGAACACTGGAAAAATTATTCTCCTGAGGTCAGTGTTTTTTGAAGCTTTGTTTCTTTTAAAAGAGGGCTCTAATGACACCTAGTGGTGAATACAGGCAGAACAACTTTAGGACAGACTCAATGCAGTGTCCCTGTAATTAGAATTTTTTGTTTATGTGTTTGCTTGGGAGAAAACACACTCCTTACAAGCACTTCTTAAGTACCCTTAATGCCCAGGAATCCTGAGAAGTAGTGACATGGAAACGTTTCCCTTACGTGTTTCTGGCGATGTTCTCTTCTCTTGATTGATGATTCCTCAGAGCCTGCCCACCTCCTAGGGCTAAACTGGCTCAATTTTAAGAATGGATGAAAAATGTGAAGCTCTGCAGAGGAAAAACATCAATACATCAAGTGAGAAATTTCCCTATATTTTTGAGAAGGCCTCCTCCCATTTGGCTATCTTTTAATGGAGAAGCATGGTCCTTTTCTGGTGTATATGTCTTACTGACTTTTTAAAGGTGTACTCTAGGCTGACTGCCTGTCGTTTCTGCTTTACAGGGGCCTTCTTAGGTTCTCTAGTGTTTGGCAGTGGCTGATTTTTAAAGAGAGAGGTGATAGGGATCTCAGAGAGGCTGCCCTCACTCCAGCCCCACCCCACCCCTACCCCCAGCCCCTCGGAAGGCCATCCAGGACAGATGACTATCTGGCCTCCTTGCACCACCCCCAGGAAGGAGCTCCTTAATCCATCACATCGGCTGATATTCTTCTTTATGTCCAAACCCCTCAGAGTGATATCCAAGACCCTCAGGTCTGGCTCTTCCCCTCTCTTCCAGCCACATCATTCCTCTTCCTCAGACACACCCTATGCTCTAGCCAATCCCAGCCACTTCCAGCTCCTCCTGTTCTCAGGCTGTTTCAGTGTTCTCTGCTCCTGCATGCTGGACTCCTGAGCCAGGAGGCTCTTTCACTCCGTGGCCCTTCTGCTCATTCTTCAAGTCCCTGAGTAAGTGTTTCCTCTTCTTCTTCAAGTCCCTGCATACACGTTTCCTCTTCTGGGAGCCTCGCATGATCCAATCAAGCAGAGCCTGTAGCACCTTCCTTTAGGGCACCTCTGAACCTAGTTCAAACATCTGTAATTGCATGTGTTATATTACATTATATTGTTCTTGTTTGTTTCTCCTCTAGATGTGTTTGAGCTTCTCAAGGGCAAGAGCTGTTCTTGCGCCCAATGCTGGTTCGGGTGCTCGACAAATGTTCACTGACATCCTGGCAGCAGCCATTTGTGGCACTGGATTGTTGCATTTGGCTGCAGTGTTTTGACAGGAGCAAATTAGGAGTGGGGCAACTAGTTCAAGGTAGTGTTGACAATGAGGGTTAGCTCTTTGAAAATGTGCAGAACCATTTATTATCCCAAATGACCTCAGCTTTCACACCACTAGGAATAAGGTGCTTTCACAAAAATCATCTCTAAGTTTGTGTCTAGTTCTAACACTGGAAGATTCTGTTACCAGAAAGGGGTCCGGATCCAGACCCCAAAAGAGGGTTACTGGATCTCACGCAAGAAAGAATTAAAGGCGAGTCCATAAAGTGAAAGCAAGTTTATTAAGAAAGTAAAGGAATAAAAGAATGGCTACTCCACTGACAGAAGGCTTCTGGTTGCCTATTTTTATGGTTATTTCTTGATTATATGCTAAACAAGGGGTGGATTATTCATGCCTCCCCTTTTAGACCATATAGGGTAACTTCCTGACATTGCCATGGCATCTGTAAACTGTCATGGTGCTGGTGGGAGTGTAGCAGTGAGGACAACCAGAGGTCACTCTCATGGCCATCTTGGTTTTGGTGGGCTTCAGCTGGCTTCTTTACTGCAACCTATTTTATCAGCAAGGTCTTGATGACCTGTATCTTGGCTGACCTCCTATCTCATCCTGTGACTTAGAATGCCTAACCGTCTGGGAATGCAGCCCAGTAGGTCTCAGCCTTATTTTACCCAGCCCCTACTCAAGATGGAGTTGCTCTGGTTCAGACGCCTCTGACAATTCTATAATTAGGGGAGCCATGCTTTAAAATATGGTTTTAAAAAATCTAGGGCTAAGGCAGAGAGTCTACAATTGAATGCAAGAATATTTTACATACACCTGTCTTTTTTCTGGGGAGATGGTTCATACTTTTCAAAGAAGGGGTCTGTGATCTCAAAAGATTAAATACCACTGATTAAGAATCATTGACCAAAATGACAATCTTTACTCAGCCTCTGCTGGGTCAGTAGGAGCTAACACCTTAATAGGAGTTAGTGCCTCAGTAGAGAGGTTCGTAATCCAGCAGCTGCAAAGCTCTTGCTTTTTTTCCTACTGCCCTCTATTAGGGCACATGTACTGGTCCCAGTTTGCAATTTCAAAAGAGGCTTGCATCCTAAGAGGCTTTTGGACATGTTCCATTTATGCAGCATTAATGTTCTAAATGTTCTAAATGTAAGAGTAAGGGTGTAAGGGTATGACCAGAACTCTTTTTTTTTTTTTTTCTTTACTCTGTCACCCAGGCTGGAGTGCAGTGGCATGATCATGGCTTACTGTGGCCTCAACCTCCCAGGCTCAAGTGATCCTCCCAGCTCAGCCTCCTACTACAGGTACATACCACCATGCCTGGCTAATTTTTTGTATTTTTTGTAGAGACAGGGGTCTCTGTTTCCCAGGCTGGTCTCAAACTCTTGGGCTCAAGCCATCCTCCTGCCTCAGCCTCCCAAAATACTGGGATTACAGGTATGAACCATCACACGGAGCAAAACTCTTTCAGCAAGATTATATACCTTTCCCCACATTAAAAAAAGTAATTGGCTGGCCGGGCGCTGTGGTTCACGCCTGTAATCCCAGCACTTTGGGAGGTCGAGGTGGTCGGATCACCTGAGGTCGGGAGTTCGAGACCAGCCTGACCAACATGGAGAAACCTTGTCTCTACCAAAAATACAAAATTAGCCAGGTGTGGTGTCACATGCCTGTAATCCCAGCTACTCGGGAGGCTGAGGCAGGAGAATCACTTGAACCTGGGAGGCAGAGGTTGTGGTGAGCTGAGATTGTGCCATTGCACTCTAGCCTGGCAACAAGAGCAAAACTCCATCTCAAAAAAAAATAAAGTAATTGGCATTACCAGAAATGATATTAATATTCTTTAGGTTAGGTGCCAGGGCTACTCTGAAAAAGCCACCACACAGAGCCCCCAAGTCCTGCCAGGTGGTTCACAATGAACCCTCTGGGTAGTGCCAGAAATCCTACATGTGAAGCATGATCACTGAAACATTCTGCGAGTGTGATCTGGGCCTGCAAATTGCTATGAAGCTTTTCTGCTTCAGTGGGAGATGCCATTGCAAACTGAATTGTGGCTGGCAGGGCTGGATTCCTGGGTTTGCAACATGGGCAGTCATTCAGAGCCCTGTGCTTAGACAGGCCTTGTGCTTTGTTTAATGCTTTGCTGTTGCTATCTTGAAATTTTCAATAATATTTGAACAAAGGGCCTCATATTTTTATATCACACCTGCTCCTGTAAATGATGTTTGTCCTAAGTGGCTACATATACCTAAGGCAGCACCAAGTAGTAGAAAGAGCATGTACTTTGGAGTTGGCAGGGGTCAACTCCAATCCCAGTTCCGTAACTTTCTAGCGATGTGAGCTTGGGTAAGTTACTTAACCTCTCTGGGCTTCAGTGTTATTATATAAAAAATAGTGATTATAATGTCTAACTTTTAGAGTCATTGGGGTAATTACCAACAGTTGGGGTAATTACAACATTTGGGGTAACAGTATGTGTTTAGTAATTGGTAATGGATGATAATGACAACAATGCAACAATGATTTGAAAACAACTAGTCAAGAAAGAATGAAATAACATTCATGTGAAAAGACAACCAAAACAAAATGAACAGACAAAAAAATGCCATACACGTAGACTTTTGGGGTTGGGAAGAATCCTAAAGATAAGCTCCTGGGCTGAGTTGTTTTTGCCTTTGCCGTCCACAGCACTTTTCTCTTATGATGCATCTTTTCCCGCATTAAACACTGAGACCCTGAGAACAGATACTGTGTCTATACTTTAAAAATATTTCCAGCTTCTTGCACAAAGCCTGACACAAAGTGGATGTTTAATAAGCATTGGTTGAAATAATAAACTAGCTCATTATTTTATAGCTGAGGAATCTGAGGCCTAGAGAAGTCAGGTGACTTAAATAAGCTTACAAAACTTGTCCTTGGCAAAGCCAGGTCTGGAGTCCTCTCTGTTTGTTTCAGAGGGATTAGTTATTGCCTGGGGGCCCTGTGTGGACCCATCCCTTGGAGCTGTTAAACACAATCACACAATCTTTATTGCTTGCTGAATTGCAATTATCAGATTATATAGGAAATGTTTAAGGATTTTATGTATGTGTATTTTTATTTGTTTTGAGTCAAAAATCAAAAGGGAAGAATGGTCATTGGAGCTAGAATATACTTGTGGCTGTCCCAGTGAACTCCTAGAAAAAGTAATCCCTCCACTTGCCTTTGCTGGAGCACATGGTTCAGGGATAGTTTAGGATCCCCTCTCTCCTTTCCCAAATCCTCCCATGCATGAGCTTATCTGCTGTGATGCTGATGTCCTGGATGTGATTGATTACCCACCACTATCTTGGGGACCTGGGAATGACCTTCTGGATGCATTTGTAAGGAACCAGCTTGGGAAGAAAAACAAAAACTTGAAGGCATCCTCTAGTTGGCCTGAGATAAGGGGACCTCAGAGTCTTCTTTCATTAGCCTGGCAAAACAATCCAAACAATAAAAAATCCATAAGAAAATATTCTGCTTCCAGGAGCTTAAAAGATACTTCTCCTTTCAGCCACCCAGTCACATGACACTATCCCTATGTAAGACAAACAAATGTTTTTGTGGGTGAGAGGATGAGAGGAAGGGAGGAAAGAAGAGAAGGGGAGGAGTTCAACAGAGAAAGGGAGGGAGGTATGATGAGGGAGCAGAGGTGAAAATGTAGAAAAAAGAAAAAACCAAAGAGAGAGAGAGAGATGGAATATGTTTGGAAAGAGATGTGGGCCTAATATTTACCCAGATGATCCCAGGAGCCAACTCAAATCATCAGAATGAATCGATCCAAGTCACCTTGTTAAACTTACTTGGCATAATAATAATTATTGTGTGCTGAAAGAAGCAGTGGGGTTCGGTGAGAGAGTATGGGTTTGAGTTTTGGCTCTCATGATGATTTGCTGTACAAACATACATCTGTTATTTCAAGTCCCAGGCCTCAGTTTTCCCATTCCGAACTGGGGGAAATAAATGAAACAGGACATATGAAAGTAATTTGAAAAATAGAGTGTGACACAAGCAAACACAGTCTCGAATTTACACTCAAGCTGGATCTATTCCACTTAAATCAAAACAGGCTTTGACGTGTCTCCAGCTTTTCTTTTCATGGACTCAGTAAAGTTTTCTACCTTGTGTTTTTAAAGTAAATACATATATAATCCAATGATCTCGTCGCATCATTAGGCTCAGGTGGGCTCGTTCCAAATCATGGATACAACACTGAAATCAAAATACGAAAAGAAAAAAAGGTGCATGGTTTACCCACCATTGTTTAACAAATTTATGTAGTGGAAAGAGCAGATATGGTAGGAATGAGATCTGGTTCAGATTCCAGCTCCAATAGTCATCTGCTGTGTGACCCACGGCAAGTTTCTCAGCCTCACTGAGCCGCACTCTTCCCACTTGGGGTATGGGAGCACCTCCCTCCCTATAATATTATCATAAGATAGCCGGACAAATGCCTAGCTGGCTCCTGGCATCTGTTAGAGCCTCTGCCTATGTTGATCATTGCTGTATCCTCAGTCCTAGACTATAGTAGGTATGAAATATGCAGTACTTTCTCTTTTCCCTTCCTCTTTTCTACTTCTCTTACCCTATTCCCACGCCCACCCATTCAGGTGTCTTTCCATGGCCACCAAAGTAAAGCCTTGGATTTGGGTGTCTGAGATACTGCTTGAGAGCCATTTTTTTCGAAGGCTTCAGATAGGAAATGAAATCACGCTGGCTTATAATTATGCACCACCTTAGGTGTCAGCAATGAAAACAGACTCTAGAGAACATAAATGGAAGGAAATGTATTGGAGTGGTTGGAGAGTAAAGAGAATTAACCTTAGAAATGAGTAGAAATTAGGGGAGAGTCAGAAGTCCAGTCCAAAGGAACCACAGCAATGGCTCCTTGGCAGGAGTAGTTTGGTCAGCGTGCCCGCCAGCCTGCTTTTGAAAGGACGACCTCCAGCTGTCTCCAGAGGTAGCCACCCACCCCCTGCCTGTTTTTGTATTGCTTCCCTGAGATTCACACTTCAGGGAAAGACCACTTGGTGGGCTGAGCCAAAGTCAGTTACTGACCCTCAGATTGTGCCAGGGTTGTGTGTTTATGTGTGAACAAGAGAGTGTGAGTGTGATTTTGTCCACTTTTGATATGGAAGGTGAGTCCGACCTCACATCGAGAGAAGCCACAACAGTGACCAACCCTTACAGAGGGAGATTTGATGACAGACACCCATTAATAAAAATATGGCAAATGTCCACTGCAGCTCAGAAGAGAGTCTTCAAGGAGGTCAGAGAATCCACAGCTCTGCTTTGTGCAGGGATGTCTCCTCTTCACCAAAGCATTTAGCATCCACTGGGGTAAACAGGGAGGATCCAGCTGTGTCTGCTCATTCCAAGTGGTTTTGAGAAAACAAAATCAACATTAAATTAAAGCAAATAATCAGAGATGTATTAACACTAAAAAAAAAAAAAGTCATGGAAACAAAGTTGAATTCAGTTAAATGGTGAGTGAACAGTTCTTCAGATAGCTTTTGCCTGATTTCCACACAGCTGTTTCTCCAAACCTGTCTGCAGTCAGAGGCAGATGCTTGCAAGCAGCCCCCATGTATTTCCCACACACTCTCAGCCCCCAGCAAACTCTTCTGGAGGCTGGGTGGCCGTGTCACTGATGGTGATGGCCCCTGCTTCAGGAACTGACAGTCTGCTTCCTTTTTTGCTGTATCCTTCAAACCCTAATTATACAAAAAAATAAATTCAAGACTCCAGTCTAGCAGCTGAATACACTTCTTGTTTGGGAAAGCCTAATTTTCAGTAGAAAACGACTTCTGGCAAAAGCAGCTCCTGCCCCTCCCCTGCTTTTTGCCCCAAGGTCAAGTATTCTGATGACTCTCAGCAGTCATTGGTCCCACTTCCTGCCAAACTGTGACAAACCAACCACATGATCATGATTAATCACCCCCCAGCCCTTCATTGCAAACAATGGGACTGCCTCGGGGGCAATTTTGGAAGTCTCCATCACCTCCAAATTTTGATAGGGGTTAAGTTAGACTCGGTCCTCACTTTTGCACAAAGATTCACAGTTTGCATAGAGCTTCATGGTTTGCATGAAGTTTTATTGTTTGCCCTCTTATACATGTTATTTTATTTGGTCCCCAATAATAGGGCACCAGGCTACCGTCACCCTTCTCCTGGATTATTACAGTTGCCTCCTATCTTCCTCAATGTCCACTCTTTTTTTTAAAAAAAATTGAAGTACAGTTAATAAAAAGCACGCTGAGAACGATGGCTCATGCCTGTAATCCCAGCACTTTAGGAGGCCAAGGTGAGTGGGTCACTTGAGCTCCGGAGCTTGAGATAATAAAAAGCACAAGTCCAGCTGTTTTGCTTTGATAAGTTTTGACAGTTGTATACACTGGGTAACTGCCATGTACAAAAAGAGATACAATATTTCCATCGCCCCAGAATAATCCTTCATTTTTTTCTTTCCAGTCAATGTCTCCTTCCTCTAGGCAACTACTTTCTGATTTCTATTACTAGGGACTATTTTTTATGTACATTGATTTCATTTCATATCATTGGAATCATACAGTATGTACACATCTGTGCTTTTTTTTCATGGATTTAAGACTCATTCATGTTGTGTGTGTGAGGAATTCCTTCCATTGTATTGCTGAGTGGTATGCCATTGTAGAAATACACCACAATTTGCTTATTAATTCATTTTTTGATGGAAATTTAGTGGCTTTTTTCTTCATCATTTTTGCTACTATGAATACAACTGCTATAACAAATTTTGTACAAATATTTTGTGAACATATGTTTTCATTTAACTTGGATAAATACCCAAGAATGAAATTGCTAGGTCATAGGGTAGATGTATGTTTAACTTTATAAGAAACTGCCAGACAGTTTTCCAAAGTAGTTTGTCAGATATATGAGTTGTCAACATCCAGTCTTGCTTCCTCCAGTCATTTCTCCTCATAGGCTCCAGAGCAATCCATTTAAAACATAACCTTGATCCCATCACTTTCCTGCTTAAACTCCTTCAATGGCTTCCCATTGCCCTTAGGAGCAAGTCCAGACATTTTTCACGTAGCCTGCACAATTTGGCCCTCACTTTCCTTTTAGCTTTGGCTACTCCTTCCTGCATCTTCCTGCCCGCTGTTTTTCTGTGTTCTGGCCATACTGGGTATGTTTCTACTCCTTGACTGTGAAGCACTTTACCTGCTCAGGGCTTTTGTACGTGAGGTCCCTTTTTCTGGTCAGCCGTTCTTTTTTTTTTTTTTTTGAGACGGAGTCTCGCTCTGTCGCCCAGGCTGGAGTGCAGTGGCGCGATCTCGGCTCACTGCAAGCTCCGCCTCCCAGGTTCACACCATTCTCCTGCCTCAGCCTCCCCAGCAGCTAGGACTACAGGCGCCCGCCACCACGCCCGGCTAATTTTTGTATTTTTAGTAGAGACGGGGTTTCACTGTGTTTGCTAGGATGGTCTCGATCTCCTGACCTTGTGATCCGCCCGCCTCGGCCTCCCAAAGTGCTGGGATTACAGACGTGAGCCGCCGCGCCCGGCCCTGGTCAGCCATTCTTCATCCACTTTCCTCTTTGCTTATTTATTCTTCCAGTCTCAGTTTAAAAGCAGCTTCATCAGGGAATTTCCCTAGGCCCTGTAGACTAAGTTAGATCCCCTGTTACATGTTCCTGTGGGGCCCTGGGCTTCCCCTTCCTAACATTCACTGCACTGTTGTCATTTTACAAACTGCATATATTTATTTCAATTTTTGAATAGCTTATACATTCATGTTGGTTCAAAAATTCTAAAAAGATATTCTGTCAAAAGTTTTATTCCCATCCCTGTCCCTATTTGCCTGGCTTCCCACCCCACATTTTTTTTTTTAAAGGAACTTCTTGATATCAGTTTTTTTCCCCAGATATTTTTTAATGCCTATACAAGATTTTGTATACATACACATATACACAAACATATATACACATACTATACCACTATAACTAATACTATTATAGTATAGTATAATACTATATTTGTATATATTAGCAAATAACAAATTATGAATACTATTAGTGTTATACTATTAGTATTGCTAATACTAATGTATATACTTTTTACACATATGCACACTCTACACACTGTTCCGCACCTTGTTTTTTCCACTCACTTTTATGTTTTGGCAGTTTTCCATTTCACAACTTAGAGAGCTTCCTCATTTTCTGTCATTGATGCCCAGAGGTCCACTCTATAAATGATCTAGGCCTGTGCTGATGGCCATTTAATTGTTTTTAATCTTTCGTGATCATAAACAATGCCGCAATGATAACAATCATATACAGATGTTATTTCTTATGAGTGTGAGAACACTTGAAGCATAATTTCCTGGAAACCAAATTGCTGGTACAAATTGTATATGAGTTTGTATTTTAAATTATTATTATTTTTGAGACGGAGTCTCGCTTTGTCATCCAGGCACAATCTTGGCTCACTGCAACCTCCGCCTCCCAGGTTCAAGCGATTCTCCTGCCTCAGCCTCCCAAGTATCTGGGATTAAAGGCATATGCCACCATGCATGGTTAATTTTTGTATTTTTAGTAGAGATGAGGTTTCGCCATGTTGGCCAGGCTCATCTTGAACTCCTGACCTCAGGTGATCCGCCTGCCTCGGCTTCCCAAAGTACTAGGATTATAGGCATGAGCCACTACACCCGGCCTTGAGTTTGTGGGGTTTTTTTTTTTGTTTTTTTTTTTTGAGACGGAGTTTCGCTGTTGTTGCCCAGGCTGGAGTACAATGGCGCGATCTTGGCTCACCGCAACCTCCGCTTCCCAGGTTCAAGCGATTCGCCTGCCTCAGCCTACCCCAGTAGCTGGGATTACAAACTTGCGCCACCATGCCCGGCTAATTTTGTGTTTTTAGTAGAGACGGGGTTTCTCCATGTTGGTCAGGCTGGTCCTGAACTCCCAACCTCAGGTGATCTGCCCACCTCGGCCTCCCAAAGTGCTAGGATTACAGGCACGAGGCACCGCACCCAGCCAAGTTTGTGGTTTAATAATTTTTGACAAATTGCTTTCCATGGGATTGTACCACTTCATATTCCCATCCACAATGTTTAAGTGCGCCTCACCTACATGTGTTGCAGAACATTTGGACATTTGGAGATCTGAGAGCAGAAAAACATTATTTCAGTGTAGTTACTTTTAATTTGCATTTCTCACATTAGAAGCTAAGCATCTGGTAGGATTTGTTTTATTTTGATTTACTTAGTATGTTGTAGATATCCAATATATCTGTTGATATAATAATAAAACCTATGTATTATATATTAATATATAACATAATGTATTATATGCTGTATATGTCTTGCCAATTTTTTTTTTTTTTTTTTTTTTTTTTTTTTTTGAGACAGAGTCTTGCTTTGTCGCCCAGGCTGGAGTGCAGTGGCGCGATCTCGGCTCACTGCAAGCTCCGTCTTCTGGGTTCAAGCCATTCTCCTGCCTCAGCCTCCCAAGTAGCTGGGACTATAGGTGTCTGCCACCACGCTCGGCTAATGTTTTGTATTTTTAGTAGAGATGGGGTTTTACTGTGTTAGCCAGGATGATCTCGATCTCCTGACCTCATGATCTGCCTGCCTCAGCCTCCCAAAGTGCTGGGATTACAGGTGTGAGCCACCACACCCAGCCTGGCATTAATATATATTAAGCATATGTATTATAGATTTATATATATATTAATGTAATGCAATATTAAACATATGTATTATATACTTATGTAAGTATATTTATGTTAATGTAATATGTATTAAACATATGTATAAGTATATAATAAATACATATACTTATATATAATACATATATATTTATAAGTATAAAATATTTGTAATACATATGCTTAATATATATTAACATATACATATATTTATGTATAATATGTATTATAAGTATATAATACATATGCTTAATATATATTACATTAACATATACATATATACATATACATACATACATCTATGTAGGCTAAATAAATGAAAAAACTGAATGATGATCAAAGAGCTTAATATCTGTGTGTTTTAAGGACATGGAGCTTGTAAGTGGAGACTTTCTGGGACCAAGTACAGTATACTTTTTTTTTTTTTGAGACGGAGTTTCTCTCTTGTCACCCAGGCTGGAGTGCAGTGGTGCAATCTCAGCTCACTGCAACCTCCACCTCCTGGGTTTAAGCCTCAGCCCCTGAGTAGCTGGGACTACAGGTGCAGGCTGGTCTCAAACTCCTGACCTCAAGTGATCCTCCTGCCTCAGCCTCCCCTGGCTTACAGGCGTGAGCCACCACGCCCGGCCTAGTATTCTTTTTATTAGTCTTTGCCGCTCATATTTCTAGGGTAGTTCAGAAGGAGAAAGGAAAAGAAGATGTCACTAAAAATTAGAAGGTAAGGCCGGGCACAGTGGCTTATGCCTGTAATCCCAGCACATTGGGAGGTCAAGGTGGGAGGACTGCTTGAGCTTAGGAGTTCAAGACCAGACTGGGCAATATAGTGATACCCCGTCTCATTTTTAAAATCTAAAAAAAAATTTAAAAAATGAGAAGGTAAAATCTTAGCTCTGCTTTCTTATCAGTATTACTGTTGGGCTAGTTTACACGATGCCAGTTATTCTACTCAATGCCAACTGGAGAATGCCAGCTCAGGGTCAGCTTCTGAGATCTTATAACTGTGTTAGGAACATAACCTTTAGAGTCAATCAGACCTCGGTATGAATTTTAGCTCTGATATTAGCTGTGAGACTGTCTTCTCCCTAAGATGCAATTTCTCCACTGGTGAACAGGAGATGACAACGCCTGCCTATAATAGAAACCTTGAGGTATCTGCTTAGCCCTTGATTCTTTCCCTCTGACTACTCTCCTCCTCTCTGCACCACGTGACTCCAGGCCCCTGGCAAAGCTGATTGGACCCATGGTGGACTGACTCAAGTTAGCTCAGTCAGAATCTAAAAAATCCTTAAGAATAGAATCCAGAGGTTCTGTTAATTCTTGATCTGGGAAGTGGGGGTGACAGCATGACTGGGTAACCCTATCTGACTACATGTTGGAGTTTGAGGGGGCCCAATAAGTAACCTCCCCTTTCCTTGCCTCACTTCCAAACCAATTAAGGGATTCATGAGGTTATGGCAGAGGAGGAGTAACGCATGAGCTTTTTGCAGATAAACATAGTTTAGTGTGGCAATGCTGAACACATAATGAGACAGACTTTTCATAGACAACCCTGAATAGCCAGAGGCTGCCCCACGTAGATGGAGGGGAAAAATGCGAGGGGAAACAGTTGAACTATGAGTGCTTGGTCCTTTCCCCAAATTCATGAACCAAAATCCAGGAGTGTAACCCTAATGGAGGTTTTTGTACTTGGAAACAAGAAGGTTCACCCCAACATAAGAGATGCATAGAGAAGCAGGGTCAAAAGACAATACCCCCTGGAGAAGTAGGTCCAGTCAGTGTTCTGACTTCCCAGTTTCTGCTCCTTGTCTCTCTTATGAAGCTCAGCCACACTTCCCGCCCTTGAGTTCTTCCAGATACACATTATTTATAATTATGGGTACCCCTTTATTTAAACTCTTTCAGGTGGGTCTTGCAACTGGTAACCAAAAATCTTTTATTAGGACTCTAAGTCACACTTTTTTTTAGGGTGAAGTTTATTTATATTTTATTATTTATTTATTTTTGTGAGATGCAGTCTCGTTCTTGTCACCTAGTCTGGAGTGCAGTGGTGCGATCTTGGCTCACTGTAACCTCTGCCTCCCTGGTTCAAGTGATTCTTCTGCCTCAGCCTCCCAAGTAGCTGGGACTACAGGTGCACGGCACCACGCCCGGCTAATTTTTGTATTTTTAGTGGAGACGGGGTTTCACCATATTGGTCAGGCTGGTTTCGAACTCCTGATCTCAGGTGATCCACCCACCTCGGCCTCCCAAAGTGCTGGGATTACAGGTGTGAGCCACTGCATCCGGCCTTGGGTGAAGTTTAAATAAAGAAATGAATGTAGGGCACCTAGCATGGTAGACTCAATATATATTTAGTTTTATTCTTTACTTTCTGATGGGAAAGGGGATGGAGCAAAGCTCTGAGGCTCAGTCACTCAACTCATTTTCAGTTTGAATATGACACGAAACAAACCCCCAAATTTTGAAATTTCTACTTGAAGGTCAAACAGCCATTAAAAGTAGCACATTTGCTATGAAAACGTTACTGAAGACATGTCTATCACAGGCTGGAAAGACAGTGTTGGTTAGTAGCTGGAGTCAGATATACTTGGATAGTAATTCAGGTTTCAACTGCTACTAACTGGAAAGTCTTACAAAAGTCATCACCTCTGTAAGCCTAATTTTTTCAACCATAAAAGAAAAAACTAATTTGTTTGGTTGTTACAAGCACAAAATATGCTCTTGGTACATAGAGAGTGCTCAGTAAATGACAGTTGTTATTATTGTAATATTCTGAATACTTTCAAGAAGGGTCAGGAGGGCCTTCCTTTCTGTTATTGAGAGCTACATGCCTGATTATGTTTTCATTTTTGCCTTGATTGCCAGGGAGTTCAGAATCAAATTTAAAACTTAATCATGGCAACCCTGCTACTATTAAGGTTGGCATATTTATAAGTCCCTTTTCCTGGCTCTTGATTTTCTGTTTCTAAAGCTTGTCAGCCAATGAGAAGCAGCTTATCAATCGGACCAGACTAGGGCATGCATATAAATGTAAACGACACACACACACACACACACACACACACACACACACTCCAGTTAAACAGTTAATTTTCAATGCAGTTTTCACTTGGGTAATTCCCTGCCAAGAGAAAACATAAATCACTTTTCAGTCCAGCATCCAGGGGCTCTACAAACCAGTCCAAGAGAAATTTAATCTGGGTCTATGTAACAGAAACTGGGCAGCCAGCCAGCAAATTTTTGTTTTGTGTTTTAAGAGAAATGCAACATGCTCCTTGTCAAGTGATGTCTGGGGTGATCAAGCTCACCCCCACAGGGCCAAGGGCTAACCGCGGAAAAGGTAGCTTGGCGGCTTGTGCTAAAGAAGGGCCTTTGAAGGGTCAACTCCCCTCGGTGAGTTAAAGTCTTCTTCAGAAAATGTTACAGAATGAAATACTGAGTCTCAGCAATCAGGATGTTGATTCTAAAAGTGTCACAAATCAGAAGCTGACCCCGGTTAGGTAGGGGTGAAGAGGCAGAGGGTAGGAGGGAAGCTGTGGAAATAAGCTGGGCTCTTGGAGGAAAGGAAGCCATACTGAACCGTTCACTAAAGGTTTTGGGGAGCCCTTGGACCATTTTAAACAATGTAGTCTTTCCTACTCTTCAACTCAATATTGATTGCACCAGGACTCAGGAGCTTCCTCATTATCATGTAATCACTATAACAACTCTTGGAGATAAGTTTCATTACTTTTCTTTTCCAGTTGAGTAAACTGAGAGTCACTGAATTGCCTAGGATTAAGTGGCTAGGTGGAGCCAAGAATTGAACCCAGGTCCAAGAGCCTTCAAGTCCAGTTCGCATTTTCCAGTTTGGCTCCAATGCAAGCGCAGTATCTTATTTAACTCATTTTTGTTTTATCTATCCCTTACTTCTTGGTCCCAGGTCTCCAAAATTTAACAGAGTTTGGTGTGTTGTAAAAGTCAAACATGCCCTCATCATTTTGTTGTTGTTGTAGGCCCTAGAAATGGCTGTAGGAGTTGGCAAAATAAATGCATTCTGAGGCCAGCAGCCCTTTCTTCTCTGAGCACATTCCCTGTTCCTTTCCCAGTCTCTGGGAGAGGAATTTTGCCCATGGGAGCTGTCTCAGGTGCCGACCTTTCTGTGCCTCCCTCACACATTCCTGCATCTAAATTAGAACTGGTCAATGTTTCACTCCCCTGCTGTCCTCCCAGCCTTGTCTTCTGAAGCTGGTGAACAATTAACCACCAGCAAGCAGCCCCTGTTTTCCGGCTCTCGATCTTACCTCCTTAGAAGCCTCCCTACATTTACTGCTAGGTGTCAATGATCTACCAAGCTTGAGAAGCACCGGGGCTTCCTCTCCATTCTTTAAGGATCCTCTTGTATACCCTTTTACAATGATTCTGATGATATACGATTCTTCTCAAGGAAATATATCTTAGGGAATAACCAAGCCAAAGCACCCACATTGACTCTTGAATCGTGTTTTCTGTTGGGAATTCTTACAAAGAACTGGAGAAAACGGGAAAAGATTCCAGGCCAGTTCTGTCACTTACAAGCCAGGTGACATTAGCCAAGTTTCTTAACTTCTGTGGGTCTTCTTTTTACACTTATTAAATGAGGAGGGTCATTCTTCCCTCTTAAGTGTGTTATACAGACTAAATAACAGTGTGTACAAAAGTGTTTGGCCCAGACTAGCAACTTAATCAGTTTTCTTACATAAGAAACTGTAGTCTAAAGTTCATATGATCATAGAATACTGGAACTAGAAAATGCCTTGTAGAGCTTGTATAACTTTAACAAGAGAGGAGGTCCAGAGAAAAAGTCTGAGATATACATATTCAATGACCTTTCAGCCAATTGGTGGCCTATAGTCTAGTTCTGCTTTGTCCATTAGAAATATAATGTATAAGCCATACATGTAATTTAAAATTTTCTAGTAATCACATTAAAGAAATAGAAGGTGGTTTATGCTGGTAATCCCAGCAATTTGGGAGGCTTAGGTGGGAGGATCACTTGAGTTCGAGACCACCCTAGGCAACACGGCAAGACCCCATCTCTACAAAAATATTTTAAAAAATTAGCTGGGTGTGTTAATGTGTGCTTGTAGTTCCAGTTTTTTGAGAGGCAGAGGTGGAAGGCTCACTTGAGCCCAGGAGTTCGAGGTTGCAGTGAGCAATGATCACACCATTGCACTCCAGCCTGGGCGACAGAGACCCCGTCTCAAAAAAAAAAAAAAAAAGTAGACAGGAACAGGTGAAATTAATTTTAACATATATTATTGAACCCGATGTATGTGATATATCATTTTAACATGTAATGGATATAAAAATTAATAATGAAATATTTTACATTTAGTAGCCCCAAAAAAGGGCTACTAAATTTTCAAAACCTGCTGTGTGTTTTGCATTCACAGCACAATCAATTCAGACTAACCACATTTCAAGTGCTTAATAGTCATATGAGGGTAGGACCTACAGTGCAGGTGTAGTTTAATTCAAGCCAGCAAACATTTTGTGCACCTGTTATATGCCAGGAAGTCTGTTAGATGCAGGAATATGAAGGTGAACAAACATACCAGGGTAATAGGCAGACAGCTCTGGAAAGCACAAATTATAATTCAATGCTGGGTGTCCCTTCCTGTCTAGGCTGCTGTATTATTTATTCATATGTTTGAGCAAATGTAGAAAAAAATTCTCTAGAGAATATCTATATCTTTAGGGCATTTTCTTCTGCTTAGATATCAAGGGATGGAAAGTATTTATTTTTACTGAGCTACTACTGTGTCCCAGGTATTGTATCTGCACTTGACAGGTATTGTCTCATTTAATCTTCATAGTGATGGTGTGAGGACATTATTTTGCCCATTTTATTTTTATTTTTATTTGTTTATTTTTTTTAGAGATGGGGTCTTGCTATGTTGCCCAGGTTGGTCTCTAACTCCTGGGCTCAAGCAGTCCTCCCGTCTCAGCCTCCCAAAGTTCTGGGATTACAGGCAAGAGCCACTGTACCTGGTCACATTTTGCCCATTTTAAAGAGGAGGAAATAAAAGTTGAGAGTGGTTAAGTAATTGTCCATCTGATTTATCAGAGGTAGACCTGGGACTCAATCTCAGAAACAAGGCATGTTTAACTTGGTCAGTATTGTCTCAGGGAGATTTGGAGAGAGGAATGTTCCTTGGCCATTATTATTTTTATCTATTTATAAACATTCCCAAAGTTTCCTGAATAATGTGACTGGAGCTTTATTTTAATAATAACTTTCCATTCCAGGTGACCAGTGGTCCTCCTTTCTGAAGGCTCTTGCTACAAAGGAAAGATGAGGATATTCTATTTCTTGATCCCTCTCAGCTACTGGGAGCTGCTTTGTGCCTTGGAAGCCTCAAGCTGAAATGGATGTCAGCCTCAAGTTTAACTCCAAGAGGGTTCACCTTGTTTCTTTGAACAAAATGTGCTGCCTGTTGCTTCCCTTTGCCAGGAGTGGTGTTCCCTTTTCCACAGGTCTGGACCACAGTGTCTCTAGCTCCCGCTCCTGGATACTTGGTTACTGTGTGTTTCGGTAAAAAAGCATCCACAACATGAATATCCACTAAGCTGTAACAGGGCCTGCTGCAACTATAGTATTTCCTGAAAAAGTATCAACTGCCACAAGGGCCACAAATAAAGTCTGTGAACTTGAAATAACCATGGAGAATGAAATGTTCTGATTCAGATCATCGGTGGGATTTCACTGGGAAATCTCCCACTGGGCAAGAGTAGATGATGGAGGAGGAGAAACAGTCACTAGAAAAAGGTGATACTTTGTATCAAGAAACAATTAAAAATTAGATCACATCCTGAAACATTAAGCATATGCTCCTTTGTGAGGCTTGCCTGGCTGAACTTGAACTGGATTGAGTGAATAATTTCTTAAAAACAATCAAAATCACAGATTTATTCTATTTTAAATACTTATATTTACTTATATTTCATTCAGAAATTAGTTAACAAATAATTTTTGAGTATCCTGGGAACTGTTCTAATCATTAAACATGCAAGTTTGAAGAAAGTAAGGATGAATCTGCCTGCGTGGGGCTCTCAATCTAGCGAGAAGCAGATAAGAAGACAAATGTCAGGGAAGATCACACAACCTTCAGGTAATATTTAAGCTGAGACCTCACTAGTTGCTAAGACTGGATTTCAGAGGTCAGGTTTGGATATACAAAATTTAGGAGCTGGTACATGACATTTAAAACCATGGGAATGAATGAGATTTCCTAGATAGAAAGAAGAAAAGAATATTGACATTTAATGTTGAACGGAGTAGGAGGAGCTGAACAGGGAGACCAGGAAGGAGCAGACAGTGAACCTGGAGCATGAATAGGAGAGTGGGTGTCATGGAAGCCAAGAGAAACAAGAATTCAAGAAAGAAAGTTTCTTACTGTAGCAAATGGCGCTGAGAGGGAAAGTAAGGCCATGGAATGATGACAATGACAACAGTGACGAAGGATCATTGAGTATGGTATCATGCTGACATTTGTTTCTACCCAGGCTAGGTCGTTACTGAGGGGTGGTAGCTAAGACAGGGTGGGTTGAACATGAGGAAATGAAGACAGAACATGAATTTTTGGAAAGTTTGGCTACAATGGGAAGTAGAGAAATGGGGTAATATCTGGAAGGGGAGGGAATTGAGTCAGTAGGGTTTTGTGTTTTGATTTTACGGTAGGGCATCTAGATAGATCATGTTTATGTACCTATTCCCACTCTGTTCTCTCTTCCTGAAGAGTCTCCTCTGGCAAACTCCATTCTGTAAACGTCCGTATTTAAGTGTCCTGTTCTCTGTCAAACATTCTTCCCAGGCCTAGTATGATGTTTGTCCCCAGGCTTCCATGCCATTATGTGTACACATTATCTGCCATAAGCTTACCTTATTGCATGGCAATGGAAGTTTTTCCTCCTTCTCTCTTCTTCATTAGACAAGAACAGGGTCTTGAAAAGTAGAGACTGTGTCTTCTCAAGTTCGGACTACTGGCACAGGTAGGTGCTCAGAACTTGGCACCAGGAAGATGCTTATTAAATATTTGAAGAACAAATAAGTAAATGAATGAATAGACTAACTGAGTTTGAAGGCAGTGCTATGGCAGATTTTTCTTATTTTATGAATGGAAAAACTATGGCATAGAACAATTTGGAATCTGATAATTTTACAAATTCGTAGGAGTGCTGGAAAACAGTAAAATCTTCAGTCTTGCTCCTTGAGCTGTTGCCCAGGTCCCTCTCTGGGACTGCACTAGCAGCCCTAAAAAACACCTGGGGCTGATACCCTCACATTCACACCAAACCGCAGACCTCACCACAGAAGCACAGGCCTTCACGCTGGCGTCTGCAGTCTACTTGTAGTTTGATTTTAGCAACATTGGCCAAGTTGAGGCTGGGAAGCAGCTGGTGAACAAAGGGTGGATGCACTTTTCTGAATCTAGGGGGAGACCAGGTTAGAGCCATGCTAAGTGAAGCTGCTAGGGTAGGTGGGCCAGGCAGGGGAACAGGCAAAGATACCCTTGGCTCCCTTAAACTTGGGCTAGAAAAAACAAAGACATGGCTCAAGGAGAACCACAAGGTGTCACTGTTCATCCTCAGTTAAACAAACACTGATTTGGGCAGGGACTTGAGAAACACTGCAAAGAACTTTATTTTGCAGATGAAGAAACGGAGGCCCGGGGAGGTAACATGATTTGACTAAGATCACGTAACAACTTAATGGCAGAACAATTATGAGAAACCAAGTCTCTTAACTTTCAGACTGGCAGGACCACTTTCTCCCATTGCTCCTATGAGATGGCATTTTGAGATGAGGAGTAAGCCTTCTCTACAATCATTCACTCAAGACAATGGCTTTCAATTAGAAATAGAACAGAAAAAAAACAAGAGAGAGAGAAGAAAAGAATGAAAAAAGCGCAGCATTCACTCTCACATGTGCCTTATTCAAAGTGCTGGGCTAAGATGCCAGTGCCCACAACGAGAGAGTGGCCCACAGGGCCTCCGTCTGTGGCAGGCTTGAATACCCGAATAGAAAAGTATCAGGTAAAGGATTTCATTCTTTTTATGGCTCCAACTTAAAAAGAGTCTGGTTCCCAAGGAAAACAGGAAGCCAAGTTGCTCAGCAAAGAATTGGCTGAAACCTAAGTAGGACCCAGATAAAAACATTTGCTGGATGGAAGGATGTGGGCAAATTTCTGGGCCCCGCTGCTTGGGGATGGGAAGCTATGAGGCAGAAGACCCTTTGTGAAACAGTGACCCGTGCACCAGGCATTTTTGCGGATGTCTGGAAACTGCGAGGCAGTGGAGGAGTCATAAGTTAGTTGGTTTTTTAATTCCAACTAACTTTACTCCACCAAGTATCTCAGGAGATTTCGCCTATGCTCTTTGGCCTGACTCCCACTAGGCCCTTACTCCTTCCATGGTGGCTTCTACTGGAGCCTCTTTCTTAGTTCCCAGGTTATTAAAATAATAATAAATTCAAAGAGCTTTGTTGTTTTCTTAGGTAATATAATTAATATGCGCTCATTACAAAAATTCAGATACCAAGTAGCAGAATGAAGAAAATAAAAGACATCTGTAGTCTCTCCATTCAGAAATAACTGCTGTTAGCATAATGCTGTATACATTCAGGCTGTTGGCCTGTGGAACACCTGGTATATGTCCTCGGCCCTGGGTTTACAGCTGTAAAGCTGGCACACACTAATCTCAGCTCTCACAGAGCCTACATTCTAATTGTCTGGGAGAGACAGACAATAATATTTTGTAAAAAAGTAAAATATATAGGATGTCAGATTGTGGTAAATGCTATGAAGACAGAGAAGGGGATGGGGATTTTAATGGTGGTGAGGTGGCAATTTAAAAATAGGATATTCAGAAAGTGACATTTGAACAAAGATCTGAAGCAGATGTGGATATCTGGGAGAAGACTTCTTTCTTTCTTTCTGTACATAGACAATAATGCAATTATAACATAAACAATATATGAATACATCTTTGATTTAAAATCTTCAAATAATACAGAAATATATGGGAAACAAGGGAACAACCTTCTCACCACCCTCCTATTACCTTCTCCTCTCTCCCAATAAGCACTTTGGCAATGGTGTGTTCCCTGCCCAAGCTTCATCTCTGCATTTACATTCATTTCTGTATATACTGACACAATAGCTTTATTTTATTTCCTACGTAAATGAGCTCATCCTTTGTGAAGGTGATATCTTTTTATTTTCAGCAAAAAGAGTCGTCTTAACATTTTCTAAAATTCAAAGGTATGTGAGAGCTATAGGCCTCATTACTAAAAATGAAATAGCTAAATGTGATTGCTAAGTGTGGGTAAATGTTTTACTTCTTCCTTTGGGCTAATAATCTAGCATATACTGAATTCTATTGAAATAATTTGTTTCTGCCTCTGTCTCTGCTACTACACAGTGAATTTTTTGTGGCCAGGGAATTAGGTCTTCGCATCTATTAATTTCCTGTGCTTGGTGCAATGCCCAGCATGTGGTGTTTGGTAAATGAATAGGCAATCAATTATACTTTCATACATTACTGTGGAAGGCTTCCAATACTGGGTGAGATATTGGCTGAGATCAATCATCTGCCCTAATGTGGTCCAATCTTTTCTCCATTGAAATATCTATGTCACTATGGGACACAGCCACTGTGGGATGATAGCCAGGATGACTGTGGTCAGATCCTACAAATCAGATAGTCCGATTTTAAGCATTAGAATTAAAAAATCAAGTAATGAGAGCTACCTTTCATTCCTCTTGCTGCAAGAAAAGAGTTAGGACACAAATGTGCTAAGCACTTGACCTAACACTTCTTGTTCAAGACACAAAAGTCTCAATGAAGTAGATATTATTTTGTGGACAAGGAAACTGAAAATCAGTGATTAATATGGATATTAGTTAGATCCATTCATGTGTCTACCATACAGACTTATCAGATCTTAACATTTCCCTATGTTTGCCTTAATTTTTTTCCCCAGAAATATTACACCAGAGGCCCACGATCACAAATTCATTGATTGATTGAGACGGAGTCTCACTCTGTCGCCCAGGCTGGAGTGCAATGGCACAATCTCAGCTCACTGCACCCTCCGTCTCCCGGGTTCAAGCGATTCTCCTACCTCAGTCTCCCGAGTAGCTGGGATTACAGGCTTGTGCCACCACGCCTGGGTCATTTTGTATTTTTAGTAGAGATGGGGTTTTGCCATGTTGGTCAGGCTGGTCTTGAACTCCTGACCTCACGTGATCTGCCCGCCTTGGCCTCCCAAAGTGCTGGGATTACAGGCGTGAGCGACCGCGCCCGGCTCCACAAATTTAATTGCAAACATTGGATGGCACATTTAAAAAGCCACTTAAAACAACTTTGTCATTTTATTCAATGGACATGAACTGAGCCTCGGTGCTGGGCTAAGCTGTACGGATACAGAAAGGTATAAAGCTCTGTCCTTGTGCTCACAGGGACTCACTTTTTAGTGGGGGTGGCAGACGTATA
Organism: Homo sapiens; assembly: GCF_000001405.40. NCBI lineage: Eukaryota > Metazoa > Chordata > Mammalia > Primates > Hominidae > Homo > Homo sapiens. Next base: position 86,916,851 of record NC_000011.10, on the reverse strand, counting down.
AGTTTTACAGTTGAGAAACTGAGGCACAGAGAGGGGTGGTTACTCTTTCAAGAGGCAAAGCCAGGTTTATACACCGGGGGTCAAACAAGCTGGCCTCTTGGTGGACTGGGAGGCCCCTACACATTCCTGGTCTGTTGGAACAGTGTGGATTCTGAGTGGGGGCACCTCTTCTCTGGGTGGGTCCAACTGGGAAGGGGAGCCAGTTTGACACAATGAAGCCGAATCTGTGAGAAGCACTCATGAGTGTTTTTCTCTCTTTCCACTAACCATCTTTTTGCTGCAAAGAATTAAATTCTTTTCTGGTGACACACACTTCCTGTCAGTATGAGGCACACCCAGCCAGACAAAACCACCCAAAGTAAATGAAGAAAAATCCTTTTAATTCCTCTAGGTCCACAGATTTGGTTTCTGCTGGATTGTTGCCATTTTCCCAGGGGTAAAGCCAGAGGTGGATTTGGGGAACAGCAAATAAGAACAATACACTGATAAGGGTAACACCAGTGACATGAAAACATTCACTATTTATTATCTCCAATTAAAATTCCATATTCTTATAAAAGCAATTCTCATCATAGAAAACTCAGAAAGCTACCAAAATTCGTGTTTATGGGTTTTTTTTGTAAAAAGAAAACCAAAATCTCTCAGTCTAAACTACAATCACTTTAACATTTTGATGTATAAACTTTCTTTTTAAATATTATATTTGTATGCATTATTTATTCTGGTCTGGTCATATAACTTTATATGACAAATACTTCCTTATATATTATGCACTTTGTTTTGTTTTGTTTTGTTTTGAGACAGAGTCCTGCTCTGTCACCCAGGCTGGAATGCAGTGGTGTGATCTCGGCTCACTGTAACCTCTGCTTCCTGAGTTCAAGCAATTCTTGTCCCTCAGCTTCCTGAGTAGCTGGGATTACAGGTGTGTGCCACCATGCCTGGCTAACTTTTTTGTATTTTTTTAGTAGAGACAGGGTTTCACCATGTTGGGCAGGCTGGTCTTGAACTCCTGGCCTCAAGTGATCCACCTGCCTTAGTCTCTCCCAAAGCGCTGGGATTACAGGCATGAGCCACCACACCTGACCCATTATGCTCTTTCAAATATAATTACAAATATAATATTTCATTATACAGTTGCTCTATAATTTAGTTGGTCAATCTATTGTTGGACATTTAAATTTTCTATCTTTCAGTTACTATATTATTACCACTTTAGCCAGGCACAGTGGCTAAATATGTATTATATATAATTATATGTTATATATATATTACTTATATACATTATATATTAGTTTTATATATATAATATATATTATTATTACGACTCTAAGCAGATATTTGCCTTATTGAGTGACATCACCGGCCTCTTTTCTTACATTATCTCATTTCCTTATAAGCCTCCAGAGTAGACATTATTACTGTATTATTACTGTTTTATAAATGAAGGAACTAGAATTCAAAGAGGATAAAAAACTGTCCCAAGTTCAAAGCCAGGCTTTACACCTAAGTCTCTTTAACTCCTGAGCCAACACTACCTATTGCCACACTCTGGGTGTGCCTGGTGCTCCCTAACCCACCCTGAGTTTTCTGTCTTACCAGAACATCATTACTTGTGATGTAAGAGTTTTCTTCTACTCTCCTTTGCTCAAAAAACTTAATCCTAGTCTCACTCCTTTCATGTTCCCATGAATCCCCTGGCCTCTTAGTAAAATTCGGGTTTTCCAATTAAACGCTCTCCATTTTAAAGTTCCCAGGCAGCTGGACTGATGCGATTGATGGTTCCCAACTGCTGTGCCATGTGCTCTGGTCCTCCTTCCTTCTCAGCTGTTCCCAGAAAGGCAGGCTATGAGGTTAATCACGTCTCTATGCTGTAAAACTGAATCCTGATACACTCACTAAAGCCCTCGTGGTTATTTGTGCCCCATTTGTATTCCCATTTATATTCTGAAACTTTTTCAAAATCTGAGATGCTCTCAGCAACTCAGTACATTCTAAACAGGATATTAAACTTTTAAAAAATGTATAAGGCTTAAAACTCTCTTCTAAATTCCAGACTTGGAACAGTTTAATTGACACCCACTCAGATGTTTTGAAACTTAACACATTCAAATCAGAATTATTGAAAGTTTTTATATGTGCAATGATTACATGTCAACTAAAAAGGGGAAAAAAGGTTCTGCCACATTATAATCCTTTTTTCCAACTGTTTATTTCTGTTATTTTGAAAGAACAATCAGATGGTACTTTTTTCAAAGACAGTCACATAAAAACTGAAACAAAATATAGATTAATTACATTTTTTGAAAATTGTGTGATACACGATTATGAAATTTGTAGAAATTTTATGTGGAAAAAGAACAAGGGAAATCGAGTGAAATGCTTTGAAGGCATCTATGACATAGGATGCTGTGCTCTTCCTCACCTTCCATTCACTTTTTAACCCTCTCCAATGTGCCTTTTCCACCATCTGAAATTGTTCTCACAAAGGTCACCAGTGACTTTCCAATTGCAAATCCAATGGGAGTTTTTTGGACCTCAGCTTACCTGATTAATTTGAGGCATTCAATGTTATTAATCAGTAACACTCCTTTTGCAACTTTCTTTCTTTTGTTGTTTTTTGTTTTTTGAGATGGAGTCTCACTCTGTCACCCAGGCTGGAGTGTAGTGGCACGATCTCGGCTTGCTGCAACCTCTGTCTCCTGGGTTCAAGCAATTCTCCTGCTTCAGCCTCCTGAGTAGCTGGGACTACAGGCACACGCCACCACGTCTGTGTCTGGCTAATCTTTGAGGTTTTTTTTTTTTTTTTTTTAGTAGAGATGGTGTTTCACCACATTCGTCAGGCCGGTCTCAAACTCCTGACCTCAGGTGATCCACCCGCCTCAGCCTCCGAAAACATTTGGATTACAGGCATAAGCTACCGGGTCTGGCCACAACTTTCTAGTCTCAGTGTCATCACAACCAGTTTCCAGCTTCTCTGACTTTTCTTAGCTACCCTGTTGTCCTATCACTCCCTGCCTCTTCTCCAGGGTTCAACCTCTGGTCCACTTCCCTTCTCACACTTCATAGGAAAATACCACTCAAGATCATTGCCTCCCCTCTCACCACAACCTACATCTCTATCCAAAAACTCTTGATATTTTAGTTCAGACTGTTTTTAGCTATTTTACTGCAGAGTTGGAATTTAAGAGTCTGGAGCTTGCAAATACAAACTTTCATTGCACTTGATTGCTGCTGTTCTGTGAACTCTCATTACCTTTTCCCTGGGTGGCTGCTATATATCCTGACTGGTTTCTCTATCCCTAGTCTCATTTCAGATCCATTCTCAACACTCCTTTAGAATACTTTCTAAAATATGGAAATCTGAGTTTCCACTTCTGCTACTGGCAGAATAGTTCCTATAAGACCAACCCTTCCACAAATAAAAACAGTAGACTATTGAAAAAAAAAAAAACACCAATACAAACCTGAAGGCTATGGAGAAGAACCAAAAACAAACGCTAGACAAGAGCCAGCATTTGGACAAAAAGACTATCATGTGTGAAATATGCATTTTTAATAGGTTTTTTTTTTTTTTTTTGCCTGAGGGCAGACCCCAGTGAGTACTAAGCAGGGCAGCTAAAATGCAGATAGATGCAGTCTTACCAAATAGAAGAATAAGAGGGAAGCATTCAGGGTAACTATAGCAGCTGTAAATTGGGATCAAGGGCAGGAGGATCCAAGAAAGGATAAAACAATGGAAAGGGAGCCCAAAATTTTATGTATAAAACTCTACCTAAGTCTCTGGCAATTCTCTGAACTATGCATGTGTAAGACAGACGTCAAGCAGCCCAACTAAGGCCAAAACAACTAAACAGAGATTTCACTTGGTGTCTGTTTTAGTGAGAGATAGAGATTGAATTTAGCCATGTTAATTACTGGCTAAAACAAACAAACAAATAAAAATAACACTTTTTGGATGAATGTAACAAAAGACAGAGTCCTTACAACATATCACTCACAATGTCCAAGACATAATCCAAAATTATTATAAAGAAACAGGGAAACATGACTCATATTTAAGAGAAAGGGCTAATAGAGACAAGCTCTGAGATGAACCATATGTTGGAATTAGTTGACGAGAATTTTAAAGTAGTTATTATAACCGTGGTTAAGGACATGAGAATAGACTTATAATGAATTAACAAATAGGAAATTACACTAGAGAAATAGAAATTAAAAAAAGAACCAAATGGAATTGAATCATATACAAAAAATGCAATATGAGAAATAAAAAATTCCCTGATTGAACTTCACAGTAAATTGTAGATGACAGAAGAAAGGGTTAGTGAACTTGAAGAGCAGTCAGTAGAAATCACTGACTTGCAGAACAGAGAGAAGAAAAATTGGAAAAAAAATGAACAGAGCCTCAGGGAAAGTAGGCCAATATCAAAGGCCTAACGTGTGCAATTGGAGTCCCAAAGACTAGAAGCTAGAAAATGGGGCAGAAGACATTTTTGAAGAAATTATATCTAAAAGCTTTCCAAATGTAATGAAATGCATATGTTCTCAGATTTAAGAAGTTTAATGAATCTCCAATAGGGTAAGTACAAAGATAACCATCACATAATTCAGTAGTAAACAACAGTAACAACAATGACAACAAAGCCTATGGTTATGTCTATAATCTTTTGGTGCAAAACCTTCTTGTCTTGTCTTTTTCTGCTTATCACCACCCTCTTTCTTATTTTCACCAATCTGGAGATGCATATACAAAAACATTTTAAAATCCACTTTTTGGCCAGGTGCAATGGCTCATGCCTGTAATCCCAACACTTTGAGAGGCCGAGGCGGGAGGAATGCTTGAGCCCAGGAGTTCAAGACCAGTCTGGGCAACATAGGGAAACCCTGTCTCTGCAAAAATAAAAAAATTAGCTGGGCATGGTGGCACATGCTTGTGGTCTGAGCTACTGACCACTGAGCTACTGAAGTGGGAGGATTGCTTGGACCTAGGAGGTTGAGGCTGCAGTGAGCTGAGATCATGCCATTGCACTCCAGCCTGGGTAACAGAGCAAGACCCTGTCACACTCACACACACACACACACACACACACTCCACTTCGTTTCTAATCATGGTGTATAGATGCAAGCAATATTGTTGGTTCTATGACAATACTTTTAAAACTACAAAAACAAATTTGAAAGTGATGTGATGTGAAAAAGAATGAAATCATGTCATAGCCACATGGATGCAGCTGGTGGCTATTATCCTAAGTGAAATAACTCACAAACAAAATCCGATACTGCATGTTCTCAATTATAAGTGGAAGCTAATCAATGGGTACATATGCACATAAAGATGGAAATATTAGATACTGGAGACTCCAAAAGGGAGGAGGATGGAAGGAGGCCAGGGTTGAAAAACTACCTGTTGGAAGTTTTGGGGTACTATGTTCACTATTTGGGTGATGAGTTCACTTGAAGCCCAAACATCAGCATTATGCAATATACTCACGTAACAAACCTGCACATGTACCCCATGTATTTATAATAATAAAAAGTAAATTAAAATATTTCTATATAAAAATAATTTAAAAAGAAAGTGATGTGGTGGAAAGGGATAGGATTCCTTATAAGCTAATTATATATAAAATACTCTCCTGCTCTTTTTTATTTATAATTCAATCATTCCCTAATTAATTTATTCATCTAATCATGAAACTTGTTTAGTCACCTACTTGGGGGCAGGTACTGAGGACGTGATGACAAATAAGGAAATCTTTACCCTTTAGAACTCATCATGTAATGATCCATACTGGTCACTTTGAGATTCTGGTACTTCTAAAAATAACTTATTATTTTTACTTCTTATTATAAAAATCATACATGGGACATTTAGAAGATATAGGAGAGCAAAGGTAAGAGAATTCACTGTGAATTAATTATTCATTGAACACCTATTTTGTGCCATTGACTATCCTTATTGCTGGGAGCACAGCGTTTAAAAAAAAACCAAAAACCTTTCTCCCACTCTAATAGATGAGTCACATAATGGGAAAACAAACAAATGTATCATCTATTAAAGTGGGAGAACTTGGTTTTGTAGTTTTAAAAGTATTGTCATAGAACCAACGATACTGCTTGCATCTATACACCATGATTAGAGAGGAAGTGGATGGAGAGTGTGTGTGTCTGAGAGAGAGAATATTTAGAATGCCAAAAGCGGGCACTTCAAGGAAGGCTTTTTTTATTTAAAAAAAATTAGCTCATTCTACATACTTTAGAAATTACCTTTGAGTAGCAAATGTTAAGGATATAAATACTTTGCACGTATATTCCTTGTTTATAGTTAACCATATGTTATTTTTTACCTGCAAAATACTAAAACATATTCTACCTACGTGCAATCTAAGTTTTGTAGCAGAGTCTTTTTACGGGGGCCAAACAATTCTGGACTAATTTTTAAAACCCTGAAATGGCTCACTGTTTTGAGGTTATTTTGATGGAGTATGAATTTACTTCTTTGTCATTTGGAGAAGGTGCACAGTATTATTATGAACAGAGAAGAGCTGTATGAAAACTGATCTTCCAGCATCTATCATCTCCTTTTAGTCTAATGAGATACTGCCATTATCTCCTGATGAAATATTGTTCTAGAAAACCTTACCCCATCATACGATTTCTGCAGATCTTACAGGAGCAATCTGAGCTCAAGCAATATTAATTACTGTTTCATTTGTCCATTTGTCTGTGTATAATCATGTATTTTAATGATCTTCTATTTTCTATGGTTTGTGTAGATTTGGAGACTAATTCAAAAGAGTTGAAGTTTTTTGGACATGTTTAGTTGAATGTGCAGTTCTCTTTTGAAGAATCCTGTCTCCAAATCCTGTTTTGAAAAGAGTGTTGATGAGTAGCACAGCACCTGTCATATTGTGAGTGTGCAATAAAATCATGCCTTTTCAGCAGACCTTAACTAAAGAGTTAATTTTATTTATTTAAATCCACCTTTCAGATGACTCTCATTCTGCTTTGTCAGTGGTTGACGAGGGTAAAGGCACTTGAGGATGCACAACACACAGGACAGGGAGCAAGCCTTTCTCAGTGCGGAGAGCTAGGATAAACTTTTGCTTAGAAAGGGGTACATTAATGACAAAGGATCACAGCATTATGGGAGGATACTACACACCTGTTCTTCAGGGAGTACTCTGGACATCCCTGTTCTTTCCCCACATGGCAGGTGTCTTTTCAGGTGCTCCCAACCACACTACCCTGAATTCCCATATCCGGGTTGCCCTCTATGCCAGCCTCTCCTCTTAGCCTTGAATTTAGCTTTGTTGCTTAAGGCAAGTCACTTCCCTCTCCGGGTATGTTTCTTCTTCTGAAAATGGATGCAGTTGAACTAGATGAGAGCCAGGTGGCTTCAATTGATGTGCGGTGGCCCTCTGCCCTGCTTACTTTCATCTCCACCACTCCAAGGTGGCTCACAAACACGAATCCTCAGCCCCTTGGATTGGGTTCAGGGGAGTGCTATCAGGAACCCATGGGAGAGACAGGAATGTTTTCAGAAACCTCAGCCTGTCCTCTTTTTACTGAAATAGGGGCCCTTGTTGATGGTAGTCACTGCCCATGCTGTTTAGCCTAAGGAAGGTGACAGTGGGTGGGCCACCTCAGGCCATATGGAGGAAGGCCTGGCACAGAAACACAAGGCCAGGCAGGCTGTGGCTAGCCTGAATTTAGCTGTAGCCTCAGAATCAGGGGACTTGGGCTTGACAGCTGACATTACATGGTGCACAACTCTGGTTAAGTCACTTAACTTAAATCTTATCCCCTCATCTGTAGATGGCTTGAAGACCAAATTAAGGAGCTCCTTCAACAAATACATTAAAAAAAAAAAAAAGAAAAAGATAAGCCATAAGGCACATACGAATCACTTGGGAATCTTGATAAAATGCAAATTTTGGTTTGGTAGATCTGGAGTGGGGCTAAAAATTCTGCATTTCTAACGAGCTCCAGGGTGAACCTAGCTGATATTGCTGCTGCTTGAGTGGGCCACACTCTGATGAACAAGGATAGAAACCATTACAATAGTTGAAAATGAAAATAACAATGAATTATATAAACCCCACCCCCCTCACACCACTTTCACGTCTGATATTTTTCAGTTAACCTAAAAATGTTTATTATTACCTAATAAACATTTTCCATGTTTCTACAGATTATATGGACCGCAAAGTTTCTGTAATTACTATTATGGAGTAGCTACACAGTATCCCATAGTGTTGAACTAGCATCATTTATCCAATTGCTTCCCTCACACTGGACCAGTGAGTCCTAGGAAGTGGCTGCAAGGAAGCAGCAGGTTTCTGGGACAGCCCAAGGGCATTTCTTATTTCCTCCTGTTCCTCCCTGGGATCAATCTGTAGGAGTAAACTGACTGAAGACTGTGAACACCTTCATGAACTCCTGTGACTTTGGACTTGTTTTCCAAAAGGCCAAAATTATAGATATGTACATATTTTGATTATTAAAAATATGTGTTTCCTTGTACATTGTTGGTGAGAATGCAAAATGGTGAAGCTGCTATGGAAAGCAGTATGGAGTTTCCTTAAAAAATTAAAAATAGAATTACCATGTGATCCAATCAATAATCCCACTTCTGGGTATTTATTAAAAAGAATTGAAATCAGGATCTTGCACTCCCATGTTCATTGCAGCATTATTCACAATAGCTGACATGTGGAAACAACCTAAATGTCTGTAGATAAAGAAAATGTGTCATATACATACAATGGGATATTTTTCAGCCTTAAAAAGGAAGGAAATCCTGCCATATGCAACAACATGAATGAATCTTGAGGACATTATGCTAAGTGACATAAGCCAGTCACAGGACAACTACTGCGTGATTCCCACTGACGAGGAATCTGAAATAGTCAAACTTGTAGGAGCAGAGAATAGATGGTGGTTGCAGGCACTGGGGGTAGGGAAAAATAGAGCTGCTATTCAACTGGGTATAAAGTTTCAGTTATGCAGCTGGATAAGTTCTAGAGAACTGCTCTACAACATTGCACTTACAGTTAAAACGACGGCACTATGCACTTGAAAATTTGTTAAGGCCAGCGTGGTGGCTCACACCTGAAATCCCAGCATTTTGGGAGGTTAAGGCAGGCGGATCACTTCAGCCCAAGAGCTTGAGACCAGCCTGGGCAACACAGAGGGACTCTGTCTCTACGAAAAATACAAAAATTATCTGGGCGTGGTGGTGTACACCTGCAGTCTCAGCTACTCGGGAGGCTAAGATGGGGGGACTGCTAGAGCCCAAGAGGCTGCAGGGAGCCATGATGGCACAGTGTGCTCTAGCCTGGGTGACAGAGTGATACCCTGTCTCAAAAAAACACAAAAAATTGTTAAGAGGATAGATCTCATGTTAAGTGCTCTTACCACAATTTTAAAAAAGTTCCCTATAGAAAAGTATTTTTAAAATGACAATTTCCCTAACACCACTGCTAACATTTTGATTGAAAAAAAAATCATTAATTTGTTCAATAAACATTTATCATACACTTAGAATGTGCCAGGTTCAGTGTTATGCATGAGGATGCTACAGCGAACAGTTTTTCTTTCTAGGCATATGTCCAACATTATCCATCAGTCAATCTATATAACAAAAAGTAGATACAATACAAAAATATACATGTACGTATATACACTACAAGATGTTTTTATTCATGTTTTATGTGAATAGCAAGACCAAAAAAATCATTAATTGGGCCCAGTTTAGGCCAGCAATGGTATTCTGTCCCCTGGATGTACACAAATAAAAACAACGCAGCTCATTCCTTTTAAGCATCTTAAAGTATACCAAAGTTTGTTAACAGCCAGGTATGCACACGACAGAGAATGAGTTCCCTGACATCAGCCGGAATCTATCACCGGGTAAAATGGATGGAAACCTCTCCCTGCTACTTACTGCTTATTGCTGTTCAGGCACTGTTTAATTTCTCGGTGCCTTAATTTGTACAGAGATACAAATGCCATCTCTGGTTGTGGCTGAGAAGAATGAATGAAATAACGTACCTAAAATGTTCACAGGGCCTAGCATATGGCAAGCGCTCCCTAAATAGACATTGCTTTTGTTGTCATTAGTGCTAGTGATAGAGGACCTTGGGTTTGGGCCTCATTGTGCCACTAACCAGCAGTGTTATTTTGGGCAGCAGTGCTGTCCCTGGACCTCAGCTCTACCTCTGGGAAATGCAGGGTATGGAGGAAACTGGTAGTTCAGCATTTGGAGATTCGTGGCAAACTATCAGGCACAACTCCTTGAAATCTTCCGGAGTTGGCGAGGCACTGCGGGGCTGATTAGATGGGGGGCAACCTCGCGGTCCCAGCTACAACCTCGCCGAGCCAGCCTCCAGCCCCTAAGGTGCGCCGGGGTGGCGCAGGGGCGGGCAGCTGGGCGAAAGCGAGTACCAGGCGGAGGGCGCAGCCTCAGGGGGATCCTGGGCGAAGAGCTGAGGGTGGCGCTGGTGGGGGCCTTTGAGAGGCCGCAGCCGAGCCCATGGCTTAGGGTTTCGATGAAAACAATAGCTGCGAGGTTTGGTTTCCTGGGCACAAGGGTGGAGAAGGCCCGGGAACCCTTCCCTTTCCAATCCCGGTGTGGCCTTCTGACTGGCAGACAATATTAGAGGTATTAGCTTTCCTCTTGCCCCCGCCCCCCGGCCCCGCCAGGCCCTGGCCCTTCCTGCAAGGCAATAGTGCGCCTGAGAAATCCCTGTGGTGCCTTGTTCTCTCTACAAAGGCAATGAATTCTCAGCACAATTTGGCTTGGAGTAGGCTCTCAAGATAATTGTTGAATGAATGAATGAATGAGTGAATGAGTGAATGAATGTCATCAGTGGGGATGGGCCTAGGGCACCAGCAAGATCAGGAGATCTCATCTTTCATCCTCACCTTCTTTGTTCACTCCATTTGTTCACATCTGTACAGAATTTTCACCGTTGTGTTGGTCACAGCGGGTTGGTGCAAAGGGGTCATGTTTTCAGGTAAGAGCAGCATTGCATAGTGAGCAGAAACCCCAGATGAGTGGGACTTCTCTGAGTTCTGTGTCCACACCTTGGGGACTCAGACGTCTATTCCTGCCTTCTATTAAGCTTGACAGCAAACTCAGCAGATGTAAATATTGACACCTTCTGGAAAAGTGTGAAGGTATTTGTTAAAGAAAACCTTAAAGAAAGGGAGGCAGACATTGTGAGACTTTTTATGCCTTTCAGGGTAGCTTCAGGACTTCTGGATGGTTTAATATGCTTCAACTCAGCATATGACCTAATGATTCATTTCTTAGAAGTTGAATCTGAAAGGAGTGAGGTTTTTAGCTGGCATTTTATTTTGTGTCTGCTTGTGGCGGGAAATAACAGATTCATATATGACTCTCCACCTCCTGAAGAGGCTAGAGCAAGAGTATCAATGATGTGCCGTAGGAAGAGCACCATACGTTTGAATGGTGCCTTATCACTGTCCTGGGCTTTCACATGCTTTATCATGCTTAAAACCCATAGCCCTGTGGAATAGCCAGAAAGAGATTATTATTCCAATTTTCCAGCATTGTTACTTCAGTTATTGAATAGCCACTATGTGCTGAATATTAGAGGTACAAAGAGAAGGAAGGCCTATCTCTGCCTTTAGCGCACAGTCTAGTGAAAGAGAAAGATATGCACATGGATCATTTCGGTATGACATGTTACCTGATAGGGTAGATCAAGCCCAACATCTGTTTTTGAAAATAAATGGGTTTTTTTGTTTTTGTTTTGTTGCTGTTTTGAGACAGGGTCTAACTCTGTCCCCCAGACTGAAGTACAGTGGTATAACCATAGCTCACTGCAGCCTCTAACACTCAGGCTCAAAGGATCTTCCCATCTCAGCCTCCCAAGTAGCTGGGACTACAGGCATGCACCACCAGGCCCTGCTAATTAAAACTTTTTTTTTTTTTTTGGTGGAAATGGATCTCAATATGTTGCTCAGGCTAGTCTTAAACTTTTGGCCTCAAGCAATCCTCCTGCCTCAGACTCCCAAGATTCTGGGATTACAGGCATGAGCCACCATATCTGGCCCAGTGGTAAAGTTTTACTGGGACACAGCTTTACTCATTTATTTATATGTTGTCCACAGATGCTTTTGTGCTACAATGGCAGAGTTTAGTGTAATAGTTGTGACAGAGGCTATCCGGCCTACAGAGCCTAAAGTATTGACTATTGAACATTTATAGAAAAAGTTTGCTAGCCCATAGAATAGAGGAATAATGCTCAGGTGGGCGGGTATTTAGAGTTGGGGTACATAGCACCACCTGGGAGTTGAGAAAGGCTTCCTGGGAAAGGCACTGCTTGAGCTAGAAGCTGAAGGGTAAGACTTGTGGGAGTTAGAAGGATAAGATGGGTACTCCAGGCAAAGGAAAGCCAAGGGACTAAACTGCTAGAACCACAAGCAGTTCATGATTACTAGGATACAACATGCAAGATGGGGACGGAAGCAGATGAGGAAATCAGTCTCGACTTGGGTGATTTGCTGGAGGTGATGTGTCTAGGTGGGGCAGGACTAAAATCCAGGTTTTCTAACTGGCAGCCCTATGTGCTTATCACAACAGCAAGGACAGCAAATACACAGCACCCATGTTGTCATTCCTTCAACCTGGGTCCACAGTGGCCAGTGCTAAGTGAGCACAGAAGTCTTTTCTGCAGCTTTATTTGTACTCCAGGTGACTGTTTGTAGAGTGAGTGTGCATGTTCAGACCTATATGCTATCCCTGATTTACCTCATTCCAGCCATAGTGAGAAGGTTTTAGATTTATTTTTCTCTGAAGCTATTAGAAAAAGCCTTCAGAAGCAAAAGCTATCAATTCAAGCAGCCCTATTTCAGCACATTCTAAATTATTGCTTACCCTGCCTATGCCAGGTCATACACCAGGTGGTTTACACACTTTATCTATCTTAATCCTCACTTCAAGATCATGAGGGAGGTAGAATAAATAAGTCACTTACCCAGGGGTCTGGAAGTAAGCATTTTAATTGTTCAAAAAGATTTTAAAAGATTATATGTAGTCCGGGAGTGGTGGCTCATGTCTGTAATCCCAGCACTTTGGGAGGCCGAGGCAGGTGGATCATGAGGTCAGGAGATCAAGACCATCCTGGCTAACACAGTGAAACCCCAACTCTACTAAAAATACAAAAAAATTAGCCAGGAGTGGTGGTGGGCACCTGTAGTCCCAGCTACTCAGGAGGCTGAGGCAGGAGAATGGCATGAACCCAGGAGGTGGAGGTTGCAGTGAGCCGAGATCACACCACTGCACTCGAGCCTGGGCAACAGAGCGAGACTCCGTCTCAAAAAAAAAAAAAAAAAAAGATTGTATGTTAAAAATTACAATACTTAAGGAACAACTTGGTGTTGTGGTACTGTATAGGGCTGGGTTGTAAATGACCAGTGGGCATGCCAGAGGCTCAGCCCATACATCGCTAGTGGGGTATGAACCATTATGCATGATTGCAGTGACCTTGTGACCTGTAGCTTGTAAAACAGAAGCTGGGATGATTATTGTTTGTTTATATTTTGCTGGATATCATATTTTTTATACCTTTTAACTGTGATTGTGGAAATTGACACTAGACATCCATCCCTTAATCCATGTAGTAGGTAAGAACATACAGATAAACACAGGGCAGTGGGGAGGGGAAAGAAAAAAGAAAGGTAGGAAGGAAAGAAGGAAGAAATATATCCAGAAGATGCAAGACCTGGATCAAATGGTAGCAGGAAAAGTTCTTTTGAAGATATCTAAGTGTTGGAAATATCATTCATCCAGGACAGGTAAGGTCCTGGACATTCCAGTGAGCAATTTCCCTCTGTGCTGTTATTTTTCATATTTTGGAGAGAACACTAAGGCCTGAAGAGGTTAGATAGCTTGCCCATGCTACTTAGTGGTAGACTCAGAATTTCCACACTGGCCTTCCAGAGTCCACAATCCAAGATCTTAACTACGATTATATTCATCTTTGATCCTTGGGAAGAAGGGAAGACATTTTCAATTCAGGCTTGAAAACATAAAGTAGCTGAATGAAGCAGTGTGGAATTAGCAGAGAGCAGAAAAAGTAAGCACCAGTCTGTGTCTTGATATCATGTTGTTTACATCTTGCTTTGGATTTTTTTAAACTGTCTTTCTAGAAAAAACATAGGTAGTAGCATCATGTACACTAATCTTTTCTCCTCAGTTATCCACATCTGGAAGTAGTTTGATAGCTAGATGTATGATATCATGCCTGTTAGCTGTTATCTGGTGGCAGCTCACCAATTATCCAATTTCTAGGGCATCTCTCTTTAAAATCTGTTTCAGAAGTCTTGGTCTGACAGAAAGCCAGGTACACCTGAAGTGGCCGAAGCTTGGGTGAGGACCCTTATCTAGGTCATCCAAAGATAAGAATGAGATAAGCTGAATAACAGGTCTTAAGAAAGAAAAAAATTAAGTACCAATGCCTAGTCCAAGGATAGAGAAGACTCCAGCTGGGAGATATTGCCAAAGGTCAGAAGACATGCTGAGTCTAAATAGAGCAGTAGAAATTGGGAGCAAATAGATAAGGTTTTAGGGGAGGGGTTGTAGAGAATGTCCCTATAGTTTCTGAGCACAGGTGGCTCAGTTTATAAGTACATAATCTTCCTAAATGAATATTCTAAGGGTCAACTTTATTTCAGTGAAAGAAAACTCCACAAATTGCTTAGACACACTCCCATCTATCCATCATCTATGTAGACATTCAGTAGACATGAATTGACAATCTACTCTGTGCTCAGCACCATTCTAGGCTCCAGGTAAGCAAAGATGAGCAACACCCAGTTTCTACCTTGAAGGATCACCCATGCCTGGTTCAGTAGAGACAGAGACATGAGTTTCCTTTTTATCTATTTTCCCCCAGAAGTACCCTGGTTTTCATAAATGACCATGGCTTGACATGCCATTATGATAATAATGTATAATTAGTGGAAAACCAAAGGAATGACTGGAAATTGTCTTTAGTTATGGGAACAGCTGGGCTTCTCAGGATAACGCTGGAAAATACTATACTATGTGAGCAAGGTCTGTAGGGTCCGGGTTTCTCTGGAGGTACAGCTAATTCCCTTCCAAATGCCAGCTTTAAATTCTGACATTTTGGCATTTATGTGAATGACTGTATGACTATATATGTAGGTGATCGGCCCTCTCAAGAGACTTTGAATTAGAGGCTTTCTGGTTTTGATAAATGCACCTTCTTTTCCTCAAAGTCCTTTATAACTTTTTAGACCAGTGACCTCCCTTCTTAGCATCTCCTTGGCTAGAAGCAGAAGACAGTCAACCTACCATTTTGACTGTAATTCAATTTGGTTTCAGGCACTTTTAATAATTTGGTATTCTGTTATGAGATGAGGTATACAGGCCACCTCTACTCTTTCAGTTCCGACAGCAGGAATAGAAAAGATGGTAGTTTTGTTCAAGCCAGCCATTCATTTATTCTCTAAACATTTATCATGCCCTCTGCTGGGACAAGAGCTGTTTTCGGTTCTTGGTATATAATGTAGATAAAATAGGTGCATATTGGTCAATGTCCCCATGAGGTTTACTCTCCATCAGGTGTAGGGTGTCAGACATTTGGCAAATAACCTCACAAATAACAAAGTGTTAATAAGGAAAAGACTAGGCTGTTATGAATGTACAATAGTGGTGGGCCTAATTTGGATTGGGAGACAGGGAAGACCTCTTTAAGAAAGAGATGATAAGCCGGGTATGGTTGCTCATGCCTGTAATCCCAGCACTTTGGGAGGCTGAGGTGGGCGGACCACCTGAGGTTAGGAGTTCGAGACCAGCCTGGCCAACATGGTGAAACCCCATCTCTACTAAAAATACAAAAGTTAGCTAGGTGTGGTGGTGGGTGCCTGTAGTCCTAGCTACTTGGGAGGTTGAGGCAGGAGAATCGCTTGAACCTGGGAGGCAGAGGTTGCAGTGAGCCGAGATCGCATCACTGCACTCCAGCCTGGGCGACAGAGCGAGACTCCGTCTCAAAAAAAAAAAAAAAAAAAAAGAGAGAGAGATAATAATGCTGAAATTTGAAGGAGTGGGTACTAGCCAGGCAGAGTCTGAGAAAGAGATTCCAGGGAGAGGGAGCAGCATATGTGTAGACTCTGAGCTGAAAAGAAGAGGATGCCGCCTATATACTGTCAGAGGCAAACACAGGTGTGACATAGTCATGGTGGGGAAGAGTGGCACAAAATGAGCGTGGTGAGGTGGCTCAGAGCCAGACCATGCAGGGCCCTGTAGCACCTGGTAAAGAATGTGGATTTCATTCTGAGTACAGTGGGAAGTCACAGGCAGGTGGCAAGCAGAAAAGTAGTATGATCTGCTTACATTACAAAATATCTCTGAATTCTGTGTGCAGAATGGATCAGATATGCATTTAAGAAAAGCAGTACACAGCCTGAGTCATCAAATGCATATTGCAAGGTGGGCACAGAGCCTGAGCATACGGGCACATGCAAGCCGCTTCCTCCTCCTGCCTCCCTGTACCAAATGTCCCGCCTGGGAGGCAGAATGCAGTTTACAGACCTTGAAACCAAGTGCAAAGTGTCTACAATTAGAGGAGAGGAAAGCATTGAGGAGGAAATAATAAATCAAGTATTGAAGATCTCAACAACTTAGAGAACAAGATACCAGTCTTAAGTGAAAAGAACACATTTGGCATTAAGTATCTCAGGAAACATGTCCTTCAGGTCCATTGACTCAGAAACATCTCTATTTTCAAAGAGGCATTTAGTCAGCTCCTTCCCTCATCTAACTCAATTTCCTACTTCCCTCCATCATAGACCATGCGTTCTTTGGTTATCAGATTTGCCTTTGGATTTTTTTTTTTAAAGACAACTAAAAACATCTTTTAAAAATCTAGCCTTTTCAGTGTCACTTGTCACTTATGTGTTTCTCTTCCCAATTTACTTCATGGCTGAGGCCTCCCTTGGGGTAGTATTTTTTTTTTTTTTAAGAAATGGGGTCTCGCGGCCGGACTTGGTGGCTCATGCCTGTAATCCCAGCACTTTGGGAGGCCGAGGCAGGTGGATCACGAGGTCAGGCGATCGAGACCATCCTGGCTAACATGGTGAAACCCTGTCTCTACTGAAAAATAGAAAAAAATTAGCCAGGCATGGTGGCGGGCATCTGTAGTCCCAGCTACTTGGGAGGCTTAGGCAAGAGAATGGTGTGAACCTGGGAGGCAGAGCTTGCAGTGAGCCAAGATCGTGCCACTGCACGCCAGCCTGGGTGACAGAGCGAGACTCTGTCTCAAAAAAAAAAAAAAGAAACGGGGTCTCACTTTGTTGCCCAGGCTGGAGTACAGTAGCATGATCTCAACTCACTGCTGCCTCAACCTCCCAGTCTCAGGTGATCCTCTCGCCTCTGCCCCCCAAGTAGCTGGGACTACAGGTGCGAGCTGCCATACCTGGCTAATTTTTGTATGTTTTGTAGAGATGGGGTTTTGCCATATTGCCCAGGCTGGTCTCAAACTCCTTAGCTTATGCAATCTGCCCCCTTCAGCCTCCCAAAGTTCTGGTATTACAGGTGTGAGAAGCCACGCCTGGCCAGGGTAGTATTTTTTTCTTGACTTGTGAAGACTTAGCTTGATTCTCCCCTAGCAGTGCACCATGAGTGGGGTGTGGGGTTGGGGAAGGGATCAGCACAGGAATGCATGCTGGCCAGGCCAGGGTTTGTTGAAGCAGGTGGGGTTTGAAGGTTGTGGGACAAATACTTCCCAACTTTACCCTATGAACATGGTGGCAGGTCAGCTGAGACTTGCACATACACTTTGTCTTCTGGGTGTGCCTGGAAGTAGAGTGATGCCCTGGAACCTGCATGACCTAGTGCTCAGAATACCTGGGCTTGGTTTCTGATCACTACCTAGTCCAGTAACTCTGTGCCACAAACAAATTAACATAGATGAGTGCCCATGACTACCAGACAATATATGTAAGTGCTTCTGGGCACCCAGAGAGGTGTGCCTTGTTTTCTCCATGTAGAGGCCAGGAAATGAAGGTTCAGAGAAGAGATATGCACACCGCATGCAATTCCCTCTGCCTGGAAAGCCTCTGCTCACCCCATCACCCTCTGCTGATGGAGTCAGTTTCTTTGTGTGGTCTCAGCACACTTATCACATCTTCAGTGTGACACATATTTTATTCACAAGACATATGTCCCAAGGACAGGGACCCATGAAGGAACAACAGCAGAGAACTGTAGCTCTGAAAGGTGCTCCGCTTCATTTGTCCTTTCCCCAGACAATGAGGAAAGTGACAAATAGCTATGGTCATAATGGAATTCTCAAAGAGACTCCTTCCTTATTGACTACATTCAACAGAAAATGAGTCCTTGGCATTCTGATCCTCAACAAAAAATATCAACATTAATATTTAGCATCCTTATATATCAAATAGACTCTAATGGGTTATGGGAGCTTTCTGAAATACTTTTTATACTATATTTATTGAAGGAAATAAATAAGTTATAATAATTCACTTGTCCCATCTGGTTCAGTTTTAGGGGCCTTCTTCACTATGATTGTTTCTAAAATCCATGGAAATAGAGGTGAAAACCCTTCTCCTCCTCACTGCACTATTGACATTATAAACACTGACCTAGATTATAACCATTAGGTTCTCATCGAAATGAAATATCTGCCCTGGGGTTTAAATTCCTAAACTTACTGTGTAAGATGAGCCTCCAATTAAAGATTTCTAATAAGAAAATCAGAGATTTGGTGTTAAAACATCCTCAAGTAATCTGTGGGGAATGTTACTTTTAAAATGAGAGCACTTACTAGCATCTGATTCGAAGTAGAGTCTAGATCTATCTATCTTCTCCAGGGAGAGCTCCTTGAGGACAAGGAATTTGCCTCTTTCATGTTATTTGGCACAGTTTTTAGCCCATAAGAGGCTCTCAATAAATACTGGTTAAACAGAAATAAGAAAAAGGAGATGCTGAGCGCAAAGAGCAAGGTAAAACCATTCTGCTCTTTTTCTTCTTTGAAGATGATGATGGCAAGAGTTACCATAAACTGGTCAGGTGTGGTGGCTCACACCATAATCCCAGCAACCAAAGCCCAGGGCAGGAGGATCACTTGAGGCCAGGAGTTTGAAACTAGCCTGGGCAACAGCAAGACCCAGTATTTATAACAAACAAACAAAAAAAAACTAGCCAGGGGTGCATGCTTATAATTCTAGCCACTCAGGAGGCTGAGGCAGGAGGATTACTTGAGCCCAGTAGTTTGAGGCTGCAGTGAGATATGATTATGCCACTGCACTCCAACCTGAGTGACAGAGCAAGACTTTGTATCTCAATTAAATAAGTAAATAAATAAAGAGTTACTATAAACTGAGTTGTTTACTATGTGCCAGGCACTGTGTCAAGTACTTTATGTTGGCCAGGCATGGTGGCTCACTCCTGTAATTCCAGCACGTTGAGAGTAGGCCAAGTTGGGAGGATTGCTTGAGGCCAGGAGTTTCAGACCAGCCTGGGCAATATAGTGAGGCCCTGTCTCTGTCTAAGAAATTTAAAATAAAAAAAGCACTTTATGTGCAACAGTTCTTTTAACTCTTTAATTCTATAAGGAATCCATTTTTCCTTTAAGTAGATGAGGGCCCAGGGCCATTAACTAAAGTATCCAAGGTTACCTGACTTAGAGGTGATTTTCCAAGATCTCAATTCAGGTCTCTCTACATATTTTTAAACATTGCATTGCCTTTCCAAATGAACCAATATTTATTAGCCATTTTATGCAAATAATTGGGCCATGTATTTAAAAAATCATTTCTTATGTTCTTATTTCAGCTGGTTTGCAAAGCGGCCCTGCTGGGGCTTGTATAGGGTAAATGATGGGCTGAAGTTAAAGATATACATATGTATAAGATGTATAGGATGGCGTTTTGTTAACCCTGGAAAGTTAAAGAGAATTAGAAGTTTTCAATGTAACATTTCCAGGCAGGAAAGTGTTAGCATGTTATGAAGAATTTCCCTTCCTCTGAGCCATTGGGCTTTTGCCAAGGCTTCAGGGTAGACGCTGCATTAGTGGAAGATGAATTTGATCCAAGAAGACATCTTCTCAATCCTTGTGTAAGATTAGTCTGAGTAGGAATCACTTGGTAACAATTTGAAATGGAGTTCGTTAGATAAACAGAAAAACATAGCTTTGTCTGGGTTGAGCCCAGAAATGGGTGACAGATGTTAATGATGAGTGACTGAACAGATGTTTGGGGGAGAATTACAAAAAGGGTTTCTATCATGCAGGATCTAAACCTTAACCTTCCTGGCTGATGCTGAAAGAGAGCTTGTATGAAACACGTTCTTACAAAACTATTTGGTGGATCGTGACAAAGACGAATGACTGGGTACTATAATTTAAAATGGAAAATAAGGTAAATGGGAGTCCTTGTTTATGTGCATGTGTATATGTGTGTTTTTTTTTTTTTACAAAGGTCAATGCTATATTAAAGAATTGGAAAGTTGAATAAGTCATTCCATTCTGCTTCCCTATCTTTTCCACCCCTCCCCTCCAAACTGGTAGGAATGAGCAGTATTTGATACTGTACCTTAAGGCTCAACAAATTATTAAAATACTATCACATATATACATCCTGAAATATCTGCCCTGTAATTACATTTGGAAAATAAAATTTCCTGTGCAAACTTAATTGGTAGTTTTAGTTGGGGTCTCTGAGACTTACTTCAAGTTTTAAGGAGTTTAAAAAGACCCCCATTTCAAAATAAATAAGAGACAAAGGCAGATTTTCAAAGTTGTACAGCTACTGCCATAAGCCTGTCCCCACTGTGAAGTGAGTACACTTCACAGAAAGATGAACAGTTAGTTGTGTTATACAAATTATATACTTCCTGATAATTTGACTGAAATTTTGGATGGACTGATCAGATGCATTTGTTAATTCATCTTCATATCTGGCCGTAATTGACATGAATTTGACTTACCTTCTGCTAATTATAGCTGTGGCTACACAATAGTGCAAAACACCTGGTTAAAAAAGGTGAATACAGGCCAGGCACGGTGGTTCACACCTGTAGTCCCGGCACTTTGGGCAGCCAAAGTGGGCCGATCACTTGAGCCCAGGAGTTCGAGAGCAGCCTGGGCAACATGGTGAAACCCCATCTCTATAGAAAATATAAAAATTAGCTGGGCATGGTAGTATGTGCTTGTGGTCCCAGCTACTTAGGAGGCTGAGGTGGGAGGATCACTTGAGCCCAAGAGGTCAAGGCTGCAGTGAGCCAAGATCACATCACTGTACTCCAGCCTGGGCAAGAGTGAGACCCTATCTCAAAAAAAAAAAAAAAAAAAAAAGGATAAAATAAAGGATAAATACAGTAAAAAATCCAGATATTCTCAGTTTAGTATTCTAATATTAATGAATGCCACTGAATTTATGATAGACATTGTGTATACAATAGGCTCATATGTCATCATAACCTTGCAAGCTGGATTTATTATCCTCATTTAGTGAAGGTGAAAGCAGAAGCCCAGAGAAGTTAAGTGACTCACAGAAGTTCACATATGTCAGTGAGTAGCAGGACCAGGATCTGTACCTTGGTCTGTGGTATTCAAAATTTGTCTCACTTTCTAATATGCCATACTGTCCTGGGTAGAATAGATGTTTAATTATTTGATTAAATCCTTATATTTGATTAAATCTTTATATGTTACTGTATATCAAAATGGAATAGGACTTAAAAGCCAGAATTCTCAAACTCATGATCTGAAGTCTCACTGTAATGTCATCAAAGAAAGAGTACTGGTAACTCTCTGTGTTATTGAAAGGGGAGGAAAAATACTAGATCCTTTCTTTGGCTTTGTCCTGAAGACAGCTCAATAGAGAGGAAGGTAATAACTGAATAAAATGTCACCTTTGGGCAGGGCAGTGTACTAGAAGCTATGAGCATTAAAAACATAAATGAGATACCTTAGAGCCTACAGAAGAGATAAGACATATACACAAATAGTGATAAGGAAGAAGGGCATACATCAAGGGACATGAGAGTTTAGGGGAGAAAGAGATTTTAGCTATGGTGATTAGGCAAGGCTGCATAGAGGGGATGGCATCTGCACTGTGAGCTTTGAAGATAAAGACAACGACCGGTAAAGGTTAGTCCTTTCTTCAGCTTGATTTTCCCTTCCTGTTCCTACTACCTCTCCTTCCCTACATTGCCAGACATGAAGGTGTCACCCTAGAAATGGAGAAGCAATAAGATGGAAGGCACTGGTCCCTTGACACTGGGAGCTGCCATGGGAGTTCTAGAATACTTACTCTCATGTGATTATATAAGAGAGTGCCAGGAAAAATTGCAAAGGGTCTTGAAATGGGCAACAAAAAGATTCTTGGGTGCCCTGAGTAGCTTACCCAGCCAGGTTACCTCTAACATTCATTGTCTTTGAAATATTTTACAACTCTGTAAGTTGTAGAGAACTGCTAGCAGGGCAAAGATGATTTCTTTTCCATATGCAAACAAATTCTGGCTGGGCACAGTGGCTCATGCCTGTAATCTCAGCACTTTGAGAGGCCAAGGCGGGCAGATCACTTGAGGTCAGGAGTTTGAGACCAGCTTGGACAACATGGTGAAACCTCATCTCAAAAATACAAAAATTAGCCAGGCGTGGTGGCACATGTCTGTAATCCCAGCTACTTGGGACGCTGAGGCAGGAGAATTGCTTGAATCCAGGAGGCGGAGGTTGCAGTGAGCCAAGATTGTGCCACTGCACTCCAGCCTGGGCGACAGAGTGAGATTCCATCTCAAAAACAAAAACAAAAACAAACAAACAAAAACGGAAGACAAATTCTGTCCAGTGAATTGATTCCCCCCTTTACTCCCACTCTATTTCTGCCCCTTGGAAAAAGCCAGTTTTACATCTATTTGTAAATTCACTTCAGTATTCCTGATTGACCTCTATAAGTGGGGTACTTTAAATTCTCCTTTGAGCTGATAGTAATATCTTACTGGTTCCTTCATTAGTTAATGAGTTAAAATCTTTGACGTGTATTCATTTTATATTTGTATGAGAGTAAATAATTTACCTTTATTTAAAAAAAATTTTTAACAAGAAGAATATACTTTTATTTAAGCCACTGCTATTTTGGGCACAAAATATACAATGCATGTATATATCTATATCTATCCATCTATTTCTATCTACCTATCTATAATGATCACATCTCTGTGCTAAGTAGATAGCTCCTGCCATCCTACCTTAATTATTTCCATGAGGACCAGCGTTGACTCTTAAACCAAATCCAAAGATTTTTTTCTCAGTCATCATTCATCCTTAATGAGAGACATAGCAGAACAATGTTTCTCCCAATCATGAGTCACAACAAATAAGTGGGTCGGAAATCAATTTAGTGGTTTACAGCCAGCATTAATAGGATTTATCATAGTGCATAACACACAGTAAGTATAATTTGCGAAGCTTTGGATTCAGATACTTATATGTATTAGTTTACTAGGGCTGCCATAACACATTACCACAAACTGGGTGGCTTAGAACATTAGAAGTTTATTCTCTCATACTTCTGGAGGCCAGAAGTCTGAAATCAAGGTGTGGCAGGACTAAGCTCTCTTTGAAAGCTCTAGGGGAGAATGCTTTCTAGACTCTTCTAACTTCTAGTGAATTAGTGAATTAGCCTGGCATTCCCTGGCTGGTGTTAGCATAACTGCAATCTCTGTTTTCATCTTCACAGCATCTTCTCTCTGTGCCCTTTTCTGTCTAAGGACACAGCCATTGGATTTAGGCCCCACTCTAACCCATTGTGATCTTATCTTGATCTTTACCTAAATTATATCTGCAAAGACCCTATTTCCAGATAAGGCCACATTCCAAGGGTCAGTGTAGACATAAATTTTGGGGGACAATATTCAACCCACTACATATATATATGTAAATTCTTGATCACGGTGTGAATTGTTTTTCTTATTATGAGAAGAGGTCTCAAAACTTTCAAACATAGGACTAGAAGACCCCTAGTACCTTTTTCACTCTGATTCCAGGAAGCATTTAACAAAGCTGGCTACATTTCCCTTTTTGGCAATAATAATATTAATAATTAATAAGTATAAAATTTATTCAAGTAATTTTACATGCAACAAATAATTCAATCTTATAAAGCCTTAGGAGGTGGGTTTTAATAATATGTCAGTTTTAAAGATTATCACACAGCTAGAGAGCTGAGCAGCCAGTATTCAATTCCAAACACATGGTTTTCCATCATATCATGTGTATTTGGAACTTCATCTCCCTTTGCTTCCATATCGCTGCATTGATCTGGTGTATCTGACTTGGCTGCATTTTCTGGCCTCTATTTTCTTCTTTCCATCTCCTAATATTGTCATTCCATCAACTCTCAGCCATGGCCAGCTCCCGCCCAATCTCATTCAATTCTTCACTTTCTACTTACAGGGATGGAGAAGACTTAATCCTATCTGGAAGGAGCCAGTGCACAGCAAAGATGGCAGAGAGAGAAAAGAGAGGGAGTGACAATGAAGTAAGGCTACAGAGAGATGACCAAGTGTCCCAGAGGAGGAATTCTCTTTCGGAAAGAGATAGACACCTCTTCCTGTGAGACATTTGGTCATTTTAACAAGGCAAATAGTGATAGCAGCAGAACAAGGAAGCTCCTGTCCCATTAGTTGGCTTTGGGTTCCCCAGTTTCTGGCTATGAGGCTTGATGTGAAAGCCCGGGTCTTGTCTCTTGGACAAGGTGCTCTATTTTACAGATCAAGTTCAGCACAGGAAAATAGGATGTTGTATCAGTCTGTTTTCACACTGCTATAAAGAACTGCTTGAGACTAGGTCATTTATAAAGGAAAAAGGTTTAATTAACTCACAGTTTGGCATGGCTGGGGAGGCCTCAGGAAACTTCCAGTCATGGTGGAAGGTGAAGGGGAAGCGCACCTTATTCACAAGGCAGCAGGAAGGAGAATGAACGCAGGAGGAACTACCAAACACTTAGAAAACCATCAGATCTCGTGAGAACTCACTCACTAGCACAAGAACAGCATGGGGGAAACTGCCCCCATGATTCAATTACCTCCACCTGGTCCCTTGTAACGTGGGGATTATGGGGATTACAATTCAAGATGAGATTTTGGATGGGGACACAGGAAAACCATAGCAGACGTAGTGCGAAATGTTTGGTTATTTAGTTTAAGAAATGTGGGAAAGAACACAAAAAGAAAAGGAGAAACAAAAATCTAACACCCAAAAGATTTCCTCTTTGTCACCTCATTACCTGAGCTAATGACTCCCCAAAACTCAGAGAACACATCAGGAATCCAGGATAGCTGTGCTCCTCAGCCTGGAGGAGCTTTCAACAGGCACAGGAGTTGGATAATTACACACTGGTACCTTTCCCAGATGATTTATGGAATACCCTGTGGCAAATAAGGAAGACACAAGCTCCAACAAATGATTTCTTTAAGTCAGGACCTTTAAACAAGAAAGCATTACTGAGGGGGCAATAAAACCATCAGAATGTGGCTCTGGCTTCTCTCCATCTTATTAGGCTTGAGGTAATTATCCAGGTAATTTAGGGAAAATAAACTGCCATTACCTGAATTATTCAGATAATTACCTCGCTGTTCTGCTTCAGTCCAGTGGTGGAGAGCCGGCTGTAAATGTCTCACAGGCTCAGTCTGATTACAGAAAACAGGCTTGGCAATTGAGGAGCTGGGGGTGGAACAGTGGAAGGAGTTGAGCTCAAATAATTAGGTGTTTTAGACCAAGCCCTGGCACATACCACCTGCTTACTCCTGGTTAGCCACTTTATCTCACCGAACCAAAAGGCATTTTGAAGATGGCAAACTATAAATTACTAACTGGTTGTTGTTCTGAACCCTGATTAACCTTAATAGGGAGAGCACCAGGTTCAAGAGGCTGAAGAAGAGACCAAGAGTCAGCAAAGAAGATAAGGGGTTTTATTAAGGGCTTACACACAGAAGAGAAAGTCCAGTGGTGGTGGGCTGGACAACATAACCACATGGCCCAGTGGCATTGGGCTAAGCAGGAAACTGCAACCACTTGCAAACAGCATGCAGTTTATATAGCATTTTCACTTAACACCTTCCCCTAATGACCTCCACCTGGCAACCTTCATTTAACCTAAAACTTAGGGCCTCAATCCCGTGTACAGCCCGTGTTTCACTTCCATGGTTCAGGCCAGGGGCTCAGATGTTCTTCATAAACAAGGAATAATTTCTGGGTTGGCCACTCCCGAATTCCCTAGTTTGGAACACACATTCAGATGTGTCTGCCATACAGGGTCAGTCTAAGGGTATGCTTAAGTTATTGCTATCAGGTGCATTTACCCTACATGGATACAATTTAAGCAATTATTATTAATCATATTTTTTCACTGGTGTTATCAACAGCTGATGTAAACTTTTGTTCTGGCATAAAGATGGCTAGAAATTCTATGCTTTATGCTGAGGTATGAGATTCCAGGGCAATGCTTCTTAATGTTAGCTGCCCATTAGACTCAACTGGGGAAATTTTTTTTTTTTGGAGATGGAATCTCACTCTGTTGTCCAGGCTGGAGTGCAGTGGCATGATCTCAGCTCACTGCGATGTCCGCCTCCCAGGTTCAAAGGATTCTCATGCCTCAGCCTCTGAGTAGCTAGGATTACAGGTGTGCACCACCACACCTGGCTAATTTTTTTTGTATTTTTAGTAGAGATGGAGTTTCACCATGTTGGCCAGGCTGGTCTCGAACTCCTGACCTCAAGTGATCCACACGCCTCGGCTTCCCAAAGTGCTGGGACTCAGGCGTGAGCCACCGCACCTGGCCTCAACTGGGGAACTTTTAAAAAATAGAGGATTTCCAGGTCCCACACCAGATCAGTTAAATTTGAATCTCTAGGGTCGAGCTCCTGACATTGGTATTTTTAACAAGCTCTCCAGATGATTCTAACAGGCAGAACTACTGCACATCAGAGAAAGAAGGGAAGGGAGATTTCTGTTACTGAATGGTCATATTCAGGATTTGACATTTCTGATGGATAAGTCTCGGAGTGACAGGTGAAGCTGAGTGTTCAGCCTCTTCCCCCAGAGTTCTAGGCACGAGGGATCTGTGATGGTTTGAATGTTTATGTCCCTCCAGAATTCATGTTGAACCATAATCCACAATGCAACAGTATCAAGAGGTGTGGCCTTTAGGAGCTGATTAGGCCACGAAGGCTCTGCCTCATGGATGGGATCACCCTTATAAAAAGACTTGATGGAGTGCATTCAGTCCCTTTTTTGCTCCTTCCATTCCTTCCACCTTGTGGGAATACAGCATGCCCTCTGGAAGATGCAGCAACACAGCACCATTTTGGATGCAGAGACCACATTCTTGCAAGACACCAAACCTGCTAATGCCTTGATTTTGGACTTCCAGCCTCCAGAACTATAAGAAATATATTTCTGTTCTTTATAAATGACCCAGTCTCAGGTATTTTGTTACTGCCATAGGAACAGACTAAGACAGGGCCCAAATTGCCCCATCTGTGGATTTCAGAGGTCCCTGATCTGAATGGCAGAAGAGGAGTTTGCTGTGCCTATCTGCTGAACTGTACACCACTCCCGTACAAAAAGGCCATGAGGCTCTGGCAGTGCCTGCTCTACATACCAGGTTTGTTTGAGTAACCAAAGGACTCATCAAAGGCTGCTTAACCACTGCTAGTTGTTAGCAGAGATGGGCAGAAAGAATCATTTTCACTTCCTTGTCATTTCCTAAAACTGCCCCTCCCAAGGATTAGGAACAGGCACATCCCCACCATGAGTGATCAGGGCTCTATAAGGTGCATTTGTGCATCACATCAACACTCATTAAAAACAATGAGACAGTAACTGCAAAAAGACATTACTTCACCCCGGCAGCAAGTTCCCAGGGGCAAACTTGCCATCTGCTAGGCAGCGCTAGGAACCAGAAAACTTTTGAAGCAATTCAGTTGGATCCTCCAGCTTTGAAGCATCTGGTTGGTAACTGTGCTATCAGCATGAAGTTACCTTCTCAGTTTCAAACACCCCAGTGTTGGAACCTGAAGATAGAATTCCTGTGGTTTAGACACAAATGCCTGCTACTAGGATTTACAGATGGGGCTCTCCTTTAAGTCTTAGGAGACATGGCTCAGAAATGATCATGCAATCTCTCAACAATTTCTCAGGAATGACCAACAGTCTCTCAGAATACAGCAAAACATCTGTTTCTTACATGTAACTCCACCGAACACAGGCTGCCTTCCCCATACACATGTTTTTCTGGCGGGGATTGTATGACATGTGAATTCAAAGGACCATTTCTTTTGCCCCATGACAAGCCTTTCAGAGGGTGAAGTGCTTGGATTTAGAGTGATTCTCCTTAGAGGATTTACCCCCAGTTGTTGAAATATGGCAAATACCAAGTGTCCACGATTTATTATAAGACAATAAAGTGATTGTTCCTTATGGAGTACTCCCTACACTCTGGAGAAAAGCAAACAATAGCATGTGTTCTTTCTTCCTCTTAGAAAATAGTCTAGTCTTTTAAAATTCCCCTTGACTGCATAGAGGTTTGTTATCTTTCAAGGTCCTGTTCAAATGTTGCCTCCCCTGTAAAGCCTTCTAGGGTCTTCCTGAGCAGAATTAACCATGCCTTATGTGGCAGCTTAGGTTTTGTTTTGTTTTGTTTTTTTTTAAAAAAAACCAACTTGATGCTCAGTAACATTGTGTGTGTGTGTTTTTGTTTTTGTTTTTTTTTTTGAGACAGAGTTTCACTCTTGTTACCTAGGCTGGAGTGCAATGGCGCAATCTTGGTGCACTGTAACCTCTGCCTCCCAGATTCAAGCAATTATCCTGCCTCAGCCTCCCGAGTAGCTGGGATTACAGGCGCCCGCCACCACACACGGCTAAATTTTGTATTTTTAGTAGAGACACATTTTCACTGTGTTGGGCAGGCTGGTCTCGAACGCCTGACCTCAGGTGATCTGCCCACCTCGGCCTCCCAAAGTGCTGGGTTTACAGGCATGAGCCACTGCGCCCAGCCAACATTGTGTAATATTATTTAGTTGTTCAGTGTGTGTGTCTGCCTCTCTTCCCTCCCACCCCTACTCCCAGTACACCGGACTATGAGCTCCTCGAAGACAGAAATAACGTAGGTGCACGGTAATTATTATGTGTGGAATTGAATGTGATTCCTGGGACAGTTATAATATTCTTTCACAGTGGGCATCAGGACTATTTGACTTTTTAAAGTGCTTCCGTAAAGGGGTGTTCCATGTGCTCACAGGGAATATTTGCTGAATCTTCTCATCTATTCCCTCACATTCACTGTGAAATTTCCCTCCTGAGATAGTCCTGGCTTTTTTGCTGGGACGTTCATGCTTCTGTTTTTTTTTTTTTGTTTTGTTTTGTTTTTTTCCTGACTGTTTTTTTGACCCCTTCTGGTCATTTCCCATTTCCCATTTCACATCTTGGGCAGAGTTGGCATTTGACTATAATTCTCTACCATCCCAAGCTGCTACCAAACATTGCCTCAAGAACCCAGTCCCCACCTGCGATGTACCTTCCTCCAGATATTGCATTTGGGAAAAGTCTCCAGAATAATTTTTAAAAGAAGCCAGGATTGTGTAATAAGAACGAGCACAGCTCTGGAGTCAGTCATATCTGTATTTGATATCTACCTTGAGTTCTGCTATATAGTGATCTTGGGTGAATTATTTAACCTCCTTAAAGTCCAATTTCTTCATCTATAAACTGGGGATAATAATAGTTCCTACCTTTTTAGGTGGCACATAGTAATAATTCCATCGTTTGACTACTTACTTAATGTTAGGTCTTGGGAAAGTCCACTTTTTTATTTATTTATTTTTTTAGATGGAGTCTCACTCTTATTGCCCATGCTGGAGGGCAGTGGCGCGATCTCAGCTCCTGGGTTCAACTTCTGCCTCCCGGGTTCAAGCAATTCTCCTGCCTCAGCCTCCCCAGTAGCTGGGATTACAGGTGCCCACCACCATGCCTGGCTAATTTTTGTATTTTTAGTAAAGATGGGGTTTTGCCATGTTGGCCAGGCTGGTCTCAAACTTTTGACCTCAAGTGATCTGCCCACCTCGGCCTCCCAAAGTATTGGGATTACAGGCATGAGCCACCGCACCTGGCTGCAAGTCCACTTTATGGGGACTATTACATTTAATCTTCATAACAGGATTGTTGCAGGTTGGGTCCTCTGAGAGACAAATTCTAAGATGCAGATTAATATGCAGGAAGTTTATTAGGGAGTGCTTTAGGATTAACACCTGTGAAGAGGGAGCAAAAGAAGCAGATTTGGGCAGACAGAGAAACTGAGCTGCAGTACAGTTTTAACAGAGGCTTCACGCAACTTCACAGGACAGTTTAAAGCTGGGAGAGCACTTCAGAGTTGTGTTGCAGTGCAGGGAGGGAGCTGAGGTCTTTATACTCCTACAAATGATCCATCATGGGAAGCAGGCTGTCCTTTCCCTGAAGGGAGTGTGGCCTCAAATGAGGTAGCTCTCTCCAGCTGAGGGCAATTTTTGGAAAGGGCTGACAACTGTGGGGCTATATTCCTAAAAGCACCCATTGCACAAATTATTATTATTATTAGAGATGGGGTCTCACTGTTGTCCAGGCTGGCCTCAATCTCCTGGACTCAAGCAATTCTCCTGCCTCAGCTTCCCAAAGTGCTGGGATTACAGATGTTAGCCATCATGGCTGGTCTGTTGCACAAATTATGTGAGATAACATATAAAACACTTAGCACAATGCTTGTCAGAGAGTAATCACTTCCTAAATGTTACCTGCTATCACCATCATCATCATCATCATTAACTACCAGATAGCCCACACTTGCCATCTTGCAAGCAAGAACATAATAAATTGCTCAGCCTTTAGAGAAGTTGATGGACATATTTTCTGAATTCTTCTTTTAAAATGAAAGACCTAATGCCCATGCCAATGGAAAAGATTCCTAGACAGTGTATTAGTCAGGGTTCTCCAGAGCAACAGGACCAATAAGATAGGATGTGTGAATTTATAAAGAGAGAGGGAGAGAGAAAGAGAGATTTTAAACAATTGGTTTAGGTGATTATGAATATGAAGCCTGGCAAGTCAAAAATCTGCGGGATAGATCAGCAGGCTGGAGGCACAGGGAAGAACTAATGTTGCAGTTCAAGTCTGAAGGATGCCTGCTGGCAGAATTGCTTTTTGCTCAAGGGAGATCAGTCTGTTCTGTTAAGACCTTCAACTGACTGGATGAAGCCCACACACATTATGGAGGGTAATCCGTTTACTCACAGTCCACTGATTCAAATGTTAATCTCATCCAAATACCCTCATAGAAATATGTAGAATAATGTTTGGCCAAATATCTGGGCACTGTGTCCTAGCCAAGTTAACAAAGTTAACCATCATAGGAGTGAATATGGGACTTCGCCTCTAATTTATGGAATCAGAAAATTTGACAAAGAGAGTCATATGGTGTGCATAATATTATTCCATCACAGTGCCGGGAAAGGGCTTCAGGTTTCTGTGCTTTCCTTTGCTAATTTTGCCTATGAAGTTCTTGGGATGATATAGTTAAATCAGTAACATTCTTGAGTCACTGATGGTGATAGAAATTTAATGATGTTATATAGTATGTGGTAGGGTACTGAACAATGGAGATTTAATCACCGAATACTTATTTTAGGCCAAACTTTACTGTAGCACTGGAAATGTAGAGATAAATAAAATAAATGTCCTGTCTTCAAGAAGCTGTTTTCTTGAAATATTCCAATGAGCACAATATAATAAAATAATTGCTTTACTGAAGACAGAGACAAATATATTGTGAGTATAGGAGAAACACCTAAATTTGTTTGGGGAAATGGCATAATTTCCAGAGGTGGCAGTTTTTCAGCTGACATGAAAGATGTCAATTTTAGGGATGCCAAGTTTTGTGGGAGATACCTAGGAGCTAAGGCAACACCATTCAAGGTCATGGTAGCATGAATGACACATGGCATGTTCAATAATATATGCATTTTCTGGATGAACAGAGTAAGATATGATAGTGTAGGGGAATGGTGGGACAAGAGGCAGGTTAGGGAGACAGTGGCCGTATCTTGAAGGCTTATGTGTTATGCAAAGCAATTTGGAGATTGTTCCATGGGTAATAAGGTTTTGAGAAAGAAAATCATATAATCAAATATGAGTGCAAGACTGGGTGTGGTGGCTTACGCCTGTAATCCCAGCACTTTGGGAGGCCAGGTTGGGGGCAGATCACCTGAGGTCAGGAGTTCGAGACCAGCTTGGCCAGCATGGAGAAACCCCGTCTCTACTAAAAATACAAAAATTAGTTGAGTTTGGTGGCACGTGCCTGTAATCCCAGCTACTTGGGAGGCTGAGGCAGGAGAATCACTTGAACCCAGGAGGTGGAGGTGGCAGTGAGCCGAGATCGCACCACTGCATTCCAGCCTGGGTGACAGAGTGAGACTCTGTCTCAAAACAAAACAAAACAAAAACAAATATGAGTGCAAGAATATTTTGTTGGCAATGTGGGGGGTGAATTGGAAGGGTCAAAAACTATAGGCCAAATGGCGATAGATGTAACAGTCAAGGAGAGAGATGATGAGAGTAGCCAGTATAGAGTAGTGTTGGTAAAGACAGAGGACATGATGCATGCCAAAAACTGGGGAGGAAGGGGATGGAGAGGCAATAAGACTAGATGATTTACTGGCTATAGCCATAAGAGAGAATTAAATATTAATGATATGGGATATCTCCAGGGTTTCTGTCTTGGGAAGTGGGTAAATAATGGTGCATATCATAAAGCTAAGGAAGATAGGATGAAAAGCAAGGTGAGGTAGAAGAGATAAAAAAGTTAGTTCGATTTTGGGCTGCTAAATTTGAGGTGCTTAGGAAGCATACTAATGCTTACAATTCATAAATATGTAGAAATCAAACAACACACTCCTAAAAACCAGTGGATTAAAGAGAAAAATCACAAGGGAAATTAGAAAACACTTTGAAATGAATGAAAATGAAAACACAACATACCAAAACATATAGGATACACAAAAGCAATGCTTGGAGGGAAATTATAGAGGTAAACACGTATATTTAAAAATAGATTAAGTCCTTTTCTGTGCAGAAGCTCTTTAGTTTAATTAGATCCCATTCATCTATTTTTGCTTTTATTGAATTTGCTTTTGGCGTCTTCATCATGAAATCTTTGCCCATGCCCACATCCTGAATGGTATTGCCTAGGTTGTCTTCCAGGGTTTTTATAGTTTGGGGTTTTACATTTAAGTCTTTAATCCATCTTGAGTTAATTTTTGTATATAGTGTAAAGAAGGAGTCCAGTTTCAATTTTCTGCATATGGCTATCCAGTTATTCCAGCACCATTTACTGAATAGGGAATCCTTTCCCCATTGCTTGTTTTTCTCAGGTTTGTCAAAAATCAGATAGTTGTAGGTGTGTGGTCTTATTTCTGGGTTCTCTATTCTGTTCCATTGGCCTATGTGTCTGTTTTTGTACCAGTACCATGCTGTTTTGGTTACTGTATCCCTGTAGTATGGTTTGAAGTCGAGTAGCATGATGCCTCCAGCTTTTTGCTTAGGATTGCCTTGGCTATTCAGACTCTTTTTTCAACGGAGTAAACAGACAATCTACAGAATAGGAGAAAATTTTTGCAAACTCTGCATCTGACAAAGGTCTAATATCCAGCATCTATAAGGAACTTAAACAAATTTACCAGAAAGAAACAAACAACACCATTAAAAAGTAGGCAAAGGCCATGAACAGATACTTCCTAAAAGAAGATACAGATGTGGCCAAAAAGTGTATGAAAAAAAGCTGAACATCACTGACCCTTGGAGAAATGCAAACCAAAACCACAATGAGATACCATCTCACACCAGTCAGAATGTCTATTATTAAAAAGTGAAAAAATAACAGATGCTGATGAGGTTGTGGAGAAAAAGGAACACTTACACACTGTCGGTAGGAGTGTAAATTAGTTCAACCATTGTGGAAGACAATGTGGCGATTCTTCAAAGAACTAAGGTCAGAAATACCATTCCACCCAGCACTCTCATTACTGAGGATATACCCAAAGAAATAGGAAGTGTTCTATTATAAAGACACATGTACATGTATGTTCATTGCAGCACTATTCACAATAGCAAAGACATGGAATCAACCTAAATGCCTGTCAATGACAGACTAGATAAAATATGGTACATTTACGCCATGAAATATATGCAGGCATTAAAAAAACGAGATCATGCCCTTCGTAGGGACATGGATGGAGCTGGAGGCCATTATCCTTAGCAAACTGACACGGGCACAGAAAACCAAATACCACATGTTTTTGCTTACAAGTGGGAGCTAAATAATGAGAACACATGGACACATAGAGGGGAACAACACACACTGGGGCCTGTCAGAAGGTGGAGAGTGGGAGGAGGGAGAGGATCAGGAAAAATAACTAATGGGTTCTAGACTTAATACCTGGGTGATGAAATAATTGGTACAAGAAACCCTCATGACATGCATTTACTAACAAACCTACACATCCTGCACATGTACTCCTGAATTTAAAAGTTAAAAAAGACCTCAAATTAATAACCTAAGCTTCCACTTTAAGAAACTAGAAAAAGAAGAGCAAACTAATCCCAAGGCAGGTGTAAGTAAATAATAAATATTGGAGCAGAAATAATGAAATCGAGAATAGTAAAACAACAGAGAAAATCAATGAAATAAAAACTTGGTTCTTTGAAATGATCAACCAAATTGACAAACATTTAAGTGGGCTGACCATGAACAAAAGAGAGAAGATTCACATCACTTAAGTCTGGAATGAAAGAGGGGACATTACTACTGGTGTTATAAAAATAAAAAGGTTTACAAGGGAATACTATGAACAATTAATATATATGCCAAAAAATTAGATAACCTAGATGAAATGGACAAATTGCTAGAAAGACACACACTAATGAATTTGACTCAAGAAGAGATAATAAATCTTCATAGGCCTATAACAAATAAGGAGATTGAATTACTAATGAGAAAACTTCCCACAAAGAAAAGTCCAGGACCAGATGATTTCACTGGTGAATTCTACCAAACATTTAAAGAAGAATTAACACCAATTTTTCACACATTATTCAAAAAAATAGAAGAGGGAACACTTTCTATGAGGCTAACACATTCTTTGAGGCCAGCATATTTAAATCAGGCAAAGACATCACAAGAAAGGGAAATGATAGAGCAGTATCTCTTATGAATGTAGGTGCAAAATCTTCAACAAAATACTAGCAAACTGAATTCAGCCATATATTTTAAAAAAAATATACACCAAGACTAAGTGGGAGTTATCTCAGGAATGCAGGTTTGTTTCAATATATGCAAATTAATCAACGTGATGCACCATATTAATAGAATACAGAGAAAAACCCTACATGATCACCTCAATAGATGCAAAAAAAAGAAAAAACCAACAAAAAAAAGCCAAACATTTGACAAACACCAACACCATTTCATGATAAAAAAAAAAAAAAAAGCACTCAACAAAGTTTCTTCTACCTGTTTCCTCAACAGTTAGAGGGAACTTCCTCAACCTGAGGAAATCTAGCAAAAACTCACAGTTAATATCCTACTTAATAGGTGAAAGACTGAAAGCTTTTTCCCTAACATAAGCAACAAGACAAGAATGTCTGATCTTGCTATGTCTATTCAACATTATACTGGAGGTTCTAGCCAGGGTAATTATGAATGAAAAAAGCAATCAAATAATCGAGATTGGAAAGGAAGAAGCAAAACTGTCTCTGTTAATGGATGACATCATATTGCGTACAGAAAATCTTATGGAATCCACAAAAACATTACTAGGGCTAATAAATAAATTCTGCAAGGTTGAAGAATGCAAGATTGATATCTAAAAATCAAGAGTATTTTTCCATATAATACTCTGCAGCCATAAGAAAATAATGAGATCGTGTCCTTTGCAGGGACATGGATGAAGGTGGAAACCATCATTCTCAGCAAACTAACACAGGAACAGAAAACCAAATGCTGCATGTTCTCACTCATAAGTGGGAGTTGAACAATGAGAACACATGGACACAGGGAGGGGAACAACACACCAGGGCCTGTTGGTAGGTGGAGGGCAAGGGGAGGGAGGGCATTAGGACAAATACCTAATGCAGGGCTTGAAACCTAGATGATGGGTTAATAGGTGCAGCAAATCACCATGGCACATGTATACCTATGTAACAAACCTGCACATTCTGCACATATATCCAGGAACTTAAAGTTAAAAAAAAGTCAAGTGTATTTTTTTTTGGCTTATCTTTTTATTTTTTTTATTTTTTTTATTGATCATTCTTGGGTGTTTCTCACAGAGGGGGATTTGGCAGGGTCATAGGACAATAGTGGAGGGAGGGTCAGCAGATAAACAAGTGAACAAAGGTCTCTGGTTTTCCTATGCAGAGGACCCTGCGGCCTTCCGCAGTGTTTGTGTCCCTGGGTACTTGAGATTAGGGAGTGGTGATGACTCTTAATGAGCATGCTGCCTTCAAGCATCTGTTTAACAAAGCACATCTTACACCGCCCTTAATCCATTTAACCCTGAGTGGACACAGCACATGCTTCAGAGAGCACAGGGTTGGGGGTAAGGTCACCGATCAACAGGATCACAAGGCAGAAGAATTTTTCTTAGTACAGAACAAAATGAAAAGTCTCCCGTGTCTACCTCTTTCTACACAGACACGGCAACCATCCGATTTCTCAATCCTTTCCCCGCCTTTCTCCCCTTTCTATTCCACAAAACCGCCATTGTCATCATGGCCCGTTCTCAATGAGCTGTTGGGTACACCTCCCAGACGGGGTGGTGGCCGGGCAGAGGGGCTCCTCACTTCCCAGTAGGGGCGGCCGGGCAGAGGCGCCCCTCACCTCCCGGACGGGGCGGCTGGCCGGGCGGGGGGCTGACCCCCCCCACCTCCCTCCCGGACGGGGCGGCTGGCCGGGCAGGGGGCTGACCCCCCCACCTCCCTCCCGGACGGGGCGGCTGGCCGGGCGGGGGGCTGACACCCCCACCTCCCTCCCGGATGGGGCGGCTGGCCGGGTGGGGGGCTGACCCCCCCACCTCCTTCCCGGACGGGGCGGCTGGCCGGGCAGAGGGGCTCCTCACTTCCCAGTAGGGGCGGCCGGGCAGAGGCGCCCCTCACCTCCCTGACGGGGCGGCTGGCCGGGCGGGGGGCTGACCCCCCCACCTCCCTCCCGGACGGGGCGGCTGGCCGGGTGGGGGGCTGATCCCCCCACCTCCCTCCCGGACGGGGCGGCTGGCCTGGCGGGGGCTGACCCCCACCTCCCTCCCGGATGGGGTGGCTGCCAGGCAGAGACACTCCTCACTTCCCAGACGGGGTGGCTGCCGGGCGGAGGGGCTCCTCACTTCTCATATGGGGCGGTTGCCAGGCAGAGGGTCTCCTCACTTCTCAGACGGGGCGGCTGGGCAGAGACGCTCCTCACCTCCCAGACGGGGTCGCAGCTGGGTAGAGGCGCTCCTCACATCCCAGACGGGGCGGCGGGGCAGAGGCGCTCCCCACATCTCAGATGATGGGCCGCCGGGCAGAGACGCTCCTCACTTCCTAGATGGGATGGCGGCCGGGAAGAGGCGCTCCTCACTTCCTAGACGGGATGGCGGCCGGGAAGAGGTGCTCCTCACTTCCTAGACGGGATGGCGGCCGGGCAGAGACGCTCCTCACTTCCTAGACGGGATGGCTGCCGGGCAGAGACGCTCCTCACTTCCTAGACGGGATGGCGGCCGGGCAGAGACGCTCCTCACTTCCTAGACGGGATGGCGGCCGGGCAGAGACGCTCCTCACTTCCTAGACGGGATGGCGGCCGGGCAGAGACGCTCCTCACTTCCTAGATGGGATGGCCGCAGGGAAGAGGCGCTCCTCACTTCCTAGACGGGATGGCCGCAGGGAAGAGGCGCTCCTCACTTCCTAGATGGGATGGTGGCCGGGCAGAGACGCTCCTCACTTTCCAGACTGGGTAGCCAGGCAGTGGGGCTCCTCACGTCCCAGACGATGGGCGGCCAGGCAGAGACGCTCCTCACTTCCCAGACGGGGTGGCAGCCGGGCAGAGGCTGCAATCTCGGCACTTTGGGAGGCCAAGGCAGGCGGCTGGGAGGTGGAGGTTGTAGCGAGCCGAGATCACGCCACTGCACTCCAGCCTGGGCCCCATTGAGCACTGAGTGAACCAGACTCCGTCTGCAATCCTGGCACCTCAGGAGGCCGAGGCTGGCGGATCACTCGCGGTTAGGAGCTGGAGACCAGCCCAGCCAACACAGCGAAACCCCGTCTCCACCAAAAAAATACGAAAAGCAGTCAGGCGTGGCGGCGCGCGCCTGCAATCGCAGGCACTTGGCAGGCTGAGGCAGGAGAATCAGGCAGGGAGGCTGCAGTGAGCCGAGATGGCAGCAGTACAGTCCAGCTTCGGCTGGGCATCAGTGGGAGACCGTGGAAAGAGAGGGAGAGGGAGACCGTGGGGAGAGGGAGACGGAGATGAGGGAGAGGGAGGGGGAGGGGTAGGGGGAGGGAGAGGGAGAAATCCAAATTTTTTTCTCAAGTGTATTTTTATATATTGCCAATGAACAATCAAAAATGAAACTTAAAAAACAATTTTAGTTTTGGATGCAGTAATATCAAATATAGTACAATTCCAATTTTGATACAATATAAAAAAGAGGTGCAAATGTGTACATCAAAAATTACAAATCATTACTGAAAGAAATTTAAAGAAATTTAAATAAATGGAAAGACATCCTGTGTTCAAGAATTGTTAAAACTTAATATTGTCAACATGGTAATACTCCATAAAATGGCCCACAGAGTCAATGCAATAATTATCAAAATCCTACCTGCACACCCCCCACCCCACCTCTTTTTTTTTTTTGCAGAAATGAAAAAGTTGATCCTAAAATTCATATGGAATTGCAAGGGACCCTGAATAGCCAAAAGAGTTTTGAAAACAAACAAAGTTGGAGAGTTCACACTTCCTGATTTCAAAGCAATAAAACAGTACAGTTATCAAGACTGTATGGCACTGGCATAAGGATAGACATAAAGACAGATGGAATAGAACTGAGGCAGTTTCATATACAGTAAATTGATTTCTGACAAGAGTGCCAAGACAATTCAGTGGTGGCAAAGAATAGTCTTTTCAACAAATAGTGCTGAGACAACTAGATAGCCATATGCAAACAATAAAGTTGAACACCTCCCTTACCTTCCAGTGTATATAAAAGTTATAATAATTCAAAATAGAAAAAGCCTCAATAAAAATATGTTAATAAAAATTCTGTTTAAAATGAATCCAAAGACTGCACAGGTGAAGAATAA
Organism: Homo sapiens; assembly: GCF_000001405.40. NCBI lineage: Eukaryota > Metazoa > Chordata > Mammalia > Primates > Hominidae > Homo > Homo sapiens. Next base: position 86,877,411 of record NC_000011.10, on the reverse strand, counting down.
GAGCTTTTGAGACATGTACGGAGAAGGGGATCAGAAGAACGGGAACCGTGTAAGAAGAAAAGGTGTCCACATTGGGTCTGACCAAAATGGGGACTTTCCCTTTAATCCCCCACTAAATCTTCCCATCAGTTTTGCAGTAGCACTGTGCTGAGAGTTGAGAGATTACAGAGAAAACAGTCATTGCCCTTGACCCCCAAGGAGCTCACAGTGCAGTGGAGGAGACAGACCTGAACACAGATAATAGGGTACAATGGATAAAGCCATAATAGAGGGCTGAATGAGGCACTGTGAGGGCTAAACACTTATACTGCACATTACCCATCTTGATTTGATTGCAGTTGCCACAGTGGGCCCAGTGCACCATGAAGTGCCTCGCTCATTGAGATGGCTAAAATGACCTGCTTGGCCAGGGCTCAGCCGTGCAGGTAGAAGACAGGTTATACAACTCTTTCTTATGATGGAGACTCTTTACTCAGTTGACATTAGTGGTGAGACTGAAGCACATTTTTAAAATTCCACAACCTCTAGGAATGCCTCCTATTTAGCCTGTCCTATTTAGGGGCCCACTTGTCTTTCTAATTGGTTTTCTTAGAAATTAGGCTTTTAATTTTTATTAGATCATTTTGCATGGGCCCATAGGTTGCTTTGAAATGAATCAAATTGCTTCGTTTTTTTTTTTATTGCAATGTTAACTGTTATATAGATCACTGTCTTTCCAACATTAATGAGCATAGGAATCACGAATAGTCTTGTTAAACAATAAACTCTGATTCAGTAGGTCTGTGGTGGGGCCTAAGAGTCTGCATTTCTAACCAGCTCCTAGGTGATGTCAATTCTGGTGGTCCATGGGCCACACTTTGGTTAGTGAGGCAAGACTACACTTTAATATTTTAGTATTTACCAAGGACTTTAATCCCTACTATTTAGGTAATATTCAGAATAACCCTGTGAGGTAGGCAAGGTGGTTATTATTATTCTCATCATAACAGATGAGGAAACTGAGGCAATAATGGTTAGCCAGAGAATGCTAGGACACACCTTACTTGGAACTCAGCCTCATACTCGCTGATTCCTTCATAGCAGATAGGCTAGTCCTTTAATCAACTATGTTATTTCTGGTGACAAGAACTGTGCCTTGATCATCCCTGTGTCCCCTGCAGTTTCTAGTATGGTGTTTGGTACATGGCAAGCATCTGGTGATGTTTACTCCGAAATTTCTTTTTATATCTCACCCGCCACTATGCAATCTTCTGGGTGCTTTATTTTATATTTATTATTCTAATTCTCACACTCAGTCTTTCAGGCAGGGTTATTAATTGCATTGCACTGTGTGGAAAATAAGTCTCAGAAAGGCAGAGTGACTTGTACACGTCTACCTAGACAAAAATGGGAGAAAAGGTAGAATTTAAATCCATGTCTGCCATATAAAGGAGCCCACAGTGTTTTATTTTATATTTTTAATTATGGATTCTTGCACAGATGATACAATGAAGAAGTACTTTTCAATCAACTATTACTGATATCCAGATTGTCAAAAGTCTTTAGAAAGTTGGTTGTGAGAATGATAGTTGGTCTGCCCAAAGTCTCTGAAGATAAAAAAGGCTGTTCTCATTTTCCTTCTGCACATCCTCACAGCTGTTGTAACCTCTATCTGCAGCTTTACACCAAATGACAGAGAATAATTGATGGGATTGGAGGTCTCTGTCTGTAAAGAAAATAAACTTGTTCTGATGTTCCTTCTATATTACGCAGTTGCTTAAATTTTTAATCGAAGGGTTGTTAGTCAAGAAAGAGTGCAGAAAAAGTTAGTGGTCTTGTTGGTACCCCCAAGGATGCTCTGAGTAGATGTTAGGAAAGGACTTTATGCCATAGACTCACAAAACATTTGAGTTCTTGCTTTCTGAAAGAGTCAGCGTTCCTACCAGAGCACGGTCTTTCACAGACATTAAGAGGCAAGAGGGATTTTTAAAAATCATGTGCTGAGCCTGGTCAACTAACTAATGTGGCACTTTATTTCATTTATTTTATATATATATTTTTGAGACAGAGTTTCGCTCTTGTTGCCCAGGCTGGAGTGCAACCGCATGATCTTGGCTCACTGCAACCTCCACCTCCCGGGTTCAAGTGATTCTCCTGCCTCAGCCTCCTGAGTAGCTGGGATTACAGGCACCCGCCACCACACCCGGCTAATTGTGGCACTTTAAAAATATGCCTATAAATTCTTTCTCATCATAAGGTGGGGTCTAGATCCCCTCTCCTTGAATGTAGGTGGCTTGTGCTTGCTTTGACCAGTAGGATACAGCAGTTGTGAGACTGGGTAACTTTTGAGGCTAAGACATTAAAGACCATGCAGTTCCTGCCTTATTTACTGAAACAATCATGCTTGGGGTCCTAAGCCTCTAAGGAAAAAATCCAACTACCCTGATGCAGTCATGTTGTGAGGAATTCCATGCCACATGGAGAAGACATGTGAAGGCATTCTGGTTCACAGTCTCAACTGAGCACAGCCCTCAAGTCCTTCCAGCCTAGGCACCAGACATACCAGTGAAGAAGCCTCCAGATGACTCAGCCCTTCGGCCACTTGTATCATCCTCTGTTTTTGCATCCCAGATGAGGCCTCAGACATTGTGGAGCAGAGATAAGCCATCCTCCCTATAAAATATCCCAATTCATGACCCACAGAACCCACAGGCATAATAAAATAGTTTTTGTTTTACACTACAAAGTTGGGAATTGTGTGTTATAAGTCAATAGGTAACTGTAGCAATCAGTCAGAATTCTTTAGATTGCAAGTGAAAAAGGTAAACTCCGACTAGTTTTGGAAGAAGAGAAATCTACTGGAAGGTGTACTGTAGTGGCCACGGGGCTGTGCCTCACAGATCCCTGATTATGACAGCATGACTGGCGGATGGTCCCAGCTGCTGCACTCAAATCTCTTACTGTGTTACACTGAATACAAGTGCTCCCACAAGCTTAGGCGTGTCAGATTTAGCAAATAAAAATACAGGATGCCCATGCAATATTTGGGACCTATTTATATTAACAAATGTTTCATCATTTATCTGAAATTCAAATTCAAATTTAACTGCGTGTCCTATATGTAATCTGGCAACCCTACACAAGTTGCTCCCAGCCGGTGAGTGAATGTGGCAAGATTCTGTATTGGGCTGTTCTTGGGAGACACAGGACTCCTCTGATAGGTGACTCTGGCTCAAGGATTCTCCATCGGACTTGGTGAACTTCCTTCGAACTGCACTGCAGCCCAAGATTCTTCCACCCAACCTTTCCCCTTTATTCTTCTCTTCACAAAGATTAAACCCTCTTCTTGGTCTGATGGCTCTCCCAGCCTTCTCTGTCTCCATCCACATTTTCTCTCACATTTTCCATCACAAGACATAGATTAGATATTTTCCCTAATCTATGTCTTGCACTTCTAATCTCACCTCAGAACTGCTCATAGGACTCAGAATAACACAGGAACTTCACATGAATGAAAGTCTGAGTAACTAAATCACAGGAAGAGCTCTGATGCAACTTAGTGTCAGGAACTCAAATGCTTCCACATCTCCCTCTCTCTGGTTCTCTTTTATGCCTCTCATGTTCCGTCCGTTCATTCTCTTGCTCTACAGATTGGCTTCCTCCATCTGATAGTGGAACATGGTTGTCAAAACTCACAAATTTCACATCTTGCAACATTCACCATCAGTGAGGTGTTTACTTACTTTGAGTTTGAAAAATTGAGGGAAAGGCTCTGAGTGGCCTTGCATGGGTTAGATGCCCATCTCTGGACCAATCAGCTATGGCCAGGGGTACAATCTTTAAGAATATAGGCTGGGCACGGTGGCTCATGCCTACAATCCCAACACTTTGGGAGGCTGAGGTGGGAGGATCGCTTGAGTTCAGGAGTTCGAGACCAGCCTGGCCAACATAGGAAAACCCCGACTCTACTAAAAACACACACACAAATGAGCTGGGCATGGTGGTGCATGCCTGTAGGAGGCTGAGGCAGGAGAGTCACTTGAACCTGGGAGGCAGAAGTTGTATTGAGCTGAGATTGCACCACTGTACTCCAGCCTGGATAACAGAGTGAAACTCCATCTCAAAAAGAAAAAAAATATATATATATGTATATATATGTGTGTGTATATATATATACATATATATGTGTGTGTGTGTATATATATATACATATATCTGTGTGTGTGTGTGTGTGTATATATATGTATATATATAATTTCCTGTGTGTGCAAATCACAAGGTTGCAATTGAAAGAAGAACTATTCTCAAATGGACAGAGGGGGTTGGATAGACAATATCATAGGTGGGTGTCCACCATAGCCCCTGAAATACAGTGGAGGATCAGCCAGACTTACTGTTGTACATAAAAATTCAGAGTTAATTAATAGTTGATTGAGTCCATTGAATGATGAGAACTGAGTTCCTACAATGTAGCATGGATGCTCTGTGGTAGAGTCTTTAGATATATTATTTCTTAATAATCTTTATAACAGACCCCATGAGGTAGTTATTATCCCTTTGTCATAGATAAGGAAACTGAAATTCAGGCTATTAAGCAACTTACTCAAGGTCATTTAGTAAATAGGAGGGAGCTAGGTTTTGAAACCAGGTCTCTGTTTTCCCATTTCTTTCTACTACTCCTGGTGGGTTGTTCAGTATTAAGTAGAATCACAATGGGATAATTGGGTTTTCATCATTATAACAGATTGCTTTGGTGTGGTATATGCATAACTCCAAATTTTATTTTCTTGTATGAAAAATTAAGTCTATTTACTCCTTTGAAGAAAAATTCATAATGTTTGAAAAAACATACTATGTGCTAGATGCTGGGCCACTGTCTGTAAGAGAGACAAATATAAATAAAACTTGTCTCTGCACTCAAATGACCTTAACAGTCTGACCTGAGGGTGGAGGAATGGGCAGAGTACGGATATGTTTATAAATAACCCAAATAAGAGAATGTTGGAATCAGGAACGTGTTAAGTGTGGGATAGGTGTGAAACTTTCCTTTGTTCCTAGTTGAATAACTTGATATTCAAGAACTTTAAAGAACTCAGAAAAGTGGTATTTATATTTGGAAAATAGTTTCTGTATTTTATACATTGCCCCATATTTTATACATTATATTTCACTCTTTGAACATTATTTAAAAACTTACAGAAGAGGAAATAATAACACATTATATACTATTTATTCCATTATCTTGCTAGATACTTAACATACATTATCACATTTAATCCCCACGAGAGTCCTGCTGCATGTATGTAACAAGCCTCATTTGACACAAGAAAGAGTTGAAACCAAGAGTTAAGTGAATTGCTGAACACCCCTTACTGCTAATTGTAAGTGGCAGGATTTGCCCCTGGGATGTTTGATTCCAGAGCCCATGCTTTTACTATTATGCCATTTGAGATAGCTTTAGTTACATAGATGTTTACCAACCTATGTGTGCACACAAATACAGTCACACATATATACATATTTTCTCTGGAGAGAAATATAGCAAGCTTTGCTATCTGGCCTGTGTACATGTTGACCCTTCTGCCTGAACATGTTATTCCTGTGGCTTTCTGCATAGTTGGCTTCTTGTCATCTTATGAGTCTCAGCTTAAATGTTACCTCCTGACTTTCTATATCTCCCAATGTAGAGTTATGAATATCAGAGTTCTCCTCCCACTATCAATGACAACAAAATGGAATAAAATATATGAGGCAATTGTTGTCAGTCATTGGAGGTTAGAAGTCACACGATTGTGAGGCTTAACAGAAGAGAAACTTACAAAATGATTTGGGAAGAGATTGCAGTTCTCTGATGTTTTGCTGAGTGGAAGAAATAGAAATAGAGTTTGGGGCTACTGAGGTGGCCAGAATTTGTGGGACAGGGTACTGGAGAAGAGAATACTGTACAGAGCAGGAACTTTAAAAATATGCAGAGAGAACCCATTGGGTCTTTGAAAACTAAGCTGCATATATGCAGGGTAAGACTACACAAGGCCTAAAAGAGAAGAGTTCCTGGTGAGCTGAGAACTGAACAATGATTCCAGAGGTCACACAGTGCTTGGAGATGTTGACATTCCAACCATTTAAAGTGAAGAAATCCCATCGAAAACTCAGAGAATTTAACTGAGATGTTAAAAAGACCACATTTTAGAATTAAGGATCATTGCCTGAAGTAAGGGCAACTCTACACCCACCCTAAAAAGGCATAAAACCAAGCCTCAGTAGGATCAAGATGATCTGCTAGTAGCTTAAGTGCGTGCTAAAATAAAACTCCATGCTCTTCAAAGGAAAATATAGTCTAAGCGCTCCAATTCAGCTGGTCCAGTGTATAATAAAAAATTACTAGATATGAAAAAAGCTAGAAAATGTAATTCATAATCAGGAAAAAAATTGTCAATATAAATAGTCCCAGAGATGACATGGATGTAGGAGTTAGCAGACAAAGACTTTAAAACAACTATTATAAATGTGTTTAAGAATTTGAAAGAAAGGTGGACAGAATGATTGCAGATTAGGAATTTTAGCTCAACAATTAAAACTATAAAAACCAAATGACAATTGTAGAACTGAAAAATACAAGACTGGAAATGAACAATTTACTGGATGGGTTAAAGAGAAGATTGGACACTGCAGAAGAAAGGGGTAATAAACTTGAAGACAAATCAAAAGAAACTACAAAAAATTGATGCACAGATGAAAGGAAGATTGATAAATAAACAGAATCATATCGACCTGTGGGACAATTTCAGGTGATATAAGGTATATGTAATTGGAATCCCTGAAGAGTATGAAAAGGATTGAAAAACGCTTTTGAAAATATAAAGGTCAAAAATGTTTTAAATTTGACAAAAAGTAAATGTTACCATCTAAGCAGAAGCTTTTCCTGACTTATTTGTCTACCCCTCCCCTCCATGCCTGTTCTAGCTCACCCCCATCTCTGCCAAAGGAGAATAGATTAAAGCTACTTTTGGGCTGATAAAAGGAAATAGGTTACGAGGGATCCAGGGAACTAAACACAGTACGAGGCCCTATTTCTATCCAGATCCAACCATCCAATAAATACGACAGGATGTTGACATAGGTGGGATAATTTGGAAAAGACTTTCAGCTCTGGTAGGTTTTGTTGTTGTTTTTTCCCCTCCCTTAAAAAAAAAAAATCACCATCTCTGTAGCGCCAAGGCACAGATGATGACTCTGGTCAGAGGGCCTGGGATGCTAGTTCCATCCAAGCCTGCCCTCTGCTGGTCAGATGGAGCCATATCATAATCTGTGAAAACGATTTGGGGAAAAAAAGATCATTTGAATCTTTTCTCTTCCAGGCCAGGCGGAGTCATTCACTGGTTGTTCATTTTTTCCCTTTACTCAGTGTTGAAAGAGAGAGTCAGAGAACTTGTATCTGCACCAGCCCTGCTGCTTATTAGCCAAGTAATCTTGTGCAAATCAGTTAAACTCTGTGAGTACCACTCACTTATTAATTCAGTATTCAATATTTACTGACGACGTACTGTGTTTCAAACCCTGTGTTGGGCTCTGAAAGATATGTAGCTCTTGCCCTCAAAGTGCTCATAATCTAGGAGACACGGTGCTTATTTCACAGTGACCAATCTGAGAGGTGCTGCGTGAGTATCTGGAAGATTCCTGGGCTCCATCTCCTGGTGGGACAATTGCAGTTGGTGGTGGTGAGCACTATGATGCTATGATGCATGATGAGGCAGCTAAACCATCACGTTTGAGAGGCATTGCAGAAGTTAATCCAGCTCTGTAACCTTGGACACATCATTTAACTCCTTTGAGCCTCTCTCCTCTTCCCATTTCCCCAAACAGTCAAGCCCTTTCTCGTTGGTGCCCTGGGAACAATGCCATTTCTAGTACTTACCATGGCAGATTTCAGTGATTGTTTGCCTCTCTCATTAGGCTCGGAGCAACTTGAAGGCGGGGCCCATGTCTGTCTCATTCAAAGCTATATCCTCTGCTCCTAAAATAGTGTCTAACCCTTGATAGGTGCCCAGTTGATGTTTGATAAAGGAATGTAGATGTGGATGAAATGTGAACCAGAAAATGACTTCTGTGAACTTCATGTATCATGGCTGCTGCTTTCTAGATACATCATGGTATTTAGTCTCCCTCATGTTATTATCTGCCATTTATTAAATACTGACTACATTCCAAACGATGTTCTGTCAAATCTGTTATGTTTGTCTACCTACTTTTCTTCTCACAACAGTCATTTGCATAGCTGACATTATGTCTGTTTTTCACTCCAAATGAATTTCAGAGTCATTAAAAACTTATCCAAAATTGGCAGGGAGCAGTGGCACTTTGGGAGGCTGAGGCAGGCAGATCGCTTGACTCCAGGACTTTTAGAGCAGCCCGGGCAACATGGCAAAACTCTATCTCTACAAAAAATACAAAAGGTTAGCTGGGCATGGTGGTGCAAGTCTGTAGTCCCAGCTACTCAGAAGGCTGAGGTGGGAGGATCACCTGAGCCTGGGAGGTTGAGGCTGCAGTGAGCCGTGATCGCACTACTGCACTTCAGCCTGGGTGACAGGGTGACACACTGTCTCAAAAACAAACAGAAATTTATACAGAATCTGAGTTGGGAAGTGACAGAGAAAGATTTCAACCCAAGTGTTCTGATTCCAAAGTGCTTTGCTTCCCTCTATGCAAGCTGCCTCTCTAGGGCTAGTTAGATCCAGACAACTAACTTCCTTGCCACTCCTCCCAGAGTAAGATGTGACAGGCTGCAAGGAATCCCATGGCATGCAATGACCTAAATTAGATGGTGCTCAAGGGCATTTTCTTGGCTACACAGGGTCAAAGGGAGACTGGGAAGGAGTCTTTGCAATGTCTGGGGTCCCTATAATAAAAAGTCACCCAGTGCCTTGTGGGGCTAGGAGTTCCCTTGTTCCTCCTAATATCGGTCAAGCCCCCTTACATAAATGAATGTGTCATTCCTTTGCTCTTTCAACAACATTTATAACCTCTTTCCCTGCTCTTAACCACTGAGTGTGGATCAGTGCAGCCTCCATCATCCATACTTGCTATTGTTCAGCCAGCATACCACATGGAACCCAGAAGGAGATGAAGAACAGTTTTCTCTTTCTCACTCAAGGAACCCACCAAAGTCTCATGTTGACTAGAGAATGGTCAGTGCTTCTTTCACTCCATTGAGTTCACAGGGTGTGCTCAGCCTTTGTCCTTCATGCTCATGAATGCTCTGAGGGTCTCTTGGGAGCCTCTCCTGTCCTCTCCCACAGCTCCTTGTGGTCTCAAATGCCTTTGCTCAGCCTTTCGCTCCCATGTCCCCTAGGCTTCACTTTTTTTTCCTCCTTGGCCTTTGGCTTGAATTATCATTCATTATGTGTTGTGGAGCTGTAGTGGGGTCCCTGAGGTGAAGAGGGGCCGAGGCGAGTAGCCTCCTAGCATATTCTTTCAAGTTGTGCTTCAGTGGCCTTCACTTCTTTTCCATACCTCCACTCACATTACAAAATCCTCTGTTGTATTTTTTTTTTTTTTTTTGAGGTAGGGTCTCACTCTGTCACTGGCTGGAGTGCAGTGGCACAACCTCAGCTCACTGCAGCCTTAGCCTCCTGGGCTCAAGCGACCCTCCTTCTTCAACCTCCCAAGTAGCTGGGACTATAAGCACTTGCCAGCACACTCAACTTATTTTATTTTTTGTAGAGACAGGGTCTCACTATGTTGCCCAGGCTGATCTCAAACTCCTGGGCTCAAGCAATTCTCCAGCCTTGGCCTCTCAAAGTGCTGGGATTACAGGCATGAGCCACTGTGCCTGGCTTATCTTTTATTTTCATAGCTTGGTGTATACTAGGGTCTCAGAAGGAGGATGGTTGTTATACCCCTGAAAGAAAGTTGGGAGAAGAGTAAAGCATCTTGCCATTCATTTATTGATCCCTTCCTCAGTATGTACACTCTACAAAGATGATGAAGGCAAGGCCCTGTCCTTATGACACTCTGTTCTTAAGACACTGTGGGTTTGATCTAGGAGACAGTTGTAAACCACAGTTCCCATGGAAATCAGCCCTGATAGAGCCTAAATTTCAGGTGCAAGGCATTGTGGGAACACAGAGGCATGAGAGAATAGTTTTGAGAGCCAGCTTGGGGAGGTTTTAAGGAGAAGGAGGCCTTGTGCCAGGCCCTTAAGGATGAAGGTGGTTTTATCACAGAGAAGTTGTGAGGGAGAGCATTCCAGATGGTAAGAGTGAGGTTAACAAAGATATAGAAACTCACTAGTATATGTGAAGACATTTCTGCTCGGGGATGAAGCTAGATTAGATACCCTGGTTCTGTATCTGCCACATCACTGATGTACTGAGTCTCTTTCTCTAGGGCACAATGGGTGACTTAGTTTGTTTTGTGTTGCTATAAAGGAATACCTGAAGCTGGGTGATTTATAAAGGAAAAGGCCTTACTTGGCTCATGATTCTGATGGCTGGAAAGTTCAAGATTGGGCATTTGCACCTGGCGAAGGCCCCAGGCTGCTTCCACTCATGGCAGAAGGTGAAAGGGAGCTGGTGTATGTGGAGATCACGTGGTGAGAGAGGAAGCAAGAGATGGGTGGGGGACTCTTTTTAACAAGCAGCTCTCATGGGAACTAGTAGAGTAAGAACTCACTCACACCCAAGAGAGGGCATCAATCTATTCATGAGGGATTCTACTCCATGACCCAAATACCTCTCATTAGGCCCCATTTCCAACACTGGGATCAAATTTCAACATTAGATTTGTTGGTGACAAACAAACCACATTGAAATCATAGCAATGGGTATCTTGCTCATCCTTAAATACCCAGAGTCTAATGCAGTGCCTGGCATATATAAAAGGTGTTCAATGAATGCTGACTTGAAAAGTTGATTCATGAATGAATAGATGATGAATGGATTTTAAATAAATGAATTTAGTCATAGGGTGATGTTGCTTAAATAGGCAGGTAGTCCTCTATGTAATTATAAGAGCGTAATCTCTCCTAATGTCATTTTACCCTGCATGCACTGACCCCTTCACTCCTGTACCCTACCATTCTCCTTACTGACTGCAGCTCCCCACCCCTGTACTCAGAGCATTACGGTTGTATCACTCACATTTCTCTTGTCATGTACTTCTCTGGATGAAGGGTGGTGGTCGTATTGGCAGCAGTAATGTTGGGTTTACTCTAGAGGGTTGCACTTCACAATCAGGCTGAGTCATAGGATAACTTACCACTTTGAGGGGCTGGATATCACCCCTTTGTGGCTCTGTTTTTAAATGCAAGAAAAAATTGAAAAAGATCAGGCTGAACCTCAACCTTTGAAATACCCCAGCCCAATTTAGATTTAGGAGGCCACACAAGAAGTGAGGAGATTAGGCTTGTCTCTTGTTCCAGCAATATGAAGCGTGACTCCCAGACATCCCCATCTGTAAAATGGAAGAAATGATGACTGATGCCCAGTCTCTCAGGCCTATGGTTTTTTAATCGCATGTGGACTTCTGTGAGAAGCATTTGCAACTTCAATTCAAAGGACTTTGTGTAAGCTGTTGGCTTTTTCCATTTGTTTCATGCAGGGAAAATGAATTTGCAATTAGCTGTCTGCTTAGTCTGGTCTTGATGTTTCCAAGGAGCATGAGAACACCTTGTCAGAATTAGGTGGGGAGGAGTAGGGACCTGAGCTGGCAGCACTGTCCACGGAGTCCTCAGTGGGACCAAAGCCAGGAATTGGCCATCTGAGTAGAAACTGCCAACAAGTGGATGAGCATAAACCTGCTAACTGATGATCAAACAGAACCCAGCTATATCTTGAGCTTTGTACAACAGCTTGCTTTCTCCCTCCTGCAGCTCTACCTGCCTGTCCTTTGGCAAAGAAGGCTACAGTTGGCATTGCCACTGAGGCCCAGCAAGGAGGCATTCTGCTTCACAGAACATGGATTTAGCATTTCCATCACCACACTCACAGAACTTGCTGAAACAACATCAGAGTGACAGTGATGATAGCCCCTCATTTATTAAGAATGTACCAGGCGCTTTGCATATGTTACCTCCAAGTGATATAATAACCCTAGTCATTACTACGGTCATCCCCACAAGCATACACTGAAACTCAAAGAAGTTGAGGACTTAAGTAACTTGCTCAAGACCACATATAGTAGAACTGGGAATTGAAACCTCAACTTGCCTGGCTCCAAAGCCTATGGCCTCCCCACTGTACCGTGATGCTTCCATAGAGCAGAAGGGCCAGCTCCAGGATAAATTACACACTGGTCTCTTGCTACTTCCCTTGTGTGGTAGTCAGAATAATGCCTCTGTCCCCTCCTACCACCACCAAAGATGGTCACATCTTAGTCTCTGGGAATGTTTTACCTTACCTGGAAAAAGGAACTTTGTAGATGTGGTTATGTTATGGATCATTTTCAGATGGCAAAATGATCCTGAGTTATCTGTGTGGGCCCAAAGCAATCACAGTGTCCTTCTAAGAGGTAGACAGGAAGATCACACTTACAGAAGGCAGTGTGATGATGGAAGCAGACTCAGAGAGAGACTGGAAGATGCTAGCTGTTGACTTTAAAGATGAAGGACAGGGCCACCATCCAAGGAATGAGGCCAGCCTCTAGAAGCTGGAAAAGGTGCTCTCCTAGAGCCTCCAGAAACAAGACAGCTCTGCTGACACCTTGATCATAGTTCATAAGAACCATTTTGGGACTTCTGACCTCTAGATCTGTAAGATAATAAATCAGTCTTGCATAAGCTACTAAGTGTGTGGTAATGTGTTATAGAAGCAATAGAAAACTAATCCACCCTGGAAAATTTTGCTAATTGCCAGATGATGAGAGGTGTCCTTAAAGTCACTGCTGGGCAAGAGCCACCATGAGAGCTGGTGATTGTTCAAGGCAGCTCCAGAGAGACTGATGTCGTTGGCCAGGATTGTCATTGGCCACCACTGGCCATGCTTCTTAGGCATGACTACGTGGTCCTTCCTCTGTGCTGTGGCGTCAGCCCCTCTGCTACACATGAACCGCCAGCCTCCAACTTGACAACCTCCTGTGACACTGCCTCTCCCATAAGGAGTGAGCCTGTTGCAGCTGTCTGATTTCCAGCACTGCCTCGACTACCCCCTGCCTTTCTGCCTTTGCTCAGTCCTGTGTCAGGCCAGGAACACTAGTCTTTGGGGAAAAAAAAAAAATCAAGTTTAAATAATCACCATCATGGGCTATACAGTGTGTGTAATGGCTGCAGTCACATCTCAAGGCCATTCTCTCAGTGTCTCAGTCTTGGTAATATCATCTGTAAAATGAAGGTAGGATCAATTACCTCATAGAGTTGTTGGAAGAGAAAATGATTTATGTAGAACTGCACAGTGTGAAGCACAGAGTCAATTCCAAATAAATGACCGTGATTATTATATGATTACACATTTTAAAAACTCGTCATGGACATGGGGTCCCAAGTGATCTCAGATTTCACGGTCACTCAGGTATTTAGAAGGTAACCCCTTCATTTGTGTCAAGCATTGCAACACAATGCAGAATTAGAGAATTACAATGCAGCCTTGCTCTTTAATACAGAATTAAATTTGGATTTATATTCTTCTACCCACAGCTTGTGGCTTTGTCTGCATCTGTTAATCGTTAGGAAGTCAATATTTTAAAAACATTTTAAGGAGTTGCTGAAGCATTTGAGTCTATGAAGGGATTCTGGAGAAGAGAAAACAGGTCCAGGAAAATCTGGTAAGTGGAAAGTAAAGAAAGAATGGATTTAGTGTTGCAGGCATTTAAAGCTGCTGTGGAACTCTAAATTCTGAAAGTTAGGATTCTGCCATATGAGAAATGTCCCTGTGACCTCAAATATTCAAATCTCCCTAAAGGTTCTCGTTCTGAGGCAAGGAATGTAGTAGACTGAGTTACTTCTTGGCCCCCATCCTGAATCCAGGCTCACTGATGAGGGGAACCTACTATTGGGCACTTATGAGCACCTGGGGCATTTCCTGTATCCTCTGGGTGCCATGAAGGGACTAGAATGTTTAAAGCTGAAGTTCTCTCCTCAAGGAACTGATCTAGCAAGCAAAAGTTTATATGAAGGCATAGGATATTTCAAATAATATCAGAGGGTGTACATCCAATATGATATTAGGAGTAATATCTTCCTATGATGTTACAAATAATATAACAGGGTGAACACCCACTGTTATATTAGGAGTAATGTCTCCCTAGGATATTAGGAATTATATCACAGAGTGTACACCAAGTGTGATATTAGGAGTCGTATCTACTTAGGATATTTCTTTTAATATCACAGGGTGTAAACCAACTGTGATATTAGGAGTAATAGCTTTCTAGGATATTACAAAAAATATCACAGGATGTGCTCCCACAGTGATATTAGGTGTTATATCTTTCTAGGATGTTACAAATAATATCACACAGTATACATGCACAGTGATATTAGGAGTAGCATCTCCCTAGAATATTACAAATCATATCACTGGGTGTACACCTTCTGTGACATTAAAGTAATATCTCCCTAGAATATTATGAATAATATCACAGGGTGTACATCACCTATGACATTAAAAATAACACCCCCCTAGGATATTATGAATAATATCATGGAGTGTACACACCCTGTGTCATTAGGAGTAACATGCCCCTAGGATATTAGGAAGAATATAAAAGGGTGTATATCTTTTGTGACATTAAGAGTAATATGCCTCTAAGACATTATGAATAATATCACAGGGTGTACACCCCCTGTGTCATTACAAGTAACATCCCCCTAAAATATTACAAATACTATTACAGGGTTTACACCCCCTGTGACATTAGGAGTAGCATTCTCCTTGGATATTGGGAATAATATCACGCTGTGACATTAGGAATAACATACTCTTAGGATATTACGAATATTATCACAGAGTGTACACCCACAGCGACATTAGGAGTAACATCCTCCTAGGGTATTACGAATAGTATCACTAAGTGTACACTGCCTGTGACATTACGGTAACATATCTCTAGGATATTACCAATAATATCCCAGGGTGAACACCCCCTGTACATTAGGAGTAACACCCCCTAAAAATGATACAAATAATATCACAGGATGTACACCCGCTGTCACATGAGGAGTAACATACCCCAAGGATATTACAAATAATATCACAGGGTGTACACCCACTGTGAAATTAGGAGTAATATCTCCCGAGGATATTACTTCTAATATTCCAGTGAGTATACGCACTGAGATATTGCGAGGAATAACATCCTCTCCCCAACAGATACTACAAGCAATATCACAAGGGGTGTACACCCCCTGCGATATTGCGAGTAATATTATCCTCTCCCTTCCAGATGTTACAAACAATACCACAAGGGGGTGTACACCCCATGTGATATGGGATGTAATATCATTCTCTCACCCCCTGTATATTGCAAACATTATCACAACTGGGTGGACACCCCCTCTGATATGGGAAGTAATATCATCCTCTCCACGCTGGATATTACAAACAATATGACAAGGGGGTGTACACTTCCTACAATATGGAAAGTAATATCATCCTCTCCCACTCTGGATATTACAAACAATATCACAAAGGCGTGTACACCCTATCAGACATGGGAAGTAATATCCTCTGCCCCACCTTGGACATTACAAAAAATATCACAGGGGGGTGTACACCCCTGAGTCATGGGGAGTAATATCAACCTCTACCCCCCTTGGGTAGAATAAAAATATCATAGGGGGGTGTACACTCCCTGCAATATGAAGAGTAATATCATCCTCTCCCCACCTCCCGGATAGTACGAACAATATCACAGAAGGGTGTCCGCCCCCTGCAAATGGGGAGTAATATCATCCCCTCTCCAACTGGATATTATGAACAATATCACAAGGGCGTGTACACCTTCTGCGATATAGGGAATTATATCATACACTTCCCCACCGATAATACAAACGCTGTCACAGAGAGGTGCACACCCCCTGCGATATGGGGAGTAATATCATCCTCTCCCTTCCTGGATATTGCAAACTATATCAGAGAGGGTGTACAAAAACGGTGCGCAAGATATTGAGAGTAATATCATGCCCCTCTCCGCCCCCGGATATTACAAACCATATCACAGGGGGGTGGACACCCCCCGCGACATTGAGAGTAATATCGCCCCCCTCTCCCACCCTGGATATTACGGATCATATCACAGGAGGGTGGACACCCCCCGTGACATGGGGAGTAATATCACCTTCCTCTCCCCCTGGATATTACTAATTATATCACAGGGGGGTGGACACACAGGGTATTAACGATATTTCGAGTAATATTATCTTTCCCGTTAAACATTACGAACAATGTGACAGAGGGATGTACACCTCCTGCGATATTGGGAGTAATATCATTCTCACCCCCGGTGGATATTAGGAACAGTATCACAGGAGGGTGTACTTCCCCCTTCTATATTGGGAGTAATATCATACTCACCCCACGGATATTAAGAACAATATCACAGGGGGGCTGTACACTTCTACGATATTGGGAGTAATATCATTCTCTCTCCCTCTGGATATTAGGAAAAATATCACAGGGTGACGTACATTTCCCGCGATACTGAGGGCAGTATTATTGTCTTCCCCGCCCTGGGATATAAGGAACAATATCACAAGGGGGGTCAAACCACCGGCCAAATTTGGGGTTATATTATCCTGTCCCTCCTGAATATAAGAAACTATAACACAGGGGTAACGTACACCCACTGCGATATTGGGAGTAATATCATCCACTCCCTTCTTGGATAGTAGGAACGATATCACAGTGGGGATGTACACCTCTTGTGATATTGAATGTAATGTCATCCTCTCCCTCCCTGGATATTACGAACAATATCACAGGGGGTGTACAACCCTTGTGATATTGGGAGTAATATAATCTTCTCCCCCCTTGATATTAGGAACAATATCACAGGGGCAGTGTACACCCTCTGCTACTTTGGGAGTAATATCCTCTCACCCCCTGGATATTAAAAACCACACCACAAGGGCAGTGTACACACCCTTTGATACTGGGAGTAATATCACCCTCTCCCTACCTGGATATTAGGAATGATATCTCAGGTGGGGTACACCCCACTTGGGATATTGGAAGTAATATTATTTTCTCCCTCACTGGATATGAGCGACAATATCACAGGGGGTGTGAACAACACCTGAGATATTTGGAGTAATATCTTCCTCTCCCCATATGGATATTAAGAACAATATCATGGAGGGGTGTACATCCCCTGTGATATTGGGAGCAATATCATCCTTGTTTCCCCTGGATGTTAGGAACAATATCACAGGGGGTGTACAAAATGCGATATTGAAAGTAATATTATCCTCTCCCCCTTTGGATATTAGGATCAACATCACAGGTTGGGTATACACCACCAGCGATATTGGAATTAATATTATCCTCTTCCTTCCTTGATAATAGTAACAATATCACGGGGGTGTGTATAACCCCTGCAATATTTGGAGTAATATCATCCTCTCCCCCATGGATATTAGAAACAATATCACACTGGAGGTGTCCACCCCATGCAATATTGGGAGTCATAACATTCTTCCCCACCCTGTATATTAGGAAAAATATCACAGGGTGAAGGTACACCTCTTGTGATATTGGGAGTTATATCATTCTCTCCCCCCAGGATATTATGAAGGGGGGGTGTACACTTTCTGGGATATTGGGAGTAATATCATCTTTTTGCCCTCTGGATACTAGGAACAATATTACAAAGGTGGTGTATACCCACTGTGATACTGGGAGTAATATCATCCTTCCCCCCTCACCCTTAATATTAGGAACAAAATCACAGGGGTTTGTACACCTGCTGCGATATTGGGAGTAATATCTTCAACTCTCCCCCTGGATATTAGGAACAGTATCACAGGGTAGGTATACACTTTCTACGATATTGGGAGTAATATAAGCCTCTTCCCCTTTGGATAGTAGAAACGATATCACAGAGTGGGTGTACTCTCCCTGCAATATTGGGAGTAATATCCTCCTCTCCTGCAACGGGTATTAGAAACAATATCACAGGAAGTGTGTACACCCTCTGCGGTATTGAAAGTAATATCATCCCCTCCTCACCTGAGATATCACCTGAACTAAATCACAAGAAGAGTGTACACTTCCTCTGATATTGTGAGTAATATCATCTTCTTCTTCCCTGGATATTAGGAACAAGATCACAGGGGGGTGTCACTTCCCCTGATATAGGGAGCAATATCATCCTCTTCCCCCTTGGATATTAGGAACAATATCACAGGAGGGATGTACAGTCCCTGTGACATTTGGTGTAATATCACCCTCTCTCCCCTAGATTTTAGACCGGTGTGTGTACACCCCTGCGATATTGGGAGTAGTATCATCCTCTCCCTCCTTGGATATTAGGAACAATATCACAGGTGAGGTGTACTGCCTCTGCGATATTGGGAGTAATATCATCCTCTCCCTCCTTGGATATTAGGAACAATATCACAGGGGGTGGGTGTACATTCTCTGCAATATTCAATGTAATATTATCCTCTCCCTCCCTGGGTACTAGGAACAATATTATAGGAGGAGTGTACACCCTCTGCGATATTGGGAGTCATATCATCCTATTTTACTCTAGATATTAGGAACAATACCACAGGGTTGTGTACACCCCCTGTGATATTGGGAGTAATATCATCCTGTCGCCCACTGGATATTAGGAACACCATCACAGGGGTGTGTACACCCCCTGCAATATTGGGAGTAATATCATCCTCTCCCCCCTGGATCTTAAAAACAAAAATATAGGGAGTTGTACACCTGTTGCAACATTGGGATTAACATCTTCCTCTCTTCCCTTGGATATTAGGAACAATATCATAGGGGCGGTGTACACCCCCTGAGATATTGGGAGTAATAACATCATCTCCCCCAGTAGATATCATGTACAATATCACAGGGTTGTGTGCACCCCCATCGGTATTGGGAGTAATAACATCCTCTCCCTCCCTGGATATTAGGGACAATCTCACAGGAGTGATGTAAACCCCTTGCGATATTGGGAGTAATATCATTCTCTCCCCCACTGGATATTAGGAACAATATCACAGGGGTGGTGTAAATTCCGTGCGATATTGGAGGTAATATTATGCTCTCTACACCTAGATATTAAGAACAATATCACAGGAAGGTGTACAACCCCTACCATATTAGGAGAAATGTCATTCTCTCCCCCACTGGATATTAGGAACAATATCACAGCAGGGGTGTACAGTTTCTGAGATACTGGGAGTAATATCCTCTCTCCCCCAGATATTAGGAACAGTATCACAGGGGGTGGTACACTCCCTTAGATATTGGGAGTAATATCATCCTCTTGCCTTCTGGATATTAGGAACAATATCCCAGAAGGCGTGTACAACCCCCTGCGATACTGGGAGACAGCCCGTCCTCACTGGGCTCTCCCTGTCCATGTACCTGGTCACGATGCTGAGGAACCTGTTCATCATCCTGGCTGGCAGCTCTGACCCCCACTTCCACACCCCCATGTACTTCTTCCTCTCCAACCTGTCCTGGGCTGACATTGGTTTCACCTCGGCCACAGTTCCCAAGATGATTGTGGACATGCAGTCGCATAGCAGAGTCATCTCTTATGCGGGCTGCCTGACACAGATGTCTTTCTTTGTCCTTTTTGCATGTATAGAAGACATGCTCCTGACTCTGATGGCCTATGACCGATTTGTGGCCATCTGCCCATCTGTCACCCCCTGCACTACCGAGTCATCATGAATCCTCACCTCTGTGTCTTCTTAGTTTTGGTGTCCTTTTTCCTTAGCCTGTTGGATTCCCAGCTGCACAGCTGGATTGTGTTACACAACTCACCTTCTTCAAGAATGTGGAAATCTATAATTTTTTTTCTGTGACCCATCTCAACTTCTCAACCTTGCCTGTTCTGACAGCATCATCAATAACATATTATGTATTTTAGATATCCCTATATTTGGTTTTCTTCCCATTTCAGGGATCCTTTTGTCTTACTATAAAATTGTCTCCTCCATTCCAAGAATTCCATCGTCAGATGGGAAGTATAAAGCCTTCTCCACCTGTGGCTCTCACCTGGCAGTTGTTTGCTTATTTTATGAAACAGGCATTGGCGTGTACCTGACTTCAGCTGTGTCATCATCTCCCAGGAATGGAGTGGTGGCATCAGTGATGTACGCTGTGGTCATCCCCATGCTGAACCCTTTCATCTACAGCCTGAGAAACAGGGACATTCATAGTGCCCTGTGGAGGCTGCGCAGCAGAACAGTCAAATCTCATGATCTGTTCCATCCTTTCTCTTGTGTGAGTAAGAAAGGGCAACCACATTAAATCTGTACATCTGCAAATCCTAACCCCTTTGTCACATTATTTTTGTTGCTTGATGGCTTTTATTCCTTTCCACATTTCCTATGTGAATATTGCTTTCTTTGTTATGCCTTTAACTGGAATGGGTGAGTATTCTGGGATCCTTTGTTTAGCATAAACATCATGACTGAATCCTCTATATCTGGGCGGCCTCCTTTAGTTTCTCAGCAATAACCCTGTACTCCAGGTGAAATCACAACCATCTTTTTATATACAGGAAGTAATTCATTTTGTAATTTTGTAATTCCCTGAAAATTGACTTTATGGAAACAATGTGCAGCATGTCCTCCAACACCAATGGTTTGTCTAAGGTTGTTTAGTTATAGTGTTGATGAGGAATACCTTGGTTTCACTATACATAATTTTTCTTAAACGTGCAGTTTCCAAGAGACTTTCCAAGATGTTAAGTCAGGACATACTGTACATCAAATTCACATCCTTTTCCACAGTTCATGTGGAATTTCCTTATAAACTGCTTCTAGGGAATCTATTTAGGCAGGTTATGTGTAGAGATCCGTGTCACCGGTTCGGTTCTCAACGTTGGCTTTGATTGAAATCACCTGGGGAGCTTAGACATGATGAGGCCTGGGTCTCATTACCTGACATTCCGATTTACTTGCACCTGTGTGGGCATGCAGATTTTTTTTTTTTTTTTAAAGCACCAGAGACTGTTTCAATGATGAAGTTCCTAGAGGGATCAAGCTCCAATGAATAAGAACAGAAGTTAATTGTAATATGATTTCTTCAAATATTATCTTCAAATGCATTGTCCTAAACATGATGCAAATTTTTATTATGCTGTTCTTTCTTACCACTTAGCATTTTCATTTTACATTTGTTGAAGTTATAGATTTATACACACATTGATTGCTGTTTTATCTCACACTTGTACATACATAAAATGGGAAATAGAAAAGAATAAAATGGTCACAGTATCCCTAAAGTTTCACATTCTGAGACATTTTTAAAATATATATTTTTAAAAAATTTGTTTCAATTAAAAAACTGTGGTATACACACACAATGATGTATTATTCAGCCTAAAAATGAATAAAATCCTCTCCACTGCAGCAGAAATGGGTGAGATTGCAGGTCAGTATATTAAGTGAAATAAGCCAGGCACAGAATGACAAATATTACATGTCCTCACTTATATGTAGGAACAAGAAAGAAAATCTTGGCCAGGGGTGGTGGCTCATGTCTGTTATCCCAGCACTTTGGGAGGCCAGATCAGACGGATCACTTGAGGCCATCTGAGGAGTTGGAGATCAGACTGGCCAACATGGTGAAACTCCATCTCTACTAAAAATACAAAAATTAGCCAGGTGTGCTGGTGCATGCCTGCAGTCCCAGCTACTTGGGAGGCTGAGGCAGCAGAATCGCTTGAAACTAGGAGGCAGAGGTTGCAGTGAGCCAAGATCATGCCTCTATACTCCAACCTGGGCAAGAGAACGAGACTCCATCACACACACACACGCAAAGAAATCTCATGAAGGTGGAGAGTATCAAGGTGTTTAGCAGAGGCTGGGAAGAAAAGGAGTGGGATAGGGAATGGAGAGAAGTGGATAATTGGGTACAAAAATACAGAAAGATGGAATAAATGAGTTCGACTGTTTGACAGTACAGTAGGGAAATTTTAGTTCACAGGAATTTATTGAATATTTCCAGATGGCTTGGAAAGAAGCTTCCTAACTTTCTCATTATGCTAGTTTTTAAGCTATTACCTTTCCGCTCCAATCACACCCTTCTATACTCTTCTTTTTGAGGCTAGACTGGGACTCGAAATCATGCTGTATTTTTTTTTTTTTTAATTGAGGTGGAGTTTTGCTCTTGTTGCCTATGCTGGAGTGCAATGGTGTGATCTCAGCTCACCACAACCTCTGCCTCCTGGGTTTCAAGTGATTCTCCTGCCTCAGCCTCCCGAATAGCTGGGATAACAGGCATGTGCCACCACACCCAGCTAATTTTGTATTTTTAGTAGAGATGAGGTTTCTCCCTGTTGGTCAGGCTGGACTTGAACTTCCGACCTCAGGTGACCGCCCACCTCGGCCTCTCAAAGTGCTGGGATTACAGGCGTGAGCAACCGCACCTGGCCCATGCTGTATTTTTATCTGTTGTTGTTTGTTTGTTTTTGAGCCCAGGAATAACTTCCCACACATATGTCCCAATGATTTTTAAAATAGGTGCCAAGAAAGTTCATTGGTGGAAAAGCATACTTTTCAACAAATCGTGTTGGAGAAACTTGATTTCCACATGCATAAGAATGAAGGTGGACCCTATGTCACACCAGGTACAAAAATTAACACAAACTGGATCAAAGACTTACGCCCAAGAGCTAAAACTATAACATGCCTAAATGAAAACGCTGCCAAAACCTTTATGACATCAGAGTGGACAATGCTTTCTGGGATAAGACACCAAAAGCATAGGCAACAAAAGAAAATTAGATTCCTTGGATTACATCTAAATGACAAACACTTTTGTGCATCAAAAAACACTGTGAACTGAGTGAAAAGATAACCCATGGATTAGGAAAAATATTTGCAAATCATACATCTGAAAAGAGGCTGTTATCCATAATATACAAAGAACAGCTAGAAGTAAACAACAGGAAACCCAAGGCATCCCATTAACAATGGTCAGAAGACTTGAGTAGACATGTCCCTAAAGAAGATATAGCGGCCAGGTGCGGGGGCTCACACCTGTAATCCCGGCACTTTGGGAGGCCGAGGCAGGCAGATCACGAGGTCAGGTGATCAAGACCATCCTGGCTAACACAGTGAAACCCTGTCTCTACTAAAAATACAAAAAATTAGCCAGGCGTGGTGGCAGATGCCTATAGTCCCAGCTAGCTGGGAGGCTGAGGCAGGAGAATGGCTTGAACCCGGGAGGCGGAGCTTGCAGTGAGCCGAGATCGTGCCACTGCACTCCAGCCTGGGCGACAGAGTGAGACTGCGACTCAAAAAAAAAGAAGATATAGCAATGGCCAATAAGCATATAAAATGATGTTCAAAATCGCTAATCTTAAGGAAGTACAAATCAAACCAACAATGTGATACCACACATTAGGATGGATATGATAAACAAACAAGCAATGGTGAAACTAGAGGGAAGTAGGAATGCTCGAATATGATTGGAGGGAACGTAAAATTGTGCAGGAACAGGGAAAATAGTATGGAGTGTATTTGAAAAATGAAAAACAGAATTATCAGATGATCCCACAGTTACATTCGTGGGTACCTCCCAAAAAGAATTAGAAGCCAGCAGTGGAAGAGATATTTGTACACCCATATTCATAGCAGCATTATTCACAACAGCAAAAATGTGGAAGCAACCCAAGCGTTCGTGGACAGAAGAATGAAAAAGCACACTGCAGTTCATTCATACAATGGAAGACTATTCAGCCTTAAAAATGCAGGCACTTCTGGCCAGCGCAGTGGCTCACACCTGTAATCCTAGCATTTTGGGAGGCCAACGTGGGAGGATCACCTGAGGTCAGGAGTTCGAGACCAGCCTGGCCAAAACGGTGAAACCCTGTCTCTACTAAAAATACAAAAAATTAGCCAGGCATGGTGGCGCATGCCTGTAGTCACAGCTACTCCGGAGGCTGAGGCACAAGATCGCTTGAACCTGGGAGGCGGAGGTTGCGGTGAGCCCAGATTGTGCCACTGAACTCCAGCCTGGGTGACAGAGTGAGACTCCATTAAAAAAAAAAAAAAAAAAAAAAAAAAAAAAAAGGCAGGCACTTGTGACACAGGCTGCAACATGGATGAACCTTTAAGACATCATCGTCAGTGAAATACATAAATCCCAAAAGGATAAACACGACCGGGCTCAGTGGCTCGCACCTGTAACCCCAGTACTTTGGGAGGCTGAGGCAGGTGGATCACTTAAGGTCAGGAGTTTGAGACCAGCCTGGCCAATATGGTGAAAGCTCGTCTCTATTAAAAATACAAAAATTAGCTGGGCGTGGTGGCGCACGCCTGTAATCCCAGCTACTCCGGAGACTGAGACACAAGAATCGCTTGAACCCACGATGTGGAGGTTGCAGTGAGCCGAGATCATGCCACTGCACTCCAGCCTGGGCGACAGAGAAAGATTCTGTCTCCAAAACAAACAAACAAACAAACAAAACATGGTGTGATTCCACTTATATCAAGTGTCTAGAGTAGTTAAATGCATAGAGTTGCAAAATAGAATGGTGGCCCCCAGGGGTGGGCGAGAGAGAGGAATGGAGAGTTTGGTTAATGGGTCCCTTTTCCATTTTGAAAGATAAAACTGTTCTGGAGATGATGGAGGTGATGGTTGCTAAACAATGTGAATGTACTTAATGTCATTAAACTGTAAACTGAAAAATAGTGGAAATTGTAAATGTTTATACTGGCCATTCTATATGAAGTAATATATATTTATAATTTTTAATATTTATATGTGGTATATTTCCCAAAATAAAAGATGAAAATTAAAGCAGTTGGATCTTTAAGAAGAAAAGAAAGAAGCGAATAATATACACAAGCTTTCTCCTGATTAGAGGAAGAGCCCCAAAGCTTCAATGGACACTAACTTTTCTCTTCTTCTTGCATTATTATGAGGAAATCCTTAGAAGTTGGGGAATTTGGGTGACTTTGGCTAATGAGGAGCTCTGTGCCCTGAGCCCCACAGGCCATAGAATAGTAAATACTCAGTCTGTGCCTCCAGCCCTGCAGTGTGAGGTTCCAGTCCTGTGGGCTCCACACCCATCACCTCTATCAGGAGGCTCATGTCTCACCCTGTCTTCTTGCCAGTCTTGAGGACGGACTCTGAGACTCCATCGTGCACCACGCAGGGAGGACAGTGGACCTGTTCTCCGTGGTCATGGCCCAGCAGAGGGGAGGGGCAGTTCAGTGAGTGCTGAGGGATGGTTGGGAGCGTTGCTTTGTTTCCTCATCCTCAGGACAAACAGGAGAGTGCAGTGGGCAGATGGGAGGAGACCAATATGCAAACTGTCAGCTCAGCAGACTGTGGAGTTTCTGTTCTTGGTTGTGGTGGGGGTCTCAGAAATGTTATTCAAAATTTTGCTTCCCCCCCACCAATGGTTGTCCTTTTCATAGACATCTCACTCATGATAGCAGGGAATGAGTTCCTCTAAACTATTCCCTAAGCACAACAGAAAGATTATGAAGGTGATGATGAGGATAAAAAGGAAGATGGCAGATACCATGGCACCAAGAACTCTTACTGAGGGCTTCCTAAGTGCCACCTTCTTAGCTCTGTGGTCTATGCAGCTTGTTTCATTTCATCTGTGTAGTCTTCTCCCAGTTATTAGTGCACATTTCATTATCATTTAACAGACTAGAAAAGTTGTGACGCATTTTCATATAACTTGTATCAGATCATGAAGTCGAAAAGGGTGAATTCCCATTTGAACCAGGCAGTCTACGTCCAGACTCATGGCATTTGGCCAGTCCTCTCCCTGCATCCAACCTGCCCTCTCAAATCCTTGTCACTCGGGCAGATGCCCCTGCTCACTGTGCCCTTCCCTTTGGGGGTTCCTGGTAGACCACAGCTAGACCAGTGGATGCCACGTTCACTATGTCAAGTATAGAAAGGGCAGCTAAGATGACATCAAAGATCCCAGAAAGAACTGGCACAGGATCATTCAAGGGGCATCTCTCCCTTGCCCCTGCCCCTGGCTTTCCTTACAGCTCTTGACTTCCTCAAAGGAGTCATAAATTTGGAGTTTGGCTTCCATTCCTACTGAGGAAGCTGGAAACTGTTTCAAAATGCAACTCAGATATGGCTATGGTTAAGACCTCTGACCTCTGCTTACAACTTTTTGAGTGTTGGAAGACCATGAAGTTCAGTGCCTGGGACTTAGAGACTGGCCATTAATTTTGAATGCCACCCTTTCTACTTATCTGTATGGCAAGGGGTGAGATGCCAATCCTCTTGTAACGTCTAAGGTTCTTGCCTAGCCACGCCAAAGAATTGGTGTGAAAGTACAAAGTTTCCACAGTGTGGAAGGGGTCCCGAATGGGTAGCCAGAGTGAGATTATACAATTGCCTTTCAAACTCTTTAAGGCAAGGAATAGGTGTGGTAGGAAGATGTTACCAGAGCGAGAAACAAAGGCAGTAAATTATTTTGTGACATGTCTTAGATTTTGAGGAAAACTGGAATTGCAACTTAGGTTTTGTCTACTTTATGACTTTGTAGCAGCATGGCAAAGGAGACAGGATCTTACAGGACGTTACAAAGCATGTTTACAAGAAATTGGAATTGGGAGCATAGATAAGATCCACTGGTCACAGAAAAATGGGCAGTTAACATTCCTTTTAGTTTCAGGGGAGGGGGAAGGGAGAGAGGACACAGGGATACTTACAGCAAAATTTTTGCTGTTTATAGCTTTCTTGGGGAAGAAAACACATGCACAGATCCTGGTGTTAGGAATATTTTAAGCAAGCATATATCTTCAATATTATTCATCCAGGACTGAAGTAAGTCCTGACACAGGGAAATGAGTGAGTTTCACAGCTTTCTGAGCCCCTACTCAACCCAGGAAGCCCAGCTGGCACCTCCTCTCAGTCCCCCCTGTAAATAGGACACCCCAACTGCTGTTGGGAGCTGAGTGGTGGTTCTTCTAGCTACTTCCTGCTGGTTAGGGATGAAGAAGGGGCCCTGCAGTTGTGGTGTCCTCCAGAGGGGAACTTTCTAGGCTAATGAGGGACCAACGGGTCATTCCAGGGTTTCTCACTAGAAGCCATGAGTTGAGCTCATTTGAGATTCCATTTGTAAGACCATTTGTAGCTTGATGGCCTCGATCCTGGAGGAAACAAATTTGACAAGGAGGTTAAAAATGCAAGGCCTAAAGGTGAGTAATAGTAGGATGGCTGTCACAGGGCCTAGAAAGGGGAGGAGCCCAGGTATCCATTGGTTAAACATATTCCAGTCCTGAGTGTTCAAGCTCCTTTTTCCTACTTTCTATCCGTTCTCTTATTTCTTTGACCTTTTCAGTAATGATTCCTGACTGGTTAATGAAATAGCAACATTCTTCTCTAAGAGGTAGGTTCCTCCTCTTTCAGCTGTTACTATGTCTAGGGCTCTTCAGTTTTGGAGGACTACTGCAGCGAGAGAATTAAGCTGGCTTTGTAGGGTGACTAGGGAGTCAGAGTGCAGGGGAATGCAGAAGAAGGCATCTTTGAGGTGCAGAACAGTGAACTATTCTGCTTCCTCTGGTATCTGAGAGAGCAGCATATAGGGGTTAGGTACAGCAGGATATAAAGGAATTACTGCCTCATTGATTCTGAGGTCTTGCAATAGTCTCCGTTGACTATTTGGTTTTTGTAATTCTAGAATTGGGGTGTTGCAAGGACTGCTACATTTTCTTACTAAGCCTTGAGCTTTTAAATGTCTAACAATATCCTGTAATTCTTTGTGAGCTTCAGGCCTTAAGGGATATTGCGTTTGATAAGGAAAAGTGGTGGGGTCTTTTAGCCTGATTTGAATTGGATGGGCATTCTTTGCCTTTCCTAATTGTCCTTCCAAGGCCCAGACTTCAGAGTTGATTCCTTCTTCAAGTAGGGGACAACAAATGGGTAATTTGTTCCCTATATTTATGTAGATAATAGCTCCAGCTTTGTCTAATATGTCTCTCCTTAATAAGGGTGTGGGACTTTTGGGCGTAACAAGAAAGGCATGTGAAGAGAGCAAAGTCTCCCAATTGCAGCTGGAGGTGAGAGTAATACCTGGTTACAGGGTGTCCTAAGATTCCTCAGATAGTAATGGACTTTGAGGACAGTCTTCCAGGGCAGGAGATTAATCCTGAGAAAGCTGGGCCAGTGTTTAGGAGGAAGTGTACTTCCTGGCCCTCAATGGTCAAACTTACCCAGGGCTCTGTGAGGGTGATTGCATGAGCTGGCACTTGCTCCAGGCACCCTCAGTCCTGTTGCTGAATCATCTGGTTGGGTGCTTCTGGCCCAGGGGGCCTTCATCCTCTGGGGCAGTGCTACTTCCAGTGATTGCCTTGGCATATTGGACATGGGCGAGGGGGCAGTTTGTTTCTAGTTGGACAATCTTTTTTAAAGTGTCCTTGCAAACCGCACTGATAACAAGCCCTACTAGGCAATTGGCCTGCTCCTCTTTTGGTTCCCTCTGAGCCACCAAGGTCTGCCTGTCTGAGAGCCAAGACTAAGGCTGCAGCCTTTCTCTTATCTTGCTTTTCCATTTTGGCCTGTTCCTCTTGGTCCCTGTTATAGAACAACGAGGTTGGCAGGTTTAATAATGCCTCCAAGCTTTGTTCTGGGCCTAAGGCAGACCTTTGGAGTTTTCTCCTAATATCGGCCGCTTCTTAGGTGATAAGTTTATCCTTTAGAATAAGTTGGCCTTCCAGGGAATCCGGAGTTACGGGGGTGTGCCTTCTTAGAGCCTCCCGCAGCATTTCTAGAAAGGCTGAGGGGATTTTCTTCTTTTCCCTGGGTAATGGTGGATAGCATTGAGTAGTTCATAGGCTTTCTCCTAGTCTTCCTCAACCCTTTTAAAATGCAAGTTAGCAAATGCCTGTGGCTCTAATCTCCATGATCTGAGTCAGTATCCCAATAAGGATTTACAGTGGGGACTGCCTGTTCCCCTGTGGGCAATTTTTCCCTCTCCTCCAAGGCCATTCAATGGATTGTTTACCTGGCCAAGGTACTATCGATCCCTAAATTGCTGGGCTGCTGCTAAAGCTGCTTTTTTTTCAGTAGGACTTAAGGTCTGATCAAGAAGTAACATGATATCTCTCCATGTTAGATCAAAGGACTGCTCTAATCCTTGCAGGACATGTATATGGTTATCAGGATCATCCAAGAATTTCCCTAAATCTGCCTTTATTTGTTTTAAATTTGAGAGTGAGAAGGGGGCATGCATGTGAATGCGCCCAAATTCTCCTCCTACTGTTTGTAAGGGACATAGTTCGGGTGCCTGGCTCTCGGAGTTTACGTTCTCTTTCCATTTTGCCTTTAACACTTCAGTGAGGCCAGATGGAGGAGAGTCAGTGCAGGAGGAGAGTGGGGCTGAGGGAAGAGGCCCTGAATATGGAGGTAATTGTGGGCCTCTGTCATTTGGGCAAAGCTCGCAGGCTTGGCACAGGGCAGTATTGTCAAGAAGGGCAAAGAAAGCCTGTACGTAAGGGACTTCACTCCATTTACCTTCCTGCTTACAGAAAAGAGCTAGTTGTAGAAGGGTGTTATAATTAATACATCCCTCAGGGGGCCAAGTTTCTCCATTTTGTAAGGAATACTGTGGCCAGGCAGTGGTACAGAAGAAAATTAGCTGCTTCTTTTTTAAGGTTTCAGGGTCGAATTTGTCCCAGTTATTCAGGATACATCTTAAGGGAGTGTCCGGTTTGGAAGGTGTGGTGCCCATCTGGAATTTTAAACACAGGGATGCCCACACCCCTGGTTAGTCCTGGGACTCATCTTCCCTTAGGGTGTCCCCTAAGGGTCAGGACTAATTGTGCTGAAAGCTCATGGCCGCTTTTCCTGAGCTCTCCATCTACCAGATTTAACCATGCTTACTGGCAGGATGGAAACTTCCCTTGCCCCTGCCATGCACCCATTGACTACTAAATGGGGCACAAGGACTGTTGGATTTATTATGGTCCTTCTGCCAATACATCCAACCTGTTCCAGGGTGGCAAGGCCTGGGTTGGGGGCACCACTGATGCTTGAATGCTAAGGCCCACTTTATGCGGTCCTGGCCATAAAACTGTCCTTCAAGGAGAAATCTCTGAATTAGCAACAGGAGGCTTAGTAAGCTTAAAGGGGGTGGTGGATGTCCTCCAGACCAGGGCTGAGAGAACAGCTGCTGTACTTTAGCCTTCTGTCCCCACTTGCCATCAAAAGAGTAAGCCCCCCTCTCAAGGTGGTACCAGTATCCTGTGTCCCAACTGACTACATTTTCTTCCAATACCAATTATTAAATGGTTGAAACAACAATTCAATGGCTCTAAGAGCTGTACCCATGCACCATAGATTGTACTTGATAGGCCCCAAGGAAGGGGAAAGTTTATCTGGGGAGCAATGGAGGAAATGCCCTAAGGCTTCTACTATCCACATGAAAATTACAGACCTATCTTTAAATTATCCTGATGTGGGGGACTACACACTATGGTGGGGAACTGGTCCTTCAAAATAGCCATCAAATGGTGACACCTGCCTGAACCCTAGAGGGCACCATGAACAGGGATCTTCTGGGTGCCACCCCAAGACTTTAAGTCTTCTAAATAGGGAATCTTGATCCTGTCTAGTGGGAATAACCTTGCTTACAAGATGAGGAAAGAAGTCTAACTGGTGGACATTAGGACTCATTAGGAGGTGGGAGTCAGAAGATGTGGCTGTCTCATGCTCACTAACCCATGCAGGGGGAGCCTCTGGCAGGGCTGTGGTCTCAACTAGGATATCTGGGAGACTAAGATTTCCACTGAGCACTCCCAGGTGTACTTCAGAACCACCATGGAAAGCAAAAGAGTTGGAACTGGTTCCAGGCCAACCAATGCTCCCAAACCTGAAGGGTCAGGGGTTGTTAGAGAACCTTTTCCAGACAGCCTGACACCCGTGTCTTTAGTCCAGCAGCCACACTAATCACCTTTAAGTGGCTGACAGGTGCCTAGTTTAGCCTCCAAATTCTAAGGAAGGACAGGACAGAATAGCAAGCAAAAGAGGTCTGATTGTACTCACAGTGTGATGATCTAGATGCCTTTCCTGGAGTATCCTGCCTGGCTCACCAAAATGTAACACCTAAGGTTCTTGCCTAGCCACACCAAAGAATTGGTGTGGTGGCTGACTATGGTGAGTGATAGAGGCAAGGACCGAGAGAGAGAAAAAGTTGTAGGCTTTATTGAGCTGAGTGAAAGCACACTGTGGAAGGTGTCCTGAACAGGTAACCAGAGTGAGATTATACAATTGCCTTTTCAACTCTTTAAGGCAGGAAATATGTGTGGTGGGAAGATGTTACCAGATTGAGAAACAAAGGCAGTAAATTATTTTGTGACATGTCTTAGATTTTGAGGAAAACTGGAATTGCAACTTAGGTTTTAGCTACTTTATGACCTTGCAGTAGCATGGTAAAGGAGACAGGATCTTACAGGACCTTACAAAGTACTTTTATAAGAAATTGGAATTGGGAGCATAGATAAGGTCTGCTGGTCACAGAAAAATGAGCAGTTAACATTCCTTTTAGTTTTGGGGTAGGGGGAAGAGAAATAGGACACAGGGAAACTTACAGCAAAATTTTTTTGCTGTTTATAGCTTTCTTGGGGAAGAAAACACAATGCACAAATTCTGGTGTTAGGAATATTTTAAGCATATATCTTCAATATTATTCATCCAGGACTGAAGTAAGTCCTGATGCAGGGAAATGAGTGAGTTTCACAGCTTTCTGAGCCCCTACTCAACCCAAGAGGCCCAGCTGGCACCTCCTCTCATTCTGAGACTCATCACTGTCATATGAGTTGATTTCTTGTTGATCCAACAGAAGTGAGCAGTGATTAAACCTATTGTAGGTGCCCACTGCATGATGTCTATGTGATGGATGTATCAAGTAAAGACAAAGTGAATTTAAGATACATTCATAATATTTTAAGCTTAATCTCCATACAATTCAACTGAAGTATCCCCTGACCTGAAGTTCTGGTTTCCCTGCATTCCAGACAGGACATTTTATTTTGTCCTTATCTAAGTAAGTACTGAGTATTGTGAGAGGAACAAGTGAGTTTCTTTTGCTTCTGATTCTCCAGAGTCTATATTTTGCGTGGCACACAGGAGATAGCAAAAGTAAAAATCTATGTTAATTATTGAATAGAACCTTCCTTGGTTCACAAAAATTGGCTGTGATCAGTGTGACTTCGACTTACTTAATTCTTTTTTTTTTTTTTTCTGAGACAGAGTTTCACTCTTGTTACCCAGGCTGAAGTGCAATGGTGTGATCTCAGCTCACAGCAACTTCCACCTCTCAAGTTCAAGTGATTTGTTTGCTCAGCCTCCTGAGTAGCTAGGGTAACAGGTATGCACCACTATGGCCAGCTAATTTTGTATTTTTAATAGAGATGGGGTTTCTCCATGTTGGTCAGGCTGTTCTTGAACTCCTGACCTCAGGTGATCTGCCTGCCTCGGCCTCTCAAAGTGCTGGGATTACAGGCATGAGCCGCCATGCCCAGCCCAACATACTCAATTATTTGCTGCCTGTTCTTTCATCCCTTCCAGCAACATGCCATAGAACTAGAGATGATAAAACAACACTTGTTTGTTTCTATGTCATGACGTGGGTCCTATGATTCTATTGATTAGTATTCACAGCATTCAATTATTCAAAAACCAAGGAAGAGCTTTTCATAGGTCTAATAAAAAAGAAATAGAGGCAGAAAGAAATGGGGGCAGGTAAACCTTATTGCTTGGACTGACACACATTTTAGACTTTCACATTACTCCAGACTCAAAAAAAGTAAACCAAAATGTTCTTAGAACTTCATTATTGTTTAATCATTGACAGCTGTATTGCACACTGTGGACATTGGTGTAGTAAGTGATGGCCTATGGTTATGTCCATTTTTTTTTTATTATACTTTAAGTTCTAGGGTACATGTCCACAACCTGCAGGTTTGTTACATACGTATACATGTGCCATGTTGGTTTGCTGCACCCATCAACTCAACATTTACATTAGGTATTTCTCCTAATGCTATCCCTCTCCCAGCTGCCTACCCCCTGACAGGCCCCGGTGTGTGATGTTCCCTGCATTTTGTTCATGTGTTCTCATTGTTCAACTCCCACCTGAGTGAGAACTTGTGGTGTTTGGTTTTCTGTCCTTGTGACACTTTGCTTACAATGATGGTTACAGGCTTCATCCATGTCCCTGCAAAGGACATGAACTCATCCTTTTTTATGGCTGCATAGTATTCAATGGTGTATGTGTGCCACATTTTCTTAATCCAGTCTATCATTGATGGACATTTGGGTTGGTTCCAAGTCTTTGGTATTGTGAATAGTGCCACAATAAACATTCGTGGGCATGTGTCTTTATAGTAGAATGATTTTTAATCCTTTGGGTATATACCCAGTAATGGGATTGCTGGGTCAGATGGTATTTCTAGTTCTAGATACTTGAGGAATTGCCACACTGTCTTCCACAATGGTTGAACTAACTTACACTCCCACTAACATGTGAAAGTGTTCCTATTTCTCCACTTCTCTCCAGCATCTGTTGTTTCCTGACTTTTTAATGATTACCATTCTAACTGGTGTAAAATGAGATCTCATTGTAGTTTTGATTTGCATTTCTCTGATGACAAGTGATGATGAGCTTTTTTTCATATGTCTGTTGGCTGCATAAATGTCTTCTTTTGAGAAGTGTCTGTTTATATTCTTTGCCCACTTTTTGATGGGGCTTTTTTTCTTGTAAATTTGTTTAAGTTCATTGTAGATTCTGGATATTAGCCCTTTGTCAGATGGATAGATTGCAAAAATTTTCTCCCATTCTGTAGGTTGCCTGTTCACTCTGATGGTAGTTTCTTTTGCTGTGCAGAAGCTCTTTAGTTTAATTAAATCCCATTTGTCTATTTTGGCTTTTGTTGCCATTGCTTTTGGTGTTTTAGTCATGAAGTCTTTGCCCACGCCTATGTCCTTAATGATATTGCCTAGGTTGTCTTCTAGAATTTTTATGGTGTTAGGTCTTATATTTAAGTCTTTAATCCATCTTGAGTTAATTTTTGTATATGGTGTAAGGAAGGGATCCAGTTTCAGCTTTCTACATATGGCTAACCAGTTTTCCCAGCACCATTTGTTAAATAGGGAATCCTTTCCCCATTGCTTATTTTTGTCAGATTTGTCAAAGATCAGATGGTTGTAGATGAGTGGTGTTATTTCTGAGGCCTCTGTTCTGTTCCATTGGTCTATATATCTGTTTTGGTACCAGTACCATGCTGTTTTGGTTACTATAGCCTTGTAGTATAGTTTGAAGTTAGGTAGCGTGCTGCCTCCATCTTTGTTCTTTTTGCTTAGGATTGTCTTGGCTATGTGGGCTCTTTTTTGGTTCCATATGAAATTTAAAGTAGTTTTTTCCAATTCTGTGAAGAAAATTAGTGCTAGTTGATGGAAATGGCATTGAATCTATAAATTACCTTGGGCAGTATGGCCATTTTCACAATATTGATTCTTCCTACCCATGAGCATGGAATGTTCTTCCGTTTCTTGGCGTCCTCTTTTATTTCGTTGAGCAGTGATTTGTTGTTCTCCTTGAAGAGGTCCTTCACATCCCTTGTAATTTGGATTCCCAGGTATTTTATTCTCTTTCTCACAGTTGTGAATGGGAGTTCACTTATGATTTAGCTCTCTATTATTGGTGTATAGGAATGCTTGTCATTTTTGCACATTGAATTTGTATCCTGAGACTTTGCTGAAGTTGCTTGTCAGCTTAGGGAGATTTTGGGCTGAGACAATGGGGTTTTCTAAATATACAATCATGTCGTCTGCAAACAGAATTTGACTTCCTCTTTTCCTAATTGAATACCCTTTATTTCTTTCTCTTGCCTGATTGCACTAGCCAGAAATTCCAACACTATGTTGAATTGGAGTGGTGAGAGAGGCCATCGTTGTCTTGTGCCAGTTTTCAAAGGGAATGCTTCCAGTTGTTGCCCATTCAGTATGATATTGGCTGTGGGTTTGTCATAAATAGCTCTTATTATTTTGAGATACGTTCCATCAATACCTAGTTTATATAGAGTTTTTAGCATGAAGGTCTGTTGAATTTTGTCAAAGGTCTTTTCTGCATCTATTGAGATAATCATGTAGTTTTTGTTCTTGGTTCTCTTTATGTGATGGATTACGTTTATTGATTTGTGTATGTTGAACAAGCCTTGCATCCCAGGGGTGAAGCTGACTTGATAGTGGTGGATAAGCTTTTTGATGTGCTGCTGGATTCTGTTTGCCAGTATCTTACTGAGGATTTTCTCATTGATGTTCGTTAGAAATATTGGTCTAAAATTCTCTTTTTTTGTTGTGTCTCTGCCAGGTTTTGGTATCAGGATGATCCTGGTCTTATAAAATGAGTTAGGGAGGATTCTCTCTTTTTCTGTTGATTGGAATAGTTTCAGAAGGAATGGTACCAGTTCCTCTTTATACCTCTGGTAGAATTTGGCTGTGAATCTGTCTAGTCCTGGACTTTTTTTGGTTGGTAGACTATTAATTATTGCCTCAATTTCAGACCTTCTTATTGGTCTATTCAGAGATTCAACTTCCTCCTGGTTTACTCTTGGGTGGGTGTATGTGTCCAGGAATATATCCATTTCTTCTAGATTTCTAGTTTATTAGCATAGAGGTGTTTATAGTATTCTGATGGTAGTTTGTATTTCTGTGGGACCAGTGGTGATATCTCCATTATCATTTTTTATTGTGTCTATTTGATTATTTCTTCTTTTCTTCTTTATTAGTCTTGCTAGCGGTCTGTGTTGTTGATCTTTTCAAAAAACCAGCTCCTGGATTCATTGATTTTTTTGAAGTGTTTTTTGTGTCTCTTATCTCCTTCAGTTCTGCTCTGAACTTATTTTTTGACTTCTGCTAGCTTTTGAGTTTCTTTGCTCTGGCTTCCCTAGTCCTTGTTCTTTTTTTTTTTTCTTCTTCTTTTTTTTTTTTTGAGATGGAGTTTCCCTCTTGTTGCCCAGGCTGGAGTGCAATGGCTCAATCTTGGCTCATTGCAACCTCCACCTCCCAGGTTCAAGGGATTCTCCTGCCTTAGCCTCCTGAGTAGCTGGGATTGCAGGCATGTGCCACCACACCAGGCTAATTTTGTATTTTTAGTAGAGATGGAGTATCTCCATGTTGGTCAGACTGGTCTCGAACTCCTGACCTCAGGTGATTCGCCTGCCTCAGCCTCCCAAAATGCTGGGATTACAGGTATGTGCCACCTCGCCTGGCCTTCCCTAGTTCTTTTAATTTGATGTCAGGGTGTCAATTTTAGATCTTTCCTTCTTTCTCTTGTGGGCATTTAGTGCTATAAATTTCCCTCTACACACTGCTTTAAATGTGTCCCAGAGATTCTGGTATGTTGTGTGTTTGTTCTCACTGGTTTTAAAGAACATCTTCACTTCTGCCATCATTTTGCTATTTACCCAGTAGTCACTCAGGAGCAGGTTGCTCAGTTTCCATGTAGTTGTGCAGTTTTGAGTGAGTATCTTAATCCTGAATTGTACTTTGATTGCACTGTGGTCTGACAGATAATTTGTTGTGATTTCTGTTCTTTTACATTTGCTGAGGAGTGTTTTACTTCCAATTATGTGGTCAATTTTAGAATAAGTGTGATGTGGTGCTGACAAGAATGTATATTCTGTTGATTTGGGGTAGAGAGTTCTGTAGATGTCTATTAGGTCCACTTGTTCCAGAGGTGAGTTCAAG
The DNA here is from genome assembly GCF_000001405.40 of Homo sapiens. NCBI lineage: Eukaryota > Metazoa > Chordata > Mammalia > Primates > Hominidae > Homo > Homo sapiens. The sequence goes on along the minus strand of NC_000011.10, from coordinate 86,840,581 downwards.
TCCTGGATATCCTTGTTAACCTTCTGTCTTGTTGATCTGTCTAATACTGAAGTGGGGTGTTAAAGCCTCCCATTATTATTGTGTGGGAGTCTCTTTGTAGGTCTCTAAGGACTTGCTTTATGAATCTAGGTGCTCCTGTATTGGGTGCATATATATTTAGGATAGTTAGCTCTTCTTGTTTAATTGATCCCTTTACCATTATGTAGTGGCCTTCTTTGTCTCTTTTGATCTTTGTTGGTTTAAAGTCTGTTTTAACAAAGACTAGGATTGCAATCCCTGCTTTTTTTGTTTGTTTGTTTGTTTTGCTTTCCATTTGCTTGGTAGATCTTCCTCCATCCTTTTATTTTGAGCCTATGTGCATCTTTGCACATGAGATGGGTATCCTGAATACAGCACACTGATGGGTCTTGACTCTTTATCCAATTTGCCAATCTGTAGCTTTTAATTTGGGCATTTAGCCCACTTACATTTAAGGTTAATATTACTATGTTTGAATTTGATCCTGTCATTATGATGTTAGCTGGTTATTTTGTCCATTAATTAATGCAGTTTCTTCATAGCATCGATGTCTTTACAATTTGGCATGTTTTTGCAGTGGCTGGTACAGGTTGTTCCTTTCCATGTTTAGTGCTTCCTTCAGGAGCTCTTGTAAGGCAGGCCTGGTGATGACAAAATCTCTTAGCATTTGCTTGTCTGTGAAAGATTTTATTTCTCCTTCACTTATGAAGCTTAGTTTGGCTGCATACGAGATTCTGGATTGAAAATTCTTTCCTTTAGGAATGCTGAATATTGGCCCCCACTCTCTTCTGGCTTGTAGGGTTTCTGCCAAGAGATCTGCTGTTAGTCTGATGCACTTTCCTTTCTGGGTAGCTTGACCTTTCTCTTTGGCTGCCTTTAACATTTTTCCTTCATTTCAACCTTGGTGAATCTGACGATTATGTGTCTTGGGGTTGCTCTTCTCAAGGAATATCTTTGTGGTGTTCTCTGTATTTCCTGAATTTGAATGTTGGCCTGCCTTGCTACGTTAGGGAAGTTCTCCTGGATAATATCCTGAAGAGTGTTTTCTAACTTGGTTCCATTCTCCCTATCACTTTGAGGTACATCAATCAAACATAGATTTGGTCTTTTCACATAGCCCCATATTTCTTGGAGGCTTTGTTAGGTTTTTTCCCTCTTTTTTCTCTATTCTTCTCACTTTATTTCATTAATTTGACCTTCAGTCACTGATAACGCATGCATCATGAAGTTCTCCTGCTGTGGTTTTCAGCTCCATCAGGTAATTTAAGGTCTCTTCTGCACTGTTTATTCTAGTTAGCCACTCGTCTAACCTTTTTTCAAGGTTTTTAGCTTCCTTGTGATTGGTTAGAACATGCTCCTTTAGCTCAGAGAAGTTCGTTACTACTGACCTTCTGAAGTCTACTTCTGTCAACTCGTTAAGCTCATTCTCCATCCAGTTTTGTTCCCTTGCTGGCGAGGAGCTGCAATCCTTTGGAGGAGAAGAGGCGCTCTGTTGTTTTTTTTTTTTAATTTTTTGCTTTTCTGCTCTGGTTTCTCCCTATCTTTGTGGTTTTATCTACCTTTGGTCTTTGATATTGGTGACATACAGATGGGGTTTTCATGTGGATGTCCTTTTTGTTGATGTTGATGTTGATGCTATTCCTTTCTCTTTGTTAGTTTTCCTTCTAACAGTCAGGCCCCTCAGTTGCAGGTCTCTTGGAGTTTACTGGAGGTCGATTCCAGAACCTGTTTGCCTGGGCATCACCAGTGGAGGCTGCAGAACAGCAAATATTGCTGCCCGATCTTTCCTCTGGAAGCTTCATCTGAGAGGGGCACCCACCTGTTTGAGGTGTCTTTGCTCCCCTTCTGGGAGATGTCTCCCAGTCAGGCTACACAGGGTTCAGGGACCCACTTGAGGAGGCAGTATGTCTGTTCTTGGAGCTCGAATGCCATGCTGAGAGAACCACTGCTCTCTTCAGAGCTGTCAGACAGGGATGTTTAAGTCTGCAGAATCTGTCTGCTGCCTTTCGTTCTGCTATGCCCTGCCCCCAGAAGTGAAATCTAGAGAGGCAGTAGGCCTTGCTGAGCTGTGGTGGGTTCCAGCCAGTTTGAGCTTCCTGGCAGCTTTGTTTACACTGTGAGCTACTCAAGCCTCAGCAATGGCAGATGCCCCTCTCCCCATCAAGCTGCAGCCCCACAGGTTGATCTCAGACTGCTGTGCTAACAGTGAGCAAGTCTCCGTGGCTGTGGCACCCACCAAGCCAGGCATGGGAGGGTATCTCCTGGTCTGCTATTTGCTATGACAATGGGAAAAGTGCACTATTTGGTCAAGAGTGTACCGTTTCTCTTTTTGGTGGTGATGGATGTGCTGGTGATGGTTGATTGTTGTGATGGTTTTGTAGGTGTGTGCCTGTGTCAATGCAGATCAAATTTTATATTGTAAACACATGAAGTGTACTGGATGCCAATTATATGTCAATAAAGCTATTTTAAAAATTGAAAAAAAAAAAAGAGTGTACCGTTTCTTCAGATACAGTCTGTCACGGCTTCCCTTGGCTAGGAAAGGGAAATCTGCTGACCCCTTGCACTTCCCAGGTGAGGTGACACCCTGCCCTACTTCAGTTCACCCTCTGTGCACTTCACCCACTGTCCAAGCAGTCCCAATGAGAAGAACCAGGTACCTCAGTTGGAAATGCAGAAATCACCCATCTTCTGTGTCGATCTCACTAGGAGCTGCAGACCAGAGCTGTTCCTATTTGGCCATCTTAAAAGCGATCTCCAGTTATGTCCATTTAACTAAAACTTTCTCTCTTTTTTTGAGATGGAGTCTCGCTCTGTCACCCAGACTGAAGTGCAGCAGTGTGATCTTGGCTCACTGTAGCCTCTGCATCCCAGGTTCAAGCCATTCTCCTGTCTCAGCCTCCCAAATAGCTGGGACAACAGGTGCATGCTGCCATGCTTAGCTAATATTTGTAATTTTAGTAGAGGCATGGTTTCACCATGTTGCCCAGGATAATCTTGATCTCCTGACCTTGTGATCCACCCACCTCAGCCTCCCAAAGTGCTGGGATTACAGGTGTGAGCCACTGTGTCTGGCCAAACTTTCTTATGAAATCTCTAAGTCCGCCTAAGCTAGGGACAGAAGTTATATCTTACATGAATTTTAAAACAAGGCCCACCTACTCGAGTAAGCAATTACTCTCTTGAAGGAGAAAAGTCAGAGAACATAACTGGCATCTGGAAATATTTTCTGATTATGAACTATCAACTATAATTTTATTTCCAGATGACCTGGTCTCAGCTGTTACACAGTGTTTATAAATGTTCTAAATCAAGGGAACTTGTGGCAATCTATTAGAATAAAATAATACATTTGAGTTCTTAATTTCTTTTAATTAGGATAAACTTTTTCTTAAAGCAAAGAGAATGATTTTATTACATATTTTTCTTTGGAAAAGATAGGCTGTATTTTCTAGCAATTATGAATTTGTTATATATGATGATCTGGTTCTTGGAACATTCTTGAATCTAGTGTCTCTAAGGCAGGTGTGTACAGCAAGAAGTGAATAACACAAAACTCAATAAAAGAATTATAAAAAAATTGAGTTTGTCAGAACTGCACAATATTGCTGAGTGTGGATTGCTCTGAAATCTGAAAACATTACTTGTGAATTGCTTATATCCAAAATGCAGACACAGTTCTGGGTGTTGGTTTACTTGTTTTCTATTTTTCAATCCTCTTTTCTACTCAAAATATGTCCAAACTCTGAGGGTGCCCGGGGCAAGTGCCAGTCCATGCCATCACCCTCACAGAGCCCTGGGTATGCTTGACCATTGACAGCCAGGAGGTTAATTGTCTCCTGGACACTGGCACGGCCTTCTCAGTCTTACTCTCCTGTCCTGGACAACTGTCCTCCAGATCTGTCACTATTCGAGGGGTCCTGGGACAGCCAGTCACTAGATACTTCTCCCAGCCACTAAGTTGTGACTAGGGAGCTTTACTGTTTTCACATGCTTTTCTAATTATGCCTGAAAGCCCCACTCCCTTGTTAGGGAGAGATATTCTAGCAAAAGCAGGGGCTATTACACACCTGAACATAGGAAAAGGAACACCCATTTGTTCTTCCCTGCTTGAGGAAGGAATTAATCCTGAAGTCTGTGTAACAGAAGGACAATATGGATGAGCAAAGAATACCCATCCTGTTCAAGTCAAACTAAAGGATTCTGCCTCCTTTCCCTACCAAAGGCAGTATCCCCTTAGACCCCAAGGCCCAACAAGGACTCCAAAAGATTGTTAAGGACCTAAAAGCCCAAGGCCTAGTAAAACCGTGCAATAGCCCCTGCAATACTCCAATTTTAGGAGTACAGAAACCCAACGGACAGTGGAGGTTAGTGCAAGATCTCAGGATTATCAATGAGGCCCTTGTCCCTCTATACCCAGCTGTACCTAACCCTTACACTCTGCTTTCTCAAATACCAGAGGAAGCAGAGTGGTTTACAGTCCTGGGCCTTAAGGATGACTTTTTCTGCATCCCTGTACATCCTGACTCTCAATTCTTGTTTGCCTTTGAAGAACCTTCAAACCCCACATCTCAACTCACCTGGACTGTTTTACCGAAAGGGTTCAGGGATAGCCCCCATCTATTTGGCCAGGTATTAGCCCAAAACTTGAGCCAATTCTCATACCTGGACACTCTTGTCCTTCGGTACGTGGATGATTTACTTTTAGCTGCCCGTTCAGAAACCTTGTGCCATCAAGCCACCCAAGCACTCTTAAATTTCCTCACTACCTGTGGCTACAAGGTTTCCAAACCAAAGGCTCAGCTCTGCTCACAGGAGGTTACGTACTTAGGGCTAAAATTATCCAAAGGCACCAGGGCCCTCAGTGAGGAACGTATCCAGCCTATACTGGCTTAATCTCATCCTAAAACCCTAAAGCAACTAAGAGGGTTCCTTGGCATAACAGGTTTCTGCCGAATATGGATTCCCAGGTAAGACGAAATAGCCAGACCATTATATACACTAATTAAGGAAACTCAAAAAGCCAATACCCATTTAGTAAGATGGACCCCTGAAGCAGAAGCAGCTTTCCAGGCCCTAAAGAGGGCCCTAACCCAAGCCCCAGTGTTAAGCTTGCCAACGGGGCAAGACTTTTCTTTATATGTCACAGAAAAAACAGGAATAGCTCTAGGAGTCCTTACACAGGTCCAAGGGATGAGCTTGCAACCCATGGCATACCTGAGTAAGGAAATTGATGTAGCGGCAAAAGGTTGGCCTCATTGTTTACAGGTAGTGGTGGCAGTAGCAGTCTTAGTATCTGAAGCAGTTAAAATAATACAAGGAAGAGATCTTACTGTGTGGACATCTCATGATGTGAAAGGCATACTCACTGCTAAAGGAGACTTGTGGCTGTCAGACAACTGTTTACTTAAATATCAGGCTCTATTACTTGAAAGGCCAGTGCTGCAACTGCACACTTGTGCAACTCTTAACCCAGCTACATTTCTTCCAGACAATGAAGAAAAGGTAGAATATAACTGTCAACAAGTAATTGCTCAAACCTATGCCACTTGAGGGGACCATTTAGAGGTTCCCTTGACTGATCCCCACCTCAACTTGTATACTGATGGAAGTTACTTTGTAGGAAAAGGACTTCGAAAAGCGGGGTATGCAGTGGTCAGTGATAATGGAATACTTGAAAGTAATCCCCTCACTCCAGGAACTACTGTTCAGCTGGCAGAACTAATAGCCCTTACTCGGGCACTAGAATTAGGAGAAGGAAAAAGGGTAAATATATATACAGACTCTATGTATGCTTACCTAGTCCTCCATGCCCATGCAGCAATATGGAGAGAAAGGGAATTCCTAACTTCCGAGGGAACACCTATCAAACATCAGGAAGCCATTAGGAAATTATTATTGGCTGTACAGCAACCTAAAGAGGTGGCAGTCTTACACTGCCGGAGTCATAGGAAAGGAAAGGAAAGGAAAGGAAAGGAAAGGAAAGGAAAGGAAAGGAAAGGAAAGGAAAAAGGAAAGGAAAGGAAAGGAAAGGAAAGGAAAGGAAAGGAAAGGAAAATAGAAGGGAATCACCAAGCAGATATTGAAGCCAAAAGAACCGCAAGGCAGGACGCTTCATTAGAAATGCTTATAGAAGGACCCCTAGTTTGGGTAATCCCCTCGGGAAAACCAAGTCCCGGTACTCAGAAGAAGAAATAGAATGGGGAACCTCAGGAGGACATAGTTTCCTCCCCTCAGGATGACTAGCCACCGAAGAAGGAAAAATACTTTTGCCTGCAGCTAACCAATGAAAATTACTTAAAACCCTTCACCAAATCTTTCACTTAGGCATTGATAGCACCCATCAGATGGCCAAATTCTTATTTACTGGACCAGGCCTCTTCAAAACTATTAAGCAGATGGTCAGGGCCTGTGAAGTGTGCCAAAGAAATAATCCCCTGCACTGCAGGCCATACATTTCAATCCCTGTATCTCTAACCTCCTTGTTAAGTTTGTCTCTTCCAGAATCGAAGCTGTAAAACTACAAATGTTCTTCAAATGGAGCCCCAGATGCAGTCCATGACTAAGATCTACCATGGACCCCTGGACCGGCCTGCTAGCACATGCTCTGATGTTAATGACATCGAAGGCACCCCTCCCGAGGAAATCTCAACTGCACAACCCCTACTATGCCCCAATTCAGCAAGAAGCAGTTAGAGTGGTCAGTCGGCCAACCTCCCCAACAGTACTTGGGTTTTCCTGTTGAGAGGGGGGACTGAGAGACAGGACTAGCTGGATTTCCTAGGCCAACTAAGAATCCCTAAGCCTAGGTGGGAAGGTGACTGCATCCACCTTTAAACACGGGGCTTGCAACTTAGCTCACGCCCGACCAATAAGAGAGCTTACTAAAATGCTAATTAGGCAAAAACAGGAGGTAAAGAAATAGCCAATCATCTATGGCCTGAGAGCACAGTGGGAGGGAAAATGATCTGGATATAAACCCAGGCATTCGAGCCAGCAATGGCTACCCTCTATGGATCCCCTCCCTTTGTATGGGAGCTCTGTCTTCACTCTATTAAATCTTGCAACAGTAAATATATATATATATATACATGTCCGAACTATACAGACCCACAGAATCTAACAGATGCTTCAAAATTCCTCCTCCTAGAACTCTCAGAGGATCCAAAACTGCAGCTGGCCCTCGCTGGGCTGTTCCTGTTCATGTACCTAGTCATGGTGCTGGAGAATCTGCTCATTATCCTGGCCGTCAGCTCTGACTTCCACCTCCACACCCCCATGTACTTCTTCCTCTCCAACCTGTCCTTGGCTGACATCGGTTTCACCTCCAACACGGTCCCCAAGATGATTGTGGACATCCAATCTCACAGCAGAGTCATCTCCTATGCAGGCTGCCTGACTCAGATGTCTCTCTTTGCTGTTTTTGGAGGCATGGAAGAAAGACATGCTCCTGAGTGTGAGGGCCTATGACCGGTTTGTAGCCATCTGTCACCCTCTATATTATTCAGCCATCATGAACCCATGTTTCTGTGGCTTCCTAGTTTTGTGTTTTTTTTTTTCTCAGTCTTTTAGACTCCCAGCTGCACAATTTGATTGCCTTACAAATGACCTGCATCAAGGATGTGGAAATTCCTAATTTCTTCTGTGACCCTTCTCAACTCCCACACCTTGCGTGTTGTGACACCTTCACCAATAACATAGTCATGTATTTCCTTGCTGCCATATTTGGTTTTCTTCCTATCTCACGGATCATTTTCTCTTACTATAAAATTGTTTCCTCCATGCTGAGTGTTTCATCATCAGGTGGGAAGTATAAAGCCTTCTCCACCTGTGGGTCTCCCCTGTCAGTTGTTTGCTTATTTTATGGAAAAGTCGTTGGGGGGTACCTGAGTTCAGATGTGTCATCTTCCCCCAGAAAGGGTGCAGTGGCCTCAATGATGTACACGGTGATCACCCCCATGCTGAACCCCTTCATCTACAGACTGAGAAACAGGGACATCAAAAGGGTCCTGTGGTGGTTGCATGGCAGAACAGTTTAATCTCATTATTTTATTATCTGTTCCATTCCTTTTGTAGTGTGGGTTAAAAAAGGCAGCAAGGTCAAATACGAATAATATCACAGGGTGAAGACCCACTGTGATATTAAGAGTAATAGCTCCCTAGGATATGAAAAATACTATCACAGAGTGTACACACATGGAGTACACCCACTGTGATATTAGAAGCCATATTTCCCTAAAATATTGTGAAAAATATCCCCAGGTGTACACCCTCTGTGATATTAGAAGTCATATTTACCCTGGATGTTATGAATAATATCAAGGGTGTTCACACATGTGGTACACCCACTGTGATATTAGGAATTATATCTCCCTACGATATTATGAATGACATCACTGGGGGTGTACGCACATGGTGAACACCACCAGTAATATTAACAACATCCCCATAGAATATTATGAAGAATATCACAGGGGGTGTACATACATGGCATACATCCCCTGTGACATTAGGAGTAACATTTACCTCGGATATTATGAGTAATATCACGGGAGTTACACCATCTCGAACATTAGGAGTAAGGTCCCCCTAGGATATTACGAATAATATCACAGGGTGTACACACACTGGAACATGAGGAGTAACATCATTCCGGAATATTGTGAATAATATCACAAGGTGCACATCACCTGTGACATTAGGAGGAACACTGGCATAGGATATTACAAATAATATGACAGGGTGTATACCCGCTGCGACACTAGGAGTAACATCTCTCTAGAATATTAGAAATAATATCACAAGGTGTACAAGCATTATGACATTGGTAGTAACATACCTTTAGGATATTATGAATAACATCACAGTGTGTACACCCCCTGTGACATTAGGAGTAACATCCCCTAGAATATTAGGAATGATATCACAGGGCGTACACCCCCTGTGACATTAGTAGTAACATTCCCCTAGGATATTATGAATAATATTACAGGGTGTAGAGCCCCGGTGATATTAAGAGTAACATTTCTATAGGCTATTACGAATAATATCACGGTGTGTATACCACGTGTAACATTAAAAGTAACATCCCCCAAAACTATTACAAAAAATTTCACAGGGGGTACACCTGCTATGACATTAGGAGTATCATCCCACTAGGATATTACAAAAAATATCACAGGGTGTACACACCCTGTGACATGAGGAGTAACAACTTTCTAGGATATTACGAATAATACAAAAAGGTGTAAACCCGCTATGACATTAGGAGTAATATTCCCTTAGGATATTACGAATAATACAAAAAGGTGTAAACCCGCTATGACATTAGGAGTAATATTCCCTTAGGATATTATGAATAATATCGCAGGGTGTACAAGCATTGTGACATTAGTAATAACATCCTGCTAGGATATAAAAAATAATATCACGGAGTGTACACCTTCTGTGACATTAGGAATAACATCCGCCTAGGATATTACGAATAGTATTACAAGTTGTAAACCCCGTTGACATTAGGAGAAACATCCCCCTAGGATATTCCAAATAATATCACTGGGTGTACACGCCTGTGACATTAGGAGTAACATCCGTGTAGCACATTATGTATAATATCACAGTTTGTAAACCCCCTGTGACTTTAAAAGTAACATCCCCATAGAATATTTCAAATGATGTCACAGGGTGTACACCCCTGATGACATTAGGAGGAACATCTCCCTAGGATATCATGAATAATATCACAGGGTGTACACCCAGTGAGATATTAGGAGTAATATCTTCCTAGGATATTACAAATAATGTTAAAGGGTGTACACCTCTGTGATATTAGTAGTAATGTCTCCCTAGGATATTACGAATAATATTACGGGGTGTATAGCCCCTGTGATATGAGGAGCAACACTTCTATAGGATATTACAGAGTCAAGCCAAGATGGCCGAATAGGAACAGCTCTGGTCTACAGCTCCCAGCATGAGCGACACAGAAGATGGGTGATTTCTGCATTTCCATCTGAGGTACCAGGTTCACCTCACTAGGGAGTGCCAGACAGTGGGCACAGGTCAGTGGGTGCAGTGCACCATGTGCGAGCTGAAGCAGGGCGAGGCACTGCCTCACTTGGGAAGCGCAAAGGGTCAGGGAGTTCCCTTTTCTAGTCAAAGAAAGGGGTGACAGATGGCACCTGGAAAATCGGGTCACTCCCACCCTAATACTGCGCTTTTCCGACAGGCTTAAAAAACGATGCACAAGGAGATTATATCCCGCACCTGGCTCGGAGGGTCCTATGCCCATGGAGTCTCGCTGATTGCTAGCACAGCAGTCTGAGATCAAACTGCAAGGTGGCAGTGAGGCTGGGGGAGGGGCGCCCACCATTGCCCGGGCTTGCTTAGGTAAACAAAGCAGCTGGGAAGCTCGAGCTGGGTGGAGCCCACCACAGCTCAAGGAGGCCTGCCTGCCTCTGTAGGCTCCACCTCTGGGGGCAGGGCACAGACAAACAAAAAGACAGCAGTAACCTCTGCAGACTTAAATGTCCCTGTCTGACAGCTTTGAAGAGAGCAGTGGTTCTCCCAGCACGCAGCTGGAGATCTGAGGACGGGCAGACTGCCTCCTCAAGTGGGTCCCTGACCCCTGACACCCGAGCAGCCTAACTGGGAGGCACCCCCCAGTAGGGGCAGACTGACACCTCACACGGCCAAGTACTCCTCTGAGACAAAACTTCCAGAGGAACGATCAGACAGCAGCATTCGTGGTTCACGAAAATCCCCTGTTCTGCAGCCACCGCTGCTGGTACCCAGGCAAACAGGGTCTGCAGTGGACCTCTAGCAAACTCCAACAGACCTGCAGCTGAGGGTCCTGTCTCTTAGAAGGAAAACTAACAAACAGAAAGGACATCCACACCAAAAACCCATCTGTACATCACCATCATCAAAGACAAAAAGTAGATAAAACCACAAAGATGGGGAAAAAACAGAGCAGAAAAACTGGAAACTCTAAAAAGCAGAGCACCTCTCCTCCTCCAAAGGAACGCAGCTTCTCACCAGCAACGGAACAAAGCTGGACAGAGAATGACTTTGACGAGTTGAGAGAAGGCTTCAGACAATCAAACTATGAGCTACAGGAGGAAATTCAAACCAAAGGCAAAGAAGTTGAAAACTTTGAAAAAAATTTAGACGAATGTATAACTAGAATAACCAATACAGAGAAGTGCTTAAAGGAGCTGACGGAGCTGAAAGCCAAAGCTCGAGAACTACATGAAGAATGCAGAAGCCTCAGGAGCCGATGTGATCAACTTGAAGAAAGGATATCAGTGATGGAAGATGAAATGAATGAAATGAAGCGAGAAGGGAAGTTTAGAGAAAAAAGAATAAAAAGAAACGAACAAAGCCTCCAAGAAATATGGGACTATGTGAAAAGACCAAATCTACATCTGACTGGTGTACCTGAAAGTGACGGGGAGAATGGAACCAAGTTGGAAAATACTCTGCAGGTCATTATCCAGGACAACTTCCCAATATAGCAAGGCAGGCCAACATTCAGATTCAGGAAATACAGAGAACGCCACAAAGATACTCCTCGAGAAGAGCAACTCCAAGACACATAATTGTCAGATTCACCAAAGTTGAAATGAAGGAAAAAATGTTAAGGGCAGCCAGAGAGAAAGGTTGGGTTACCCACAAACGGAAGCCCATCAGACTAACAGCGGATCTCTCGGCAGAAACTCTACAAGCCAGAAGAGAGTGGGGGCCAATATTCAACACTCTTAAAGAAAAGAATTTTCAACCCAGAATTTCATATCCAGCCAAACTAAGCTTCATAAGTGAAGGAGAAATAAAATACTTTACAGACGAGCAAATGCCGAGAGATTCTGTCACCACCAAGCCTGCCCTAAAAGAGCTCCTGAAGGAAGCACTAAACATGGAAAGGCACAACCGGTACCAGCCGCTGCAAAATCATGCCAAATTGTAAAGACCATTGAGGCTAGGGAGAAACTGCATCAACTAACAAGCAAAATAACCAGCTAACATCATAATGACAGGATCAAATTCACACATAACAATATTAACTTTAAATGTAAATGGACTAAATGCTCCAATTAAAAGACACAGACTGGCAAATTGGATAAAGAGTCAAGACCCACCAGTGTGCTGTATTCAGGAAACCCATCTCATGTGCAGAGACACACACAGGCACAAAATAAAAGGATGGAGGAAGATCTACCAAGCAAATGGAAAACAAAAAAAGGCAGGGGTTGCAATCCTAGTCTCTGATAAAACAGACTTTAAACCAACAAAAATCAAAAGAGACAAAGAAGGCCATTACGTAATAGTAAAGGGATCAATTCAACAAGAAGAGCTAACTATCCTAAATATATATGCACCCAATACAGGAGCACCCAGATTCATAAAGCAAGTCCTGAGTGACCTACAAAGAGACTTAGACTCCCACACAATAATAATGGGAGACTTTAACACTCCACTGTCAACATTAGACAGATCAATGAGACAGAAAGTTAACAAGGATACCCAGGAATTGAACTCAGCTCTGCACCAAGTGGACCTAATAGACATCTACAGAACTCTCCACCCCAAATCAACAGAATATACATTTTTCTCAGCACCACACCACACCTATTCCAAAATTGGTCACATAGTTGGAAGTAAAGCTCTCCTCAGCAAATGTAAAAGATCAGACATTATTACAAACTGTCTCTCAGACCACAGTGCAATCAAACTAGAACTGAGGATTAAGAAACTCTCTCAAAACCACTCAACTACATGGAAACTGAACAACCTGCTCCTGAATGACTACTGGGTACATAACGAAATGAAGGCAGAAATAAAGTTGTTCTTTGAAACCAACGAGAACAAAGACACAACATACCAGAATCTCTGGGACACATTCAAAGCAGTGTGTAGAGGGAAATTTATAGCACTAAATGCCCACAAGAGAAAGCAGGAAAGATCCAAAATTGACACCCGAACATCACAATTAAAAGAACTAGAAAAGGAAGAGCAAACACATTCAAAAGCTAGCAGAAGGCAAGAAATAACTAAAATCAGAGCAGAATTGAAGGAAATAGAGACACAAAAATCCCTTCAAAAAATTAATGAATCCAGCAGCTGGTTTTTTGAAAGGATCAACAAAATTGATAGACTGCTAGCAAGACTAATAAAGAAGAAAAGAGAGAAGAATCAAATAGAGGCAATAAAAAATGATAAAGGAGATATCACCACAGATCCCACAGAAATACAAACTACCATCAGAGAATACTACAAACATCTCTACGCAAATAAACTAGAAAATCTGGAAGAAATGGATAAATTCCTCGATGCATACACCCTCCCAAGACTAAACCAGGAAGAAGTTGAATCTCTGTATAGACCAATAACAGGCTCTGAAATTGTGGCAATAATCAGTAGCTTACCAACGAAAATGAGTCCAGGACCAGATGGATTCACAGCCGAATTCTACCAGAGGTACAAGGAGGAACTGGTACCATTCCTTCTGAAACTATTCCAATCAATAGAAAAAGAGGGAATCCTCCCTAACTCATTTTATGAGGCCAGCATCATCCTGATACCAAAGCTGGGCAGAGACACAACCAAAAAAGAGAATTTTAGACCAATATCCTTGATGAACATCGATGCAAAAATCCTCAATAAAATACTGGCAAACCAAATCCAGCAGCACATCAAAAAGCTTATCCACCATGATCAAGTGGGCTTCATCCCTGGGATGCAAGGCTCGTTCAGTATACGCAAATCAATAAATGTAATCCAGCATATAAACAGAACCAAAGACAAAAATCACATGATTATCTCAATAGATGCAGAAAAGGCCTTTGACAAAATTCAACAATGCTTCATGCTAAAAACTCTCAATAAATTAGGTATTGATGGGACGTATCTCAAAATAATAAGAGCTATCTATGACAAACCCACAGCCAATATCATACTGAATGGGCAGAAATTGGAAGCATTCCCTTTGAAAACTGGCACAAGACAGGGATGCCCTCTCTCACCACTCCTATTCAACATAGTGTTGGAAGTTCTGGCCAGGGCAATTAGGCAGGAGAAGGAAATAAAGGGTATTCAATTAGGAAAAGAAGAAGTCAAATTGTCCCTGTTTGCAGATGACATGATTGTATATCTAGAAAACCCCATCGTCTCAGCGCAAAATCTCCTTAAGCTGATAAGCAACTTCAGCAAAGTCTCAGGATACAAAATCAATGTACAAAAATCACAAGCATTCTTATACACAAATAACAGACAAACAGAGAGCCAAATCATGAGTGAACTCATGAGTGAACTCCCATTCACAATTGCTTCAAAGAGAATAAAATACCTAGGAATCCAACTTACAAGGGACGTGAAGGACCTCTTCAAGGAGAACTACAAACCACTGCTCAAGGAAATAAAAGAGGATACAAACAAATGGAAGAACATTCCATGCTCATGGGTAGGAAGAATCAATATCGTGAAAATGGCCATACGGCCCAAGGTAATTTATAGATTCAATGCCATCCCCATCAAGCTACCAATGACTTTCTTCACAGAATTGGAAAAAACTACTTTAAAGTTCATATGGAACCAAAAAGATCCCGCATTGCCAAGTCAATCCTAAGCCAAAAGAACAAAGCTGGAGGCATCACCCTACCTGACTTCAAACTATACTACAAGGCTACAGTAACCAAAACAGCATGGTACTGGTACCAAAACAGAGATATAGATCAATGGAACAGAACAGAGCCCTCAGAAATAACGCCGCATATCTACAACTATCTGATCTTTGACAAACCTGACAAAAACAAGCAATGGGGAAAGGATTCCCTATTTAATAAATGGTGCTGGGAAAACTGGCTAGTCATATGTAGAAAGCTGAAACTGGATCCCTTCCTTACACCTTATACAAAAATCAATTCAAGATGGATTAAAGACTTAAACGTTAGACCTAAAACCATAAAAACCCTAGAAGAAAACCTAGGCATTACCATTCAGGACATAGGCATGGGCAAGGACTTCATGTCTAAAACACCAAAAGCAGTGGCAACAAAAGACAAAATTGACAAATGGGATCTAATTAAACTAAAGAGCTTCTGCACAGCAAAAGAAGCTACCATCAGAGTGAACAGGAAACCTACAAAATGGGAGAAAATTTTCACAACCTACTCATCTGACAAAGGGCTAATATCCGGAATCTACAAAGAACTCAAACAAATTTACAAGAAAAAAACAAACAACCCCATCAAAAAGTGGGCCAAGGACATGAACAGACACTTCTCAAAAGAAGACATTTATGCAGCCAAAAGACACATGAAAAAATGCTCACCATCACTGGCCATCAGAGAAATGCAAATCAAAACCACAATGAGATACCATCTCACACCAGTTAGAATGGCAATCATTAAAAAGTCAGGAAACAACAGGTGCTGGAGAGGATGTGGAGAAATAGGAACACTTTTACACTGTTGGTGGGACTGTAAACTAGTTCAACCATTGTGGAAGACAGTGTGGCGATTCCTCAGGGATCTAGAACTAGAAATACCATTTGACCCAGCCATCCCATTACTGGGTATGTACCCAAAGGACTATAAATCATGCTGCTATAAAGACACATACACAGGTATGTTTATTGTGGCACTATTCACAATAGCAAAGACTTGGAACCAATCCAAATGTCCAACAATGACAGACTAGATTAAGAAAATGTGGCACATATACATCATGGAATACTATGCAGCCATAAAAAATGATGAGTTCATGTCCTTTGTAGGGACATGGATAAAATTGGAAATCATCATTCTCAGTAAACTATCCCAAGAACAAAAAAGCAAACACTGCATATTCTCACTCATAGGTGGGAATTGAACAATGAGAACACATGGACACAGGAAGGGGAACATCACACTCTGGGGACTGTTGTGGGGTGGGGGGAGGGGGGAGGGATAGCTTTAGGAGATATACCTAATGCTAAATGATGAGTTAATGGGTGCAGCACACCAGCATGGCACATGTATACATATGTAACTAACCTGCACATTGTGCACATGTACCCTAAAACTTAAAGTATACTAATAATAAAATAAAATTTAAAAAAAAAAAGATAAAAAGACTGGGTTCCATCATAATTTCAGAGTTCAAAGGCCTCACCCCACTGTTCTTACTTTCCTCCATTTTGTTTTTTTATTTTATTTATTTTATTTTATTTTATTTTATTTTATTTTATTTTATTTTTATTTTTATTTTTATTTTTGACACAGGATCTCACTCTTTTGCCCAGAATGGAGTAAGTGCAGTGTTGTGATCTTGGCTCACTGCAATCTCCACCTCCCAGGCTCAAGCGATCCTCCCACCTCAGCCTCCCAAGTAGGTGGAACCACAGGCATACGGGGCCATGCCCGGCTAATTTTTGAAGTTTTTGTACAGACGGGATTTCACTATGTTGCCCAGGCTGAATGATTCCCCTTCTTCTAAACGGCAGAGCCCTCTTTTGGCTTTGACTTCTCTTCACCAAAGCCCCTTGCTCTGAATTCTTTTTTTTTTTTTTTTTTTTTTTTTTGAGACGGAGTCTCGCTCTGTCGCCCAGGCCGGACTGCAGTGGCGCGATCTCGGCTCACTGCAAGCTCCACCTCCCGGGTTCACGCCATTCTCCTGCCTCAGCCTCCCGAGTAGCTGGGACTACAGGCGCCCGCTACCACGCCCGGCTAATTTTTTGTATTTTTAGTAGAGACGGGGTTTCACCGTGTTAGCCAGGATGGTCTCGATCTCCTGACCTCGTGATCCGCCCGCCTCGGCCTCCCAAAATGCTGGGATTACAGGCGTGAGCCACCGCGCCCGGCCTGCTCTGAATTCTTGATGAAACCAATGTGACATTGCTTTGCTCCGTTAAAATGCATTAGAAAATGTGGAAACATGAAAAGATTTAAGCACCATTAAGCACACTGCTTTGTGATAATCTGATATGAACTTACCTCCTCGACTCTTCTGTGAACTCCATGAAAGCAGAACACTGTCTTTTCTGTCCTGGTGTCTCTGCTTCTAGCCAGGTCCTGGAACCTAGTTGGTATTCAGGAGGTGGTGGTTGAATTGAATTCGAAACTGTTGAGCCCTCTCGCTTCACAGTTGTGGGGGCATGAGGACTAGGCCAGGGTTGGCACACAGGTCTCATTCTACTCATTAGGGAGCCATCTGAAGTAGATGAAACACAGAGACAGCAAGTTCAAAGTCCTGGCTTTACACTAAATTAGGTTAGCTATTCTACATCTCGGACCGTCAGTCTCTTCATCTGTAAAATGAGATTAATCATACATTTTTTTTTATGATGCTTTTACAGATTAGGAATACTAAAGTAAAAGAAATAGGAACTGAATAAATTGTATGTATCATCCTTATTACCCTCTGCCTCCATGTTTGTGTCTGGTCACCAGATGTAGCCTCTTCATTCTTTTAGGGAAAGTAACTTGCCCCCATCCCCTGACGGGGCCTCCCAAACCTTCAGGCTGGTCAGGTCGAGACCCATGGTACTTGATCCCTGGAGGCAGAAAGTGACAGGAATCTGTGGCTCCAGTTCAGCTGTAACCAGTGTGGATCCTGCATTTAAACTCCCACACTCACCCCCGAGTTGTAGCCCTGGTTCTGGTCAATGGCTTGGCTTCCCACCCCAGTTCCAGCATCTTGGAATTAAGAGGCAGAAGGAAACACCGATTTTGTATTCCCTCCTTGCCCACGCTGCAAAGATCCTTGATACAAGGTCTCAAATTCTCTACAAAATACTTCCACTAACAGAATCACCTCCAGCCCATGTCTCTCTGCTCCCAGAGGTGGCCCCATCCCATTCCTGGACAGTCCTGGTTGTAAACAGGGTTTTCCTTTCATTATGAAAACCACCACCCTTGAAAGATCATCCACTGGTCCTAGTTCTGCATTTTTTTTTTTTTTTTTTTTAGTCAGGTTCACACTCTTGTCGCCCAGGCTGAAGTGCAGTGGCGTGATCACAGCTCACTGCAGTCTCGACCTCCCAGGCTCAAGCTATCCTCCCACCTCAGCCTCCAGATTAGCTGGGACTATAGGCACACTTCACTGCACCCAGCTAATTTTTCGATGTTGTGTTGAGACGAGGTCTCACTATGTGGCCCAGGCTGGTCTCAAACTCCTGAGCTCAAGCCATTCTCCCGCCTCAGCCTCCCAAAGTGTTGGTATTACAGGCGTGAGCCACCATGCCTGGCTCTAGTTTTGCTTTCTACAGCCACATAAAACATAACATTTCATCTCCTAAATGATACTACAAGTCTCTAAAAGATGGTGGTCATTCCTCCCCTGTTATCTCTTTGGCATATGGGATGGAAAATTACCACGTAAACTTCACAAAGACACGTTTTTCAGTTTTACCTACTATGCCTTGCATAGTAGGTGCTCAATAAATATTTGCCAAATGAACGAATAAATAAATGAACCCCTATTATGTGCTTGATAATTCACTGGTCACTTTATATTCATTATCTCTAGTTATCACAAGCTCTCTAGGAAGAAATTACTAGTCCCATTTTATAGATATTATTTTGCATTTAAAGTAGGATCTTCTCTTCTGTATTCATCTTTATTTCATCTGTAATGTCAATTCTCCTTTTAAAATTCAGATAAAAGCAAGTGCTTTTTCTTTAAAATCCTTTAATACATCCATTTTACTTCTAAAAAATTATTGGTACTCTTACTTATTAAATCGAGCCAATAGGCCCAGACGCTGACACTATGGTCATGGCGGAGGGGGCAGCGTGCTGAGGCGGAACGGGCTGGGCACAGGATTTTTATAATTGGCCTGACGAACACTTTGAAGAAATAGACAGTACACTAGCTGTTCAACAGTATATTCAACAGAACATAAGAGCAGATTGCTCCAATATTGACAAAATTCTTGAACCAGCTGAAGGCCAAGATGAAAGTTATGGAAGTATGAACATTTAAGGGAATTCTGTCTTGAGCTAAACGGACTTGTTGTCAAACTTCAGAGTGAATGCCATCCAGATACTTGCACTCAAATGACAGCAACTGAACAATGGATTTTTCTTTGTGCAGCTCATAAAGCTCTGAAAGAGTGTCCTGCTATAGCCTATACCAGACACATACTTGATGGTGCTGCATGTCTTCTGAAGAGCAATCAATGTTTTCCCAGCAGGGTTAGCATAAAGAAGTAATCCGTAGCAAAACTAGGATCACTATACCTTAGGAGTTACAGAATATTTTCACATGTTTATTTTCATCATTGGTAGATATTTGATGAATATGAAAAGGAAACATTTTTGTGTCATCGGATTACTAAATTTGTGATGAATTAGATGAAATATAATTTGATGTCCAGGGATAACCTCATTGTACCAATTTTAGAAGAGGAAGTACAGGTTTCAGTTTCTGGGGAAAGTGAAGCATGAAGGGAATCATGGAAAAATGTACAGATCACATAATTAACATTAATTATGTACTGTATATATCATTTTAGACACATCAATCATGTATCCATATTATAGCTTCTTCATTTAGTATAAGTTTTTGTATGCTGGGTTTGCCTTTTAAAATGGGAAATACTTTTTAAGTTATTCATAAGCTGTATATTCACCAGTGTGGCACTCATGGTTTTAGAATAAGATTAGTACTATCTGTTTATAATGCCTGTTAATAAAAGAATTTACAGTTGGGTAAAATTGCTGCTAAACAATCATTGGATCACAATCCTCATCAAACATACCCATCTATAAAAAAAATTGAGCGAGAGCTTGAGGTTTCACACAAGCCCTTTACTAAAGAGGTAGAAATGTTTTTCTTTGTTTCACCCTGAGTTTAGATATCCTCAAAAATTCTATAGTACATAGATTTGTCTTACCTGTTAACTTTCCTCAAATGAGATAAAGTGTTTTAAAATTCTGTTTATAGTTTTTGATATGCATATATAATTATGTGTATATCTAAATACAAACGCAAATAAAGCGTTAGTAATACTTAAATAATTTTACTGTGCTACATAAAGTATAACATACTTGGAAAGGATTTACCTTTCTGCAACAATGGACTGGTACATACAGGATGATGATAATGATAAGGCACATAAATGATGTTCCCACTGGAAACCTGCCCTGTCCACTCCTCATTTCCCTTAACCTTATCCTCAAACTACTTTAGCTGAGAAGCTTTTCATGAGACTGTGAGTTAGTGGTGGCTTATACTTATTTATATTTGTATTAATTGCTTACAGATTATACCTCATATTAGCAATTACATTATACTACAAGAAAATGTATTTGCATAGGCTCTTGCTTATCTTTGTTTTGCAAAATTGTCCTTCTTAGAAAACAGTCCTTAAAATTTTGACTCTTCCTGTTAGTAATTAATCTTTCATTTAACCAGCTAGGCAGCATTAAATAAAATTGAAGAAATACTGTAGTATTTATTTTACACCCCCTCCCCACAAAGTTTATGTTTGAATTACATGCACGTGGGAGATTATTTGCAATAATTCATAGGTTCCAAGGGTGTTGATGAATAGTTATACATTTTTTGGACTTTGTTATAATTCATTGTGGTAAGACTGATTCAAATGCAGATTTATCAATCTTATAATCTATTGAATGCCATTTTTGATAAAGCACTGGAGGTCTTATTGCCAAACTGATTGTAATGAGGCACTAAGGATGAAAACATTGTACATGTTGTGAAGAAAGTACTTAAATGCAACTTTTGAACAGATTTAACAAACATGAGGAACTTTTTATATTTAAAAGAGTTATTGTGAAATGAAGATGAAAATGTATTCATCTTAATTGTTTTTTCAAATTTAAGGGAATAATTTATACCATATTTTGAGACAAGAATGTACAGCAAAAGTGTGGGGAACAGTAGTATACTGAGAGAGTGTCTATACACAGTGTATGCCTTTCCAAACCTGCCAGTCTTTTTGGCTTTGAACAGTGCCCACCAGCCACAGTCATTACTGTTCCCCAACCCCCACTATCTCTTAAGAAGCCTTATGTTCACAGTGAAAGGAATGCTGACTTTGAAATTATGGGTTTATATTCATGTCACTATAAACCAATGGGAATGGTAATTTTTAAACAAACTTGCTAAATATTGAGAGACTAAACTAAGTTAATAAATTATATATAGCAGTGTAGGTGTTCTCTCTCTAAAAAAAAATGGAGCCAATAATTGGCTTTTTTCTTATTGAAAAAAGTTTTGAATTAATAATGCATCTTGCACTGCGTTTCTTGGTTCTGGTCTAATTGGTGCAGATGGCCTGGACCCAGAGTTCTGCAGAGTGTCAGGTCTGTGATGCTGTCTGGGTCTCTCGCTGGCTTTCTACAGAAACTCAAAGGTTTTTCTCGCTATTTGGATGATGCTTAAGTGTCTAGGCCAGCGAGTCATAGCCTTAGCTACCCAAAAGGAGCCAAGAAGTCTGGGTCTGACTGAGGCCTATGGAGTGCTGACTTGTTATATGGGTGAGAGCATGGGACTCCCGCCCAGCAGCATTCAGCATTCCTAATTGGCATTTTCAAGACACAGCATTGCCTGTAAGTCATCCTGTGCCACCAGATTACCTGGCACCACTCCAGTAGGATGTTAACAGAGGGAAGAAAGTAAGGAGTTGGCAAAGTTAAAAACAGCACAAAGAAAAAAAGAGAACAAACTTGAAAGAAGGATTTCACCACCATCATTAATGGCATGTATTGATTAACACTAAGCGTTTGTGCCACTTTGCACGTTGCTCACCCTCATTCAAAGACACTGTCTTTGGAAGCCCCTCTCTGCAAATGGGAGAAGGTGTGGAAAAGATCAAACTAAAAACAAATTCAAAGAAACCACGAGTTGCCGATGAGCATCTGGGAAATAGTCATAAGTTAAATAAACCACTAGGGGGCAATCCAAGAATGAGCAAAAGTCAGTCCAGTTGGCAAAGAAGATGCCTCGGGGAAAGATTTTTTTTAAGTACATTTTCCAACACATGAAGAAATCTGAGATCGTTTAGTCTGAATCTACAGAACAAGGTGATATTTCAAAATTTTGATTTATTTTTTCAAGTTACGTGTTGATTTAGAAAGGAAAGGTCTTTCTAAATGGTCGGAAACACTTACTAAATACAAATTGATCAGAATCATGTTATAAGGAAAAACAATGGTTGAAACAATAGTGTGTCTTAAAAATTTAGATTCCCACCCCAGGCACTCGAGAAACTTCTGAATGTTGGCCATTCAAAATAGATTTCAATTAATGATACATATGATGTGGCACAGCATAAAGGAAATCTGAAAATATTTGGTTAGCATGTATAAATGAATCAAATCACACATGATTTGTTTTATACTTGTACTGATGATACAAAGTTTTTAGGTATGTAATACAGCTTTGCAGATATGTGCACATATTTTTTTCTGGTGTATCTTCTCTGCAGGTAATTTGGTATGTGCTAATCAGTTGCTAACAAGGATCAAATCAACGATTAAGCCTCTTCATCAAGGATCAAACAACTCTTGTTCTGAATTTGCCTTCCCTGAGGCTCCTGACTCCCAATCTGGAGGCATGGTTAGTTGCTCCACTCACGGTAGTCTTATGGCACCTTGCTATTAGTAGAATAAGAGCATGAACTCCCAAGGCAGACTGCTAAGATATGAATCCCATTTCTAGCTGTGTGTTTTTGGCAAGTTACCTTGCTTCAATTAGCCCCTCTCTGACATGGATACAAAATCAATGCCTACTTCATAGGTTTGTAGTGGGAAGTGAATTAATTAATATATGTAAATCATTCATAAAAGTGTCTGGCACATTACAGGTACTCAATACATGCTTGTTGGTTTCATAAATGAATGATCTGATACTTGCCTGAACACAACGTAAATTCATTACAAGAACAAATTCATGAAGAAACTGCAGGATTCTTGGATGGATTTTCACTGGCTATAAAAAGTCAACTGGCCAGTGGCAAACAGGAGAGCTGAATAGTGATACTCTTGAAAAGAAACTCTAATTGGTGTTCAGGTCCACCAGACAAGGCTCTTTGTCTTACTTCTAGAATACGGTGACAATCCATGAGCCAGAAATAGAGGTATTTCAATAAAAGTATAGAGTTTTGTCTCAAAAATGCCAGCCAGCCATTTAGAAAAGTTCTATCTGCAGTCACAGAATTGCTCACTTTGTTTTTTGTCTTTTCAACCATAGCTATCTAAAGAGTTTAAAAATAGCCACATCATTAACTTAATTCTCTGGACAGATTGACACATTTCAAAAGAAAGAGTTTTTAAAACAGTATCTAAAAGGAACACCATATAAAAAGTTATAGGAAGTTCCAGAGTCAGGAAAAACATGATCCAAAATATACTATACATGAAATAGAAAGCATGAGGGAAACAGAAGCCCACAGTTAGAAGGCAATAAAAAAAATCACAAAAAAAGGCTTTCTTGCCCCTCAAAAACCATATTTTCAAGCAAAAATAGGCCATTTGAAAAAATATAGAATGGAAATAAATCTGATCGCAACTATAAATGTCCAGAGTTTTAGACTCAAGCATGATCATGTTTTATTCTTTCACAAAAGTGGGTCTTATAAATAATTAGATTTTCAAGTTAAACTTTTTCTGCAGATGAATCTTCATAGGATTTTACAATTTTCAAGACCTCAGACAAAGTGAAGAGAATTTGGGACACTAAACAGCTTGAAGAACAAAACAAAGCATAAAGAGGCTGATCGGTAAAGATATAATGAAGGAATTGAATGAATTCTTCCTGATATTATGTTATACTCAACCAACACATCTTTTCTGTGAAAGTAGAAAGACAAAGTGGTGGCATTTCTATTCCAACGCTGTGTTCAGCTGGTCTGGAAATCATCCTGGAGTAGTAAAACCTGTCACTTTAAAAAAACAGTGTCCTTATGTCCCAGAATGCCTTATCCACAGAGGATATTAGTCATGCTGGGGGCTATGTTAGTTTACCAAACATGGCATTTTCCATCAGGGAACTGGGGGTGGAGCAAGTTTTAATAAATCCAAGAAAGGAAATGTAATAATCAGGCAGGACGGTAACTCAAAGACTTATTAAAATGTAGGGGAAGCACTCAACTCATTCAATTTACAAAGTGGCAATTCCATTGTACTGAGGCCAAGATATTTTGTGGAGAGGGTAGTTACTGAGCCTCATCACTCTGGGAGGTAGAGCAAGAGTCATGACTACAGTGACCTCAAAAGGAGAAGACGCATGAACACCCTGAGCACAGGGATGTATCTCAGTCATCTCTGCAGCCCCAGCGTGAACACAGTGACTGGCACCGAGGTGGGCTTGAGGACATTTGCTGAATGAATAACTGAATGATTGACTAATTGAAGAGATGGAGGAAGGGCAACCTAGCTGGAGGGTAGGAGAGCTTGAGCAATGACAGAAGGTTGAAAACACGGATGTGTTTGGTACAACTTGGCTAGACGACAGGTTATGTGACTCTGGGAAGCAATGGGGGATAAATCTGATCACTATATTGGATTGGTCATGGATTCATGGCTAAGAAAACTAAACTTCTCTAGTAACCAGCATCTAGTCAATAGGAAACATAGGGGAGGGGCCTGATCAGGTCTTTGCTTCAGAACATGTCTTGGGCAGGTGTGGGCGAGCTGGGAGGCTCAGAATCCAGTTTGGAATCTGCTGTCATAGTTAAAGGAGAAACAACAAGGTGAAATCAGGGCAGTGGCAGGGGAGCTGGAGAGGAGGTGATGGATAGCACAGAACTCTAGCTTGTTGCCTGTGAGATGTGGGAGAGGATCTATGTCATGACAGGCTAAGTCATGACAGACAGACAGACACTCACTTTCTCACAAATATTTCCTGTGCTAGACCATGGGATAGATAAGGGAAGACACAGAAGAACAGAACTCAGCCCCTGCTCTTGCAAGGCTCATAGTCTTGTAGAAGAGGCAGACACATAAATAACAACAGCAATGTAACACATGCTAGAATAGAACAGAATACATACAAAACACCACAAGAGTTTTATTCTGGGATGTGTTTGGACCCAAGAAATATCCAAGCTCACATAACCCTAAGTCATCATGTTCTGGGTTATATAAACCATCTGGGATCATTCGTTCAATCAGCCATTTGAATAACATTATTTATTGAGAACCTACATGCCAGGCACTGTTCTAATTGTGGGGACACAACAGATAAAAACCTCTGTCCTCATGAAATTACATTCTAGTGGCAGAGGACAAATACATAAATATAACAGTGTTAGTGATAAGTGCAGAGCAGGACAATAAAACAGGGAAGGGCAATAAGAACTCCCCGAGGAAGGGGCTGAGGGGCATTGAATTTCAGAGAAGATGGCCAGGGAAGGCCATCCTGAGAAGACATCTCATTGGATGGCAAGAACTGGCTGCTGTTCCCACGGCTGCTGCTTGGATTCTAGCCCCTTGTTCTGTTTATTTCATTTCCTGAGACTCTCCTCATTCTCTCCAAGGCAAACACTTCAGTCTTTCTTCACTGGATTGGAACTTGACGCTTCTCAAAGCTGTTCTTGCTCTTTATGGAAGACAGGGCCTTAGTCCTTTTAATAGCCCGAAGACAAGGGGCAGTGATAAATCAAGACTAAGAGAGCACAGTATTTTTACACACTTGATACACACATAGACAAATACCACAGTGAAGAGTCACCCTGCACTTTCTGCCTCTCAGAAAACATTGGTCCAGGCAGGAGGGGATGGCAGAGGGCCTCCCTGAGCCCATGTCTGCACCACCCCATTGATGCCTGGGTTCTTGCTCTTCTTGTGGGCAGAGCTGTCCCAAGTGTCCCTGGAGGATTCAGTTAATCAATCCCTCATTCACAGGCATGATAAGCATACCTGGTGCACAGTGCCCCATGCTTGCATGGTGGGTGCACAGAGACACACAAGGCAAGGTTCTGCTTGTCATGAAAACAGCTGAGGCTTGGAGGACTAGACAGACTCCTCTCTGGTCTCCTGCCTTCCACCCCGTCTTTCCCACCATAGCCAGAGGGACATTTCTAAACATAACCTGAAGCACAATCTGATCTTGTCCCACCCTTTGTCTCTCACTTCCTCAACCTGGCTTCCAACTTTTTTCTCTTGCTTTCTTTGAGGCCACATTTTCCTTGTTGTCCTTAACCTTATTGGTGGCTTCTTACCAGCTTCCTTACTGCCTCCTCCTCCTCCTCCTCTTCCTCCTTCTCTTCTACTGAACCCAACATCTAAATGTTGGTGGACTGGGACTCTGTCCTCAGCCCTCTTCTCTTCTCAAGCCTCATTCTCTCCCCAGATGATATTATTTCTCTGTGGTTTAAATATCATCTACAAGTGCATTTGAGATATTTCTACTGAGCTTCACAATCAGAGATCCTATAGTTCATTTGACATTGGCATTTGGGTGTCCGCTAGACAGTTGAAACCTAACATGACTGACACAGGAATTCTCGGTTTTCATTTCCACAGCAGAATCTAATTCTCTTCCTTTAGTCTTTCCCATCTCAGCAAATGGCACCTGGAATCTCTGTGGATGCTCAGGCCCCAAGCCAAGCAGTCATTCTTGATTCCTCCTTTACCACACCTATTCATGTTGGCTCTACTTTCAAATATATACTCTTCCAGATATGACCACTATTCAATATCCTCTACTTCCAAAGTCAAAGTCACTGCCATTTCTTACCTGGATTACTAGTTTTCCCATTGCCACTGCCTAAAATCCATTCTCCATTTAGCATCCAAAGAGATATTGTCAAATATGAATGAGTTTCAGGGCTGCATTTTGATTTTTGTGGGCCCTAAGCACTTTTGCCTTCATAAGTCTCCTTCTCCATTAAAAAATATTAAAAATTATATTTTATGGCTGTTAATATAAATATATTAACATTATATTAACACATTTTATTAGGCTTAAAAATTAACTTTCTTCTTCTGATTTTAAAATAAATATTTCTGTGTGATCTCTGAAACTGCTGTGGGCCCTAGACACTGTGCCTACTGTCCCTTCATGGATAAGTCGGTCCTGATTAGGCCCCACCAGGGCTCCTACTTAAAGTCCTTTGACTGTATCCCCCAGCAAGTAAGATGAATTAAAAAGACCTTGACAGAATCCTTAATTTCTATATGAGCTGGCTGGAATCTATCTTTTTGAACTCTTCCCCATCTGTCTCTTAAACAGAACAAATTTGATACTGCCAGGGGCCCTTGCACTTCAGTTTGTTGAGGCTCAAACATATTCCCTCCCAAATTCTCAATAAGCCACTAACACACAGGTATAGCAAGCCTATGAGTTTCTTGTGGGTTATGCAAATAGGAAACAAGATGACTGGGCTTGAAGCATCTTGCTGGCTGTGTACTTGAGACAGCTATCTGTTAGATAAAGGTGCGCAGGAGACAGAGGGTTATATCACCATAGTTAAGGGCTAAGGAGGGTAGAAGAGCTGGTGTTATCTGAGAAGCAGCAAGCAATGAAGAGAGAACATCACTGCAATGAGTCAGATAAATATGCCTGTCTCCTTTCTCTCTTCCTCAGCTTCAAATGAGCCCACTGAGAAGCTGGAACCCAGAAGAGGGAGGATCTTTAAATCATATAGGAGGGTTTAAATTTTAAACCACAATGCATTGGGATTTATTTGCCATAAGGAACTAGACAACTGTGGAATCAGTCTGCCCAACTCCAAGGCCATCATCTTCCCATACCAGGCTGCTATCTCAGCTCTCAATCCTGTTTACCCTTTCTTTTTTCTTTTTCTTTTTCTTTTTTTTTTTTTTTTTGAGACAGAGTCTCACTCTGTTGCCTAGGCTGGAGTGCAGTGGCATAATTTTGGCTCATTGCAATCTCCGACTCCTAGTTTCAAGCGATTCTCCTGCCTTAGCTTCCCTAGCAGCTGGGATTACAGGCATGCGCCACCATGCCCGGCCAATTTTTGTATTTTTAGTAGTGACGGGGTTTCAGCATGTTAGCAGGGCTGGTCTGGAGCTCCTCACCTCAAGTGATCCACCTGCCTCAGCCTCCCAAAGTGCTAGGATTACAGACATGAGCCACCATGCCCGGCCAACCCCTGTTTACTCTTGTTCTGGAAGCTGGTTTATTTCCTCCTCCGGGGGGAACCCCAGACTAAAAACAGATGTGTTGTTGATCGCCCAGAAATGGCCTCATGTCTGCCATGTATGTACGATGACCCCACCCCATCAAAAGGATTTTTAAATGCCCTTCCCCTATTGGAGGCCCTCAGAATGCTGAGCCAGGCAAAGAAGGTATCACAGGAATCACAATGGAAGCCCAGAGAGGAGAAACGCAGGGAGCTGCAGCCCCACCTTTGTTCCTAGATTAGCAAGGATGGCTGCCAGTCTGCACGCTATACAGAGCTTTGAAAGGTTAATAATTAAGTGACCAAACATGCTTGTTGGCCAAGACATACCTGGCTTACACCTGCTGCCCCAGCTTCATTAGTCATAGCATTCTCAAAAGAATCCCATTCTGAATGATAAATGAAATGGCTGCCTTATCAAACATCCATAGAAATCAATGGTCAGAGGCAACTTCAAGGCATACCTGAGCTGGTTCATGACAAGAACAAAGAAAAAGTGCAGACATGAACAGCAGCAGAACCCAGGCAAAGTAAGAAGGAAGCCCTCAGTGAGTGTTGGGGATCACTGTCAGAATTCCTCTGGACTCACTGGATGGCTGCCATTTACCCTTCAGTTAGCAGACAGCAGCCTAGAGTCATCATTCCAGGGCAGGCTTAGTCATTCTTAACAAGTTCTGCATTAAAGACCTCCTGTGGGGTTTGTTAGAGAAAGAGTGATTCCTTGAATACATGATCCAGGCATCACCAGGTACTTCCCATCTCCCCAAGCAGGTAGACTGAGCTACACAAAGAACAGGGAATTGGGAGCATGACCTTGGTATTTCAATCCCTTTTTGGTCCAAAAACAGTAAAAAGAAAGATTACACATACAACTCTGCTCCTATTTCTTTACCCCTTTAAGGCTATTTTCCCACCTTTTAAAAACACTATCTCCTTTTCAAAATTCAAAATTTGGAGTAAAGTCTATGTAAAACATGTGTCCCCAGTTCTGCCACAAACTTCTGATTCTCAGCGACAGATAATTTTCAAATTTATTACTTCTAATTTCACGCTGTGAAGATTTCCAAATCCTGGTTATAGGGTCTGGTTAAACCCTAAAGGCACAGACACCTGACCCCACTCGGACTCATCATTCTTTCTACATTACCACCTCAACCAAAAGGCTGTTACAGAGATCCCCAGAATGTATTTAGTAGAACACCAGATTGCTTATAGGCATTATATGAGAAAACAAGGGTTTTGTGATCAAAGATGTTTATTTAAATGCAGATTTTACAACCTCAACTTGTCCCTTTACAACAGGTCTTCCCAGAGCTTTTAATGTGCAGACAGGCATGTGAACCTCTGATAAAGAGAGGGAAAATGGAGAGGCATCTTCCTCTGACTTAATACAACCCTTTTTACTTTTGGTAGAAAATCATAAGGCATGAGTGTTTAAGGAGCACACTTTGGGAAATGTGGTTCTACTAGCCTTACTAGGCAAATATGCTTCTAATATGTATAACTAACACATGTAAAGCACTAATTATATTAATAATGCCATGAGTCCTTTTTTCTTTTTCTGTCTACTTCTATGATAGTTTAATACCATGCTTTCTTTTATTATCACTAAAAAGATGGACATGTTGAATTATTTTATAATTTTCTTTTACAGTTCTGTGAGTTAAGCTGTATATAGCATATGGGTGTATCATTCTTTAGTAAATTACATCTACTTGTGAACTAAACATTGATTTCATTTTGACTTTGTGCCATTGTCTAACTTTGCAAAAAATCAAAATCAAGGAATCAAGGTGCTTCACAAAAGGAACATCTATTTTTTTAAAAAAATCCATTCTGGTCTTGGTGTTCAGTGAACTTTTTTTCACCAAGCTAAAGCAAAAACAAACAAAACCCCCAAATACCAGACATAGAAATGGAGACCTCCCTTCTTCCTCAGGCTAGATTCCTGTTAGATTCCAAAGAAAATTGTGCTGGAACTCAGAATTTTCCTGGCGGCTCTGCATCTCCTTGCTATGCATAGTATTTCTCATATGATTTGAAGAAAGCACTGTGGTTGTACGTTTCTTGAGTGCCTTATCAGAATTATCCTTCCAAAAAGCTCAAGAAAGACAAGCAGAAAATCCCCCAGAGAATGTCTAAGTGACAGTGCTCCATCTGAATATCCTTACAAATTGCTACAATGCAGGTTTACCTGGGGTGCAAGCACAGCAAACACGTGCTTGTAGTCCATTTGATTTTTTCTCCGATACATTTAGAAAGAAGTGCTTAGGCCGAGAGCCATAAAATAAAAACATACAATAAGTCCAAGTCTTTTCTGTATATGCTGTGATTTGATAATCATATTGATAAAACATGTGTAAAGGCCTTTATTGGAAGGCATGATTCTGATCCATTTTGCATTCTTCCAATTTTCATTTTTGCTATTATACCTAATTGTTTATCTATAACCTAGAGCATTCCAGCAAAAGCGGCCCTTTTAAAGCTAGAGGGAAAAAGGCCACACTGGTTTTCTTAAAGTAACTTCCAAGTATTTTCACTATAAATGAGAGAGAAAAGTTTCCAAATTGAAGAAGTACATAGCTCCCAGAAAGCACACTGAAAACTATGCAGAATAATTTTTGATCAGGCTGGAGGACTGTGCCAGGCTCCAAACAAGTGGTTATTCTGTTGTGACATCTGCCAGGCAATGCTTCCATTGTTCTCTGGAATTTAATTCATTTTAAATTACTCCATCCAAATGATAAAACATGAGATGTGCTATAATCCAGGGGTAAAATGCTATGATTGTTTTTAGTGTGGCCACAACTGTTTGCTGGGAGGAAATACAGCCTGTTCTAATTAAGCCCTGATTATTGTCTTCTGAAAAATAGCTAGTTCCAGAAATGTGAGTGAAATCCTGTTAAATGGAAGGGTTGGGATAAACACTCTTGGCCACTCTGGTATGACTTTAAAGTTGGGAGGGCCATATGCAAAGACTTCCTACAAAGTAGAGCAACAACCTTTGGAAAAGAAACTATTTTTGGAACTAAAAGCAGCTTGGGATACTGGTTTACTATAAGGTATAGTTTAATATGTGTATCAGTATAGTCAACACATCATTTTACTGTTCAAAGACTACCATGCAAATGCCTCCAAATCCAAAATATTCTGCCTAACAAATGCTGTCAAAGTTCCTAAATGGGAACACTGCCTTATGGAAGCATTAAAGATCAGGCACTGAATTAAAAAAACAAAAAAACCCACCACCAAGATGAATCTCAGAAGAAAACACACATGCACACATATAAGAATTCATATCTCTTGTATGCCAAATATTTAATATAAATCTTTGAAACAAGTTCAGATGAAATAAAAATCAAAGTTTGCAAAAACGTGAAGATTAACTTAATTGTCAAATATTCCTCATTGCCCCAAATCAGTATTTTTTTTATTTCTATGCAAAAGTATGCCTTCAAACTGCTTAAATGATATATGATATGATACACAAACCAGTTTTCAAATAGTAAAGCCAGTCATCTTGCAATTGTAAGAAATAGGTAAAAGATTATAAGACACCTTACACACACACACACACACACACACACGTGTGCACGCCAATGACAAAAAACAATTTGGCCTCTCCTAAAATAAGAACATGAAGACCCTTAATTGCTGCCAGGAGGGAACACTGTGTCACCCCTCCCTACAATCCAGGTAGTTTCCTTTAATCCAATAGCAAATCTGGGCATATTTGAGAGGAGTGATTCTGACAGCCACGTTGAAATCCTGTGGGGAACCATTCATGTCCACCCACTGGTGCCCTGAAAAAATGCCAATAATTTTTCGCTCCCACTTCTGCTGCTGTCTCTTCCACATCCTCACATAGACCCCAGACCCGCTGGCCCCTGGCTGGGCATCGCATTGCTGGTAGAGCAAGTCATAGGTCTCGTCTTTGACGTCACAGAAGCGATACACCAAATTGCCTGGTCGGTCATTGTCATAACCAGAGAAGTGAATTCTGCCCCCTGGCAGCTGCTTAGCAGGAGGGCTCACCCCAATCTTCATAAATTTTCTCTTGTGGGGCTTTTTGAGTTCCAGGAGGGCATAATCATAATCCATGCCGATGTCATTGGCATTGCCCTTGATCCAACCCTTGGGCACATGGGTGCGTTTCACCCGGATCCACTGAAATTTCATCTGCTCGGGCATGGCTGAAGTGGAGTCGTTGGCCCCTCGACCACCATCTTTAAACTTGGGCTTTAGGAAGCCCACTCGAAGCTTCTGGGTTCCTTTCACATAGGTTTTTCCATCGTGTATGCAGTGGGCAGCTGTGAGGACATGCTTCTCTGCCACCAGGGTGCCGGTGCAGCCCGTGGATAACTTCACTGATGTTGAGAAAGGGTAGTTGAGCAGGAAGTCCTTCCCAAAAATGCTGAACCTGCTGTCATAGCCATAAATCTGCCGCTTCCTTCGAGACTTTCCTGAAGACCCTGAGTCTCGGTGTTGGGCCCCATCTCCACTACTGCTGAGGATGTAGATGCCCACCTGCGTCTCTGTGCGGCTGCCATTGGCATAGAGCGTTTCATAAGACAGATATTGCTTGGCCTCTTCGTAAGTGGGCAGTGGAGTTCCCTTATGACACTGGGGTCCACATGAAGAAGATACTTCTAATTTGGCTTCGGCTCCAAAGTCTGGCTTGGCTAAATTGAGGGTAGACTGGGGCAAGACGACAGGGAGGCGGTATGCAGGCCAAGTGGGTTTCCAGGGGGCACTGTAAGGGCTCACTTGCCCAACAGCACAGAGCAGAAAGAAGAGAAGGAAGAGGAGCCCTGGAATCCCTGCCATGCCGAGCACTGTTCTGTAGAAACAAAGACAAGCAGGTCAGGAGGGCAAGGGCTGAACGTTCATTTACTGCAGACAGCAAAGCTCAGCAGCAGGCCTGTCATTGTTTCTGAGTCTTTGAACACTCCTCAGGAATCAGGGTGTGGAGAGGAATCCTTAGATAACGGTCTCACTTTCAACGCAAAGGCTCAACCTTAGGAAAGTTCCTGTGGCTGGGTGCCTGAAGTGAAATTGGGTGTTCCTTCCTTTCTATGTTTAAGATGTCCCTAATGATGGTAGACTGCAGAGTAGCAGGCATAAAGTCATTAGTCCCCTGGCTAACTGACTGACCAGCCCCAATTTCCACGTAATTTTGAGCCCTCTTTGTGCTTGATTCTAAACCTCCTCCTCTTCTACCTTCATGATGTCCCCGCCTTTCCCTCCTCCTTCTCTCATTCTCATTGTAACATGTACTTGGAAAATTTTCAGAGCAACTTGGTCACTCAGAGGGTCAATTTAAATTACATGGCTTACTGAGTGACTGAGACATCAAAGAAGGACAGCTCCACAGTGTCACAATTACCACCACTCCTGTGGTTTTTAAATGATGGTGCACTCGAGAAAGGGTATGAGATTTTTTGTTTTGTTTTGTTTTTTGCTTTGAATTTACAACAACCTTTACTATTATATATATTGAGTTCCAGAGTGGCTAGGCTTCTAATAAAATATTCCTTCTTCCTTTGGATTATGTTGTACACTACCAGGATCTTTGTCAATATCTAAAGCTCTAATATTGCATCAGCTATAACACTATGAACTGTTACCATTGGTTACTTTTTCAGTTGTTTATATCTGTATTACCAACTAAATCTCTTAAATTTGGGCCTGTGCTAGCACTCGACAAAGATTTGTTAAATGGATGCTTGTATTAATGGAAAAGTGAATGAATGTTGCATGCTGACGCTAATGACAATGATGTACATGGATGATGCGGTAGCTCAGAGAAACAGCTTGAGGCCAATTGTGGGAGTAAGAACAAGAGAGGCCTTCTAGGAGAAGTGATGCTTGAGAAATAGTATGCCACAGCCTCGCTCCAACCTCTCAATATAGAGGACCAAATGTATTATTTGGCAAATGCACCCGTTCTTTTCAAATGTACCCACCATTTAGAAGCAATAGGAGTCCTAGTAAAGGTGACACCGTGGAGCTGTCCCTCCTTGATGCTTCGGTCATTCAGTAAGCTATGTAATTTAAATTTACCCTCTAAATGAACAAATTGCCTAGAAATTTTCCAGGCATCACCTGATGTTTCAGATGGGTGCTGAAGTAGAAAAGAAGTCTGATAACATAAGACAGAGAGAAGGGGATACTTAGGGAAGGGAAACAAGAGTCTGTGCAAGGGCACAGCAACATGCAACCATGTGAGTAATTTGGGGAATCACACTTAGCTCAGCAAGGGTGGAGTAGAGGAAGTGGTGGAGGCAGCAGGCAAGAGCTAGATTGTGAAGTGCTATGTGTACTAAACAAAGAAGTTTGGATTTTATACTGCAAGGTATGTTTAAATGCCCAGATCAATCATCCCACAAGAAAAACAACAACGAGGAATACTGAAAGTGCTTTCATAAATGTTTAAGCATCAGTTGGCTCTCAGTGGCTCTGACTCTTCTGGTTCAATAGAAGCTGACTCAGCAGGTAGGGTAACTCATTCACAACCAAGCATCCAAAAACAAGGACCCGGAAGGGGTGGGTCTCAAGAGGCTCTGGGAACACAGCAGAAGTTAGGAAGAAACTGTTTTGTTATTCTCATTCTCTTCCTGTTTGAAAGTACAGATCTACTGGCAACTTTGGGTGCCTTTTGCTCCCTTTTATATAAAAGTAGAAAATCCCAATGATCTGATGTAGTATAGCTGAGCATGCCCATTCTCATTCCCAATATCCACACTGTGTTTCTAACATATGTGTGTGCCCCACCCACCTCTGGGACCTTTTTGCTTGACTTTTTCTCTTGGCTTCCACTTCAGTCAGGGAGAATAGGGATAGGAAAAGAAAGAAATAAGGTCCTGGAAAAGCCAGTTCCTTGGGACTCCCTAATTCCTTGAAATTCTACTTGTCTCCATCTTTCCAAATAGGAAGGGTCCCTGAGCCCTTTTGTAGGAAGGAAATACATTTAATTATTTCTTTAAATCCTTGAAAACATGGGGTGCCCGCATATGTGCACACACGTGTTTGTATGTGCTTGTTGGGAATATTGCCAAGACTAAAGGTTTTAAGTGGACTAGGAAGGGGATGCCAATGCTAGCTGAGTCCTCCTCTCCAATGGAG
The DNA here is from genome assembly GCF_000001405.40 of Homo sapiens. Classification (NCBI taxonomy): domain Eukaryota; kingdom Metazoa; phylum Chordata; class Mammalia; order Primates; family Hominidae; genus Homo; species Homo sapiens. The sequence goes on along the minus strand of NC_000011.10, from coordinate 86,805,345 downwards.
AACTTGGCAGTGAAATGGGTGTGGTGATGACAACCCTTTAGGAGATCTGTGGGGCATGGTTCTGATTATTCCCACCTACTGGCTAAGGAGTCATCCCTTGGGCTTATCGAGGACTTGAGCAGCCTTTTCTCTATATAAGTTGCTGTCTAGGTGACTAAATGCCCCACTCACACCAGAATCCCTGCCAAATGTGACAGGGACTAGGAGGAGTCATATATCTCCCACATGGCTGTATCTTGGGCTTCAACGCACCATTCTCTCCTCCCTTTGAGTAATGTGGGGAATGTTAATGTGACTTACATTGAGCACATGGTAAGCCAAGTTTTACTTCAGCTTATCTTAAGAAAGAAAACACAGAATGCGGAGGTCCAACCTGCCAAGCGTTCTTGTTTTTAAAATACGATTCTTGGGGGAGAAAGAGTAGGAGATGAGGTAGTATTATAGTATGTATTATCATCAGCTACAGATAATATTTTCAATGTGCATGAAGAACATGGCAGTTACAATATCCTCTTTCATGAGCCACAGCCTTACTCCAACCTCTCAATATAGAGGATCAAATGTATTCTTTGGCAAAATGATGAATGATTATGTCTCAAGAAACTTTGGGATCAGTTATGAATCACAGAATCCTGTTAGAGAATGCTAAAGAGTCTACTGCATGATAGAATATTACTAATTCAGAGTTCTTACAACTTGAATTCTGTTCATTTAGCCAGGAGTGAAGGAGAAGCCAGCCATCTATAAGAAAAAAACAAACTGCTAACCCAACAGGACAGTGTGAAGCTTTAACTTTGAAGAATAAATTTTTCAGAGACTTAATAAGTCCTAATTTCTATTAGTTTGCAACTCTGCTTCCAAGTTCTCCACATTACTAAACCCTATTTACTAACTTGTGTGATAAGACTTTGTTCTGACAGCATTATATATCTTGCTTAAAGCTTCCATGTAACGCTAAAAGTTATAAAATTGCATTTAAAAAAGTTTAATTCAGATTTAGAAATGAATGCAGACTTTTAGAAACTAATGCCCATCAAATTACTTCAAACTGATTAGGCTTAGATATTTTTAAAATATCTAATCAGAAATTAGAAGATACAGCTGTGGGTTCTCAAGCCCTTAAATGGGTTTAAACTGATGTCTGTATTAAAGCTACAAGCTTCTTAAGTTGCTTAGTCCTTTACCAAATGTTTATTTAGGGTGCTTTAGAAATTCTTCTGAATAGCATCCTCAACCAGATGATTGCTTTAGCTGGTCTTTTTAGCTCTGGTCTTTAGGTCCAGGATTCCCTAATATTATAATTTTCCAGAATCACGTAAGTCCAGGTCAGGGACGATGCTGACTATAGTGTCTGTACTATCATTTACTTCTCAGGACCATTGATTCATGGAATTATGGAGGGTGGAGGCAAAGGAGGGGGAAAGGAAAAGGAAAAGGAAAATGAATCATGCTAATTTCTCATCTATCTGGCAGACAAGATTTCCCTGATCAGTCTGCAACAGGACCACTGTTTGAGAGAATGATTTAACTCCTATAGCAAACAAGTGCTGGGAGGGAAAACCTAATCCTTAGGTCATATATTCTCTATTGTACAAATTGTGACTCCAGCAGAAGGCAGCTTTCAAGAACTGAGTGGAGGGATGGCTGTGTGTGTATGCTCTTAAGACAGGCCCCAAAGAAAAGCCTGAGGGGGAAACAACCCTCCTGTCCATTAAGGGTCTTTCCTGAGGCATTCGCAGCCTGCCCTGACTCATCCGCATTAATAAAACAACAAATGATGCAAAACTGTGATGCTTTAAAATTAGGTTGGTGGATTTACATTCATTTCTCAACTCACATGATAATGGAGTAATTCCTTAGAAGACAAATAATTATTGTTACCATCTGTATAAACCCTGGGTAAGCCTGTGCTATACCTGTTTAAGTTTACTTAAACATAAACACTCATCTAAGGTATAAACAGATGTAATGAAAACATTCATAATCCCACACCTGGAAAGGTAACTAATGAGTTACATGATTTTAAATTCTCTCTCACCCTTATAAATGAATCACCTTATCCTTGCAGAGCTGCCTGGAAGACTCACACCTTAAAAATGGAATGAAGATTTTCAAATCTCACCCTTTTACCTAAGTCTGGATGAAGAAAATTTAGGTCTATAACGTTTCATTTCTAGGAATAAACTTTTGCTGAATAAAGATTCCTGGTATACATAAATTATCTTTTAAGGTTTCCAACCAAGTGTTTCCGTGCATCATTTCACCTAACTGGCAGGGAAGAATGGAAAATGAAGGTAAGAAAATATTTTTTCACCATGCTTAGTAATACAGAAACTATTCCTTTTCCAGCTTTGGGTATCTGATTCATAAATAGGTTACACAGTCCACCCTCCATCACTCAATATGAGCCACTGTCTGAAAATATTTATACTTTTTGAGGATGCTGCCACTTCATAGGCCCTTGGTGGTGGGACTTTGCATAATTAACAGATATGCAAACAACAATCTCTTTGGAGACTGGATGCAGTGACTACTGTCTCCTGCACGGCACCTTAGTCTTGAAAACTGCAACAACACAGGTCTCCTCAAGAGGGCCACTGTTTGAGAGAATGATTTAACTCCTATAGCAAACAAGTGCTGGGAGGGAAAACCTAATCCTTAGGTCATGTATTCTCTATTGTACAAATTGTGAATTCCTGCAGCCGCTATAAACAGTAATGACAGAAAGAAACGGCAGGAAAGTTTGCAAAGATACAGGTTTTGGACACCATTTGGAGAGATGACAAAGGGTCTTCCATGGAATCAGTGGTCAGTGATATGGAACGGTGAAATCATGCTAAATCCTAAAGCAAATGCTTAAGAATGAACCAAGCTCTGTGAATACTCTGCAGTCGGGCTTGTTCTCGTTTTCCTGAATCACAGACCCTATTAAGGCAAAACAGACCTAATCACATAATCGTTTAAGAATTACAGTCTTGTACAGGAAACTACAAGGCACTTACAAGTCCAAGCAACCCTAAACACAATCTTGTGGTCAAATGAAGTTTAGCCTCTTCTCTATCGGATTTCAGGTAAACTAAATTGAGCCTGGGACAAACCTGGCAGAACAAGAACAGAGTGCAAAAAAACCTGCTAATATTGAGAACATGAGAAACAAATTCCCTGGAGTCTGTGGGAGTTAGGCATGAATAATGCCTGGTGGATGAAATCCTAAGGGATCTATGAGAAGAGTTACTGGGAGAACCTGAGACTATTAACCATTGCAGACTGGGGACAAAAATGTTCTCAGATGCATTAATGGACACTTATGCTACAACCAGAAAATGCATCCATGTTAACCATCCAGCTGAATAAGTCGTCAGTGTTACAAAAATGAGATCCATATTAGGCACCTTGGAAAAAGGCTTCCTTCCCAGTTCAGGCACAGGAAAGGACAAGTTACCGCTTGACTTTATTTAACTAGGAAAACTGCAAGTGAAACAACCTTTTCGTACGCAGATGGGGTGCAAACACTTTCACAAATAAACATAGTGGCTTCTGGGGGCATTTTCTAAGTTCCTTCTCCCCACTTCACCTCCAATCCACTCCTGACAGACTTCATGGTAGGCACGGTTATAAACCTGTCACAAATACTCGCATGCACAAGTAGGATCTTGAAACAACATGCAATAAATATCCTGATACTACTTTGACATAGGGCTTTTGACCACAGCTGACCTCATCTATAAATTCAATTCTTTCTCACATGACCATGTGATGAGGATTCTGGCACTGGCCTACCTGTTCCTAAGGAGTGCACAGGGAGCCCTCAAATTTAGTTTCAGGAGCTGAGAGAAGCAAGCCCTATTCCAATACCTACACTGAGCTGCTTAATTCTTACTGGTGTCACCCAGTGGGCAGTAAAACAAACAGGATTTTTATCAGCTGCTTTCTCCTGAGGTGCTGGAAAGCAAACCTAATTTGTATTCTGGAGAGGAGTGGTGGTGTTCCTTCATCTGAACAAGTCTTCTCCCGCTCCTTTTAAAACTTTAAAACTTTTATTTAAAAGTTAACTCGTGATGAATGCCTACAGGCAGAAGAACTATTTGCTTACAACAACTGTTGTTAGTTCAGACTGTAGTGTCTAGGGTTAGCACCCCCGGAACGCACACGGACAACCACTCCGGAGAAAAGATTCTATTTCCCAGCCTGTATTTGCTGCACTTTTGCACTTCTCTTGCTTGCTTAGGTGTGTTCACAATCACATGCCCAGGGTTAAAACTTAATATTCAGAACTTGATGGAATCCGGTATATGCAAAACTCAAGGAAAAGAAGTAGTGGTGGTGGTGTGTTGGGGGGGTGCATGGGGGTGTAGCCATCGCCCCCGCCGAAGGACAGCTTGCCGAGAGCCGGCTCTCTCTGCTTCCCAACCAACATCCTGCACCCAAGACAGCAGGATCTTCTTTCCCCATCCGTTTCATGGGTGACACTGCATGAATCCAAATGACCTGCAGCCCCCGCCGTCTCCCCAGAGCTCCTTCAGGCCCCCAGCCCGTGTCCTGGAACCCCGAGGACTGCCCTGGCGAAGTCCTGCGGTGCCTCCGGCAGCCCGCAGTTACCCTACCCCGCGCATACCCGGCCCTTTGTCCCGCTCCTCCCGGCGCCTCGCCTCTCCCGCGCCCGGGCGGATGCCCCAGTCGGTGCCCGCACTCACCCGCGCCGAGCAGCCCGCCCGGGCCGCGGCTCGCTGCGCCGCTCAGACAGGTGTGGGCGCCGGGAGAGAGCGCGCGGCTCCCATGCCTGCCCCGCCGCACAGCCGAGTGCGAGCAAGCTGGCGAGCAGCGCAGGCAGCTGGCGGGTCCGCCCCCCGCGCCACCCGAGGCCCGCCCGCCCCGCCTCCGGCCTCGGGGAAGCCGCGCGGACGCCGCCCGCCCCACTGCACATAAACCGTGCCCCCCTCCCCTCGCCGCTCGCCTGCGGCCGGAGCAGGGTGGAGCAGCCCAGAGGGCCTGAGGCCGAGCGTCCCTGCGCAGGTGGGCCCCGGTGGCGCGGCAGCAGTCGCCAGTCCGGGCCTCTCGGCGCCAGGCAGCACCGGCTCTGGCGGGCTCTCCTGCCCGGGACCCGCGCGCCGTCACCCTTTGAACACCGCGCATCCCCGGGTCTGGCGCGCGGCCTCCTGAGCGAGACTACGGCCTTCGCTGCTGGGAGCACGCTGCCAGCTCGCAAAAAGACCAGGTCCCCTACAAAAGGCGACCCCTCCCCCAACAGCCTAGAACTAGGGACGCGGGCCACACCTGGTGTATGGGGAGCCCTGGGCAAATTTGAAGAATTGGTTCAGAACCTGTGTGCGCCCCACCCCCACGTACACTTTTAGCGCCTTAAGGTGCTGACCGAACTCCTAGTTTCTCCGGTGCCTCCAAAGAACAGAAACCTGTATTCCCATGGCAGGGCCACCAATGCTTTGCATTTCCTTACAGCACTCAGTGCTGTGCGTGGGGCCCAAAGCACCGGGGGTGCTTGGCAGCTTCTGAGCGGCGGTGGCTGGGGAGCCCACTGGCCTCAGTTCTTCATCGGGGCACCAGCTGGTGGAGCCACCTCCTTGTCCAGTGGGCCTACTTCCCTGAATCACTCCAAGCGGTCGTTATCTTGGTGGTGGTGGTTGGGGGCCAGGGTAGGGGGGTGTGCGGGGAGTCCTCTCCTAACCAGGCTGGAGACCTTGCCATTTAAGGTCCTAGTGTTAGAGCCTTCCTATTTAGTATAGATTACTGTGTATTGAGCGTTTTCGGTCAAGAGCTTTACATATAGGCCATTGTGGTGAAGAAGGTGCAGAGATTACACTAATTTTTATAAGGAACAGGAGGTTTGGAGAGGTTTTATGACTTGCCCAAAATCACACAGCTACTGAATGGTAGGACAAGATTTTGCACTGAGCCATGCTTTCTATCAAGCTACTTAGCTTTCCTTTCTCCTATCAAAGTCTACTCTCAGAAAGGGAAGGTCTAAAGTGCTATTTCACACCAAGGTGTTACTGATATGCCTAATACGTTGGTGTTTGCAATTACTTTTACATGAGAAAGCCCTGAACACATTATTGTGTGGTCTTTTCTTTTATTTTATTTTCAAGACAAGTACTCCCTCTGTAGCTCATTCTGGAGTGCAGTAGCAGGATCATAGCTCACTGCAGCGTAGACCTCCTGGGCTCAAGTATCCTCCCTTCTCAGCAAGTATTACACGCGTGAGTCACTGCTCCCGGCCTGGTATTTCTTAAATAGAAAGGAAACTGATATTTTCCACCATTTTAAGGGCAAATTTTTCTTAGCTTAGCTTCAATTGTTTTCTTTTAAAATGTCACATTAATATATAGAGACATAGGCCAGGCTCAGTGGCTCACGCCTGTAATCGTAGCACTTTGGAAGACCAAAGTGGGCAGATTGCTTGAACTTAGGAGTTTGAGACCAGCCTGGGCAACATGGCAAAACCCCATCTCTATAAAAAATACAAAAAACCTAGCCAGTTGTGGTGGCACACGCCTGTGGTCTCAGCTATTTGGGAGGCTGAGGTGGGAGGATGGCTTGAGCCCAGGAGGTGGAGGTTGCAATGAGCTATGATCACCACTGCACTCCAACCTGGGTGACAGACCAAGACCCTGTCTCAAAACACACACAGACACAAAACCAGATATAAACTTATGTTACAGCTTTTGAACAACTCGCAAATAAAACCAAAACAGATTTATAAAAATTTTCTTCCAGAATAATAAAATTGAAATTAGTAACGTTTCCTGGACTACTATCAGCATTGCATGGTACTGACAGCTGAGGCGTCAGTACCTTTGACTTCCCTGTGGCTCTGCCACTCTCATGATGTGTGAGGTGCCCAATGCAGACTCAATTCTCTCACCTCTTTCCTTCGTTCCATCTACCATATCTCCTTTGCCCACACCATATGTCATTGCAATGGGTTTCTCTTGACTCTAATACATTATTTAGGTATTTGTGCTGTTTCTCTCTTATTAGCATAGCAAGTGAAGTGGTAACTCTTGCTGCCAAAGACTAGTACACACAGGTGCTGCAATCAAGAGGCAGTACTTGGCATGAGATGGTCATCCCAATGATCCAGAATGTGTTTATCTTTTATTATAAAAATTTTAAAGATTAAATTGAGGATCTCTAAGTGTCTGTAGCTCCCAATTGAAGAAACACCATTAAAAGGTAAGTATCTTAATAGAGGAACTGGAGGTGCAGCTGGAAGGAAGGGAAGAAGGGAGAGATTTATCAACCATGCTCAAGTTGTATTAGAGTCACTTCAATCCAACAAATATATATTGAGCACATATTACATGGAAAACATTGCGCTAGGCACAAAATTAAAGAGATGCATATAGGAGGACCATACAGCAACATAATTAAGAGTGGCCTGTGGCATCTGACTATGGGGTACCAATCCAAGGTCTGACGCTTACTAGTTGTGTGGCTTTTCACTTAACTTTTCTGTACCTCAGTTTCCTCCTCTGTAAAACCAGGACTTTCTCATAGAGTTCTTTTAAGAATTGAATGAATATACATAGTGTGCTTAGGAGAGTTTCTTACATGGAACAAGCCCTTAATAAATATTAGGTATTGTTATATTTATCACACTTGGCTCTGCTTCGGAGTGTAGTCCTCCAGTACCACCTCAGTCAGCTTTGACATTCATTGCTCATTTTTTTCCTAGTAGTTGCAATGTTTCAAGTTAGAGTCATGGAGAACAAGATGATTATTCCCATCACTCAGAGAGAAAAACTGAGGCACAGAAGGGCCCAAGAGCACAACAGTCCTTCATCTGGTCTCAGGGACTACCGCCCACTATCCAAAGAGCTAATAGGAAGGACTCTTTAACTACAGATGTCCCACGGGGGCTCAGGGTTTGAACATGCACCACAAGCTTTTGTTGTTCCTCAGAGCTACCAAGAGTAAAATGAGAGGCTACTTCCTGGCTGTTAGGTTGTCATCACGATTGCCATAAGGACGATGATAGAACTGTATTTTGACCTCTGAGACAAATGACCAATGTAAACAGCAGATGTCTTCATGCTAAGATTAGAGGTTTGCTTTTCTTTTTGTACTCGTCCCATTTCCCTCCCCAGTGGGGAGGGGGTCGGGGGAACCAAAACCGAAATCCTCACTGCTTCTTAAGAACTCAGTTCAACTCTATAATTGTAATTCCCGAATACTTTTTATATGCGTAGCAATGGAGTTGTTCAAAATGCATTCAGGGCAAAGCCCACACATTTTCTGATCATCCACTCTGTGTAAGGTTATTTGGGCTGTCAGGGAGAGAAAGCAAATACCCCTCAGCTCGAGGAATGTATGCAATGGACATAAACAAAATCAAATATAGGAGAAAGCAAGATATCAGCTGGATCAGGATACAGACATGAGCTAGAGAACATGGAAGAGGGAATCATTAATTCCCACTCTGGCAGGTGCTGAAAGCTTTGAGGTAGAATTTGAGCTGAAGCTCAAAGCATAAAAATCTGGACATTACCTCACTGTGTTCACAAAACTACTTTGTAACACAGACAAGAAGAAAAATATCCACTGTATAGATGAGAAAATCAATGCATAAATTAAGGGAGCAGAACTAGGACTAAATTGTATCTATGCTTAGTGAATGCATACTATATGCCAGGTACTGTGGAGTATATTTTATTATGTGTAATCTTTTTTTTTTTTTTTTTTTTTTTGAGACGGAGTCTCGCTCTGTCGCCCAGGCTGGAGTGCAGTGGCGCGATCTCGGCTCACTGCAAGCTCCGCCTCCCGGGTTCACGCCATTCTCCTGCCTCAGCCTCCCGAGTAGCTGGGACTACAGGCGCCCGCTACCACGCCCGGCTAATTTTTTGTATTTTTAGTAGAGACGGGGTTTCACCGTGTTAGCCAGGATGGTCTCGATCTCCTGACCTCGTGATCCGCCCGCCTCGGCCTCCCAAAGTGCTGGGATTACAGGCGTGAGCCACCGCGCCCGGCCTATGTGTAATCTTTAAGACAAATAGAGAAGCTATGATTTTCTTCATTCTGCAGATGAGGATTCTGAGGTTCAAAGTTTTAAAATAGTCTACTCGGTGCCATACTACAGTACAAAGGATCACAGCTGTGACCTCTGCCCAGTCTGCCCCATTCTTTTGCTGGATTCCATTGTGTTATATTGCTTCCCAGACTTGCCTTTTCCCGTCCTGACAATAAGGAGGTTGCATCAGTTTCTGATGTCACTCCAGCTCTAAGTATCCTTTTGATTCTATCTTGCTTTTGTTCCAGTTATGTAATAACTCACGAATGACCTGTTAAATAACCCCAAAGCAGGAAACAAGATGGGACTGAATGATACTTGGAAGCTTAGGGTGGCATGACCAGCACTAACTCTAAACTCAACCTCAACTCAACTAAATTTTAGTGCTTATTTTTTATGAGACCAAGATCCATATGTAGCCTCAACAATTTAAGTCAGTTTGAAAGTTATCAAAAAGGATTATGTCTAAGGAGATAAATGGGCATATTTCAAAATCATTTCCATATGGTTTCATATTTCTTTGATAATAATAAAGTGTTACGTGGATCTTGTAGTTTACTCAGTAAGTGGGGGTTTTCAGCTCTGTGTAGTGAGTGAAAAGAGAATTGGAATGAAAGTCAACACAGGGTGGGGCATTCTAAATGTGTCTTAGCCATAGAGGTGCTGTGTGACCTTGGGTAAATCACCACACTCATTGGCCTTGATTTCTTGTCTGTTAGTAGAGAACCTAGATAACCTGCTGTTACAGTCTTTGAGCTTATGACATAGTAATCCTTACGGGAAGATGATCCACATCATTTTTTAATTTTGGGGCACCCACGGTGCCTACCATGGGATCCCGGAGTAGCAAAGGATGTGAAATTCTGTGGTCAGACTGACTTGGATTCAACTTAGAATTCATTTATTCGTTGGGTGAATGTGGGCAAGTTACGTGACCTTCTGTGCCTCACTTTTCTCATCTGCACAATGAGACTGATTTAGGGGTGTTGTAAAGATTCAGTGAGATAATCAGTACAAAACCCATAGCATCGAGCTCAGCACAAAGTAAATTCTAAATTGGCAATACGTATTATTATTATAATTATTATTATCATTACTATCACTGCTGCTATTGTTACTACTGTGAATGCTCAATAAATGTTTTTGAAAATTGTTGAATGAATAAATGAATAAATCAAACTGTTATATTATCCATGCTAAAAAGTTTAATCCAGACTTTATAAGAAAAAATGTATCCCAGGACTCCCGTTGACACCCCCAAATCTTGTCTTCAGTCTGGTCTACAGGCAAGAGAGTTTTAATATTGAATTCAGGAAGAATTATAGATTCAAATGAGAGCCATGGTTGTATTTTTTGTCTCCTCCTCCAATCTCCTCTATGGTACCATCAGTTCATTCATTGAACAATTACCTATTGAACCATGAATATTACAAGGTTTATATATTTGTCAGTGTTTTTTTAGGGCAAAATCACATTTTTCTTATAATGTTTAATTTAAAATTTTCCTTGTAAAAAGTAAAACCCCCATAGTAAAATTCCTGTAATAAAAACAAATCTAACAAGATAAACCACTCAAATCTCTACAGCACTTAATACAGAAAACAAATATATTTGTATTACATTCAAAACTTTCTAAAAATTTCTATTTTTGTTAAGTATAGATTACTCATTTTAAGTCTTTGGAAACATAGGTAGTCAGGCACTCTAAATGTAAATATGTGAAGGTGTAATATATAAAAGCTTAACATACAAAATTATTGTAGGGTTAAATTGTCATATTGGTACATATGGTAGGAAAAAAAGAGCTGCACAGCAAGTAAAAGCTTTACTCTAATCCTACTTAGAATATGCCAATCTAAAATTATCAGAAAGAAAAATAGACTTGAGTACTTGCAATTTCCTGTATGCTCTGGGCACTATTGTAAACTGAAATATTGGGAACATTTTGGAATAACTATGTGTTTCTCATTTTCTCTGGTCAAATTTGAAGTCTCCAAATTTGAAGTGGCCAGCATGGGGCTTCTCTGATCTACTCTAACTTGCATACTGGATCTTATGATCAAGAACAAAAGAGAAAATGAAGATTTTATATTGGAAATTTTTTTTCTGAAATCTTTACAACTTTAAAAATCTTTTATGGAAAATTATTTTGTTTTCAATTTTTGTTTATATTTATCCATAAATGTTGGATTCTCTTTTTACTCCTTTATAAGGAGTAAGCTTTCATGTGGTTCAGTGTGGGGTCTGGATATTTGAATTTGGGTCTTTTATGAGGTTTCTCCTTTACTTTGTGGAAAATTCTATTCATCCTTCAAGCTCAAATATCAGCTGTTCTCTGAAGGCTTCCAAACCCTTCGGTGCTAGATTTGTAAGTTTAACTTATGTTTTTTAGAGGGTTGTATTAAAATTATATCTTATGTTGTAATTATATATATTTACATGTTGAAACTCAAGCAGTCCAGAGCTCCTTATGAGTAGGAAATCTGTCTTGTTTTCCTTTTTAGTCTTTATAGTTTTCTGCTATAGTCTAGCAGAGAACCTAGCTCTTTGTAAAGGCTTATTTAATGTTAATTTAATAAATGATTAAATTAATGAATAAAATTCTAATTGGTTAAAAATATTAGATCAGAAATAATTTAGCTTGCCAGCCACTAGGAACAGGACACAGTGAGTGTACATGAAATTTTACCACTGGGGCTCTCACACTCTCCAGAATGTTAATCTGAACTTCCATTTAGGGTCTGTTTACCATTGTTTCCTTACAGTTCATGTCAGATAACAAATTCAGTTTCCACTTGGCCTGCTAATTACATTTCACTACTCACGCTATGGCTACATGGTGGCATTCTAGGTGCCATTTGTCCATGATTTATGACATTTGACTGGCTTTCTGCAGAACTCTTTGCAGTATGCTCTGAATTTGGCCACTACAGGGTGTTCTGAGTTGCTCTACCATGGAGTCCCCCAGGATTAAAGAATGCTATTGGACAATATGTGTTTCCCAAATTCTATTCCCTCCCACACTTCTGGAAGAGGTCAATAAATTGCCTGTAAAAAAAGGTAGTTAAATATGGATATTACCATTTCAAATACTCTGAGAAGTCTTGCATAAAGAAATCTAGTTAAGCTCGTTTATCTCAAAGGTGCCCAATCTTATTTGACCACGGAATCCTTTTTTCAATACAGAAGTAACAGTTCACAATATAGAAGCCTTCTAAAGAACAGAATTTGAGCTCAGGAGCTCAAGACTAGCCTGGGCAACATGGTGAAATCCCATCTCTACAAAAAAATACAAAAATTAGCTGAGCCTAGTGACGTGTGCTTGTAGTCCCAGCTACCTGGGGGGCTTGAGCCTGGGAGGTCAAGGTTGCAGTGAGCTGTGACTGTACCACTGCATTTCAGCCTGGGTGACAAAGTGAGACCCTGTCTCAAAAAAAGAATGGAGTTTGAAAAACGTCATCCGTAAGTTTACCCCACTTCTACAATTGAACCACTTCTGTTCCCAAGATGTGCTCTGTGCTTTTTTTTTGCCTTGCTGTCTTTGTTCATATCTGAAACTCTTTCATATCCATCTGTCTACATTCTGTCCATTTTTCAAAGGCCTAACACAATGTTACATCTTCTACAAAGTATTTTTGTTGGCCTTTGATTTCCCATAACACTTTCTGTAACTTTCTCATAGCTCTTGTAATTTTATTCGTTTTATTTTCAGCTTATGTTTCTCCTCCCCTACTGTTGAATACCATGAGTTTGCATCTCTGGCCTGCACCTTTTTTGGCTGGGTGTGTTATTCAGGGTCTTGGCAATAGCACATTGGTTCAAATGATGATACTTTAATGAAGTGGCTACTTATGGAGGTGAAGACAGGGTAGAGGGAACAAACAAGCCAGAGAGGCATCCAGGGTCTAGCAGCAGTGGGAAGCCATCACTCATCTGGGCAGGAGGCAGAAAGGAGAAAATGCTGTCCCAGAGCCCAGTGAGCATGAGCACCTTGGAGGGAAGCCTGCTTCCAATTGCCGAGTAGTCCATGGAGAGTTGCAGCTGCTGCAAGAAATGGCTCCCCAAGGACGGAGGAAGTTGGAAAGAAGCACCCTGACCTCTTCTCTTCCTACTCTGATCTCCCGAGGCCTACCAAAGTCAGCTCACAAGGGAGTCAGGTTGTGCTGTCTGTAAGGACCAGCCTTCTGAGCACAGTGCAGGGTAGTGAAGGGTGGAGAACTCATGGGAGAGAGGCAGACAGAAAATAATCAGCACATTGGGAAAGCCTGCTTCAAAATAGGGGTAGTGACCAGTACCCTCCTCACAGGGCTGTAAGGAGATTATAGGGATTTCATTAGAAAATGTATCCAAATATTAACATATCGCACAGAGCCTGATTCTCAAATTATTTTAGCTAGTCATAAGAACCCTGTGAATAGCTACTGGTATAAAAGCTCATTGAAGAAGATGTCATGCATTGCTTATTTTTCAGCTCTTACACATGGCAGCATAGGCCCTCTGAGCAGTAGGACCATGAATGGATGCCATCAGGTGTGCCACGGGGAGCCACCTTGAACAGAGGTCACAGGGAAGCTAGTTTGGCTGTTTTGACTAAAATCATCAGTCAGTCTGACCTTGGAAAACAGACAGCAGTGAGCTGACTTTAAGACTTATTTTTAACTTTCAGCAGATTGTTCTGGCACTTCTTCCCCACAGTCTAGGCCTCTAGGTTTTCCTTTGTCTCTTTGTGGAGGTGAGAGCTGCTGAAAAACAAGTGAGCTTGTGAAAAGTGCCTCACAGCCATCACTGGAAATGGCACCAATTTGTCACATTTGAAAGCCAGCTAGAGGTGGCTGGCCCAGGGGTTCAGCAGGAGGATTTGTACTTACAGAAGCAAATTGCTTCCTCCTTTTTCAGAAGAGTAACCTGTTTTATTTCAAACACAGGATCACCTGGCTCCTTCTGCCCTCCGCACACAGATTAGGGAAACCACAAGAATAATCATCCATGTGTTCTTTTCACTTCAAAGCCCTGCAGAATGCCACAAGGGCTGGTTCTCCCACCTGAAACAAGAGAGGCCCTTCCAGGGCTGTGCTGGTTTAAGAAAGCCCTTTCCTGGGAACTGGGGGAGTGAGGTGGGACTTACCAGATGAAGGCAAATCTGTGTCAGACAAGGAAGCCACACAGGTACCCTCCACTGCAGCTCTGCGCCTGTGCTCCTGGAGGAAGGGTGAGTTTGCAGGGTGACAGCTCTGTGGAACCTGTCACACTGACAGAGGCAATGAAGGTCACACTGGGATGAGATTCCAGTACTGACACCAGCAGCTGCAGGTAGGGACTTCCTTCAAGGAGGAGTGACTTTTTTATCCGGGTTTCCGGCAGACTAAATTTAGTGGGAAAAAGCCCCTTGATCCTGTGGGATCTGTAAGTAGTTGCTCACATTGTTGTCCCTGCCCCTGGGAAATCAAGACATAAACCCAAACTGTTAATAAATGGCTCTGATGTCACTACACCCACAAGCCTCACACTTTCTTAGTGGGCCAATCTTGAGTCCTCTGGCTTTTCCTGGAGCACACAGATATTTAGTCTCTACTCAAGGCTGGCAGAGGTGCTGTTTGGGGAATTGTGTGCAGTCAGGGTGAGGATAGACTCTCCAGACAAGAAGTGGGTCCATTCCATCAAACAGCAGGGTGATAGGTAATACAGTGGTTTGAGGATCATGCTGCCAATAAAAATGGGCTCTTCCCAGCAATGTGACACCACTCCAAGATGACATGACAATTTTTCTTGTAATGTGAAAATGAAAAAGTCACTTGGCTACAATCCAGGAAGACCCAGGAAGTCTAAACTACCTAAACTACCATGACCTCACAGTTGTATAAATAGCATTTTGGAAAATGAGGTTATCCAAGCTATTTGCTCTTTCAGGACAAGAGATAGCAATCTCTCTCTCCCTCTCTCAGTGTAATAAAATTGAACTCTTAAATCCTTAAAAACCTTCCTGCAGGAAAACTTAAAACAAATACATGACAAGCCTTTGATTTCTTAGCCTAGCTTTGAAGGGTTGATTGCTGACTTCAAGGCAAATTCCAGTCTTGGTAGCAGTCCCCCAACCCCAACTACAATCTGTAATTTTATTATCAACTCTTTCATCCTCTGCCCAACGATCTCCAAGCTTCAGGGAAATGAAGTTCACTCAGAGATTGGGTATTCTTGATCTAAGCATGATAGGTGTCAACCTTTGCATTTATTCTGATCCCTACCTGACAAGAAAAGAAAGGATGAGTTAGCTATAAAATGGTTTTGTGTAAAGTTGTAGTTTTAAATAGTATAGGTTGGTGCAAAAGTTACTGCGATTTTTGCATTGTTGAAATTTGCCATTTGATACTGGAATACATTATTAAATGTTATGTTATATATCACTTTAATGTACATTTCTCACTTTATGTTTTTTGCTAATGACTTCTTACTTGCTGTTTATTTTCGACTATAAAAATGATGTTAGACAAAAAGCAAATTTGAGCAATTTTCTTATTCGAGTTCAAAATGGGTCGTAAAGCAGCAGAGACAATTTGCAACATCAACAACACATTTGGCTCAGGAACTGCTAACGAAGGTACAGTGCAGTGGTGGTTCAAGAAGTTTTGCAAAGGAGGGGAGAGCCTTGAAGATAAGGAGCATAGTGACTGGCCGTCGGAAGTTGACAACAACCGAGAGCAGTCATTGAAGCTGAACCTCTTAAAACAACACGAGAAGTTGCTGAAAAACTCAACATCTACCATTCTATGGTTGTTTGGCATTTGAAGCAAATTGGAGAGGTGAAAAAGCTCAATAAGTACCCACTCATAGGTGCCTCATGAGCTGAGAAAAAAAAATGTCGTTTTGAAGCGTCATCTTATTCTATGCAACAACAACAAACCATTTCTTGATTGGATTGTGATGTGCGACAAAAGTGGATTTCATATGACAACTGATGATGACCAGCTCAGTGGTTGGAACTAGATTCTTCTCACTCCAAAGCACTTCCCAAAGCCAAACTTGCACCAAAAAAGGTCATGGTCACTGTTTGGTGGTCTGCTGCCAGTCTGATCCACTACAACTTGCTGAATCCCGGTGAAGCCATTACATCTGAGAAGTATGCTCAGCAAATTGATGAGATGTGTCAAAAACTGAAAGGTCTACGGTCGCATCGGTCAACAGAAAGGGGCCCAGTTCTTCTCCACAACAACGCCCGAATGCACATTGCACAACCAATGCTTCCATAAGTTGAGCAAACTGGGTTACGAAGTTTTGCCTCATCCGCCATATTCACCTGACTTCTCACCAACCGACTACCACTTCTTCAAGGATCTCGACAGCCTTTTGCAGGAAAAACGCTTCCTCAGCCAGCAGGATGCAGAAAATGCTCTCCAATGTTCATCAAATCCTGAAGCACAGATTTTTACGCTATAGGAATAAACAAACTTATTACTTGTTGGCAAAAATGCGTTAACTGTAATGGTTCCTATTTTGATTAATAAAGATGTGTTTGAGCTTAGCGATAATAATTTAAAATTCACAGTCCGAAACCGCAAATACTTTTGCACCAAATTACTTTTGCACTTTTAAAAAAGTACCTATGGCACTGATATAGTTGGAGTCCATCTTAATAATAATGATCATTTATAATCATTATAATAATAGCATCATGTGCTAGATACTGTGCTAGATACTTCCCACTACTTGCATTTGACCGGATAACCCTGAGCAGTAGTAGCTCGAATCCCTCTTTTTACTGGCAAGAACCTGAGGCTCCAAACAGTTAAGTAACATTCTCTGTTCAGAGTGTTGGAGAGAGGATGAAAACCCAGGACTCTCTATCCCAAATTCTCTTATAAGGTTTCCTATGTTGTTTCTGTTAAGATGCTTTTACATGCAAGTAATGGAAAATCCCAATTCACTCTAGCTTAAAAAATAATAAGGAAATGAAAAATCATACATATCAAGAAGTTCAAGGTCAGGGTGGCTGCAGGTGAGGGGCACTCAAGGCTCCCTCTCTGCTTCTCTTGGTGCCCCCTCTTCTGCATTGGCTCAGCCCTCAGGCTTGCGACAAGATGGAGAAACAAGCAAACATCATGTATAATTATATCCAGGAGACAATCAAAAGGGGGCTTTTCTTATGTGTCTTAGGAGCAACAAATTTATACCACTCCCCACACCTGTCCTCGTATTGCAATGGCTGGAATTCAATAGTCATAATACATCCTTTGCTAAACCTATTACTGGAAAGGGAATGAAGTTACCTCAGTTAGTCTAAGGTAGGTGGTGTGGAATAATTGGAAGAGGTCTGGACTAGGGTTCAGAGATCTTGGGTTTTAGTCCTAGTTCTGTCATCTACTTAGTTATGGAAACTTGCTAATTGGGTAGCCTCTTTTAGACCTTACCTTTTCCTTATTGGTAAAACAGGGCCAACAATTCCCACCCTACTGATCTCACCAGGTTGTTGTGAAACAGGAATGAAGTCATGTCTGTAGAAACACTTTGTAAAGTGTAACACACTACTTAAATGCATGTTATTGCTTCTATTAACATGATTCAAAGAGAGCTGTTGATCATGAGACACTTTCAATTAAACTCATCTGTGGTACTTAATCTCATCAAGATGATAGTTTAGAATTTGTATGAGTTTTGTCAAAGATTTACCTAAATTTTACTTTTGTGCTGGCAGATTAATAGTGTAAAATAGGGGGAAAGTATGAAATTTAGTATTTAGAAAGCCAATTTTCAAGCGTCCGGATGAACTTCAACAGGAAATCTATATATAAATTAGGATAGGTCAATAAGATTGGTTATTTATAAGTTAAAGTAGTCATCAAAAAGTAAGTTTTCTAAGAAGCTATTATACACCTTTCTCATCCCTTCATTTATACCAATTCAGTAAACATGTATGGAATATTACCATGGGAGGAGGTGATGGGGTACACAAAAAATTAAATCTGAAACAGACCCTGCTGAAAGGACAGTGACTATCTAATAGTTAAAAATTCTAGAAAGCAGACTAGATAAAGCAGCTATAATAAAACGTAGGAAGATAAGAGGAAGTAATAGCTCAGTAATGAAGGGACAAAGGGCTGTAACTGCTCAGAGGGTGGAGACAGTTTTCAGCTGTGGTGTTAGGGAAGGCTTCATGGACAAGGTGTCACTTGAATTAGAAGCTGTCAGATTTGGATATGGAAATAGCAAGTTCATCTGTTCACGTATATCAAACTTGCTTCAAAAATTTGAATACCCAACTGGAAAGCATAATCCTTGAGTATAAATTACATGAGAGATGCAGCAAAATATAAAAGTTGGAAAGGTAAAGATTGCAGGTAGAATATAGAAGGGCTGAAATATCATACTCAGGAATTTGAACTTTATTCAGTAGGCAATGGAAGTCAGCAAAAGCTTTTGGGCAGTGTGCCTTCATAATATCTGTGCTTTATAAGGATTAATCGGGCAGCTTCTGGAAAGGTAAGTGCAAGGGGAGAAAGTGAAGGCTGAGAGACAAACTAAGAGTTTGCACATTCAAGCAAGAGTTCATGAGAACCCAAACTAGATTATGGACATTGAGATGGAGATGACATAATGGATATGTGATATTCTGGAGGGAGAAACCTTAGGTCTTGGTAATTTATATAAAAAAGAGTTGGGGAAATGGGGGAATCAGGGACCTTTCGTTAGGAAGTGATAAAAAAAAAGTCACCCAAACTTGACTTGCCTAAATAGAGAAGTAAATTAGGCTGGGCACAGTGGCTCACGCCTGTAATCCCAGCATTTTGGGAGGCCAAGGCGGGCAGATATTTTGAGGTCAGGAGTTTGAGACCAGCCTAGCCAACATGTTGAAACTCCATCTCTACTAAAAATACAAAAATTAGCCAGGCGTGGTGGTGCATGTCTGTAATCCCAGCTACTAGGGGAAGCTGAGGCAGGAGAATTGCTTGAACCCAGGAGGTGGAGATTGCAGTGAGTTGAGATTGCACCTTTGCACTCCAGCCTGGGCGACAGAGGGAGACTCCATCAAAAAAAAAAAAAAAAAAAAAAAAAAAAAGTAAATTTACCTATTAACTTAATTGAAAAGTCCCCAAAATAGGTCTAGCCTTGGAACTGTTGAACTACAGGGCTCAAGAAACATCATCAGGATTTGGGCTTCTCTACCACTCAGTTTTTCTTCTGTGCTGGTTTCACTTTAAGGTAATCTGCAGATGCTTTTAACTTATATTTTCCCAGAATTAAAACCAGCAGAAAAGAGAGTTTGTCTCCCTCATCAGTTCCAACAACTATCCTGACCCCGATTCCCATTGGCCAGGCAGGGTCACCTGCACATTCCTGAAGTAATCTCTCTGGCTACGAGAGATCATTGCTGATTGGCTTGGACTCATATCTGGTCTTTCTTATTCTTATTTTAATAATTTGCCCATGAAGACAGCCTAAGTATAGGCCACTATAAAATGCTGCCCTATGACCAAGATCAGATCTCATTCTGATGAATTCTTCCTAACCAAAAGACATGATTCGGAACAGTGACAGCTTCTTTTCATTCCATCAACTGCAATATTTTTTAAGGCATTTCTTAAGGGCCTGGCACATGGCTAACCTCATAAAATGAATAAAACCAAAACTATTTCTAGGGCCGTATTCAAACTGGAGAGTACAAACCTACATAAATGCTAAAAAGATTTCAAGTCTGGGAAAAGGGTACAGATTATCTGAGGGGTGACAAAGGAGTAACTATTAACCTAAGCCTTGAAGCAGCTTTACATCAAAACAATCTAGGCAGGGCACGGTGATGCATACCTGTAGTCCCAGCTACTCAGGAGGCCAAGTTGGGAGAATTATTTGAGCCCAGCAGTTTGCAGCTTCTGCAGCATAGTGAGACTCCATTATGTTTAAAAT
The DNA here is from genome assembly GCF_000001405.40 of Homo sapiens. Taxonomy (NCBI): domain Eukaryota; kingdom Metazoa; phylum Chordata; class Mammalia; order Primates; family Hominidae; genus Homo; species Homo sapiens. Next base: position 86,785,427 of record NC_000011.10, on the reverse strand, counting down.
AGAACAATCTAGGCAAGGCACTGAATGCCAACCAGATGTTGAAAAATCATTTGGATTTAATTTGAAATAAGGTAATTGCTTGAAAAATAACATGCACCATCTGCCTGATCTGAATCTTCTCTTTATACAGCACTTATCTAAAGAGTGTACCTAAATTAAAAGTTTACTAAGTGTTTATGGGTATGAGGAAAGCTTATGCCTTCCAGAGAATACTATGAAAATTCCTCCGGTAAAGAAAAGCAGCATTCATTCTGTGAAGTGAATCTCTTGCCCCAGTACTGATGGGTACGCATCCCCATTTTCACATACTGGATTTGCTTTAAAGCCAGGTACTCACACCTGAGCTGCATGAAGGAAAAATGTTGAATCCCATCATAAGACTGTTAAATTTGAGCTCTGTTTTATTAAAAAGAAAATGTCTACTTGAAAAGTGTTTGGCTCATGCCTGTAATCCCAGCACTTTGGGAGCCTGAGGCAGGCAGATCACCTGAGGTCAGGAGTTCGAGACGAGCCTGGCCAACGTGGTGAAACCCCATCTCTGCTAAAGTACAAAAATTAGCTGGATGTGGTCGTGCCTGTCTGTAATCCCAGCTACTTGGGAGGCTGAGGCAGGAGAATCGCTTGAACCTGGGAGGCAGAGGTTGCAGTGAGCCAAGATTGTGCCACTGTACTCTAGCCTAGGCAAAAGAGAGAGACTCCATTTCAAAAAAAAAATAATTAAAAGTGTTAAAGGCACAAATGCAGCTTGAATCAAGTTGTTACCAAAATCCACGCTGCTGTGTGCATATTTTTAAACATATAGCAGAGCCACTCCTTCAATTTTCCAGAGTGACTGTCATCCTGCTGATGCAAACTACTGTAACATGTAATTTGGAATGAGATCAAAAGTTTGAAAATTAGAAAAGAATCTGGGTGGAACACTTGATTTTTGATACTGCAAAGCAGATGAGTGTACTGGTTTAGCCAGAGCTGGTTGTCCCAATACAATACAATCAACAGGTCTTGTAATCAACAGTTCCCGGGAGGCTGCAGGCTTGCTGCAATGTCAGCTGGATTTGTGAAGCCCAGGAAGCCTCCTGGCCCTCATTAGACTCATAAAAATCATCCTGAAGAAACACAGATGTTAACAACAACACTGATAGAAGACCCAGGTTTGGAGGGAATCACTTTTTTTCTCAATTATGCAACTTCCTAACTGGTCACTGGGAAGGCAGGGGACAGGTGGACGGGAAGGATGATGATTTTAGAGAGCTGTATTTCCTTCATTTATCTGAGTGCCCCGACCAAGATATAAAAAGGAGAGACCAGGGAAGAGAGTTTGCATTTGGTGATCTGCACCTACCATAGTGCCTGACACATAGTTCATGCTCGATAACAATTTGTTGAATAAATGAATGATTGAATAAATCAATAGTGTAATGTGAAAAGTTCCCCATGTTACGTTTCTGGGCATGAACTATACTTGAGCTCTCCATAGGACCACCAGATGGAGACTTATTACTGATTGGCTGGGAGACAAAAAGTTAGGCAAAAAGTTTACTCATTTTATTCATCTTAAATCTGTACAGGGCCCAGAAAACTCCTTTCCAAAGTTATTTTGAAATGTTTTCAACCCTTTTCCCACAGTAAATAAATTCTAGGGAAAGAATTCAGGAGCCAAACCCAGTAAACAAAAAAAAAATTTCCATCCCTCTGTTGAATATACAACACAAATAGTTTTATAAGTTGGATGGACTGTTAGTGATTTAACATTAGAAAACTAGAGAAACTATTCAAAGTCCAGTGCCCAAGTGACTCCCTGTTATGCCCCTTTCTATATCTATACTTGATAAACAGCTAGGCTCTGGAGGACTTTTAATACAAGAGGGAAAATACAGATGCAGCTTGGAAGAGCCAGGCTGATTTCAGTGTTCTGAGAATCTGATGAGTGATTAAGTGATAATCAGGATAACAACCATCTCTTCTTTTCTCATCACTCAATATTTTAATTTTTGTAGAGGGTCAGGTTTCAACTTTTAGTTTTGTCATTAAGTCTGTACATCAGGAATCAAAAAATTTTGAAGAAAGGAAAAGTTAGGAGGAAAAAGGCAGAGGTAATTCAAGAATCAAATTGAGTCTGATTCATAGTAAAAGACCCTAAATGGAGCATGGGAAAGAACATTCAAAAGCAAGTCTTGGGGCATGTGTGTGTGTGTGTGTGAGAGAGAGAGAGAGACAGAGAGAGAGAAAGAAAGAGAATGAATGAATCTCTGAAGGCCTTGATCCATTCTGGTTCAGATGGAACCTGTAAGGAGGGACACACATCCATTTTAAGTAGGTGACTCAATGACTAAAGCCCATAAGGCCCCTCTGCCTTTGCTCTGAAAGCTTGTTTGCTTTTAGCTGTTTAATAACCTGAGGCCTGCACCTGGCATTCATGAACTTTTCTCCTATTGAATCCTCAGGGTCTCTCTTCAGGTGTTGGAAGTTTATGAGCTCTGCTTCTTGTGTATCCAAAAAGTCAGTTGGCAGCTCAGTTGGCCTTCTCCACTCCCCACCCCAAGGCCAATGCCACCTACTCTGTCCCTGGGGGGGGGGTCCCAGTGTCCACGGAACTAATCTCTCTAGTTATCTTGTCCTTGTTATCCTCAAAAATGCACACGAGTCGTTTCCGCTTTCAGTTTTACTGCTCATTACTCCTGTAGTGTTTCTCAGCCTTCAGGGGACCTGCATGAGAATTACTGGGATGTTGTTTATTTAATGATGATGTTTGTTTAAAGGTCCAAAAACTTTTCTGATAATATTCTGTTTCTTGATCTAGGTACTGGGTACATAGGTATATTCAGTTTGCAAAGGTTTAGTAAGGTATACACTTATGAGTACTTCTGGTTGTATATTATATTCTAGAAAAATGTTTTTTTTTTTTTTCCCCTTAAGGAGAGATGGGATTTCACCATGTTACCCAGGCTGGTCTCGCGCTCCTCACCTCAAGTGATCCACCTGCCTTGGCTTTCCAAAGTGCTAGAATTACAGGCATGAGCCATTGCATGGGGCCCTTAGTAAAATGTTTCTTAAAACCACATGAACCAGCTGGGCGTGGTGGCTCATGCCTGTAATCTCAGCACTTTGGAAGGCAGAGGTGGGTGGATCACCTAAGGTCGGGAGTTCGAGACCAGCCTGACCAACATGGAGAAACCCATCTCTACTAAAAATACAAAATTAGCCAGGCGTGGTGATACATGCCTGTAAACCCAGCTACTTGGGAGGCAGAGGCAGGAGAATTGCTTGAACCTGGGAGCCGGAGGTTGCGGTGAGCTGAGATCGTGCCATTGTACTCCAGCCTGGGCAACAAGAGTGAAACTCTGTCTCGGGGGGAAAAAAAAAACACAAACCAACTACTGATTCAGAATCTCAGTGGTTTTGGGCCTTCTTACCAAACTCCTCAGGTGATTCAAGTTTAAGGGCCTTTGTGTGGAGCAGAAACATATAAAAGGTAAAGAAATTAGAAATACTAAAGAAACATTATATAAGTGCTTATTGTGGTGTTTCCTGGCCTATTTCATCTACCCATTCATGAGCACTTGGGCTGTGAGTGCATTGTTTTAGGGCCCAGGATCACAATAGTTCAGGTGATGGCCCAGTTCCCTGCCCTACTGCCATTGGCCACTGTCTGCAGAGGGACCACTGAGCTGACCTAGGCACCAGCCTTGCCCTGGAGGAACCCACTGCCCCCTGGAGGACATAATTGAGCTAATAGTGACAATGCAGGCTGGTTAGTGATCTGGGAACCCACAGGGTTGATCTGGGAACCCTGGAGGGGGACTAGCCCCAACCCTGTTAGATGGTGACTGCAGGTCCCACAGACTTCTGGCTTCTGCTTCTGTTCCCACAATGGTGCTCCCTGACTCACCTCTACCCATAAGGCCCCATGCTTCCTTTCCCAGTCCTCTAGGATGGCCCCATCTCTCAGCACTCGTGACTACGGGACAGGCAGAGAGGAACAACAGATGTCAGGAAAAGGAGAAGCCTTGAGTTGTCATCTTTCAGAGCACAGGTTCTAGAGCCAAAGTCCTTTGGTTCCAATCCCAGCTCAGCTGCTTAGTAGCTATGGGAATGATTATTATAGTACCTACCTAGGAGGATCATCTACTTCAGAATGTGGTTATCGTGGAAATAACGGACATTAATATCTCGGTAGTGCTTAGAACAATGCCTGTTACATAGTGCTATATAAGTGTTAGCTGTTATTATAATTTAGGCTACCTTCAGATGTCCATTGATCTCAAGTGGGTAAATAACATTCCTGAGAACTTCCAGACAGGGTGACATCCATCTCAGTGGGATCCTGAGGCTGCCTACTAGAACAATCCCCTTGGGATAATCCTTCCCAGCCTGTAAATAGAGCATACGAGCAAAAAACAAAACAAAAAACTTCATTCAAACAAAGCAAAAGCACAATGATTCAAATGAGAAAGAAGCAGAAAATATTGGTCACAGCCTCTAAGGGCCTTTCCCATAGGCTGCGTCACCCTGCTGGGATGGAGGCTGCTTTCTCTCATGCTTATCTACACATTTGTTAATGTTATTCAGGGAAATACTCATAGCAACAAGATATTGGAATTATGTGGTGCTTTTGCCATAAAGCATTTAGTGGACTTGTCAGAAGACTATTTTCTTTTTTCCCTCAACACCTGAAAGAAGTTCCTAGAATCATCTTCCGTTACAGAGGTGGAAATGGAGGCACATCCAGAGCTGTTAAGTTATTGGCTCCAGGTCACATATGTACTGAAGCGCGAAGACAGGCCTTGCACCATTAGCTCCCAACTCCAAGGAGAATGTGTGCCGTGAGAGAACCAGACAGATGATCCCGGCAATGCATGAAGCCTGGCCTGTAGTGGTTCAGGACAGGGGCAGAGCGAGGGACCCAGAGGCGATATGACATCCTTATTCAGCAGTTAGGATGTAGGCTTTGGAGCTGGACAAGTCTAGGTTTGGATCCTGGCTCTGTCAGTGTTATGGACTGAATATTCTTGTTCCTCCTACTCCCTGAATGTATATTGAATTCCAAACCCCCAGTGTGGCTGTGTTTGGAGATGGTGTCTTTAAGAAAGTAATTAGGGTTAAACTCTTTCTCTCTCCCTGTGCACACTGATCTTGAACTTTCAGCCCCCAGAATTGTGGAAAAAGTAAGTTTCTCTTGTTTAAGCCACTTAGTCTATGGTATTTTGTTAAAGCAACCCATGCTGACTAATACAATTTGCATCAGTTTTGTGACTCTGAGCAAATAGCTCTTCTGAACCTCTGTTTCCTCATCTGTCAAAAGAAGATAATATAATAGTCATAATACCTGGTAAGATGGTTATGGGGATTAAATGAAACAAGACATTTGAAGAACGTAGCATATAACATATATTTTAAAACCGATTTGTTTATTTAACAGATGTTAACTGAGCACCTGTTTTCTTCCAAGCATTGTTCTGGATGCTGGAGATCCAGGAATGACCAAAGGAAAGGAGGTCTCTGTTCTCAAGAAGCTCACAGTTTAGTTGGGAGACCTAGAACTCATAACTAAAGCCTTCAGTGAAAAAGGGGGGATGAGCGACTGCCATCTGGGGAGGTAGATATTTGACAACTACAAGGTATTCTTGTAATCTCAAGGCAGGAGCTTCAGTTTTTGAGAGACAGTGGGGGACAAATGGCTTAAAACAGTAATTAGAGCAAAAAGGATGCTTACTCCACATCCTAGCCCTTAGATACACTTGGAATAAGAGAGACCATAGCCTTTAGAAGTTTTAGGTGAAGAAGTGGCCTTGGGGGATAACCAACTTTCAACAAGGCCAGGAGAGGGAGTGGTCAGAGCAATGAGGATGTACTGGAGTTTGTTGATCACAGATCTAGCTCCAGAAGGCTCTACAAAAAAGTTTGGGAGGAAAAGGAGGCATAAAGGACTGGATTGAATGATGCACAGAGCAGCAGCTTTGAACCTCTGTGAGCTCCTGAGATGACTTAATGACTTCTCCCTGGGTAGCTTAATGGGACAGCACAGAGAGGGCTATGCCATGTCCCCCTTCAAGGTCATCCCGTTATCATTAAGTATAATTTTCATCACATAGCTCATCTCCCTGCCTCTGTGCATAACTAAATATTGTCCTATTTTTAAAGTTATTGAAGAGAAAGTAATTTTGTAATTTTTCTCAATAATGCATCCATTCCCTCATTTAACAATTAGTACCAAGAACAGTGCCTGACACATAGTAGGTGCTCAGTAAGTATTTTTTTAATCAAATAAATTCATAGTATCAAGATTTCCTTTTTATCTTGAGTGTACTCATGCTCTAATGCAAGTCCATTGTACGGCTTGACAAAATGGATACTACAATTATTTTCCCACTTTGTGATTTCTGGTATCAGAGATAAGCTGTTCTATGCAATCTTTTACTCAAATGTTGATTCTATTGTTATTTGATGGTGTCGTGTCTGTATCTTAGATCTCCTTAGCTAGATTGTGTCGTATCTATATCTGTAGATCTCAGCTAGATTTAAATTCCCTCAAGTGTAGATATTGGTTTGCTGAATCTCTTTCTATGGAGTGTATCATAATGGAGGCATTGAGTCAATGCTTAGTAAGTGCACTTTGAATAAATGAACACATTTGGTAACTCCTCAGAGAATACATACTTATTTGAAAGTTCATGTATATATCTAGACAGCCATTGACATGTCCTATGAACAAACACCTAACATGACACTCAGCCTGCCTAGGTACAAACTGTGGCCATATCTTTTATTAGCTATGTGACCTTGGGCAATATACTTAATATTTCTATATGTGAGTGTCATCATAAAATGATGACAATTAAGTTATCACAGATTTGTTGGGATAAATTAACTTATGTCAAGTGCTTAGAAAAATGCCTACCACATAGTAAACACTCCAAAAAAGTGACTTTTGTTATTATTATACATATAGTATAGACTCATGGAATACTTTAATACTGTAATAAGTAATAATAATTCACCAAGGATTATCAGTAAGTATAATTGGTCTATTCAATAGACTCTACTGTGACTAAACAGTGAGGCACAATCTCTACAAATAAAATTTGATTAAATGGTAATTTAATTTTGTAGGTAATTAAAGCAGGATCACATCTGGGAAATTAGCATAAAAAAGCAATGCCCTCACTTTATAAAAAGGAGAAGCATGAGAAAATCTAGTAACCTGTATTGAGGCACCCAGAAATAGGGTCAAGGATTACTGAGAAATGAAGGAGTCAATAGTATGAGGTTTAGAGTTTGGGGAAAAATGTTTGCATATATAATTACAAAAACAGAAAATGCTGTGTCAAATCAAACTCTATAGAGAAAAGAATAATAATCTAAACAAAGAAAAATGCAGTTGCACCAATTATTATTTGCTTTTGCTCACAAGGAAACCAGAGCCCAGTAGTATGGATAATTAAGAAGTAGTGAAAACACTATTGTAACTTTTGATGGAAAGCAGGCTAGGGAGCACTTAGCAAATGAGAACTTTGCAGAATCAGCAGAGCTAGATCTAAGTTCTCAGGGGTGTTGGAAGTGAGTGTTTGCCTTAACTTGTATAAAGTAAAGAAAAATGAAGACAGTTCTAGAGGACAGAATTAGGAAACTGATTTATATTCAAGGAAGAATGTAGACCCTGTTTTATCTGGTAATAAACTTAATGAAACGAGTATGAAGGTAACAAGTAACCCTAGAGACTTAAAAAACATAGTAAGCAAAATGCAATACGGGTTTCTTTTTTCTTTTTTCAAAGAAAATGTATCAAACCAGAGAAATTGCTTATAAAATAGTAGGTCCCTAATGCATTTAATATACTCAATTTATAGTATTAGATATAAAATCTTTAAGCTATTTCTAGGAACATTTTAATTTAAAAGTAACTTCCTCTGGTTTTCCGTGTGGTGGAATTAAATGTGATTTTAAATTTATTTTTTAACACTTGATGTGTTATTTTTGAAATAAAAAACTTAAAGTTTACTTATGAAAAGTCACACTGACAATAACAAAAAAAACAACTGATTGAAAAATGGGCAAAGGACAGGCATAGACATTTCTCCAAAGAAGTTATACAAATGGTTAATAATCAGTAGGGCTGTAAATCAAAACCACAATGAGATACTGCTTCACACTCACTAGGATAGCTATCATCAGAAAGATAGAACATAAAGTGTTGGCAAGGATGAGGAGAAATTAGAACGCTGTGTACTGCTGATGGGAATCGAAATGTTGCAGCCACTGTGGAAAATAGTGTCACAGTTCCTTTAAAAATTAAACATAGATGCAGTGAGCCAAGGTAGTGCCACTGCACTCCACCCAAGGCGACAGAGCAAGATGCTGTCTCAAAAAAAAAAATTAAACATAGACTTACCATGTGATCCAGCAATTCTACTTCTGGGAAGATATATCCCAAAGAATTGAAAGTAGGAACTTGATAAGATATGTGTACACCAATGTTTATGGCAGCATTGTTCCCAATAGCCAAAATGTGAAAGCACCTCGTGTCCATTGATTGATGAATGAATAATCAGTATGTACTATATATACAGTGAAATATTATTCAGCCTTAAAAAGGAATGAAATTCTGACACAGCATGGATGAATCTTGAAGACATTATGCCAAATGAAATAAGCCAGTCACAAAAGGACAAATATTGTATGATTCCACTTACATGAGATACCTGAAAGTAGTCAAATTCATAGAGAAAGACAGTAGAATGGTGGTTGCCAGAGGCTGGAAGGAGGGGAAATGGGGAGTTTCCAACTGGGAAAGATGAAAAAGTTCCAGAGATGTATAATGGCAATGGTTGTGCAACAAGGTGAATGTACCTACTACTACTGAACTAGACTTTAAAATGGTTAAAATGGTAAATACTGAGGATATTTTACAACATTTTAAAAAGTCATGTTGACTTAAAATTGACCAGAAGTTCCTAAACAAAGGGGAATTTGATCTGGTTTATCTGTGGGTGGAGCGGCCTAGAGGCTTTAGAAGCTGATGTCAGAATCTGTATCATTCCCTATATCTGGGTGTGTAATCTGGGAGAAGTCAGCGTGACACAAAAGCAATTTGCAGTTGACCCAGAACTGGGAGGTGTGGCACATATAATCAAGACAGAGAAACAAGAGAGGGAGAGAAACGAGAGAGAGAGAGAGAGAGAGAGAGAGAGAGAGAGAGAGAGAGAGAGAGAGAGAGAGAGAGAACACAAGCCCGAAGCTGCGTAACATTTAATTCATCAACATTGATTGGAACTAGCTGTGGTATCGTGGAAAAAACACTGTTTCTGCAGTAAGAAATCCTGCTCAAATCCTAATGGTGTCTCTCAGGGACTGTGTGAACTTTAAAATTAGGATAATAAAACCTTCCTTAAAAGCCTGCCATGTGAGCTACTCTCTAAGGGGCTATACAAATGTTCATTGTAATGATGACAAAGGTGATATTTATGAGAAACACCACAATATAGTGGAAATAACAACAAATTTAGAATCAAGCAGACCTGAATCTACCAGGAATCAGATCACAGCTTTTCCTCTTGGAGGCTGTTGGACATGGATAAGTTTTTCTCCTCTGAGGTATCTATAAAAAAGTGTCTCTCTACCCCATAGGGTTCTTGTAAGAGTAAAATAATTTATGTGCACAGGGCCTGACACAGAGAAAACTCTGAGTATTAATTGTCCTTTCCCCTCCCAGCCAGCAGAGAAAACAGTCTTATAAATATACAGTCTGTAAAATATAGATGTGTCCTTCCATGGAGTTGGGAAGACAACAGGTAGTAAGTGGCTCAAACAGAATAGGTTTGGAATGACGAAAGCATATAATTTTGTTCTCTGGAAGCTCATGGCTGACTCATGCTCATAGAAGGGTCATGAAAGACAGTATAAAAGAGGTGGATCTGAACAAGGCTTTGAAGATAGTTATTTGAGGAAAGGGATTTTCCCACAACTGGAAGATGGCGGCAGGTGAGCTGGGGAATCTTAGGCCAGTGTGGCTGGCAAATCATAGCCAATATTGCTTAGCAATGGATTCATTTTCTATTGCTGCCATCACAAATTATCACGAATTAACAGCTAAAATAAATTATCTCACAGTTTCTGGAGGCAGAAGCCTAACATGGGTCTCTCCAGGCTAAAATTAAGGTGTTAGCAGGGCTGCATTTCTTACTGGACGCTCAGAGGAAGAACCTACTTCCAAGCTTGTTGGCCAAACCTGTTCCTTAGAGTTGTAGGACTGAGGTCCCTGCTTCCATTCTGACTGTCAGCTGGGGACCACCCTTACCTCTTAAAGGTCTATCTGCAGTCCACATCCATGGCCCACTCCATTCTTCAGAGTGGGCCACAACACTGAGTCTTTCTCATGTTTTGAATCTTTCTAACTTCTAACTCCTCCTTCTGTATCCTTCTGCCTCTATTAGGAAAATGTTCCTTGCTTTTAAGGATTCATGTGATTATATTTGGCCCAATCAGATAATCCAGGAAAATCTCCCCATTTGAAGATCCTTAACCTTAATTACATCTGAGTTTTTTTTCTTTCTCAGGTTCCAGGGATTAAGGTGTGGACCTCTTTGAGGGGCCATTCTGCTCACCAAAAGCACTTACTATGGTCCAGGCACTTTGCTAAATGCTTTCCATGCATTATCTCATTTAAATCTCTTAATGATGTTATGCAATTTAATTCTGTCAGTCACTCCATGACAGAAGAAACTTAGACTCTGAGATATTAATTAGCTTCTCCAAAGTCACATAGTTAGGAAGTATATGCATCACAATCTGAACTAAGGTCATCTGAGTCCAGAGCACATGTCCTTGTAGGGGCTAAAGAATGAAATGCACATAACTTCTAGAAGGAAAGGACATCAAACTGTAGGGCCCTGAATGCCAGATTGAGATGTGTGAATGCCAGATTTTTATGTGAAGCAATGCTCCAAGTAATTATGTGGGGAGAAAAATATCTCACTATAGGTACTCTGTGGAAGATTGAATGGTATTTGGAAAGCACGGGTTAGAGATTTTCATGGGTCACAGGATGCAGATTAAAATATTAATAAGACATTGAATTGGTCTCAAGAAATTATATTCTTGGAAGGGATCCAGAGAGGTCTGTCAAGGTGCAGTGTGGAACTATGACCACAGAATACCTAGAAATACAGTTTCCAGGCTGGATTCTGGGAGGTCTCAAGAGGATATGAAGAAGCCTGTGGTTCAATCTTCTTCCATTTAACATCTCTGCTAGTGATCTTGGAACATGAGATATTCATCCTTTTTAATGAATTTCACTGAAGATAACAGCTGAAGTTACAGTCACCAGAGAGGACAGAAGAAATGTTGACAGGAAATATTTCTCATTAAACTTGGGGGGAAAAAAGCAAGGAATTCAAAACATTGATAGTCACCAAGATAAGGAGATCTTAACGGAGCCACCATAATTAAAGAGGCCTACAATAGACAGAAAGGGCAGAAGCAAATCATACTCAAAGCCAAATGTAGCTGGCCTGAGCACTGTTTCCCAAATGTGCACATTTCCAGATGTCACAAACTTCTGCACTTTGGGGCACAGCTGGAGGGAGGCCTCTGGCAGTACACTGTGCAGGCTTCTTGGGCACTGGAGAGCTAGAAATAGTTTTGGGAGAAGCTGAGGTAGAGCTGTCCAGGAGTGGGTTAGGAGAACAGAGTTAAAGAATGAAATGCACATCATGGAGAGCAGCTGTACCTTCTCTCAACTTGCCTGCCCTCCCTCCCTACTCAGCCAAGTCATGCTGGGCCAGCCCACAGGGCAGTGTAAGAAGACCTTGTGTTTCTCCCTAAAGAATCTTGCAGGGACCACCTACATTTTCCCGATGTCATTTCATGCATCAGTTTGATGGGTAATTACTGGGTCACTTGACTTTTTCTTTCTCCGAACAATAAGTTCCGCAAGGCCACTTGAGGAAAACACAGGTCAGGAGACTGTCCTATAGAAATGGCTCTTGATCTTCCTGGAGATCCTAGATACCTAGATGTGATCACACAATATTTGCATCTAACTCCAGGGGATTCATGAAGCTCTGGGGTCACTTTGAAATCCCCAGGGCATCTCCTAACCTTTATCCTCCAGATTAAGAAACTCTGGTTATAGCAATGGCAAATGTTTGGCTCTCTTGCTACAATTTTTAGCATTTTCCTTCCCCACCCACCATGCGTCAGTACATTGGAAAACATTGTTAATTATTGATCACACATTCTCCTGCCAAGCTTTGTTGCGATTTAAAAAACTGTTCACAACTACTGGGACTCCTCCCAGTAGTCCTACCAGTTCTTCAGAATTGGTGCCCAAATTGAACCCTGGAAGTAGGAATAGGAGCTGGGAGAAAGACTCACTGAAGCCCAGGAGGATTTTACAGATAGAAGGAATGTGAATAGGTTGAACAGAATGAGGATGAAAAAAGAATTGCTGGAATAGGCAATGAGGAAATGTTTGGTGCCCTAGCAGAGGGCAATTTAAGCAGAGCTGTGGGGCTGCAGCCAGATTGCAGTAGGCTTAATTGATGAGTTTCTTTGGATGTATTCTAAAGAATACATTAGAATGTATTCTAAATATATTTCTTTGAATGTGTTCTAAATTATCAGTAATATGCATAGAGATATATGTACAAGGAGGTTTACTATGGTATTATTAAAATAGTACAAGTTGGAAACGGTCCAAAGACTCAACATTAGGGAATGTGGTTAATTTTATTTTAATGCATCCATATTATGGAATAATATTTTATTAGTGAAGACTCTTTATTTTAAGTAACAGAAACCTGAATCAAATTAGTTCAAGCAAAGGAAGAAAAAGAAGTTATTGGCTAATGCTTGTGGTGGGCTCCTGTAGTCCCAGCTACTTGGGAGGCTGAGGCAGGAGAATGGCATGAACCCGGGAGGCGGAGCTTGCAGTGAGCTGAGATCCCGCCACTGCACTTCAGCCTGGGCGACAGAGCGAGACTCCATCTCAAAAAAAAAAAAAAAAAAAGAATTTATTGGCTAATGCAATTGAAGAGTCTAGAACTTGTCTGCTTTAGGCACGCTGGAATAAATGTTCAGATGATATCCTCTGATCTCTCTCTCTCTCTCTCTCTCTCAATTCTCTCCGCTGGGATGGCTCCCTTTTTAGACAGGATTTCTCTAGATGTAAGAAAGTAGCCCCCAGTGGTTCCAGCGTTTCTAGAGCTCACAGTATTTATCAGCAATTTGCAAAGTATCAACAACTAGAGCTTCCTTGTCTCAGCATCCAGACCAGGCCCCTCCCACAAACAGTCAGATTGGCCCTGTTTGGGTCACTTGCCCATCCTTCAACCAGTTACTGTGCCCCAAGGAGTGGGGTACTGTGACTAGTCAGCCTGATCACATGTGCCTTTCTTCCTTGACAAACCTTCCAGAATCACATGCTGTGGGAAAAAGGTATCTTCCAAGAAGAAAGATTGAGTTCACACACAAAAAAATGTCCATAATAGCTACAAACTTATTTTTTTAAAAGAGAGTATATTTATCAGCATGGAGGCTTTGGGAGTGGGGAGAGAAGGAAGTCCCATCACACTCTGCTGTTCCCTGTGCCTGGAATCCCCCAACTACCACTCTGCTCCCTTCCACTTCCCTAGGCTACGGACAACTTGTGATAGGCAGAATAATGCCACCCTCCCCCAGAGATGTCTTTGTTCTAATCCCTGCTGGAACATGTGAATATGTTACCTTACATAGCAAAATGGACTTTGCAAATGAGTTTAAGAATCTTGAGATGTGAGATTATCCTGTATTATCTGGGAGGCCCCAAAGCAAAGATGTTGAGTAGACTGAATTAAAGAAAAGCAGGTTACAGCATACAATGTAGAATGTTATTTTATCTTTATTTTAAAATCAGTTTAGACAAAAATTCCCCTCTCCCTCTCCCTCTCCCTCTCCCCACGGTCTCCCTCTCCCTCTCCCTCTCTCTCTCTTTCGACGGTCTCCCTCTGATGCCGAGCCGAAGCTGGACTGTACTGCTGCCATCTCGGCTCACTGCAACCTCCCTGCCTGATTCTCCCGCCTCAGCCTGCCGAGTGCCTGCGATTGCAGGCGCGCGCCACCAAGCCTGACTGGTTTTCGTATTTTTTTGGTGGAGACGGGGTTTCGCTGCGTTGGCCGGGCTGGTCTCCAGCTCCTAACCGCGAGTGATCTGCCAGCCTCGGCCTCCCGAGGTGCCGGGATTGCAGACGGAGTCTTGTTCACTCAGTGCTCAATGTTGCCCAGGCTGGAGTGCAGTGGCGTGATCTCGGCTAGCTACAACCTCCACCTCCCAGCCGCCTGCCTTGGCCTCCCAAAGTGCCGAGATTGCAGCCTCTGCCCGGCCGCCACCCCGTCTGGGAAGTGGGGAGCGTCTCTGCCTGGCCGCCCATCGTCTGGGATGTGAGGAGCCCCTCTGCCCGGCTGCCCAGTCTGGGAGGTGAGGAGCGCCTCTTCCCGGCCGCCATCCTGTCTGGGAAGTGAGGGGCGTCTCTGCCCGGCCGCCCATCGTCTGGGATGTGAGGAGCGCCTCTGCCCGGCCGCGACCCCGTCTGGGAGGTGAGGAGCGTCTCTGCCCGGCCGCCGCCCCATCTGAGAAGTGAGGTGCCCCTCGGCCTGGCAGCCGCCCCGTCTGAGAGGTGAGGAGCCCCTCCGCCCCGCAGCCGCCCCGTCTGGGAAGTGAGGAGCCCCTCCGCCCGGCCGCCACCCCGTCTGGGAGGCGTACCCAACAGCTCATTGAAAACGGGCCATGATGACGACGGCGGTTTTGTGGAATAGAAAAGGGGGAAATGTGGGAAAAGATAGAGAAATCAGATTGTTCCTGTGTCTGTGTAGAAAGAAGTAGACATAGGAGACTCCATTTTGTTCTGTACTAAGAAAGATTCTTCTGCCTTGGGATGCTGTTGATCTATGACCTTGCCCCCAACCCAGTGCTCTCTGAAACATGTGCTGTGTCCACTCAGGGTTAAATGGATTAAGGGCGGTGCAAGATGTGCTTTGTTAAACAGATGCTTGAAGGCAGCATGCTCGTTAAGAGTCATCACCACTCCCTAATCTCAAGTACCCAGGGACACAAGCACTGCGGAAGGCCGCAGGGTCCTCTGCCTAGGAAAACCAGAGACCTTTG
Organism: Homo sapiens; assembly: GCF_000001405.40. Classification (NCBI taxonomy): domain Eukaryota; kingdom Metazoa; phylum Chordata; class Mammalia; order Primates; family Hominidae; genus Homo; species Homo sapiens. The sequence continues at coordinate 86,770,288 of NC_000011.10, read as the reverse complement.
TTCACTTGTTTATCTGCTGACCTTCCCTCCACTATTGTCCTATGACCCTGCCAAATCCCCCTCTGCAAGAAACACCCAAGAATGATCAATAAAAAAATAAAATAAAATAAAATAAAATAAAATAAAATCAGTTTAACCTATTTTTGTACATGAATGCATGGAAAAACCTTTAGAAGATATATTTCAAGATGATAACAAAGTTATTCCTGAGGGGTTATGGCAGATTTTTTTCTTTTGCCAATATGCAGCTTCTAACTTTTCTACCATGAACATAGATTACTTACATAATTTAAAACTATAAAGTCCAAGAGGTGAAGAGAAGAAAATAGCTATTAAAGGGAAAGTTGGGATGGTGTTTTGGGAAGAAAGCACTGAAAAAAAAATAGTTGTTGATTCATTTCTGCATTTATTTGCATGGGGAGCCCTGGAACCTGTTTATAAACTGAGGTGATGGGCTGGGGAAGCTGAAGGATAAGGTTTGAGAACAAGGGGAAGAGACAGGGAGTATGATCTTTAGGACTAGGGTTAGGGATGGGGGAGAGTATCTCATAAAGCCTAGGGGATGGGCCTCCCTGAGAGGGCAGGGAGGAGACAGGAAAGGATGGGAAGAAATGAGGAAGTTTTTAATGGGAAAGAAGGACATCAACCCCAATCTGCTAAGCAAGGAAAGGGATGTGGGTAAGGGTGCTGGAGTGGGTTGGGGGCTTAACAAAAGGAAAACAGTTGGAAAATGTGCCATGGGGAATGTGATGGGGAGTCACTCAGGATCAGTAAAAACTTCTGAGTGTCACTGAGGGCCCAGCTGAGATTAGATAACAGAGATTTGTAGTCATGCTAATCATAGCAGCTGCATGACCTTTTGCAGTGACACTGAGAAGCTTGGGGAGGGAGAACGAAGCCAGCAGAGAGAAATGGAGAGTGCCTGGCTGCATCATAGCTTTGGATTCTGGGTCGGGCTCCCACTGGACCTTAGTGGTTCCAGCTGGGCCTCCTGATTCTGACTGCTCCATGCACATTGATTAGCCCTTAATCAATGACAGAAATTATTCCTGTTCAAGGTGAATCTTGAAGGCACATATTTGGGGCCTAACTTCAAAGGAACAAGTCCTGGAGGGTGTAGTGATGGTTCTGCAGGCCAATCACACATTGGGATTTGAAGATGGATCTAAAGAAAATATTTTGTTAATAGTCTGCACATCGTTCTCTAGCATGTGGGTGCTGAGATTTGGAAAGAAGAAGTAGACGTCATTCTGCAAAATAGGAAAAAATTGCAAAGTAAGGGGCCATTTTATAATTCCAGAGGCAGAAATAACTCCCAACTCAGTCTCTGCTTTTAGGGACTGACCTTGTTGCCACAGTGAAAACTGACTTATTGGAAATTAAGAAAGACTAAACTGATAGTTAATGCCACACTGCAATCTGAGGTAATGTGGCTCAAAATAGAAAACAAAACAAAACAAAAAAGATTCTATTATTGGGATTGGTTGAGTGGCTAGCTCTACTTCAATCTGTTTCTTATATTTTTCTCTGATTTCTGAATAAATGTTTATTCAGTGTTCTAATAAGGCATATGCTGAACCCCACTCCCTTTTTCGCTTATGGGACTGTGGTTAAGAGGTTAAGAGTACCAGCTCTGCTGTTACACAAACTGTGTTTGATCCAAGCTATCCCTGTCTAAAAGTGTGACCTTGGCAAGTCACATCACTCTCCAAGCCTCAGTTTTCTCACCTGTAAAATGCAGATAATATCAGTCTCTATTCCTAAGGGTCCTTGCGGGGGTTAAATGAAGTAACATACATACAGCACTTAGCACGACGCCCAGTGTCTTAGTCCATTTTCTGTTGCTTATAATAGAGTACCTCAAACTGGGTAATTTCTAGAGGAAAAGAATTAATTTCTGATAGTTATGGAGGCAGAGAAGTCCAAGGTCAAGGGGCCACATCTGGTGAGGGTCTTCTTGCTGGTGGGGACTCTGCAGAATCCCAAAGTGTTATAGGGTATCACATGGCAAAGCGGCTGAGCGTGCTAGCCCAGGTCTCTCTCAAAGCCTTGGTCCTACGCCCATGATAACCCATTAATTCATTAACTCATCAGTATATGACTATTAGCTTCAGACTTCCCTATAACTTGTTCTCAGGTTTTTAATGCTCTTCCACCTGCTAAGTTGCTCCATTTGTCCATAAGCCACAATCAGACATGGCTCCAGAAGATAAGGCAGCCCCACAGCCACTCTCTTTTTTGTTTGTTTGGCTTTTATTGTTGCTGTTATTGTTTTCACAATACTACCAATTGCTAAGCTCTGTGTGGGTCTCTGGGATGACAAATAGATGTCATTCAGACAGACTTTCAAACAAGAATCATCTACGTGCATCTCATTAGCATCAGTGTTATAAGAAGGAAAAAAGCATACTCTCTCCTCTGTTAGAGGGGAGGAGGCCACATGATTCCAGATGAACCCAGTGGATATCTCCCAAGTCCAAAGTCAAAACCAGGCTGCAGCCTCACTCTCTCTACAGTGCGAGGGAACCACACTATTCTAGGTAAAGTCTGAGTGAGAATGTGGCTTCTAGTATGGGAGGTCGTTAGGAGGAGACAGAAATTAATAATTACTTATTCATTCATTTATTCACTCATTTATTTATTTGATTATTCAGTTTTCAACACTTACTGATTATCTACTATGTGCCAGGAACTGAGGCCACAGAGATAAATCTAATACCTTTGGAGGCTAAGGACATTGTAAAAGTTCTATAGGGTCTACAGCCATACCATCCTGAACATGCCCCATCTCATCTGTAGTAGTTCTAAAGGCTGCTGCCATTTATTGAATACCTGCTATGTTCCAGACATATACTAGGAAGTCAACATTTTCAGTGTTCCTTACATCTAGACCTTTGTACATGTGGTTTCCTCTCCTCATTCTTGATCAAATACTACTGCTTCAGAATTAAACTGAGACGCTATTTTTTTAAAAAAATATTTCTTTGCCTACCCCCTCACCGAAGTCCAAGTTAGGCATCCCTCTAAAGTGTCTGCCCAGCACACCATATGCCCCCAGTGGCACTTATCACAGTATATAAATAAATTGTCTGTTTATTTATCTAGATCTCCCTCCAGATTGGAAGATCCATGAGAATGAAGATCTCATTTGCCTGATTCACCACTGTATTCCACCATGCTGCCTGGCACATAGAAGTCACTCAATAAATACATTCAGAATAAATCCATGTTAATCCTCATGAATGAAGGAAGTTTGTTGTCAAATAATTTGTCCAAACATACAGAATATGATATAGGTAGAGATGGAAACTGCACAAATTCATAGCATTAATTCTAGCTAGGTACTATTGTTGGCTAAAGATTCTGAGCTTGTGGTTGGCTGTCTTTTAATATTGGGACCCTAGGAGGAGAAAGAGAGGAGTTAAAGATGTATTGACCCCAAACTGAGACTTTCCCCCAAAAGAATCAGAAAAATTAAAAGAGAATTGAAGAGAGAATAACTTTTTTAAAGTTATTGGTATCAGTATTATTTAATGTTATGTCTTTATGCCACTTAAAATCATCTCACATACTACTAGTTGTATGCCTCCCATGCTGTTTTAAGACAGTAGATTTTACTCCATGCTCTGGGAGTCCTGGGGTTCTTCTGGGGTGGGAGTGAGTAGGTCAAGATGTGGGTGTAGCTAAGCAGGTGGGGCTCTGAGGCTGCACCCCTAAGTTACAGTAGCTCTGCTCTTATCTGGTTCTATGAAATATTTCATTGCTGATAATGAAAAATCTGGGAAGCCCCTGGCCTACTAATTAAGAGCGACCACTGGGACCAGATACTTTATATGCTTTCACCTTCTCTCTACAAAGTACCATTATTGATGGATGAAGCAGTTGACACTGAGAGATTAAGGAACTGGTCCAAAGTTGTCAAGCCAGTAAGTGGCAGAATTGCCGTTCCAACTCTGTCTGTCTGTTCCTTTTCTGTTTTAACATCAATCTTTGGAATCGTTTTAATTCAACAAACATTCATTGAGATTCTACTACTTTTTAAGCACTCAGTGGGTTCTGGGGTTGGAAACTCACAAAATCTTTTAGGAGAGCCAAGCATGTCAATAAATATTTATGCAAAATGATCTGGAATGCTATGCTCGGAAGAGACAGAGAAGAGTAATTTGTTTTCCTTGGTGGGGTTAGAGTGTCGTCATTTAGGTTTCTTGCAAATGGTAATGCTGTAGCATGCAGTGGCAAGGCAGTGTATGGGAGAAATGACAATGGAGAGGTGGCAGGCCAGATTTGAAAGGGCTTTATGTATCATCCATACAAAGACTCAGAGCCCTATTGCAGGAGGTAGCATCATTTAAATGATTTATACTTTTTTTCCCCTTTTACTCTCCAATACTTAGTTGTTTTGAAAATTCCAGTCTTAGCTATTGAATCTGTGAAAGGGAACTGTTGCCATTTTTAGAGGAAAATGGAAAAAATGTTTGAAGGAAGAAAGTTTGGAGGAGCAGCACCTCTCCTGCCAAGGAGTATGGACTTAGACAATGGGTAGCCAGTGAAGGATTGAAATGACAATTTATCATGTTGTAGTTCTGGTCAGCTAGAGCCTGCTGGACCCACAAGTTGCAGCCAAACACAAGCCTCACATCTCCGTTTCACAGCCTGGGGAAACCATTCCCCCACCCCTGACATCTGTTTCCTGAGGACTTAAAGTCTCGTGGCCCATTTGCCTCCACACTTTGTTTCCCTCCAGTGCCGCCTTTGTGTTGCACCAAGAATGACCCAACCTGACATGAAAGTCAATGCCTAAGAGAATTCACTCGCACAAATGTACAAAAGAGCATTGTAGACTTTATTAAAGATTCTGTAGAGGAGTTAGAGGAAGAATTTATAACAGTCATGCCAAAGTCCATTTTGAGATATTCCTGCTGTCTTCAAATTCCTTCTTTATGTAGCACCCACCCCCTAGTCATCTTTCCTCATTTCCTGAATCATCTGTTGGAACTTCAAATTCTTCTCTTTATTACTGAAAAACGCATCCATTGCCCAGGCCCAGCAACAGACCTGGACAGAGGGTAAGGGATTAAGATAAACTTCAAGTTCCAGGGATTCATAAAAACATTTTCACCCTACCTCTCACAGCCTTCAGGCCAAATATAATGCTCTTCATAAACATTATATTTCAATTTACAATTTCCCCATCTGGTTTTAAAAGAATTAAGGCAATGATAGACTCTGACCTGAAAGGATAAAGTCATATCAATGTTTATAGTGAAAAATCTACCTTGAAGACTGAAATCTTCCTTGCCAATCCCTGCAGAAGAAATGTGCCTCCGGACCAACCTTAGGTAGGAAGAAGAGATGACTGATTTTTGGTTTTGTCCATGGAAAGAGTCAAGTTCCTGGGGGCGGGGGTGGCAACAGGATGGGAGTTTTGAAGTGAGGGCTTAAGCAAAGGCTCTGGAGGTGATCTGGCCCTTTGGATAGCTAGCTTACAGCCACTCATGGATCCCACATGAAATGAGAAGGGGTGAAATCCCTGGGGAATAATTCAGTTCAGGTGGAATAAGACTCCCATGCTTGAAAGTTCAGGTGGATCAGAGCCATGTGCTTGAAAGTTGCATCATTTAAATGATTTGTACTCCCCCTCCATTTTACTTCCCCTTAATATGTAATTGTTTCTTGAAAATTCCAATCTTATCTCAGCTGAGGAATCTGTGGAGGTGACTTGTTGCCATTTTAGGAGGAAATGGAAAGATGTTTGAAGACAGATAGATGCTGAGGAACAGCACTTCTCCTGTCAGGCATAGTGGGGGAATGCTGCAGAGTAGAAACACTGAGCAATTGAGAAAATCCAAAGAGGAAAATGATACATGGAACCCAGAGGAACAGAAAAAAGTGTTTCTAGGTCTAATTCACATTCTTTACCTGGAGATTCTCCTTCCAGGCCAAATTTTGGAAGGTCTGAGTTTTATTTTACTGGGAGAAGGTAACAGTAAATTTTTTTTATCAAGACAACCATTTCTTCATAGTTGCTATAAACTGAGACAGGCTATATCCTTATCCGGACCTTTAATAATGTTAGTGAGGTACCTGGAACTTGTGTGCCCAGTGCCCATTCCCACCCTCTGCCATGTACCACCTCCCTCAAAGTCTGCCTGAGTGTGAGGATGCAATAGGGATACTGAGATGCATCCTCCAGCTCAAAGGTTTAAAAATAGTTTTTCTGGCATTGGAGGCTTTTTGCAGATAAAATTTTACCCAAAAGCCCAAAATATAAAACAGATAGACTGCTGTGGTTGACTTGGGACTGGGGATCAGGAGCCTATCCATCCCGTTTGGCCTCCCCATTGCTTACGTGGAGACACTGAGGTTTCTCTTGTGACCTCTAGAGACTGAAGGAGCTCAGTTTGAAGACCAGCACTCTAGAAAGCCATCTTCAAAACCCTCCCTCATGGAGTTTGGAGAGAGTTATGGGTACACTTTTTGAAATATCCTTTGGTGGAAAGACCAGAGGCCGCTGGGAAAGGAGATTAGGGGTCTGAATTGTGGGGACTTTGGTATAGATTCTGTGTCTAAGTGACCTGAAGGGTTTTGGAAGAGGACTTTGTATCTCACTGGTCTGTAAAGCGATCTCGTGAGGTCCCTTGTTGTGTCCCCATGTCCTTGGATGAGGCTGAGTGGAATGGCTGTCTCCATCAGGTCACTATGGAGAAAGAAGAATCCATTAGGTATCTTTCTGGCCTTCTTTTGGTTCTTTCTCCCTTGTCAGGCTTTCTGTAGACATTTTCTAAGTTGGAGGAGGCTGAGTTACCTTCTCCTACGATCTAAACCTCTTTTGAATACCCCAGTCATCTGGTATGTCTTTTCCTTCAAGTGGGACTTGGTGTGGACTGTTGGAGAAGAGGGAGAGGAAGGGATGGAAGTGTCCTTCGTGCCTCTGTGGGTCCTGATCCCATGTGCCTTGCTCTGGCTTTAGATAAGATACATGACATCCATGGGAGTCTGATGTGATGAGGACAGCCCACTGGAGTTTTCTTAGTCCCAGGAGTAGTCCTTGGCACTTAGTCCAGGAACACATCCTGAAGAGCTTGTGCAGAGCTCAGAACTCCACTGTCAGGAATGTTGGTTTTAACTTTGACCAATAGCCAGCTGTGTCCCTGTGTCCCTCCTCCTCACCTGCCCCCACTCCCTCACACAGAAAAAAAAAAAAGGGGGGGGGCTGGGAATTTCCTTCCAGATGATCCCTTGAGATGCTAGGGAAGTACCCAAAAGTATTTCATGAAAGAAGAAGGAAACGGATAGGTTGGAAGATATAGTGAGAAACAGGAAGGCTTCACTCTGAAGCAGTGTGGTCTCATACACAAGAAATAAGTCACAAGTAACAAAACTTTTCCCGAATTCTTGCTTATTTTCATATTGCATGAGAAAGATTGCACTAATACAGCCCTGTATCACTTTTCTGCTTCCCAGTTAGAAAAATTGATGTGACATCTCAAATTGTCATAAACGTGAAGGTCAAGGTCAGGTCACCTGACCTCTCCCCAGAGTCAGAACTGCACTAGCTGTGGCCACCAGGACTCTACCAACACAGGCTCACATTAGGTCACTAGAGCCTCAAGCCCAGGCAATTCTGTTCTCACTCTGCACACTGATTGCTGTATCTCTTACATCCCCCAGCCTTGATCACTGTAGTGTAAAGATTTGGGGTTGTATTGTGTTTTGCTTTTGCATCCAATTGAAGGGTAGCGACTTAACATGTATAATGGGTTCAAATAATCTACAAATATCTTTCTTTTCTATAACTGTATGTAATTTCTGTTTTGAGCTATCATCCTATCTGGTGGTAAGTCAAAACAGAGCTAAAACAGAGCATGTCCATTTGGTCATGTCTGCTTTTCCCAAGAGGTGCTTCTAAGTGTTAAGTGAGAGTCGATAGTGCATTTGATCTATGAGTTTATGTCCCTGAGCTGGAATCTGTTGAGATGTCCAGTGGTTCTTTGGGCCCTCAATTGCCTGCCCACTCAGGTTTCTAAATTATTCTCCATTCATATCTGAAATCTCCTTTAGAGCCTGTGGGTTTCATTCCTACATCTGTGCCAGTTTTGATCTCTCAGGAATGATTCAGCAAGTTCAGTGGTGCACTGAGTTACAGGCAGGAAACTGGGAGGCTCTCTAAAGGCATACTTGCCTACACATAACAGGCCATCCTTTCTTCTCATACGTCTCCCTAGCTTCCTGGGCACAAGGAACATCATTCCTTCTCATGCATGGTCTGCAGTGATGGTGAGTCCTTCCAGATTTATATCAAGTTGTCCAGCTTCGGTTTGCAGGCCTTTGTCAAATCCTAGGAAAAATGGCCAACTGCATGGCAACCTAAGGTCCCAATAGGGACATAGAGGGGTTTTGGTCCTCAGGAATGCCATTGGGGCAGCGGGCGATAAACCAAAAAAGTTAATTTGGAAAGTTGTAGCCACATATCGAAGGAATCTGGAAGAAGTGAAAATTTGGGCAAGGTAACAGGATTCAGTCCAACTTGCAAGTAGGTACCAACCCGGGTTTTCCACAGGGAGGTAGGAAGTCAGTTAATCTCTACCAGAAAAGACAAAGTTCGCATATCCATCACCTACAATTTACAGAGAGGTGTAAAAATAGCTCAAAGACCATGAAAATCTCATAAATAAACTGATCAAACCTTAGCCAGCTTTGGCCATGATAAATAAAATCTCCTTTTCACAACCCTTCCACAGCATTCTATACTTATTACATGTCCTTTATAGCATAATTTTCAAAGTGGCAAGAAATAAGCACATTTGTTAACAATCCAAACATATATAGCTTCTCTTCAGTGTATAAAAATAAGAGGCAAACGTATATAAAGTTAAATTATACTTAGTAACATTCTTTCAGTATTCTTTTTATAAATGATCTATGTATCTATTAAACATCCATTCATTAATTTAGTGTTAGTCCAAGGTTTTAAGTTACCTAAACATCTTGGAAATTATCTTCTAGCTAAACACTAAAAATCATAATTACAGTTGACATAAAGTTTGTCAGAATAATGATTTGATGTGGTTAAATACAAATTTATATTTTTCATAAATCTTAAATATTTAGTAGGAGTAATGCTAGCTTATTTTATCAGTAAACCTAGATAAATTTAGGAAAACCTTACTCAAGTAGAATACAAATGTATACTTATACTTAATTCTAACTCAGAGAAAACAAAGCTGTTTTTATTAAACTAAAATTATTCAACTAGTTTTGTTTGCCTAAGATTTACCTACATCATATAAACATAACTAAAAAAAAGTTTTTGAGTTAGTTTCTATAAGAATACCTATTTTTTCACATTGAAAATATTCAAGGCTCATTTTCCTTTGTTTCAGAGCATGTTAGGAATGTTTTATTTATATATGAGCTTACTCATCTTAAATTCAATCAGAGTACAATCAGCTCCTTTAAGGAATTTTATAATTTAATTTGGGTAATACTGCCAGAGGTAGGAAAATACTACATACTCGCATAATGAGAGGTTTTTGAGGCATCTCTGAATTACAGACATATAAACATGCAGACAGAGAAAGAGACACTTAGAGTTTCATTTCTGATTTTCAGCTTCATTTTCAGCCATGGGTTAAGCTTTGCTCCCTCTATTCTCAATCTTCTTACCATATTGCACTTTGAGGCCCCATCCATTTCTCTAAGCTCATTGTAAATGCATCTCTCCTTTGAAGCTTTGTCTCAGCCCCTAGTAGGGCATAATTGCTTCCATAACTCTTGTACCTCTCTGATCACTTGAATCAATCCATCAGAAATTATAGTTATTTGTGTATATTCCTCATCTTTTCTTCAAATCCAAACTTAGGGCCGGGTGTGGTGGCTCACGACTGTAATCCCAGCACTTTGGGAGGCCAAGGCGGGCAGATGACGAGGTCAGGAGATCAAGACCATCCTAGCTAACACGGTGAAACCCCGTCTCTACTAAAAATACAAAAAATTAGCCAGGTGTGGTGGTGGGCGCCTGTAGTCCCAGCTACTCAGGAGGCTGAGGCAGGAGAATGGCAAGAACCCAGGAGGCGGAGCTTGCAGTGAGCTGAGATTGCGCCACTGCACTCCAGCCTTGGCGACAGAGCGAGACTTGGTCTCAAAAAAAAAAAAAATCGAACTTAGTTATGGCAGAGACTATGTTATCTTTTCTTTAACAGACATTTATTCTGTACTTACTGTGTTCCAGGCATTGTACTAGAACTTTCTAAAGAGTGAGGGACAAAAAGCAGGACCCCTATCTTCATGGAGCAAACAGTTTGGAACTCGATATACATTTTTCATTTCCCACAGGATTGGCAGTGGTTTGTTGAATGAATGAATTAATTAATTAATGAAAATCCTCAGGCTTAGATTCACCATGATACTGAAAGCGAAGTAACATTTCCTTGAGGGCTTACTATTTACATGCATTCTTGGACACTTTGTGCAAATTATGTAATTTAATCCTCCTCATATTCATACTCTGTGCTTTATATACTTACTTCTAATCTTGACAGCAACCCTGCAAAGGAAAAAAAAGACTATCCCATTTTACAGAGGAAACAACTGAGAGGCTCAGTGAGGATATCCGCTTGCCCTAAGTCATGATGCTATAGGTGTCAACATAGGGATTTGAACCCATGTCTTCCTGACTCCAAAGCCTTGAGACACACTGCTGAGTATGGTTTAATTGCCTTGGAGAAAGCTTAGGTCATATATTCCAGAGAACATATGGTCAAGTCACAGGTCAAGTCACAGGTAAGTCTTGACCTAGGGAGTCTGTGCACCTCAGGCACTTAACAGCAGATTGGACCACAGCAGCGACCTCAGCAACTGAGGGCTGAGGTCCCCTCTAGCCCTCAGTTCCATAAGCCCAGATAGGAGAAAAGACCAGGAAGTGGTGGCATGCTGTATGTAGGTGGGGTTGGGTTCCCAGGTGTGGAGGGCTGCTCTCACCTGGAACCATGCTCAACTAGGCATTCAGGAGCCAGGGCCTACCAAGGCACAACAGGGGCCATTCATGCCAGAAGCACACTCCTCCCACTGAGGCTGTAAGTCACATTCCTTGTTTTAAGATCGGTGCCCAAAACTGGGCCTTTCACTGAAGAGATGCTGTGTATGTGAATGAGCAAAATGATAATCAGTTCAACTGAACTTTAACCCACGGAGTCTACAACAGAAGGTTAAGGGACTCCATGTTCAAACCCTTAAGTGGTCACAGTTAGGGTAACTGATGCTGATGTGGAGAAGGAGGGAGACAAAAGTTGTTGCCCTTAGTTGAGGGATGAAGTGGCTCCCTCACCTCCTGCAGAAAAGCAGGATCAGTACGAAGAGCAGAGAGCTTTTAGGACACATTCACTCTGTGCCAGGGCTTTGATGACTGATCACCCTTAATTATCATAGCCACCCTATGAGGAGGTCACTATTAATATCCTCCTCAATTTACCCATGAGGAGACAGGCAAAGAGTGATTTAAGCCCCTTGCCCAGCATGATAAGGCTAGTAAATGTGACTGGCAAGATTTGAAACTAGACTATTTGAATTCAAAGACTGTACTCTTAACCACTATATCATATGCCATTTCCAGGCAAAAATAATATGGAGAATTATAATAAGGGCCACCCATGAATCATGCTTCCCTTTGTCCACATCCTTTTGCAACATGACATTGCTGCCTCTCTCATCAAGATGTGGTCTACTGGTCCACCCTCTTGAAATTGGGATGATCCTGTGACTTACATTGACTAACAGAATATTGTAGTAGAGACATTGCAGGAGTTCTGGAAATGAGACCTCAAAAGGTTTTGCAAGCTTCAACTCTCACCCTCCTGAGATGCTGAGTCCACCATGTTATAAAGAAGTCCAGTGTATCCTCCTGGCATATGAGAAGTCATGTGGAGCAGAGCCAAGGCTTTCCAGCCAATAGCTAGCACCAATTACCAATTGAGCAAGACGCTCTTGGGTGTCCCAACTTCAGTTGAGCTCCCTCTGCCTGCATCTGCACTTGAGAGCCCAGGGAAGATCTGCAGAAGAATCTCCAGTCAATCTACATAATTGAAAAAATAAACCATTTTTGTTTTAAGCCACTAAGTTTTGGGATGATTTGTCATGTAGCAATAGATAATTGAAATATACAGGTTTTAAATTTCTTTCCTTTTTCTTTCTTTTTTTTTGAAATGGAGTCGCCCTGTGGCCCAGGCTGGAGTGCAATGGTGCGATCTTGGCTCACTGCAACCACCGCCTCCCAGGTTCAAGCTATTCTCCTGCCTCAGCCTCCAGACTAGCTGGGACTACAGGCATGTGCCACAACAGCCAGCTAATTTTGTATTTTTAGTAGAGACAGGGTTTCACTATGTTGGCCAAGCTGGTCTCGAACTCCTGACCTCAGGTGATCCACCCACCTCGGCCTCCTAAAGTGTTGTGATTACAGGCATGAGCCACATGCCTGGCGGTTTTAAATTTCTTATCTGAGACTAACCACTTGCTTTTTAACAATCTAGAGTTTCTGAGGGCTCTGTTCTGTTCCATTGATCTATATCTCTGTTTTGGTACCAGTACCATGCTGTTTTGGTTACTGTAGCCTTGTAGTATAGTTTGAAGTCAGGTAGTGTGATGCCTCCAGCTTTGTTCTTTTGGCTTAGGATTGACTTGGCGACGTGGGCTCTTTTTTGGTTCCATATGAACTTTAAAGTAGTTTTTTCCAATTCTGTGAAGAAAGTCATTGGTAGCTTTATGGGGATGGCATTGAATCTGTAAATTACCTTGGGCAGTATGGCCATTTTCACGATATTGATTCTTCCTACCCATGAGCATGGAATGTTCTTCCATTTGTTTGTATCCTCTTTTATTTCCTTGAGCAGTGGTTTGTAGTTCTCCTTGAAGAGGTCCTTCACATCCCTTGTAAGTTGGATTCCTAGGTATTTTATTCTCTTTGAAGCAATTGTGAATGGGAGTTCACTCATGATTTGGCTCTCTGTTTGTCTGTTGTTGGTGTATAAGATTGCTTGTGATTTTTGTACATTGATTTTGTATCCTGAGACTTTGCTGAAGTTGCTTATCAGCTTAAGGAGATTTTGGGCTGAGACAATGGGGTTTTCTAGATATACAATCATGTCAATGGATCAATGGAACAGAACAGAGCCCTCAGAAATAACGCCGCATATCTACAACTATCTGATCTTTGACAAACCTGACAAAAACAAGCAATGGGGAAAGGATTCCCTATTTAATAAATGGTGCTGGGAAAACTGGCTAGCCATATGTAGAAAGCTGAAACTGGATCCCTTCCTTACACCTTATACAAAAATTAATTCAAGATGGATTAAAGACTTAAACGTTAGATCTAAAACCATAAAAACCCTAGAAGAAAACCTAGGCATTACCATTCAGGACACAGGGATGGGCAAGGACTTCATGTCCAAAACACCAAAAGCAATGGCAACAAAAGACAAAATTGACAAATGGGATCTAATTAAACTAAAGAGCTTCTGCACAGCAAAAGAAACTACCATCAGAGTGAACAGGCAACCTACAACATGGGAGAAAATTTTCGCAACCTACTCATCTGACAAAGGGCTAATATCCAGAATCTACAATGAACTCAAACAAATTTACAAGAAAAAAACAAACAACCCCATCAAAAAGTGGGTGAAGGACATGAACAGACACTTCTCAAAAGAAGACATTTATGCAGCCAAAAAACACATGAAAAAATGCTCACCATCACTGGCCATCAGAGAAATGCAAATCAAAACCACAATGAGATACCATCTCACACCAGTTAGAATGGCAATCATTAAAAAGTCAGGGAACAACAGGTGCTGGAGAGGATGTGGAGAAATAGGAACACTTTTACACTGTTGGTGGGACTGTAAACTAGTTCAACCATTGTGGAAGTCAGTGTGGCGATTCCTCAGGGATCTAGAACTAGAAATACCATTTGACCCAGCCATCCCATTACTGAGTATATACCCAAAGGACTATAAATCATGCTGCTATAAAGACACATGCACACGTATGTTTATTGCGGCATTATTCACAATAGCAAAGACTTTGAACCAACCCAAATGTCCAACAATGATAGACTGGATTAAGAAAATGTGGCACATATACACCATGGAATACTATGCAGCCATAAAAAATGATGAGTTCATGTCCTTTGTAGGGACATGGATGAAATTGGAAATCATCATTCTCAGTAAACTATCACAAGAACAAAAAACCAAACACCGCATATTCTCACTCATAGGTGGGAATTGAACAATGAGATCACATGGACACAGGAAGGGGAATATCATACTCTGGGGACTGTGGTGGGGTGGGGGGAGAGGGGAGGGATAGCACTGGGAGATATACATAATGCTAGATGACGAGTTAGTGGGTGCAGCGCACCAGCATGGCACATGTATACATATGTAACTAACCTGCACAATGTGCACATGTACCCTAAAACTTAGAGTATAATAAAAAAAAACCAATCTAGAGTTATATAATGTATAGAATCATAGGAAATATGAGCTGGGGAGACCTTGGGGCAGCATCTAATTTTATTCTTCTATTTTACAGAGGAAGAAACTGAGAGCCAGAGAGGGGAGGCAACTTGTCCCAAATCTTACAGCTTGAGCCACTGCTGGACCTAAGTCTTCAGAGTCCCATGTTTAGAGTTGTCTTTGCTACATGGTCCTGCCTAACTACATATGTAGTGAGAGGAAGAAAAAGTTATTTCCAGCTAATTTCAAAGATAGACTCTAAATGCTGTTTATGTTCTTAAATTCTCATGACATCCATGCAAAGAGATCCACATACCAAGACCCATAAAATGCCAGAAGCAATTACTGGAAACAAAGCAGTGAATTGTCATAATTGAGTGTATATTGTCTTTCACAGGATCTGTGCATTTATAGATGTGCCATTTCCACAGCAGATCAGTTGTTCTCATCTTGGCTGCTCACTGGATCATCTGGGAAGTTTTAAGAAAACACTGAGGTGTGAGCCAGGCACTAGGAGTTGAAAAACCTCCCTAGAGAGAATCTAGTGAGCAACTGGTGTTGAGAACCCCTCCTCTGGATTGTGAGTTCTTGGAAGGCAGAATTTTCATCCTTGAACCCCCTGGAACACCATGCCATAGAGTAATTGTTAATTGAAACTGAGGACACAATGCTGAAAGTTCTTACAGAGAGCAGCTATGTCAGAGTGGAAAAGACATGGCCTTTGACATCAAAAATACCTATTTGCATCTCAATCTTGCCATTTAGTAGCTGTGACTTCACACACGACAGTTGCTCTGAGCCATCTATAAAACGAATATAAAGATGATACCAACTTCCCAGGGACATTATGAGCTCAGCTAAGATTATTTAGCTTTTATAAAGGTCCTTGGTAACAGCAAAGACTTTGTCAAGTATTGTTATTTCCATTCAAAATAGAAATAGAGTAGCTTTTAAAAAGGTATGTTGGGGGGGGAAGTAATGAAAGATGATTGTAATAATTTAGGCAATACAGAGTTATAAAGAAAAATCAAGTAAAATTACCCACAATTCCTCCATAAGTATGTTTCAGCATTCTGTTGTTTCTTCTTTCAGAATTTTCTCTTGTTTATATGTGTGCCTGTACACACACACACATATGCACAAAACACCATATTTAAAAAAAAAAACAAATACAGGATTGTATTGTGTCCATCTTCCCTGTTACTAGCTAGAGTTCTCCATAACCATGAGTTATAATTACTGTGATACTTTTCTAGCCTAATGATTTTGTGAGTAATTGAAGGAAGATACATAGGATAAAATAGAAACAAGAGCAAAGCCAGTGAAAATCTGCAGAAAAATTACACATTTTGGGGGCCTAGCGATGTCTGAAAATTATTGCAAGATTCCATTGAGGCTTACCCATTTCTTCACCTGAGAAGACTAATGTTTCCCACAGGAGCTTGTGAATTGACATGGATAAAATGAAGATCTCAGTCCTGCCCTCCCAGAGAAACTTCCCTCTCTAAAAGGCCTGGGCCACAGCCTGCACATCCTTCTGGTGAGCAACATTTATTTGCACATGATTTCAAAAGTAGCAAGAAAGGGCCAGGTGCGGTGGCTCACACCTATAATCCCAGCACTTTTGGAGGCCGAGGCGGGCAGATCACCTGAGGTCAGGAGTTCGAGACCAGCTTGACCAACATGGAGAAACGCCATCTCTACTAAAAATACAAAATTAGCCAGCTGTGGTGGTGCATGCCTGTAATCCCAGCTACGTGGGAGGCTAAGGCAGGAGAATCACTTGAACCTGGGAAGCGGAGGTTGTGGTGAGCCGAGAACACACCATTGCACTCCAGCCTGGGCAACAAGAGCAAAACTCCATCTCAAAAAAAAAAAAATGTAGCGAGAAAGAGAATGGAAGGACGACCAAAAAGTGCTTATTCAAGTTAACTATTAATTTGGGGAAAGCAATTTTCATATCTAAGCCAACCTAGAGTTGATCCAAAAGTTAACAGTTAAAAGAGCCAGAGCAAACATACAGACCAAATCTCCAAGGCTGATATTGTCTGGCAAGGAATCCAGCTTTAGAAAGGACCTGAAGACATCTGAACCCTTTCCGGATCAAGCCTCCCCTTTTCCTGGACCTAATCCCTAACAGCATCAGAACCTCAACGTGTCTGTTGGCTAGGGGCCTTGCCCATAAGGAGCCTGTGTTTACAGAATCAATGAGGAACAGATGAAGGGTGACTGTAATCTGGAACAAGGAGGCCCTGTTAAGGACGTGCCCAGCATGGGCATGCCAAGTGAGTGTGGCTCCATCAAAACCAGGCCTTTGCAAAAAAGATGGCCTATTTTGCTTGGACACCACTGCTCACAACAGCCTTGGATTCTTCTTTGCACCCTGTCTTTACAGCCTTACAAGAAATATCCAACTCAATTTTTAAAATAATATCCCCTGATATCTTTTTTTTTTTTTTTTTTTTTTGGTGTAGGGGGTGGCATGAGGAGCTTGTTTAGAAAAAAAAAAAAATTAGGCTTGAAGTTGGAGAAACCTGTGTGTGAATCCCAATTAATTCACCTAAATGCTGTGTGACCTTGGAGAAGTCACATACCTTTTATATTTCTTAATTTCCTTTTCTTTAAAGAGGGGATCATGAGCCTTACCTACCTCTCATCATTTGTCAAGTGGAAGATTACCTTGATGCAATGGTAGTCTCCAAGGTCAAGCTGGTACTTCCTATCAAGGGTCACAGAACAGAAAGGCTCAGTAACCAAATTAAAATGCTCAAATCATACACGTTATAACATCAATTTGAAACACACAGTGACAAGCAAGAGGAAAGACATGGGGCATATTAGCACTCTGATATAGGGTGTGATCAGCATAGAAGGACCATACTACCCAAGTCCTGGGGTAAGCAGTTCATATGTCCTCTCTCCCCATCTGCCACATCAGCCTTCCCCACTGATGGTTTGGTTACAGGACAAAAGTTGAGGTTTGAACAAAGGGGCCCACAGACAGAAATTGCCCTGGCCAAGGACCCATGCTTGCACTGTTGGAGAGACACAGGGACAGGTACATCTGAACAACAGCTGTAGCTTGCTTAGCCTGCTGAGCAGCCATGAGTTTCGTTTGTGTTTCTTGGGCAAAGAACATGGAGTGAGAAAGGATGCCCTTAATTTATGGCAGAATTAAGGCCTTGTGAACATTGATTGCTCATGTATATTTACTGCATCCAGAATATTTAGTGCCTCATATATCTCATATATACTTAGGTATCATTTATATATAATATACAAATTTATTACATATAATAAATATATATATTTATATTTAGTACACTGTGCATTTATATGCACATTTATATTTAGTGCACAGTGAATATTCAGTGTCTTATGAATATTAGGTGTCTTTTGGTCCCTCTATCACTTTCTATGTTAAATACGCCCATGCC
Source organism: Homo sapiens (assembly GCF_000001405.40). Lineage (NCBI taxonomy): Eukaryota > Metazoa > Chordata > Mammalia > Primates > Hominidae > Homo > Homo sapiens. Next base: position 86,752,338 of record NC_000011.10, on the reverse strand, counting down.
ATTGTTTCTAACATATTTTATGAATTTTATGGATCTAATTTGTATTCTCCTCTTCCACAGCATAATTGCATATTCTCAAACAATACAACAAATACATATTACATCATTCTATTGGAAGGCTGGAGTGAAAAAGCACTTTGTAAATTGTAAAGCTCTATATAATTTTAAGAGATTATTATTTTTGTTAATATAATGAACAAAAACAACTATGGCCATGTACAGAAAATAAAATTTATCTTCAAAGGATAAAGAGGAGGCAGTTTAGCTTAATAACTAAGAGCCATGAACTCTGCCAATAAGTGGCTTTGCTAACTTTGGGAAGTTACATAACTTCCTTAAAACTCCGTTTCCTCATCTGTAAAATGGGGATAATAACAACAGCTACTTTGTGAGCTTATTTTGAAGACTGAATAAGACGATGTGTGTAAAACACTTAGGGAATTGTTTGGCCCATCATAATGTTGCTACCTAGACTTCATTGAGTGCTGACTCTTTCAGAGGCACTTTACGACCTAGGTCCTATTATCATGCTCACTTTACAGATGAGAGGTTTCAGATAGAATCTGAATTCAACCCAGGTAATATGACTATAAGCCTATGCTCTTAACTGTTTTGCAACATTGACACCTACACAGTAAGTTTTCAATGCATGTTACATCATCATTTTAATAAGATTGGCCACTAGAGCAGATATTCAATATCATTATTCATAAATAAATGACATTGGTGTTGATATTTTGAATTAATTCCCTCAACATTGATTCTACCTTCCCCATGATTCTCCTCTTCTCTGCAGTGTGGGCAGGACTTTGACTTGCTTCTAACCAACAGAATATGGAAAGGTGATGGAATTGTGTTATAAGATTATGTGGTATAAGATTATAACATCCATCTTGCTAGGAGATGCTGTCTTCCTTGCTGGCTTTGAGGTACCAAGTAACTATGTGGCAAGAAGTTGAGGGTGACCTCTGGCTAATAACCAGCAAGAAACTGATACCCTTACTCTGACATCTTGCAGGGAACTGAATGCACCAGCAGCAGCCATATGAGCTTGGAGGCAGATCCTGCTCCAATTGAGACTCAGCTGAGACTGCAGCCCCAGTTGACACCTTGATTGCAGCTTCATAAGATCCTGAATCAGGGAATCCATCTCAGCTGTGCCTAGACTCCTAACCCGTAGAAATGGTGAGATAATAAGTATGTATTGTTTTCAGCTGCTAAGCTTGTGGTAAAATTGTCATGCAGCAATAGAACATGAACACACAAGGTTACAGAGACTGAAGAGTACCAGGCAGTTGTGGCGACATGTGTGACGGCAGCAGCAGCAGCAGCCTCCTGACATGGGCTGTAGCCATGGTGGACTGAATGTCCTTGAACTCAAAAGTCCAGCGGTGGCCCTCAACATTCACTCTTCCATACCTTTCGACAATTTTATATTTATCAATTCTCTGCATCAAATCCCTTTCTTCTTGAATTACCCAAAGTGATTTATATTTCCTGTACTGAATCTTAGTTTATATCCTCATCCTGCTTCAAAGCCATGGTTCATCTATCCCAATATTTAATCCTGCTGATTACCCAAAACATTTTAAGCAAAAACAGAGTAGTTTCTTTTCAAAATATCAGGTAGAAAGGAAATGATAGTCATTAAGCAATGCTATTTCTTTGAATAGCCACAACAACCCTTTAAGGAAGGTAATACAAATCCCATTTTATAGAGGAGAAGACTGAAGCTCAGACCTCATTTGGTTCTTTAAAATCACACATCTTGTGAGTAGCACATAGGGGTGTAATTCTAGGTCTAACAGACAACTGACTGCACATTCTTCCCACTACCCCATTCCATTAAGGACATCTGCGTTGCTATATGTCTTTTCACTCATTCATTCCTTAAATTTCTATTGCATTTCTGCCATGATGGATGCAGGCACAGAATGCTGAGTATACAGTGAAGAGGGACATCAAATCCTCAAGTGTACAGTGAAGAGGGATACCAAAGCAGATTTTAGGACAAAGGGGCTCATAGTGGTGGCTGACACAGCTCCAGGAACTCTAGAACAGTGCTGCCAGGCAGGGACACTGGCAGAAATGCTCACATGCCTCAGCGAGACCTCAGGCAGCCTTGAGCAGACACAGAGCTGACCCCAGTGATGCTCTGTTCACACTACCAAGCCACGATGCAGTTCCCAGAGGCCCCTCACTCCTTCTCCAAAGCTGCCAGCTGTCAAGCTCCAGCAGGCCATAGGCTTGTTTTATTTAGTGTTGGCTCTTTGAAATAAATGTGCTTCTCATTAATTAAGTTTTTCAAAAATGAAATTGAAAACCTTTGATTTACTTTAAAGACAGATCTGGCTAACCCATTAAAGCTTACTCAGCTCTGCTATTAGGAAAGAAAAAGAGGTTTGAGAATTCAAATCTCTGGCAGAGCTTAAAGTAGGTAGAATGCCAAAATAGCTCAGCTTTAAGAATCTATTTTTTTAAGTCCTATAATACTCAATTTTCTCATCAGAAAAATGGGATAACAATAATTCCTACCTGACAATATGATTGTGTGTGGACTAAATAAGGTAATATGAATGTTCCTGCCTATGGTGTGCCTCCCTTGGAAATATTCCATGCCCTTCTCCTTCACTCTATCATGGGCTGCAGGGGGCATCTCTCAGCTCCTGTTTCAGCTCTTCCCCCTGCGTGTGGTCAACAGGAGGCACTGGTGGGCAATAGTAGGGTGGAGGATTGTAGAGTGGGAGGCAGGGAGCAGCAGAGTATTACTCCTCCTCCCTTCTGATGAAATCTCTAGCAGCCACTGCCTCTCCTTCATGGGGCCATCTTCTTGGAGGGATGTCCTCCATGGTCTGGTTCGGCAAGTAAACCCAGCACACTTGCCCAAAGAACACCATGCTACCACCTCCCTTTCTTCCTCTGCCTAGGGTGCCAGCGGCTTCTGGGCAGCCTCATCACTGCTTCTTTGGCGTCTCCCATCTTCCATCTCTCCTTTAGCCATTTTCTGGGTTTTGTTTGTTTGTTTTGAGACAGAGTCTCACTTTGTCACCCAGGCTGGAGTGCAGTGGCGCGATCTCGGCTCACTGCAACCTCTGCCTCCAGGGTTCAAGTGATTCCCCTGCCTCAACTCCTGAGTAGCTGGGATTACAGGTGCCTGCCACCATGCCTGGCTAATTTTTGTATTTTCAATAGAGAGGATTTCACCATGTTGGCCAGGCTGGTCTCGAACTCCTGACCTCAAGCAATCCACCCACCTCAGCCTCCCAAAGTGCTGGGATTATAAGCATGAGCCAACATGCCCAGCCCATTTTCTGGTATTAAATTCTCTGTTTTAAGTACTTAAAGACAGTTCTGTTTTCCTTGCTGGACCCTGTCTGCTGCATTGAGCGAAATGCACTTGCCTGGTGGGATTTATTTTCTCAGTGAATGATTAGGCAAGATAGCAGGCAAAAGAAAGGGGGTAAAGATTAGAATATGAAGATTGCTTAGAGACAGTGTGGCTTCATAGTCTGGTGTTTGGTGAACAGGTGTTCAATAAAGGAAAGCTATGATGAAGAGGATTGGTCCCCTTCTGCTTACGAAGAATAGAATGAGAAAAATGCTTTTGAGTAGGATAGAAGGGTAGAGAGACCTCATGTTTCTGTTGGCTATTAGCAGCCCTGTCCAATGCCTGGAGCCTGGTTCTGGGTGCTGGGAAGAGCTGACCTCAGCCAGTGAGCACCCAGGCTGTGATCACTGAGCTGTCTGGAAGGGCTGGTCCCTCCACACACAGTGTACCCCTAATGAAAAGCAGATTTTTCCACCCCCACAATTGGGGTGAGATCTCCTCCTCCTCACCCTAAGAACAGAGGAAGAATGTTCCAAGAATATTTGCCATAGCTATTCAACCAAGATCTCGTTTTCACATTCCTGTTGACAGCTTTCCAGCCCTGGGCTAGTCTGTTGTTTTCGTCCTGTGGCCACCCGACTTCCATTCCCAGCACAACCCAAGTCAGAGGCACCCAGAATGACCCCCATCTCCACAGCAGTAAGCGCTTGGCAGTCTATGCCACTGGGAAGGAAACTGTTCCTGGCCTGAGCTTGTGCTGTGAAAGGGGAAGGGGAGGTGAGTTAGCGCATCTTTATAACCAAGTGCCCAGGATGGTGTTTGGCACACTGGGAAGGAAAAAGTATAAACAGTCCCATGATGTAGTCTCTGAAATAAGCTTCCCTCTCTGGTATCTGAATACCACCTCTCTGTTATCTGAATACCACTAAACTGCCTGCGCAATGACTGTGCCAGTCACCTTACATACACTATTGCTTAACCTCATAACCACCCTATAAGGTGGGGTTTTCGAGTCCATTTTACAGACAATGGAACGGAGGCTCAGAGAGGTCACATCTTTCAGGTTCCAAAACCTGCATTATTTTAACAATTCCATACCACCTCCCTGACATTTTTGTGGCCAAATACTCTGGGCTGGGCCTGGTGTCTCACACCTGTAATCCCAGCACTTTGGGTGACTGAAGCAAGTGGATTGCTTTGAGCCTGGGAGTTTGAGACCAGCCTGGCCAACATGGCGAAACCCCGTCTCTACAGAAAATACAAAAATCAGCTGGGCATGGTGGCAGGCACCTGTAATCTCAGCTACTCAGGAGGTTGAGGCAGGAGAATTGCTTGAACCTGGGAGGGAGAGGTTTCAGTGAGCTGAAATTGCACCACTGCACTCCAGCCTGGGTGACAGAGTGAGACTCTGTCTCAAAAAAAAAAAAAAAAAAAAAAAAGGGAATACTCTGTGCAGACACATCACATACTTTGAAGCTGCTCTCATCAAAAGCTTGGGTGGACCCCAGTTGACAGAGCAAAAGAAAGAATGTCTCTGAGCCCAATGGAATCCACTGCAGTCACTCCCCAGGGTCTCTCCTACAACTGTAAATCTAAATGCCAGCCATTCCCTGAGAAACCAGAAGCCAACCGCAGAGATCATGAGCTCGATGGAGAGAAGGTTCACATGGATATGCTTACCACCACCCTGAGATTGCAGTTGTGGGTGCCTTAATGGCTGGGTGAGAACCAGGTTTTTGTTTTTGAGACCAGTTACCATTATACTGAACAACCATTACAGTAAAAGAAACCTAAAGAACTAAGCAACAGCCAATAAATATCTATCTGATGAACATTGTCTCCAACTTTCCATTTCTATAGTCTGAAAATTCAGTCATTGCAAAGGCAATCACATTTAAGCGTAGTACTCGAATCTTTAGGGCACTGAGCCTCCACCTATGTCAATGTAGGAGACTGGTCTTTCACAGAAACTCATCCCAAACATTTCTGAGAAGCCCCAGGGATGCTTTCAGGTGTCCAAGAAGCAGTGCTGGTGGTTTCTTGCCAGGTGTAGCAGCTGCTGCCTGAGGCTGCATGCTGCTACCACTCTAATGAAGAGAGTGAGTTTCTTACATGTCACGCTCAGTGAGGGGTTCATAGCTTCAGCCACAGAGTTAATACGTTTTCTAAAAGACCTATTTAAGTTCATACATATATTCCTTTTACAGCTGTGCATCATGACTGGGACAGGCATGGTCTAATATCAGCTAACAGAGTGGATCTGGAAACACTCCAGATCCCCTCCAGGCCTGTACTGGGTCTGGCTGCCTGCTGGACCCTGTTTCTCTGATGGATGATTCAATTACAGGAGAATTCATAGCCCCTTTTGGCAAAACTGGCTCTTAAGTGACAGTTCGTATGCATTGTATTTAAGCCCCCTGGTAAAAAGATTTAAGTCCTTTTCCTGTCCTAGTGGATTCCTCAGCCCTCTTGCAAATCAGGGGATGACAATGAATCTGTGGGGAAAGGAGCAGTGCCACTATTTTTGGGAGGTGGGGCAATATTACCTGAAGCAGCAGTTCTTGCTCAGCCAAGATTTTTTTTTTATTAGATTTCAAACACAGGCAAAAGAACCAGTGCTTAGCCAACTAGTCATAGGCCTCTAATTAGAATCAAAGGTTAGTTTTGAGGTGGAAACTAACAGTTAATTTAGGTCAGTGTTTCCAAATTGTGAGCTACATACCCAGAGTCTGTGGATTACAATACTCCAATGCAGAGGATGCCAAACATCACCTAGACTATGAAGAAATAGCACATCCTGCCCACTCCACATGCATAGAATACTATTTTTCAAACATATGTGCCCCTGCTGAGATTAATAAACTATAAGCGCAACACAAAGTGTTATCGCATTCATGATCGTTTTAAACTGTTATGTGTTTTCTCTCTTTTTTTTTTTTTTTGGTTATGTGTTTTCTCAAACAACCAATATAAGAATTAATCTACATTTACATAGAGGTGGTTTTGGAAATTTTTTGACTTAAAAAATTGATCCTCGTATTGGAAAAGTTTGTGAAACTTTGTGCTAGAATTCTACCTCCTAGAATTACATGTTGGGGTGGCAGGGGGCATTGTAAAATGCAACCCAAGTCTAGGATTCTGTATCTAGCAGTCAAGCCCAGGGATCTGTTTTAGTTCACTCGCCCAGTGATTCATCTGCATACTGAAGTGTAGAACCTGAGATCAGGTCAACCCACTTATCCCATGGCTGAGGGAATTCAAGCTCCAGAGAAGGGAAGTGACTGGGCCAATGTCATAAAACATGTGGTCAATAGAACCTCCTTTATCCTATGTCTCCACCCCACAGCGAAAGGAAGAGCAAGCTACTCTCACCTGGGAGGTCCAGCTGGTGAAGACCACAAGAGACTGTCTCCAGTGGGTGAGGTGTTCTCCCTCCAAGGCTTTTACTATTCACCCTCGTCTCTCACAAATGCCCCAGATCAGGCTGGCCGGGCCACTACCTCACTGATCTCTATATGTTCAGCATTTTCTGTCTCTCCCAGCCCTTGCCAGAGCTTCTCCTGCTTCCTGATGTCCCACCTCATCCTGCCTATTCTCTCCAGTCCCAGTTCTGAATTGCTATTTTCTGAATGCTGTGTCCCCCTCAAATCTGTAGGTTGAAACCTATTCACCAAGTGATGGTGCCAGGTGGCGGGGCCTTTGGGAAGTGACTAGGTTACAGGGCAGAGCCCTCATGAATGGGACTCATACCCTTAGGAAAGAGCCTTGAGGGAGCTCATTTACTGCTTCCACATGTGTGGTCACAGAAAGAGGCATCATCTATGAACAAGAATACAGGCCCTCACCAGACACCAAATCTGCTGGTTTCTTGATCTTGGACTTCCCAACCTCTGGAGCTGTGAGGAATAAATTTCTGTTGTTCATAAGCCATCCAGTTTCTGATGTTTTTGTTATAGCAGCCCAAACAGACTCAAATACCAATTCTGTCTCAAAAATGTTTTTCAGGACCATCCTAAGCCTAAGTATCACTTTGTGGCCTTGAAACCCCTCCACACCCTGGAGTGTGCTTGTGTTTATACTGTTTTGTGTGTGGAGGATGGCTAGGTTGTGTTTCACATAATGTCTAATGCAGAGATGTGCTGAAGTTTCTTACTTGATGAATGAAAGTGCTCAAATGTGGATGACACAAACTCCAAAACTGTTTAGTGTGGAAATACTCACCATTTAGCCTTTTATTTATTTATAACCACTTTTTGAGCACTTTGTGTCATGCCCAAAGATGCAAAATGGACCAACTGTAGTCCTTCTTTCTCTTTCTTTTTTTTTTTTTCTTTGAGATGGAGTCTTGCTCTGTCGCCCAGGCTGGAGAGCAGTGGCGCGGTCTCAGCTCACTGCAAGCTCCGCCTCCCAGGTTCACACCATTCTCCTGCCTCAGCCTCCCAAGTAGCTGGGACTACAGGCACCCACCACCACGCCCGGTTAATTTTTTTGTATTTTAGTAGAGATGGGGTTTCACCATATTAGCCAGGATGGTCTCAATCTCCTGACCTCGTGATCCACCCACCTCGGCCTCCCAAAGTGCTGGGATTACAGGCGTGAGCCACCGCACCCGGCCAGTCCTTCTCTTAAGGGCTATGTGTGCTGATGGTAGTTTAGATCTCTGCTGCTGTTTGATTTTTTTGTATATTGGCAAAAACTTAATTTTTTTGTACCCCAATAAATGATTATTTAACATTGTAAACAATTAGCAAAATTGTGAGGAAGAGCAGTCATTAATGGAAATAAATCCTTAATGAATAATATAATATTTAATCAATTATAAAGCATATCCTATATTCCAGGCTATTTATGAACAGGATTTCATTTATTCCTCCATGCAACTCTTCAAGTGCACTGTTATTTCTGTTTTAATAATGGAAAAAATGAAGCAAGTGACTTGCCTAAGATCCTATCAAATGTGACACCGGAATTTAAATCCAGGTTTGTGTAATAACCAAGCCTGTGACCTTAATCACTGCTCTATGTCACCTCCCCTGTCCCCAGACAGCCTTTCTGCACCAGGGTTTCATAAACACTGAAGCATAAGCAGTTGCTAGGGGATAATGAATGACACTGAGTCACTAAGGGCAGCCAGCAGATCTGAAGTGATTGATGAATTTGTTACCAGTAAGTGGGGTTAGAAATTACAAAACAACATTAGAATCTATTGCACACAACCGCAAGCTGTCAGTGAGGTGAGACATGCAACAAGCCAAGGTATGTCTTTATTCTCTGATGCGCGGTTTGGTGTCTCAACAAGTCTTCCCAGCCATTTACCCCAGAGCCTGCTCTTTTTCAAGGGTGGTTCTCTAGAGGCAGTCTGGAGAAATTAGATTATAAAAGTTTGTCCCCAGCCTTTTTTGCCTGACTCATGGTGTGGTCTCAAGCCAGTGAGTCACCAACCTGTGACTCAGTTTTCACAGCCTACGCAGGGCTCAGAGTTTGACTGTTGGGCTCCCAGGGAATCCTGGGAATCCTGGGCTATACTTCTCTCCTTTGGCTTGTAAGAGTATCTTTTAAACTGTCAGAGGTGCTCATGGGTGGCCCAAGAACAAGGAAACTGAAGTGGCCTCACCAAGGGGGTCAGCCTCTGTTTCTGCTGATGCTATGTAATACTGAGTGTGGATCCTCTGCTCTGTGGGTGGTGCTCTGTGGCAACGGGCTGTCAGAGTGGACCAGTACTCTGAAGAGGAAAAAATTATCTGTGTGAAGAAACATGGATTCACTTCAAACCTGTCCTTTCCGAGCTACACTGAGTAAACTGGGACAGCTTCCGGTCCTCCATCCAGGTCACAACCCCACCCCCACAGTCCTCTGGGTAAACTCTGGTATGAAAAATTCATTTCGGATTTGACCAAGGAGCTCAGAAGTTTATGTGATGGGGAGCATAGACTATATCTTGGGAACAATTAGGTCTTCAAGAGGTCTCCATCCTCTGCCTACTTACAAACAGAACACAGCTCAGGTGAGCATCCTGGGAGACACCATTCCCAGTATGGGTTGTTTCAGCGATGGGACATAAGATGTTTGGAATGGGCTACTTCTTGCCATTAGTTCACCTGACATACCAAATATGATCAATATCAAGATTAAAAAAATGAGCATGACAACATATCCCCAAGATGTGGATTTTCAAGAAAAGGGCTCATGTACCTTCAGTCTTGGCCCTCAGCCAGGTCAAGAGTAGAGGAAAGGGTCAGAGGGACCAGCTTGGAGAGAGAATTAGAGAAGAGATTCCTTTGGAGAGAGCTGTTACAGCCCTCTCCCTTAGAGGGAGGCATGGAGGTGCTGCAGGAGAACGTGAAAAGATATTTCTTGCACGAGGGACCATAGAGAACTAGTCCTGAGTAATGTCTGGGAGAGCAGACCATGACTGGGTCCTGGCTCCTGCCCGCTGTGGGCAGAGGATGAGAGAGGAGTAACTTGCTGTCTAGGTTCAGGAACCAGGAGGTGTGCTGGGTGGGTTTGGAATGCATTCCCAGAGTTGTTCAAGGTCATTTCCTATGCACTAGATGTGGGACACACCAGAAAGAGAACCGTTCTGTGGGCCATCTTAGATCTTCTCTGAAAGTGCCTGTGAGAGAAGTGAAGGGATTTTCGCAGGAAGATTGGAAATGTGCTGCTCCTCAATGCCTCAAGTGGCTCCAGGAATGGCGACACATCTGTCAGGGTCAAGGTGACTGCAGGACAGAGGTCCCACAAAGGGACTTGGGAGCAACCCATGGCATGGCCCCTATGAGAAGAGTGCTGCTCTGGCTCACCCAGGGGATGCTTCCCTTGGCCAAAGACCAGACTCAAGTCAAATCTGTACTATTGCTTTACCTCTTCTCCTGCCCATGGCTTTAACTGTGTTGGATCTGAAACAGCAGAGAGAGAGAGAGTGGGGCAGGAGAGGTCCAGGACAGGAGAAGTCAACAGTGTATTATTATGCCATGAGTCATGCTTGTTCAACATACTGGTTATACAAACCAGAAAAGGTTTTGTCTGTTTTTCTTGGTTTGTTGACCTAATTACTAATACACATCTTTACTTTTCTCTTAGAGCCTGATCACATCCCTACCTTTCCATTCCTTCTTTCTGCATCTCATATTTTGTATACACTTCTATGATAGCACTCCATCTTGCATTATAACTGATTGCTTACCACTATTTCCATACTGAAAGATGTGTTCTTTGTGGCAGCAGCTGTATTTTATTTATGTTAATATTCTCTATATCCAGCTCAGTGATGCCATATGGTTGGTATGCAATCAATTCTTGTTAAATGAAAGACTAAATGAATATATGCATATTGATAGGAAGAACTTGGCAAAAGGGAGATATATTTAGGCCTTTTGAAGCTTCTTGAATCTCACCAGCTGGGCTGGGCTCATAGTTCCTGCTTGTAGTTCCATTCACATTCCCTAAAGACCTGGGTAGCTCTTTGAATATTTGGATTTGTTGAGGGGAATCCCAATTATACTCATTAGACAGCACATCCCTGAGGAGGGATGGAAACATTGAGAACACGCTCTCCATCAGGGTAAATAAAAGAAGGGAACTGAGCCACGCCTGTCCAATCTCAACAGAACCCTCTGTTGTACAGGAAACAGTGGAGAAATTGTTCATTTACATCTCATTCCTGATGGAAATATTCCAACTGCAAAGCCAGTGTCAGCTTTGATTTCCTGCCCTGAGAGGAGGCGCGGTCAAAAGGCACAAAGTGGGCTTGTGCAGTCAGAGGAATTAGGTTGGGTAAGAAGAGACTCTCACACTCCATCTTTGTTCAATGGTGGAACTTCTAGCTGGGGTGGTCAACCCAGCCCAGCCCAACCTTAGCCTTGGGGGCCTGTGAGGACTCCATTCTCTTAGAACCACAAGATATCAGGCGGAAGAGTGAAGGGCAGACCAGGCCTGAGGGTCAGTGCCCCAGTCCTTGGCTTGCTTCCTTGAAAAGAGCAAGCACTGAGAGGCCCTGGAGTTTTGGGAATCTGAGTGGCCAAGGGCAGGCAAACGAGAGGCCTATTCCAGGGCCTCCATTCCCAACCATTCCAGTTGCCTTGAAAAAGGAGGAATTCAAATAACCTGGAAAAGGCACTTACAGAGCAAAAGCACAGCCAGTTGCTATCTTACAGCTAATTTTAAAAATGTCCTTTTCTCTTGAAATTTCATCACCATGACTCATCGCACTGCAGGACAAAATTCTGAAGCTCTGAGTCAGACTGGGCACTGGGAGCTGAAGCTCAATGGGAGTTTTACCTAAATAAAGCCTGCAAGCCCAGCCTGCTGTGATACATGCTTAGAAATCTGCTGTTTCAGCAATGCACATGCCCTTGCACCTCTGCTGTTCATACAGTTGCCCACACCTTCCTTCTTCTCTTAGACATGAAGCCCCCCTCCCTTTTTTTCTGAACCTTCAGTTAGTGTGCTGTTATCTTCTGTGATAATTTAGTTCCTTTTCCATATCCAGTCTGCACTGCTATAGGTGCTTTGCTGATACTTGCTGCCTGAACAGGTGTGATGATAAAGCACACGTTTCAGAAAGAATCTAGGATCCTCTTCTCTAAATGCCAATCGAACTGATTGGTATTTAAATTTGGATCTTAGAATGTCAGAGTGGGAAGGAGCCTCATTCTCATGTTATCCACCCTCCCTGTCACTGTAGGTAAGAAATCCAAGACTCAGAGATATCGGCCAACTTGCCTGAGGTTAACACAGCCAGTCAGGATGAGAATCTAGACAAGAAGCCAGGGTCTGCTCATGTCTACATCTCTTTATTAGACTGTCTCTGTTTTTCTTTATTATATGTCCAGATTAATTCCTAAAAACCCACATCTGGGTATTGGAGGAGGGGGGTCATTTTTTGGGGACCTCTAGGAATGAGAATGGAAGGCAATGTTCAGGGCTGAACACCTGCTCCTTGGTATCCCTTGAGCTGCAGTCTGGTGACCTGAGAAGGTGGTTGTTGCACCCATGAAGGCAAGAGACCTGGAGATAGGCCATAGGAGGAAAGGTGGGACTGGTAGGGAGTGGCCTGGAGGCTGAAGACATATTCTCTATTCAGGGATGGTGGCAGTGGCAGGTTAATCAAAGCAACAGAGATGAGGAACTAGACCTATGGAAACTCTGGCTTGTCAACTGTCCTGGGACACATGGTGGGTATGGCTGTTATTGTAAATGAAGATGGGGGCCTGCAGTCAGATGGTAAGGTGGCTCTTGCATCAGGCTGTTGAAATCAGAATTTTGGGGGTTGCTACAGAGGCCCATTCACATGAGCTTAGGTGGAAAGAATCATTGTAAGAATATGGAGACCTCACAGGAAGCCAAGGATAGGTGCCATAGTGCAGCCAGGACCCCTTGGGCCTAAAATCAAGACTCTGTCAGGAGCCAAGGTGGCTAGCTCTAGGCTCCATTCTCTTTGGCTCTGTGTCTCTGTCTCCGATCCCTCTCACCCTCTGTCTCTTGGTGCCTTGTCTTCCCTTTTCTCCTGCCTGCAGTGCTCCTCACTGTAGTTTGCCCATGGCTCAGAATGGCTGCCCCTGTATTGAGTCCATCTCATTAACCTTTGGCTTCATAGCTAACTGGCTATGATTTTTCCAGACTCTAAAATCGTAAGAGAGGAACAAAATTGGCCCCGATCTCATATTTGGTTCTGGTCACAGACATCCCAGTTCTCCCCATGGATTAGCTGTTTATGTCAGATGTCCAATCAACTGTGGCTGTAGGGTTAGGGTCTCCAGGGCACAGCGTGTCAGTAGGGAATGGAGGAAGTTTAGACCATGGAGACACAGATTCCAGCTCTGCCATTTATAGGATCTGTGACTTTGGTCAATGCTCCTTACTTCTCTGAGCCTTAAGTTCCTACTCATCTGTAAAATAATACCAACTTCACAAGGTTGTAATTGCCTGTTGGGTTCTTCCTGCCCTCTGCACAGTCAAAATCTGTTCACTGAGGTTGGGGCATTGCAGTAGAGAAAGAGTTTAATCGACACAAGGCCAGCCCATACAGGAGAACTGGAATTCTCACTCAATTCAGTCTCCTTGAAGGCTCAGAGCTTAGGGGTTTTATGCACAAGTTGGTGGGTAGGGGGCTGGGAAATGGGTGCTGCTTATTGGTTGGGGTTGAAAGAGTAGAGGTGTGGAAAATGGTCCTCATGCAGTGAGTTTGCCTCTGGGTAGAGCCACAGGATTAGCTGAGTCATGAGTCAGAGTCCAGGAGGGGTCAGTCTGAAAGATATCTCAAAAAATCAATTTTAGGTTCTACAATAGTGACACTATCTATAGAAGCAATTAGGGAAGCCACAAATTTTATAACCTCTGGCCACATGACTCCTGAGCGGTAAGGGATTATAGAAACTATGCCAACACTTTAGCAGAATTCGGGCCCTTCCCAGAATCCTATTCTAGTTTACAAAGATAGTTTTCGAAAATAAAATAAAATAAAATAAAAACCCCACAAAGGGAGTTTTCAGTCCCCGAGCAAGGAAAGAGTTCATTTTAGGGAGGGACTATTATCATCCTTGCTTTTCAGTTAACCATAAACTAAATTCTACCCAAGGTTATCTTGGCCTATGCCCAGGAATGACCAAGGACAAGTTGGAGGTCAGAAGCAAGATGGAGACAACTATTTTAGATTTCTCTTACTGTTGTAAGTTTGCAAAGGTGGTTTCAAGGTTGTTGAGAAGACCAAATAAATATGTATAGAATCAACCCATGCCTTGTATACGGCAAATACTCAATAAATGTTTGCTGTCATGGACTAGTATTGATTTAACAGAACCAGAGTCTTGGGCATTCACAGCATATCTTGGCCTACTGCTTTTTGAACCTCTCTCTCTTTTGTCTTATTCCATTTGGAATCTTTTTTCTTCTCCCTCTTTATGTTTCTTAATTTTTCCTTTGTTGTCAGTGCTGCAACACAATGCATGAGGATTTCACAATAGGATGCATTGGAGCCAATGTTTTCCACTTGGATATGACTTACACACTCTGCCCTGCTGTTGTCAATAACAATAAAGGGGTGGAGGGTGTGGTTTACTGTACTGAATAATGCTGTGATCTGTGTTTTTGAAAACTGCTCCAACAAAGGAAGGAAGTTGTCTATGGTGACACTGCTGGCTTTTATAACATAAATATGAAGCTCTGTGTTATTGTTTGGCAAAAATCCCAAAATTTCCTTCAAGAATCTCAGGCCAAGTTGAGAGCCATCTATAAAATGCAGAGCTATATTCAATAAAAAGCAAAAATTACTCCAGATGCCAAAAATCCTTATAAACAAATACTTTGCCAAACATACACAGTCTTTTCTCTCTCCTGATCAGTCTCCCATCTGTATACAGTGCAAGGTCACTGTCTGGAAAGCTCAGTGTGTGAGATGCCCATGAGAATGTCAGGGAGTTGGGACTGGTCTTGGGGGAGACAGACTACTGGGAACTTAGGAAATTAGAGAATTAGGTTACAATGGGTAAAAGGGCCAAGAGATGGAGAATAAGTGCTAACAGAGCCATGGTGAAAGTTGGCCTGTTCCAGGTTAGAGCAGGGAGGGGTGATGCAAAAACAGAAGGAGAATCTATGGTAAAAATCTGGGCCATTCCAAAAGTGTCATTAAAAACTATGCCAGGGCCTGGGCTGGCTTCATGTGCATGTAACTTGTTTAAACACACAGGGTTTCACACTCAGAAGAGCCTCATGCTTGACTCAATGTCCTGTTGCTGCTATCTCCAAATTTGTAATAATTTTTGAACAAGAAACTCTACATTTTAATTTTGCACTGGGCCCTAAAAATGATGTTACCAATCCTGACCAGGGAGAATTGAACCAAAGACTCATTTCCAGAAATTAAAGCTGGAAGAAAGAATGAGGGAAGGATGAAAGAGTGACCACTCTTGGTTATCAGAGCAGGGAACAAGTACGGCAAAAAGTCACTTTGGAACCTAACCGAACGAGGCAGAGGTCAGTGACCCATCCTGAATGAGCAAGGACTGCGGCAACAGCTGACACCCCCAGTATGGGCTGTGCCTTGAAGTGTGCCTGGCTCAGGGTGCTACAGAGCACTGGCCTTAGGAAAGCTGCCCTGTGGCAGGTGTCAATCCCTATTCAATCAGCTGTGGCCACATGGACAGGGTCTCATGGGCACAGCCAATCAACAGGGAGGGAGAGAAGCAGAGACAAAGTACAGGCAAAGGAGGGTTCCAGACAGACAGAGCTAGATAGAGATTTCAGCCCTGCCACTTACACGTGTTGTGACTTTGGGCAAGCCTCCGGACTTCTCTAAACCTTGGTTTCTTCATACGTAAAATGAGGGAAACAATACCTATTCACAAGGTTGATGAGAAGATCAGATGAGATGTAGTATATAAAGTTCTTACCGCTTTGCCTGGCACATGTAAATAATCAAGTTACTATGACAAACTAGGGTTGGTTTAACAGAACCAGGTTTAAGGAAAGTATGTTCTAATTCCACTGACTGTGATCATGGGCACACTACTTTACATCTCTGAGCCTCAGTTTTCTCCTAAGTAACAGGGAGATAGAAATCTAATACCTAAGACAGTGCCTTGTACGTAGCAGGTACTCACTAACTGTACATTAAATGAGTGAGTGAAGCTATGCATCCTGCTCCACTGCAATAGGGAATCTGAAAGCTATTTGCAAAGCTGCAAAGAGCTTTACAACCATAATAATTACCTTTTTGTTGAATCCAGAGAGTCAGATTTGTAACTTCTCGGGGGGTAGAAATCAAATATGTTTGTGGTCACCTCACCCTGAAAATAAAATAACTTTCTGCGCACTTGCCTGCTTGGGGATTTGGGTCACTCTTTTGTTACTGGCATCATTGCATAGCTAACTAATCCCAGTGTAAATAAATTGGGCTGGGAGTTTTTGCATTGCTCCCCTGCCCTCCCCCAGGTGTTTTTTTCTAGCATAAAAGGGAAATAATGTGATCATAAGGATACCACACATCAAAAAGTATACTTAATGGCAAGACATTCAATATGCGTGTGCCTAAATCAGATGAATTCAGAGCATATCATTTCTTTTCATTATAGCTCATGAAGCATGAAGTGTATTTAGGGAGAAAAAAAACTCATTCATCAGCCTCAGAGATGCCAAGAAAGGAAATGCCTTATGTATGAATGATAAAAAGCACATATTTTTCTTGCTCTGAGTTTACATATCCCATATGGGATAAAAGGAAATCCAAGTGTCACCACCATACCAAGTGCCTCAGATGAGAAGAGTTTCTCAGTCTTCAAGGGTAAAATAACAGTGTGGACACCAAAAGGCCAAAGGTGAGCTTGACCAAACTGGAGGGACCTTGAGACTCAGTAGATTATTAAGGCATTCCACATGTTCTGCTTTGGATGATGGCAGTGTGACATGGTTAACAATTGCTACTGAGGTACATCTGGCTAAATCTCCATGAAAAATCTGTGCTCTTTCTTCCACTGTATAGAGTTGTGGTTGCTGAGGCAAGGGCTATGTCTCCTAGGCCTCTAGCATTAGGTGTGGTTGTACAGATAAGTTCTCACAATGGAATGTGAGTGGAAACGATGTGTGTATATCTTTGGAGAAATATCAATACAAATTTTTTGCCCATTTTTATTTGGGTTACTTGTCTTTTTATTGTTGAATTGTAATAGTTCTTTATTAGTCCCTTATCAGATATATGATTTGCAAATTTTATTTCCCATTTTGAAAGTTACTTCTTGCTTTCTTGATAGCATTCTATGAAACACACAGTTTTAAACTGTGAAAATCCAACTTACCTTTTTTTTGTCGTTGCTTGTGCTTTTGGTGTTACATTTAAGAAATCTTTGCCTAATTCAAGTTCACAAAGATTTGCACCTATGTTTTATTCTAAGAATTTCATATATTTAGCACTTACATTTTGGTCTTTGAGCCATTTCGAGTTAATTTTTGTATATGGTGTAAAGTAGGAGTCCAACTTTATTTTGCATGTGGATATCCAGTTGCCCCAGCACGACTTGTCAAAATAACCTTTCACCATTTGTCGAAATAAGTTTTTCTATTGAACATGTTGGCACCCTTTTTGAAAATCAATGGACTAGGCTTTATTTCTTGGTCTGAATTCTATTTTATATATATATATACACACACATATATATATACACACACTATATATATAATATATATGTATATTGTATATATATATAATATATATGTATATTGTATATATATATAATATATATGTATATTGTATATATATATAATATATATGTATATTGTATATATATATAATATATATGTATATTGTATATATATATAATATATATGTATATTGTGTATATATATATAGAGAGAGAGAGTCTTATGCTAGTATCATGCTGTCTTGATTGCTGTAGCTTTGTAGTAAGTTTTGAAATCAGAAACTGAATGAGTCTTTCTATTTTGTTCTTTTTCAAGATTGTTTTGCCTTTTCTGAATCTTTGCATTTCCATTTGAATTTAGGATAGCTTGTTTGTTGAATTCTGTAAAAAAAAAAAAAAAGCAGCTAGGATTTTGTTAGGATTGTGTTGACTCTGTAGATCAATTTGGGAAGTATTGCCATCTTAATAACATTGTCTTCCAGTCCATGAACATAGGATGTCTTTCCATTCATTTAGATCTTTAAATTCTCTCCATAATGTTTTATAATTTTTAATATGTATTTCTTGTGGCTGGGCACAGTGGCTCATGCCTGTAATCCCAGCACTTTGGGAGGCCGAGGCAGGTGGATCACCCAAGGTCAGGAGTTCAAGACCAGCCTGGCCAACATGGTGAAACCCTGTCTCTACTAAAAATAGAAAAATTAGCTGGGTGTGGCGATGGGCCTCTATAGTCCTAGCTACTTGTCATGCTGAGGCAGGAGAATCACTTGAACCCAGGAGGTGCAGGTTGCAGTGGGCTGAGATCACACCACTGCACTCCAGCCTGGGTGACAGAGCAAGACTCTGTCTCAAAAACACCTATATATATCTATACAGATATGCATTTTGGTTACATTTATTCCTAGGCATTTCATTCTTTTTGATGCTGCTATAAATGGAATTGTTTTCTTAATTTTAAGATTATTCATTGCTAGTATATAAAAATACAACTGATTTTTTTTTATCCTGAAACTTTGCTATACTTATTTATTGGCTCTTATAGTTTTATTTTGGTTTGGTTTTTAGCTCTTTGTTTCTTTGCTTGTTTATATTCCTTAGGATTTTTATATACAAGTTCATTTCGTTTGATAGTGGAGACAGTTTTACTTCTTCCTTTCCACTATGGAACCCTTTTATTTTTTTTCTTGCCTAATTCAATACAATGTTGAATTGAAGTGGCAAGTCTGTATACATTCTTGTCCTGTTTTTGATTTTAGAGGGAAAGTCTCAAGTCTTTCACCATTAACCATGATGATAGCTGTGGGTTTTTCATAGGTGCCCTTCATTAGGTTGAGGAACTTACCTTCTATTCCCAGTTGAATATTTTTTTATGAAACATAGTTAGATTTTGTCGAATATATTTTCTGCATCTACTGAAATGATTGTGATTTTAATCTCTATTGATATAATGTATTACATTGTTTAATGTTTATATATTAAACCAAACTTACATTCCTGGGATAAATTCAGGTCATGGTATATAATCATCTTTTTATGTTGTTAAATTTGGTTTGCTAATATTTTGTTGAAGATTCTTGCATCTATATTCATAAAAGATATTTGTCTATAATTTTCTTTTCTTGTGATATCTTTGGTTCTGCTATCAGGTAATACTGGCCTTAAAAATGAGTTGGGAAATGTTTCCTATTTTTTGGAAGAGTTTGTGAAGGATTAGTGTTAATTCTTTTTTTTTTTTTTAATTTTTATTTTTATTGATCATTCTTGGGTGTTTCTCACAGAGAGGGATTTGGCAGGGTCATAGGACAATAGTGGAGGGAAGGTCAGCAGATAAACAAGTGAACAAAGGTCTCTGGTTTTCCTAGGCAGAGGACCCTGAGGCCTTCCACAGTGTTTGTGTCCCTGGGTACTTGAGATTAGGGAGTGGTGATGACTCTGCCTTCAAGCATCTGTTTAACAAAGCACATCTTGCACTGCCCTTAATCCATTTAACCCTGAGTGGACACAGCACATGTTTCAGAGAGCACAGGGTTGGGGGGTAAGGTCACAGATCAACAGGATCCCAAGGCAGAAGAATTTTTCTTAGTACAGAACAAAATGAAAAGTCTCCCATGTCTACTTCTTTCCACACAGACACGGCAACCATCCGATTTCTCAATCTTTTCCCCACCTTTCCCCGCTTTCTATTCCACAAAACCACCATTGTCATCATGGCCCGTTCTCAATGAGCTGTTGGGCACACCTCCCAGACGGGGTGGCGGCCGGGCAGAGGGGCTCCTCACTTCCCAGTAGGGGCGGCCGGGCAGAGGCGCCCCTCACCTCCCGGGTGGGGCGGCTGGCCAGGCGAGGGGCTGACCCCCCCACCTCCCTCCCAGACAGGGCGGCTGGCCGGGCGGGGGGCTGACCCCCCCACCTCCCTCCCTGACGGTGCGGCTGCCGGGTGGAGACGCTCCTCACTTCCCAGACGGGGTGGCTGCCGGGCGGAGGGGCTCCTCACTTCTCAGACGGGGCGGCTGCCGGGCGGAGGGTCTCCTCACTTCTCAGATGGGGCGGTTGCCAGGCGGAGGGTCTCCTCCCTTCTCAGATGGGGCGGCTGGGCAGAGACGCTCCTCACCTCCCAGACGGGGTTGCGACCGGGCAGAGGCGCTCCTCACATCCCAGATGGGGCGGCGGGGCAAAGGCACTCCCCACATCTCAGATGATGGCCAGCCGGGCAGAGACGCTCCTCACTTCCTAGATGGGATGGCGGCCGGGAAGAGGCGCTCCTCACTTCCTAGATGGGATGGCGGCGGGCAGAGACGCTCCTCACTTTCCAGACTGGGCAGCCAGGCAGAGGGGCTCCTCACATCCCAGACGATGGGTGGCCAGGCAGAGACGCTCCTCACCTCCCAGACGGGGTGGCGGCCGGGCAGAGGCTGCAATCTCGGCACTTTGGGAGGCCAAGGCAGGCGGCTGGGAGGTGGAGGTTGTAGCGAGCCGAGATCACGCCACTGTACTCCAGCCTGGGCACCATTGAGCACTGAGTGAACCAGACACCGTCTGCAATCCTGGCACCTCCGGAGGCCGAGGCTGGCGGATCACTCGCGGTTAGGAGCTGGAGGCCAGCCCGGCCAACACAGCGAAACCCCGTCTCCACCAAAAAAATACGAAAACCAGTCAGGCGTGGCGGCACGCGCCTGCAATCGCAGGCACTCGGCAGGCTGAGGCGGGAGAATCAGGCAGGGAGGTTGCAGTGAGCCGAGATGGCAGCAGTACAGTCCAGCTTCGGCTCGGCATCAGAGGGAGACCGTGGAAAGAGAGGGAGAGGGAGACCGTGGGGAGAGGGAGAGGAGGGAGAGGGAGAGGGAGAGGGAGAGGGCCAATTGATTTTCAACGACAATGACCTAGTGTTAATTCTTTTTAAAGGAAATTTTTGTACCAATAAATCTATCTAGTTTTGGGCTTTTCTTTGAGTAAAGTGTTTGATTACTAATTCAATTTATTTATTTGTTATAGGCCTATTCAAATATTTATTCCTTCTTGAATCAGTTTCAGTAGTTTGTGGCTTTCTAAGAATTTGTCCATTTCATTTAGGTGATCTAATTTGTTTACTTACAATAGTTCATAGTATTCCTTTACAATTCTATTTCTGTAAGGTTGATAACAATATCTCCTCTATCACTGTTGATTGTAGTAATTTGGGTCTTCTCCCCCTCTCTTTCTTTTCCTGGTCAGTCTAGTTAAATAAGGTTTGTGGATTTATTCATTTAAAGTTTCATTCTTAATAACTAATTTTTGGTTTTGTTAAATTTTTTTCTATTAGTTTTCTATTCTCTATTTAGTTTATTTGCATTCTGGTCTTTATTATTTCCTTTTTTCTACCTGCTTGGGTTTAGTTTGTTCTTGACTTGAAGCTTTTCCTTTTTGAGGTCTTTATTCTTTTTTTTAAATATAGGAATTTATAGCCCTTGTGAATTCTTGCAGCAACCTTACAAAGGGGTAGAATTATCCCTATTTTCAATGTGGAAACTGAGATAATCTAAATGACTTATTTAAGGTCATATAGCCAGTCAGTGGCAGAACTGAAATTATAATATCAGTTTTCTAAATGGGAAACAAGGGATTAAAATTTAAACTCTTATATTTTCTCTTTGCTACCTTGCTTCTAAAATATTAACATATCCCCCTGAAGAAATGATTCCCTATTTAATAAGTGGTGTTGGGAAAACTGGCTAGCCATATGCAGAAAACTGAAACTGGACCCCTTCCTTACACCTTATATAAAAAATTAACTCAAGATGGATTAAAGACTTAAGCATAAGACCTAAAACCATAAAAATTCTAGAAGAAAACCTAGGCAGTACCATTCAGGACATAGGCATGGGCAAAGACTTCATGTCTAAAACACCAAAAGCAATGGCAACAAAAGCCAAAATTGACAAATGGGATCTAATTAAACTAAAGAACATCTGCACAGAAAAAGAAATTGCATCAGAGTAAACAGGCAACCTACAGAATGGGAGAAAATTTTTGCAATATACCCACCTGAGAAAGGGCTAATATCCAGAATCTACAAAGAACTTAAACAAATTTACAAGAAAAAACCAAAAAACCCTATCAAGAAGTGGGCAAAGGATATGAAGAGACACTTCTCAAAAGAAGACATTTATGCAGCCAACAAACATATGAAAAAATGCTCATCATCACTGGTTATTAGAGAAGTGCAAATCAAAGCCACAGTGAAATACCATCTCACGCCAGTTAGAACGGCGATCATTAAAAAGTCAGGAAACAACAGACACTGGAGAGAATGTGGAGAAATAGGAATACCTTTACACTGTTGGTGGGAGTGTAAATTAGTGCCACCATTGTAGAAAACACTGTGGCAATTCCTCAAGAATCTAGAACTAGAAATACCATTTGACCCAGCAATCCCATTACTGGGTATATACCCGAAGGGTTATAAATCATTCTACTATAAAGACACATGCACACATATGTTTATAGCAGAACTATTCACATTAGCAAAGACTTGGAACCAATTCAAATGTCCATCAGTGATAGACTGGATAAAGAAAATGTGGCACATATACACTATGGAATACTATGCAGCCATAAAAAAGGATGAGTTCATGTCCTATGCAGGGACATGGATGAAGCTGGAGACCATCATTCTCAGCAAATTAACACAGGAACAGAAAACCAAACACTGCATGTTCTCACTCATAAGTGGGAGTTGAACAATGAGAACTCATGGACACACAGAGGGGAATATCACACACCAGGGCCTGTTGGGGGGTGGGGGGCTAGGTGAGGGATAGCATTAGGAGAAATACCTCATGTAGGTGACGGGTTGATGGGTGCAGCAAACCACCATGGCACGTGTATACCTATGTGACAAAACTGCATGTTCTGCACATGTACCACAGAACTTAAAGTATAATAATAATAAATTAAATTAAATTAAAATTTTAAAAAGTCCCCTTGAAAATTGTAGCACCACATTTTATGCCACACTGTTTCATACTATTCTGTAACCATTGTGATCATTGTGTGTACATGTGTGAGTGTATTTTGAAAGTTCAAGGAAAGCATATTCTTTGAGGGTAGAAAGTATTCTATGAACTTCTGTATGTGACCAACTCAGAGCAATAATTAGTTTAACATATGTATACACTAATAGAATATACACATTACCCTTTCCCTTGTATTATACTACTTTATTTTCACCAAAATCCTATTGATAAGTGATACTACTGGATCCAGAAGCTCAAAAATGTTAGCATGTGGCCAGACCAGTGTTCATAAGAGGTGGGTTATAGACATAAATCCAGGTGACAATTTCAAATTTTGTGCTCTTTCTATTCTACATGTTTATAATGAAGGTAAAATGGAGTGCCTTAAAAATGATGTTTAATTCATTCATTCATTTATGTATTCCAAAAATATTTATTGATCCTATTATGTGCCAGGCATTGTGCAAAGTACTGGTGATAAGTGGTAAGCAAAATCAGGCATGATCCTTTTACTCATGGTTCTTACCATCTAGTGGGCTAGACAGGTATTAATCAAGTGGTCACACCAATAAATGTATAGTTACAACTGTGATAAACTGTAGGACATAGACTTGCATCAGATGAATAAATAATGAGGCAATCTGACTGGTAAGCTAGACAGAGTAAGGCTTCCCTATGAAATATTGCTTTACAGAATTCTGAAGTTAAGTAAGTAGGAGCTAAGTGGAAGGCAGGTAAAGAGCATTCCAGCTAGAAATAACAGGCTGTGCAAATGTTCTGTTGTGGCCTCAGCTCTTTGAGAAATCCAAGTGTTTTGTTTACTCTATTTAAAACATTGTATTCAAAACCAATATGACATGTTACAACTGAACAGGAAAACAATGCTATGTGTGAAAAAGGCAAGTTAATCCCAGCTTTTGCAAAGCCTGATTTATCTTCCCCTCTGCTTATCAAGCACTCACATTGAGGGTAAGGAAAGGAACAAAAAAGGAGGCAATATTACTAAAAATTTTTAAATACAAATCTGTGCATGTCACTCCCTGCTTAAAACATTTCTGTCTCTTCATTGTATACAATAAGGGTTTTATGCATAAACAAGTTTTAGGAAGCAGAGGGTTGAACAATTTTAATTTTAATAGTAATATATTTATTTTAATGTATAATTATTAAAATTACACTAGTGATTTCACATATTTTTTTCTCAGGGGGAAGCTCAAGTAGTTATGCCTATGGTAATTCATCTTACAAAGTTGACATGGATTACAGGAGCATTTTTCAGCCATGCCCAGTGATTTTTTAAAACCTCAGTAACCAAATCTCTGCCTCTACATTCCAGGGGTATACATTGTGCAGATGATATAAATTGTTAGTATGGATCTTCACATCCTGAATTTCCATGTACAGTGCTATGCGTTTCTAAACCATATATTAAAACATCACTTCCAATGGTACACAGGTATAAAGATACCAGCCAATGGTTTTTGAATTCTTTTTAGGTGTCAGGCACTGTTTGTAAGCACTTGACATGTAGTAACACACTGAGCCTTCATAACATTTCTATGAGGTATCATCTCCATTCTGCAATGAAGAATTGGAGCACAGAGAGGTTAGGTAATTTTCCCAAGGTCACGCTGCCAGTAAGCAGCAAAGCATAGATACAAACCTGAACTTGCAGCTCTGGTGGCCCTGCTATTAACCACCATAGCACAGAATTGGCCAAAACAGTGATGGTGGGACAAAGGAACAAAGTTGGGCTAACAGGAATACAGGATGGAGTCTAAATTCCTCATGAGGTACAGAAGCCCCCTTTCTCCTTTTTTTAGCCTTGTTTCCTGCCCTTCATCTCATGCCCCACTAAAGTACTCGCCCATCCCCAGCTGTGTCAGGACCCAGGAGGCCTCTGGCTTCATTGGAGCACTGGCCCACTGCTCAGGCTCTTAGTGCTTACAGACCCAGACCCCGATCCTCCACTCATGGCTGTATCTGCAGCTTCCAGTGCAGAGCTCCACACATAGCATCTTGTCCAGTGTTGCATCAAAGAATATTAGAGCTGAAAGAGAAGTCATGCAGGGCAATTTTGTGATTTTCAAGATAAGGAAACAGATGAATAGGGAAGGAGAGCACATTGCCCAAAGTCATACATCAAGTTACAGACAGAAATGAGCCGAGTCCTGCTTCCTAAGCAGAGGCCTTTGCTTATACATGTGGCTGTCAACCACTTCTTCCTTTAAGAACCTTGGGAAAAATCCAAGACAAAAAAAAAAAGAACTAGGATACAGGTAGAAGGGCACTTTGGTTGCCTATTTCCATGCTTTCGTTAACTCTTAAACACATTCCAAGTACTCCAAAGTGATTTAGAAACCCCAGAGTAGCCTGGAAGTTGAAGCTGCTGTGAAAGGGATGGATCTCTCTGTTGCCTGTGGGGCATATGCTAAGCAGAAGTATAGCACTTATAGTGTTAATGCACACTACTAATTCGTGAATGAATCCATAATGCATCTGGGAAGATATGAAAGATTCACTCATGCCAAGGAGAAAAACTTCATGTAGAAAGTAAGATATTTGCCCAAAGGCACATAAAGACTCACGAGCAGGGATTAAGCTTTAGGTGCCCTTCAACCTGATTCCATCTGACTATCCACCAAAATCACTCTCCCTGCAGTGAAGACACAATTCATTCATTCTTCATTCATTCAACACACTGGTTGGGTGACCACTCTGTATCAGGCACTGTACCTGACACAGGGAATTCAGATGACTAAGCAACATTATGGTCAGGAAAGTCACCAGGACACCTACCCACAAGAGAGTGGTGAAAGACAGAACCAGAATCTGAGTAAGGTGCACATGGGATTCCAGAGGAGGGAGTCATACTGGTGTAGTCTTCACATATGACCTGCTTTGAATTCTTTCTTTCCAACTTTCTAGCTCTGGGACTTTTAGTGGGCTACTTAGCAGCTCTTGGTCTCAGTTAGCTTGACTTAAAGTGGAAAGAATGTGAAATAATAGTATCTACTGCATAGGGTTGATATGAGGATTAAGAGAAAAAACACCTGTAAAGCAGTTAGAGTTGTGGTGACTCGCTGGTGCTCTTGAAAGGGCTTGTTCATTGTCAGAGGTCAAAGGTTTCCTGTGCTAGTCCTAGCTCTACCATAGCCATGTTACCCGAGTCAGAGACTTAACTTTCCTGCTGGACTCATCTTTAGTAGCAGGATGGTCCACCAAAGACCAAAGATATATTTTCTCCCTATTCTTGAGCAAAGAAACTACCATAAAACCACTTTAAATTTTTGTTTGTTTGTTTCCATAGGTTTGTGGAATATAAGTGGTATTTGGTTACATGAGTAAGTTCTTTAGTGGTGATTTGTGAGATTTTGGTTTACCCATCACCCAAGCAGGATATACTGAACCTAATTTGTAGTCTTTTATCCCTCACCCACTTCCCACCTTTTTCCCCCTAAGTCCCCAAAGTCCATTGTATCATTCTTATGCCTTTGCATCCTCATCAGAAAACCACTTTGGACTCCCAGAGGACAGCCTCCAACAAAGAAGTAGGTATAGGGTACCCTGTGAGTCTCCCTTGGAAGGTGTGTTAGTTTGCTAGGGCTGCTGTAAGAAAGTACCTCAGATGGGTGGCTCAACAACACACATTTTTCTCACAGTTCTAGGGGCGAGAAGTCCTCTAGAAATCAAGATGTTGGCAGGGTTGGTTCCTTCTGAGGGTGGTGAGGGAAGAATCTGTTCCAAGCCACTCTTGTTGGCTTACAGATGGTCATCTTCTGTTTAGAACGTGTCACACTGTCTTCCCTCTATGTGTGTCTCTGTTTCTAAATGTTCCATTTTTATAAGGACCCTAGTCATACTGGATTAGAGCCTACCCTGATGACCTCACATTAACTTGATTACCTCTGTAAAGACCCATTTCCAAATAAGGTCACATTCTGAGGTGCTGGAGGTTAGGACTTTAACATATAAAATTTGAGGGAACACAATTCAACCCATAATGGAAGGGAAGATAAAATGGGAATCTTCAGAAAAGAAATGTTTTAATATAAACATATGGGAGGGAGTATTGTTCACTAATACCTATTTCTCTTCTTAGGGATAATTAAATTTCCCTGCCCTCTTAAAGTTAGTTTTGGCCATATAATTTGTTTTGGTCCATAAAATGCAAGAAGAGATGGCACTGTGTCATTTCTAGGCAGAAATGTATGAGCCAGTTGTACTTTTTCTTACCACTACTATTTGCAATGTTTCGAGTGATTCCTGCTCTATCGGCCTGGGTCCCAGAGTGAGGATGACTGTTATGAGTAGAGTTGTGGGAGTGGGTGAAAACTAAATCCTTATTTGTATAAGCAACTAAGATTTTCAGGTTCTTTGTTACCTCAGCATACCCTAGAAAAGAGAGACAAACTCTGACTCTTGGACCTAATCCTGCTTGCCACTGTTTTTGTAAATAAAGTTTTATTAGAACATAATCATTCTCAGTCCTTTGCCTATTGTCTATGGCTGCTTTCAAACTACAGTAGTCTTCACTTATCCTTGTTATATATTCCAAGACCTCCACTGGATGCCTGAAACCATAAATAGTACCAAACCTTATATATGCTGTGTTTTATTCCTATTCTGTACATATATATGTAATATAAAGTTTAATTTATAATCTGGCACAGTAAGAGATTAACAACAAAAACTAATAAGAAAATAGAACAATTATAATGATATATGTTAATAAAAGTTTTTTTCTCTCTCCTTCTTAAATCAAGAACTTTCACCTTTTGACTTAAAGGAAGCATTTCACTGTTTCTCTTTGGTTTATCAGAACTATCGGTATCACTATTCTTGTGCATTGGAGCCATTATTAAGTAAAAATAAAGGTTACTTGAACACAAGCTCTGTGTTATCAATCTGATAACAAAAATGGCTACTAAGTAATTAATGGCCATGTAGTGTCTACAGCATGGATGTGCTGAACAAAAGGATGATTGACATTCTGGTGTGCAGAGTGGAACAGGGTGAGCTTTCATCATGCTACTCAGAAAGGTGAGTAATTTAAAATTTATGAGTTGTTTATGACTGGAACTTTTCATTCAATATTTTCAGACCTCATTTGACCACAGGTAACTGAAACTATGGAAAGTAAAACTGTGGATAGGAGGCAACTACTGTATAATGGCAGAGTTAGTTCAGTAGATGTGACAGAGACTGTATGGTCTGCAAATACTAAAATATTAACTATCTATGGCTTTAGAGAAAAATTTTGCCAGCCTCAGTCTAGGTAATTTTTATTGATAAAATATATTTAAGGCTTTACTTTTTTTTTTTTTTTTTTTTGAGATGAAGTATTGCTCTGTCACCCGGGCTGGAGTGCAGTGGCACAATCTCGGCGCACTGCAACCTCCACCTCCTAGGTTCAAGCAATTCTCCTGCCTCAGCCTCCCAAGTAGCTGGGATTACAGGTATGTGCCACCACGCCTGGCTAATTTTTGTATTTTTAGTAGAGATGGGATTTCACCATGTTGGCCAGGCTGGTCTCAAACTGACTGGTCTCTAATTCCTGACCTCGTGATCTGCCCGCCTTGACCTCCCAAAGTGCTGGGATTACAGATATAAGCCACCACGCCCGCCCTAATTTTTCTTTTGAGTTTTGCTTTGGCAATATTCCACAAACTTTCATATGTAGTGTAATAATTACTCACTTATAAATAGTTTATAATTTGCTTCTAATTCTCTTTTTAATCTGAGTTATTTAAGAGTAGAATTAGTTTGATTTTGTTGTGGATGACTATCTTTATGTTGCTAATAAGTACTATTACACTGTGGCCAGAGAATGTGGTATGTATTATTCTATTTTGGAAATTCACTGAATTTTTTGTGGCCAAATTTATATCCTATGTTTGTAAATGACCCACATGCTTTTGAAAGGAATGTGTAGTTTCCTATATAAGATGGTGAGTTCTTTCTCTGTCTCCGACTCTTTCTTCCTCTCTCTCTTCATATATGTGATCAAGATTGTTAATAGTGTTATTCAGATCATGTTCATTCTTACTTTTTTTGGCTTTTTCACTTGCCTATTTCTAAGATAATATGTTAACTTCCTCCTGTATTATTTTGAATCTGTCAATAATTACTTTATATGTCTAATTTTTTTCTTTGTATATTTTGAAGCTATGATTTTATGTACATACAACTTGATGCCTCTTATATCTTCCTGGTGAATTGTACCTTTAGTGAGTTTAAAACATCTTTTTTGTCATTAACATCTTTTATTCTTGAAATGTGCTTTGTCTGGTATTAATGCTTTTATGCCTTGCTTTCATTTTGTTAACATTTGTCTGTTTTGTTTCTTAACATTTCTAACTTTTAAACTGATCTTTTTATTGTTTAATTTAGGAGTGTCTTTGGACATTCTTAAAAACCAGGCTGAGAGTCTTTGTCTTTTACTAGAAAAAGTTAATCCATTCATGTTTATTGTCATTACAAATATATTGGGATTTTTTTTTTTGTATTTTTGTCTTCTATTTAAATTGTTTTTTTGTTTTCAGTTTCTCTTTTCTGCTTTAATGAAATTATTGAAAAATTTTTCATTTCTTTCTTTTTTCTTCTGCTAGTTGGATTAGATCAAACTCCAGTTCTATTCCTCTTGGTTATGGAAGTTAGTATGACACAGCCCTTCTACAGTAAAAAAGTCTCTATAAATAAGATCAACTGGGGAAATTAGATTTCCAGCTAATAAGACAAGTGGATCTCAAAGTATGAATTGTAAAAATAGGAGATGTGATCATAATTGTGCACAAAATTTATAGGAAATTTTTATTGCATATAAAATGGAGATAATAATTTGATATGCTTTTCCTGTGTTACAGGAAGGAAAAGAAGATAAAAAGGAAAATAAAAGTGAGCTCTATTCTGTTGATGTTTATGTTAAGCTAGTTATAGTTTTATTTAAGCAAATTATTTAAACTAATGCTCAAAGCTTTAGCCTTACCTATGAATTAAAAGTGATTGGACAAATTTCCAGGCACAAGAAAATACATAAGCCTATCTCTAGGTCAATACTGACTTTTCCCTATCTGCAAAGTTTCCTTTCTACACTGAAACCCTCTGAGCAGACGAAAAGCTACAAATTAAGAGAGATGACTCAGTGTGGCTGCCTCCCTTAAGGGTTCCAAGTACATTTCCTAACAAATTTTCATGAGCAATCTGTGTGATTTTTTATAAATCAAAAGAGGGAATTGTATCTGTTTAATGGTTGCTCTAATTTTGTTTACACAACTCAAAATCTTGTTTACATGTCCTAGCTTTTTACTTTTTTGTCTCTGCTCACATCCAGTTCATTCTCCTTTCCTAATGTTTCATCTCACATTTCACTGATTAATTCATTTGTTTATTTATTGGTCAAGATTGACTGAGTGCCTATAAAAATGGCAGATACTAACAATACACAGATAAACAAAATGTACTTCTTTCCCTTGTTAAGGCTTGGAAAACAGTACCCTAAAGTATGGCACTTTGGCATGCTGAGTTCTTGGAACTAAAGGAGATTGGAAGGCCTCAGAAGCGTCTTTCTGAGCTTTGCCTGCCCTCCTGCCTCCCACTCTTCTTTCTCTTCCAAAGCAAATCATTGAAATCAGATTTCCTCTTCCTCAAGATGGGTCATGGAAACTAGAACTCCTCTTCTGCAAAGCAAGCTATAAAAGATGGAAAGAGCACTCTGTCCCTTCTCCCTTAAAGACCATCAATCCAGAGGGGTCCTGCCCCATGCCACAGAGAAACGAATGCTACCCAGAGAGGCCAAGAAAAATCTGGACAGCTCTTGCTGAGTTTCCCTCCTCCCTCTTAGTCTACTTCTGTTAGATCATATCCTTTTGCCCAATCACATTTCTACATGGTTGTCCATTCTTCATCAAACCTAAGCATAAAAATGCACAGTTTTCTCTGGGTCTTTGAGTCTTCATTTCTGAAGGCTCCCATGACACATAAAACTGTGATTAAATACATTTGTTATGCTTTTCTCTTTTTAACCTCTCTTTTGTTATGGAGTAATGGCTGTGGTCCTTATCATGGGTGAAGAAAGGTATCCCACTTTCCAGTCCCTACACCCTCCAAGGTACAGAAGCTGGTTCTTAAGGGATGAATAGTAGGAACTTTATATAAATGGAGAGAAGTCCAGGCAGAGTTAAAAGTATGTACAGAATCCTTTTCTACCACCATGGTTCTTTTCTAATATGTCTGGGATAACTTTAGGGTACCAGGTGATGACAAAGAGAGGTTTAGGAAAGTCCCTTTACTGAGGAAATGACAAGAAATTCATTCTGACCTTTCAGTGTGGGAAAGAGCCCTACTGCCTGGGACGCATTTTCACTCTTGGGAGCACTGGTAGATGGTTCCTGAAATCAGTGTCAGAGACACCAAAGAGGATAAAGATACAGGAGGCAAGAGATGGATTTAAATCATTAACTCTGGGATCATCTGGAGAGATGGAGCCACAATCCTCTAAGTCCAATATTGATTTCTATGCGGAAAAATTCTGCCTAGAGCTGGGACAGATCCAAGTTCTGTGGAGCCTGTTGATTTTACAACTGGGGGCAGGGATGAGGGGGAGGAGGGAAACTTGTAAAGAAAATGAATACAAAGTTACAAATTGAAAACAGAGGCAGAACTTAGAAGGGGCCCATATAAGTGAGTGTCCCTGGAGCTCGCATTTTATTGGCTTCCTGGTAAATCTACTTCTGACCAGAGCTTCATCAGTGGAGGGAGGGAAACATTTGGAATCTTCTTGTGTATCTGTGCTGTGAAGACACTGGGATTTGTTTTGTTAGCATGTTTCACAGGATGCAGCCCATTCAGGTATTCTTTAGCATCAAATTTATCCAACCCTTTTGGGTATCAAAGTTTGGATCCATGCAAGTGGCCAAGAAGAATGTGTTTCTTGAGTGTCACAGGGACCTTGGGATGCAAGTATTTTCTCTGGGAGGGTTGTTAGTCCTCAGAAAAAACACCATTCCTTTCATGGCCTGTGAGAGCTGTGGACCTGCCCAAGCCTTCAGAGCCACCAGAGAAGTCTCCAAGGTCTTCCTTCTGTGCAGAGTAAGCTGCTTTGTCTTGGGGTGTCAGGCATGTCCCCACATGCAGTTGTGTTAATCAGCTCAAGTTCTGGCTTAAAGGCAGTGATTTACCTTAAGGACAGACTGTGCTGTTGGTGCTTGCAGGTGTTTAGATGGCCAATTTGGAATCCAACACTGTGTTGAACTTAGAGGGGAAAAAAATGATATATAAGAAGCATGTTTCTCTCTCCCACCAAAGAAAACAGGATTAATCCTTACTAAGAAGGAAGAGACCTCCCATGACTGGCAGGGAAGGAATGTTTGTGGGAAATAGTCATTTGCTAATTTACTTGCTATCTTCACTCCTATTTGACATTCTTCTTCGTCTAGGAATTTTGGTTGGCATTGTATGTGCTTAGTCATCAGTGTCTTTGACTGATGAATGACAGTTGAATACAGGTTCCAAGCACTGATGAGAGCTGGGGCTACATGGAAGCCTAAGAAAGAGGTTCTGCTTTATAGGGAGTCTTCAGGAGAGAATCTGACCCTGAGAGGTGTTTAAAAAGGATCTATAGAAATGAATAGGATTGAGTTAAATTAAATGAGCTCATGGCTTGGAGGAGAGTAAAATATAAAAACGTAGTTATTCTACATGGTAATAACTTTTTTTCCTTTCCTAAATTAAGGGCTCTAGATTTAGAGAGGATGGCATGAAATCCAGGTTCAAATCCTAGTTGTTATTAATCACCAGTGTGACCTTGAGCTAACTGCTTAATATCTATATGACCATTTCCTCATCTGTCAAATGAGAGAGATTTAGGCTAGTACTTATCTCAAAGTTTTGTAAAGTTACAAGAAATAATATAAGTAAAGCACATATTAATATTAATAGTAAGATACCTGATACATATGTTCAATATTAAGAGCATTTTGAGTAGCAAAATATTT
Organism: Homo sapiens; assembly: GCF_000001405.40. Taxonomy (NCBI): domain Eukaryota; kingdom Metazoa; phylum Chordata; class Mammalia; order Primates; family Hominidae; genus Homo; species Homo sapiens. The sequence continues at coordinate 86,719,394 of NC_000011.10, read as the reverse complement.
ATAAGGGCTAAGGGAACACAGAGAAATGGGAGAGAAGGAAATTTTGTGTGTGGATGGCAGGGGACTAGGATGTACCTTGGAATGGATAAGAGGATGGATAGATAGATAGATAGATAGATAGACAGACAGACAGATAGATAGATAGTTAGATATATGGATGGTTGGATGGATGGACAGATGGATGGATGGATGGATGGATGGATGGATGGATGGATGGATGGACAGATGGATGGATGGATGGATGGATTGGTGGATGATTGGACGGATGGATGGTGGAGGCAGGGTAATGGTGGTACAGGAGAGGGGTTAGCACAGGATCTGTTGTTTTCTCTGGTCTTGACAGAAGCTGTTTTTATGTCTCACTAGCTTTCATGTCATCCAGAGGATGAACAAGGTGTGAAAAAGTACTGGTATAAGGGCTCTTTTTCCATTTCTGTATAATCCACAATGCATAACTCTGATACAGTGAGACAACAACACACCAGGGATTTAGGATTTGGGAAGGGAGAGGCAGACAGAGAAGCAAAGTTGTCAGGGAAGGCATTGGCAGTGGTGGAGAAATTCAGGTGCTTTGGGACAGTGAACATTAACAAGGAGGCTGAGGCAGTGGGACAAGTTTGGACCTATTACTGAGTACTGGTAAGACATAAGGACTCCAACACATAATTAACAGGATCTTTGAGGAAGAGTTGAGATCATGCAGGTGGGGCTATGAGCTTGCAAAATTTGGGTATTAATAACTTATTCATTCCCTCGGGTTGGTGGAACTGAGGACATTTGGGTTACACAAAGTTTTAAGTATTCACAAGATTATTTATTCCCTTTAGTGATTCTCCTGTGAATTTTAATCATGTTCAATTCTTTCTGTGATACTTCCAGAAGGGAGAAAACTAACATCAAAATGCCTCACTATGTATTATGTTAGGTTTAGTCAGGTTATCCTATAAGATGTCTCTTTTTTACAAACAAATGAGAAATTGGGGGAAATAATATGGGTCAAATAACTTACCCAAGGTCACAGCTGTTTATTAACCGACTATGATGAATTATTCTCAATGTGTGACACAATCCTGTTGGGGTCAGACCATGATTCCCCAAAGCACAGAGCTTTGGCATGCTGAGTACTTTGAACTGAAGGAAAATGGGAGGGCCTCAGAGGCAAGAAGTTCTCTCTGACCTTTTCCTGCCCTCCTTTCTTATTCACCTATTTCTCCTTCAAATCAGCTCATAGAAACAAGAATTCCTCTTCCCCAAAGAAAGCCATAAAACCTGGAAATGTTACTCTCTGACCTTCTGTCTTCTTCCCTGAAAACCCTCATGTGACAGGTGTTCTGTCCTACACCGGGAGGAAGAAATGCTACACAGAGAGGCTGAGAAGAATCTGAACAAACAGGCCTTGCTGGATTTCCCCTTCAGTTTATTGCCATTTGCTTGCACTTTTTGTCGAATCACATTTCTACATGGTGTTAACCAAACATAAAATACAGTTTTCCCTGGGTCTTTGCATCTTCATTTCTGAAGGTTCCCCTGTCACATAAAATGTTGATTAAATAAATTTGTTACATTTTTCCCTTGCTAATCTGTCTTTTGTTATAGGAGAGTTGGCTGTGACCCTTGTGATGAATGAGAAGAGGTATTACCTTTTCACCCCTACACTCCCATGGGTATGTCCAGGGTTACACACAATTCCTCACATGCTAACTAAGACACCATCCCACAAGAAAGCCTATCAGTAGACAATTGCATGACACTGACATTATTATAATTGGAAACTTAAATCTGTTGTATATATTAAATTGTGTTAAAATACATATAACATAAAGTTTACCATCTTAACCATTTTAAAATGAACAGTTTGGTGGCTGGGCGTGGTGGCTCATGCCTGTAATCCCAGCATTCTGGGAGGCCGAGGTGGGCGGATCACGAGGTCAGGAGATCAAGACCATTCTGTGAATGGTGAAACCCTGTCTCTACTAAAAATACAAAAAATTAGCCTGGCGTGGTGGCAGGTGCCTCTAGTCCCAGCTACTCGGGAGGCTGAGGCGGGAGAATGGCGTGAACCCGGGAGGCAGAGCTTGCAGTGAGCCGAGATCACGCCACTGCACTCTAGCCTGGGCGACAGAGCAAGACTCCATCTCAAAAAAAAAAAAGAGAACAGTTTGGTGATGGTATGAAGTGCATTCACATTATTGTGCAACCATCACCATGATCCATCTCCAGAACTCTTTTCACCTTGCAAAGCTGAAACTCTGTACCCACTGAATACTGTAATATATCTTCAAGAAAATAACTTGCCAACATTGTTTATCTACCTATTATTTCTAATACATTAATTGTGGTCACCACAATCCACTTCTATGTTATGACACTTCAGCTGGAAAGGTTGCCCTGCCTTATGCCATTCAAGATGTGTAGTAAAATTGTGAAGACCCCCTAAGTTACCCACCCATGCTGGACCAAACACCCAGGCACTGTCTTAAAAACAAAGGGGTAGATTCGCAGAGCCTTTTGCCAACTGGTGCCATGTTCAAAGTTCAGGCCCAGGGTTGGATGGCCTCCCATGGGGAATGGAGTATGGCTACTTTGATTGAGAACTCTCCTCTGAGCAAGGGTCTTTAAACAAAGTCAGTTAAGTTAGAAAAACAAGCCAACTCTCCATATGTTGTGGCCCCAAATGTGACAGAAATAGATTCAATGCGTACATTCAATTTATTCATGCCTTAGAGACAGACCTAGGAAAAGGATGCACAGTCTTGAATACGGATTCCCTATCCTGGGATTTTCCTTTCTGGGTCCCTCCACCCTCACTGCAAATTAGGGGACAGGAGTAGGGGTCTCCCTCTAATTTTTGCATTCATTTCTCATCCGTTGCTCTCTTCGTGTCTTTCTCCCTGCCTTCCATTTCTGAAAACATGTAGGAAATATGTTCATTACTGCACGTAATTGTCCAGCTAAATTAAAACTTCTTGAAGGCAAACACTGTATTTTTTATTTAAATATTTTCAGTATGCATTAGTATTCAATAATAAAGACACAGAATAAAGAAACCAAAGTACCCCTCTTCCCTCTTTGTATAAACAATCTCTCATTGCTGATAAGGGAACATGTATAAGTCAGATAAGAATAATAATAGCAGGCATATATTAAGAACTACCCATTGATCTAAGGGTCTTTTATATATCAAGGAATCCTGTGTTCCCAAGAATCACATGTCAGTCAGACTCCAGCTAATCTCATGCCAGGTTTATCAGAAAGAATTCGGGAGTACAAGAAACATGGGAGCTTAACTACAACGTCTGTTACATTTGTATCAAGCAATTTCAACCTTGAAATGAAGTCTGAGGGTTAAAAAAAATGCCCAAGCATATATATTTTATCTTTTTGAGACAGAATCTCTCTCTGTCACCTAGGCTGGAGTGCATTGGCACAACCACAGCTTACTACAGCCTGGACCTCCCAGACTCAAGCAATCTTTCCAACCCAGCCTTCTGAGTAGCTGGGACCACAGGCATACACAACCACACTTGGCTAATTTTTTTATTTTTTTGTAGTGATGGGGTGTCACTATGTTACTCAGGCTGGTATCGAATTCCCGGGCTCAAGTGATCCTCCTGCTCCGCCTCCCAAATTGCTGGGATTACAGGGATGAGCCACTGTGCTTGGTGTAAGCATATTTTTAAGAGTCTTGTTTCACTATAGAAACCTGATTGTCTTGCTCTAGAAAGGCATTTTGATTTCACAGATTCTATGTTTACCTCCCTCACTTTTCTCCTCAGTGAATTATTGAAATATGGAACCAATAAATAGTCTTTAGCATCTAAATCAAACACATTGCAAAGCCTGGTATCATTAATGGTGTTAACTCATTTGAACTTCACAGTAACCCTATGAGGCAGGTACCATCATTACACCCATTTACAAGTAAGAGATCTAAGTAACAAGAGGTGAGTATTTATTAAAAAATACAGCTCCAGATAGCATAACTTCAGGTCTTGTGATTTTAGCCCCTATCCATTGTACTTCTTTTTTTTTTGAGACGGAGTCTCGCTCTGTCGCCCAGGCTGGAGTGCAGTGGCGGGATCTCGGCTCACTGCAAGCTCCGCCTCCCGGGGTCACGCCATTCTCCTGCCTCAGCCTCCCAAGTAGCTGGGACTACAGGCGCCCGCCACTACGCCCGGCTAATTTTTTGTATTTTTAGTAGAGACGGGGTTTCACCGTTTTAGCCGGGATGGTCTCGATCTCCTGACCTCGTGATCCGCCCGCCTCGGCCATTGTACTTCTGAGTTGGGTCCACTTAACATACATTGCAAAAAAAAAAAAAAATCTATTAACTAGAATAGAAAGAAAGGATTGCTCTTATTATATTCTTCAAGTAGATAGAATTATGCATCAAATCCTTTAAAATTTTAGTCATCGTCAAAAATCTTGCTTTAGGAAATACAGCAGTTATAATAATGGATTCTTTATTAGACGAAGCACTGACCACAATAGTTGATCGCTTTGGTTTTCCCATCCTCTTTCTTCTCCATGCCTTCTCTTTGGCCCTATCAGGAGCTCAAGTCCTTCTAACCCTCCTCAAGGCCTCATTCTTTATCAGAGCAAACCTGTCCCTTCAGATGAATCACTAACAACTCTCCCGCTGTGCCTTCAACATCCCAGCAGGCTTATCATTTTGCTGTTCCCATCTTTAGAGACCCTAAACTTCAGCTTAATACTAAACTCAACTTCTCTGCTCTCTTGGATGCCACTGGAGAAAATCCCTTGGCCAAGCTCGCTGGTGCTATGAGAAATCCACAACCTCTGACCTCAGCTGGGCCTCAGTATCACTCTGCAATGCTTTCCTGTGTTTCTGCTTTCTTACAAGGGATACCTAAACTCTCCCCACGTCCTTTACACCTCTACCCACTTCCTTTAAACCTCTAGTCCTGTCCTCGCTGAGTTGAGTGATGGGCAAGTCATTTAAAAGCGCTATATCTTATTCTCTTAATCTATAAGAAGATTAACTTAGATTAGTATTTTTCAAACTTCATCCAGATGTATGAACATTGTATGTCTTTTCTAGTATTGGGGCCTTCTTTTGTTTTTCTCTGCAATATTTTGTAGCTTTCAGTGTATCTGTATTTTAATTTATTCCCAAGTATTTTGTGTGTTTGATGTTGTTATAAATAAACTTATAAAATGTTTTAATTGTTCGTGGCTAGTATATAAGAAATATAAGTATATTGACTTTGTAACCTGCAGCCTTGCTAAATCCACTTAGTAGTTCAGTAGGTTGTTGCAGATTCTTTACTTTTTTTTTTTTAAGAAGTAGATATATTTTACCATGGAGCTCACTAAGAAATCCTTAAATAGACAACTGAGAATGGTATACATTGGGTTGTAAGAGACAATTCTACCTCCTGATCACTCAGGAAGTAATGAAAACCAGTTCATTATCAGTTAGTTTGAGTTCTGATGTGTTCAGGTTTCTCTTCTAGAGTTGCTCAAGATTGGCGACGCCTTCCCTGTGGGTGGGCTGCCTGCCCTTGCATCTTGCCAGTCTGAGATTCTGCTTCTTGCCTCCAACACGCCGCACCATGCTAGCTGCCAGCTGGGTCTCCACCTCTCATTTGAAGATTAGCTTCTCGTACACCCTCTCTTTGCCTTGAGAGCTGGTTGGGCAGTATTTTCTGGCTCAATAAGCACTTTGTTCCATGCTTCACACTCTGGTAGTCATGAAAGAGAAGAGTGTGAGGAAAGAATGATTTCTAGTGATTAGAAACTGAGATAAAAAAGAATCCTAGGCTGGGCATAGTGGCTCACACCTATAATCCCAGCACTTTGAGAGGCTGAGGCAGGAGGATCACTTGAGTGCAGGAGTTTGAGACCAACCTGGGCAACACAGCAAGACCCCATCAACAAAAAAATTAGCCAGATGTGGTGGTGTGCACCTGTAGTCCCACCTACTCGGGAGGCTGAGGCAGGAGGATCCCTTGAGCCAGGGAGTTTGAGGCTGCAGTGAGCCATGATTGTGCCACTGCACTCCAGTTTGGGAGACAAAGACAGAGCAAGATCCTGTCTCAAGAAAAAAAAGAAAAAAAGAATCACGCCTTGAGCAGAAGAACAGACTTCTGATACTTTCTATGTGAACTATTTAAACTTCCAGGCTGCAGGAGTCCAGTGGCTTGTTTTTCTACTTGGCCTTTGCCATCAATTATCATGTAGGCAGGGTTGGGATGGAGGAGTGAAAGGAGTTACCTAGGAAATCACAATAGAAGGTACACAGAAAAGCAGCCATTGTATTTGACCCCATCCCACACTCTTCCAATTCTCTTCATTACTCAGTAATAGGAGAATAATCTGAATGCTGTACACATATATTCACAGTATTTTAAGATGTGAAAGTATATTCAGGACTTTTCATGAATTTTAATTGGGTTCACCAATATTAAAAGCTGGATCTTCTTCTTGCTCTTTGTTTTTGATCTTTCACTTCTGTGGCCTGTTGTCTCTCCTCCTTCACAGCATCCGTCGCACTCTATCATAACTGCCTATCCACTACAAGACTATGAGTTTTGAGAGGCAGGTCTTATATGTGATATGGTCAGAGGTTATCTCTGTGCCCAGCACACTACCAGGAACAATGGGAGGGGATCATTCCTTAGGATTTTCCATGTAAGCAATCATGTTGTCTGTGAAGAAAGACAATTTTACTTTGTTCTTATCAATCTTCATGACTTCTTTTTCTTGCGTATGGCACTGGCTAATTCCTTCTAAATGTCAAACAGAAGTGATGAGAGCAGACATCCTTACTTTGTATTTCATTGTAGGGAAAAAGCGTTTAGTACTTTACTATTAAGAATTATGTTAAACGTACGATTTCTTCATAAACGCCTTTTATCATCTTAAAGGGCATTTAGGATGCCCTTCCTATTCTGGCATTTAGGCCTCTTCCTATTTTGCCAACCCTTTAAAAATAAATGAATGCTGGATTTTGTCAAAACTTTTTTGACATCTATTTTATTAGTCCTATGCTTTTCCTCCTTTATTTTCTTAGTCTGGTTAGTTAAAATGATTGATTTTTTAATGTTAAACTACCCTTACATTTCTGAGATAAATCCTATTTGTGTTATAATGTATTATCTGCTGGGTTTTATTTGGAAATATTTTATTAGACATGTTTTTATGTACATTCATGAGGTATACTCATTTTTAGATTTTTTTGAAAATGAAATGCCTTTTTGGTATCAAGGCCATCTGCCCTCTTAAAACAAATTGGAAATTATTTTTCCATTTTCTAAAAAGAATGTGGAAGATTACTATTATTTCACTTTAAACGTTTGATAGAATTCACTGGTGAAGCAATTTGGACCTCAAATTTTCTTTGCAGAAGGTTTTAAGTTATTTATTTTTTGATGGAGACAGGGTTTCATCATGTTGTCCAAGCTGGTCTTGAACTCCTGGGCTCAAGTGATCTGCCCACTTTGGCCTCCCAAAGTGCTAGGACTACCAGCGTTAAGCCATGGGGCTCAGCCTGTAGAAGGTTTTTAATTATGCATTTTTTGACAGATACAGGAATATTAACAATTTTTACCCTTTCAAAAAGTATTTTTGGTAAATCATGCTTTCCAGGAAAATTTTTCATTGTCAAATTAAATGACATAAAGCTTTTGTAATATTTCTTTAATAACTGTAGGATTTGTATATATCCCTTTTTTCATTACTGAAATTGGTAATTTGTGATTTCCCTCCTCCCTCCACTTTTTTAAAAAACCAAACTAGCTAAAAGTTTAGCAATTTTATCCATCTTTTTACAGAACCAACTTTTGGCTTTTTTTTTTTTTACTTTGTTTCTACTCATATTTATCATTTCCTTTCTTCCATGTACTTTGGGTTTAATTTGCTCTTCATTTTCCATCTATTTAAGATGAAAAGTTATAGCATTGATTTTCTTCCTTCCTCTATCCCTCCTTCTTTCTCTCTCTCTCTTAAAAAAGTATTTAAACTATAAATGTCCCTCTAAGTAGTGATTAAACTGCATCTCATAAATTTGGATAGACTGCATTTTTATTATTCATTTTGAAATATTTCCAAATTTCTCATGTGATTTATCCTTTGAATCATGAGCTATTCAGAAGATTATTAATTTATTTCCAAATAATTGGAGATTTTTCTAGATATTTTAAATTGTTATTTTATTCTGTTTATTTCACTGTGGTCAGATAACTCATACTCAGTATGATTTCAGTCTTTTGAAATTTATTGAGACTTGTTTTATAGCCCAGAACATAGACTATTTTGGTGAATTTCCTGTCCTATTGAAAAGAGTGTGTACTCTGGAATTAATTGTTAGATTTACATGCATTTGTCTACTTGTCTCATCAATTACTCATAGTGGCATGTTAAAATTTCCATCTATAATTTTGGATTTGTTTATTTATCCCTTAGTTCTGTCAGTTTTAATGCATGTAGTTTGAAAATCTGTTATTAGGTGGAATCCTTTCATCCTTATTAAAAGACCTCTTTAATGTTGATATTATTCCTTATCAAGATAATTACTTTGAGATTACTATAGACACACTGAATATCTTATGATTGGTGTTTGATATGGTTTGGCTCTGTGTTCCCACCCAAATCTCATCTTGAATTGTAATTCAAATTGTAATTCCCATGTGTTGGGGGAGGGACCTCGTGGCAGGTGATTAGATCATGGCGGCAGTTCCCCATGGTGTTCTCATGATAGCAAATGAGTTCTCATGAGATCTTACGGTTTTGTGAGGGGCCTTCCCCCCCTTCGCTTGGCACTTCTCTCTCCTGCTGCCATGTGAAGAAGGACGTATTTGCTTCCTCTTCCGCCATGATTATAAGTTTCCTGAGGCCTCCCCAGCCATGCTGAACTGTGAGTCAATTATACCTCTTTCCTTTATAACTTATCCAGTCTTGGGTATTTCTTCATAGTAGCATGAAAACGAACTAATACAGTGTTTGCATGGTACATCTTTTTCCATTTTTGCTTTTAATCTGTTTGAGTCTTTATATTTAACATGAGTTCTTGTAAACTGCATGAAGTTGGACCTAGCTTCTTTTTAAATCTGGCAATCTCTTCCTTTGAATAATCTAGTTCATTTACCTTTAATGTAATTATTGCTATGGTTTGGTTGTAATATTTCTATTTGTTTTTCCTTTCCTGGGTTTTTTTTCCCTCCATTTTTATTTTGGGTTCATTCAATGTGTTTTAGTATTTCATTCTATGTATTTAATTGGATTTTAGCTATACCTTTTTGTATTTTTTTAAATGACTGCTCTAGGAACTGCAATATGCAGCATTTTGTCACTATTTGTCCTGAATTAATATTATCCCACTTCACATATTAGACACTTAACAGTATAATTTTGTTTATATCCTCTCTTGTCTTTGTACTATTGTTGTTATGTATTCTATGTCTATACATGCTTTAAATCCAATAATACTTTGTATTATTCCTCCTTAAACTGTCAAATAACTTTTAAAGAGTTTAACTAAACACTTTAAGCGATTTGTTTATCATTTCTTTGCTCTTTATTCCTTCCTGTAGATATAAATTTATGTTATTATATTCCTTCAATTTGAAGAATTTTTCTTTAGAATTTCTTATAGTGCAAGTGAAGTGTGACTAACTGTATTTATTTTATCTTCAGTTTTGCAAGACATTTTCACTGACTAAAACACAGATGCCCCTCACCTTGGAGGAGCATCTTGGAGTAACATCCTGATAAACCCACTGCAAATTTAAAATATCATTGAAAATGCATTTAAATGCACCTAATCTACCTAACATCACAGCTTAGACTAGCCTACCTTAAACATGCTCAGAACATTTACATTAGTCTACAGCTGGGAAAAATCATTCAACACAAAGCTGATTTTATAATAAGGTATCGAATAGCTCATGTAATTTATGGAATATTGTACTGAAAGTAAAAAACAGAATGGTTGTATGGGTACATTAAGTATAGTTTCTATTGAATGTGTATCACTTTTGCACCATCACAAAATTGAAAAATCCTAAATCAAACTGTCATAAGTCAAGGACTGTCTGTATTTTATAAAATTCAGCTGTCTTTTCAGTCATTCTGTCATCTTCTGACCTTCACTGTTTCTGATCTGAGTCAACTCATTCATATTATCTGTTTCCTATATATAATGTCTTTTCTCTCTCTCTCTCTCATCTTGTTATAATTTTCTGTTTATCTTTTATTTTCAGCAGTGCTTTCTTTGTATTTATCCTGCTTGAGGTTTGCTGAGCTTTCTGGGTCTATGGCTGACAAAATGTGTAAAAATTTCAGCCAGTATTTTTTAACAGCTTTATAGAGATTTAATTCATGTACTAAACAATTCACCTATTTAAAGTGTACAAGTGAATGGTTTTTAGTCTATTCACAGATTTGTACAATGATTGCCACACTTATTTTACAACATTTTCATTACTCCCAAAAGAGATCCTGTACCTATTAGCAGCCACTCCCCATTCCTCTTCTCCACATTCCAGCTGTAGGCAACAACTACTCAGTCTTTCTGTAAATTTGCCTATTCTGGACATGCCTCAGCCAATGTGCTTTTAATTAACTATCTGATTGATATTGTTTCACGTCTTACTGAGACTCTGTTTACGCCTATTCTATCTGTTTTAACTTTATTCTTCAGATTCAATTATTTCTATTGATCTAACTAAAAGTTTACTATTCATTCAGCTATTATGCTCATCCTGTGAATCTTAAAATTTGAGATAGTCCTCTTTGCAGTTACAGATTTTTTTTTTTTAGTTTCTATGTCTCTGCTGAGATTTCTATTTATTAATTATGGTAATTTTTAAGTTTCCCGAATGTATTTATAAAAACATCTTTAAAGTCCTTATTCACTTATTTCAATAGAGGAATCATCTTAGGGTGGTTTCTATTTGCTGATTCCTCAGTTTACTAGGGGTCACATTTCCCTGTTTTGTTTTGTTTTCACATGTCTAATTTTTAATATACACTGGTCATTGTGGATAATATGTCATAGAGGTTCTGGGCTTTATTATCTCTTTCCTTTTTTTTAAGGGACAAGGTCTTGCTCTGTTGCCTAGGCTGGAGTGCAGTGGCATGATTATAGCTCACTGTAGCCTCGAATTCCTGGGGTCAAGTAATCCTCCCACCTCAGCCTCCCAGGTAGCTGCGGCTACAGGTGCACACCACTACACCTGGAAAATTTTTTAATATTTTGTAGAGAAAGAGTCTATGTTACCCAAGCTGGTCTCAAACTCCTGGCCTTAATGATCTTCCTGATGCAGCCTTCCAAATCACTGGTATTATAGGTGTGAGCCACTGTGCCCAGCCTTCATTATCTCCTTCTGAAGAGTGTTTTGTTCTAGCAAAAACTTAAATTATCAGTAGTTCGCCTTGGTATTGTGAAGTTTTGGTTTTGGTCTTTCTTAGAGCATGTCCATTTCGGTTCTGCACTTAATCCTAGGTCAATTCCCTTAGTCCTAGCACATGAACTTTATTCCAAACCACTGCCTTTCTGAGATTCTGATGGACAGCCCAAGCTTTCTGCCATGCCTCTTTTTTATTATTATTATTATACTTTACGTTTTAGGGTACCTCTTTAACGTTGTGGAACTCAAACTCCAAAATCTATCTGTCTTGTGGCAGGCAGTTGCTAAAACCTCCATTTAGCCCTTTTGGCTTCCCAGCTATTATTTGCCCCCTGCACAACTTGGTGCTTTTCTCTAAACATTCATGTCAGAGGTGAGTCAAGGATTTGAGAGGATTTTATCTGGGGAGCCATTTCCATGGCTCCTTCCTTCCAGGATTTCTGACCTCAATTTCTTGCTACTCTGGAAGCCCTGAACTCTGTCATCTGATTTTTAAGGTCAATAAGACTGCCTTTCTGCTGGAGCTCTATCCTCTGAATGCTGTAGAGATAAGGGAATGTCTTCAGGTGGAATATCACTACATTTGGATCTCACCCAATGTGGTTCCTTCTTTCAAGAGTCAAACTTTCTCCAATTTATACCAGGTGTTTTTTTGTTATTGTTGTTTGTTGTTTGTTTAACTCTCTTGGACCATTAAACAGTTGTTTTAAGAAGTATTTTATCCAGTTTGTAATTGTCAAAATTATAACATCAGTGTTTTTTACAGTACAATAAAGATTTTATATTTTAAATAGCTAGCTTATCACTACTATAGAAGGACAATATCGGAAAGAAAAAAGAAAATAACTTTGATGTGAATGAATGATTTTAAATTAGAAATAACACAGCCAATAACAATATAACAACGATTATACTTTGTTAAGTATTTACTATGCCCCAGGGGCTCTGCTAAGTGCTTTATCTTTATTGGTTTATTTGCTAATCGCAACAGCCCGAAAAGTGAGTATCATCAGCCCCATTTTAGAGATGAAAAAACTGAAGCACAGAGAGATTCCAGAATTTTCCCAGGAATCACAGCAAGTAAGCTGCAGAACCAGGAGCCTAGCTTGCATGGTGACAGCAGAAGTTCCATGAGCTTTGATGAGCATTTTAACTTTGGGATTGGTAAGGCTTACTTATTATGGTTATTTTGGAAAAGTATTTTACTCCAGCATCTCAGGGTTTCTTGCTGCCCTCTAAGAGAAGACAATGTTGCAAATCCAAGAGATGTTCTTATTCTGGCTCTGGGCCATAAGAATTGCTGTATTTTCTGAGCACAGAAAATATGAGCTTCTACAGCCCAGAGGCTAAGGGCTTATATCTTTTTCTAGTTTCCAAAAAGTTCTGAAGGCTAGAATGTAAACAGTCCTTCAGGATGAAACAAAGCAGGGCAAATATATCCGCAGGCATACACAGGCTAAAAAGTTTGCTCAATACACAGAGCTCTAATGGCAAACACAGCAAAGCAAACACGACAATGAGAAGGGGAAAGAAGATGAGACTGAAGAAAGTCTGCTGATCAGACCCAGGAGTTTATCAGCCTGAACATCTGGTTCCCTGGAGAAGTATAGGGAGGAAACTGGGAGACCTATATCTGCCTCCTTCAAACACTTGAACTAATTTTGACACAGCCTATAATTGGGCCAGTGAAAGCCATTTGGAGAGGGCTTTGTGCATATCACAATTTGGCATCTAAGATGAAAATATCTTGAATGTTGTCATTCATCCCAGCTGGGTTAAAAACAAAAAGACAAATATCAAATTAAGGCACTCCTAAATGTCAGGTCAACAGGCAATGCTCAAGTGGCCTGCGCTGGACTAAGGAAAACTCAGCCTAATGCAATCTGGACTTATAACAATTTGGGACCACTTGGCCCAGGGGAACTCCGTGGTACCAGCTATTAAAGGTACTTTCTTAGGTAAAGATTGCCTCCAATAGGGGCTCTATTAGGAGGAGGGACTTCTCCTCCTGTTTACCCACATACACTACCCCCTGATCTTCTCATCCATGCAAACTAATAAATCTTATAATACACAGGTGGCTTTTTCAGTGGGTCGTTGATTAATTGGTACTGAAATCTTGAGTGTTGCCAATTGATTGTTAAGAGAGAGGGTCTTTAATCCTCTTGGTTTTCCACTTACTAAAATGGAAAATGGCATCATTCAGGGATTGGTCAAATACATTTGTCGGCAAGACTGGAAAATAACCATCAGATGAATGGTCAGTAGTACAAAAAGGCTAATTCTATAGGGTACAAAGAGATGTGGTGAAGATCAATGTACAAAGCACTGTGTCTCACAGCTCTACCTGCCCATTGGTCTGCCTTGAGAAGTAATGAATCTCCGGGAGAAGAGGAGAAACATGTTGCAGAGGGAGCCAAGCATCTGATAAGTGTGTCAGCTAATTGATTTTCAGGTGCCCTGCCAGCTCTGAGATCCAGTTTTTCTAAATTGTTCTGAAACATTTCTTGAGCTTTCTCTATGTTCCAAGCACAATGCTAGGTGTTGGGGGCATACAATTGAAGACAAAGTGGCTCCAAAAGCATGCAGGATGCCTGGGGAGACAGACACATAGATCATTTCCATTGGGCTTGTCGGTGCTGGACCAGGGTTTTTTGCAGGACACTATGGGAACACAATATAGGGGGCAGCTTAGCCCAGGCTTAGGTACTGGCAAGGGAAGGGGTGGAGAAATGATTCCTGTGAATAATGTCTAAGCTGAGTCTGGAAAAGTTAATAGGAGTGGGCTAAGTGGAGATGGGGACAATCTGGAAATGAAGCTGGGGTGAAAAGTTGGGACAGGTAAGACACAAGTATACATGACATAGACATTATTATCTGCATGCACAGATGACAAAAGTGATGCTTGAACAGGTTGAATTAAATGCCTATAATTTGAAGTCAAACAGTCCTGAATTCCAGTCTCAGGTCTGCAACTTTCTTATTGAGGCAACAACTAGCAAATTATTTACTTCTCTGAGTCCCAATTTCCTCATCTACACACTAGAGCAAATGAAACTGCCCACCTAATAAGGTTATTGTAAGGATCACATGAGGGATCATATGAGGCAGTGTATGCAAAGCACTCAAAGCCTTAAGTGTCTGTCTCAGCACACTGTAAGCACTCAATAACTATGGAAATTAACTTTTAAAAATCTCCGTTCAAGATTACACAGAAAATGACACCGTGTGGATCTGAACTTATCTGTAGTAAACACCCAGCACCAACAGTGGAATAATCTGCTCTGGGTGGCAGCAAGGAGAGGTGCAGGGTCGGTAGAGAATTTCAAAAGAATAAAACTGAATAAATGTTGGTCTGCATTTTATTATTGTCGAGCCTAGAGAATTCCAAACAATGTCAGTGATAAGATACTCTGCCCCCAAATATCTTTTGTTGGTCTAAAAATTTCTAAACAATCGCTATGTTGTTACTGTTGGGTTTTAATAATATATTGAAAGCCACAGTGGCCTCTGACAGGTTATAAACCAGAGAGGGTTCCCTGGATCACATTCAGCTGAGCATAGTTTTCACATTTGAAAGTGTGATGTTTCCTTTATTCCCTCCTGATTCCCATAGGGCCTCAACAGTCTCCATATCTGTTTTCTTTTTTCCTAGAAAAAAAAAAAACTGACATCCCAACCGGTGGATTTAGCTGTTTGGGTTAAATTGTGCCCATCTGAAGCCTCACGGAATTGCAACGATGTCACCCTGAGATGGGCAACATCTTCGTGCTTAGTGACCGTGGACAGCTTTGGATGTTGGAGCTCTCCAGAGTAGAGAGCTCTAGATGAGGAACTAAAATAGGGGATGCGGAAAGAGGACAGAGGCAAGGTTTAGAATGAGGAAGCTGGTCATCTGAGGGTGTGAGTGGAGAAGATGATCCAAGTGGGGAGAGAGAGTGAGCCCAGAAAAGGGAGACGGCTGATAGGGTGGGGTCAGAAGGAAGCATCAACAATGAAGTTCTTCCACTTCAAGTTTTCCCCAAGGCAAAGGGGTATACATTTGTTTTTAGTGTTCTGCTGGGTTGGAGGAATTCAAAAGACAAAAATAAAAGTCCCCAAAGCCTTGGAACTAATTACAGCAGATGATGGGCACTCTTGTAAACACAGGAGAAGAGGGGACAGTGATCTTTTGAAAAGAGCATTCGAATAAAGTAGCCAAAAAACTGATAGGAACAAGATTATGGTATTTAGGCACAGAGATCCTACAAACCCTCGTTATCGAAAGCATATATGTGTGCCTAATCATCTAAGTAATTGGATTTTAGGAGTTGATGGAAGATTAGATGAAAGATCATTGCAGATTTTACAGACATGGTCTACAAAATGGCAGGGTACTCCTGTGATGGTCAATGCCACCAGCTCTTCACTATTTCTTGACATAAAAATATAAATCAATTAGTTAATCAATCACCTTGTATTTGTTGGGCATTTACTTTGCTTCAGGTACTTTACTAAACCCTGAGGCTACAGTTATCAACACAATCCCTATTGTCACCAAGATTAGAGTCTAGCAGTGGTGAAAGACCTTAAACAAACTATTATATATACAATAATAAATTAAATGACTTCAAGTAGGTAAAGTGCTGTGAAGGAAAAGTACAGGGCGCTAAGGGAGTGTATGATGGAGTGAGGTCAAAGAGGCTTTACCCAACCACCCTGTGATTAGATATAATGGATTGGAATAATTCAACCATAGCAAATCTTAATGGCAAAGCAAGAGTAACATGAGCCTCAGAGTAATCTGGTGGGATCATATGCGCCAAAACAAAACCCCTGACATTTGCCAAGGGCGACTCCGGGAAGTTCTTTAACACATTCAGACTAAGATAGATTTAGGAGTTATCTATACTCACCTAACTTCATCTTGTACAATGCAACATACCTGGATAAAAAATAGATATCCAAATTACACACAGGCAATTATATACAATGGGAGCAACAAGCATGGTGGAAAAGCCAACACTGGACAAAATAAGTGAGTACTAGATACATTGGTGCTAGCCTAGAGGCCCTAGGACTAGCCAAATGAACTTACGTGAAAAAAAAAGACACAGTGAAGAAAAAGACTTAGTAGGCAGACTCACAAATTCAGAAAAAGACTTACTGGAAGGGATGTTATTCCAGAAGCAGGGGAAAGGATGCCAAACAGCCTGGATCAACAATTGAGCATTTGAAAATTGGATACAACAAACTCAACAAATAATTAAGCAATATGCTAGTGATTTTTTTCTCTTTAGCCATGGGTCAAAGGCTGTACCAGGGAGCCAAACCCCCACAAATCATCTGCAGAGCAGCAGCAAAAAAAGGGCCCTGCTGAGGTAGGAGGCAGGGCTCCCTTCTGGACAAGATTGAAGACTTAGGAAACAGGGAAGAGGGGAAAGCACCTCTCTGTAAGACACACCCACCAGTGACAGTTTACCATTGCCATAGCAGCACCCAGAAGTTACCACCCCTTTCCATGGCAATGATCTGGAAGTTACCACCCTTTTTATAGAAACTTCTGAATAACTCGTCCCTTAATTTGCATGTAGTTAAAAGTGGGTATAAACGTGATTGCAGAACTGCCCCTGAGCTGCTACTCTCAACACACTGCTTGTGGGGTAGCCCTGCTCTGCAGGCGCAGTCATGGAGCTGTATCACTGTTGCCTCAGTAAAGCTGGTTTTTTCCTCCACCTGCTCACTCTTGAATTTCTTCCTGAGTAAAACCAAGAATCTTCCCAAGCAGAGCCCCAGTTTTGGGACTTGCCTGACCTGCAATATTGCCACCTTAGGAGAGCCTTTTAACGTGGCTATTTATTAAGCTCTTTCTGAATGAGCAACCCTGTGCTAAAAGCTTTATATACAGTATTCCATTTAAAGCCTATAACAAATATTTTCTGGTGGCAGAGCCGGTAGATATACAACACAACAAATTACAGTCATGACACCATGATTGAACTCAATGAGTAAGTACATTCCAAAAATAGAACTATAAATTTCAACTTTATGAAGACAAACATTTTTCCATTAGAAAACTTCTATGTGAATTTTAGTTGGAAAAATCTAATCGTGCTGCTGATTTGTAGTTTCATCCACAATGCTAGAGTTTGCTTAAGTGTTCCCTAAGGCAATGGAACAAAGAGATATGCATTTAAAGCCTTCAGTGAAATAATTAATTGCTGCTCTGAAGATACACCAATGTTATTTCATGATTTTTGGCCTTCTTCCTCTTTGCATGTAAGGATAGACAAGGACCGCATGTCTTTCTTTTTCAATTATTTGGAGGTGAAAAGAAGTATTTTTTTGGCTCAATATGCTATACCACTGAAAAACTGATCCTTATTTCACACATCACAGTAATGTTTGTGAGAATTGGGTGAGCAGTATTTTTACCCAAGAACTTTCTTTTGTGTCTTGTGTATAGTAACATCGTTATAAGGAAAGAATAGCCTTGCTTTGCCAGCTTATGTCTCATGACAGGACAAGGGCATCTCTGTTGCAGGCTTTTGATGTTCTAGAATGATGTAGGAGGTTTTAAGCCAGCTCCAGGAGGATCCATGAACCTGTAACATTGCAAATGGTATGTTTTTGTTATGTACATGCTTTTTATCTAGGATGCGTCCATAGGTTTCATCTGAGTCTCAAAGATGTCTTGAACAAACCAATGATTAAGAGCCCTGCTGTAGAACTTTCTAAAGGCATAAGCAACCAAATATATGAAATAGAGAATTTTTGTTGTAGTAATTATATGTAAATGTAGTGTCCCAACTTCTTGTTTTCAAAAGAGTATCAAATGAGTTATGAGGTCCATGTTTGTGACTCAAATGTTTTCTCTCTCTGAGGTTCTGTATCCATTTGTTATAAATATCCTATCTACACCCTTGATATTATATAAGAAGGTTGTCTTTTGTTTGCTGAGATTTAGTCTAGAAGTGGTATTTTGATTTTTTTCTTCCAGTAGAGAAGATGCACTTGCTCCAATACAATCATTTTCACTTGTCAGTTCCTCTTGAATATCAGAAAGCATCTGTAGATAACTGATCAGGCTACATGATGTATATGCATATGAAAGCACGTGGGTGTATACATGATAGCTAATATTGAAAATGCGTGCCACTTACTATTCAATATATAAGCCATGTATGTCTCAACTACCTGCTGACTCCATCTTTACATGGTTTCACATTGAAAGAAGTTAAATCCTGCATCTAAAATAATCAAAGAGAAACGTATATTTTTATTGAAGTCTCTTAAAGAGCACCAAATGGGAAGCACTAATGAAAAACAAAAATGACTTGACATTCTCATTTTCCATCCCATGCACTTTTAACATGTATGTAGTACCTGCTCTAAAGTATTTCTCCTCTCCCACTCCAAGTTCTCAAAAATTTCCCACAGTTCAGTCCATTTAGGCTCTGATATAGCCTCTCTTCTCTCTGTTGTAATTCTATGCTATGTATCAATTTAATCTCTCTGGTTTCTTTCTTTTACCTGTTCTGTCACTACCCCAGTTCCCCTCCCACCTCCCACTAGAAACTGATCCAGCAAGCAGCAATGCTTTCTTGGGTGGGGGATGGGATAAAAGGTTTACATTTGAAATTCATTTCTTTTGTCTCTGACACCAGTGCAAAGAAAAACACCACATCAATTTGAGAGCTAAACATAACTTCAATCTGAGATTTTATGTTTCTTGACTAACTCATCTAATAATTAAACAGTTCACACCTGATTAATTAGCTAAAATGAACTGTTTACACACGTTAGTCAATACATAGTTGCTTTGGATTATCCTCAGCATATTAACTCATTATGCATAACACACACACACACACACACACACACACACACACACCATCACTACCACCACCCTTTTAATGTTTAATTTTTTTATTTTAATTGAACCAATCTTTTACTCCAAGTACCCTGGTAGAGAGCTTGATCCAGGAAGGAAGAGCTTTAAGCTTCAGGCAGATGTAAAATTAATTTGAGTAAAAGCATCTCGGCATGAGTGAAAGTTTGGCACATCTAAATCCTGTAAGTACTTAGCCTCTCTTCTTTTTTCACCATTAAAACCTGGAAAACAAACCTCCAGGGAAAATGTCATTGTGGGGTGCATGGGGCAGGGCACACTGGTAAAATTAAGTTTAAGAAGTCTTCAGTCTTTGTTCCCACAGCAGGGGAGCCCTATATGCCACCTGACATGAGGCCATGGACATGGACATGCACATACATGGATTTCAGAATGTGCTAGTCCAGAGTTCTGGAAGCCAGTAATCCCAGGAATGATTGCTGCCGAAACTTGCCTGGGTTTTAAGAGCAAAGAGAACAAATAGCACATCAAACCTGCAAATATCCTTCTGAAGATATCCATCAGTAGTAAGAAAAACTTGAACTTAATAAGTCAACAAGTGGCCTTCAGGTGGCTGCATTAAGAGTTCCCTATTTGGGGCAGGATGTTTGTCTTACCAGGAACAATGATCACTCACTGTAAACAGATCTACAATCAATCAGTCAATCAACAGTGACTAGAAGCACTCACAGAAAAAGCCTCTGGTTACAGAAGAAGTACCAGACTGGGAGTTGGGAGAACATTCTTTTCCTGGCTCTGTCATCAATTACCTGTGTGACCTTGGCCTTAAAGATACCTTTCAGGTCTAATATTCTCTGATATGGACACCTCCATAGTCCATGATTTGAAACCAATGTACACATGAAAACATTATGTAAGAGAGTGAACAATAATGGTATTTCCTGGCTCTGGGCTTTGGTTTCATCATTTGTAAAATGAGTAGGAGGAGGGGGGAAATTAAAATGATTTTCTTCTAAAGTGTGCTCCAGTTTAAATGTGTGTGTCTGTTTTTATAGAAAGTGCCATACCAGAAGCTCCATGTAAAGAAGCATTAAAAAAAAATCTTCTGCCCATAAGAGGGTTCCAACCAAGCTAGCTAGAAAAGATTTACACACACACACACACACAATCAAATAATTTATGAACAAAAATTTGACAATGTAATGTAAGTCAATATTAGCAAGCACTGATTGCTTGGAAATGGCTGTTAGAAATAATAGTAACGTGTAAAAAATGCCAAATGTGTAACACAGAAAACAATGTGAAAGATGTTAGTTCTGCATTCCTGACCTGACTCCCAGGCCTACTGTGTATTGGGTCCTAACTTTTAAAAGTGAATCCTGTAATCCACATTTGCATATAGCTCCAAGCACTGCAATCAATGCCCTGGCTTAGGGAATGTGAAATGACATGGCAGTAGTTCTCTGTCACAGTAAAGTGTTGCTCCTGCTGCTTGTCTTGAAGTTACCTTGGTTCCCTTGCCTCTCACCTCATTCATTCATTCATTCAACAGAGAAGGTAGGCACTTTGTTAGGTACTGGGAGTGCAAAGGAAAGTAAGTCTTAACTTAAACATCACTTCCTTAAGGATGTCAAATTACATGATGCCTCAGTGTAGATCCATAGTTCCCTGGATCTCTCTTGAATTCCATACCAAGTTGTTGCATATATCAATAGTTCATTCTTTTCTTATTGCTGACTAGTATTACAAGGTATAGATGTGCCTGAGTTTGTTCAACCATTCACTCATTGAACGGCACTTGGGTTTTATTTTCCAGTTTTCTGCTATGAACATTTGTGTATAGAGTTTTGTGTGAACATTAAGTTTACATTTCTCTGGGATAAATGCTAAAGAATCCAATTTCTAGGTTGTATGGCAAGTATGTGTTCATTTTGTAAGAAACAGCAAAACTATTCTCCAGAGTGGCTGTGTTACTTTACATTCTCACAATCAATGAATGAAAGAGCCAGTCTCTTTGTATCTTTTCCAGCATTTGGTAAAATCACTATTTTTTATTTTAGCTGTTCTTGTAGGTTTGTAGTGATATCTCATTGTAATTTAATTTGCATTTCCCTAATGAGTAATGATGTTGACAATCTTTTCATATGCTTCTTTTGCTGTCCATATCTCTTTTCGTTCACTTCATAATTGGATTGTTTGTTTTACTGTTGAGTTTCAGAGATTTTTTTACATTTCAAAATATAAGGTCTTTGTAAGATGATTTGTAAACATTTTCTTCCACTCTGTAGCATGTTGTCTTATTTTCTGTTAAGATGATCTTTTGAAAACTGAGGTTTCTAATTTTCATGAAGTTTTATCAGTTTTTCCATTATGAATTGTGCTTTTGGTATCATGTCTTATAACTCTTCACCTAGCCCTAGGTCCTGAAGATGTTCTTGTATTTTTTTTTTGAAAGTGTTATAGTTTTGTATTCTACATGTAAATCCATGATCCATTTTTGAATTAATTTTTCTATATGATGCGAGTTTTAGATTGAGTTCATTTTCTTTGCCTAGGGATATCCAATTGTTCCAGCACCATTTGTTGAAAAGACTATCTTTCTTCCTCCATTGGGTTGTTTTGCACCAGCAATCAATGTATTTTAAAATTGACTTCCACAAAAGCTGTGGTTCTGGCCCTCACAGAGCTCACAATCTCCAGAGGGAAACAGCAACAATCATAGCACTTTAAGATAAAAGCTACAACAGGGGTCTGCACAGGGTGCTGGGGAAGCCAAGGAGGCCATACCACAGTAATGAGCTTCCTGTCCACCTCCTTGCATCCACAACTCCCTGTGCGTAACTGTCTGTCCTTGAAGTCTGCTTGTAGACCTTCCTGGATTTCTACTCTTTGCCTCAGCTTAGGATAGTCGGATCTAACCAGCTGCATTGGAACAACAGCTACGGAACTATGCTCCGAAGTTTTTACTGCAGATCCCTGCCGCTTCAGGTCAACTAGACTCTCATTCTATGTCTACTTCAGTCTCAGCCATCCAATGTCACTTAACATACTGTATTCCAATTTTTTGTTTGTTTTTTTTGTTTTGTTTTGTTTGTTTGTTTTTTGAGGCCGAGTCTCACTCTGTCACCCACACTGGAGTGCAGAAGCACGATCTCGGCTCACTGCAACCTCTGCCTCCTGGGTTCAAGCGATTCTCCTGCCTCAGCCTCCCCAGTAGCTGGGATTACAGGCACACACCACCATGCCCAGCTAATTTTGTATTTTTAGTAGAGACAGGGTGTCACCATGTTGATCAGGCTGGTCTCGATCTTCTGACCTCAAGTGATCCCCCTGCCTCGGCCTCCCAAAGTGTTGGGATTAAAGGCATGAGCCACTGCACCCAGCCACTGTATTCCAATGTGTAAGACCCACAGTTTCTCGCCAATTTTGTTTGGGGTTTCCTGCCCAGATCAAAGACATCAGGATGGAGTAAAGCAGAGAGATATGCATTTTCCCATGAGTTGGTGCTGTGCAGGGAATCAGTCAGGTATATTCTAACTCCAGATTAAGGAGACAGTAGACAGAGAAGAAAGGGGTGTTTCTTGCTAGGTTGACAGCCTACTCCATTTGAGCTCATGGGTCCTTAATGTGTAAAATATACATTAATAACAACAATGGCAACAATAATAATCCATTATGTGGCTTAAACTATCTAAAGTGTTGGTTTACATAATTAAATGGATTAGCCACAGAATTCCTCCACTATCCCCATCTGAGGATTTGTTCGACACTGATCACATTTAGCTATCTCTGCTTAACTATTTATGATCTGAATTCCTTTGAAGAAAACTCACCCTAAAACAACTAGTAGGGGTCCTGGAATGGGGGAGTTTCTCCTCTATGGTGACAGGGTCTGCTAGGAACTGAGGAATAATTTTTTTTTTTGTGGCCAGGCTAATAGCTAGAAATGTGATTCATCAATTAAGTACTGGAAACACTGGTCTCTTTCATAACTCCAAATTCTCAGGATGTTAATCAAGCAGAGTCATCCTATTTCCCTGACAGGCCTGGCATAGAGTCAAGACTTAAAAGGAAAAATTCTAAACATGACCTGTTAGCACTGAAGAACTTTCTTTTTTAATAAGATGTATCCATTAATGAAGCTCTCCTGCTTTGGGATGTGTGCTAATTAATCGTAAATGGGAGAGATGATCCCTGTTATGGTAATGCCAGCTGCTGTAACATATAAACTCCAAAATTTTAATAGCTTAACAAAATTGAAATGTACCTCTTGCTCCCGTACATGAGTGTTTCTACTTAAAGGTGGGCTCTAAATAGTAATTCAGGAACTCAGGGTCCTTCTACCTTGGAGCTCCTCCAGCTTCAATGTGTGGCTTCCAAGATTGTTGACCTGGGGGAAGAGCACAGAGGATAGCAACTGGGTGTTTTTATGGACCAGGCTTGCAAGTAGCTCAGATCATTTCTGCTCATATTCTATTAGGTAGAATCTGGTCTCATGGCCACACTAATTTCAAGGGTGTCTGGGAAATGTAGCAAATCTCTGTGTCCAGGAGGAAGAGCATCAGGTTTGGTGAACACCCTATGGTGTCTCACACAGTCCTGAAGTAACTGCATGTCAGTGATCTAAAACCAGATATGTGATTTGCAGAATAATTGGAGATCTTCCAGGGTATATAGTCCCCTGTAGCCTAGCTTGCTCAACATGAGGATGATGATAATGAGAGTAGGGCTGTTAATGCAGCAAAGAGTTCCTGATGAGCCAGTGAGCCCACCACCAAAATTTGTTCAATTGTCTTGCTTCTTTCAATCTGTACATGAGTGGGTGTATAAATTGGTGATCTATTTCCTTTATCATTGAAATAAATTAATGATAAATGGTCATTAGCATGATTCTTATATCTTCACCCAGAACACTGTGCATGAGTTAAGCAATTCTTTAGAAAGGTAATATAGTGTAGTGGCTACAAACATAGCCGTAAATTATACCTGGGTGCAAATTCTGCCATATGTTAGTTGTATTAATTAATACTTCTTAATTGCAAATAATCAACTTTAGCTAGTTTATGCTAAAATGGGGAATTTCTTATAAGGATATAGGGCTATCTTTTGGAATTCATGGGTAGAAATACAGCTAGAGCTCAAAAGGGCCGTAAATTAGGATCTGCAAGGCTGTCATGACACCTCTCACCCCTGCTTCTCTCTTTGCAGCTGCTTCACTCTCATATTCTCTGCCTCTGATGCTTCTCCAACTGCATTGTCAGAATCTACTTCTCCAAGCCTGTCAAGTCTATATGTTCCAGCCATAAGCAGTGACTTGCAGTGTTTGAATTCCAACTTCATATTTCTAGGAGAAAAAAATTTGTTTGGCTCAGCTTGGGTGATATATTCATTGCTGACCCCAATCAATAATGAGGTTCTCTCCAAAAAATCTCTTTCAGAGACCAGCTTCTTTAGATGTGGGGTTAGTTTTTAGGAGAGAGAGAAAGAGAGACAGAACTATGCTAGCAAGTATCTTACCTCTCTGAGCCTCCTTTTCTTCATCTGTAAAATGGAGATAACGCTACCAAACCCAAAGATTATTTTGAGGACTAAATAAGACAATGTATACAAAGTCTAACATAGTACCAGGCAAAAAGGATATTTAATAAACAATGAATGAATGGATGTATATAAACTAACAGTATATCACTCCATTTATCAGAGACTGCAAGCTCAAGATAAAGCTGGATAAGTAGGCAAAGTTCTGATATGAAGGCTACTGGGTTTCAATGTTATACAACTGCATTGCTCATGCTGCAGTCCTGAAAACCTGAGGATGTTATGCATTAAACAATAAAAATATTAGGAATTTAAACCCTAACATAGATTTGCAGGCTTGCCAAATTCCACATCTGAGCTTTTAAATCAGAATTCATGGAAGTGCAAATACACCTATTATAAAAAAGGAAACTGTTATTGCTAACTCATATGATTTAATACACAATGGGTCAAGAAGATAGCAGTTTTAGAAAGACAATTCATTCCCTGGCCTTCAGACTGCCACTTAGTTGGAAGTTCCTACCCACGGCAGTCTTTACTGCCACGTTTATTACTCTGATTTTCCACGCAAGCAAAATAATTAGAGGCAGAATTCCATCAAACTCTATGCTGAACCACATTTAACTAACACTATAGACAGCCTAGGTTTCCCTTTGTACCATCTACCACAATATGAGAGTCTCCTACAGAAAACAAAAGGCAGGAACCTCCAAAGCTATAAAAGTCTTGTTCAGAGATATTTCTGAGTTATCTCTGTAGTATTTTCATATCATGGAGTACCAATATGGAAAAATATATTCCTCCTAAAAAACATCCACAGTGCTTCCCTTACATGAGAAAGACAACTCTAAAATTCACTTTCTGAAGACACATGAGGATTTGGCAGCCAAGCAAATGTCTTTATTGCTATTCCAGTCCTAAAGGAACAAGAGCAATTATTCATACTCATCCAGCACACTTCCAGTCAATCTCCCCCACAGAAGGCCCCTATCACATCAGTAACACAATTGTTGCTATTTGAAATGAATATATAAACGGAGGAGATAGGGATTGCAGAGTTTCTTTTTTTTTTTTTTTTTGAGACAGAGTTTCACTCTTGTTGCCCAGGCTGGAGTGCAATGGTGCAATCTCAGCTCACTGCAACCACCGCCTCCCGGGTTCAAGGGATTCTTCTGCCTCGGCCTCCTGAGTAGCTGGGATTACAGGCGCCTGCCACCATGCCCGGCTAATTTTTGTATTTTTAGTAAAGAGGGGTTTCGACATGTTAGCCAGGCTGATCTCGAACTCCTGACCTCAGGCGATCCACCTACATCTGCCTCCCAAAGTGCTGGGATTACAGGCGTCAGCCCAGCCCAGAGTTTCAAAAAATATATGAAGCCATTTCCCTCTCAAGGGCATGGAGCTTAATTCCTCTCCGCTTGAGAATGGGGGGCACTTAGTGACTCACATCCAAAGACTAGGTTATGGAAAGGGAAAAAATAGTAACTTTACAACAGAGAAATGTGGCAGACACCAACTTAGCCAAATGATCAAAGTTAACACCACCCATGATGAGTAACGATGTCACATACCCCTGTTATGATGGGTTGAGAAGAGTACCCCACTTTGTGTTATTGTTTCCAATAAACTTATAGTTCATAGTCTAAATATGAAGAGAACATTAGACATACCTAAATTGAGGGACATTCCTCAAAATAGCTGACTAGTACTCTTTATAACTGCCAATGTCATCAGAAACAAAGAGAAACTATTACAAGTCAGAGGAGACTAAACAGACATGATAACAAAATGCAATGTGGTATCCTGGATGGAATCCTTACACAGAAAGAGATTATACTATTGGAAAAACCAGTGACATTTGAATACAGTCTGTAGGTTAGTTAATAACACTGTACTCATGTTAATTTCTTAGTTTTAACAAAATGTACTGTGGTTATATAAGACATTAACATTAGGAAAAGTTGGGTGAAGAGTATATGGGAAGTCTCTGTACTAGCTTGTAAATGTAAAATTATTTTAAAAATTTGAATAGCAATACTATTCCCTACAAATAACCACAATTAAATTTTCTTTCTCAGTTCATTCTTGGCTCAGCAATTTGCTTTTATCATTATGTCTCCCTCCCAACTGAAAGATGACTTAGAAATTCTGACTCAAACCTCTGGTATGATCAGAAAGTTGCTAGAACTTGATAGCAGCTCTGAAGCTTGTACCTAAGGGTCTGTTCTTTGAAGTACACGGTAATATTTCAGAGTACCTATATAGACCTTTCCATGAGACTGTAACTATCCTTTGTGGAAAACACAAATTCTAGCCTACAGCTAGAAGCAAACATCATGAACCATCATCCTCCCAGGATCAAAAATTCAAAGCTATTTTCAACTTTTCACTCTTCTCATTCTCCACATCCTAATGGTCGTCCAGGATTCTCCATCTGTAATGGCTCTTGCAGTGGTCCACACATCTTCAATCCTATTGCCACTGCCATGCACAGGGTCTCATTGTATCTCTCTTGGGTCAGAGAAGTAGCCCAATCTGTGATTCTCTTTCTACTCCACTGTCACAAACCTTCCCAGGCTTCCCTCTGCAGAAAATGTAAACTTCATACTCTTCAGCTAGGCATTCCAGGTCCTTCGTCATCTGATCCCAGAATATTTTCTCACCTTGTTTCTCATTACCCTTTATTCAACTCCAGTAGCCTCCTTTCCATTCTCTAAACACTCTTCAATGTTTAGCCTTTATAAATCTGCTTATGCTAAACATTCTGACTGGAATCTCCTATCTTAATTCCCTCTGTTTACTGAAGTCTCATCCACTTCGACTCAGACCTCAACCTCCCCACAAGACTTCCCAAAATCACTTCAGTTAGTAATTTCTCTTCTCATCTCTCCAGATATGTATTACCTACTGTGACATATCAGTTGTTTGAATCAATTGTTAAGCTATTAAAATATTGATATTAAAAGTCATCATGAAAATGAAAATTTCATTATTCATTTGTTGGTAGGTCTCTGTTTAAATAAAATTCTGGATGCCAATAGCAAAATTCTGATATGCTTCGTGGGGGAATATAAGTCAATAAGACTTTGGACTACAACTTCTAAAAGTAAAATGCAAAAAAATAGATTAGTGTTGAATTTCTTATTTGCAACATATAGTAGCTAGTAGAACAATATTCACAATTTAGACAAAAGGACTTAATCTAAGAATCCTACACTTATGAATACAAAGAGAGTACAAAAAGTTTTAAAGTCATGCAGTGATTAAAAACGTATACCACCTGTGGTGGGCGCCTATAGTCCCAGCTACTAGAGAGGCTGAGGCAGGAGAATGGCGTGAACCCAGGAGGCGGAGCTTGCAGGGAGCTGAAATCGCACCACTGTACTCCAGCATGGGTGAAAGACAGCGAGACTCCATCTCAAAAAAAAAAAAAAAAAAAAAAAAAAAAAAGGCATACCACCTGTATTCATCCAACTCTTGATTGAAACTCACAGAAACTCAACTAATATACTTCCATGTCCATCGATAGACTTCAGACATGTACTGATATTGGTGCCTCAGTGAATATCAACTTTGTATTAGCTCTGTCAAAGAAATGTTGAAAAAGTTCATATATATGAGACATATGAAAACCAAACCACAGTAAGGAGGCAAAATTAATATCAGATGAATTAGAATTCAGTGCAAAAGGCTTAATTAGACAGAACAGGATATTTTGAATGATAGAAGGAAACTATAACTGCCACAAACCCTTATGTATCAAACAAAACAGGAATGACCTGTATAAGGTAAAGACTTTTAGAAATCAAAGAAGAACTTGATAAAGCCAAAATCAAAATCATATCTGGGTTCTTTCCAATTTTTGGCTATTTTATTCTTTTGAATAAGTCTGCTATGAACATTCAAGTAAATATATTTGTGGATATTTGTTTTTATTTATCAAGAATAAATATCTAGGAGTAGGATTGCTGGATCATACAATACAGGTATGTTTAACTATATAAGAAACTGTCAAACTGTTTTCCAAAATGGTTGTACCATTTTGTATTTCCGCCAACAATGTGTGAGTCTCAATTATTTCACTTCTTTGCCTACACTTGGTATTACCAACTGTCTTTATTTTAGCCCTTCTACTGAGTGCAGTAGTAACATGAGCCTTTTATAAAGACTTAATGAGAGTATTTTTATAGCATTAAGTCCAGGATAAGCAATATAAGCACTCAACGAATATTAGCGGTTAGAATTATTATGTAGCAGAAAAGGGGATAATAGACCTCCAATACAAAGGATATCTATAAATTGTTTAAAAAAGATAACCCAGTATAAATATGGATGATGGAAACAAATCATCAGTTTTTAGAAAAGAAATTATGAATAGACAATACAAATATAAGAAGATTCTCACCCTCACTAGCGGTCAGGAAAGTAAAAATTTAGACAATAATGAAGTATTGTTGTTTTTCATTCAATTAACAAAAAGAGTACAACTGATAGCATCAGCGTTTTATGGGTATGGAAAGAGGGACATTTTTATATACCATTAGTGAAAATGTAAACTGCTGTAATTTTAAGGAAAGCAGTTGGGCAGAATCTATAAAAATTTTAAATGTGGATATATTTTACATCAGCACTTCCATTCCTAGCATTTTTGTCATTCATTAAGGAAAGTATGTCAACATGATAATGTAGTTAATAATGGAAAGCAATAAAAAATCTCCTAGGTACCTATTAATAGTAGAATGGAGGAATAAATTAAATCCGACCTTACTAGGGAATACGATGCATCTATTAAATGAAAACGGAAGATTTACATATATTGCCTGGGGAAAATTTATATGATATATTGTTAAGCAAGTCACAGAGTAATATAGTATGATCCCATAGGCAGGAATGACCTTCATGGGTCCCAAACTCAGATGTGCAAAATTTGTCTTTATTTTTCTATGACTAAATGTAAGTTCCGTCCTTTTTAATGGTTAAAATGATAAATTTTACATTATGTAATTTTTTTTAAGTTCTATCTTGAGTCCTCTTTCTGCCTGATGATAAAAACAGAGTCTTTAGTCAATTCAGAGTAAATTCAGTCAGTGCAGGTTTCCCACCCTCCACTCCTCTCCTCTTCTTTCTCTACGTTGAGTTTAAGGAGAGACAAGGCCTTGAAGTGTGTGAGGGGGCAGGCTCAGGGCACATGGTCCTTGATCATCATCTGCTATTGTATCCTTCCCTTTAGATGGCCAGGTCTCTGGGTCTGCTGGCAGCTGCTGCCACCTCCACACTGATCCCAGCACAAGGGCAAACATTCTGCTGCTCACTAAGGAACACAGTGGGGAGGGGGGCATAAAGACTGAATGGGGTGCTGAAGTCCTATTTTCAAAACACCATCTCTTCTAGCCACTATTCTCATTTCTATTTCTGACTACAACACTGCACCCAACCAAACTTCCCGCTAAGAAACAACTGCAAGAGCTAGATAAATTTTAAAAAATAAAATACAAATCTGTTTGAAGGCATCTGAGCTCTACACAGGAGCCAGGATTAAGGTCCCAGAGCTGAGGTCCCATAGAGAAGGGAAAGCCTGAGGTGAGCACATTCCACCCTGTGTTTCCTATGAGGCATTTACTCATTCAAAAGCAGTGAGGTGTGGAAAAAACCAAGCAGAAAAACAGAAAGCAGCAGCTGAGCAGAGCAGTGACAGTCATTTGCAGATAGCGCTCAAAAGGTAGAGTTTAGAGTTACCAAGTGCTAGACACCGAATGCTTGTGTATTCCCAAATTCATATGTTGAAACCCCAACACTCAATGTGATGGTATTAGGAGGCAGGGCAGGAAGGTGATTAGGTAATGAGGGTGGAGTCTTCATGAAGGGGCTACTGCCCTCATAAGAAGAGACAGGAGAGAGCTCACCCTTTCCTCTCTCCCTCTCCTTGTTCACCATGTGATGACACAATGAGAAGGTGGCCCCCATGAGGAAGATGGCCCTTGCCAAGAACCAAATTATGCTGGCACCCTGATCTCAGACTTCAAGCCTCCAGAACTGTGAGAAATAAATGTTTGTTGCTTAAGCCACCCAGCCTATGATATTCTTGTTATAGCAGGCTGAGCTAAGACACAAAGGCATGTAAATATAGAGACCAAGAACCTTGAGGAAGGCAAGTGCAGAGAAGTGAGACCGTGAGTCATTTGCCAGCCCTAAGTGGCCCCAAACGGGAAGCAATGGTTACAAGGCTTAGAGGCCTAGATGAGCTTTTGCTTCACACCACTTTTTGAAGATAAAAATAAGAGTTCGGGGCCCTCTGAGGAGGAGGGGCACTAGTAACTATTCCAGACTCTCAGTTGGGGACCCAAAGGGCCGTACTTTAGACATAGTGGACTAGAAACAGGGAAGGTCTTTATTTTAAAAATATGGAATTGGGAATTGCTTGTCTTTCTTTCTTTAGACCATTAGCCCAGGAATTTATATGTTCTCTGCTGTGGGTCAAAATTTACTTTGAAAGTATTCTTCAAGCCTGTTGTTTAGGCTTTATAGACAAGAACAAATTCTCTTGATTCTCTTTTTGTTTCTGCTGCAATAACCTTACTCTGTGGATAACCAGTGTCAAAGGTGAGTCTGAACACAGAAAGGGCACAAAATTTAAAGGTGAAAAAATTAATTTCCCAAAAATATAAATCCATATCTGTTAGATTGAGATGATAGGACCCACTCTACAGAGCTGTTGGAGGAATAGAGATAACAGTTGTGAAATGTCTCATTCAGTGCCTGGCACACACAGTAGGACTACAATAAGTTATTACTCTTATAATTCTCTCTTTAATGATTATTTCTATGACACTAAAGATAAGAAGTGTATTCCTTCCAAACTCAACCAAGTCAATGTTTAGGAATGGGTGACACTAAAGTTCACTCTAAGTTTTTCCTTTAACAGTTACTAGTTGACATGTTAGACAGTCACCTATGAGCAATGTTTCCTGGAACCAGAACCTTTGAAATTACAATAGTGTTGAATCCAGATAAGATTTGGTAAAAGAATCAGGGAGCCTTAGAATAAAGGTTTCTGATTCTCACTTTGGCATCTCCAGAACCTGAGGTTTTAGAAGACTTTAGGTTCAAAAGTTTTTCAGCTTTGCAGAAACTGAAAGCGTGTCACACTAGCTAAAACAAAAGGTCGAATTTCTTTAGGGTGAAATAATATCAACTCTGTGTTAACACCACTTAGCTCATGCTCATCAGTAGCTTTGATTGCTTGTCAATGACATCTTCGAAATTTCTAGGATACAGTCAGTGGGTGACATAATTTTACAGACTGACATTTGGCAGTTTCAGTATTCCAATGGACTACGTCCAGAACAGGCATGACCTTGGACGCAAGTATAGCACAACAGCTGGAGTTAGGCCACTAACTGCTGACTTAACATTTCCCTCATTATTATAATTAGTGCCACATCTATGACAGAGACTCATGTGATTATCCAATTCATAATACTAAATAAAAATGACATTATTGATAGTTACACAATAACTGCCTAAACAAAAAGCACTGATTGAATAGATGAAATTTTTCATAATAAATGTGCTCTTAATTAAACTGTGTTACTTGAGTAACACACTTTTTCAAAACGTGGAATTCATAGAAGGGAAAAGAGGTCTTGTTCGGGGGTAGGAGGAGGAAGATTTGGGAACTTACTCACTTGAAGTGCAGACCAATACCTTGAGTGATATGAAAGTTCTGAGAGGAAAGATGTACTAGGCAAAGCTTGCAGGGTAAGGGGGCACATGAACTAGGCCTTAGAGAATGTTAATGGTTTAGACATTGGTGAGTAAAGGGTACTCCAGGAGGAGGCAACTGCTTAAGCAAAAGCAAGGAGGAACAAGAGAAAAACTAGAGCAGCAATCCTCAGTGACAAAGTTGGAGAGCCCAGCATCAATGCATTGCGGGTGTTCCACCTCAGAGAAGAAATTCCACAAAACTCACTTTTCAACATACCTTTTTCTGATGAATCTAAATTGCAGACATCTTAAAAGATAACTATGAAATTGTTAATGCCAAAGCAAGTAAAGGAGTATATTATATTTCTTATTCTGTAACTCCTGCCTATTTCTAAGGCACCTACTACTTTGGGTTGCCAATAAAAAAAGTTATACCTATAATAAAACCAATAAAAATAATATATAACTTGTCTATATACCATTTATTTGTACACATATTTTACACATACACACACACACACACACACACACACATATATATCTCCAGTATTAAGGTTTGGTTTCTTTAATCCTAAGCTTTTATAGTATCCTAAAGCCAACTAAGTCCTTGAACCTCTCATATATGTATATATATACACAAGCATGTATATATACGTATATATACGTATATGTGTATATACGTACATATACGTGTATGTGTATATGTGTATATACGTATATATACGTGTATGTGTATATGTGTATATACGTATATATACGTGTATGTGTATATGTGTATATACGTATATATACGTGTATGTGTATATGTGTATATATATGTTTATATGTGTATATATGTATATATACATGTATGTGTATATATGTATATATACATGTATGTGTATATATGTATATATACGTGTATATGTGTATATATGTATATATGTATATATACGTGTATATGTGTATATATGTATATATATGTGTATGTGTATATATGTATATGTGTATATATGTATGTGTATATGTGTGTATATATACACGCATACATGTATATATATATTATATATGTGTGTATATATGTGTATACAGATATATACACACACACATACACACATATATATTTCCAGTATTAAGGTTTGGTTTCTTTCATCGTAAGCTTTTATAGTATGCTAAAAACCAACTAACTCCTCGAACCTCTTAAGAGATCATTGTTGTCCATGGTTTTTCAGCATAGAAAAACCCACAGTGCCTTCCATTGCAGCAACCAAAGTTTTAGAGTTAGGAGTCATTATATGCTCATCTTTTCTGCTTTATTAACTTTAGCATTTAGGTATATTTGCCTGTCGGGGTTTACCATGTTCTGGCCCTAATGAGCCAGGCAGGATTATGATCAAATCTGCTTTGGGCTTCCCGAGGAACCATGACTGGCTGGAAAAGGCTATGTATATATACATGTATTCGTATATATGTATATGTGTATATATGTATATATACGTGTATATGTGTGTATATAGACACATATACATGTATATATACATGTGTATATGTATATATATGTATTATGTATGTGTATATATGTGTATACAGATATACACACACACACATACACACATATATATCTCCAGTATTAAGGCACTCTCAGGACATCCAGGGCAGAAGCATCCAGGGGTTTTCATGTAGCTACATAATCCACCAATAACAACAGTAAGTCAAGAGGATCCATGCCTGACATGGATATTGAATGTGATCCAAGCATGAGACACACGCATAGGAAAACTTACTTTAAATCTATGTTTCTTGTACTCAGTAATCCTTTTTAAAGCCCTGGTATTATAACAGAGCATTAATGAAAATAAATCTTAACACCTCCAAGTTAGACAATAGCATTCGCTTTCTTCCTAATGATTAATAAATTGATCCATGCCTGCTGGGGTGACACTTCCACAAATGGAAGAGTCAAACAGGGAATTATAGAACTCTGTCTTTCTAGTTCAGATGTGTCATCTAATTAGATAGCATTTTTTGTTTTGGCTAAAATTCTCTCTCAGAAGAATTGTATCTGGTCCATGAGCTACATCTAAGATGCCTGTGCTCAGAGTTCCTTGATCTCTGAACCTCATGTTTTAATATTACTTACTTCTCTTGTCAGTTCTTCCTTCTACTAAATTCTCTCTGCCCTACAACCCCCTTTCCACCATACCTCCAACCATCCTTTAATGCATAGAAAAGAATAGCTTAATTATACCAAAAATAGATAATAGGGTTATCTGGACAGATGACCCTATTCTCCGGTTAATTCGAGGTTAAGTGGATCTTTGAGGGTTTTCACATCTTGTTGAAAATAGATTTATCCACTCTTTTATATTTTCCTTGTAATGATTAAAAGTTATTAAAGTAAAGATGAATTCTCCCTTTGCAGACCTATAACTACTGTAGGGGCACAAGGGAAAGGAGAGATTGGGTAGAATGCAACTGAGTCCATCCTTACCACGTAGTTTTTTTTCTTACTGACTTCTATATTAGCTTATTTTATTAGTGTTCTCTTTCTCTAAAAAGCCTGATGCTGCAAAAATTACTAAATGAGGGCTTCCCAGTGTTGATATTTTGGCTGACTGAATACTGTACCAACTGCCTTTGACTGTGTCCTGTCTCCAAAGTTCCTGGTAATGTAGGCCCAGAAGGCCAGTTTACCAAATTAGTTGTACGATGTAAAACTCTGAGGGACCACTAACACATTGGATTACAAAGTCAACGTTATAAAGATTTCAACAAGCTGAAAACATGAGCTGAAACAAACAAAATTACAGTGAAAAGGAATAAAAGTACATAGAGGTATTTAAGTTTAAAGTTTTTGTAATCCCAAAAAAAGATTGTCAATTGTTCAAATAGACAGCTGCCTCATTAGTTATTCATCTGACCTTTGGGTTTCCATTAATAACTCAATGTAGCCAGCAATGTGACAGAGCTCTTGCAAGTTTGAGGTGATTTGAGGCTGCATTACTAGAATTTTGATGGACTGAGGTAGGTAATAGTTCCACTGTACTTTCCTTATCAGTCCACATCTGAAATTGGTGGTCAGGCAGGTGGACAAGAGTATCTGCTATTAAAAGAACCGCATATTCTTACTCTTCTCGCTTCAGTGATTGGCATTTAATACAATTTTATAGTTTAGATTTCCATAGATATTTGTTCCAAACAGCTAGTCCTTTCCTAATATGATGTTCACTGAAAATACGTATTAGCATGCTTCGCCTCTAAATTGTGCTTTTCTTATTAAAAAAAACCCCCAGATCTCTTATATTAGAAAAGCATAAGCTTTAACTAATATTAGTGTAACTATTTTATTGAATATACTGAACTCAATGGAATACAACAGGAAATGTCTGTCTTATCCTTTCCCATCACTGTCTTCAGTTATGCTTGGTCCAGTCTCCCCTTCATGACCTTTGAGAAAATCTCAGGCAGATCTCAAAACTTCAAAGTTCAGTTTGAAAGTTTAGTGAGGTATGATGTAAAGTTCCAATTTCACATTCAGTTCAGAGCTTCTTCTCCCAAGCTTGGGCCTGCTTCCCATGGAATGAGGAGCCTCCCTAGGCGTGAGGGAGGGGCACAACCTGTGCTTCCTTCCTCTTTCCCCTCATCCTGCTAATTCTGATTCCTACATGGTTGGAGGAGGAAACGGGGATAGGAATGTAGGCAGTTGAATTGTAACCTCCAAAAAGATCTGTCCATATCCTAATTCCTGGAACTGTGATTGTGAATGTATTTGGAAACACAGATCTTTACAGAAGTAATGAAGTTAAATATCTTGAGTTGAGATTATCCTGGATCATCCAGGAGGGTCCTAAATATAGGGACTTATTATAAGAAACATAGATAAGAGAAGCTCACAGAGAAGAGGAAGAGGCAATGTGACTGTGGAGATCATTTGGACAGGTGCTGCCACAAGCCAACACACACCTGGAGTCATCAAAAGCTGAAAGAGGTGAGGAACAGATTGTCCCCTCGAGCTTTGAGAGAGAGAGAACAGCCCAGCCAACACCTTGAATGGCCTCCAGAATTGTGTGAAAATACATTTCTGATGTTTAAAGCCACCAAGTTTATAATAATTTGTTATAGCAGCCCTAGGAAATTAATTCAAGAGGCTAAAGGGCAAAAAATCTTTTCATTTAGATTGTGCTCTAGTTCTCTCATGGCTGCTGATGCCCTCTGTGGGCAAGTGTCCCAAAGCTGGCTATGTTGTTGGGTGCAAGAGCAGGTTTTCTTGGATGCCCTTGAAGGGGCCCAGCTTAGGAAAAGAGCTCCCTGGCTGGCCTCTTGTGACCCTTTGCTCAGGTTCCAGCTGGGGTGACAAGTTCCACAGCCTCTTACTGCTACAACTTCCTCCCCCAAACAGGCCCCCTCATGGGTGCAAGACCCTCAAACGACTCAGCTACTTTCTATGGTATTCCCTGGCTTTCAAGGATCTCCACTCACCCTAGCCATTGTGAAGAGGAGGAGGTCACTCCACCATGAAACTGCTCTCTTTCTTCCCATAGTCACTGACTTCTCTAGTCCGCCTCTGCCTACAGAATCCCCTACCTCCAGGGCCATGGTTCAGCCTCTCTCATGAGCTGCCTCATGGCAGTCCATCCTGGTGGCCCTCCCAAATTGGGCAGCTTGCTAAGCCTCTAGCCAGAGACTGAGACACCGGGTACCCTCTTAGAGCAGACCTCATCTCCATGTGTGACCCCCTTGGTGGATTCATTCTTTGTTTACACACTCTCCTCAGCCATGGGGTCTAGCCTTCTGCTCATGGCGTGGTGGGGGTGAGAGTTGGAGGATCCCTTTGGCCACTCCTTAAAGCACTGGAGACCATGTCTGGTGGCTCCTTGGTTTCTTTATAGAATGTGGGGTACCACCTATTAACCTTAGCTTGCAGCTTTAGCTGAAATCCTGAGATAATAAGAAAAATCCCATTCAATATCCTGTCATATTCTATATATAGAATAGTAAGATTTTACAAATGCAAACATACTGTTCCAATTTGATAGCTTTTCTACTAACTCTCATTTATTTTAAATCCTTTCTTATTTTCTCTAGGATTTTTATCTTCTTGGCTTGGCTAGAGCTTGTCAGTTCTTGTGATTAGATAAAAAATTCTTAGAATCTATTAATTGCCATGAACTTTCTCTTTACGATAGCTCTAGTGCTCAGAATATGGGCTGTTTATCAATCCAGTCTCTCACATTCTTCTTATAAAGGAGAACATGTCCTTTTTAACAAGAGGCTTGATAAAAGCTGAAAAATAAGAGGGTAAAAATATGGCTGCCAAGTACAATCATCCTTTTTTAATGGTTTTCTTCCTGAAAGGAAGGGGTTTCCCCCCATTTCATTAGGTATCTCACCACTGCCGGCTTGCTGAGCCACGCTGCCTCTGGAAAACTTCTCAGGGAGCAAAGTTTCTATTCTTGGCAGCATCACTGATATATTATAAAACCTAGATCCCTTCCAACTTTAGAATTATGTAATTTCATGTACCCTGTAATTAGGAGGAATTTTAGAAAGCTCAAATTCAATACTTCTGATTTGTGAAGACACTCCATTCCTCTCCTCATCTCTGTCACATACATCTTGTTAAATGAAATGTTTTTAAAGATATGTGGCAGAGTATCTCGGCCGTCTAAGAGCCTGGATTTGGATGGATATCTTCTGAATTACACAGCTTCCTCCAGAGGTCTGCCATGTGCCTGGAGCAGACAAACATCTTAAATGTGGCAGGGTAGTCAGGGATATCTATGGAGCATCTGGGTACATCACTGATTTACAGGGGGCCTTGGAGCCTCATGAAGAGGAACTTGAGCCTCGTTACAATTGACTGACATGTATGTCTTCTAAACCTGGTGGGCCTACTGAAGCTTGAATGCAGAGATGGAGAGTCTCTCCCCTCCAGAAAAAAACATAGTAAACAAAAAATGTTTGCAGAATAGGCTAGCATTAGAAGCAGGCCCTGGAGAAAGCAGAAGTTCACAGTATGGTATGAGGTTGTCCTGGAATCCACTTTGGTCTGGTCTTTCCCCAGGACCATTTGCATGCCCCGATAAGAAAAGAGATATAATAACGGAATCTGTAGAGGCCCATGCCATTCTGCTGGGGACCTGCCCTCTTCTGAGAGGGTAGTAAATCTAAAGGGACCATGTTACAAGGAGTTCCTGACTTTTCTACCTTACCCTGCAACATCAGGAGACAAAGAGTAAGGAACCACAGAAATGCAGAGAGAGGTATTATAGAAACAGCAGAGTTTCAAGCAGCACCAGCTGGGAAGCAGCTATCCAAAGGGCTTCAGAAGTTACGGTGGCCAGGGCCACAAGAGGGAATCTGAGCTGAATTCCAGCAGTGCTGGGGGCTGAAAGAGGTGGCCACAGCCCCAGTGAGCAAAAGGGGAGCAGAGGAGCTACACCTGTAGCTCAGATTATATAGAAAACTTGCCTCTCTGCTAGGTGGACTCCCAGATATGCACAAAATTGGGGTGAGCTGAGGTCCTGGTATTTGATAGGTGGTAGAGGTAGAACTAGTAAAGGCCAGTAGTGCAAGTAAACCTACCTGCAACATGAGATGAGTGGGGCCCAGGGCACCTTCACCTGACTTCCTTTTTAATAGAACCTGACATTGTATCTAAACCTCTGTGTGTGTGTGTGTGTGTGTGTGTGTGTGTGTGTGTGTCTAAACCGCATGCACTGTGATAATTTAAATATAATGAAACTCAATGAATATTCAGCCTCTACCTCTGGGCATTAACCTGCCTTAGAGAGATTTCACATTAAGCCTTTGAAGCCTGGGCCTTTGAAAATT
The DNA here is from genome assembly GCF_000001405.40 of Homo sapiens. Classification (NCBI taxonomy): domain Eukaryota; kingdom Metazoa; phylum Chordata; class Mammalia; order Primates; family Hominidae; genus Homo; species Homo sapiens. Next base: position 86,680,136 of record NC_000011.10, on the reverse strand, counting down.
CACTTAGGTGCATTTTAATCAATGTTTATTCAGCAATTATTACATGTCCAGAATTGTTTTGTGGGAATACAGAGGAGGTATTGCAATAGTAATATTTAATATTTACTAAAGATCTACTATGTGCTAGGCACTTAATCCTCACAACAGCCTTATAAGCTAAATACTACTATTGTTATCTTCATTTTATAGATAAGAAAACTGAACTTCAGAGAAATCAAGTAAATCCCCCAGGATCACTCAGCTAGTGAGTGGCAGAGTTGGGATCTAGACCCAGATGTATCTGACTTTAAAGAGAAAGCTCTTAGCTACTATACAAAGAATATAAAATTATTTATTTGTTTGTTTTGAGACAGGGTCTTGCTCTGTCACCCAGGCTGCAGTGTGGTGGTGCGATCTTGAGTCCCTGCAACCTCCATCTCCCAGGCTCAAGTGATCCTCCCACCTCAGCCTCCTGAATGGCTGGGACTACAGATGTATTTTTTGTAGAGATGGGGTTTTGCCCAGGCTGGTCTCAAACTCCTGAACTCAAGTGATCCGCCTGCCTTGGCCTCCCCAAGTGCTGGGATTACAGGTGTGAGCCACCATGCCCGGCCAGAACATGAAATTTATACTGGCAAAAATCAGAGCCGACAACCTTAAATGGCAACCTCGGTTTATAGCCTTGTGCAAATTAAAGTGTTAAATAACATGCTGCTGGAGCTCAGATCTCAAAATCTGCTTTGCAACAGCAGTGTCAAGCCTGTAAAAAATACAAATAAATTAATAAAGTGTGTAGCTAATTACAATGCCTGAAAAGCAAAAAGATATCTCTCCACTCCATATCATCTGTATGCTGCTTAATCAGTCTCCAGTTTTTACCCTTTGTGAGTCAGTATTTTAGATTTGATACTAAACCCAAAATTCAAGCTAAGGAGAACTAAATCCACCTGCTCTTAGAAGCGCAAGTATTCCTGAAAATAAGGTGCCTCTGGTGAACAATTGGTATGACCTGGAGGGAAAAACATTAGCTTTGTGGTCAAAATCTTTGCTCGGTTCCACAGCTGAGTGAATGCCTGCTCTGTGGGCTGCTTGATGACACAGATAACATCCATTACAATAACAAACTACACAAGCTGAAGCTCAAAACCTGTGAATACGCAAAGGAAACAAATTACATCTCTTTGGGGGAATCCTCAGTGAATCAGGCCAAGGGATTAGAGGCTAAATGCAGACTGAGAGGGGGAGTCAAGTAGCTAAATCTGTGAGAAGGGAAAACAAAAACCACTGAGGTGATGAAGAGCTGAAGAGAACCCAAATGCACTGGGAACAGCCTGTCTTCATCTCACCAATTATATGCATAGAAAACACAGTTTAAAAACACTTAAATCAAAAATAACCTAAACTCTAGTAAGAATCCCAGGATTCCTCCAGATTACTGATGATTTTTGTCCCACCAAGAAATGATTGTCAACGGGGAAAACTATTAATATTTTTGTTTCCCATTATGGAAGTGTGTCAGGACTGTTGCAAAGTTAATTAGGAAACTCAAGGATATGCTCATTACAGCTTAACAAGCTTGGAGCCCATGAAGGAGCTAGTGAAGCTGGTGACAGGGGTCAGCTGGTCCAGGGGATGCTGAATAGGCCAGATGGGCAAATCACACCGTAGACAAAGAGCTTTCCCCCTATCCTGCTGGGCCACCACCCTGACCTCCAAACAAACACTAAGGGCACAAATTTGTTCCCCCTTATCAGCTGCTTAGCTCAGCAGCTGCTGCCATGGCTTTCTGTTTCCACATCTTGCCTTTTTCTAAAAGTTGCCTTTTTGTCTAACTTCTATGTGAGGCAGGAGGCGGCCAAGGAACCCAGGGCATAATGAAGAAATGGTGTGGTAGCCATCAGAGGACTGAGTTCTTGAATAGAGTGTTTCAGGAGGGGCAGAAAATAGATTTTTTAAAACAACTTCTGGGAAATGTGGAGGCCCGCAAAATACACAAAAAGCACTGGTTACTAGTTCTCTCCCTGGTCACTGAGGATAACACTTCCTTCTTGGAACTCCTACTACGTGGTAGAAGTGGGGGCATGTCTAAAATGGATTGTAAATTGTGACTAAAGCAGCCATGAAAATAAGAGCTGGCCAGGCTAGGAACATAAGTGGGCCTTAAGAGTTAGCTTCAGACTAAATGAGAATCAGCCAGGGGTTCTGAGGAGTAATGCAGTCTATTGTGTCCTTCTCTCTGGAAGCAATTATGTTTGGTGCAACCACTACTTGAAATAGTTTATAAACAAACATTTCAAGGTGATTTTGTGATAACACTCTGCAGGGGTAACTGAACTCCGTGGACCACCTCTCTTAGGAATGTGGTTATTTAAAAGATGTTTTCTTGTTAAAATTGGGTATTAAAAGTTATGACAATGCAACAGAAGAATAGAGAAATAGGATGTAATGCAACAGAGAAATAAGAAACGTGTTTTCTGCTACCCAACAAAATGGCCCCTTTATTTTTGCTTTTGATATTCTCAGAATGTCAGAGAACTGTTTATTCCTACTTAATAGAAAAACAGAAGTCAACAAGCCAAAGTGTAGGACAGGGAAAGCGTGGCAGGGAGGTAGGGAGCAGGTCAAGAAGAGAGGGAGAATCAGTTACCTTGGAAACAACTCCAAAGGAAGAGTCAGAAGGACAGGATGCAGAAGCTTCGTGGCCCCATTGGCTCCCCCATGCCCTTTTTTAACTCAAGCCCCTTCTATGCCACAGTCCTCCCATATTTAGGTAATCAGACTCAATTCAGTAGGCATTGATTGCACACACCCTGTCCTAGGTGTTGGGTAGGATGAAAGGTTGAAGAGTGGTGATGAGGATGACGATTGGAGATCAGAGAACCACTGTTCATTGAGTGCTGGCCATGCAGCAGGCCTGACCAAACACGAGCCCTTAGTGTCCTGGGACCACCATGGCACCTGAGCCTGGGTTTAAATCCCAGCCCACTTCAGGTGAGTTATTTAATTTTCCTGGATTTTGTTTATGTGTAAAATGAGGATAATAATGGTACCAATCTATAACAGATGGGTCCAGTTGAGGAGACAGAACCACACAAAGTATATCTCAACAACAGGAAGTTAATATAAAGAACTGGTTTCCCAGGTGCTGCAGGGCTGGATGAGAAGAAAAGGAGTGCTGAGGCAATCACAGATGGTAACCGGAGCATGCAGGTTTCATCTCCAGGGTTGGAGGAACAAAGGGAAGTGGTTGCACCATCAGAAGCTGGACCTGAGGTGAAAAAGACTTGCTGCTAAGTCTGCGGAAGCCTGGGAAGCCTGATTCTAGGCTGTGAAAAGGGGCTGGAGGCTGGGCCCAATGGCTGATGCCGGGTAAATGGCTGTTGCTGGGCGGATGCTGCAGGGAACCAACAGCGAGCAAACAGAAAGGAGAACATTTCCCCTCTCCAGCCCTCAGTCTCCCTTTAGTGCCCCCTATTGGCAGAAATGAACAAGAACCCTGCTGCCAAAGAATGGGTTTATAGGGCCCAAGCTTCAGCCATAAGCCAGAGTAGAAAAAGCTAGATCTGGAGCTGAGCAAAATGGCATGATAGCTCGTGAGGCTAAATGACTTAGCATTTATAAAGTGCTTAGAACAGCACCTGGCACGTAGGTGGTAAGTGTATGCTATAATGCATTTTAAATAAATAAATAAATCCAGCAAAAAACAACGTGAGAAGTGATGTTAGGATCTCAGTTTTATCCATGAGGATGGTGAGGCTTAAAGAGGTCACATAAAATGCTCAAAGTCACTCACTGGTAGAGAGTCCAGACTATCTGGATTTAAAGGTGTTCACTTTTATGAGCCTCTTTGCACAATAGGAGAGATTTTCAAAAGTGCAATAAAAGTGAATAGGAGAGATAAAAATAGCAGAGTTTGTGGGCATCAGGGAGGGAGGGTAAGCTGCTGGTTGGCACTCTCGGAAGGCTCATTGGAGGAGGTAGTGTTTGAGTAGAATTGTAAAGGACAGACAGGGCTTCAACTGGCAGATGCTGGAAGCAGAGGAAACTGCTGAGCAAAGGCCCAGAGTTCAGGGCACATAAGCAGAGTGATGAGTATGCAGACCAGGAAGAAATAAATGATCCCCATAATTCTCCTTTGCTGCAAATAATAATAATAATGATAGAGTTGAAGTGCTTACAAATATTACTAGCAGCAATATGAATTTAAAGAGTTCTTTGGGGCAATCATGAACATTAAATGTTGTGCAGAATATTACGAATAAGTTTGTGAAGCAATGGGATTAACTGAAAAATAATGAATTTTATATTCACCTCCTTTTTAAAATCCATGTGTAAGGTCATTAACATCTGCTTTCAGAAGATAAGAGATCTTGTTTTAAGATAGCTGACTGAGTTAAAAATCTGACTTGAAGCCATTTTGTGCCCTTTTAACAATGTACCAAATTTAGTTTCAATTAATTCCACTCCTTGGAAGGTTATGCACAAATTTGAACCACAATTATATTTAATTCAAGAAACTGAGTTAATTCTAAGTGCCAGGCACTTTCCCAGGTATAGAGATGCAAAGAATTATAAATGGTGGTTGTAGTCATCAAGGAATTCACAATCTAGTAGGGAAACAGGTAGATATTTAAATCTCTGTAATCAAAATGGAAAAGCAAAAGTATTAACTATACCTGGAATATGGAACTGTTGGCTGGAGGAGATGGAATGAGATTCCTTCTCTGCCATCCCAAGAAGCATCATTACAATGATGGCAGAAGTCAGTAAATGGGATATGAAAGGAGAGGGGCCAAGACAAATTATGGAGACCCATTAGTTCTATATAGTGCTGGACCAGATCACCAGATCACAAGCCAACTTCCTGGCTGGCTAAGGAAGTCAGAGTTGTATGGAGTTGGAAGAAGATCTGTAATGTTTCCATGGTTCTGAACCTGGTCTCTGAAATCCTATATTCAGCTCTAAAAGTAAGGAAGTTGCCACAAAAGCAGAAATGGAAACCACACGTGCCAATAAAAACAGCTCACAGTTTCTGATCACCCACTACGGGCTAAGCACTTCAACAGAAAATGAGTATTATATTTAGACTTCTAGTTAGTGGTCCCTAGGAACCATTCTCCCCTTCTTCCTTTTAGTAATAGACTCCCCACTGAACTTCAGTAGAGCACATACATGCCTTTCCTACTACAAACAATATTTTCCAGCCCTCCCTGTAGCTTGATATGAATGTGTGACTTAGTTTTTACCAATGGAATGTGAGTAGAAGTAATATATACAACTTTCATGTCACTTCCACAGAACAGATTTGCTTTGGCTGGGCATAGAGGTTCACGCCTGTAATCCCAGCACTTTGGGAGGCCGAGGCAGGAGGATTGCTTGAGCCCAGGAGTTCAAGAACAGCCTAAACAACACAGTGAGACCCTGTCCCAATTAAAAAAACAAATCGATTTGCTTTCCCTCTGTTTCCTTGTTCCCGCTTTCCACGGCTGGGATGCTAACATGGTGTTAGCGCTGTGTAGAGGCGGGCAACAGCTACAGAAGAGCCTGGCAGCAAAAGAGAAAACCTGGGTCCCTGGACAACTGTATGGAACTGAGAAGCCACCACCTCCTCTTGCTACTGCCTTCTGTCACTGCTCCTGGTGGACCTGCCTTTAACCTTTTCTTTCCTGTCACCAAAGAACAAACACACACACAAAACAACATTGTAGAATTATGCCTGGGTTAAGAGAATATAGGCCACAGGTGAGGACATGTAAGAGACTTTTATATGTAAACTGTACAAGCTTTAGTGAATTGATGCTATAAAAATTATGTTCGCTTGTTTGGAAACCTTTGTTGTTTACATCCTGGTTTCAAATGACTAAAGTTACCTATTAGATATCCTCCAGGGGAGGGAAAGGTCATTGTATTCAGCAAGGGCAAACTGGTTCAACAATCAATTTCCAAATATTTGCATGCACTAGATACCAAAGATGGAAACACACATGATCTCTGCCCCCCAAAGATGTTGACTGGTGGGAAGAAGTGCCAATATAAAAATAGTGTTGAAAGGATTTAGTTAATACTATTGGTTGCACACAATCACACATCTGACACAAACTGGTTTAAGGCAGAAAAAAAGATCATTTATAAGCTTATGTAAATATGCAGTCCAAGAGTAAACCTGACTTCAGGGATGTAAACCCTACTGGATGAGAATCTTCATGGATGGGGCCTGGAAAGCTGTATTTTTGCCCCATCCTTATTTCCTACCAGGTAATTGTAATTCTGTTTTGGAAATAACTATTTTACGTAGATCATTCAAGTTGAAAATTAGATATTACACAGGGAGGAGAGAGACTGCAGGAGGAGACGATTATTCCTGAAGGGATGAGGGAATCCTGAACTCAGGCAGGAGCACCCCTTAGCACATTATGGGCCATGATGTCTGCTTGGTACTTACAACGGGGCTAATGCTGGCACCGGGAGCTTTGAAGGGGTGTCAGCAGAGGACCGTGCCAACTGTCTGTCAGTAAGTCTAAGGGTTCACGATCCTTATGAAAGTGGCTGCCACTTCCCTTCACCTAACAACTATTTATTGTGCAACTACATACCAGGCAGTGAGCTAGGCAGTGAGGACACACAGGTTCACAGGCAAAGAGCCTCTCTTCATGAAGCTTACATTCTAGACAGGAGATAGTCAGTAAACAATCAGAAAAACAAGCGCGCTACTGACTGTGTTAAGTTCTCTAAAGAGAAAAACCCCTTCACTCTATAGTTCCTAGTGCAGGCTGACATTGAATGGGATAGAGGAAAGGCCTTCGAGTTGACAACTTAGTGGAGAACTGAGAGGTGGGAATGAAGTAGTGGTTTGCAAGGCTGGAGTATGAGCCTTCCAAGGAGAGGCAATAGCAAGTGCAAAGGCCCTGCAGTGGGAGGGAACCAAGTGGGGTGAAGACACAGGAAGGATCAAGTATGGCCAGAGATCAGTGAGAAGGAAAGAGTAGAGTAGGATAAGTCTGAAGAGGCTGGCAAGAGCCAGTTTATGGGAAATCTTGTAGGCCCTGAAAGTTTGGATTTTATTCCACACACAACAAAGTGTTTGCTTTAAAAGGAATCTCCTGACTACTGTGTGGAGAAAGTATAAAATTAAGTTTGGGGCTAGATGGACCCCAAGATCCCTGTCTGGCCCCAATAACCCATGGCAAACTCCATGGGGTCCTCAGAAGTCCTCTTAGTAACTGTGGCTCCTATGTCAATGATGCTTAATAGAAGTATCCGCAAAAACAGAAATGTTCTGTATCTGCATACAAGTGGCTCTTGAACTGGAAATGTGGCTAGCGTGACTGCAGAACTGGATGTTAAATTTTATTCTATATAGACTAATTTATTTACGTTTATATAGCCACACGTGGCGAATGGCTATTATATTGGACAGCACAAGGCAACACTGAGCACCGAATGCCTGAGGATTTCTACTCCAAATCCTGAAGGCACGCCCTTCCCCGAATGTTGGGAGAGTGCGAGGATATGCTGACCCCCAAACGCAAATCCCCCTCTGTGCATTTAGTCTTGCCAAGATGGAGAGTCTCAGGCGGGCATTCTGAGCTGCTTCTTGTCACTGGGGAAAACCACGTGCACGCAGTGCTGAGGCGCCCCACGCGCGTCCTCAGGGGAAGCCAGGCACTGAGAACAAAGGTTGTGGGACCGCTCTTTGAGGAACTCACCAGCTCCGCGAGCTCGCGGCCGCCAGCGCGGTCCACCCATTGGCGGGAGAGGACTCACAGACCGCAGCTCCTCACCCCGCCTGCTCCGCAGCGGGACCGCGTAGACCTCAGCTCCCCGAGCAGCGCAGGTGGGCCAGGGAAGGAGAGGACCGAGGCAAGCCACCACGCGGGATTAGGGGTACGGGGACCCCTCGCCGCGCAGTCGCCTCTTTTTCACAGGGATGGGGGCAGGGGTGGCGCCGGCTGTCACCCGCACCGGATCTGCTTCCAGGGCTTGGTTTCGCTTTGCCTGGCTCTTGGCTAGGCCTGGCGCCCCGCGCGGAGCCGAGCAGGTGGCAGCCGAGGAGTGGCGGGGGCTGGAACATTTAACCCTTTGGGAGCACCTGCCCTCTCCCAGAGGGCGCGTCCCCGGATCAGGCCCGGTGCCCCGCAGCGCGCGTGGGTCCTGGCTGGCTGGAAGGAGGCCCTGACCTTGCTTTCTCTCCCGTGCCAGGTCTGCCAAGGACCATGGGTGCCGCGCTGGGGACAGGCACGCGGCTGGCTCCCTGGCCGGGCCGGGCCTGCGGCGCCCTCCCGCGCTGGACACCCACCGCGCCCGCCCAAGGCTGCCACTCCAAGCCTGGCCCGGCGCGCCCTGTGCCCCTGAAGAAGCGCGGATACGATGTCACCAGGAACCCTCATCTCAACAAGGTAATGGGCCAGAGGGCAGGACGGCCCGCGTTGCGATCCCGTGGCTGCCGGAAAATTGCGCCCCGCCCCCTGGACCCAGAAAGGATCCTCCCGGGCGCCCTTCCAGCGGTTTTTCTGTTTTTGCCTTGCAGGGGCTTGTTGTGACTTGGTTTGGCTTTCTTGTCCCTCCTCTCCCTTTTATGCGTGGAGAGAGGCGACCAGTAATGCAGGGAGCCTAATTTCTTCTGCAGTAACAACACAGACCAGGTTTAGATCCTCGCGGTCAGTCTGACCTGCGGTCAGCTCTCCCCTTGATGCTTACTAATTTTATTGGTCTTGGGCAGTTCATTTAACCTACATGAGCCTAGGTTTCCTTATCTGTAAAAGAGATATAATTGTCTTAGGAATGTCGTGAGATCTAAAGAGAAAATGCGGGTAGAAAATGGGGGTACGTTAGAACAGTGCCTGGTACCCAGTGGGAGAATAAATAAGGTTATGATTATTATTCTGAGAAAAAGATTAATTTGAGAGCAAGGATGGAAAAGTCTAGACTTATAGAAATTTTCGAGCTTGCAGGAGCATTAGAGATCCTAGTTTAAACCTCTTCTTTTACAAAAAACAAGACAAAGGAAACTTGCCCAAGGTCACCAGCTAGTTAGTTCTGGCTCTGCCACTGGAATCCAGATCTCCAATGCTTTGGTCGAGTTCAACCCACCGCTAGCTCTTTTGTATTTGTTTTTGGGAATAGAGTTTAGTATCTTTGGTTCAGAGGATTGGGTGAGAGAAATAGAAGCAAGGACAGATTTAGTCCTGTCTCCCCCTACCTCCTCAAATTAACTCACATATCTCATTTAACTTATCTGAGGCCCAACTTTCTCCAGCCTAAAATAGATATTATGATAGACCCACCATTTCTATCTCATTTGGTTATTGTGACAATAAAATGAATCACTGAACTTGAAATCATATTTTAAACTGTATAAAGTGCTGAATAACAATTACTGCAAAATAAATTTTTTTTTCATAATTGCTCTGACTCTGGATTGTGAAATTCAGGTGAGGCAGTCTGTATGGAAAAGATGTTTTTGAGAAGTAGGAACAACTATATAATGTGAAGTATTGTGACTGTTTCCTACAGAACTAATAGAAGCGGCTAAGGAAAAAAAAATCAAAATCAACCTCTATCACATTGGAGTCCTGCTCTTTCCAAAAGAAACCTTAAATTGTTTGGACGCTACCACTTTCCAAAGTGTTCAAGGTGTTTGTTATCACCTTGAATTACTTTGCTAGTAAGCGTTAGAAAATACAAACTGGCTTAAGCACACAAAGGCTCCTTTATCTAAAGAATCTAGAGGAAGGGTTGCAGGCACGGCTTGAACCACAAGCCCAGATGGCATTGCTCAAGATGCAGATTCTCTCTGGCTCTCTACTCTGCCTCTCTGCAAGGTCAGTTTCATCCTCAAGCTCTATTCAGTGAAGTCTCTCACTTCGTTATTGCCACAGTCCTCCATCTCCTGTTCTCACACCACATCATCCAGGAATAGAAAGATACTTTTATTCTGGTAGCTCTTGGGGAAGAGAAAATACCCTTTCTCTGACGCCTCAGAAAGCGAATCCTTCTGCCTTATTGACTCTGATTAGATTCTCTCTTCCCATTCCCAAACCAAAACCAATCACCAGTAATTAAAGCCGGTCAGAGCCCACCCCTGGAGTTAAAATGGGGTTTAAGGTAGGGCCACCCACACCATCTGGCTTGGAATAAAGGGAATATAGATCCTCACAGTAAATATGGATAGTGTCATCAGAAGGAGGAGGAATGGATGTAGAAAGCAAAACAATAAATTCCCACTACAGGCTCCAATCATTGTGAAAATAATTGCCTTAGAATTACTGGCATGTTACCAACCAGCATTTATTGCTTTGTTAAGTAGTTAAGAAAATGAAGGAAGATCTTTAAGTCTTTTTTTAAAACCTAGGTTTTGGTCCCCTGAAATCATTCTTGCCCCTGTCGTTTGCCTCTGATGTAAATTTTTTTCTCCCAAGTACTATAAATAAGTTGTTGATATGGTTTGGCTGTGTCCCCATACAAATCTCATCTTGAATTATAATCCCCATAATCCCCACGTGTTGTGGAAGGAACCCTGTGGGAGGTAATTGAATCACGGGGGTGGTTCCCCTGCATGCTGTTCTCGTGATAATGAATGAGTTCTCACGAGACCTGATGGTTTTATAAGTGCCTGACACATTTCCCCTGCTAGCGCTCATTCTCTCTCCTGCCACCCTCTGAGGAGGTGCCTTCGCCATGATTGTAAGTTTCTTGAGACCTTTCCAGCCATGTGGAACTGTGAGTCAATCAAACCTCTTTTCCTTATCAATTACCCAGTCTTGGGTATTTCTTCACAGCCGTGTAAGAACCAGACTAATACAGGTGTTATCCATAAATCTAAGGACCTGACCTTTCCATGATGTTAAACAACATCTTTTATATATTCCTGAAGTCAGCTGATGCTTGTCTGGGATAAGAAGGGTATCTAGAAGGAGGCTGACAGCCTGTTGGCATCCCCTATTCACTCACCCTTGGGGACAGAAGGGGAGCAACAGAGGGAGTGCTTCCTGGGAGTTACTGTGAGTGCCCTTCTCTTCCCACTGGAGTGCCACCCTCTGGCTGTTCTGTTGTCCTCCAGTGCTCAGAGAGTCTCCATGGAAGGCTTGAGCCTTGGTACTTTGCATCAGCCAGGTGGGAAGATAGTGCTGAGGTTAAATAGAACAATGAGGTTATTACTGAGGAAGCAAAATGGAAGTGCAGTTTTGAAAGAGTCTTCAATGCTGTGCTTAGTGTTCATGTCTGTGGGTGGATTTTTTTCTGTTAGAAGGAGAGCCCTTCCAGGCCAGGTAATGAGATTCGTCCACCTGTGTTTGGCATGGGGTAGTGCCTGAAAGATCTAGCTTAACATTAAATTCTTGGAATGTGTTCACTAGATTTGCAGCTCATTTCGACAGATTAGGAGTGGCATTTAAGTCGCAGCTGTATGACAGAGGGTGGTCAGGAGGTGGAATTATCTGAGAGAAGAGGTGCCGACCAGGGCAAGCATTGCTGCTATTGTGCATTCACTGGGTTCTGGTACCAGCTCCATCATGCTCTGGCCATGTGATCTGTGATGAATCTCATAAGCTCCTCTGCCCGTGTTACACTACTGCTTTGAGGATCATAGGAGACAGCCCCCATGTGGTAAATATTAGGTGATAATGAGGATGATTTCCATAATTGGGGTAGGAAGGCCCCTCAGAGATGATCTAGTCTGGAATTGTTCAGACTATGAGTTACAAACTATGAGACATGAAATTAGCTTAGTGGATCTACCAGCAATTTTTTTAAAGAAATGTATTAGAATGAAATAGAAAAATAGCAAATGCATTGAAGTTAATAAAGATGGATATTTTATCAGGTCAGCATGTAAAATGACTATTTTTACTGTGGATTGTAGTAACAAAAAGTTTTTGAAAATAATTGTTCTCATCCAACATTTTCATTTTCCAAAGAAAAGAGAAGCCAAGGAAGAAGCCAAGCAACTCCACAGAGATTATCATTGGTCATAGAAGTGGACAGAGGCAGCCTGCCTGCTGTATTTGAGTCTACTGAATAATGATGGCAATTCACAACTGCATAGACTGATTTAGGCATATTCCTGATGGTGACAGAATTGATACTAGATGATTCCAAGCTCCCTCCAGGAGTCTAGATTTTCTAAATGATGCAAATTAACTACGCATGAGCTTCTATTTTTCTTTTTAAAACTAATATTCTGCTTTTCTTCTAAAATTTATGTAATGACCTCTTCTATTGTCCATACGGATTTGGCAACAGAGTAAATCTTTGGTTATATGACCCCTCTTTTACTCACATTAAATAGGCAACTATCAGCCCCACTTCACAGGGTTACCTTCATAGGAAGATGCCATCCCCATTCTATAACTGTAGCAACATGTTGATGGGCCATCAACATATTTCTGACCTCCATTTACCTATAGTGTCTTTTAGGAAGAGCCGTCCTATTCCCCACTTGCCAAACTAGATCTGAGTCCCCTCCTATTTGTCTTATCACACTGTTGCCTTCTGGCACTGAGCACACTATTACAATGGCTGGTTGGTTTGCCTTCCACACTAGACCATGGGGACAGACACTCTGTCTTGTCACATGGCATTAGCTCTGTCTGACTTGAAATGCTCAATAAATATTTGTTCTTTAAATGATTTCAATCATGTCATGGCCCCTTTCCTCTCAACTTCATTAATCTGAATGTCACTACTTCACAGCCCAATGCTCTTGCTGCCTAAATAAATGCCTACATATGGCCCATTTGAAGGAAATGCACCTGCTTGACTCTCATCTTCCCAGACTTCAGGGCATTTAACTGAAGGAGTGCATTATTTCCCAGAACACACCAATCTTCCCCCTTTGATCCGTGTGTGCCAGCAGTGATTTTTTTTGCCACGAAATTCCACTGATCCTTCACCTGCTTCTCTGTAGTTTTTTCATCTCTTGAGCTTGATAGTCAGGGAAAGAATGAATGGAAAGTGTGCTTAGTCAAGTCACTGTGATTATGGACCAGGACATTTCACGTAGTGGGGCCTCAGAGACTGCAAGGCACCACGGGTGATGGCCTTCCCAGGTGGACTTGATACATTTAGAGCAGTAAACCTGCAAAGGCTTGAAGGACAGTGCTGCAGTGTTGGCTGTACATCTGAGACTGCACAGATTTCAGCTGAATCCCTTCTGTATTCAATGATGATTTATTAGACTTCCACACAGCTAGGATTTGCCTTTGAATAAAGTATATGATTTTGTTCTCTGCTAGCTTAGAACTTGATCTTGTCTTCTTTGGATGAGGGGAGGTTGTTACTATGGATTTGGCTCATCAATCAGGAGATGTTAAGTGTGTTGTATGGATAATTAGAAGTTTATTGGTGATGCTGGAAGGCAGATTACATAATATATCTTCTCGAGATCTCTGCTTCAGGTATGATGTAAAATTGTGCCTCCTAGTTGAGAGAAACAGTGGATTATTGTGTAAATATTAGCTCCATAAGTGGCAATTTACTCTAGATTTGAGCTTGTACAAAGACTCAGTTGCATTGAAGCTCAAATACTGTTCAGATATGTTGGAACAAACTAGCAGAGGCAGGTTGAAATCAAACTTTTCTCTGTTGAATACTGTCCTAGCTTCACAGGATTACTAAGTATTGGTATTGGGGCTTTGTTTTTAGAACAGCTCAGAGAATGTTTATTAGTTGCTACAGGTTAGGCAATGACAACAATGTGAACCCCAGATACAGAGGCTTAAATAAGATAGAAGTATATTTCTCTGTTAGGAACAAGTCTGGGCAAGCAATCATGAGTTGATGTGTGGTTTGACTTTGTTTCTCTGCCATCCAGTATGCATTTTACATTTCAAAGTCCAGGATGACAGGTCTTACCTCTGCTGTGAATTCCACGCAGAAGCCAATTGGGAAGGGGAAATCCCTTTTAAGGGCACAACTTGGAAGTTATAAATATCACTTCTACTTACATTCAGTTGGCCAGAAGTTGGTCATATGCTACATTTAGCTGCAAGAGAACATGGAAAATGTAATCTTTGGCTGGGCACCCATGTATTCAGCTAAAAATTCTACATTATTAAATAAAGGGAAATTGGAAAATGAAGATACTACCACAAAATGTTGATATGAAGCTTTCATTGTTTCACTCTGTCAATTTTACCCCAGCCTTTAAAAATTTATCTGTTTCTCTATATCCCCACTACCATCAGCCTTTTTCACTCCTTTGCCATCTCATATCTAGATTATGCAAGAACCTCTGAATTAATCTCCCAATTTCCAGTCCTCTTCAGTCTTCAGTCTTCTCCTCTAGATGCTTAGATCTTGGTCCTATCCTTGACCACTCTCTTTCTTTCAGACCCCTTATGGAATCCACCAGAAAATCCTGTTACCCTGTCTTCAGACTAAATCTGGAATCCAGCCCCTGTTCACCATGGGTCACCACTGATTGAAGCCTCCAGCATCTCTCTGCTTAATGCCTGCAGCAGCCTCCTGGCTGGTCTCCTCTTTCCCTTTAGCGCCTCTCATTTATTCTCAACACAATGGCCAGGGTGATTTTTTTTTAAAACTAAGTTTCAACATGTCACTCTTTGCTTAAAACCTGGCCACATCCAAGTCTTCATGATGCCTTTCATATTGATGCTCTCTAACTTCATCTCTTGCTACTCTTCTCTGCCTCACTCACTGCCCCAACCCCATTGGCCTCCTCAGTCAGTTGTGCTCCTACCCAGACTTTGCACTGACTGATCCTCCTTCCTAGAGCACACCACCCCTCCATAGCCACATAGTTAACTCCCTCCCTTTTTCAAAGTTTCTCACTTTCTCAATGATAGCTGCTTTGACCGACACATGTGAATTCATGAACAGTCCTTTCAACCTTCTTGCTCCCCCTACACATCCTGCTTTCCCCCATAGTATTTGACACTTCCTCATATGCTATCTAACTGCTTACTTAGTATGTCTATTGCTTATTGTCTGTTCACTTAAGATCCACTTAGGCAGGGACTTTGTCTGTTTGTTCATTGATGTATCACAGGTACTTAGTTGGTGCTCGTAAGCAGTTAGTGAATGAGCGAGTCATTCAAAGAGACATCTGCTAAGGCTCCCTCCTCTCATCTCTTCCCTTCACCCTGCCTTTTGCCAAGGCCCCTTCTTTCACCCTGGTGACTCTCATCGCCCAGTGTCCTCATCTGTGGTGTTGACATGCCCATCTGGAGTGTGTATACATCTTACATCAGCCCTTTGGGTGCCCAGAGGCCCACTACAGAATGAAGTGCTGGAGGAGCACAGCACAGAGATATTAACTGTTTATCTCCAGCTTTAAGCAGAGCCCAGGGAAGAAGGAGGTCCTATTCAGAAGACACAGGTGGTGCCTTGGAACCAGAGGTGGACAAGGACAATTCTTGAGCCCACGGAAAACACAAAAGGAGATGTTTAGGGAATAGACCAGAGTTAGGAGACCCCAGCATCTGTCAGCATCTCCACTGGAACTCCCACCCTCCACTCTGAGTCCTTGGAGACTTCATCCCTGCTCGGAATTTCTGTATTTCCACTGTTCTGTAGGACCCCTATAAAAGTCAAAGGAAACCACTCAGAGCCTCTGCTCCCAAGGGTCTGAAAATCAAGGAAATATGGAATGGGGTGCCCGGAACACAAGAGGGAGATTTGCTGTTCCTGGAACCTGAAGATGATACTCAGAAAGTGTTTTCTCATAGGCATGTTGTAAATAATTGAATCATCCTCCAAGGAAAGTATATCGTGTTAAGTAAGCATTTGTGTAATCATTATTAAGACTTTAGAAACATTGGCTTATGTTAATGAATGCTTAATTCAAATTGCAAAATACTAAGTAGACTGTATACTCATGAATGTTATTGTAAAAAGATATAAATATTAAAGGGCTTGGAAGTAAATGTGTGAATATGATTGTGTTATGTCAGTGAGATTATGGGAGATTTATTTCCTCTTTATGTACTTTTCCTTTAATGTTCCATTTTCTTTTCAATTTTAGGTTACAGTTTCTGTTGGGAATTGTTTCTAGAGCCAAGTAAATAATACTCAGACCAACTTTGGGAAGCTGGCCCATCTGTAACATATAGGTGGAGATCCCTCTGAAGTCGTCTCCTTTCAAGCTTTTATTATTAGTTATCTTCTAGAGGCAATAAAGTAATAACAAAATGTTAACAGAGGAGCCTGCTGCCTGTTCTAAAAGCAGTTGTAAACAGCAATATCTAGATTACGTCAGCAGCAACGCTGAAGGGTAAATCCCATACAGAAATATGTGTTTTGCCCAGACCTGGGCCAACTGACATCTTAAGTCAGTCTAAGTCTGGGCTCCATATATGGCGTTTTTTTGGACACTTTTTCAGGCTCATCTCTAGTCTCCCTGTTTCCAATTTATGTTGGCCTTTGTGGACCCTGAGGTTTATGGCCTTATTTTACTTCACATTTTTGTCATTTCTACCAAAGGTTTCTTTTTATCATCTACTCTTTTCTTTCCAAATGTCAGTATTATAGTGAGAGGGGGGAAAAAAGGCCTTTTGATTTCTATGGCCATTGCAAAAGGATCACTAATGTGCAGCACTTTTGTTTGCAAAGACATGGATTACAGTCAGTTTCAAAAACCTTCACTTTGATGTGTAGAAAGTATATCGGGAAATCCTTTGGGGGTGGTATCCGACTGCCTCTCTGATGCAGAGCACAAAAGATGCTCTATGATTGTGAGGAAAATGTGATGGATATCCTACAGTTGGGTGTGCCGAGGTCAGTGGTTAAAAGCATGCATTCATTTTGTATCTGAAAGGTTGCCATGCAGCCCAGTTGAAACACAATTCCTACCAAAAGGACACAGTAAAGAGTAAAATGCACCTGTCATTTGAGGAGAGGGATTTTTGATAGAAAGATCCACAGCTTTTGAGAAACTTGAATGAGAGAAAGCCAAAGCTGCATTGGCTTTCTAAAAGTGATTCTTGAAAACTAGAGGTATTTTAGAAGATACAGTTGAATGATCAGCAACTTGAGATTATTATATTTTAAAAGCATTTTGTCTTGATTCTGTGTCATCTTTTGGTAGTGAGCTACATGAAGCCCATTACTTAATTGGTCATGAAACATCTTCCTCTGTAGTGTGGAATTCTGGAGAAGGCAGTCTCTGTTGATCACTTTGTTTTGTTCTATTTTGCTTTGCTCTTTCAGAAAACTGAAGGAGGGAGTCTACATCTCTATAAATTGGCATAGCTTCTGAGTTATGAGGCTGCCCAGGGACTTCCCAACAGGAGAGGGATTGCCAAGTGTACAGTGGAGCTAGGGTTCCAGTCAAAATAGACATTCTGCATTCTTCTTTCTCTGGTTTTGAAAGAGGTGTTGAAGATTCCAATGCAGATTCCTATTATACTGAGTTTTCTTTGGTAACGTTATGGAGGGAAGTCAAGTAATAACAGCTAATGTTTTTAGGACATGCAGTGTGCTAGGAATTGTTCTAAGTAGTTTATATATGTTAACCCATTTAATACAATACCACAACATTTTGAGGTAGACACTGTTATTATATTATTCCTGTTTTAAATTTTATTTTCATTTTTATTTTTTTACAGACAGGGTCTTACTCTGTCACCCAGGCTGGAGTACAGTGGCACAATCATAGTTCACTGCAGCCTTGAACTCTTGGGCTCAAGTGATCCTCCCACCTCAGCCACCCAAGTAGCTGGGACTACAGGGGCAAGCTACCTTGCACAGCTAAATAAAAAAAAAATTAATTTTCTGTAGAGACAAGGTCTTGTTATGTTGGCCAGGCTGGTCTTGAACTCCTGGCCTCAAGTGATCCTCCCACCTCAGCCTCTCAGACACTGTTATTGTTCTTATATGACAGATGAGAAAACCGAGGCATAAGGTTAGCTAACTTGCCCTAGGTCATACAACTCATAGTGGCAGAACTGAGTCTTGAACTCAGGCCACCTGATTTTAGGGCTTATCCCCTACGCTGTACTAACACTTCTAGTGTGCAGGTTCCCTCTTATCTGGGACTAGTGCATGAAGTCTGATGTGCTGTGGCCTTTCCAGAGAAATAACTAGTGTATTCCCTGTTCCCTGCTGTGGACTTCTGATTAGCTTTTTTCACTTCCACTGGCTCTGTTAGAATTGTAGATTCTTAGAGCTGGAGAGAACTTTAAAGATCACTGGATGCCTTTTTCTCTCCCTTTAACTTTGTGTAATTCTCCCAAGACTCATTTGTTTGTTTAATTTATTCAATAGTCATTTTCTGAGTTCCTGTTTAGTTTTAGGCAGTGGAGACACCGTGGTCAATACAATACAATACAATACAATACAATACAATACAATACAATACAATACAATACTCTGCCTTGAAGGAGCTTATAGCGTAAGAGGGGTGCAAGTGAGGACCAGTTAGTAAGGGGCAATTCTAATTCAGTGGTTAGATGTAACGAGAGGTGCATTCATACAAGTGCTATGGAAGCACAGAAGAGAGGTGCAGAAACACTTCCAATGGCAGTGTTGGCAAGGCTGACACCTGTGGAAGTGTCAGAGGTGGTAGATGAAGATGGTGGAGGAGAAGCTATTTAGGTCAGATAATGAGACAGAATGGCATTGTCTCTGAGTATAGTCATCCATTGCTTTTGTAGCTCTATGTGCAGAAATTGAGCAATAGACATGTACCCTGTAAGAGACCTCATCTTCAGAAAGCTAAATAATATCATGACATTTCTAATTCTACAAATAGAATTAAAGACATCTCTCCAGTACTTTGACATGCTCTTTGGTTTTGTTCTTTCCCTCACTTTTGTGTTGCACAATGCCTGGGTGCCCCATCCATACCGGATCCACTTAAAAACTTTGGCATGCTTCAGGGTTCAGCATCTCCAGGGTCACCTCTGCTATGATGCCCTCCTCGATAACGCCACATGGCAGTAATTCATTCATCCTCTACATTTCTTTGGCATGTAGCATTTGTAGTAGTCATGGCTCTTTCCACATTTGGCCTTAGTGTACATTTATTAGCACATGTATCGCCATCATGTGCATGTGTTTTCTTCAGATCCAGGAGACTGTCGTGGGCATCTCATAGCCAGCATGCAATGCCTTCCTGATAGTGTAACCTCAGTAAAAATTAGTTACATGAATTGCCTCTACATTCCCTTCTCCTTGATGTATCAGAAACTATATGGTGAAGACTGATGATACATCAGCCCCATCTGTCAGCTCTTTTGAAAAGATGGTGAAAATCTTGACCTGACCCTCTTTTAGATCACTCCATGGGGACTGGAGAATTTTGAAAGCCACAAAAAATCTTTTATTTCATCATACAAATTTTGGAAATACATTTCTTTAAGAGAGTTTTCTGCTCTGATGTTGTGCCAGGTGCACTTCCTCTAAAGAATAGCATCTTTTGTGATGAGATTATCAATTCTCATCCGTGGGCTGCTTTAAAGACATTAAATTTAGACCTGTTCTAACTTGGAACAGGTTAGAGGATTTGGGGAGTAAAGGAAAGTAGTCAGCTAGAATCAATTTTGTGTGACACCCTCAAGGGGCATAGCCTGTGACCAGGTATTAGGCAGCAGAGCTCAAAGGCTAAAAATCGAGGGAATTACACTCAGAACAATCTAAGATTCCAATCCCATCTCTGCCATTCTCTAGATATGGGATATTTCTCTGAACCTCCATTTCCTTGTCTGTGAAAGGGATGACAATAAAACATATCTACTTGACAAGTTGCTATAATGATTAAGTGAAGTAATGTATGTAAAGCAGATGGTAAGTGTCCAATTAGTTCTTGATTAATGCACATCCTAAAGCTTCTGTTGCATTCCTAACACATTGTGAAGCCCTGTGTGGGCTGCAGAAGTCACAGATGTGATAGAGTTTACATCTGGTACATGCCCCCTGAAAGCATCCAGTCCGGAAGGAGAGGGGAAGACTGAAGGATCAAACTCACTTTCGATGGCCATGGGCTACATCTAATTTTGGCAGACTTGACAGGAGAAGAGTGAGTCAGAGAACAGGCAGACTGGGTGGAGACTTTAGTGATGATTTCCCAGTACTGGATAGAGCTTAAGCCTGGATAATCTAGACATTTGCCTGAGAGAAGCTTAAATTAAAATGTCACTAGCAGCAGAAATTCAAGTGTCATTTAAAGAGCTAGTAGTTCTGGAAGTTGAAGCTGGTGTTGAAGATAGTGGATATCATCAGTAGTCTCAGGATTTTGTCCCAACATTTTGGTATATTCTAACCAAGGTTTAAAAACTAACTTAAAAAAAAAATAGATCCAGCCAAATTTGGATCTATCTATCGATTGATTGGTCCATCCATCCATTCAGCTATCATCTATGTCTCTATCTACCTTCCTGCCTGTCACCATTATAACGCTCCCAGTCTCATGAGATTCTGATAGTGAGACAGGAAGTTAAGAGAATGTCTACCATGGGAATTTAGGATAAAAGTTAAAATGTTGTTTCATAGCCAGCTAAATAGGGTATGGCTGGGCCAACTTCACCCAGCTAGCAGTTAGACGGGGCAGGAAGTTTTAAGATAGTCTCCATCCACACTGCCACGGGTAGTTAATAAATACTTGCATACACAATGTGAACCAAACTTTTCTCCTCTGTTGGAACACAAGATGATCATCCCCCCAGAAGACAAAGAGGTCATCTTGACTAGCATTTAGGCTTTGGGCAGATAATATCCTAGCATTTTATCACTAGTCTACATAAGTTTTCAGAGGCCCTGAGGGGTTGATGTCCTGTCCAGGAAGTAAGTGGTGAAGGGGAACTCCCTCCTTGAGTGATGTCTGTCTCTTCTACCTACCATCTTTGAAAGGTAGCTCTTTGCCTGCCATCTTGAAATAGGGTCTTGAATCAGCCTCAGTCAACTTAGGCAGAGGGCTTTTGAGTCTCTCCATAAAAAAACTTGAATATTAAAACAATGCAGATGAAGTGCTTTAATATTAAACAACGTATGTTGCAAACCTAAGCATCTGTTGAGGTAGCTCCTGCTGTCGCTCCTGTGTGTCCGTTTCTGATGACTGTGTGAGTTCCCAGTTGCCACCCTCCTTTTGAATTTTATGTATTTCTTTGCAGTAACATGATCTTGAAAACATTACACAAACTGACAGAAAGCTTAGCCTTCATGTCATACTCTCCTTTCTTATCTCTTTTATTTTTGGTCTATTCTAGGCAGTAGATTTTTTTTGACTGGTAAAATCACTTGAGGTCACAAGGACAGTGAATAGCAATGCAGTTGCTGTTGATGAAACAGGAGTAGAGATGGTTGGTGTAGAGAAAAACCTATTAATAGCCATTTTTAGAAACAGACTTTTAAATCCACCCATCAGAGCTGAAACATTTCCCCTGTTCTCACACTCCCAGAGCTGGCAGCAGCTTCTCCTCATGTCTGAGGAGCCTAGCCATGCTTGTGGGAGATGATGGCATGGGTGCCAGTGGGGCAGCTGGCCAGGTGGTGCCAGGAGCGAGGGCCTGCCAAGCAGAGGGGCAGTCCTGCCTCTGGTAACTGGCTTTGACTGCAGGACTGGAGGGTCCAAGCATCCTTAGCCACTCTCTTGTTAACTGAGCTATTCAATGTTCTGTGATCTACTACTGTCAACTGGACAGAGTCAGCTGCCTCCTCTGGGGCTCAAAATTACTGGCACAATCACATTAAAAATAATAACAATCACATATAATGCCTACTGTGCCAGTTACTCTTACAGGTGTGTTACATATATTATTTGCAAGCAGAGGAAAAATTGCAGGCTGAGTGCAGTGGCTCACACCTATAATCCCAGCATTTTGAGAGGCTGAGGCAGGTGGATCACTTGACCTCAGGAGTTCGAGACCAGGCTGGACAACATGATGAAACCCCATCTCTACTAAAAATACAAAAATTAGCTGGGCTGGTGACGCATGCCTGTAATCCTATCTACTCGGGTGGCTGAGGCAGGACAAATGCTTGAACTCGGGAGGTGGAGGTTGCAGTACGCCAAGATCGCGCCCTGCACTCCAGCCTGGGCGACAGCATGAGATTGTCTCAAAAAAAAAAAATTGTGAAGAAGGTAAACTTTGCCTACATCTCTCCCATCTCCTGTTTTCATGGCCTCTTCTTCCTTAAAGACCGCCTCATATATGAGGCATATCCTGAGGTTCTTCATGGTACCCCTAAGATGCTGAGGGTTGCCAACCTAAGAAGAGCTATTCATCTTACATTATCCTGCTTCCTGTCCTAGAACTCATGTCTTCTTTACTTGCATCCCTGAATCCCTGTCCATCCATCCATCCACCCAATGTTTACTGAGCACCTGCTATCTTCTAGGCACTGTGAGGTATTGAGAATAACATCATAAGCTTGCCAGCTATGATTCTTCTTATTGCTGAGTGTACAATCTAGTGAGAAAGACAGATAATAAATAAGTGAACGAACAACATTATAAAGATGGTTATTATTTTTTTTCTAAAGGAAAATGATACCTCAGGAGTCTTTCTTCTAGTTTGGTCACAAGTTAATACCATAGCAAGCATGTAATTGTGAACTGCAGGGCTGCATTATCTTTTTTTTATTATTATACTGAAGTTCTGGGATACACGTGCAGAATGTGCAGGTTTATTACATAGGTATAAACGTGCCATGGTGGTTTCCTGCACCCATCAACCCATCATTTACATTAGCTATTTCTGGTAATGCTATCCCTCCCCTTGCCCCACACCCCCTCCTACAGGCCCCAATGTATGATGTTCCCCTCCTTGTGTCCATGTGTTCTCATTGTTCAACTCCCACTTATGAATGAGAACATGTGGTGTTTGGTTTGCTGTTCCTGTGTTAGTCTGCTGAGAATGATGGCTTCCAGCTTCATCCATGTCCCTGCAAAGGACACAATCTCATTCTTTTTTATGGCTGCATAGTATTCCATGGTGTATATGTGCCACATTTTCTGTATCCAGCCTATCATTGATGGGCATTTGGGTTGGTTCCAAGTCTTTGCTATTGTGAATAGTGCTGCAATAAACATACATGTGCATGTGTCTTTATAGCAGAATGATTTATAATCCTTTGAGTATATACCCAGTAATGGGATTGCTGGGTCAAACGGTATTTCTAATTCTAGATCCTTGAGGAATCCCCACACTGTCTTCCACAATGGTTAAATTAATTTGCACTCCCACCAACAGTATAAAAGCGTTCCTATTTCTCCACATCCTCTCCAGCATCTGTTGTTTCCTGACTTTCTAATGATTGCCATTCTAACTGGCATGGGATGATACCTCATTGTAGTTTTACTTTGCATTGCTCTAATGACCACTGATCATGAGCTTTTTTTTTTTCATATGTTTATCAGCCGCATTAGTGTCTTCTTTAGAGAAGTGTCTGTTCATATCCTTTACCCACTTTTTGATGGGGTTATTTGCTTTTCTCTTGTAAATTTTTTTTATTATTATACTTTAAGTTTTAGGGTACATGTGCACAACGTGCAGGTTTGTTACATATGTATACATGTGCCATGTTGGTGTGCTGCACCCATTAACTCATCATTTAACATTAGGTATATCTCCTAATGCTATCTCTCCCCCCTCCCCCCACCCCAAAACAGGCCTTGGTGTGTGATGTTCCCCTTCCTGTGTCCATGTGTTCTCATTGTTCAGTTCCCACCTTTGAGTGAGAACATGAAGTGTTTGGTTTTTTGTCCTTGCGATGGTTTGCTGAGAATGATGGTTCCCAGTTTGATCTATGTCCCTATAAAGGACATGAACTCATCATTTTTATGGCTGCATAGCATTCCATGGTGTATATGTGCCACATTTTCTTAATCCAGTCTATCATTGTTGGACATTTGGGTTGGTTCCAAGTCTTTGCTATTGTGAATAGTGCCACAATAAACATATGTGTGCATGTGTCTTTATAGCAGCATGATTTATAATCTTTTGGGTATATATCCAGTAATGGGATGGCTGGGTCAAATGGTATTTCTAGTTCTAGATCCCTGAGGAATCGCCACACTGACTTCCACAATGGTTGAACTAGTTTACAGTCCCACCAACAGTGTAAAAGTGTTCCTATTTCTCCACATCCTCTCCAGCACCTGTTGTTTCCTGACTTTTGAATGATTGCCATTCTAACTGGTGTGAGATGGTATCTCATTGTGGTTTTGATTTGCATTTCTCTGATGGCCAGTGATGGTGAGCATTTTTTCATGTGTCTTTTGGCTGCATAAATGTCTTCTTTTGAGAAGTGTCTGTTCATGTCCTTGGCCCACTTTTTGATGGGGTTGTTTGTTTTTTTCTTGTAAATTTGTTTGAGTTCTTTGTAGATTCCGGATATTAGCCCTTTGTCAGATGAGTAGGTTGCGAAAATTTTCTCCCATTTTGTAGGTTGCCTGTTCACTCTGATGGTAGTTTCTTTTGCTGTGCAGAAGCTCTTTAGTTTAATTAGATTCCATTTGTCAATTTTGTCTTTTGTTGCCACTGCTTTTGGTGTTTTAGACATGAAGTCCTTGCCCATGCCTATGTCCTGAATGGTAATGCCTAGGTTTTCTTCTAGGGTTTTTATGGTTTTAGGTCTAACGTTTAAGTCTTTAATCCATCTTGAATTAATTTTTGTATAAGGTATAAGGAAGCGATCCAGTTTCAGCTTTCTACATATGGCTAGCCAGTTTTCCCAGCACCATTTATTAAATAGGGAATCCTTTCCCCATTGCTTGTTTTTCTCAGGTTTGTCAAAGATCAGATAATTGTAGATACGTGGCGTTATTTCTGAGGGCTCTGTTCTGTTCCATTGATCTATATCTCTCTTTTGGTACCAGTACCATGCTGTTTTGGTTACTGTAGCCTTGTAGTATAGTTTGAAGTCAGGTAGCGTGATGCCTCCAGCTTTGTTCTTTTGGCTTAGGATTGACTTGGCGATGCAGGCTCTTTTTTGGTTCCATATGAACTTTAAAGTAGTTTTTTCCAATTCTGTGAAGAAAGTCATTGGTAGCTTGATGGGGATAGCATTGAATCTATAAATTACCTTGGACAGTGTGGCCATTTTCACGATATTGATTCTTCCTGCCCATGAGCATAGAATCTTCTTCCATTTGTTTGTATCCTCTTTTATTTCATTGAGCAGTGGTTTGTAGTTCTCCTTGAAGAGGTCTTTCACATCCCTTGTAAGTTGGATTCCTAGGTATTTTATTCTCTTTGAAGCAATTGTGAATGGGAGTTCACTCATGATTTGGCTCTCTGTTTGTCTGTTATTTGTGTATAAGACTGCTTGTGATTTTTGCACATTGATTTTGTATCCTGAGACTTTGCTGAAGTTGCTTATCAGCTTAAGGAGATTTTGGGCTGAGACGATGGGGTTTTCTAGATATACAATCATGTCATCTGCAAACAGGGACAATTTGACTTCCTCTTTTCCTAATTGAATGACCTTTATTTCCTTCTCCTGCCTGATTGCCCTGGCCAGAACTTCCAACACTATGTTGAATAGGAGTGGTGAGAGAGGGCATCCCTGTCTTGTGCCAGTTTTCAAAGGGGATGCTTCCAGTTTTTGCCCATTCAGTATGATATTGGCTGTGGGTTTGTCATAGACAGCTCTTATTATTTTGAGATATGTCCCATCAATACCTAATTCATTGAGAGTTTTCAGCATGAAGGGTTGTTGAATTTTGTCAAAGGCCTTTTCTGCATCTATTGAGATAATCATGTGGTTTTTGTCACTGGTTCTGTTTATATGCTGGATTACGTTTATTGATTTGCATATGTTGAACCAGGCTTGCATCCCAGGGGTGAAGCCCACTTGATCATGGTGGATAAGCTTTTTGATGTGCTGCTGGATTCAGTTTGCCAGTATTTTATTGAGGATTTTTGCATCGATGTTCATCAAAGATATTGGTCTAAAATTCTCTTTTTTGGTTGTGTCTCTGCCTGGCTTTGGTATCAGGATGATGCTGGCCTCATAAAATGAGTTAGGGAGGATTCCCTCATTTTCTATTGATTGGAATAGTTTCAGGAGGAATGGTACCAGCCCCTCCTTGTATCTCTAGTAGAATTCGGCTGTGAATCCATCTGGTCCTGGATTTTTTTTGGTTGGTAAGCTATTAATTATTGCCTCAATTTCAGCTCCTGTTATTGGTCTATTCAGAGATTCAAATTCTTCCTGGTTTAGTCTTGGGAGGGTGTATGTGTCGAGGAATTTATCCATTTCTTCTAGATTTTCTAGTTTATTTGTGTAGAGGTGTTTATAGTATTCTCTGATGGCAGTTTGTATTTCTGTGGGATTGGTGGTGATATACCCTTTATCATTTTTTATTGCCTCTACTTGATTCTTCTCTCTTTTCTTCTTTATTAGTCTTGCTAGCAGTCTATCAATTTTGTTGATCTTTTCAAAAAAACAGCTCCTGGATTCATTGATTTTTTGAAGGGATTTTTGTGTCGCTCTCTCCTTCAGTTCAGCTCTGATCTTAGTTATTTCTTGCCTTCTGCTAGCTTTTGAATGTGTTTGCTCTTGCTTCTCTAGTTCTTTTAATTGTGATGTTAGGGTGTCAATTGTAGATCTTTCTTGCTTTCTCTTGTGGGCATTTAGTGCTATAAATTTCCCTCTACGCACTACTTTGAATGTGTCCCAGAGATTCTGGTATGTTGTGTCTTTGTTCTCATTGGTTTCAAAGAACATCTTTATTTCTGCCTTCATTTTGTTATGTACCCAGTAGTCATTCAGGAGCAGGTTGTTCAGTTTCCATGTAGTTGAGCAGTTTTGAGAGAGTTTCTTAATCCTGAGTTCTAGTTTGATTGCACTGTGGTCTGAGAGACAGTTTGTTATAATTTTTTGTCTTTTACATTTGCTGAGGAGTGCTTTACTTCCAACTATGTGGTCAATTTTGGAATGGGTGTGGTGTGGTGCTGAAAATAATGTATAATCTGTTGATTTGGGGTGGAGAGTTCTGTAGATATCTATTAGGTCTGCTTGGTGTAGAGGTGAGTTCAATTCCTGGGTATCCTTGTTAACTTTCTGTCTCGTTCATCTGTCTAATGTTGACAGTGGGGTGTTAAAGTCTCCCATTATTATTGTGTGGGAGTCTAAGTCTCTTTGTAGGTCTCTAAGGACTTGCTTTATGAATCTGGGTGCTCCTGTATTGGGTGCATATATACTTAGGATAGTTAGCTCTTCTTGTTGAATTGATCCCTTTACCATTATGTAATGGCCTTCTTTGTCTCTTTTGATTTTTGTTGGTTTAAAGTCTGTTTTATCAGAGACTAGGACTGCAACCCCTGCCTTTTTTTTTTTTCCATTTGCCTGGTTGATCTTCCTTCATCCCTTTATTTTGAGCCTGTGTGTGTCTCTGCACGTGAGATGGGTTTCCTGAATACAGCACACTGATGGGTCTTGACTCTTTATGCAATTTGCCAGTCTGTGTCTTTCAATTGGAGCATTTAGCCCATTTACATTTAAGGTTGATATTGTTATGTGTGAATTTGATCCTGTCATTATGATGTTAGCTGGTGATTTTGCTCATTAGTTGATGCAGTTTCTTCCTAGCGTGGATGGTCTTTACACTTTGGCATGTTTTTGCAGTGGCTGGTACTGGTTGTTCCTTTCCATGTTTAGTGCTTCCCTCAGGAGCTCTTTTAGGGCAGGCCTGGTGGTGACAAAATCTCTCAGCATTTGCTTGTCTCTCAAGTATTTTATTTCTCCTTCACTTATGAAGCTTAGTTTGGCTGGATATGAAATTCTGGGTTGAAAATTCTTTTCTTTAAGAATGTTGAATATTGACCCCCACTCTCTTCTGGCTTGTAGAGTTTCTGCAGAGAGATCAGCTGTTAGTCTGATGGGCTTCCCTTTGTGGGTAACCCGAGCCTTTTCTCTGGCTGCCCTTAACATTTTTTCCTTCATTTCAACTTTGGTGAATCTGACAATTATGTGTCTTGGAGTTGCTCTTCTCGAGGAGTATCTTTGTGGCATTCTCTGTATTTCCTGAATCTAAATGTTGGCCTGCCTTGCTAGATTGGGGAAGTTCTCCTGGATAATATCCTGCAGAGTGTTTTCCAACTTGGTTCCATTCTCCCCATCACTTTCAGGCATACCAGTCAGACGTAGATTTGGTCTTTTCACAGAGTCCCATATTTCTTGGAGGGTTTGTTCATTTCTTTTTATTCCTTTTTCTCTAAACTTCTCTTCTTGCTTCATGTCATTCATTTGATCTTCCGTCACTGATACCCTTTCTTCCAGTTGATCGAATCGGCTACTGAGGCTTGTGCATTCGTCATGTGGTTCTCGTGCCATGGTTTTCAGCTCCATGAGGTCCTTTAAGGACTTCTCTGCATTAGGTATTCAGTTAGCCATTCGTCTAATCTTTTTTCAAGGTTTTTAACTTCTTTGCCATGGGTTCGAACTTCCTCCTTCAGTTCGGAGTCATTTGATCATCTGAAGCCTTCTCCTCTCATCTCATCAAAGTCATTCTCCATCCAGCTTTATTCCATTGCTGGAGAGGAGCTGTGTTCCTTTGAAGGGGCAGAGGTGCTCTGATTTTTAGAATTTTCAGCATTTCTGCTCTGTTTTTTCCCCATCTTTGTGGTTTTATCTACTTTTTCGTCTTTGATGATGGTGATGTACAGATGGAGTTTTGGTGTGGATGTCCTTTCTGTTGGTTAGTTTTCCTTCTAACAGTCAGGACCCTCAGCTGCAGGTGTGTTGGAGTTTGCTGGAGGTCCACTCCAGACGCTGTTTGCCTGGGTATCAGCAGCAGAGGCTGCAGAACAGCGGATATTGATGAACAGCAAATGTTGCTGCCTGATCGTTCCTCTGGAAGTTTTGTCTCAGAGGAGTACCCGGCCATGTGAGGTGTCAGTCTGCCCCTACTTGGGGGTGCCTCCCAGTTAGGCTACTCAGGGGTCAGGGACCCACTTGAGGAGGCAGTCTGTCCATTCTCAGATCTCAAGCTGCGTGCTGGGAGAACCACTACTGTCTTCCAAGCTGTCAGACAGGGACATTTAAGTCTGCAGAGGTTTCTGCTGCCTTTTGTTTGGCTATGCCCTGCCCCCAGAAGTGGAGTCTACAGAGGCAGGCAGGCCTCCTTGAGCTGTGGTGGTCTCCACCCAGTTTGAGCTTCCCAGCTGCTTTGTTTACCTACTCAAGCCTCAGCAATGGCGGGTGCCCCTCCCCCAGCCTCGCTGCCACCTTGCAGTTTGATTGCAGACTGCTGTGCTAGCAATGAGTGAGGCTCTGTGGGCGTAGGACCCTCCGAACCAGGTGAGGGATACAATCTCCTGGTGTGCCGTTGGCTAAGACCGTTGGAAAAGTGCAGTATTAGGGTGGGAATGACCTGATTTTCCTGGTGCCCTCTGTCACCCCTTTCCTTGGCTAGGAGAGGGAATTCCCTGACCCCTTGCACTTCCTGGGTGAGGCGATGCATCACCCTGCTGCAGCTCACGCTCGGTGTGCTGCACCCACTGTCCTGCACCCACTGTCTGACAATCCCTGGTGAGATGAACCCAGTACCTCAGTTGGAAATGCATAAATCATTCATCTTCTGTGTCGCTCACACTGGGAGCTGTAGACTGGAGCTGTTCCTATTTGGCCATCTTGACTTCCCATTGTAAATTTGTTTAACTTCCTTGTAGATTCTGGATATTAGCCCTTTGTCAGATGGATAGATAGCAAAAATTTTCTCCCATTCTGTAGGTTGCCTGCTCACTCTGATGCTAGTTTCTTTTGCTGTGCAGAAGCTCTTTAGTTTAACTAGATCCCATTTGTCAATTTTGGCTTCTGTTGCCATTGCTTTTGGTGTTTTAGCCATGAAGTATTTGCCCATACGTATGTACTGAATGGTATTGCCTAGGTTTTCTTCTAGGGTTTTTATGGTTTTAGGTCTTATGTTTAAATATTTAATCCATTTTGAGTTAATTTTTGTATAAGGTATAAGGAAGGGGTCCAGTTTCAGTTTTCTGCATATGGCTAGCCAGTTTTCCCAACACCATTTATTAAGTAGGGAATCCTCTCCCCATTGCTTGTTTTTGTCAAGTTTGTCAAAGATCAGATGGTTGTAGATATGTGGTATTATTTCTGAGGTCTCTGTTCTGTTCCATTAGTCTATATATCTGTTTTGGTACCAGTACCAAGCTGTTTTGTTTACTGTAGCATCGTAGTATAGTTTGAAGTCAGGTAGCATGATGCCTCCAACTGTGTTCTTTTTGCTTAGGATTGTCTTGGCTATATAGGCTCTTTTTTGGTTCCACATGAAATTGAAAGTAGTTTTTCCTAATTCTGTGAAGATAGTCAATGGTAGCTTGATGGGAATAGCATTGAATCTATAAATTATTGGGCAATATGACCATTTTCACAATATTGATTGTTCCTGTCCATGAGCATGGAACGTTTTTCCATTTGTTTGTGTCCTCTCTGATTTCCTTAAGCGGTGGTTTGTAGTTCTCCTTGAAGGAGTCCTTCACATCCTTGTAAGTTGTATTCCTAGGTATTTTATTCCCTTCATAGGAATTGTGAATGGGAGTTCACTCATTATTTGGCTGTTTGTCTATTATTGGTGTATATGAATGCTTGTGATTTTTGCACATTGATTTTGTATCCTGAGACTTTACTGAAGTTGCTTGTCAGCTTAAAGAGTTTTTGGGTTGAGACGATGGTGTTTTCTAAATATACAATCATGTCATCTGCAAACAGAGACAATCCGACTTCCTCTCTTCCTATTTGAATATATTTTATTTCTTTCTCATGCCAGATTGCCCTGGCCAGAACTGTCAATATTATGTTGAATAGGAGTGGTGAGAGAGGGCATCCTTGTCTTGTGCCAGTTTTCAAAGGAAATGCTTCCAGCTTGTGCCCATTCAGTATGATATTGGCTGTGGGTTTGTCATAAGTAGCTCTTATTATTTTGAGATATGTCCCATCAATACCTAGTTTATGGAGTGTTTTTAGCATGAAGGGGTGTTGAATTTTCAAAGGACTTTTCTGCATCTATTGAGATAATCATGTGGTTTTTGTCTTTGGTTCTGTTTATGTGATGAATAACTTTTATTGATTTGTGTATGTTGAACCAGCCTTGCATCCCAGGGATGAAGCCAAGTTGATGGTGGCTGACAAGCTTTTTAATGTGCTGCTGGATTCGGTTTGCCAGTATTTAATTAAGAATTTTTGCATTGATGTTCATCAGAGATATTGGCCTGAAATTTTCTTTTTTTGTTGTGTCTCTGACAGATTTTGGTATCAGGATGATTCTGGCCTCATAAAAACAGGGCAGAGTCCTTCTTTTTCTGTTGCTTGGAATAGTTTTAGAAGGAATGGTACCAGCTCCTCTTTGTACCTCTGGTGGAATTTGGCTGTGAATCCGCCTGGTCCTGGGCTTTTTTGGTTGGTAGGCTATTAATTACTGCCTCAATTTCAGAACTTGTTATTGGTCTAATCATTGATTTGTCTTCTTGGGAGGGTGTATGTGTCCAGGAATTTATTCACATTTTTCTAGATTTTCTAGTTTATATGCATAGAGGTGTTTATAGTATTCTCTGATGGTAGTTTGTATTTCTTTGGGATCAGTGGTGATATCCCCTTTATCATTTTTTATTATGTCTATTAGATTAATAAAGAAGAAAAGGAGAAGAATCGTTCTAGCAGTACATCTGTTTTGTTAATCTTTCCAAAGAACCAGTTCCCTGGATTCATTGATTTTTTTTTTTTTGAAAGGTTTTTTGTGTCTCTATCTCCTTCAGTTCTGTTCTTATCTTAGTTATTTCTTGTCTTCTGCTAGCTTTTGAATTTGTTTGCTTTTGCTTCTCTAGTTCTTTTAATTGTGATGTTAGGGTGTCGATTTGAGATCTTTCCAGCTTTCTGATGTGGGCATTTAGGGCTACAAATTTTCCTCTTAACACTGCTTTAGCTGTGTCCCACAGATTGTGGTACATTGTCTCTTTGTTCTGTAAACTCCCCTCTTAATACTGCTTTAGCTGTGTCCCAGAGATTCTGGTATGTTATATCTTTGTTCTCACTGGTTTCAAAGAACTTCTTGATTTCTGCCTTAGTTTTGTTATTTACCCAGTAGTCATTCAGGAGTACGTTGCTCAGTTTCCATGTAGTTCTGCAGTTTGGAGTGAGTTTCTTAATCCTAAATTCTAATTTGATTGCATTGCAGTCTGAGAGAATGTTAGTTATGATTTCCATTCTTTTGCATTTGCTGAGGAGTATTTTACTTCCAATTATGTGGTCAATTTTAGAATAAGTGCTATGTGGTTCTGAGAAGAATGTATATTCTGTTGATTTGGGGTGGAGAGTTCTGTAGATGTCTATTAGCTCCACTTGGTGCAGAGCTGAGTTCAAGTCCTGAAATATCCTTGTTGATTTTATGTCTCGTTGATCTGTCTAATATTGACAGTGGGGTGTTAAAGTCTCCCACTATTATTGTGTGGGAGTCTAAGTCTCTTTGTAGGTCTCTAAGAACTTGCTTTATGAATCTGGGTGCTCCTGTACTGGGTGCATATATATTTAGGATACTTAGCTCTTCTTGTTGCATTGATCCTTTTACCATTATGTAATGCCCTTCTTTGTCTTTTTTGATCTTTGTTGGTTTAAAGTCTTTTTTTATCAGAGACTAGTATTGCAACCCCTGCTTTTTTTTTGTTTTCCATTTGCTTGGTAAATCTTCCTCCATCCCTTTATTCTGAGCCTATGTGTGTCTTTGCATGTGAGATGGGTCTTTTTTTTTTTTTCTTTTTTGAGATGGAGTCTCGCTGTGTCTCCCAGGCTGGAGTGCAGTGGCATGATGTCGGCTCACTGCAAGCTCCGCCTCCTAGGTTCATGCCATTCTCCTGCCTCAGCCTCCCGAGTAGCTGGGACAACAGGTGCCCGCCACCACACCTGGCTAATTTTTTGTATTTTTTAGTAGAGATGGGGTTTCACTGTGTTAGCCAGCACACTGATGGATCTTGATTCTTTATCCAATTTGCCAGTCTGTGTCTCTTAATTGGGGCATTTAGTCCATTTACATTTAAGGTTAATATTGTTATGTGTGAATCTGATCCTGTCATTATGATGCTAGCTGGTTATTTTGCCCATTAGTTGATGCAGTTTCTTCACAGTGTCAATCGTCTTTACTTTTTGATACGTTTTTGCAGTGGCTGGTACCAGTTTTTCCTTCCTGTATTTAGTGCTTCCTTCAGGAGCTCTTGTAAGGCAGGCCTGGTAGTGACAAAATCCCTCAGCATTTGCTTGTCTATAAAAGATTTTATTTCTCCCTCACTTATGAAGCTTGGTTGGCTGGATATGAAATTCTGGCTTGAAAATTATTTTCTCCAAGAATGTTGAATGTTGGCCTTCACTCTCTTTTGGCTTGTAGGGTTTCTGCAGAGAGATCCACTGTTAGTCTGATGGACTTCCCTTTATGGGTAATCTGACCTTTCCCTCTGGCTGCCCTTAACATTTTTTCCTTCATTTCAATCTTGGTGAATCTGATGATTATGTGTCTTGGGGTTACTCTTCTCATGGATTATCTTAGTTTTGTTCTCTGCATTTCCTGAATTTGAATGTTGGCCTGTCTTGTTAAGTTGGGGAAGTTCTCCTGGATAATATCCTGAAGTGTGTTTCCCAACTTGGTTCCATTCTCCTCGTCACTTTCAGGTACACCAATCAAACGTAGGTTTCATCTCTTCACATAGTCCCATATTTCTTAGAGGCTTTGTTTGTTACTTTTCATTCTTTGTTCTCTAATCCTGTCTTCATGCTTTATTTTACTAAGTTAATCTACAGTCTCTGATATCCTTTATTCCACTTGATTGATTTCACTATTGATACTTGTGTATGTTTCATGAAATTCTTGTGCTGTGTTTTTTAGCTCCATTAGGTCATTTATGTTCTTCTCTAAACTGGTTATTCTAGTTAGCAGTTCCTGTAACCTTTTATCAAGGTTCTTAGCTTCCTTGCATTAGGTTAGCATATGCTCCTTTAGCTTGGAGGAGTTTGTTATTACCCACCTTCTGAAGCCTACTTCTGTCAATTCAAACTCATTCTTTGTCCAGTTTTGTTTCCTTGCTGGCAAAGAGTTGTGATCTTTTTGAGGAGAAGAAGCATTCTGGATTTTGGCATTTTCAGCCTTTTTGCCCTGGTTTTTCCTCATCTTCGTGGATTTGTCTACCTTTGGTCTTTGATTCTGGTGACCTTCAGATGGGGTTTTTGAGCGTTCGTTCTTTTTGTTGATGTCGATGCTATTGCTTCCTGTTTGTAAGTTTTCCTTCTAACAGTCAGGTCGCTCTTCTGCAGGTCTGCTGGAGTTTGCTGGAGGTCCACTCCAGACCCTGTTTGCCTGGATATCACCAGCAGATGCTGCAGAACAGTGAAGATTGCTGCCTGTTCCTTCGTCTGGAAGCTTCATCCCAGAGGGGCACCTCCCAGATGCCAGCTGGGGCTCTCCTGTATGAGGTGTCTGTTGACCCCTGCTGGAAGGTGTCTCTCCTTCAGGAGGCACAGGGGTCAGGGACCCACTTGAGGAGGCAGTCTATCCCTTAGCAGAGCTCGATTGCTGTGCTGGGAGGTCTGCTGTTCTCTTCAGAGCCGGCAGGCAGGAACATTTAAATCTGCTGAAGCTGCACCCACAGCCACCCTTTCCCCCAGGTGCTCTGTCCCAGGGAGATGGGAGTTTTATCTATAAGCCCCTGACTGGGGCTGCTGACTTTTTCTCAGAGATGCCCTGCCCAAAGGGGAGAAATCTAGAGAGTCTGGCTACAACGAGCTGCAGTGGGCTCCGCACAGTCCAAACTTCCTGGTGGCTTTGTTTACACTGTGAGGGGAAAACGGCCTACTCAAGCATCAGAAATGGTGGACACCCCTCCCCCCACCAAGCTGGAGTGTCCCAGGTTGACTTCAGACTGCTGTGCTGGCAGTGAGAATTTCAAGCCAGTGGATCTTAGTTTGCTGGGCTCTGTGGGGGTGGGATCTGATGAGCTAGACCACTTGGCTCCCTGGCTTCAGCCCCCTTTCCAGGGGAGTGAATAGTTCTGTCTTGCTGGTGTTCCAGCTGCCACTAGGTTACAAAAAAAATACTCCTGCAGCTAGTTTGGTGTCTGCCCAAAAGGCTGCCTGGCTTTGTGCTTGAAACCTGGGGCCCTGGTGGTGTAGGCACCCGAGGGAATCTCCTGGTCTGCGGGTTGCAAAGACAGTGGGAAAAGCGTAGTATCTGGGCCACATAGCTTCGTCTCTCATGGCACAGTCCCTCATGGCTTCCCTTGGCTAAGGGAGAGAGTTCCCCAACCCCTTGCACTTCCCAGGTGAGGCGATGCCCCACCCTGCTTCTGTTCACCCTCTATGGGCTGCACCCACTGTCTAACCAGTCCCAGTGAGATGAGCCAGGTACCTCAGCTGGAAATGCAGAAATCACCCGCCTTCTGTGTTGGTCTCATTGGGAGCTGCAGACCGGAGCTGCTCCTATTTGACCATCTTGCCTGGGAATCCTAACAATGGTTATTGGTGGTACGGAATAAATAAACAGAGTATAGTGTAAGAGAATAACAGGGAATCTACAGAAGACCTCTTAAGGAGGCGATATTTAAGAATAGACCTAAAGAAAGAGCCAGCCAGAGGAGAAGCTGCAGTAAGACTGTTTGGGGCAGAGGGAACAGCTTATATCACGTAGAGTCTGGAGACCACAAATAGCTTGGCATGGAAGGCTCTGGGAGCTGACAATAGGCAGTCTAATAGGAGTGTGATGAGTAAAAGGAAATTGCATAAAATCAGGGTGGAAAGAGCTCAGGGGTCAGATTGTCCCAGGCCTGGGAGTCTGTGTATGTGGGCTGGGTTTCATCCTCTGTAAAGCAGGACACTATTAAATGGTTCTAAGCAAGGAAGTGCTTTTGACTTACATTAGTCAAAGATCTCTCTGGCTGCTGTATGGAGAACAGATTGGAAGAGGGCAAGAGTGGAAGAAGCAAGACCAGTTAGAGGCTAGTGCAGTCATTGGAGCAGGAGAAGATGGGTGCTGGGATGGAGGGGTCACGGAGAGGCAGGAGCGGTCAGATTAGAAATAGAGTTAGAAGGTAGAGCAACCGGGGCTGCCCCACTGTGTTCTTGGGATTCACCAGAACCCAGTCTGTATGTTCCGCTCTCTGCCCTCCACACCCCTCACAGTGACCACCACTGCTTATTGCAATTACTTCCCATGCTTCCTCAGCATTCTTCATAATAAAAGGAAATCAAATATTTGTGTTTTACCATTATAAAGTGCTCCTGATTGGTCATCTCATCTGATCCCCACAAAAAGCTTGTGAGGCAGGTGTTATTACCTTCGTTATACAGGGGAGGATGCTGGAGCCCAGAGGACTGAGTTGCCCATGGTCTTCCAGATAGTAAGGGACATCAGCAAGTCTCATTTCCAGATTCCCTGAGACCGTTCACTGACTTATTCAATAAACTTATTGAGAACCTACTGTGTTCCAGGCACTGTGCTGGGTTCATGGTCCTTGCTCTCAAGGAACCTAGAGTGTAAAGAACAGACAGACTAGCAAGCTCATAAGAGTAAAGCAGTATAATAGGTTTCATATTATATTAAAAGTATGTTATCAATAATTTGTCCAAGTTTTGCATTCATGGGGAGAAAGAAGGGTAAGAAGGTTTCTTAAAGTAGCTGGCCTTTGATCTTAAATTATATAAATAATGTGTTGCATCAAGTGAAAAGGAAGGTTGCTGTAACCTCTTTCCAAGGGTGATTACTTTTTCTTGGTGTGTCAAGGCTAAGACCTAAAAGATAGATTGGGATTTCCTGGGAAGAGAAGATGGGGGAAAGATGTTCTAAGCAAATATAGCAATAGCAAAACTGTATGGTTTGAGAGGATTTGTGGGTGGTTCTGAATGGAGGACAGAGTGTGTGGAAGGATGGGGCAGGAGGGAAAGTCATGGGTAGGGGGCATGGGCTGCTGTTTGCCTGCATGAAGAGTTAAACCTTAGCTCTGAAGATGAACACTGAAGAGTGACACTATAGGATTTGAACTTTAGACAGATCATCTGGCCCCAGGTAGGAGACAGAAACAGAGTCTGGGAGACTAGTCAAGAAGGAATTTATTCCCTATGAGGGAAATGAGGACCTTGTATGACGAATAGTGAAGCAAACACAGACATGAGAGGCCTAAGGAAGCAAAAGACTGGGCTCTTTTCAGAATTCCTTGAGCTCCATAACAGCAGTAATAGGAGTCCAAGAGCTATTGTCAACATGTCAAAAAAAACTAATAGAAACCTTATATTTATCCATCATAAATTTACACAGCTTAACCAAGATATCACATTCCTCTGTCTTTGCCTAGAATTAAATGGAATAAAACTATTAATACTGGTTATCTCACGCAAGTATCAAAAGTTCTGCTTGGCAGTTATGTGTCTTTAAACATTGGAAAATAAATTAACTATTAATAAATGCAGGATTTTTCAAAACATGAAATTCATGAAGGTGTACTTTGAGACTGAGGAATATGTGAGGAATTACATGCTTGAGCCCTTTTTATTTGATTTTATTTTATAAGACAGGGTCTTGCTCTGTCACCCAGGCTGGAGTGCAAGTGGCATGATCGTGACTCACTGCAGCCTCCACCTCCCAGGGTTAAGGGATCCATTCCCACTTTAGCCTCCCAAGTAGCTGGGACCAAAGGCACAGGCCACCACACCTGGCAAATCTTTATTTTAAGAATTGTATTGTGAATATTGGGGTCATTGATCTTTAACCATCTTTGTTCTTGTTCTGTTTTCATAAAGCAACACTCTGGTTATAATTTTATCTCCCAAAATAGATGGAAAGCACCAATTTGCTGAGTACATTGTTGCGTGAGATGGCATTTTTGTCATTTTGTGGACATTGATCAGCCTCCCATGCAGTAGTTGGCATCACTGCCCGCAATCACAAAGATATGGGTGGGACTCTTATTTTCACACCTGTAAGGGCTCAAGAGACTTCCTTCTTTTTCTTAGTCCCATGGAAAACCGATAATTTCCTACATTAAAAATGGAAATAATATTTGTAGTTCAGAAAGTATGTTTTCTAGATGAGAATTTCCTTGGCTCTATTTTTTAGAAGACTTAGGGTGGAATAAAGACAGGATTTGGAGTTCATGCAACATGAACCTTTCACAAATTTGGCCCTCTATGGGCTAAGTGTTGTCACTTTCTCCATTGGGTTGAATTTTAGCTTGCCTTTCTCTTTTCCAAGTCTTAGTTTGTCTTTATGAACCATGATTCCTGGGGAATAAAAATAGAAAATCAGAAGCTTGCAGGAATGATTTTCTTGGCTAGTTTGACTCACTATCAGCCAATTGTCCAAGTAAAAAGCTGTTTAAAGTTTTTTTTTAAAAAAAGAGGTGAAGTTTTAATAGCATCAGGAACAAAAATACCATTGTAAGCCAGCTCTCATTTTTTGACATTTTTTGGTATCATCTGGACAAGGTCATTTGTCACAGGGTATGACTCTATCCATGATGCTACAGACATCATAGAAAGTCCAATGATGAAAACAATTTTCCAGAATGAAAAATCCCTGGGAGACTAGAAGTCTTATAGTTCTTGCACAATTGTAGAAGATCTTTGGTTTTACACCATGAGTTTTCCAAGTCTTTGATCCTGTGTAACTTACTCAGTGTAGTATAACTATAGTGGTTTTCTTTAATTCACTTCCTCTTCAAAAGAACAAATTTTTATAATGGGGTCTAACACTGTAAACATTTCATAATATTGTAGCTTCAAAGAAGGCAGGCTGTAAACACATTTGCATCCAGTTAGCTGACGGTTTATAGATCTGAGGGACTCTTGGGTCCATGCTTTCCATGAGGAAGCATTTATTTCATTGGCTTTGCCTCTGAAGTGCAGTTCCCATCAACCCACTCAGAGAGGAAGTGCTTCATTAGCATCTTTGGTCAAATAACCTTTTCTGTGGTACTTTCCTTTGATTTTTGATGTATAATTCCATTTCTGTCTTGAGTTATGTTAATTTTGCTGCTGTTTTCTGTTTTTTTCTTTTCAAATGGGTTAGAAGAAGACTTTTCTCCTATTTTGTCCTTTTCTACTTGGGGTCAGGACATGGTATTTAGCCCAGAGAATTGCATAAGGGTCAGTAAAAACTATACTTAATTTAAATATATATTATGCATTCATTTTTTTGAGATCTACTCACATATGCCCTTCATTGACCCCCCCCCCCAGTGAAATTGAGAGCAGGTTATATGTGTGCTTAGCTTGCTCCCCAGTTGTTGAACATGATGATATTGGCCTCTGGGGAGTTGGGAACACCTTCTTCCCCATCTTTCCCTCTGGGGAGATGGGGAAAGGGCAATATCCTGGAGATGAGATCCTGGGAGCTGGGCTGAGATAGAGGTAAGTCTCCTGTGTATATCAATGGGGAAACACTGAATTGGGGAGGAGAGAAAAGAAACTGAATGGAGAGGTGGGCCATTGGGAGAGGCCAGGAGTTGGATACTGTATCATGGAGAGCATAACTGAAGGTATAACGTGGCAGATAGGAAGAGAGGTGATGAGAGAGAAGAATGAGGATCAAGATCTGCAAGAGGCAAAGTGAGATAGCTCAGGATCAGAATGAGTGACTGCTGAATATCCATTGGGCATTATTGTTTAGGTGCATCTTGACACCTCTTAAAGAGATAAGGCAGCTCCTTAAGAAAACAACCAGGCCAGATGGCTAAGGCCTGTCCAGTCAGTGTGAAAATCTGTGGCCCCAGGTGGGGTTCTGAGCATGTGTTAGTCATGGCTAAAGCTGTTGTTCAAATATTGGGACCACAGCCACTTACCTTTACAGACCATGATAGTCACCCTGTGCAGCTACAGCTTGAAGCACTTCAGGGTCACTGAGGTCCATAGAAATAAAAGTCAGAGGCTGCCTAGCCTTGGAAAACCCCATATTCTCCTTCTTTCAATACTTTGCTTGCCTTTTGTGCTAGAAGCTAACGTGTTCTGTGGATCTTCACCAAGCTTGAACTCTCTGATTGCAGCATCCTATGTACCAGAAGATGGCCTTGCAGGAGTTTGGCTTAAGCACCAAAATATTGTCATGCAGTCTTATTTTTGTTGTCTCCGCTTCCTATATCAGGGATCTCTCAAATGGTTATTTAATTGTACCCCCTGCTTACTAATAGGAGAATGGTAGAAGCTGGGGCAGAAGCACCTTAGCTGTAGAGTGGCTAAAGTTTGCCTTGAGGCCGAAGGTGAATTCTGGTCTCACCTCCACTCTCTGCCCAATAGAAGATGTTGAGATCACATGCCCAGAGGTGGGCTTTGATTCCCATCAGCTCTGCTCACTCAATTGTCTCATACATCCTGCCCCCAATCACCCACTCATGCGAAACGTAGTTGGAAGACTGTGTCCCAATTATCTGCCCTTCTTAGAGACTTTCAACCACGTAACCCTGAAAGCAAAACTATGTTTATAGCCTAATTTGAAAGGATATTCAGGTTTCTTTTACCTTGAAGTTTTCTGCTTTAATGTGGGGCTTCATTTTTACTCCATTTAGCATCTCAGTTTGTAGAAAATAGGAGGCATGTCTGCTCCAGATATCATCAAGATCAACACAACTGAGTTTATGAGTGATTTTCTCATCTGAGAGAGAATTAGCTTTGAATCCAGACCCAATAGAAAGCTCAGATCCAGGATTCTAGGAGAGGCACCACCACACAAGGGTATCCTCTGAACCCTTGCTTTGGAAGGCATCATTTTATATCCTGGATACGGATGCTTAGATGTATGTTTTTGTGCCAGGAGGAACTGGTTATGGCAATGTGTGGGGGAGATGTTTATCCTTTGGATGAATATTTGGGTAGGAGGTTTGTGTTTCAAGAAACTGAGCACTAATTGTAAATACAACCATTTTGCTGTGATTGACTCACTTCTTATTCATTCTTTTATAGGATCTTGTGGAAACACATTATGTACATTAGGGAGACTCAGCTCATGCATTTCCATTGAATAAATCTGCTAAAGGAAAAGGCATTACTCCTCCAGCTCCTTTTCAGACAGGCAAGAATATAAATCTTGTGATTAAAACAACAATAATAACAGCAAACTTTTGTGGGGAACCATTAATTCCTAAGACAGGAGATCTCAGACAGATGTAGTAATAAGAACATTTGCCACGGAGAGAGAAGACATTAATATAGAGTGAGAGGCTCTGCTGTGTTACCTGCAAACTTCTATTTTTGGGGTATTGTAGTTGATAACCCAAGGCTCCTTCCAATCTAACATTCTCTAGAGATAGAATGGGCATGATGACAGTGATTTCTGGTGGGGCTTTCCAGACAGGTTTGGAAGTACAGTGGTTCACATTTTGATGAGGAGGCAAGTCGGGGGAGTAAAGTGGAAGGAGCTCAGGCTTAGGAATTCAAGGGACATGGATTTACATCCTGACCCTGCCACTTACTAGCAGTGTGATCTTGGGAAGGTTACTTGATCTATCTTTCCTGAAGTTTGCTATCTGTAGAAAGAGGATAACAGTTCTAACCTCCTAAGGTTGTTTTGAGGATTAAAAGAGATATTATAGCTATTTAAAGTGCTTGTTTAACACAATATCTGACACATTGTAGGCCCCCAGTAAATGCTAGTTTAAGCTCCCTTACCCTTTACTAGCAATGATATCATATTAGTAAGAGTTCTAAAAACTTGAAAGATAATGTGTCATCCACCCTTAGCCTACACTTCACATGAGTTTTCGTCCTTTTTTGAGCAAAAGCTTTTATTTTAACAAAGACACATTAAGTTCTACTTATTTATTTGTGTGCTGTGGTTGTGATTTTTTTTTGCATTTGTATATGAAAAATCAATAGTAAATGCTGATTTCCTTTTCCTGTGGCTGTAATTGCTATGTTAATTTAAAGGTCTGATTACAGAAATGAATGCAGCTGTGCTGCTCTTGCACTGCACAGCCCTGGATGTGCTGTGTGTGTACCCAGGCATGCTGCACTCCCTGTACTTACATCATTTAGGAGGAAGTTTCCAGTACCACAACCTCACAGGCAGTATTTAATCACCTCAAACTCTAGCTTTGAGGTTAGCCTGGAAATGAAAAGCCACTTGGGTTTACCACAACAGAAAAGTCAGAGGTACACCATTTCTAAGACAGCATGTGGGGAGGCACAGCCAGGCCTGGGGGGCTCCTGTGGGAAGCTGGGAGCCATGTGAGTTTCATACCCAGGTGCCATAGTAAAGACAGAACCTGCTTCCTTATGTGTGTGTGTGTGTGTGTGTGTGTGTGTGTGTGTGTGTATGCATGAGCATGTCTGCACATATATATTCATATATTTGCACAAATTCATAGATACATTATTTCTACATATCAAGCCTGTGCCCTGTAATCATCAGTGACTATTTTTCTGTGTGTGCAGAGTTCAGGATGTCATCTGGACATTTCTATGGTCTCCGTATCTCCATTTTCCTTATCTCCAATTTCTCCTACTCCCAGTTCAACTTCTTCATCAACCTCTACCAGATGAAATTGGTAATACATGAACTCCCCTTCTTAAAAAGTTTCCTGTGCTTCCTCCCACCTACAGCACAAAGTTAAACTCCTTAGCACAACGCACAAGGCCCTTCTCGAGGGGTGTCTCAATCGAGCCTCATCATCCCTACTCCCTAGTCTGTGCTGTGCGTGCTACACAAGACTCACTGCTCCTAAGTGCACACCAGGCTCTCTTGTTCCACATCTTTGTGCTGCCTACTCCCTTGCTTCTCTTAGCCCTGCTGGCTCTAACATCACTTCCCATGGAAATCTTCCCTGACAGCTCTAGACCAAATATGGGCTTTCTCATTGTGTCTGGGTGTTTATTCCACTGCCATGGCACTTATCACACTGCTGTAATGAGTTTTGCTTTTTTTTTTTTTTTTGTGCTTCTTGTTGTTGTTGTTGTTTACGTATTACCTTCAGTACTATAATAGGATCTCCCAAGGACCGTGATTGTTCTGTCAGTTTTTGTAACCCTAAGAGCCTGGCTTGGTGCTTCACACACATGGCAGATGCTTCATAGTATTTGTTAACTGAATGAGTT
The DNA here is from genome assembly GCF_000001405.40 of Homo sapiens. Taxonomy (NCBI): domain Eukaryota; kingdom Metazoa; phylum Chordata; class Mammalia; order Primates; family Hominidae; genus Homo; species Homo sapiens. Next base: position 86,637,188 of record NC_000011.10, on the reverse strand, counting down.
AATGGAGACTCCCTGAATGTACGTGTATAGATATTAGTTACGTATAAGACCCACACACTGTTAGTCTTGAAACCAATTGGGGATTCTGGATACAGGCACCATTACTGATTTGCTCATTTTTTTCGCCATTTTTTGCTTCTTTTACTTTTTACATTGATTCAAGAATGATGGCAGGCAAACAGATTCTTAACGCACTTGTCCAGATCTTTGGCTTCTCACTTTCTCTGTAATTCTACTCCTCTGGCCTCACAGCATCCTAAAGCTTAGCTTTTAGACCCTACTCTGCTACTTACCAGCTGCTGTGTAACTATAAGCAAAGCACTTAAGGAGAAACAGAAACTAACCTTCTTAGGAACACCTTCATGTATCTTGCTCATTTAATTCCCATAACACCCTTTTAGATAATCATTTATCAACTCTGTATTTTCAGGATGAAGAAACTGAGGATTTGAGAAGTTAAGTAACTTGTTCAAGATCACACACAGCAAATAGAAAAGCCAGAGTACAAATGCAGCTCCGATTCCAAAACTTGTGCATGTTCTACTGGACTGCTTTGTCCTCTCCAGATCTCACTTTCTCCATCTGAAACATCACCAGGTTGTTAGAGGAGTAAGTCAGGAATGAGGGCTATGCATGCCCTGCAGGCTGTCATGTGTGTCTGGGCATAGGGAATGTTGTCACTCTGGAGGTGCACCAAGGGATGCTTCTCCTGAACCAGTGTTGGTTGCAGTGGTTGGGCAGTGCTCAGCCACTACTCTTCAGTCCTGGCCATGACCTCACTCCCTCTCTTCATGAGTGTTTATGCCAGGCAGTGTCCTAAAAGCATTTCACAGACATTATCTCATTTTAAAGACTATAAAAGCTCCAAGGGGCAAATACCTTAGTTAGTCTCATATAGATTAAAACAAACAAACAAAAAAAAAAAGAAAGAAAAACTGGGTTCAGAGAATGTAATAGGCATCCCTAAGCTCTCACAGAGGATTTAACCCAGAAAGTCTCAAACCAGACATACCCCGCCCTGCCCCCAACACATTTACCACTACACTGAATTGCCTCCAATTCCTACAACCCCTCAGAAGCTTCAGGCTTCCATAGCACCCAGGTTTCTTTCTAGGACCCTTGTAGGCTGGTAAATGATCTCTACCATCTCTACCTGAAAATGTGTGAGCTTTAGCCCAAAGCTTCCCAGGATACGGGGACTAGGTTAAACAAAGCAGCCCCAGAAGAACTAGGGAAAGAAATTATCAAGCCAAAAGACCAGGAGTCCAGTTCTGGCTCTGCCATTTGACCAGACTGTGCTTATCTCTCAACTTCCCTAAGTCTGTTTCCTTGTCTGCAAGATGAGTATCAACATCACTGAGTTGTTCTGGGAAATGACATAGGCTGTGTTAGTCCATTTGTTGCTGCTGTAACAGAATATCACAGACCAGGTAATTTAGAAAGGAAAAAAAGTTATTTCCTCACAGCTCTGGAGCTGGGAAGTCCAAGAACATGGTTCTGGAATCTGGCAACAGCAAGCCTGCAAGACAGAGACAGGAAATAAAGTAGAACTCATCCTTTTTTTAGAAACCTACTCCTGAGATAACTAACCCACACCCAAGATAATGGCTTTAATCTATTCTTGAGGGCTCTCATCATCTCTTAATGGTCCCACCTCTTAATACCATTACAATGGAGAGTAAGTTAGTTTCCAATACATGAAATTTGGAGGACACATTCAAACCACAGCAGGCTATCATAACAAAATACCATAGACTGTGTGGCTTATTCTCACAGTTCTGGAGGCTGGAAGTCTAGGATTGGGGTACCATCATGGTTTCTGGTGAGGGCCCTCTCCCTGGCTTGCAGACAGCCACATTCTCACGGCGTCCTCACGTGGCCCTTCCTCAGTGTATGCAGGTGGAGAGAGAAAGCTTTGATGTCCCTCCCTGTTCTTATAGAGCCAATCACCCAATCCTCTTCTTACAGGGCCAAGGCTCAAGTGATCCTCCCACTTCAGCCTCCTGAGTAGCTGTGACTACAGGTGTGCACTACCACGCCTGGCTAATTTTTGTAGGGATTTCATCATGTTGCCCAGGCTGGTCTGGAACTCCTGGGCTCAAACGGTCCATCTGCCTTGGCCTCCCAAAGTTCTGGGATTACAGGTGTGAACCAGCGTGTCTAGCCTGTTCCTAATTTTTTAACGGTGCCTGGTAACATCCAGAACGGAGCAAAGATACAATTTCACCCCTCAAGAATTACCATTTAGAGGTTCTGGGTTTTTTGTTGTTGTTGTTGTTATTCTCACGATTACAAGTCAATTAAAATGGATAATCCTGTTTAAATTAACTTCTATGGTTTGTTATCAATCACAGTTTCAGTTTGTCCTAACAGAGAAGCCAAGGATAGTGTTCAAAGGAACCTTCCATAAGATTTCCAAGAAAGAAGACAATGGACAAACCAGCTGCTATCTATGATGTTTTATTTTCAGAATGAAACACAAAACAAACAAAAAAAAACACAAAAGACCCAGAACCATTTACTAGCATGTGAATGTGATCCTGTCTCTAACTTGAGCCTTCATGCATAGTAGACAATACCCCAGGTATGGGACTAAAATGCTACCAGTCATTCTTTGTTTTTTGGATAATTTTCTTTTGGCAGCATGATAATTTATTTCAAACCAAAGTCCACGACTTTGCTGAGACACAGGTAAGCTGAGCGACAGTAAGAAAGACAGTCTCATGATCTGATTATGAGCTAAGAAAACTGGGAAGTCTAGAGTTTAAAAAGCTGTCCCACGGGCATGCTGACCATTAGCTGACATGCTACTCACAACCAGGATGTCAGGAGGGAGGTTGGGAACATCATAGCAGTCTAAGGAGAAGACAGTCCTGGTGGGGATGACTGTGGTACCCATGTAGAGACATGAACCCAAGCTCTGGCTCCATACAACCCAGTTCATTTGGGAGGGGGATTTAAATCAGGGCCCCCACTTCTGACTGACCAGATGGAGGCATCCCTGAACACCCCTCTCAGGTTTCCCAATCTCTCCTCCCTCTACTCTTCCTTCTCCTTTTTTTCTTCCTCCTTCCCTTCCTCATGCCCAAAATGGCTGTTTGTAGGAATGGAAGGAGAGGGGTGTATTTTGGGAGGGATTTGGGGACTCAATTAATGGAACATATCAAGGTTAAGGGAGAATAAGTGCAGGAAGGAAATTCTGGTTCCTTTTCTTTCCTCCTATCTGGACTCCAAAGGCACCGTCATGGCAGAATCAGCATGGGGCTGTGAGCCAGTGGCCCTACTCTCATCTCAGCTCTGCCACTGATGGTGGGCCTGTCATTTAACTGCGTTGAGCCCAGGTTTCCCCTCTAGATGGTGGACATGTAACCTCCCCAAATGACCCCATGAGGCCCATGGTAGATGCTTCTGTCTGTGAAGTCCTTCATGATTGCATCTGATGGACAGACTCCTCTCCTCTTCCGGGCCCCTCTAGCACGGTCCTCTGTTGCCCTCTGGCCTATAGAACAGCATGCATTTGGGTTTGAGAGCAACCTGGATTTGCAGCCAAGACACCCATGAGAGTACCTTCCTCTCCCTCACAACCACCCTTCTCATACCAATCAAGTCTCAATGTCCCTAAGCGTCCTGTCTAGCACCTTTTCATTTCTCTTATTACATTTCTCCTCCATGCCCTTACTTTCCAGCTATTTTAATGTGCTCAGTGGAATGTGGCATTTAACAGCACGGGCTCTAGAACCAGCATTACCTGGGTTCAGATTCTGACTTTGCCTCCCCAGACTGTGGCACCTTGGACCAATTATGTAAGCATGTTGTGCTCAGTTTCCTGATCTACAAAATAGGGTTAATAATAGCACCCCTCATGTGGCTGTATGAGAGTTAATAAATCAAAACACACAAAGCCCAGGAAAGTACCTAGCAAATAGTAAGTGACTAAATGTCAGTCTGTCACTGTGCTTATGTCCTTGGTCACATCTCTCTTGTGGGTCAATGAGCTGCTTGGAGACTGTAATGTGGCCTTGGACTTTACAGAGATGAGTTTCTGTGACCAGAGAATAAGCAACCAAATCCTCAGCCTGGCCACACAATGCTGGATGGTGACTCAGTGGTCATTACTGACATGCATATCGGACTCACAGCAGTTTTCTGTGGGAACCCTCAACATCCTGACTCTGTGTCCCTGGGCACAGGGGCCGTGCAGTGCTCAGGCGGAGAGTGACTAAGTGCTGCCATCCAGCTGTGGTGGCTGACTCATGCATGAGGACTGAAGGATGTGGATTCTGAAAGCCCTTCCTCACCGTTGTGTTTCCTGTCCATATAGCCCTGCCCCAGGGCCTGGGGCTCCCATGGAGGACCAGTGCCCAGGAGAGATTCGTGTGACTGCAGAGCACCTGGGTTGCCCTGAAGGAAACCACTGGCCTTCAGTATCACTCACTGCACCTGGGCCCACCCAAGGTCTCTGGAGTGCAGTTCTGCCCCTGTGGCCTCCTCTGTCCCCTCCTTCACAGCGCAGGCTGTCACACATGTGGCAGGTTCTCCAACATATGGCCAGAGAATCAGTGTATGCAGTACTGGAGGGGCCTGAGGATGATGTCCAGGGCCATTCCTCATTTTGCAGACATAGAGACTAATGTCTGAGGGAGGCAGGGTCTTCAGCAATACAGTCAGGACTAGAATCCTGAGGACTAATTCCCAAGTCCATGTTCTTTTCAGGAAACCCTGCTAAAGTAAAAGAATACAACTTCTTGGCTGTAGTGTGAGGAACAGGCAGAAGCAGGCACAGGGAAGCGAGTCCAAGATACCTGGCTTACAGAGCCTGCTCTACCCCACCCCCCTTGGCCATTTTGTCTCCCTTCTTCACTCCCCTATTTAGGCTCTCGGATCAGGCAGTTCCCCACTACTTCCCCACAAACTGTGAGGCCCCTGTGAAGCTGCTCTCCCAGAGGCCCTCTGCTCAGGCTGCACTCTCTTGCACCCAGCAGCCCTTGAACACATCACTTTTGGAAGTATCCAGTCCACACCACTATGCTGTTGGAGTCAGGCAGGTCAGAGTTGGAATCACAGAAACTATGTGGCCATGGACAAGGTACTTAGCCTCTTTAAGCCTCAGTTTCTTCATCTGTGGTCTTCTTCATATAGGTAAAATAAAATAATTTGGCTGGGCATGGTGGCTCACACCTGTAATCCCAGCCCTTTGGGAGGCTGAGGCAGGAGGATCACCTGAGGTCAGGAGTTCGAGACCAGCCTGGCCAACATGATGAAACCCTCTCTCTCCTAAAAATACAAAAATTAGCCGGTCATGATGGTGGGTGCCTGTAATCCCTCCTATTCAGGAGGCTGAGGCAGGAGAATTGCTTGAACCCGAGAGGCGGAGGTTGCAGTGAGTTGAAATTGTGCCACTACACTCCAGCCTGGATGACAAGAATAAAACTCTATCTCAAAATAATTTATAACTATCAGAACAGTGCCTGGCAGCCCGTAGGCTTCCAATGTGCCATGCCTGTTATTATTATTGCCTGTTATTTTTAAAGCTTCACTCAAATTGTCTTTATTATGCCCATGGTTCCAGATGCATCAGAATTACCTGAGGATTTTTATAAACAAGACAGTCTGATCTATTAGGTCTGAGAAGGAGCTAAGGAATTTTTTTTTTAAGTTCACCAAGGAGATTCTGATATGCGTTTGGATTTGGGAACCACTAAACCCCTTCATTGCCCACGGTTTTCTTATGAGTTTGGCACTAGTTCTCTCACATTCTTGTCACTGCCTATAAGTTACAGGCAGTTTTGCAGGTGGACTGACCTTAGATTTGGAAGATCCCAACTTAGATCTGTAACTTTTCTATCCCTCCTAATGAGCTACATCTCACCAAGACATTAATGTGCAGAGAAGGGGGAGGCAGGAGAGCACAGGGACTGTGACCACTGGGCTTCAGAATTGGAAATCCCTGTGTTCAGTCCAAGTTTTGGAACTCACTGGCTGTAGCTCTTCAGGCCAAGCTCCATGACCACTATTTTGTAACTGCTTGTTAAGAGGGATTTTGTTCAACCTAACATCTGCAATTCGGTACATAGCATCCTTCCCCTAATCCAGCAGTTCCTCCAACCTCCTGTTTCCCAGGGCCTCAGGCCCCAGACCTGGGCTCATCTGTGACTCGGTTGGTCCTCCCATCCTAGTCCTCCCCCATTTATGTCCTTCCTGCCATCCCTGCCGCCTCCATCGGAAATGAGACTTCCACAAACACCATCTAACCACCTGCCCTCCCTCACCCTGCTCCTTTCCAGGTTTCCTCAGGGGCTCCTGATTAGCTGTGGCTCCCTTTCAAACTTTCACTGCCTCCCCACTGCCTGCATACTCTGTGTGGCACTGCACAGGCACTGGCCTCAGCCCTTGAAAGTCCTGACTCGGGTTTCTAATGTTCTACTCACACTTAGTAACATGGTCATTCAATAATAACAACAGCTTCTGAGGAGACGCTGGGTGTTGGTATTCCGAGAAGATGCCAAAGAGTGTGTTGTCTCCAGGCCACAGGCCTGATTTGATCAAATCTGCTTCATCCTTTTGATTTCTCTTGGCATTTGGACTTGTTTGAGGCAAACACTGCAGGAGGTTTGGTTTTTACCTAAAATTATAATGTTGCTTTTGGGCTTGGAAGCTTGCGTGTAAAGCACTTGTGGCTGTTTAAACTCTGCAGCAAAGAAAAGGCCAGGAACACATTCCCGGTGCTCTGTTTCATGGAAACCCAGAGACAGCACAATCCATAACATCATGAAGGATACAGGAGAGGCTCTGGAGACCAAACCCACTCAGGTGTCCAGCTCAGGCCCCCAGATATGTCACTGGAGTTGGAGCCTGCCAAGTCCAGCTGCATTTGGAAAATACTTCAACCAAGCGCTGTCAGTCAGGGCCTCATGACCAGAAATCCATGCTTCTGCTGCTTGCTTTTTCCCTTTATTGATAACAGAGGTAACTCAAACCTTTAGCTCATATGTTATTAGCATGACCTTGAACTCTCTTCTTCAAAAGAACATTTTTGGGGGGATACACTGTATGTAAAATAGATCAAAACAACAAAAGGTTCATCAGGGGATGATGATCTCTATTCAATAGGGGATGTAGATCTCTATTATTGGTGGCAAGTAAATCACTGCAGAACCTCTGAAGTTCCTCCAGGTCTAGAGTTCTGAAACAAGTGCTTGTGTAGGCATTATTCAGACTCAGTTTCCTCTTCTGCATGCTTCATACCACCTCATTGTCATGGTGCAGGTATAGCAGAATTAAACCTCAACAGTGCACATTTAGACTGTTATTTACATCCAATTTCAATCACAAGTTCTCAGCCATCTAAGCTGCTAGTGAGGTGCCTGGCAGCAGCGGGTGGGTAGTAGTAAGCCCAGCTAGCAGGGTAAGTTCTGTAAGCTGCCTCATTAGATAAGAATGGCTGCTTTGCTCAAAGCCTCAAATACTCCTGGCTTGTGTCCTCAGGACTACTCTTGAACTCTGGAAACAAACAATGGGACACCAAGACACAGAAGATACCCAAGACAGTAAGAGCTGACTTTAATATTGGAGGACAGTGTAGACTGGCTGATATGTTTTCTCTGAGAGTAAAACTTCAAGTAGTTTTATCTTCATACAGTGTCTCAGGCTCCAAGTGATGAAGGGAGTTGTAACCAGTATAAGTATACTAGTTCCTGGTGGGAGGAAATGTGTCCTTTACCCACGGGGGAGGGGGAGGGTCTAAACCAAAACACATTTAGTTAACCTCCTTTCTTCAGCAAAAGAGATTGTTTCTCTGTTTTTAAGAACGGGTTTTTTAAGTTAAGGGCTTCTTTAAGAAAACAAATAAATGAGTACGAGCCCTGCATCTTTCTCTCGAAATGTGTTTTGAAACCTCACAGACAAAGCCATGCCTCTGGGAATAGTCCAGCTGCTCTGAATGTTATGACGAAGGAATACAAGTTCAGGGACATGAACTCGAGATGCTAGACATTCTCATGACCTGGTGAGAAAGATAGCAGGGCTCCAGTTTCCAGGCCTGGGTTTTCTTTCCCCAAAAGACAAACCATCAGTCAGACCCATTGAATTCACTGTATCACCAGTTAGGTTTTGCAGGAACAAGGGGCACGCATGTAGCTCCCAGGCCTCTCTTTGCAGACCCTGTTTAATTGGAATTGTTAATGCAAGACTGTGAGGAAGAAGAGCGGACTGGTTCTATGCTTTGGGAGAATCAGATGACAAGCACAGCACTTTCTTTATCTTTGATTTTTCCATCCCTTGCTTGTCAATACTAGATTTAGACGTTTCTCTCCATGTAACGTTTCTCCTTCCTCATAGACTTTTCTGTAATGAGGACTATAAAACTGAGGCTCACAGGCCCCATAATTGAGTCAAGGCCTACCCAGTGCAGGAGTTGCAACTGCGGTCTGCATGAATCTAAAGTCTGTATTTCCATTTTCTGACGTGGTTACCTAACCCATTACCTAGAAAGGAGCTGAGTTCCTAGGCAGGTGAACAGAAACATTAAGGGCTTCCAGGTAAGACTGATGTCTAGATCAGAAAATAGACCTTAGTATCAAATAGTCTATGAGGACAGAGCCACTGTAGGACACTGATTCTCAGCTTTGACTGCACTTTACAGTCATTTGAGAAATTTAAAAAAATACTAATGACTGTCTCACCTCCAGAGATTCTGAACAAATCGGTCTAGATTATGGCCTAGGCGTCAGAATTTTTAAAAGCTCCCCAAGTAACACGAATATGCAGCCAAAACTAAGAACAACTGCTTAGGAAAGACAGAAATAGCATCTTAGAAGGGGAAGCTGGAGCTGTTTAAATATCTGCTGCCCCAGGACCAGGGCCCAGAACAGGCTCCAGTGGCTCCCGAAGTATTGGGAGGAGGCTGGAGATGGCGGCAGGCAAGGGAGCTCAGCCAAGGCTGGCAGCCACACACCACACTGACTGTTATTCACAGAGCGAGCCAAAGGATTGACTCCTACATACTGGCATGTAATTATTTTATGAACTTAAATCTTAACTCTCCAGATAGATTATAAGTTCTCTCAGTTTGAGATGCCAGCACCCAAAAGATGTCTACCATCTTCCCCATTGAATCATCTGCACCAGAGGGCAGGACCTGTTGCTGTTCTTTGCTGTCTCTCAGGCTGCGTAGCACAGTACCGCACACATGGTGACTGGACATGGAGGGTGGGGGGACTTTAGCTGGAAGCATAGACATCCTGGAAAGGGTGATATTTTCATCTTAATTGATTCCAGAAGCCATTCTGCTTTCTCATCTGAAACTGGGAATTGCTTATGCGTGGTGTTAACTGAAGCCACCCTTTCCTTGCAAGCCCATAGGCCTCTTGCCCCACATTCAGCTTCCTGTGCTTTTTCTTTGGTACAAGTATGAAGGCTTCTGCTGGACATTAAATCTGCTAGTGAGATGGCCTTGGCAGAGGAGCCTTAAGGATATTCACTGGGTCCTGAGGGTTATGATTTTGAGGTTGATACTGAATCCTTCAGAGTAAGGAGAGTGGGCAGACTTCACAAATCAGCAGAAAAGCTGCCAAGACTGTGCTTGCCAATTGGTTGTGTACATGATTCTCAGAATCTTGGTAATTTTATTGTGTGTCTGATTGAAAAATTATATTCACAGTCTTGGGCAAAACAAGAATAAAGAAATAATACACTTAATATTTGTATGCATATGGGTAGAAAGACTTTCACTATTTGAAAAAGCCAACTTTGAAAAGCCAAAGTTGAAAACCATAAAGGGCAAGCAAATTTGGTTGCAATTTTGTCGGAAATCCAGCAACAGTCCTTATACCCATGGTACAGAAAGGAGATAAAAATGAGAAATTGAGATTTGTTAAGCATCTATTAGATTTATACAAGTTGTTTTCTAAATGTTAGATCATTTAATCCTTGCCACACTCTATTTTACCCATAAAGGTATTTTCAAAATACAAATAGGGGCCTATAACCCAACTTTCCAGAGCTTTCAGAATAGAAAACCAAATCTCTAACATTGTCTCCAACATCTTGCATGGGCTGGCCCCATACTGCCTGTGTTCTGTCTGCTCTGACCACAGCAGTTCTTAAGTGAGCCTTGTTTCCTTCTACTGCAGGGCATTTATACACCTACTTTCCTCTTTTGGAAAACCCTTCTCCCTCTCTCCACCTCTAAATTCTCCTGTCATCCTTTACCTACTTAGTTCCAACTCTTCCTTCGGATCCCAAGGAAAATATACCAGTTAGGGTCTAGGCAGGAGACAAAAACCACACCATTTATTTGAAACAGAGGGGATATAATATAATGAATGATTAAATAAGTGCAAAGTTGTTGGCTAGGTGACAGAAGAAAAAAGAAAACTCTAAGCTGGGATTGGCAAACTGTGGCCCATGTGCCAAATTCAGTTCATGGCCTATTTGTATGACTGGTGAGCTAAGAATGGTTTTTACCTTTATAAAGCTTGTTAGAAAGAAAATGCAACAAAGTTTTTATGTGGCCCACCAAGTTTGAAATATTTACTATCTGGCCCTTTACAGAAAATGTTTGACAGTCTCTGCTCTAAGGTATCACAGGGGTAGCAACTCTAGGAAGTACCTACCACCTTTAGGTCTACAGGAACAAAAGTTGGAATTATTAAAAGGCAGAAAATTAGAGACGAGGCCAAGAGGTCTGAGACCCAGACTTCTGAGGAGAGGGTGCCAACTGGCTGGTGAAGGTGTCTATGAGACGGGGTGCAATGAGGCTGGTTTTACAAATAGCAGAAAAACTGTTCACTACACTGAGCTGTTGCCACAGGAGGGAACTGCTGCTGCCCAGGTGAAGAAGCATTCCCTGGGTGCCACTCACAGGTAGAGGATGCCACAGAAATCGCTCAGGAAGTAGACAGAAAGGAGCCAGTTTCTTCTTTCTCTTCCAGGCTTTTGTTCTCTCACTATTGTACTCTCTTGGCAGAGCCAAGCATAAAGGCAGTTTGCAATGTGGTTTACAGGGTTCCAGCCCCAACATTGCAACACAGACAATAGAGGAGTAGGTTTGGAGAAATGAGACAATAATTTAATAACTGGCACAGGAAGCCTTCTCTGAACTTCGTGATGTAGTCAGTCCCCTCTGTCATATCTATATTGCACTGTGTATCTTTTCTCCATATCATTTACTATAATTAGTGAAAATATGGATGAATACTTATATAGCACTATGTACCAGCACAATTCTAAGCAGTTTTCAAGATTTAATCCCACAAAAACCCTGTGGAGGTATATACTCATATTATCCCCATTTTACAGGTAACGATACAGAGACACAGAGAGGGAAATACCTACTTACTCAAAGTTACACTCAGCTAGAAAGCAGAAGAACCAGACCTTGAACTCAGACAATCTTGTTTCAGGGTCTGTACTATTAATACTATACTACAGAGCCTCTTAATTTCAGTTTTACATTAATTTGTGAATTCTGACTCAATGTCTGTGTGTCTCATCAGGCTGGCTTCATGACAGCAGTGACGGGGTTTCTTTCTGCTGATCCCCTGTGCCTGGCACAAGGTCTGACACTTAGAAGGCTCTGGATAAATATTTATTGCATGGTTGAATACATGGAGAAGGAATCTGAGTCACAGAAAGGTTTAGCCAACAGTTACCTGTAAGAGCTGGGATTCAAACCCAGGTCTCTTTGACTCCAGAGCCCATATTCTCCCCAGTCATGAGCTGGCAGGCGAGTGCTTTCCAGCTGGTGATATGGGAGGTTCCTGATTATGTAATTGAGGCACTGCAAATTCATCATTGTTCCTGTATTTTGAACAAATGTTGATGTTCCTTGGGGTCTTTGAGTTATCTAGGATGTATGATCAGCTACGCGTCTTCATTCTTAGATCTTGCTGCGTGGAAACAATCCCTGTACTCTGTAACTATGGTCACCAAACTCAGGGTGCTGGATCTTCTACCCAAGCTTTCTCGGACATACTTTGTTAACGATAGTTACTGTCTGGTGAGGAGTTTGGCAATGGGGGTAAGAACACTTCTATTTTGTATTCTATATACTGTTTAAGTAATTGGTTATTTTATAATGAGAATACTAAAGAAAAATATTTAATTAAAAGTACTGAAAACAGAAGTGTTTCTTCTAGCAAATTTGAACATGACTAAATGGTATTCTGTTACTTCAGGACAATGTCCTTTCTCCTAAGCATGTCATTTGCCAACTCCTCTCTACCTCTCTGGTCTCATCTCTCTACACATAGTCCAAATACTTGCAGGGCTCCACATGCTACATTTTCTCTTTTCTCTGTGGCTTTTGCAATACTGTTCTTCTCCAAGTAAAGTCAATGTCCTGACAATGGTACATGAGACCCTCTGTGATCTGGTCCTTAGAGCAGTCCACTTGCCCTTTCTCTCCCGCTATCTGATGCCAGAGGAGAAGTTTGGAGGAATCAGATGGAAATAACAGAGAAAAGCCGAAGAATGGTATGTTTAACAAACATTTATTCATTCAGTTTACCTATTAACCAGCTAATAAAATCGAATCACTCAATGTAATCAGCTAAGTTTTCCACATAGGCTATTTTTAAAGCAACAAAATCAATCTTACGCAATTTTCTGTGACCAGTTATCTCAGATGTTCCTATAATTAGTAGCCACTCCAGAAACTCTGCATGAGGTATGGCCTTGGGCAGTAATCTGGTTGAGTGGGGCATTGGGAATAAGGAGAATAGAGGAGTGTTCTCAAACCTATATTTATATGGTAAACATATTGTTTTTATTGGATTCTGTTTATTGGCTTGGAGGGGATTTGTCAGAGAATCCACAAATTTCACAGCAACTGCTAATGAAACTAAATGCTAAATCTCTGCTGGTTTAAACAAAAACAAATGTATCTAGATTAAGAGAAATAGGGAATAGGAGGTTATAGGGGTATCTGACAAGAGCCAGTTAGTGGAATTCAGGCAGGCTCAGGGGAATACTGAACTAGGGGCTGAGAAGCCCTCTGAATCGTCCAGCTTCTTTCTTTTGGCCAATAAGCCAGCTTCAACTTCCCAACATTGTGGGGAACATGGCTGCCCCACAGCTCCCAAAGTTTATATTAAACTTCCGACCTCAAAGAGGTATAAAATCCTGGTCTCAAAAATAAACTATAAGAGAAAGAATGGATTGGTCCAGCTTGAGTTAGGTGGATACTCCTGGTTTAGTCAGCAGCTAGAGGGAAGGGGTCACGTTGTACGTCAAGCCTGCTGGAGAGGGAGTGGGCATATGTGTGTGGGCAGGCAGGGAGGTGTGATTTTGATCTGGGCAGACATTTCAGAAGACATCTACTCTATTAAGAAAAGGCATTCATAATCTCCAGAGGGGAAAAGTATGTTCCACAACACACCTGGGCACACAGAGAACATTTCATTATTGCTTGCTACCGAACTGGAAAGACCCTCAGAGGTAACTGTGAAATACTGGTTGACTGAGCCATGGATTAAGTTGTTATTTCTATAACATTGCTATTTCTATAACAATGCCTTGGTTACTTGACTCTCGACTGTCTGGCAGCCTTAAACAGTATGAAGCCAAAAATAATAGCAACAACTTACATAACACCTTAATATACTACACCCTGTTCTAAGCACTTTTACTTTCATTAACTCATTTAAATTAATCTTCATAACAATCATGTTAGCGTTCTCCAAAGAAACAAAACCAACAGGACATATACAGATATGTAAGAGGAGATTTATTATAGGAATTTGCTCAGGCAATTACAGAAGCCAGAAAGAATGCAAAACATACCATCTGCAAGTTGGAGCACCAGGTAAGCCAGTGGTGTGATGCAGTCTGAGTTCAAAGGCCTGAGAATGAGGAGAGCCAGGGTATAAGTCCCAGAGTCTGAAGACCCAAGAACCAGGAGCTCTGATATCCAAGGGCAGGAGAAGATGGATGTCCTGGCTCAAGAGGAGAGTGACAATGCACCCTTCCTCTGCCTTTTTGTTCTATTTGGGTGAGCCCTCAGTGGATTGGATGATACCAGATGAGACGACGCAGATCTTCTTGACTCATTCTACTGATTCAAATGCTAATCTCTTCCAGATACACCCTCATAGACACTCAGAAATAATGTTTTACCTGCTGTCTCGGTATTCTCTGACTCAGTCAAGTTGGCACATAAAACTAACCATCACAAATAGATATTATTTCCATTTTACAGGCGTGTTAACTGAGACACAGAAGTGATGTCATTTACACAAGGTCATTCTCCCAATAAGAGGTGGAGGTAGGGTTTGAATCCAGGTAGTCCGCCTTCAGGGTCCATGCTCTTAACAGTGCAGGAAACAAGCTTCCAGGGGGAGTGGTTGGGAATAGGTGAAAACTTCAAAGACAAAGCTTCGAAGACAATCTTGATGGATGAACTCACCAAATAAAAGGAACTCTTTCATCAGCCAACGATGGCAGCCAGAGTCAGGAATAAGAGAAGCTGCACCAAAAAGTGGGAGAAGAAACAAGAAAACATCAAAAAATATACACAGGAGAAAGAGACCCATAGACAGAAGAGGTGGTACAAAGAACAGTGTGAAGTGGGAAAACCAGGGAACACAACTTTCAGGAAGAAACGAGATATTGTCTCAGTGTTTTTCAGTTGTGGTCCACAGACCTTCTGAGCTCTTGATAAAAATATAGTTGCTGAGGCCTCACCTTTGACTGAATCAGTAATCTATCAGATCTACCAGAAAGCCACCTGTTCTAACAGACACTATTAGGTATTCTCATCTCAAGAGAGCACTGAGTGAGCAGCAAACAACTTTTTTTTTTTTAATGCCCTCCCACAATCCCTGTAGATATATCACTGGATATGGCAGTGTCTGTAGTATGTAATGCATTTTTAAATGACTCCCATTGATAGGGAGGCGTAAAATGAGAACCCACATGCAGAGCTTTTGTTTTAGCTCTGGCACAACCTATCCATGTGACTATTGGCAGACAATTTCTCTGCAGTCTAAGATTTTACTGCTGTCAAGGTTGTAGGTTAGACTGGATCCATGAAAGGTATCTGGAACGCATCCTTCCACACATATTCTTCCACAAGTCCTGCACCACCTACATTCTCACCTGGCCATGGCAAACATCATTAATCAATCATGACACTCCTCGCTGAGGCCTGATGAGGCTACCCAATACAATATTTAACATAGAGCCCTAGGCGCCCATTAACAATGCTGGAAGTTGAAACTTTCCTGTTATCTCTGGACTAGAGATAATCCATAAAGCTCCTGTAAGCTCTAAAAATAACTCTCTTAAAGGAAAAAGTAATTTCACATTCTGCTTTACAGGGTTCATTTTCATTTATATAAAAGTGCATTTAACACATTGTTTTATATTTTGATTTATTTCAAATCTCCTCAGACCTTCCCTCTCCCCATTATTCCAACCTCGATTGTAATTATGATTTGAATGTTATTTCTCCTGAAAGCCCACTAGATCTTTATTATCAAATTATGCTGAAGTTAGACTAACTTTGCCTTAAACTTATATTTTAAGTCAGCTTGAATTTGAATACAACCCTATTCACAAAAACAAGTTCAAAGTTGAAGCATTTGTAGGAAAGAAAGAGAAAGGAAGGAAAGAAAAAGAATGGAAGGAGAGAAAGAAAAGAAAGACTCCTGATTTAACTTTAGAAAAAAAACTTTCTGAAGTGATGGAACCAGTCCTGGCCTGATGATTACTCAAGAGACATTCTCAGGCCAATTGTAAATAATTCAAAGTTCTGCATTTTTGTTTAAGAATTCTGAGAATCATGCTAACAAATTAGCCAAGACTGAGGAGCAAAAAAGTTTAAAAACTATGATGTAGCTGACCTTAATTATTCTTAAATCCCATGAATTCTATGCCAATAAAAACAATGTTTTCTTACTGGCCTTAGGCCTGGATTGAAATTGTTGAAAATAGTGACTTTTCTCCTCTTATTACCTCAAAGAACATTGTGTCAGGATAGGAAATAAATATTTCAAGTTGGCAAACAGTTTTCCCAAAGCAATTCTAGCAAAATTTGGAGATGGCAGGAATAGGTGGGTTTTAATTTTCTGATCTGGACTCAAAACTGAAACATTTTGGTCTGGACACTTTATTGTGAGGCCTGGAAGAGTTCCCTCGACATCATTTGTCCCTTGGATCCCAACCCAGACCTTACTTTGGTGGAGGCCCGGTCAGGAACCTGGGCTGTATTGTATTACTTAACCAACCACAAGCATGAGAAACCTCATGCTCTGCTGGGAAAATGCACCAAGACAAGTGGGCCTAGGTCAGATGGATCTGATTTTTTAAAAACCTCAGGAAACTGGACTGAGGCCCTAGAGGACAGAGAGATTGGCTGAATTAGCAAAATGTCTGAATTTTAAAATATTTGATCAAAAAAAGATGTATGATATTAAGGCACACAAGTAGCTGAAATTAACTCCTCAAAGTGGGCTACCTGGTAGAGGTGCCTGTATCTTCTTGAAGGCATAAAGGTATCCCCTTTGTAAGCTGCAGAACAAATGTGCAAATGAATGTGAGATAAACTCCCTTTAATGATTGTTCCCTTACATGTGATTGACATTTTCTCTGTGACCATATAGCATAGTGCTGCAGTTTTAATCCAAAGATCTGATTTCACATACTAACTCCAAAGCCCCTTGCATATCACTCTTATTTTTAGATGTCATCCTAACAAGTTGATTCTCTGGGTTCCCAGTATACAACATATTAGAAAAGAGTAGACCCTAAAAGGAGGCAATGTGACAACAGCTAGCAGTGATCACTGATGTCTTTTCAATAAGAGAAGAAATAGAAAACTTTAAAAGCAAGCTGGGAAAATTAAAAGATTACATGTCTGAGACCATTTCATGAAGGCAAATTGCCCAAAGGACTTCACCCACCCGAAATGATATATAGTTATTTAGTTAAGAATAATTATTATAGTCATTGATAAGATTGTTTCATATTCATTAACTCTGTTTAAGAAAATAGGGATATATGTCATACACTTCAGTTTAAAAAAACGTTTTTTGAACATCTAGTACGTGCCAGGCACTGTGCTAAGTGTAGAGATTTAAGGGAAAATAGGATTTGTGTTTGTAGTCTAGAATATGAAACAGATAATGTAACTTTTTATTATTTATTTTTGTGTAAAAAATACTGACATGTTAGCACTTAACAGGGTAAGATAACTACACTGGAAAATTTACTTGTATGGAAGAGCTTATTCCCTGGAAAAATGGTTTGTGGCTGTGAATTATTGTGAATCCCATAGTTGGAAGAACATTAATCAGCTGATCAGGCTCACACTTAAGGGATGAATTTGCTGCCCTAATTAATGTATAATATTTAATCCAAGCCCTTCCTTATTTCCACTTCTAAAAGGTATCATGTTGACAACTGTATTAGTCTGTTTTCATGTACCTGATAAAGACATACCCCAGACGAGGTAATTTATAAAGAAAAGGAGGCTTAATGGACTCACAGTTCCACGTGGCTGGGGAAGTCTCACAGTCATGGCAGAAGGTAGAAGCACGTCTTACATGGCAGAGGACAAGAAAGAATGAGAACCAAGCAAAAGGGGTTTCCCCTTATAAAACCATCAGATCTCATGAGACTTATTCACCACCACTAGAACAGTATGGGGGAAACCCCTCCTGTGATTCAATTATCTCCCACCAGGTGCCTCCCACAACATGTGGGAATTATGGGAGCTACAATTCAAGATGAGATTTGGGTGGGGACACAGCCAAACCATTATCAACAAGTAAGATCAAATTTGGCAGCCAGAAGAAAACTGAAGTTAATTAGTACCATATTTTTAACCCTCAATTTAATACTTTATTATACGATTTCAGTATTCTATAATTTCTCACATTAATAGTATTTTTCACCAACAAGATTGCATATTTAACTTTAGAAACTTTATTAGGCTGTTCTTGCACTGCTATAAAGAAATACCTGAGACTGGGTAATTTATGAGAAAAGAGGTTTAATTGGCTCATGGTTCTGTAAGCTGTACAGGAAGCATAGTGCTGACATCTGCTTCTGGGGAGGCCTCAGGGAGCTTTTACTCATGGTGGAAGGCAAAGTGGGAGCTTACACATAACATGGCATAAGCAAGAGCAATGGCGGGTTGGGGGGAAGAAGGTGCCACACACTTAGAAATGACCAGATCTTGGCCAGGCACGGTGGCTTATGCCTGTAATCCCAGCACTTCGGGAGGCCAAGGCGGGTGGATCACGAGGTCAGGAGTTTGAGACGAGCCTGACCAAAGTGGTGAAACCCCCGTCTACTAAAAATACAAAAATTAGCTAGGTGTGGTGGCATGTGCCTGTAATCCCAGCTACTCGGGAGGTAGGATAATCGCTTGAACCCAGGAGGTGGAGGTTGCAGTGAGCCGAGATCACGCCATTGCACTCCAGCCTGGGTGACAGAGTGAGACTCCGTCTCAAAAAAAAAAAAAAAAGACCAGATCTCATGAGAACTCATTTACTATCATGAGGACAGCACCAAACCATGAGGGATCTGCCCCCATAAGCTAAACACCTGGCACCAGGCCCCACCTCCAACATTGAGGATTGCAGTTCAACATGAGATTTGGGCAGGGACAAATATCCAAATTATATCAGAAACAATTGTGACCAGCTTCAAGGCTGTGTATGTTTAGATTTAGACTTAGCTAATATTTCTTCATTGCTTCCTAAATGTGACCTCTGTGGAAGGCGTTTTTCACAGACATTATCTCATTTAATCCTTGTATTAGCTCTATAAGAATTTTTGATGTGAATATTACCACAATTTTTGGAGTAAGAAAACTGAAGCTAGGTGATTTATGTTAGGTAGTTTATGATCCTACTTTTTTTTTTTTTTTTTTTTTTTTTTTTTTGAGACAGAGCCTTGCTCTGTCGCCCAGGCAGGGGTGCAGTGGCGCAATCTCAGCTCACTGCAGCCTCCACCTCCCAGGCTCAGGTTATTCTCTCACCTCAGCCTCCCAAGTAGCTGGGGTTATAGGTGCGTGCCACCATGCCCAGCAAATTTTTTGTATTTTTAGTACAGATGGGGTTTTGCTATGTTGCCCAGGCTGGTCTGGAACTCCTGGACTCAGGCAATCTGCCCAACTTGGCCTCCCAGAGCGATGGCATGAGCCACTGTGCCCAGCCATGATCCTACATCTTGTGAATTTGAACTCAGGTCCTAGACTCCAGGTCCGATATTGAATAATGGTTTCTGGCCATGCTCATTTATAGTCTTTGACTGCAGTTTAATGTCATCTCAGAATATTTTTTAGATTTTTGGATTATTTATTTTTCCTTTGTCATTTAGACCCTAACTTGTAGATCAGGTTTCACATCTGTGCTGCAGTTTAGCACCCAAAAAAGAAATTTTATATATGAAAGAGCCAAAGTATATTTTTCTTTATCCTTTGGTTATTTTTCCTTTCCTCTTCACATAGCTTGTGGTTAAATTATTTTCCTTAGACTTTCATACTAAAATAATTTGCCTTTGGGTAGAGGCCAAGCACAGACCATTTTCAATTCTCTACAAGATTGTTTTTCTAAGCAGCTCAAATGAAAAAATTCCCATGTCTTACAATGGGCATTTGTAAGTTGGTTATTTTGGGCAATCAGTGCTAAAATGTAGAGTCTCTTCAAAATCTTGAATCTTCTCAGTACACCTACCTTTAGGAAATGACCTAAAATAACTACATAGAAAACAATAGCAATGACCCCAAAGCCCACATCAGTTATCATTTCCAGATTCATGCAACAGTTTGTCTTCTTTATATTGAGTTTAACTTTTAAACGAGACTTAGTTACCTTAGAGGAAACTAAGAATTGGAAAGAAGAACCTTCAAACTAAACAAAATAAACATATGGCTTACATTTGTTGAGTGCTTACCTTGTGCCAGGAATAATGCTCAGTGCTTTAACTGCATTATTATTTTCAAAACCTACAATCCCCTGTAGTAGGTAATTTTTTATGTATATACTAGATGAACTAAAGCTCAAGGAAATAATTTGTCCAAGGCCACTCAGCAGTAATAAATGCCAGACCCAGAACTGAAAACCAAATCATACTGGCTCCAGATCGCTTGTTCTTCATCTTTAAAAAAAAAAAAAAAAAAAAAAAAAAAAAAAAACTACTATCTTGGAGTATTTTAGATGTACAGAAAAGTTGCAAAGGTAGTACAAGAGTTCATGTATACCCCTTACCCAGTTTTCCCACATTGTTAACATTTCCATGGTTTTATCATTTAACATTTATCAAAACTAAGAAATTAATATTGGTACATGACTATGAACTAAACTCCAGACTTTCTTTGGATTTCACCAGTTTTTCTATTGGTGCCTCTTTTCTGTTCTAGGATCCAATCCAAGGTACCACATTACATTTGGCTGCCATGTCTCCTCATCCCCTCTGGGTTATGACAGTGTCTCAATCTTTCCTTATTTTTCATGACCTTGACAGTCCTAAAGGGCACTGGCTAGGTATCTTGTAGAATGTCCCCCAACTAGGTTTATATGATGTTTTCCTCATTATTAGACTGAAGTTATGAGTTTTTCAAAGGACTATCACAGAGGTAGAATTCTTATTCTTAACCACTTTCTGATGCTGTGTGACTTTCAGATGTGCTTGTACTGTTAGTGGGCAGGGTAATTCTATTTGTCATTCTACCAAAGAATGAACTATAGTATTGATATGATTTGGAAAAAAAATAGTTCATTTAAGAAGAATTTAAAATCCCACAATGACTTGCTTATTTCCATATAGACAGTTAACAGTTTAAGAATTAACATCAGCACTGAGAATTTCCTAATAAAGTGATGTTTCAGGTGAAGAGAAATTCCAGTATTTTCATGTTGAAAATATGTCCAAGAGAAGTAAACCTAAATATCATAAAAGTTTTATTCATAAAATCTCTTTACAATTATTTATGATAATGAAACATTTAGAAAATAGCACAAATGCCTAACAAAGGAATAGTTAAGTAAATTATGGCATATCCCTTATCACGGTGTATTACACAAACTTTTAAAAAGATATTTACCAAAATGGGTCATAATGCAGACAATATTTACTGGAAAAGCAGGATATAACATTGCTTTTTGTTTATAGTCACAACTAACAATATATGTACTGTCTTAAAGTGACAAGAACATATACCAAAATGTCAATAGTGGTTGTGCTTTGGTGGTGAGACTATAAGTTTTACTTCCTTCTGCTTATCCATGCATTCTATGCAATTAGGATGTTTATGAGTTTTTTTAATTGTTATTGGTGGTTTTTAATCTTTTCAAAGAAGTATGCTCTGAAATCACTACAAGAATATTTTGTGACTTTAAGAAGTTGTTATGCAAGAAAATCCTTGAGAGCAAGAGCCATGACTTAGGTTTCACTCTGTCCCCCAGCCCCAACCCCTAAGCCATAGCACCCTCAAGGTCAGAGTGCTGAGATTCTGAGTATGGGAAGTTGAGAAGAGGAAGGAGGTGCTTCACTGCTACTTACCTCACACCACCACCAACACCCCCATGTGTATGGGGTAAATAGTAATGAAGTACTTCCTCAATAGCTTTCTGAAAGCAAGGTGCAGACTCAGACAGAGGTGAACTCTTATTAGCTCTGTGATCTTGATAAGTCATCCCACCTTGAGGCCTGTATTTCTACCTTGATCAAGATGCAGTATAAAGATGTGGTTAAGTGGAGTGTTACTACCTGATGTTGAGTCTTGGACAGGTAACTTAATTCTCTGTTTCTCCATTTCTTCATCCATAAAATGGGAATAATACTAGAATGTACTTTATGAGAATTGGGGGAGGACAAAATAAGTTAATGTATGTAAAGTGCCATTCATGATTGAATAGTTAATCCTTACTTACCAGAAGTTTCAGAATCCTGTACTAGATGATTTCTTGGGTAACCTCCAACTCAAAAATTCCATAATTCCAATTATCCAGAGGCTACAGCTTCTCAAATTGTGGCCTTGAAAAAATATGTGTAGGGTCCGGATGTGGCTAGAAGCTCACTAAGATTTGTACCGATGGAAGAATAGTTCATAAATTCCTGTTTTGATTTCTGAAAGTAAAAAAAAATGTCCAAAAGGACCTCAAGCCAAAGGCTATAGCTCTTGGTTTTTCATACTCCGTGATATTTTTTAAAAAAACGATTTGGTTCCGCCAGAATGTGTGTATTCTTATGGCCAAAAACCCTAAAAGTCGTCTCATGGCCACATCTGACATGGTTTAGTATTTAGTACATTTTATCAAAAAGCTCATTAATGTATTGGAAGTGGTAAGTGGTATGGAGCTGGGAGTACCAAGCTCTTAATATGCAATACAATGTGAAAAATAATACCAGTATCAGAGAAGTGGCTGGACCTCTTTATAGGCTAGAGAGATATAGAGAAGATATTGAAAAGCTTAATTTCCACAACACTTAACTCAGGGAAGTGTTTGGCAAATCAAGTGAATATTTGAGGTTTGAGGACTTAGCTTTGAGAGACTATGAAAAAAAATCCATAGGCACCTGGTTGGTGCCTGTTGCTAAAAAGCTGAGAAGACAAGGAATTGAGGTCGAAGATAAGGCACCACCCTGGGAATTTGGAGACCTGGGTCCCTCAGAGAAGGTTATGCCTGCTTTGAGAAGGGGTTGGTGTCTGTTTGATCCATTGAGAGCCCAGACAGAAAGGAAAACAGGTCCTCAGTCTGCTCAGATGGAGCAAAGAGGGGTTCTGGACTCACAGCAAAGGCAAAATCCATCCTGTGTATTTTGGGTTTAAGTTAACTCCAAATCAGATCAATTCAAGAGTGGACGTTTTAACTGGCTGAAATGAGTTTATAATTTCTACATAAGTGGTGAAAATACAATCTTAAAGTGCTTTGCAGTCTCCAGTGTTGTAATAGTCTTTGGAATCAGCCAGACATGAGTTTGAATGCCAGCTCCACAGTCTGTTAGCTGAGGCAATAAGTGACTGGGGCAAATCATTTAAGCTCTGTCTTCTCCAGTTCTTTCTTAGAGGTCCTGGGAAGATGATGTGAGATTCTGATTCAAAGTGCTGAGCAAATGTCTGTTTTGGTACCAGTACCATGCTGTTTTGGTTGCTGTAGCCTTGTAGTATAGTTTAAAGTCAGGTAGGGTGATGTCACCAGCTTTGTTCTTTTTGCTTAGGATTGTCTTGACTATACAGGCTCTCTGTTGGTTCCATATGAAATTTAAAGTAGATTTTTTTCTAATTCTAGGAAGAATATCAATGGTAGTTTGATGGGTATAGCATTGAATCCATGAATTACTTTAGGCAGTATGACCATTTTCACGATATTGATTCTTCCTACCCATGAGGATGGAACGTTTGTCCATTTGTTTGTATCCTCTCTTATTTCCTTGAGCAGTGGTTTGTAGTTCTCCTTGAAAAGGTCCTTCACATCCCTTGTTAGCTGTATTCCTAGGTATTTTATTCTCTTTGTAGCAATGGTGACTGGGAGTTCATTCATGATTTGGCTCTCTGCTGTCTATTGTTGGTGTAAAGAAATGGTTGTGATTTTTGCACATTGATTTTGTATCCTGAGACTTTGCTGAAGTTGCTTATAAGTTTAAGGAGTTTTGGGGCGGAGATGATGGGGTTTTCTAAATATAAAATCATGTCATCTGCAGATAGAGACAATTTGACTTCCTCTCTTCTTATTTGAATATGCTTTATTTCTTTCTCTTGCCTGATGCCCTGGTCGGAACTTCCAATACTATGTTGAAAAGTAGTGGTGAGAGAGGGCATCCTTGTCTTGTACCAGTTTTCAAAGGGAATGCTTCCAACTTTTGCCCATTCAGTATGATATTGGCTGTGGGTTTGTCATAAATAGCTCTTATTATTTTGAGATATGTTCCATCAATACCTAGTTTATTGAGAGTTTTTAACATAAAGGGACACATAGATCAATGGAACAGAACAGAGACTTCAGAAATAACACCACACATCTACAACCATCTGATCTTCGACAAACCTGAAAAAATAAGCAATGGGGAAAGGGTCTCCTATTTAGTAAACGGTGCTGGGAAAACTGGCTAGCCATATGCAGAAAACTGAAACTGGACCCCTTCCTTTCACCTTACAAAAATTAACTCAAGATGGAGTAAAGACTTAAATGTAAAACCCAAAACCATAAAAACCCTAGAAGAAAATCTAGACAATACCATTCAGGACATAAGCATGGGCAAAGACTTCATGACTAAAACACCAAAAGCAATTGCAACATAAGCTAAAATTGACAAATGGGATCTAATTAAACTAAAGAGCTTCTGCACAGCAAAAGAAACTAGCATCAGAGTGAACAGGCAATCTACAGAATGGGAGAAGATTTTTGCAATCTATCCATCTGACAAAGGTCTAATATCCAGAATTTACAAGGAATTTAAACAAATTTACAAGAAAAAAACAACCACATCAAAAAGTGGGCAAAGGATATGAACAGACACTTCTCAAAAGAAGACATTTACATGGCCAACAATCATATGAAAAAAAGCTAAACATCACTGATCATCAGAGAAATGTAAATCAAAACCACAATGAGATACCATCTCGCACCAGTCAGAATGGCAATTATTAAAAAGTCTGGAAACAATAGATGGTTGTGAGGCTGTGGAGAAATAGGAAGACTTTTACACTGTTGGTGGGGATGTAAATTAGTTCAACCATTGTGGAAGACAGTATGGCGGTTCCTCAAGGATCTAGAACCAGAAATACCATTTGACCCAGCAATCCCATTACTGGATATATACCCAAAGGAATATAAATCATTCTCCTATAAAGACACATGCACACATATGTTTATTACAGCACTATTTACAATAGCAAAGACATAGAACCAACCCAAATGGTCATCAATGATAGACTGGATAAAGAAAATGTGGTACATACACACTATGGAATACTATGTGGCTATAAAAAGGAATGAGATCATGTCCTTTGCAGGGACGTGGATGAAGCTGGAAGCTATCATCCTCAGCAAACTAACACAGGA
The DNA here is from genome assembly GCF_000001405.40 of Homo sapiens. Lineage (NCBI taxonomy): Eukaryota > Metazoa > Chordata > Mammalia > Primates > Hominidae > Homo > Homo sapiens. Next base: position 86,612,175 of record NC_000011.10, on the reverse strand, counting down.
ACAGAAAACCAAACACCACATGTTCTCACTCATAAGTGGGAGTTGAAAAATTAGAACACATGGATACAGAGAGGAAAAACACACACCAGGTCCTGTTGGGGGTTGGGGGGCAAGGGAAGGTAACTTAGAGGATGGGTCAATAGGTGCAGCAAACCACCATGGCACATGTCTACCTATGTAACAAACCTGCATGTTCTGCACATGTATCTCATTCTTTTTAGAAGAAATAAAAATTAAAAATAAAAAAAGAGTAAACCAAAGTGCTGAGCATAGAACTAGGCACATAATGCATATCCAATAAATGGTTGATATTGGTGTATTGTCTTTGTTCCTCTCAGCAACTTTTTCAGATGGTAGCTATTAATACCCCCATTTTACAGATGAGAAAACTGAGGTTTAGAGTGGCTGAGTAGATTGCCTAAGATCAAACATCTAGACCCATAGTAAGAGCCAACAATCAAGGCCCTGTTTTCAGACTTAACTTCTAGAGTCTTCCCATTGCATGATAAGGAAAAGCCCTCCTTTGAATACAGCACTAATCAGATATTCATTTTTCTTCCCCCCCCCCCCACTTTATTGAGTTATATTTGACAAATAGAAATTGTATATATTTAAGATGTACAATGTGATGATTTGATATATATAATATATATACATACATTGTGAGATGATGACCACAATCACGCGAATTAACATATCTATCACCTCACATAGTTACCCACCTTTTTTTGTGTTGAGAACACTTAAGATCTACTCTCTTAGAAAATTTCAAGTATACAATTCTTATTAACTATAGTCACCATACTGTACATTAGATCTTCAGAACTTACTCACCTTTTTTTCTCTTTTTGTTTACAAGTGTCTGCTGTAAGGAGAGGCTTTATTCATAATTAAAAATTTATACCCTTTGACCAACATCTCCCCATTTCCCCACACCCCGGGCCCTGGCAACCACAATTCTATTTTCTGTTATGAGTTCAACTTGTTTATATTCCTCAAGTAACTGAGATCATGCAGCATTTGTCTTTCTATGTCTGGTTTATTTCACTTAACTTAATGTCCTCCAGGTTCATCCATGTTTTGGCAAATGGCAAGATTTCTCTCACTCTTTAGGGCTAAATAATATTCACATATATATGAGGTTGAGACCCAAATTCAGAACGCTGTCTAGGAAGTCAGGTTGGCTTGAAGTGATATCTGGAGTTTGAGACTGTCCAGACCCCAGTGCTACAGCTGCCTGACAACTGGATTGTCTGCCATCGTCCACTGTGCCTGGCTTTTCTGGCCAACAGTTGGTGCTGTTTTGTTCAGCAAAACACTTATCACCTATTTGTTGTCAGCCAGTCACTGACTGGGTCTTGAGTTGCAACAAGTCCTCATTGTTTCTCCCAAAGCTCAAAAGCAAATACTCTGTCAGTTATTGTTCATGCTTGTGAGCACAGACCCTGCCCCCCCGCCACCCCCTATTGCAGCAATCTGCCTTTGAGTAGAAGACAAGAGCCACCCCCCAACCCCACAGCCCAAAAGAGAACTACAGGGTGCCAATAGATTCATGCATGCACAGCCACCCTGAGCAGCAAGGGATGTGAGTCGCTCAGGCTGGGCTTCCCAGGGGCCTTGGAATGGAAAGTGGAATCTCCTGCTGCTGCACCTTCTACCTTTGTGCACGGCATCACTCCCATGGCATATGCACTGATTTCCACATTTGCTAAATTTTTAGCACTATCCTCCCCATAATATCTAGGCTCAACTTAAATGCCCCTTTCTCCATGAAATATCAGGAGTAATGGTTCTTTCCTTTGAGGTCTCAAGGTATTTAGTTTCTGCTTGCAGATCACTTTATTATAAAGTATTTCAGACACAGGAAAAAATATAACGATAATATGAAAAATATCCATATACCAATCATCTAGTTTTTTAAATGAAACATTATAAATACATCTGCTGCCCCCTCTATTCATCTCTCTGGTCATGTTCCTTTCATCACCCCTAATGTAATCACTGTCATAAATTTGGTGTTTAATGATTCCCTTGCATGTTTTTACACTTCTACTACACATGGAGGCATTCTTAAAGTATAGCCTTTTGGCATATGTTTAAACATGTTAGACATTATATGAAATGTATGTAGCCTTCCTCAACTTCCTGACTTCTAGGATGGGTCTGATGATAGTTTATACCCTTGAAGGGTTGTGAGGACTAAATGGGTTAACAAATGCAGAGCGCATAAAGAAATGCCTGGTGCATAATGTGTTGAGTAAGTGTTAGCTATTATTATCATTATATTTATATATAATTTTGCTTACTGTGTTTCTAGAGTTATCCATTTTATACATTTGGTTTTAGACCATTTATTTAGCATTCCATCACATCAGTAAACTGAAACTTACTTCTCCATGCCTATGTCGAAGAACATTTAAGTTGTTCCCAATTTTTTGCTATTACAATTTTGTAATCAATATTCTTGTACATGTCTTTGTAAACATGGGCAAGTTTTCTGGCTTAAGAGTGCAGCATTGCTGATATATATTCTTCAGTATGTTTTAACTCACTTCTGACTAGTATACTAGGGTTTGGTTAGGGGTGTGTGTGTGTGCATGCATACATATATGCACACTTATGATTCATAGCAGATTGTAAGCTCCTTGAAGACAGGCCTAATTCAATCATTCACTGATTCATTTAGCAAATATTCATTTGGCACCCAGTATAGGCAGTGTACAGGTCTAGGTGACAGGATGCAAAGATTAAATGGCACAGGCTATCTCCCAGAGCTTTTTCTGCTCTGGAAGACATACTCAGGACACATGTAGTCAGAATCATGGTCATTTCAGAGGGTAAGGGACTTGGTTTTCACTGAATATTCATGATGGACCAGGCACTGTATATACACTGTCAATCAACCACACATTAATGGCACCACTTACTACTTGGGTACCTGGGACTACTCATTAATCTTGCTGAGTCCTGCACCTCTGATGAGAAAGCACTATTTTATTGTGTTTAAGAGAATAAACCTGAGTTCAAATCCAGGCATCACTACATGTCAGCTGCATGACCTTGTATGAAGGATTTAACTTCTCTAAGTTCTTGCTTCCTGGTCTGTAAAATGGTGCTAACTATAGAATCTATCTAAAAGGGATTTATGAAGATTACATGAGAAAAATGCCAGTAAAGTGTTTACACAGTGCCTGACACATAAGAGCTCAATCATTGGTGGCTATAATCACGATCATGTCAATTGTTATCCATTATCCAAAAAAATACGTGCCTTTTTAGAAGTAAGTATATCTGGGAAGTCATTATGGAATTTTTACTTTCTTCATTGCACCAAGACTTACCAGTGAATTATCTTATATACCAGTTAATTATCTGATATACCAGTTACTACCTCTTCTATATGAATGCATATTCACAATGTATTTCATCTCAGCCTTACTGTATTTAGAGAATAGTAAAGTTTTACTTTATTTTTAATTTTTTCAACCAACAGATTTTGCTCTAATTAACAGAAAGAACCGATAACTCCTTGTATTCATCTTGACTGCCCTCTGGACATGGGCAGGTTTCCAAGCCCACAAGTTCTGCCAGCAGCTGCACACTTTAACCTCTAGAGGGAGCTGAGAGGGAATTTGAGTCCATTGCTCTGACTGAGCAAAACGGCATTTAAATTACACCTGAAAACATCACTATCCACTATTGAGAGTGCATCCTCAGAGAAAAATCCTGGGATCATTTCCCCGAATCGATTCAACATTGCCCAGATTGCTTCCATCTCATGCATACTTTGTTTTAGTAGAAATGGGCTTCATTACAGAGTGGTCTCCAGCTCCCCATAGTGGCCCCTCCTAGTAATTTTTTCTAAATTAAGCAAGCGTGCGTGGACTCAAGAGGTACACGGCAGTATTTCTTGGCTGCTTCTTTCTCCCTCTGCAAGAAACAGGAATAACATTTCATAAATAATGAGCTGCAGCTGAACTTTAATCTGCTAGATCCATTTAAAAATGTTTGGAACCTTCCCTGTCTCTCTAAGAATTACCTTCTGGATTTTTCTGGCTTTGTTTTTTGGTTTCTTTTGCATTGTAACCTTATATTAAGGAGTATGCTGCTTATGTTTAAATTAATCAATTCTGAAATAAAATGTATTTACTTTCTCCCCAAACAGTAGCCTGGTGCCAAGCATGTGGGAAATACCTCATAGGTACTTCTGGCACCCAGGGGAGACATGGCATGATCTGTGTCCCAACATGCCAGAAAGAATGATTCCAGGGCCCCATTCTGTTTCTGAAGGTCAAAAGGCAGATAAGTGCCCCCCCAATATCTGAAGGTCTATCATGTCGAACGGGGAGTAGGCGTATTCTGCATGGCTCCAGAGTCCGACCAAGGACGTATAAGAGAGTTCACTGCGAGATCAACTTTTGCTCAATGTAAAATATGTGTATATAATATATATATATATATATTTCTTTTAAAAAAAACACCGACTTCCCTATCTCTAGATGTGATCTATTGGAAGCTGAAAAAAAACAACAAAAACCATCTATCAAAGAGATTGCAGAAGGGAGTGGGAAGTACCTTCCCTCTTAAGTCCCCTCCCACTCTAAGATTCTGCAAGACTTTACAGGAAGGACTTACTCTCCTAGTTTGCCTTTTTTCTGATGATATTCACCAGGCTCTATTTGGATATTTTCCCCTGAAGTTTAAAAAAAAAAAAAAAAAAAAACTATGCCTCTCAACTCATTGTATGTATATGGGGCTATGAATCAGAGAGGAAGAAATGACCACCAATGAGTATGGTGGGAAAAGGGAGGGAGAAAGGGGTTAGGGAAAATTTTGCATGCCTGAGAACATTGAAGGATGAGAGGAGTTAAAGTTCAGCCCCGCCAGTATGTCTGAAATATCCCAGTTACAGCCAGGATATCCCAAATAAGAAGTAGCACCATCACATTTGCAAGTTAGAAAGATCACTCAGAGGAGAGAACAGATTGGTAGATTTCTTCATGGCTGTGAATGTGTTAAGTTGATGGAATTGTTTCAGGAAGCAGTGCTGCACTTAGTCATAAACTCAGCTATGAAAATAAGCCTGTACCTCTATCCAGATCAACAACAGTGACAACAACAACAATAACAAAACCCACAATGTGTCAATGAAAATCAGGCTGTTGGTTTACAAGAAATGTAACTCTATCTCCTCCTGTTGGTGCTTGTTGTTGGTTTTCAGGAAAAGCCTAGTTTGGCATTGAATCCTGAATGAATTTGCTGAAAACAGCAACCTCACATATTTACATTTGTTTCTCCTGGTGACACATGGATTAGAAAAAGAAGTAGGAATGATTAAAACAGGAAGGGTAAGCATTAGTTAACCCACAGCCAGATTTTCAAGACAAATAACATCTAAATCAATACCAATCAACCAACCAAAGACACCACATCCCTCCACTGAAATTCCTCCACTTTTCTGTACTGGGAGAGTTATAAGCACCATGGACTATTGGTCACTTCCCAGTATGCAATGAAGGATTTTCCCATTATGCCCATGTAAGAACATGAGTCCTGATCAGCATCTGGTGAACATCACTCACTGGGGTTGTCAGAAATATTTTGGAAGACTGTCAAGCTCATGGGGCCAAGGGGGATACCTGGTGGAATGTGAGAGCACTAAAAGGGCCCTGAAAACAGCTTCGCTGCAGGCAGACCACTAATTGATTCTTTAGGGTCAGGGCCAGTGTTCTGAGTGGCACTTGTGTGTGTGGCTCTAAGTGGCCAGAGACGCACCCATCTCTCTGCTGTCCACAACAGACTACCCTGATGAGGCACGTCCCTGAGATATTTCCCCAACTGCAGCTCAGCACAGTATGGCAAAGGCCCAGGAGGGAAATAGTGTACATGGAGCCAGGTATGTGACCATCACAGGTGACCTCTCCGAGCCTCAGTATTCTCATTTATAAAATTAATCCTCATCCAACTTACAAAATTGCTGTCACAATCCCATTATATAGTAGAGATCAATGGATAAATTGACCATTGCTATGTAAGGGTCACATGATATTGTTGTTATTCTCAAGTAAGCTGTGGTAGCTTTGGGGAGGGAGGAGGGGTGGAGTCTTCTCTCTGCAACACAGGGTGAACTCCCAGATACTTCACTAGAAGGGATGCACACAGCCTCCAGAAGCTTTTAGAAAATGGCTGTAGTGGAGAAATAGTCAGATTTTTCTGGGCACTTGTGGGAGGCCCATGGGACTTGGGGTGAGGTTGGGGGTAGGCAAACTTAGAGAACAGAAAATAATTGAAAGAGTGTCCTGGAGGCAGGGGTTTAAAGTGGAAAAAAAACTGGTGTTTGGAATGAGGCTGTCTGGGTTTGAGCTCTAACCCTCCCCCTCTGACTGTATGACTCAGGGAAGTTAGTTGTCCATTCCATCTGTAAAATGGGTGTGATTTTTAAAAAATCTATTTTAAAGGGTTGTTACAAAGATTTTAAATAACGTTAAACAGAGCCTAAAATAAAAAACTTCAATGATTAATGACTATTTTAAGGATCATTGACTTCGATGTAATTCAACAAAAAATACTTGTTCATACAGAAAATGCCAGGTCATAGATTGTCATGGCTAGAAGGCACTCTGAATACATGAGATAGCTAATGTCCAAACAGACTGGCCTTATGCTAAATTAAGCAGTTTTTGGTGGCAAAGCTGAGCCCCCAGCAAAAGTCTTCTAAAACCAGAATAATTTTTTCAATATGACACCTCTAAAATGCTTTTCAGGACCAATACCTGGTCACAGGTTCTTAAGTCAAAGTCCCCATGACTCAGAAGCACATCCAGCCTTCTAATTGTGAACAGCATGTGCAGATGCCCTGAGGAGGAACCGGTGGCATAGGTTGGAAATCATATTGGCACAGTAGGCCTGGGGTCTTGACTATCAGCAAATGAATGGATAAATAATTTGCAGTATGTATATACAATAGAATATTAATCAGGCATAAAAAGCAATGAAGTACTGATACATGATACAACATGGATGAACCTCAAAAACATTGTGTTAAGTGAAAGAAGCTGTACATAAAAATTCACATACGTTATGATTCCGTTTGTATGAAATATCCAGAATAGTGAAATCTATAGAGACAGAAAGACTGGTGATTGCTCAGAGCTTAGGGAATAGGAGAAATGGGGAGCAACTGCTTAATGAGTGGTGCATTTCTTTTTAGGGTAATAAAAATATTTTGGAACTAGATAGAGGTGGTGATTGAAACCATTGTGAATGCACTAAATGTTATTAAATCATTCACTTTAAAATGGTTAATTTTAAATTAAAACATATAAGATACAATGGATTAATTCAACTTAACTTACTGTAACTAATAATTTTCTTAACTGTCTATTAAGACGTAATTTCTAACCTAGAAGTTTGTCTACTCAAACTACTGTGTCAGCTGCCTCCCAAATTACTCACACTTTCTATACCTCAGTTCCCTGATCTATAAAATGAAAATAATAATATCTGCCTCATTAATTTGTTGAGAAGACTAAATTGAGTTATAGATATAAACCTATGTAAAGCTATTTACATTTATATCATTTTATATGCTTATTTATGTTTACTGTATTTCATTTATAAATTCTCTACCTTTATCCAGTTTTCAGTTGTTTCTCAACAGAACAAGCAGTTATAACATGTAGGGAGCAATGGTTATATGGATGGAGGGAATCTTTTTGTTCTTTTTTTTCTTGTAAGAGACAACCCTATGTAGTGTAAACCAAAAATAAAATTTGAAGCCCTCCACCTCACCCCACAACCATCTGAATGGACTCCCTCCTTAACCAGGGCATTCTAAAATTTAACCTGAAAGACTGGTTCATGACCCGACAGGAAATGGGGGCTGGACATGCCCCATTTTGCCCCTCCAGCTTTAACACCAACACAGACCTTAAACCTAATAAGAAACATTTACAGCCTGTTCTCTCTGAAGTCTGGAGGCTTCATCTGCATGATGAAACTTTGGTCTCTACAACTTCTTATCACAACCCAGACACTCCTATCTATTGACAACTTTTTTTTTTTAACTTTTTTTTTTATTATTATACTTTAAGTTTTAGGGTACATGTGCACAATGTGCCAGTTACTTACATATGTATACATGTGCCACGTTGGTGTGCTGCACCCATTAACTCATCATTTAGCATTAGGCATATCTCCTAATGCTATCCCTCCCCCCTCCCCCCACCCCACAACAGTCCCCAGAGTGTGATTTTCCCCTTCCTGTGTCCATGTGTTCTCATTGTTCAATTCCCATCTATGAGTGAGAACATGCGGTGCTTGGTTTTTTGTCCTTGTGATAGTTTACTGAGAATGATGATTTCCAGTTTCATCCATGCCCCTACAAAGGACATGAACACATCATTTTTTATGGCTGCATAGTATTCCATGGTGTATATGTGCCACATTTTCTTAATCTAGTCTATCATTGTTGGACATTTGGGTTGGTTCCAAGTCTTTGCTATTGTGAATAGTGCCGCAATAAACATATGTATGCATGTGTCTTTATAGCAGCATGATTTATAGTCCTTTGGGTATATACCCAGTAATGGGATGGCTGGGTCAAATGGTATTTCTAGTTCTAGATCCCTGAGGAATCGCCACACTGTCTTCCACAGGGGTTGAACTAGTTTACAGTCCCACCGTGTAAAAGTGTTCCTATTTCTCCACATCCTCTCCAGCACTTGTTGTTTCCTGACTTTTTAATGATTGCCATTCTAACTGGTGTGAGATGGTATCTCATTGTGGTTTTGATTTGCATTTCTCTGATGGCTAGTGATGATGAGCATTTTTTCATGTGTCTTTTGGCTGCATAAATGTCTTCTTTTGAGAAGTGTCTGTTCATATCCTTTGCCCACTTTTTGATGGGGTTGTTTGTTTTTTTCTTGTAAATTTGTTTGAGTTCATTGTAGATTCTGGATATTAGCCCTTTGTCAGATGAGTAGGTTGCGAAAATTTTCTCCCATTTTGTAGGCTGCCTGTTCACTCTGATGGTAGTTTCTTTTGCTGTGCTGAAGCTCTTTAGTTTAATTAGATACCACTTGTCAATTTTAGCTTTTGTTGCCATTGCTTTTGGTGTTTTAGACATGAAGTCCTTGCCCATGCCTATGTCCTGAAGTAATGCCTAGGTTTTCTTCTAGGGTTTTTATGGTTTTAGGTCTAACGTTTAAGTCTTTAATCCACCTTGAATTAATTTTTGTATAAGGTGTAAGGAAAGGATCCAGTTTCAGCTTTCTACATATGGCTAGCCAGTTTTCCCAGCACCATTTATTAAATAGGGAATCCTTTCCCCATTGCTTGTTTTTCTCAGGTTTGTCAAAGATCAGATAGTTGTAGATATGTGGCGTTATTTCTGAGTGCTCTGTTCTGTTCCATTGGTCTATATCTCTGTTTTGGTTCCCATGCTGTTTTGGTTACTGTAGCCTTGCAGTATAGTTTGAAGTCAGGTAGTGTGATGCCTCCAGCTTTGTTCTTTTGGCTTAGGATTGACTTACTGATGCGGGCTCTTTTTTGGTTCCATATGAACTTTAAAGTAGTTTTTTCCAATTCTCTGAAGAAAGTCATTGGTAGCTTGATGGGGATGGCATTGAATCTATAAATTACCTTGGGCAGTATGGCCATTTTCACGATATTGATTCTTCCTACCCATGAGCATAGAATGTTCTTCCATTTGTTTGTATCCTCTTTTATTTCATTGAGCAGTGGTTTGTAGTTCTCCTTGAAGAGGTCCTTCTTGTCCCTTGTAAGTTGGATTCATAAGTATTTTATTCTCTTTGAAGCAACTGTGAATGGGAGTTGACTCACGATTTGGCTCTCTGTTTGTCTGTTATTGGTGTATAAGAATGCTTGTGATTTTTGTACATTGATTTTGTATCCTGAGACTTTGCAGAAGTTGCCTATCAGCTTAAGGAGATTTTGGGCTGAGACAATGGGGTTTTCTAGATATACAATCATGTCATCTGCAAACAGGGACAATTTGACTTCCTCTTTTCCTAACCGAATACCCTTTATTTCCTTCTCCTGCCTAATTGCCCTGGCCAGAACTTCCAACACTATGTTGAATAGGAGTGGTGAGAGAGGGCATCCCTGTCTTGTGCCAGTTTTCAAAGGGAATGCTTCCAGTTTTTGCCCATTCAGTATGATATTGGCTGTGGGTTTGTCATAGATAGCTCTTATTATTTTGAGATACGTCCCATCAATACCTAATTTATTGAGAGTTTTTAGCATGAAGCGTTGTTGAATTTTGTCAAAGGCCTTTTCTGCATCTATTGAGATAATCATGTGGTTTTTGTCTTTGGTTCTGTTTATATGCTGGATTACATTTATTTATTGGTGTATATTGAACCAGCCTTGCATCCCAGGGATGAAGCCCACTTGATCATGGTGGATAAGCTTTTTGATGTGCTGCTGGATTCACTTTGCCAGTATTTTATTGAGGATTTTTGCATCAATGTTCATCAAGGATATCGGTCTAAAATTCTCTTTTTTGGTTGTGTCTCTGCCCGGCTTTGGTATCAGGATGATGCTGGCCTCATAAAATGAGTTAGGGAGGATTCTCTCTTTTTCTATTGATTGGAATAGTTTCAGAAGGAATGGTACCAGTTCCTCCTTGTACCTCTGGTAGAATTCGGCTGTGAATCCATCTGGTCCTGGACTCTTTTTGGTTGGTGAGCTAGTGATTATTGCCACAATTTCAGAGCCTGTTATTGGTCTATTCAGAGATTCAACTTCTTCCTGGTTTAGTCTTGGGAGGGTGTATGTGTCCAGGAATTTATCCATTTCTTCTACCTTTTCTAGTTTATTTGCGTAGAGGTGTTTGTAGTATCCTCTGATGGTAGTTTGTATTTCTGTGGGATTGGTGGTGATATCCCCTTTATCATTTTTTATTGCATCTATTTGATTCTTCTCTCTTTTTTTCTTTATTAGTCTTGCTAGCAGTCTATCAATTTTGTTGATCCTTTCAAAAAACCAGCTCCTGGATTCATTAATTTTTTGAAGGGTTTTTTGTGTCTCTATTTCCTTCAGTTCTGCTCTGATTTTAGTTATTTCTTGCCTTCTGCTAGCTTTTGAATGTGTTTGCTCTTCCTTTTCTAGTTCTTTTCATTGTGATGTTAGGGTGTCAATTTTGGATCTTTCCTGCTTTCTCTTGTGGGCATTTAGTGCTATAAATTTCCCTCTACACACTGCTTTGAATGTGTCCCAGAGATTCTGGTATGTTGTGTCTTTGTTCTCATTGGTTTCAAAGAACATCTTTATTTCTGCCTTCATTTCGTTGTGTACCCAGTAGTCATTCAGGAGCAGGTTGTTCAGTTTCCATGTAGTTGAGTGGTTTTGAGTGAGTTTCTTAATCCTGAGTTCTAGTTTGATTGCACTGTGGTCTGAGAGACAGTTTGTTATAATTTCTGATCTTTTACATTTGCTGAGGAGAGCTTTACTTCCAACTATGTGGTCAATTTTGGAATAGGTGTGGTGTAGTGCTGAAAAAAATGTATATTCTGTTGATTTGGGGTGGAGAGTTCTGTAGATGTCTATTAGGTCCGCTTGGTGCAGAGCTGAGTTCAATTCCTGGGTATCCTTGTTAACTTTCTGTCTCGTTCATCTGTCTAATGTTGACAGTGGGGTGTTAAAGTCTCCCATTATTATTGTGTGGGAGTCTAAGTCTCTTTGTAGGTCACTCAGGACTTGCTTTATGAATCTGGGTGCTCCTGTATTGGGTGCATATATATTTAGGATATTTAGCTCTTCTTGTTGAATTGATCCCTTCACCATTATGTAATGGCCTTCTTTGTCTCTTTTGATCTTTGTTGGTTTAGAGTCTGTTTTATCAGAGACTAGGATTGCAACCCCTGCCTTTTTTGTTTTCCATTTGCTTGATAGATCTTCCTCCATCCTTTTATTTTGAGCCTATGTGTGTCTCTGCACGTGAGATGGGTTTCCTGAATACAGCACACTGATGGGTCTTGACTCTTTATCCAATTTGCCAGTCTGTGTCTTTTAATTGGAGCATTTAGTCCATTTACATTTAAAGCTAATATTGTTATGTGTGAATTTGATCCTGTCATTATGATGTTAGCTGGTTATTTATTTTGCTCATTAGTTGATGCAGTTTCTTCCTAATCTTGATAGTCTTTACATTTTGGCATGATTTTGCAGTGGCTGGTACCAGTTGTGCCTTTCCATGTTTAGTGCTTCCTTCAGGAGCTCTTTTAGGGCAGGCTTGGTGGTGACAAAATCTCTCAGCATTTGCTTGTCTGTAAAGGATTTTATTTCTCCACTTATGAAGCTTAGTTTGGCTGGATATGAAATTCTGGGTTGAAAATTCTTTTCTTTAAGAATGTTGAATATTGGCCCCCACTCTCTTCTGGCTTGTAGAGTTTCTGCCAAGAGATCCGCTGTCAGTCTGATGGGCTTCCCTTTGTGGGTAACCTGGCCTTTCTCTCTGGCTGCCCTTAACATTTTTTCCTTCATTTCAACTTTGGTGAATCTGACAATCATGTGTCTTGGAGTTGTTCTTCTCAAGGAGTATCTTTGTGGTGTTCTCTGTATTTCCTGAATCTGAATGTTGGCCTGCCTTGCTAGATTGGGGAAGTTGTCCTGGATAATAACCTGCAGAGTGTTTTCCAACTTGTTTCCATTCTCCCCGTCACTTTCAGGTACACCAATCAGATGCAGATTTGGTCTTTTCAGATAGTCCCATATTTCTTGGAGGCTTTGTTCGTTTCTTTTTATTCTTTTTTCTCTAAACTTCCCTTCTCGCTTCATTTCATTCATTTCATCTTCCATCACTGATATCCTTTCTTCCAGTTGATTGCATCGGCTCCAGAGGCTTCTGCCTTCTTCACGTAGTTCTCGAGCCTTGGCTTTCAGCTTCATCAGCTCCTTTAAGCACTTCTCTGTATCGGTTATTCTAGTTATACATTCGTCTAAATTTTTTTCAATGTTTTCAACTTCTTTGCCTTTGGTTTGAATTTCCTCCTGTAGCTCAGAGTAGTTTGATCGTCTGAAGCCTTCTTCTCTCAACTCGTCAAAGTCATTCTCCGTCCAGCTTTGTTCCGCTGCTGGTGAGGAACTGCGTTCCTTTGGAGGAGGAGAGGCACTCTGCTTTTTAGAGTTTCCAGTTTTTCTGCTCTGTTTTTTCCCCATCTTTGTGGTTTTATCTACTTTTTGTCTTTGATGATGGTGATGTACAGATGGGGTTTTGGTGTGGATGCCCTTTCTGTTCGTTAGTTTTCCTTCTAACAGACAGGACCCTCACCTGCAGGTCTGTTGGAGTTTGCTAGAGGTCCACTCCAGACCCTGTTTGCCTGGGTATCAGCAGCGGTGTCTGCAGAACTGTGGATTTTCGTGATCCGCGAATGCTGCTGTCTGATAGTTCCTCTGGAAGTTTTGTCTCAGAGGAGTACCTGGCCGCGTGAGGTGTTAGTCTGCCCCTACTGGGGGGTGCCTCCCAGTTAGGCTGCTTGGGGGTCGGGGTCAGAGACCCACTTAAGGAGGCAGTCTTCCCATTCTCAGATCTCCAGCTGCATGCTGGGAGAACCACTGCTCTCCTCAAAGCTGTCAGACAGGGACATTTAAGTCTGCAGAGGTTACTGCTGTCTTTTTGTTTGTCTGTGCCCTGCCCCCAGAGGTGGAGTCTACAGAGGCAGGCAGGCCTCCTTGAGCTGTGGTGGGCTCCACCCAGTTTGAGCTTCCTGGCTGCTTCGTTTACCTAAGCGAGTCTGGGCAATGGCGGGTGCCCCTCCCCCAGCCTTGCTGCTGCCTTGCAGTTTGATCTTAGACTGCTGTGCTAGCAATGAGCGAGACTCCGTGGGCGTAGGACCCTCCAAGCCAGGTGCGGGATATAATCTCCTGGTGTGCCATTTCCTAAGCCCGTCGGAAAAGCGCAGTATTCGGGTGCGAATGGCCCGATTTTCCAGATGCCATTCTCTCACCCCTTTCCTTGACCAGGAAAGGGAACTCCCTGACCCCTTGCACTTCCCGAGTGAGGCACTGCCTTGCCCTGCTTCGGCTGGCGCATGGTGCACTGCACCCACTGTCCTGCGCCCACTGTCTGGCACTCCCTAGTGAGATGAACCCAGTACCTCAGATGGAAATGCAGAAATCACCCATCTTCTGCATGGCTCATGCTGGGAGCTGTAGACCAGAACTGTTCCTATTCGGCCATCTTGGCTCCTCCCTACTGATAACTCTTTCAACCAATTGCCAGTTAAAAACATTTTAAATCTGCCTATAGACTTAGACATGAGACATCAATCAAATACATTTAAGATATGATAACCTTAAGGTTAATGTATCTTAAATGTATTTGATTGATGTATCATGTCTCCCTAGAATGTATAAAACCAAGCTGTACCCCAACCACTTTGGTCACATGTTGTGAGGATCTCCTGAGGGCCCTGTCACGGGCCGTGGTCACTCATATTTGGCTCGAAATAAATCTCTTCAAATATTTTAAAGAATTTGACTCTTTTTGCCAATAGTAGCAAGATATACTTTCTTGCTCAAAGGCATTTCCCACGTAGGTATTAACAGGTAAAAAGTCATGCTGTGTCTAAAGCTGCACATGCTCCAGAGAGCATACTTCACAGAGGTGGGGTGAGGTGGACAAGGAGCTGACAACAGGCTTGTTCCCAAAGACTTCTAGTGTTTCTCCTTCCCTTTCCAACAACAAGATGTGTGGTTGTCATGGTTTCTACTTCCTCTAAAAGTCCTTTGACCAAAAATAGTCACATGGCCCCAGTCCAGCTACAAGGGAGATGTGTGGAAGTATATGGACTAATTGTTAAGCTGCTAACTGTCTCTATCACATTGCTCGGGGATACTGTAAGGAACTCTGGGCCAGAAGCTCACTGCTGGTTCTGCCGTGACCTTGGAACGTGTTCCTTGGAACTGAGCTCCAGATTTTCATTCCAGGTCCCTGGGGCCCCTGCGACCACATCCCTGCCTTGGCAATGCACCTTAGTTCTTATGAAGTGGAGTCCTGCTGCTGAAATGTCATTCGCAAGTCTGGGACCCTGTTACCTGTTATTACCTAATCTGCTTACAGCACTTCCATGACCTTATGTCAGATTTCCTGCTCTGCCTGTGCCATCTGTCTAACCAGGGCCTCTGTCTTTTGCTGGACTTCTCAGCCAGACTTTTTCCAGCTGCCTGTTGTCAGAGGCTTCCCTCTATGACCTGCTTTCCTTTGCTGAATTTGACTGTTCTCCACAACCTGGTCCACTTTGGTTTGGCCCATCCCATCATCATCTATGACCTGGTTCTGACAGGGAAAATGGAAAATATAAAGAAAAAAGAGGGAAAATTACAGAAAAGGAGAGCAGAAGGGAAGCCAAGTGATATAATGAGTTACACATAGAATAAGGTTCAAGTCTAACCCTTGCAACTTCTTACCTACATGACCTTGGCCAAGTCATTGAATCTTTCTGAAATTTCAGTTTCTTTATCTATAATGTGAAAGAGGTAGCCTAGGTGATCCTTAAGGTCCCTTCCAGCCCTAACACCTCATGATTCTACATGAAGGTGAGAAGCCTTCTTAAAGTCTCAAGGGCTCCTTTGAGAGTAAGGGAGAAGGAGGTCAAGATATAAGCACTGATCAGGAAGTAATTTTGGCAGAATTTTGAGTGAGAACTACTTAGGAGTATCCAGTACTCCTGGTTAAACATTTTCCTGGGCTTCACTGAAAAAGCCTGAAACCTGTACTTTGAAAATAGAGGAAGGGGACAGTTAGCTTTAATTAGATTTCATCTGACCATGATGAAAGTATTAAAATTGTACAAGTAGGATATTTACAGGGCACTTTACATTCTGCCCATTTTTTTCACTAGTCAAAAGAGACTGAAATTCAGTATGTTCTCAAATTAGCTAAAGAAAACCCTTGTCAAAGACCCCTCAATCCATCTGGTTATCATTATTAAAGCATTATGGGGTATGTATGCTTTCCATTGGAAAAAAATGAATAATCCCTTCAAATATGTAATTTCATAGGTTTTGAAATACGAAGGCAACCGTTAAGGGAACTATCAAAGCAGTCTGAAGTACAGTGTGAGTTGTCAAGGGAAAAATATAAAAGAATTTTTAATAACTGAAAGTTCAACAAATTCTAATGCCAAAGCCTGGGATTGTGGGAACACTTGTTGGAATTTCTAAAGACTGTTGTTTAGTGCATGGAGGCATCTGAACCCAGAAGGTAAATTCTGAAACACCTGGACCATATTAGAGTGTCTGGGGCCGAGAAGGTATGGTGAGGGGCCCACCCAGAGGTGCCCTCTAACACAACTTCTTTCCCCATAACAGCATACCTGGGAGCTTCTGTTCTTCTGGCTGTGGCATTTTGTTTCAAGAGCACTGCACCCTGTGCCAGCCTTGCCTCTTACACATCAACCCATATGCAGAAGCATTTCCCCTTAAGTAGAGTGTAGTAGAAATAGTGAGGGCCTGGAGTCAGGCAGATCTTGAGCTAGATCCCAGTTCTCCACACTTCCCCTCATGATCTTTGTGACCTTGAGCCAGCACAGTGCCTGGTTCATAGGAGACACTCAATCAATCCTTCTTACCTGACCTTTCAAACCAGGGCACGCGCTTACTCGATCTGATTGTCAGTTTGCTTCTTATAGGATAGTGTTTAAGAGCACAGACTCTAAAGGCAGACTAATTGGGATCAGATCCTGGCTTTATAAGTACTTAACTCTCTAAGCTTCAGTCTCTTCATCTGTCAAATGGAGATAATGCTAGTATTTACCTTATAAGTCAATTATGGTTACATGAGTCAAAGTGCCTGGACCAGTGACTGATACATAATAAGCTCTCTCTCTCTCTCTCTCTCTCTCTATATATATATATATGTATATGTATATATATGTAAAATAGAGTATTCTGAAAATTTCTAACATGTGATAAACAATCCAAAAATATTAAACACATATTTTTACCTATTTTATTTCTTTATTTATATTTTATTTACTTATTTTTATATTTCCATACATATGCTTATCCCCTTTTTCTTATTATTAGCCCTTGTCAAAGTCCTCAACATCCTCTAAAGGCCTCTATTAAAAAAGAGCAAAACTCCCTTCTATTGTGAATGCTCTATAGTTGACCAGGAGCTTTCATGAAAGAGCCTCATTTGAATCTGACCTTACCACCCCTGCAGAGTCCCCACCTGGCTTGTCCTAGCTCATCCCCCACAGAAGCCTAGCATTTCACTGGAGAAACTCATTGCTGACTCAGTCCCCAGACATATCAGGCCCTAACAAGGCACTGATTTGTCATCATTATTTTTTGCTACCTTCAAGGGCTACCTTGCAAAGTATCAGAGGCATTTCCACTCTTGCCATCCCTGCTTTGGGACTGGGATTATTTTCTCACTGCAGGCAGGAAAAATCTTTTGAAATTTCACATTTGGAGAGCAGACTTTGTTTCGTTTTTTTGTTTTTTTGTGTTTTTTTGTATTGTTTTTTGAGAAAGGGTCTTGCTGTGTCAGTGGTGCAATCACAGCTCACTGCAGCGTTGACCTCTCGGGCTCAAGTGATCTTCCCATCTCAGCCTCCCAAGTAGCTGGGCTATAAGCATGCATCACCACACCTGGCTGATTTTTTTATTATTATTTTGTAGAGATGGGGTGTTTTTATGTTGCCCAGGTTGGTCTCAAACACCTGGGCTCAAGTGCTTCACCCACCTTGGCCTCCCAAAGTGCTGGGATTATAGCTGTGAGTCATTATGCCCAGCTAGGAGACCAACTTTGGATGATAACTTAAATGTCTCTTCAATGTACTTGTATTTTATGATGAGGTGAATATATGGAGGTAGAGAGCAAAGGAGAAAAATCTCTAAGGAATGCAATATTTTTATTAAGTGTTATAAATTAGCAACAATTTTAAATCATAATACTCAGCATTGGTGAAAATGTAGTAAGACAGCTACTTATGTACTGGAGTTATAAAATAGTTCGACCTTTCTAAAAGTGATTTGACAGTATGCGTACAGATACTTAAAACTGTTGATATCTCTAGAATGTAAGTTTCATGAAGGCAGGGATATCTTGTCTGTTTTTTTACTTTGTTTCCTTATTACTGTATCGTCAGTTTATAATGGTATCCAGTACCTAGTCGGTGCTTATTAAATATTTGTTGAATGAAAGAATGAGTCATCAGTCTCTTAAGTACACTTATAGTTCAATCTGAAGAAAAATCAGAAACAAAAAGTTTTGTGCTCATTACAGCATAATTCATAATTGTGGAAGTTTGGAAACAATTATATAAAACAGGAATTACTAGATAAAGCTTGCTGTGTTTTTCTGTTTTTTAATAACATTTTAGGCTGAAGTTTTAGTATGTGGGAAAATGCTAATCATAACATTTTTAGTGGGGAAAAAAGACTAAAAAATTTTATACATAGTATGATCTCAAGTTTGTTTAAATAAAATTTTTTTAAGCAT